>NC_000014.9:82111713-84611713 GCF_000001405.40 Homo sapiens | reverse complement strand
CATAGGACAACTTGCTTTATCAGAACAATCAAGCAGAGAGAACAAGCAAAAGAAAGATTGCTAACAAGACAGAAGTCATCGTCTTGTACTATTTAATTTTAGAAGTGATATCCAATCACATTTATTATATTCAGTTTGCTGAAAGCAAGTCACTAGATCCAGCCCACACTGACGAGGAGGAATGCAAAATTTCAGTTAGACAGGAGGAAGAAATTCAAGAGATCTACTGAACATCACAATGACAATTGTTAATAACAATATATTGTATACTTGACAATATATGAGATAGTAGATTTTAAGTGTTCTTGTCACACAAAAATGATACGTATGTCAGGTGATGCATATTTTAAGTATCTTTATTTAGCCCTTGCACAATGTCTACATAGATCAAAACATCATGTTAAATGCCATAAATACAAACAATTTGTACTTGTAAATTTAAAAAGCAAATGTAACTTTTTAATTAAAAATTTAAAAAATTGAAAAGAGGAATTACAACAGGTGCAAATTATAGTAGATGTAAATGGTTACAGGCCATTTTAGAAGGCAGTCTGCTGTATTATCTAATGGTAGGTATTAAAATAAATTTCTGGAGCTTTTCTCTTAGACAGGGAAGACTGTTAATTAAAAATAATGATAAATAAGAACCCCTGCCCCAACCTGCCCCAACAACAACAAAAAACTATCTTTAAAGTGTATGAAATATTATTGCCTATTTTTAAAAAATATCTAAAGATTATTAGGATCCGGGCACAGTGGCTCACACCTGTAATACCAGCACTTTGGGAAGCCAAGGTCGGGGTATCACTTGAGGTCAGGAGTTCGAGATCAGCCTGGCCAACATGGTGAAACCCTGTCTGTATTAAAAATACAAAAATTAGCCAGGTGTGGTGGTGGGCACCTGTAATCACAGCTACTCGGGAGGCTGAGGCATGAGAATCGCTTGAATCCAGGAGGCAGAGGTTGCAGTGAGCCAAGATTGCACCACTGCACTCCAGCCTGGGCGACAGAGCAAGACTCGGTCTCAAAAAAAAAGAAAAAAAAAATAGAGAACTTCTTTGTTAAACTACCTGATGCATCAAAGCATTTTTGTAACTTGAGGAGTCTATGAGCTAAACTGAGAAGTGATCTGTGCACTCAGATGTGAATGTTTTACAAAGTATTTAATGCATACAAAGCAAACATATATCCAGAAATAAATACAATAATTAAACTGTTTATTCCAAAAAATAGCTTTTATTTTTACTATAAGTATTATTGAAGCAAAACATATATTTTTTTTTCAATACTGTAACACAATACCCACTATCATGCTTTTCCGTCCTTTCTCTTTTTAATGTTTTACACATGGTATGGAAAACCATGTGTTTCTGATTAAGGACTTATTGTTTGCTAAATTGTTGTGGCCTTTCAAATTCTTCACACCCCTTTATCTTCTCATCCCTACCTCTTAATATTACAAATACACGCATACATGCATTTTTCAGCTAAAAGATTACTCAGTCCCCTATGCAATCACACTGAAGGCAGTTTAAAAGTATGTAAACATACATATGTGGAATTTGGTCTACATTTCAACTTTATAACTCTAGCCCCAGTAATATTAGGTGGGCTTAGTGATTTAACCTAAGCATCTGAGAGTTACCTAACTTAAGACTGAAAGACTGATATCTAGAAATCAGAGTTATTGATTATATCTTGAACGAAGTTTGAGTGGTTCTCTTATTTACAAAGATGTAAAGATGCATTGCATGGAGCACTTTACTTCTCAAAATAAAGCAGGCTTGCCTAGATCTGCTTGAGTAAAGTAAAGTAAATATTTTTGGGTGTGTGTGTGTGTGTGTGTGAGAGAGAGAGAGTGAGTAGAAGAGAGACAGAGAGAGGCAGAGAGAGAGATCTAATTTGGGAAGTCAAAGTGGCAAATTGCAATAATAATAATTTTGGAAAACAAAGAGCACTGCTGATTAAATATTAATCTTAGATAATTTATTCAACAAACCTGAAGTACAATTTCAACTTCTATATAAGGACAGTCATAATAATCTTTATCTAATGATGTTATTGAGAGTTTTAAATATGATGGTATCAGATAGTAGTGAGTACTAGATTGAAAAAGCAGAGGAATATGATGACCAGGACAAGGAAAGAGGCTGATTTACTTTGAAATGTCAGAGAAAAATTCCATGAGGCAGTAACGTTACATTTTAAACTTGAATTGGAAAAGGAGACAGATGAGAAAAGATATGAGAAAGAATATTCTAGGAGAAAGTCATCAAGAAATTGCAAAAGACTTAAGGCAGGAACAAACTTTTTGTGTTCAGCTAAAAGAAAAAGACCTGTGTGGCTGCAGCTTTCCAAGATGAAGATTAGAAATATTAGTGGAGGATAAGGAGTCAATCCAGGGAATATTCACATAAACTCCTTACAGGTCATGCAAGAGGCTTAAATGTTATTCTATGGGTGATTGGAATCAATTGTGGCTTTTTAGTAGGGCAACCATGTGGCATAACTTATGTTCTAAAAGAAAAAGAGAGAGATAGCAAGCTTACTTTGGATACTCTATGTGGAATAGATTATACAGGAGTTAAAAATAAATCAGGAAGTTTTGAGATAATTTAGGTGGTTCAGACTAGAGATGATAAGTGTTTTAGAACAAGGAGAAAAAAAGGCAATGGAACAATATGGAGAAATTCAGAATACATTTTTGAGATCAATCCAATGAAACTCTTTATAGACTTACATTCAAAAAAGAGAGAGAGAGAGGAATCAAATTTGAATCCTAGTTCTTCGGATTAAGTATCTGTGTATATGAACAAGAATGGTAGAGGGTCTGATTTTGGTTAGGGTCTTAGAAATGTCAAAATTTTGAGAAAGCAACTAAATATCCTATACAGATGGCAGTGTAAGTGAGATTTATGATACTTAACTTCAGCAGACCGTGGCTAGAGATAAGATGGGAATCACTGAAATACAGATTGAATGAGCGTGTTAATATTAATAAAGGACTGGCAATGTCTAACATATAGGACAAATTATCTAATTGTGGAAGTTTCTCTGCTGTTATGATTGCTGCTATTGATAATGCATAAAATGTGGAAAGAAAGGAGGATTAAAGATCATTATAAACTATTCCAATTTTAATATGATATTGTTAGAGTCCCATATTCAGAATTGAAACAGAAAAGAAAGCACTAGCAAAAGAGGATTACAAAGAAAAGAAAGTAAATTAAGGGGAAAAATTAAAGCATACACTGTCTTTAAATGTAAGAGAGAATGTGGCCAAAGAAGTAGAAAGTAGGTCTCTATATTGAATGCTGCAAATAGAGGAAACATGATGATAAAAATTGGCTTTTAGATGTGGCAGCCTGAAGGTTGCTGAGAATCTCCAGGAAGAAGAATGTTTTAAATGGAAACTTGCTGAGATCAAGAAGAGACACAGGAAAGAAAAGCAGAGTAGCAATAATAAACAATGCTCTGAAAGGTTTTACTAGGAAAGGGATGAGAGAGATAATAGAGTTGATGGGCATATACGTAGAGTTTTTGTCATTGTTTATTTTTAAAATGGTAAATCTTAAGCATGTTTATGTACCACTGGGAATGAACTAAGGAAAATGGAGAAAATCAATATTTAGGTCAAAGGGGAAATAACAGTAATAACACCTTGAGAAAGCTAGAAGTAATGGAATCCAGAATATCAATGAAAAGTTTGTACATTGATCCACTTGTTGAAATGTCATTTCTTGTAATAGAAAGAAAACACTTCTCCCTCATTCTCCCATTCTCTGAGTGGGAGAGGAAATGCAGGTAAGATTGTAGGGTAGAAAAAAGGTAGAAGTGATTTCTTCCAATTGCTTCCAATTGTGGGGAGAAGAGATGGGATGTTTCATATTTTAGGAGAGATTGGAAGGTATAAATTATTATTTGGAATGAACATGAGAAAGGAGTGGAATGAGATTGCCTGACAATGTTGATTGCTCATTCGATATTTGAGGCGGTGAGTCTGAACTGTGATTGGTAAGCTCCCTTTGATGGTCTCTTTAGTCCTGGGTAGTTGCTTGTGTACAGGTCCAGAGAAGGAGGTACTGAACTTTAAGTAGATTTAGTGTTTCTGGGTAAATGCAACAGAGGTAGAAAAAGGGGGCTGAACACAGTGGCTCATGCCTATAATCCCAGCACTTTGGGAGGCCAAAGAGGGAGGATTACTTGAGGCCAGGAGTTTGACCAGTCTGGACAAAAAATGAGATTGCGTTTCTACAAAAATAAAAAATAAAATTAGCTAAGCACAGTGGAATGAGCCTCTAGTCCTAGCTACTCGGAAGACTGAGGCAGGAGGATCTCTGGAGCCCAAGAATTCAAGGCTACAGTGAGCTACAATTGCATTCCATCCACTGAACTCCAGCCTGCATGACAAAGTGAAACACGCTGTCTGTTGAAAAAGAAAAAGCCAAGGAATTTAAGAATACTATTAAAGTCATTATCATAATAACACACTACAAAATCTGAAATGAGTACAGAAAAAAATAATGACTTTAGGATGATATTTGATGGAAAAATAGCACAGGCCAATGGAGACAACTTCTCAATGAGACAGAAAGATTGTTGGAGCAGACAGAAAAGTGGAAGAACAGAGAGTGGTGTGAGAAATTTCAATATTTAGACCTGATATTTCAGAAGTAATATGATTATGACAAGATCAATGTTATGACCCTGAGGTTGGTCAAATTAAGGTGGAGTAACAGAACATTGGACATGATGAGGTTTAGAATATTTAGGCACTGGATGTTATGTGGGTTATTCAGAGCATCCAATAATTGAAGTCACCAAAAATGGGGACAGTCATAAATGTGGAGTCAGTCACGTGCTCAGTGGTAAAATCCTCAACAAGTAACAAGCTGCATCAGGAATGATAATAAATTGACATCAACAATGAAGTACAGGGGTTGCTATTATCAGGTAATGTGCAATTAGAGGGACCTAGAGGTTTTAAAGGAGGAGAGAGAATGTGATATTGAACTGGTAAAAGGAAGAAGGAAGAACATCTTTCCCAGGCTTTTACGTGAGCAGCAGGAGAAACAAATGGCCCACACTGTGAAGGAGCAGGGCATGTATTTACCAAGGAACAGAGGTTTCTACTAATCCATAAATGTCAAGCAAATAGTGAGAGGTGAAGCTAAAGATAATAGGACATTTCGGAAGACACTATAAAAGACAGAAGACATACTGCACTGATAGCTATAAAACACACACGCGCGCGCGCGCGCGCACACACACACACACACACACACACACACACACACACTAAACCCCATCTCCACTAAAAATACAAAATTAGCCGGGCGTGGTGGTGCTTGCCTGTAATCCCAGCTATTTGGGAGGCTGAGGCAGGAGAAGCACTGGAACCTGAGAGGCAGAGGTTGCAGTGATCCGAGATTATGCCACTGCACTTCAGCCTGGGCCACAAGAGCGAAACTCCGTCTCAAAAAAGTAAAAACACTCAACACTTTGATTTTATCTGTTATGGTCTATTTAAAATAGGGATAAGCAGAAAATTATAATATAATAATGTGATTAGTGAATAAGCTAGTAGGAATATCTAACCTAGTTATCAAATGAAAGGCAGAATTTCATTGAAGTGCAAAGATGCAATTCACCAATAATAATTAATGGACAATACTTTACAGAAGTGTGTGGATGAAATAAGTTCCTTACAGTTTGTGTTCCTTTTTTTATTCTTAATGTTATTTATTTATGCCATCTGTGTTCCTCAAACAATTGTGCTAAATGTTTACTTATATTTACTATTTTTAGTCTTTTCAAAGATATGTCTTTTAAAAAATGTCTCCCATTTATCTTTTATTTATATTTCATTGATTTTCTGTACTTTATTATCTTCTCTACTTCTTGTATAGGTAGCATTATTGATTGTTTTGTAATTTCTTAAGTAGGACACATTGCTTATTAATTTACAGCCTTTCTTCTTGTTCTGGGCTAAATTGTGCGCCCCTACCACCACTAAATTTATGTTTTAAAGCCTTAATCACCAGTAACTCAGAATGTCACTGTATTTGGAGAGAGATCTCTCCAAATACAGTGACATTCTGAGTTACTGGTGATTAAGGCTTTAAAACATAAATTTAATTGTATTTAAATGTATTTTGAATTTAATGTATATAAATTGCATTTAATGTAATTGTATAATGTATTTGTAATTGTATATAATGTAATTGTATACAATTACATTATATGTAATTGTAATTACATATTTATATAATTATACATAATTATATACATAATTAAATTACATTAAAATATACATTAAAATGAGTTGATTATATGATATATGAATATATATATCCCTTAAATTGAGATTCTAATTTATTTTTCAAATTTCCTGTATTCTTATTAAATGTAAAATCTTTTGTCCTATGCATTATCAATAAAAATCTGTGTATTAATATCTATCTCACATAATGGCAGATTTGCTAATTTCTACCTTCTAGATTTTGTTTGTATATTTGCACTTATTTAACAGGTTAATTTAAAAATGTATTTATTATGACTTCTTGCTAATTTGAAATTTTTAATCTCACATAATGATTTTCCATTTGAAATCTGCATGGCTATACCAGCTTTCTTTCTTATAGTATATGGCTGATTTATCTTTTGTTGTGGTTGCTGTTTCTTCCCATTAGACTCTTTTTCCTCTAATTAGTGAAAATAAAATTCACGTCTTATGTGCCAAACTCAAAGTTGAGTGACACAATCTCGATGATAAAGAACATGTTATAAAAAAATGGACAATGAAAGAAGAAAAAGTTATTAAATATATTCCCCGGCCCTGCACCAGCAATTTTATTCCACACTCTTACTTGCACTGACAATCTGATTTCCTTTCCATGGTATCTTCAGGTTCTTACTCATCAAGATTGACTGGGGGTCACTTGACCATATACCTTTTTCTCCATGTCCAAAATTTAAATGAATAAATAAAAATGTTAACCTTAACTTTGGCAAACAGGGAGGATACTGAAATCTTTGTTCTCTGTGTAGCAATGCATTCTATGGCATCTATAAACACATCTACATTAACAGTTATCTGTTTAGTAAATGAGTCTTCGTATAAACCTATGACATTTAATTGGTGAGCTATACGATGCTACATGGTTCTGAGCTTTTGAGAACTTGGGATCATCTGTTTTCAAAGTGCCACAATTCTGTGACTCAAAAATCATACAGAACACTATCTTTTTTTTTTGTTTTAAAATTAAGAGAGTATATTTGAGCTTTATGTACTGCAGAGAGTGGCTAATCTCCTATCCAGATAAATAATGCAAACCAACCCTGGATATTTTTCTGAAAAATTGAAACAGGAATTATCTAATTTCCTGAAACAGCATGCATGGATTTGTTGTAGAAACGGTCTTTTAACCAGTCTCAGAGTAGGAGCACTCATGAAAGGCCCTTCTCCTTGTGCCCTGCATATGAGTGTAACATTGCAAGATGCACTAGGCATAGAATGAACTTCTTTATTATTTTAAAACTAATCGTTGTTGTTTTATAATTTTATTAAATCCAAAGAGGGACAATTTTCATATTCATTATACAATTTATAAATTTATTATAACAATTTTCTAGCAGATGGAGTTTTCAATAGATAGATACATTAGGGCTATTTTCCACAAAAGGGAGTCAATTTTATACTATTGAGATAGTATATAATTGTGTGTAGGTATTCCTTAGGGATTTGTTTCAGGAACCTGAGTGGATACCAACATGGACAAAAGCTCAAGTCCTCATGTAAATTGCTGTATAATTTGCATATAGTCTATAATATCCTCCCATATACTTTAAATTATGTCTAGATTAATTATAATACCTAAGGCAATGTACATGCTATATAAATAGTTATAACTCTATTGTTTAGGGATAGTGAAAGGCAAGAAGTCTGTATATATTCAGTACAGATACAACTATTATTTTTTTTTAAATATTTTCCACATACGGTTAGTTGAATTTACAGATTCAGAACACATAGCTACAGAGAGCCAACTGTATGTTGTTTTGCCTCTATTTGCAGATGAGGAATGAGATGAATAATAGAAATACCAGCAAATCTACAATTTTTAGCAATTATTTTAAATTAAAAAATGATGATTATTTGATGTATGCATTGATGAGTATCTTTAAATTGTGTTAGTGCATTGCCTAAAAATTATTTCACATTGCAGTCATACAGGATAATTTTTTAATGTATGAGAATGATATTGACAAGCTCTTTATGTAAATTTACAATTTTATTGTAATATTAATTGCTGTGTTATGACTAATTTTCACTTATTATTAACAAATCATAAAGCATTGTAAAGTAATAAGTTCAAAATTAACACACAAGGATCCACTAATTATATTATAGCAAGTTTTTCATTTTTCATGAAGGCAGATATTATTTTAAATGTTTGTGTATTTTATCTTACTACAATAAACATATCATTTCTGAACTAATCATCAAAAACAAATAGAAAGCTTTAATATGAAAATAAAATAAAATTTTCTGAATTGGTGAATAAAGTTTTTGAGAAAACAGGCAAAATGCAAGAAAATAGAAAAAGACTTTAGGGCTACTAATTTGGACATTCTATAGAAAAAGATACTTCACAGAGAGAGCAAAATAGAATATGAATATACTCTAAATTCATGTAAATCATAATGGAGGAAATTCAGAGTAAAAAAGAAAATAAAATATTGCAAAGACTCCATTAAATAAAAATTTTGTTTCTGATTCAGATAAATTGACATAATATTTGAAATTTGAATATTTAATTATTGATCACTTTTATTGAAAATCATCCACTTCAACCAGATGCAGTGGCTCACATCTGTATTTCCAGCACTTTGGGAGACTGAGGTAAGCAGATCACTTGAGGCCAGGAGTTCAAGTCCAGCCTGGCCAACTTGGCAAAACTGTGTCTCTACTAAAAACACAAAAAATTAGCTGGGCATCGGGGCAGGCACCTGTAATCCCAGCTAACTCGGGAGGCTGAGGCTCATTAGTTGCTTGAACCCAGGAGACAGAGGTTGCAGTGAGCAGAGATCTGCCACTGCACTCCAGCCTAGGCAATAGAGCAAGACTCTGCCTTAAAAAAAGAAAAAAAGAAAATAATCCAGCTCAATATTTTAATTGTCTAAACCTTGATGTACAAGGAACAACAACCCATATTTCTCACATATGTAAAAAAAATCAAATCCTAGTTACTTTGTTCTATTTCAAATAATTTTTGTTAAATTGAAAATGTTTTAGGAATAAAATAGAGTTGATGAAAAAAGTAGAATGGATGCAGAGAGTAGCCATTTTATCACATATTTATTGTAAATTAAATTAAGATGTATATCAATACATTTAAGTAAATTAAATGTATATCATCAATACATTTATGCATTCTAAATTGAATATTATAATTTTAAATACTAGTTTAATAACTGTGCTTTATAACAAAAAGTATATAAAAATAAGAAAAATTATGTTTTTTAAGCATAACACTTTACTTGCATCTTAATTTTTTCCAGTTTTACAAATGAGAAAATAAAAGATCTAAGAAGTATAATGACTTGAACAAAATTATCCGTATGTTTAAGGGGTCGATCCTTGACTAGAACTCAAGTTTCTGAGGCTTTGTTCAGTATTCTTTCTCTATTACATCACTCTTCTTGTCTGTAAGCACATACCTAAGGATGGCCATGGAGAAGTAAGATTTATTTAAAAAATGAAATTTAAATGTCCTCTAAAAGTTTAGTAATGGTACTTAAATGTTTTCATTCGTTGCTTAATAAATAAAGAATGTTTCTTGGGAACATAGAAAAACAGAGTTATATGTTCATACTGATGATTTTTTTTAACTTTTTTTTTTAAGTTCAGGCTGTTTTTGATGCATAACCTACAAGATTCTGTTTTTGGCAAAGTCATGTCCAACATGAGACAATCATTCCAAAAATAATGTGATATTTTTTTTTCACTTGTAATAAACCATAACATAATAATTTCATAATATTATTGCAGAATTTCATGCAGAATATAAACATGATAACAGAAAGTATGTCCAATATTTTGGGCACTGACAGAGAAAATCAAATGACCAAAATAAGAACAGATGCAATTAAATAAATCATATTGAATTAAATAAGAAATTCACAATTTTACTCAATTATTACAATCCTTGGTATGAATCATAAGAACAGATAATTAATTTGCACATTCTATATATGAACATATTGGAGAGAAATTTATTATTTAGTTTGATTGGAGAAGACATAAGCAAATTGTCAGTATAATATTTACACAAACACAGAATACAAACCTAAATTCAAATAAGGTATCTTTCCCAAACTCACTTCGTAAATGAGTGAAATTTTGTTATCCAAACCTAACAAAACAAACTCTAACAGGAAAAAAAAAAAAAAAGCACATTCGCGAGACTGTAAATACTCTAAAAAAATTGACAGAACAAATCCAGAAATGTATATATGATATATTGTGAACAAGTTAGATTTATGGTTTTTCTCCATTGTACTTATTACTCTGTTACACAATATTTATTCAATTTAAAATAATTATTTCTAGTCTTTCCCTAAAGTTATATTGTGAGTTCTGTTAAAACATATCTGTCGTGTTTACAGCCTAGCTCCCATACCTAAACAGGACTTACATACTAGGTTGTCAATAACTGTATGTTGAATGAATTAATTCCAGAAATGAATGTAAATTAACTTTAGAAAAGTTTATGAATATAATTGGACAAGTTAAGTGATTTAAGGAAAAAAACACATAAGAATCTCAATAGATACAAATAATCCAGTTCAAAAAATTCTATATTTATTTGTGCTAAAAACAAACGAACACAAAAATGGAGAATTTTTTTTTTTTTTTTTTTTTTTTTTTGAGACGGAGTCTCTTTCTGTCGCCCAGGCTGGAGTGCAGTGGCGGGATCTCGGCTCACTGCAAGCTCCGCCTCCCGGGTTCACGCCATTCTCCTGCCTCAGCCTCCCAAGTAGCTGGGACTACAGGCGCCCGCCACTACGCCCGGCTAATTTTTTGTATTTTTAGTAGAGACGGGGTTTCACCGTTTTAGCCGGGATGGTCTCGATTTCCTGACCTCGTGATCCGCCCGCCTCGGCCTCCCAAAGTGCTGGGATTACAGGCGTGAGCCACCGCGCCCGGCCCTGGAGAATGTTTTTAAACAGATTGAGGGTATCTACCAAAAGCCAAACATCACACATAGTGGTGAAATAATAGACTTTTTCTTTAGAATCGGAAATAAGAAACATGTGTTCACTATTCATGCCTATTAAGTATTTTATTCAACATACTAAGCATTGCAGGGGGTATTATTACTGTCTACACAAAACCAGAAAGTATCTTCACATAAATTTACTGGAAATTAATAGAAGAGTTTATTAAACATTAGCCCATTTTCACGTTGCTGATAAAGACATACCCAAGACTGGGTCATTTACAAAAGAAAGAGGTTTAATTGGATTTACAGTTCCACATGGCTGGGGAGGTCTCAGAATCATGGCAGGAGGTGAAAGGCACATGTCAGTGGCAAGAGAAAATGAGCAAGATGCAAAAGAAGAAAATCCTGATAAAACCATCAGATTTTGTGAGACTCATTCCCTACCATGAGAACAGAATGTGGTAAACCGCCTCCAAGATTCAAATTATCTCCCACCAGGTCCATCCCACAACACGTGGGAATTATGGGAGTACAATTCAAGATGAAATTTGGGTGGAGACACAGAGCCAAGCCGTATCATGATGCCAAAACAAGTAAATAATGCCAGTGAAAAGTCACTATTTTGGTGTTATTCTTCCAGAAGGACACTGACTACAGGTGAAGAGACAGTCCCTACAAGAATTAGGATGCAAAGGACAGAATCACTGTGTTGAGATGTGCTAATGCAGTAGGCACACATAAGTGTAAAATCACTGTGATAGGCAAAATCTTGTATCTTCATTGTTTTCAAAGAAGGAATTTTGTATCAGTCCATTGTTATGCTAACAAAAAGACATGCATCATTACAAACATCTTTTACGATTGATTTCACAAACGTTTTGCACTAGTGGCTCATGCTCTCTGCAGGGAAGGAGGACTGGATGATGACTGCAAGATTTTATTACTCCTTGACAACTGTTCTGCTCATCTTCCAGCTGAAATCCTCCCAAAAATAATGTTTATCATTGAATACACATAGACATAAAGATGGAAACAAGACAGTGGGGACTACCAGACATGGGAGTGAGGAAGGGAAGTGTGGGCTGAAAATCTACCTATTGGGTACTATGCTCAATACTTGGGTGATGGGATCATTTGTACCCCAAACCTCAGCATTACACAATATACCTGTGTAACAAACCTTCACATGTACCCCTTAATCCAAAATAAAAGTTGAAGTTATTAAAAAAATTATATTTATGCCATGTACTGTCCTCTAAATTTAACTTTATTAATTCAGCCATGCTACCAGGGTATCATTAGACCAATGAAGACTAAATATAAAAACACTTTCTGGAACAGCACACTAGCAGCATTGAACAGAAGCGCAAGTATGAAAGATTTTCAAAAGAATTTCAGTGTGAATATGCTGTTGCCAACACTTGGAACACAATACCTAAAGACACAATTGTATGTGCCTGGCACAACCTCTGGCCTGCGACTATGTTCTGTAATGATGATGAACGAGGTGTGACTTTGAAAAAATCTGTGTGTCAAGTGAGAAAAATAATGATGTCTAATCTCCTTACACATGCAAAAAAAAAAAAAAAAAAATCTAACTTCAGAACCTGTCAGTAAGCTAGAAGAAGTGGTTATCAAAAGTGGCATTAACATTAATAATGAGGCTCCCATTGTTCATTCATTGACCAATGGTGAAACAGTGTATTAGTCTGTTTTCATACTGCTAGAAAGAAATAGCTGAGACTGGGTAATATATAAAGGAAAGAGGTTTAATTGACTCACAGTTCCACATGGCTGGGGAAGCCTCAGGAAATTTACAGTCATGGCAGAAGGGGAAGCAAACATGTCCTTCTTCACAAGGCGGCAGCAGAGAGAAATGCAAAGTGAAGGGAGAAGAGCCCCTTATAAAATTATCAGATCCTCACTCACTAATATGAGAACGGCCCCCACGATTGAATCACCTCCCATGAGGTCTCTCCCTTAACACATGAGGATTACAATTTAGATTACAATTCAAGGTGAGATTTGAGTGTGGACACAGAGCCAGACCATATCAAACAGCCAAAATGGTTCTGAAACAAGGTGATCATAAAGTGCCTAGACAGGTGACATTAACAGGGCAGAACAATTGCACCTAGACTACATGGTGAAAATGTGCTGTGAGCTTATTGAAGAACTAGCACAGTATGCATTCATAAGAAAACAACAAACCATCTGAGTTTATAACATCAAAGAGACCTCCAAGACAAGAAGTGTTGTTAATGAGGCGGATGTCTCTGAAAGAAACATTTTTAAAAGTCGTCCATTAGAATATCTCCTTAATCCTAGAGGACCTACTTCTTGGTCCTTCCACTGCTTCTGATATTTCTTCTTACATTAACAATAAAATACAGTGTACAGTTACTTTTTAATCAAAATGCAGCATCATAGGTGGAGGCTGAAATATATATTAATAGTTGTTTGTTCATGCTGTTGTTTAAAAATGGACAAAGGGTTTCTAGTGATGCTACTGTGCTGCTTAGTTACCCTGAACACATTTTTGTTTTGTTTTGTTTTGTTTTGTTTTGAGATGGGGTCTCGCTCTATCGCCCAGGCTGGAGTACAGTGGTGCTATCTCGGCTCACTGCACACTCTGCCTCCCGGGTTCATGCCATTCTCCTGCCTCAGCCTCCTGAGTAGCTGGGACTACAGGTGCCCGCCACAACGCCTGGCTAACTTTTTTGTATTTTTAGTAGAGACGGGGTTTCACCGTGTTAGCCAGGATGGTCTCGATCTCCTGACCTCATGATCCACCTGCCTCGGCCTTCCAAAGTGCTGGGATTACAGGCGGCAGCCACTATGCCCAACCAACACGTTGTTTTTTGTTTTTTGTTTTTGAGACGGAGTCTCGCTCTGTTGCCAGGCTAGAGTGCGGTGGCGTGATCTCAGCTGACTGCAACCTCCGCCTCCCAGGTTCAAGCGATTCTCCTGCCTCAGCCTCCCCAGCAGCTGGGACTACAGGCACCCACCACCACGCCCAGTTAATTTTTTGTATTTTTAGTAAAGACGGGGTTTCACCATGTTAGCCAGGATGGTCTCGATCTTCTGACCTTGTGATCCGCCCATCTCGGCCTCCCAAAGTGCTGGGATTACAGGCGTGAGCCACCACGCTCGGCCATCAACACATTGTTTTTTAACTGTATTAATGTTATTCTATATATTTTACTGTTAAATATTTACATGTAAATAAGTGTAAGAAAAGGATTGCTCATTGGTAGTGCAGTCATCCCTTGGTGTACCCAAGAAACTAGTTTCAAGATCCTTCATGTATATAAAAATTCACACAAATGGAAGTCCTGCAGCTGGTCCAGCAGATCCTACAAATACAAGAAGTTGGTTCTCATCCTCCGAAGACATGATTTTCACATCCCTCAAATACACTATTTTCAATCTGCCTGTGGTTGAAAAAAATCTGAGTATAAGTGGACATATGAAATTCAATCCTTATTATTTAAGGTTAAACTGAATGTAAATTCGGAGTCAGGAAAGATGGTGATGACTTACAACTACAGATTGTCCATATGAGTGGCTAAGATAGTGACATCTTTGCTTTCTAATGGTTTAACATACACAAATATTGTTTATACATACAAAATCATCTTTAGGCTATGCATACAGGGTATATATATACAGGACATGAATTTAGTGTCTAGACTTGTGTCCTATCCTCAAGATATCTCATTATATATGAACAAATATTTCAAAATCCAAAAAAATCTGAAGTCCACAATACTTCTGGTCGCAAGAATTTCAAATAAGGGATTCTCAACCTGTACCATATGATCCAAAAATTCCACTACTGGGTGTATAACCAAAGGAAATAAAATATGTATGTTAAAGAGATAGCTGCACTCTGATGCTCGTCACAGCATTATTCACAATTGCCAAAATATAGAATCAATCTAAGTATCCATCAGAAAGTGAAAGGATAAAGGAAATGTGGGGTAACAAATATTTTTAACAAAATATATATATTTATATATATATATAATATATAATATATAATATATATTATATATATTATATATATAATATATATTATATATTATATAAATATATAATATATATTATATATTATATAAATATATAATATATATTATATAATATATGTAATATATTTATATATTATATATAAATATATATATAATTATATATGGGTGTGTGTACCATCTATCCATCTATATGTATGTGTGTGCATTTGGTGTGTCAGACTTCCAGGAGAAACTCACAGATTGAAGCAGTGACTACACTAAGGAGCAAGTTGAACATTCCTGGTTCTTCAGTCATAATACTCAGAAACCTAATTCTTATTTTTTTCCTTTACCATATGTGTGTATGTATGTGCTATATATATATAGTATCTATATAGTATATATATATAGTATATATATATAGCACATACATACACACATATATACACATACATATATGTTTATATAAACATTCTCAACCTGTACCATATGATCCAAAAATTCCACTACTGGGTGTATAACCAAAGGAAATAAAATATGTATGTTAAAGAGATAGCCACACTCTGATGCTCGTCACAGCATTATTCACAATTGCCAAAATATAGAATCAATCTAAGTATCCATCAGAATATATATGTTTATACAAACATATATGTGTATATATGTATGTATGTGTATACATATGTGTATGTATGTGTGTATATATATACTTATAGATCTATAAAAAATGAAATACTAGTCAGCCTTAAAAAAGCAGGAAATCCTGTCATTTGCAACAACATGGATAAACCTGAAGGATATTATGTTAAGTAAAATAAGCCAGAGACAGAAGGACCAATACTGTATAATTTCACTAATAAGTGGAATCTAAAAAATTTGAACTCCTAAAAGTAGAAACTAGAATGGAGGTTACCAAGGACTGGTGGAATGAGAGGGTTGCGCAGATGTTGATCAAAAGAAACAAAATTTTAAATAGGAGTAATAATTTCAAGAAATCTATTGTACAATGTGGTAACTATAGTTAATAACAATGCATTGTATCCTTAAATAGTGCTAAGAAAGAAAAGTCTAAGTGTTCTCCCTACAAAAAGTATGTGAGGTAATACATATGTTAATTAGCTTGATTTAGCTAGTCTGCATTGCATACATATTTCAAAACAATATGTTGTACATTATAAATATATACAATTTTTATTTGTTAATTTCAAGGAAATGGTAAAGGAAAAAAAAGAGAACTAGATTTCTGAGTATTATGGCTGAAGAACAAGGAATGTTCAACTTGCTCCTTAGTGTAGTCACTGCTTCAATCTGTGAGTTTCAGTCTGTGAGTTCAATCTCCTGGAAGTCTGACACACCAAATACAAAAATCAGAAAGCACCGCTGATTTGTTTCTATGATAATGGTCTATAACCAAGGTAACTGTACAATATATTATCCAAACTAGGACATCCAAACTGAGAGTAAAACAGAGCACTAAAATAATTAAAATTATATACTTTGAAGTATTTGTATTTTAAAAAAATACGTAGCCATCTACCTTACAGTAAGTTTTAAAAAGTTTTCTTATAGTAGTATCTGAATATTAAACACTTAAGGGGAATTATGATTCTTGTTACATATCCATTTAATTAAAAAATTCTTGATTCTTATCTACATTAATACTATTCACTTGTATTTTAATAAAATATTATTTTTCAAATTCCTCCAAAAATTTTAGCAAAATAAATGGATAGAATAAATCTAACACGCAGAAAATGGCTCATGAAAAATATGCAAAAGTATTGCCGAAAGCAATACAAGAATATGTATATGTATATGCAAAAATATATTTAACAAACAGAAAAAAATTGTGCTTTTGGGAAAGAGAGAATCAAAATTCAAAAGATGTTAATGCTTCCAAACTGATTTAAGACTCTAAAATTTCAATACAAATTCCAACAGAGATCTTCACAGAACTTCACACGAGGAAATTCCACCATGTATTTGGAAGAGGAAACGGGCCATTAAGAACCAATATACTCTTTATTTATTATTATTATTATTGTTATTATTATTATTATTTTGAGATGGAGTCTCACTCTATCACCCAGGCTGGAGTGCAGTGGCACAATCTTGGCTCCCTGCAACCTCCGCCTCCCGTATTCAAGCGATTCACCTGCCTCAGCCTCCCGAGCGGCTGAGATTACAGGCGCCTACCACCATGCTCAGCTAATTTGTTGTTCTTGTTGTATTTTTAGTAAAGATGGGGTTTCACCTTGTCAGCCAGGCTGGTTTCGATCTCCTGACCTCAAGTGAACTGCCCACCTCGGCCTCCCAAAGTGCTAGGATTATGGATGTGAGCCACCGCGCCCGGCCCCAGTATGCTCTTTAAAACAAACAAGCAAACAAAGAAACAAACAAGTTGAGAAGACTTGGACAATTACTTGCAAAGCACCTTATAAAACCATGATAATACAGTGTCTCTGTTTAATTGCTGACTTTCTTCAGGCCTGTGCCTACGTCTGAAGAGAGCAGGCAATTAATAGAAAAAGGAGTCTAGGAACAGAACCTAAATGGATGGAAATTCATAACGACTGCAGCAGCACAGCCAAATGATGGAAATGGACACATCGATTCATAGTGGTTAGATAACTAGTGTTTCACGAGGGGAAATTATGCTATATACTATTTCAACAAAAAGATCACACACTTAATGATTAAAGCCAAGTGTTATAGAATACTTATCGTGAGCCAGGAGTTGTGCTAATCCATTTATCTATCTTAATTTCTAAATGTATCCTTTGGTTTAGCTACTATTTTAGCTCCCATTTAAAAAATTAGAAGAGTACCCACAGAAAGCTCAGGTGTGTCAGAAATGGGATCAAAACATTGGCTCTCCTCTTCCAAACTCATGCATTCAAACTCCTGGCTGGTTTTAATTTTTTTTCATCAAGGAACATTAATAACAACAACCAAACCAAACCAACCAGACCAAAGCAACAAATGCATTATAATGTGAAGATATTTCAAAATAAATATAAACTTCAATGTCAGCATGTTCAGAATTTAAATTAAATGCAAACACTCATGAATATTATAAGGTGAAGTAGTATGGAAAACCAATAAGATAAGGAATAATTTGTTTTAAAAAAATGCTAATTTTTAAAAGATCTCATAAACACCTGAGTCACATTAAAAGGAAATTTAATAATATCTCGTTAAACACTTCCATTTTATTGAGATCTATATTGCCTCTTATTAGTAAATGGATAAAGTCTAAATGTATATATTTTAATACTGGGAAACTTTCAAAAATAAACAAACAATATAAAAAAAACCAAAAAACAAATCCCATTTTATTGTAATGGAAAATTGGCTGAATTTTGGCTTTTTATCTTATAAGCAAACTTTTCTCAGAGAAACTTTATAAAGCTTGTTTGTTGTAAGAGACTGTTAATAGCAAAACCTGGAAAATGTTACCTATTATTAGCTCAAACTGTTGTATTTACCTGTTATCCTTATATCACTGCCAGAATAGTCTGTCAGTTTTTCCATTTTATTTAGAAATCGGCCGCAGCACTTTGCTTTGGGCTAAAACCTGGCATGTAAGTCTAAAGTCAGTTTTCTTTTTCCTTAAATAAATTTTGAAATACTTTCAGCTAAGCCATTTTAGTTGGAATAGAACATAAATAAATGTAACTGACTCCAGATGCTTTTGATGCCCATGGAGAAACAACAGAAAATATATGTTTCTTAAAAAGTAAAAAATGAATCTGAAAGCCATGACCAATGCGTGCCCTTACTCCATATGAACCGGATGTCTTAATTTAAATTTGTGCTCACCTTTAAATTATTCAAAGACTACATAAAATTCAGCTCTCTCTGTACATTTATAGCAACCCAAAATCTTTACTTTATATAATTTATTTAATTCATGATTTTAAATAAAATCTATATACCAATAATACTTGAATTTGAGTAATGCAGCATTATATATGCATAAAATCGGAAGACCCGAAAGCCATCCTTTGCCTAATAAATCTGGTAAAGATTAGTCCCATCCTCCACGCTTTCAAATATATCATAGAACCATTGCTCTGTGTTGACTCAGCCTTGGAGAAAGGCGCCCAGCAGGTTGGCAGGATAAAAGCTTTCCTGTTTATTCAACAATATGCCTCCGTAGGGTGTTCAGTGGTAATCAGACTGGCAGGCCTTACGTGGTGCATAAATATTTCATTTTCCAAATCCACCAAACACGGTTGGCAAAATGGAAAAAGTGAGACGGACCACCAGCAGATCTCAGGCTCACCCTGAAAGATGTGAGGCATAACTGAAACAGCCTGTTCAGGTGTCATCCACCACCTTCATTTGTACGTTTTCTTGGCACTGTGGCAGCCGTCAGTACTCTGGCTGCATTACTCTAATCAAAGCATTTAGTAGTTGCTAAATGGTTTAGTAGTGCCACAGCACTTAGTAGTTGGATCTACACTGATGAGCTTCCCAACATTTCAACAGTGTAGAGGTTCAGGGTTGGGAGGATCTCCAAGCCTTCTGGGAACAGCTATCTTTAATCTCCTATTCGGCATTCCATAGAAGTCACAAAGAGAAGCAACACATTATTAGATACTCAAAGCATTGACCCAGTTTCCAAAACATTTTTTTTCATGCCCAATCAGACAGCTTTACCAGGGAAAGAGAGAAAATAAGTTTAATGTGGAACTAGGTCTATTAGAACATTAATTTCAGGGTTAAATAACCCAAGCACATTCTCCCTCCTTCCCTTTCTCAGGAAACCCAGCTTCTAAACTCAACTTCCACAACTGTAAAATAAGAATAACAACAATAGCGTATTCCCTTTATAGAACTGTGAACTTCAAGTAAGAGATTGTAGCTAAAATACCTTATAGAATTGTAAGACACCCAGAAGTAAAAAGGTTATTTTTAACAGAAAATAAAATTAGGTAATAGATATTAAGAAAACTACTAATATTATTAATATTAATTTGATAAGCTGGTATAGTGAAACAGAAGATACAAATACCATCCCTACCATGAACTACCTACGTGGTCCCAGGAAAGACACAAGCTCTGTAAGTCTGAAACTTCTTACCTGGAAAAGTGGATAACATCATTCACCCCAATAGGGTTGTTGTGTGAAATAATAAATAAGATGAGTGCTCAGAGTAGAATGCCAATAAATGGTAGAATAATTTATTAGAATTAAAGCCAACACTCATGTATTAATTTTAAGAACAAATTTCTCAGATAGGATTGAATGCAGCTGTCTAAAGCTTAACAAATGGACAGTTACATTTCGTCACATAATAGGAAGTCCAAAGATAGGTAGACCTGAGCTGGGATGTGGCTGCTTGATGGTATTAGTGCAACAGATTTTCTCATCTTTTCATCTGGCTTCATGGTGTGTGGCTTTTGTTCTCCTAGTCATGGGATGATTTTTCCATTTTCAGGTGTTGCATCCACATTTTAGGCAGAAAGAAGATAAAGAGCAAATGGCAAAAAGCTGCTGCCAACTGAATCTATCCTTTTCATCATTGAAACAATGACATTTTTGAATATTCATAGGAGACGCTTTTGTTTATACCCCAATGGCTAGAACTGGGCCAAGTGGGTATTTTCCGTTTGTAGGTCATTTGAGAAGGTGAATATTTCAACAGGGCACATTACTACCAAGATAAAATCGTGATTATTTTAAAAAAGAAGTAGGAGAGATTGGTTATTGAGTAGACTTTCATCAGAGTCAGCCATACGTTCAAAAGTTAGAGAAATGCCTTTGTTATCTTGGCAGACTCCCTACATAAGGGGTAGCCTCCCTGAAGACAGGCACTATCTTTGTCACTTTGCTTCCAAGAGCCACAGCATGCTACACAAGTTAGTGTGTGCTATAGAAACAAAATAAACATTATTTTTTAAACAGACTGAGTTAAAATGATAAAATCTCTGTAAATTAAATTCTTAGTGGATTTTCAAAGTAAAAAATAATTTCTTCTATCTCCCCAGCTCCATGAAAATTTCCATAGGTTGCTAAACTGTCCTCAGAGATATCACTCACAGATGAGGGAAGCCACTTGTATTTTATCAGAAACTTCTCTATGGAAAGGTCTTGTTACTGAGTAATTCTACCAACAGAAAATGGTATTACAGTGACACTTCTATAACTGCAGACCTTATTAGGCATCAGAGTGTTTCTTTATAGCTCTCCAAAGTATAATTATTTGTGGATTTATTTTTGGCCTTTATAAATGTCTAAGAGAACATAGCCCTATTAAACTTCCTTCCTTCCCTCACAACTTAGCCCAATGAACCAGAAAAAAAGACCTCAACTAGAGTAATATTTATCGGAAATGTTCTTGCTCCTAGGCTGTTCCTATGACTTATGGCATTTATGTGATATACAGGTAACAGGATCATAAAGATGTTTATAATCAGCCTTCTAATTGTTAGAAGCCCAGATAATAGGAAGGTATTCAAGAAAGGCTTATTAATTGGACTATTTAAAAAATGATATGTTTAAGTAGGAATTTGAACAGTGTATGTAGACAGGCTCATATAATTTATCTCTAATGAATAATATAATTTTCCCTGCCTTTATCTAATGACACTCATATAGACTCAGCTTTTTGGAAAGGGTCACAGGGTTAAGTCTTTTTCTCCTTTTGAAGATTTTAGAAAAGAATATCTTTAATGACTTTGCATTTCTATCATCAGTCTTTTGCTATAATAGCTTACTTCTAGGTAAATCATTCAAGTTAACATTTTTTTAGCATGCTGTTTTTTGGAATCACAGAGCAACTACAACTTCCAACTGTTATTCACACAGACAGACAGACAAACATGTATATGAGATTCTGTAATTTGGGCCCTGGTGGTTTCATATCCGCTGAGGTCAACTTTACATCCTCAACATAATTCTTTTTAATTTAGGAATTTGCTACACACCCCATCCATTAGCACCTCAGATTTTAGACACATTTAAAGCTGATTTCTAACCTTAGTAAATGTATTCACAAGGCTTACATGACATCTTGGCTTATTATACACCCAGACTGATTAAATAGGTTCACAGAATAAGATGATTGAAGAAAAGAGTCATAATTACAGAGCAGTGTGCTTAAACTCAACTCAGAGGTTACTTTGCAGATTTATTCATTTAGCCTCTTAGCATTCCCCCAAAGAGCATGTAGCATTTTTCCTAATAATTTAACAATGTAGTACCATGAAGATTTTATATAATCATATCCAATTCATGCATGTTTCATTTATAGGTAAGATGATTCCAAAATTTACATTTCTGTCTGTGACATCACATTTGAATTACATTCATAAGTTCTCTAAACCATTCTCTAAAACTCATTAAATTCAACTCATTAAATGCCAGTGGCAAACTGGGTGCAGAAAAAAAGCCTAGCAGTTTTTTGTGTTTCCTTTTTTCCCCTTATTGCCCCTTATATCCAATGCATTGGCAAGTTCTGTTTGCCCTCCCCATAAAGCCTTCCCTGAAGCCCGTCACTGTTTTCACAGTCACTGTGATCATCTCCAAACTGGGCTTCCCATTTTATTCTTGCTTTCCTTGATTCCATTTCCTACATAGAATCCAGGGTAATCTTTTAAATCCATTAATCAAATAAAGTTCAAAAATCTCAGTTGATTTTTGTGTTTTATTTTAATGATTTTTTTGGGTAAAAACTGGCAACCTATTGCAAAACTAATACGGAATATTCAAAGTCATCTTTAAAAAGAACAAAGTTGAAGGATTTATACACATTTATATAAGTTCAAGACTTATTATGAAGCTAGATTGATCAAGGCAATATAGATAAACAGGTGGATTAATACAACAGAAAAATAGTTCAAAGATAGATTTACTTTAATATAATGGTTTGGCTTTCCTGACATTTTTCGAGAGAATTTTCCCCTCCTCTGGCTGTATTTGAAAACTTTGTTTATTCTCTGGTGTTTCCCAGTTTCATGATGTGCCTAGGTATGGATTCGTTTTTATTTTTCATAATAGAGGCACGGTCTATAAAGTCTGAGTTAATCCTTCCATTAGCTATAAAAAGTTTTCTGCATTTTTATCTTTAAAATTACTTCTATGATTTTTATTTTCTCTTTTAAAATTCCAATTAAATATATATGTGTGAATGTTTAACATCAGGCCTTGGCTCATGGAGACCTATTTGAAAATTTCCCTCTTGGCCGGATGTGGTGGCTCACACCTGTAATCCCAGCACTTTGAGGGCCGAGGTGGGCAGAGCACCTGAGGTCGGGAGTTCAAGACCAGCCTGACCAACATGGAGAAACCCTGTCTCTACTAAAAACACAAAATTAGCTGGGCATAGTGGCACAAGCCTGTAATCCCAGCTACTCAGGAGGCTGAGGCAGGAGAAGCACTTGAACCTGAGAGGTGGAGGTTGCAGGGAGCCGAGATCACTCCATTGCACTTCAGCCTGGGCAACAAGAGTGAAACTCCGTCTCAAAAAAAAAAAAAAAAAAAAAAAAAAAAAAAAAAAAAAATTCCTTCTTGTTCCCCAGCACTGCTACTTTGCCAAGAGTTAAAATAATCATGAATGTCAATCTTACACATGGACTGTGGGAGTCCTGCAGGCCGGGGACTGAGTACCTAGAGTAACATTCAAGGTTGATGGGAAATAGAGCTGCAGCTCCTATGTAGCTCCCAGATACCTTGGGACTTGCATAGCTTTGGTGTCTTTTGATTAGATGAAGCTTCTATACTTACTGCATCTCCTGCCTGTTATTCTTCTACAAAGTTAAGTAACCATAATACTAGATTATAGCCTATTTCATTTTCTTTGGTATGATTGCCAATTCCAACTGTAAGGTACATGGATGTGCTTAGGTCAAGAATTGGGCTGAGGCAGACATCCAGGCCTGCATGACTTAGCGGGATGGGTGCATAGGTGCACACCTCCACGAGTTACATAACCTGTTTGTGTAAGCTTATACTTGGCTCAAAGCCACTATTGTTTGGGGAAGGTATAACTGCCCTGCTGACACTGTACAGGTGCTCTTGTGCAGGCGCTTGTGGCCAGAGAGAGAGAGAGCAAGAGAGCCAAAGCTATCCATCTTGCAGATGGACAAGGGGGAGCCAGGATGCAGCTCTGCTCACTCGTGCCCAGAGAGAGAAAGAGTTAAGCTGCTGACCCTGAAGGGAGAGCCGGCCCCAAAACTGTGCATTAAGGAGCAGCCTGAGCAAGCAGCCAAGACAGAGCAGACAGTGTGAGAGAGCTGTTGATGAAAGAGCTGCTGAATTAAACTACATTTCACCTGTTTACGGCCCTCCCGAGTGTTCTCTCAGCTATTCGGCCATCTGCCCACTTCCCTCAAACCTCAGCATGGGCTGGAACCTAACCCTGAACCTGACAATTTGTGTAGTCAGGAACTTAACACCAACCTGAAAAAGCAACTATATACCTAAACTATGTTTTACAACTTTTAGTTTTACCCTCTTTAATACTCACTCTTTAAAGTCTTTTTCTCACACACACACACACGTGTGTATATATATATGTATACATATGTGTGTATATATGTATATATGTGTATATATGTATATGTGTATATGTGTATATATATATGTGTATATATGTATATGTGTGTATATGTGTATATATATGTGTATATATGTATATATGTGTGTGTGTGTTTGTATATATATATATATATATATATATATATATATATATATATATATGGAGAGAGACAGAGAGAAAAAGGGAGAGAGAGGTGGGGTATGGGGGTTCTTTCTCCGTTGCCCAGGATGGAGTGCAGTAGCATGATTGTAGCTCACTGCAGCCTCAACTTCCCAGCTCAAGTGATCCTTCTACCCTCAGCCTCACGTAGCTGAGACCACAGGTGAGCAGCATCACATCTGGCTTTTTTTTTTTAATTTTTAATTTTTTTGTAGAGACAGGTTCTCTCTATGTTGTCCAGGCTGGTATCAAATTCTTGGCTTCAAGAAATCCACTCACCCCAGTCTCCCAAAGTGCCAGGATTACAGGAGGGAACTGCTGTGCCCAGCCCATGTTTCTCATATCTTTATGCTCTGTATCCTTATCCCTCTGCTGCAATGTAAATGAGTTTCCTATCCACAAATTCTCTCTTCAGCTGAATCTCATTTTAACCCATCGTTTAAAGGTTTTTGTTTTCACATTTATCATTTTCATTTCAAAATTTTGTTTGGTTCTTTTGCTTGATTGCTTGGTCACTTTTACAGTTACATCTTCATTTCAATTAACAGTTCATGTATAATTACGTTGTAGTTTGATCATTTCAATATTTAAAACCCTTCGTCTCAAATTGACTTTGTTTTATTGCTCCTGTTATAGCAACTAAATCCCTGAGGGTTTGGTTATTTTCATTTATGAGCTCATATTTGTTAGATTTTAATCTTTGATACTCCTCAGGCCCCAGATTATGGAAATTTTTTTCTAGTTATGTTTTGCGTTTTTGTGGGGGAGGTGGTAATGTTACCGAATTGGGGTCACCTGATCATCATTAGAGGGTCCCCAGATAAATGCAGCAATTTCAGGTTCAGCTCACAGACTTTGAGATTGTTCCAAGGCTTAACTTCCAGACTTCAAATCTTCCTCTTATCTATTTGTTCATCACTTGTAGCTATGGCTTTAGTTCACTGCAGGAGAAGGGAGGCAGGGGTGAATACTGGGATAGGGAAGACTTTGAGATGATTCTAGCAATAAAGATTTTAAAAATATGAGATTTCATTATTTGGTAAGGGTACAGGCTTTCGGAGTATTTCTTCTATAAACTAATAAGAGCTGATGTCACTATTTATTTTCATATTCACTGTAATTATATCCTTACCACCGAAATGTAAGTTATGTAAAAGTAGGGGATCTTGTAGGATCTTTTGTTTTATTTTTATTCCAACTATGTGTACCCAGCGCCTAGTACACTCTGCCCATTTGCAGATGCAATGCTTTCTGAATTTCATCCTAACTGTTCCCCAAATGGTGTATTAGTCTCTTCTGATTTTCACACAACATTTTTTAATGTAACTCCAACTTTTATTTTAGATTCGGGGTACATATGCAGGTTCATTACACAAGTATATTGTGTGATGCTGAGGTTTGGGGTATGATTAATCTCATAACCCAGGTGGTGAGCACAGTACTCAGTAGTTAGCTTTTCAACCTTTGCCCGCATTTTCCCTCCTCCTTCTAGTAGTTTTCAGTATCTATTGTTGCCATTTTTATGTCCATGAGTATCCAATGTTTTGCTTCCGCTTAGAAGTGAAAACCTGCAGTATTTGAATTATTTGTTCCTGTGTAAATTTGCTTAGGAAAATGGCCTTCAGCTGCCTCTATGTTGCTGCGAAGGACAACATTTTGTTCTTTTTTATTGCTATGAAGTATACTGTGGTGTATATTTATCATATTTTCTTTATCAAATCCAACATTGATGGGCAACTAGGTTGATTTCATTGCTTTGCTATTGCAAATAGTGCTGTGATAAACATATGAGTGCACGTTTCTTTTTAGTAGAATGATGTATTTTCCTTTGGATATATACCCAGTAATGGAATTGCTGTGTTCGATGGTAGTTCTGTTTTAAGTTATTTGAGAAACCTTCAAACTGCTTTCCACAGTGGCTGAACTAATTTACATTCCCACAAAAAGTGTATAAATGTTCCATTTTCCCTGCAGCCTCACCAGCATGTTACATATTGACTTTTTAACAATAGCCATTCTGACTGGCATGAAATGGTATTTTAATGTGGTTTTGATTTGCATTTCTCTGATGATTAGTGATGTTATGCATTTTTTCATGTTTGTTGGCCACAAGTATGTCTTCTTTTGTGAAGTGTCCATGTTTTTGGCCCACTTTTTAATGGGCTTGTTTCATACTTATTCAATTATTTAAGTTCCTTATGGATTCTGCATATTAGACCATAGCTTGCAAATATTTTCTCCCATTCTGTAGGTTGTCTGTTTACTCTGTTGACAGTTTCTTTTGCTATGCAGAAGCTCTTTGGTTTAATTCAGTTCCACTTATCAACTTTTGCTTCTGTTGCAATTGCTTTTGAGGACTTAGCCATAAATTCTTTTCTGAGGCTGATGTTCAGAATGGTGTTTTCTAGGTTTTCTTCTAGGATTCTTATAGCTTGAGGTCTTATATTTGAATCTCTAGTCCATCTTCAGTTAATTTTTGCATATGGTTCAGTGTCATTCTTCTGCATATGGCTAGCCAGCTATCTCACTACCATTTATTGAATAGGGAGTCCTTTCCCCATTGCATATTTTTATCAATTTTCTCAAAGATCAGATGACTGCAGGTGTGTGGCTTTATTTCTAGGTTCTCTATTCTGTCCCATTTGTCTATGTGTCTGTTTTTGCACCAGTACCATACTGTTTTGGTTACTGTAGCCTAATAGTACAGTTTGAAGTCAGGTAACATGATGCCTTCAGCTTTGTTTTTTGTTTTTGTTTTTTGCTTCGAATTGATTTGGCTATTCAGACTCCTTTTTAATTCCATATGAATTTTAGAATATTTTTTTCTAATTCTGTGAAAAATGATTTTGGTAGTTTGAGAGGAATAGCATTGAATCTGTAGGTTTCTGTGAGTAATATGACCATTTTAACAATGTTTAACTGACTTTACTTAACTAACTCTACTCTGCAATAGAGATGAAAAATATCAGTGAGATTAGAGAATTTCAAAGTCCCTTTGTTAGTTTTTCAGAATTGGGAATGCTTTGTAACTGACGTTGACATTACTAACAGTGATGAAATACCTGGGATATACTGTACAACGTCATTTAAAATATTACATTTTATAAATATAAATATTTGTAGTCATATAAAATGTAGTACAATAATTCTAGCACACCACTAGCAAAGTAGAAAAGTTTAAAACAATAATCATTTATTGAGCACCTACTCTGTGTCAGGTGATGTACTAAGCAATTACTAAGCAATTATTTACTTATTTACTAATTAATTCTTTTACTAAGTAAAATAATTCTAAAAATAATTCTTGGTACTGAACATGAGCAGTTTTTCCATCACAGGGCTCATGGCTTATTTTTGGCAAATATGTTATATTTCATAGTCAGTGATGGACCATGATGAGAAAAAAGTTTAATGAATAGAGTGCTAAAGTAGATAACAACTTGAGAAACAATTTTTTTTTTAAAAAGGATGCAGTATTTTGATACTTTATATCTACATATTTCATTTTCAATCTTTCTGATTTCCTTATTTTATGGAAATCAGTAGTAAAACTCCTATGTTGATGAACTTTATTTCAAACACATATGGGCAGATATGCATTATGGAATTGAATCTTAGAGTTCAGTATTTTTGTCTTTATTATGCTAATTGTATTCATGTTTAAAACAGCCTCCCCCAGATCCTTTTAATTGTTTGGCAAGAAATTGTATTGGTCCTGATAAATGATAGATGATCATGATTTACATTATGATAAACATAAACACACACAATGCACACCAACATACCAAGCAGTAATATCTTTGCATATATTCCTAATGTGCTTCATTAATTATCTTCAGTTAGTATTTTTAAGCATTGGCTTGCTCTGAATATTTAAAGCACATTCTAGATAAAAAATGGTCCACTGCTGATATAAAGTGAGATGGGGAATACATACTAAGTATCAGTCTTTTATTGAATTGTTAACCAAAGCCAGCTGGTCAGAATCTCAGAATTCTGTACCTTAGTTAAAATATTTTATATGTGTTTTGAACTGGTCTGAGTGTTTGTCAATATAGATATTAGTTGGCGTTTTTGTTTTCTGTTTGCATTTCTTGCCTTCTGCCTTGCTCCCTCTCTCCTTCCTTCCTTCCTTCTTTCTTTCTCGTTATATCTTTATTTCTTCTCTGTAGACTATGGTAGCTGCCAATGGTTGGTTTCTGTTAGCTCTTTCTCACAACCTCACTACAGAAGAACCTGACCAAATTCTGCCTCACATGGCAATTTTTATTAGGCAAACAGGCAAAGAAGCAATCATACAAGCGTTCAGAAAGGTAAAATCATCCCTAGGACTATGATATTCAGTTTGTGTCACTTATTTTGCATAAGAAGCTCTTTTGAGATAAACCCAATACTTCTAGAGAGGACTTAGTCAACCCTACAACATTCAAATCTCTTAACTTTTGGAGTGAATACATGAACTCATTAAGAGTTCACCTCAGGCACCATACTGAAAAGTGAAAGGGGAACAGCTTAATACATTTTAATTTTCTACTCATGCAAGACTTTCCTAAAAAGGTGCTACACTTCCTAACATAGGCCAAAAATATGCTGTCATCTCTAGTATCTCCAGTAAATAAAGCATAAAAATATAGGACTTTCTAAACATACTATCAAATACCAAGATTTCCATGTCAACTTTAGTGTTAACTGTCTGCATTAAAAATTTGCTGGATATTCATTCTCTATAAGGAAAATCATATTAGACAATACATAAATGATATGACCAAAAATTAGACATCTGAAAAACCACTTCTCAGTCAGGATCTAGCAAGGAAATGGAAAATGCTTGGGTATCAGGACTAAATAGATAGAACTGGTTAGCCAGGTGATAGAAGACCTGAAGGACCTATAGTAGATAGTGCGGTAACAGTAGGACACCTTTCCTGGGATGGGGAGATGAGAAAACATTAACAGAACCTGGACTTGGAGGCCACCTCTGACCTTTTAAATGGAAGCTGGAACCATGGAGGAGATATAACCCGTGCTGGAAGAACTACCTAAGGAGAACAGGAAAGGGAGAAATATCCTTTAATCTCTAATTTCAATTCTGTCTTTTGTTCCTATCAATTTTAGCACTAGTGCTGTGAACACAGATTCCTGTCCTTTCTGATTAGTAAAGTATTGTATACAATGTCTATCATCACCCACATTGTAACACTAACAAAACAGGCTTGATCTTCCTTTGAAAAAGGAAGATTTGAAGATTTGTCATAATTTGAAAAATGTAAGATCTCCTTGAAAAGTTTTCATATTTCTACTGCATTTTCTCTTAAAATTTAACTCACATTGGTTGGGAATCCAGAGTGATTCATCTCTCTCTTAATTAAAAATGAAGTATTTCAGTTGATAAAAATATGCAATTTTCTAAATTATAATTTGCATTTTTAAACCAGTGTGTTCAAGAGCAACACTTGGTACTTATGAAATGCTGAACTCTGTGCTGAGAAGAACTTGGAATAACACTTAAATACAGAAGAGACACATCTCCAAGGCTCTCAAGCCACATTACTAACACTGACATCATGTACTTGTCATCACATAGATGTAAATGGAAACACAAAAACAAGCTAAAAGTCTGAGGCTCAGCTTTAAAGGATTGGTCTTCCAATAAAAAGATATAGCTTTGGCTTAAAAAGTCAGATATTTAGAAAAGAAATTGAAAAGAGAAGAAAATTTTTGGTTGTTTCTATTATTAATCTCTAGATTTACAGTAATCCTGACAAGTATGTATTACTAAACTCTGCTTCAAGTTGTCATAGAAATTATTTTAAATATTAAAAAAAAAGGAATTTATAACTGAGGACATAGTCATAATCCTTAGCCATGACAAAAGTTTCAAATGCTGATTTACATAAATTGAGACAAATTCAAATTCATAATAATGGAGTCTCAAAGCACCTGTAAGAACACCACAATTGGATTTATTAGAAGTTTTATATTAATGAAATCTTGTACCTTAGTGATATTTTTATTGCCAAACAACTTACTAGGTTTTGGACCATAAATAGGTCAGTCTAGAAAAATACTTAGGAGATTTTTCCTCTCATGATTGGTCACTGCACAATATGTTTATTTTGTGTTTGAAGAGACAGGAAGTTGTGTTATCTTTAATTATTTTACCTCCATAATGACTACTGTATCCTTATCATTTGTGGCTAAATTGATCTTACCATTATTTGTCATAATTACTTTTAACTGCTTGAGAGTTTTTATGCAAGAGATGCATAAATCTTATTCAACCTTTCTGTAGATGTTACCACTTGGATTGATCTACAATTATTTATTCAATGCATGTAAAGGTTAGCTCTAGTAAAACAGGGTAAATTGTCTGTCTACACCTCTGCTATATTATTCAGTGAGTCCCAATTTATGAGATGTTTAAGATGCATAATGAATCCAGATTCAAATAAAGCAGAAAAAAGTGAAGAAAATGTAAACATTATTATGGAAGCAATCAGGAAAGTAAGAATTGAAACTCTGGGTGGTCTCTTAGAATACATCAAGTATTTTCAATACAGAGGACCACACAGAGGATGAGAAAAACTGAAGTATTTTATTATATTGTTAACAATTCTTTTCAACAAAGTTTTTCCAGTTGTTAAAATTTAATTACCTTGTGTGTGTGTGTATCTTAGAACTTCTGTGTTGGGAAGTCCCTGGGATTCTTATCAGCAGAAACAAATAAAATAAAAAGGAAAACAAAAAAGTTTACACTCCTTGGAAAATTTGAAGTTAGGGAGGGTAATCTCATGTGTAACAACTGTTCTTCTAGCTTTCTATTTTCATTAGATACCTGAGTTTAAACAAATACTTATTTTCCTCTTTTGATCTCCCTTTTCTTCACCTTCTACATGAAGACACTGCTGTCTGGGGCTGTATCCTTCACAGTGTGTGGTTCCGCCTACATTTCCTTTTCCATTTTTGTGGATTTTCTCCAAAACCAGTTCACAGGAACTTGAAAGGTAATTTAATAAAGCCCAATCTTGCCAATAATGTTCAGCTTATTTTCTTCAACACAATTTAATAATCATCTAGAAATGTATGTCCAATGCTCTCTATAATATCACCCCATGTACATTACCACATGCTCTTCCACCATTTCCTCTGCCATCTTGTTGTGACTTTTGTAGTTCAGCAAGTGGGAGGAAATGGGGCTCAGCAGCTTTTTCCTGTGACCTTTGCCCAGGGCTTTGCTTGGGCCCTGTCAGCCTCGCTCCGCCCACTCAGCCCAGCAGGCTGCCTTGACTCACTCTACTGGCCTGAATCCCACACCTGCCATGGCTCCATGTTAAGCCTGTGGCTGGACTTGGGTGTGCCACAAGTGGCTCTTGTGTTGGGCACCAGCATCCAGACAAGGGGGACATGGTGGTGCCCAAAAACCTGAAGATGCCAGCAACCACGGAGCCCCAAGGGATGTTACAGCTTGTGCTAGGGGAGTCCCAAGGTGTGAACCCCCAGGAAATGTTACAGGTCTTTCTCATTCCCACCACTGGCAGCTCAGCAAATGGAGGCATGTTATAGCTCATTTGTTCCTGCCACCAGCAGCTTGGTGAGTTCTGGGTTCTTGTCCTGCAACCCAGAGGAATCAGGTATGCAGACACTAGAGCGTGAGTAGGGTGAAGAAGAATTTTATTGAGCAACAGAAGGAAAGCTCTCAGCAGAGAGGGAGCCTGAGAGAGAGTAACCCTCTGTGTGGCTGAGGCAGGTGTTTTTATGGGCTCAGACTGGGGGAGTGAGTGCTCATTGGTCCGTGGGTGGGCTTTGGAAAAAGCACCATTGAATTGGTTAAAAGGCATCATCCAGAAAGAACCAGTCAAGAGAGAGAAGGTAAGATGGGGATAGTTCTCACTCTGGTCATGAGCTCTATCCAGAACCAGCAGCTTGGTTTTCAGGCTTTAAACCATCTTTGGCTTGAAGGTCAGGTTTCACTGGGGACCAGTCCCTGTCTGCCTAGGAATTTGTCTATGTCCTGTCACTATCAATCTCAGGTACACTATCACTGCTATCCATTCCTACTGAGTAATTTCTTTGTCTAATGAAAAGTGTGGCTTTGCATCAGGTTTATACAACTACACACAATTTTATAGCTTAAAATGTGATTTTTCACATCACATATTTAATTCTCACAGTAAGTCTATACACAGTAATACTATGGTTGTGATTATGTTCCATTTTGAAAACAAGAAAACTTGCACTCAATAAGACTAAGGAGTATGCCAAAAGTTTACCTATTAATAGAAAGTACATATTTGATTTTTTTTCAGGGACCTGGAAGCTTTGTAATCAAAATAAGGTGCAAAAATATTCAAGTGCAGACTGCACACAACAAATCCCTTCAACTTGCGGGAAGGACTCAAAGATCATGATCTTCTTTTAATTGCCACCTCATCTCAAATATTTAACATAAGCACTTATATTTTATAGGCCACTTAATAAGTGACTATAAAATGAAAGAAACAATAACAAAAATGTCCTAAGTAGAATGGTTCATTCTAGTTCATTCTAACCTAAAAACAAACAAGTAAAAGAATAAATGTTTTGTTTATATATTAACTTATTATATATTATATTGTAATCTAGTTCTTTTTCTTTCACATAAACTACAGGAATCAGAAAACTGTGATTGAGGATTTTTTTCTTCTTTTCTTTTTCTTTCTGGTCACCTGTTTTGGTCCTCAATGCATTATGTGACATACATATTTTTCCTTAGGTATTACCCTGTGATCAGAAAAGTTGCTAATGAAATACGGCAGAAGCAGCCTAAGGCCTGTTTCTCATTTGGAATGTGCTGGATTGCAGACTCTTCTTTATCCTGATGAATTGACAGTAGAACTTCAGAGACGTAGTTCAATTTCCTGCCCTAGACAGGTATTGTGAATATTAACCCTTCAAAATTGTTTTCGTGAAGGATGGCACATATCATGACTTTACAAGATAAACACACCCACCCTTCCCTCTCTCTTTCAGGATTTTAATTTTTTTGCTTTTTTTCAATGAAAAAAAAAAAGAAAAAATGGTATTTTACATCTGCCTTTCTCTTTGCAATTATAAAGAGATGATGCATTAAGAATGAAGTGCTGCATCAAGAAGTAGTTCTTGTCATCCTGTCATTCAAATACGATAATACGATACCAGTCCATACAGAATTGTAGAAGGACCTAGGTTGCGGAATGACTGTGGGAATTTGTTATCATTTTCTTTTAAAATTATCAGTAGGGAAAGTTCCTTGACTAAATAGCTCCAAGTTACCATTTAAATATGCTGTGCTAGGGTCTCTCAATGACCTCTAAGCACATGATGGTGCCATGTTGACAGCAAATGAAAGCACTAACTCAAGCTGCGGGAGTGCCACGTTCGGTGCGCTGAGATGGCGCATTGCTAACTGCCTTTGACAAAATTTGATTCCCATCACAAAATGCATACAGTAGAAACATTATGCACTGCAGAGTGAGATTATAACTAAGCAATAAATGCAGATTGTATTTTCTTTACAAGTCCCCAGACTTTAATCCTATTGAGTTAGAACAGCATCATGGAAAATGCCACAGGCCTAAAAAGCTAGAGGATGAGCTGATGGCTCATAAAAATTATCCAGAAGTGAGGGTCTTCCTTTATCCAGCCCTTTTAAACTATTCATTATTCTTGTATTAAAATGTTCCTTTAAGGAGGAAAAAAAGCAAGAAAACTTTTACTTCCAAAGATTCATGTTAATTGGGGCTGAACTAAGACATAAGGACACATTGAGCGTATTAATAATTTAGTATTATGGAAAAGCTACTGATGTATCCATGCTTTAAAATTATATTAACTATTTGGTTAGCATTTATTTAAACAATGAATGTTGTTTGGGAAAGATTTGTTGAAAGTGGTATGGCCAAATTTACTCTATTGGGTTCAGTTCAGTTCTGGCCTGAAAATCATCTGCTCGTTAGCCAAAACCCCCACCCCCAGGTCTTCTCTGGCATAAATTTTGGGGATCTCATTTCTCTTTCAAAGGAACTGTCAGTGTTTTATCCTCAAATGCATAAAATTTTCTCCACAGGATTTCTGGTAAATATAATTTTTGCATTTGTATTTAGTATTTTTCCAATAATGTTTTAGTATTGCAGTGATATATTTAGGTCCTCACCTAGTGGGACCTGGAAAGTTGTTTGATGCTTCTACCGTCACTTCCACAACTACCACCTAAACCACCACCATTAGCACATTACCATGAGGGTAACACAATCACTGACATCACCATCACCATCACTGTCAGAATCACTGCCAGGCTAGCACCATATGAATTGTTAATTTAAGTTCAGCCTAAAGCTGCCTCTTTACATGGTTTTTTGTTTTTTGGTTTGTTTGTTTGTTTGTCTTCTGAGACGGATTCTCACTCTTGTCACCTAGTCTGGAATGCAGTGGTGCGATCTTGGCTCACTGCAACCTCCGCCTCCGAGGTTCAAGCGATTCTCCTGCCTCAGTCTCCTGAGTAGCTGGGATTACAGGTGCGCACTACCATGCCCAGCTAATTTTTTGTATATTTTTAGCAGAGACGGGATTTCACCATGTGGGTCAGGCTGGTCTCGAACTCCTAACCTTGTGATCCGCCTGCCTCGGCTTCCCAAAGTACTGAGATTACAGGCGTGAGCCACCGCACCCAGCCCTCTTTACATATTTTAAGTTTAGCTTAAAGGTTTCTCTTTACACAGTAAACTGTAACTTAACTGTATGTATAAACAGATTGCATGCTACTTTTGTGTCAACCACCAAGTTTCAGCCAATCAAGGGTGGCCAACTGTTCAATCCATGTTCACATAAGGCAAATGCTGAGCTGTAACCAATCCAGCTGTTTCTGTGCCTCACTTCCCTTTTTCTGTCCATCAACTTTCTTCCACCAGACAGCTGCCCTAGAGCCTGTTTGAATCTATTCTGGTTTGGGGGCTGCCAGATTCATGAATTATTTTTTGTTCAACTAAACTCCTGTTAAATTTAATTTATCTAAGGTTTTTCTTTGAACAGTATCTATAAAACAAGTTACAAAGAAAATTGTTTAGGTCACTGCTTCTGGAACTTCAATAAGCATATGATCATCAGATGATCTTATTAAAATACAAATTCTGATTTATCAGATTCAGAGTAAGAGTCTACATTTCTAATATGCTTCCAGCGAATGCTGATGCTGCTGTTACACAGACCAATCTCTGAATGGCAAGGCTTGTGCTTGATTCTATGCAAAGATAACCACAAAGACTGGACCCTTACCTATGAGTAACCAATAACTGCATTAGAAATCTCTCTTAAACATACCTAGTATGTATCAATGTTAACTTACACACGAGATCAATTAGAGGTAACTAATCCTATAAAAACCTTACTATAATACTCCTTTAAATAGCAAATCAATTAATGTTTAAAATATGAGTCTCTTAAAAATATGTTAACCTAAAACCATTCATGGACACAGACTTCTACTTAAGGTGGTATACTTAAATAAAACAAGCACACATACCAATAAAGACAAACATATATAAGGGGTATAGACATAACATCAAAATATTAAATTAATGTAGGAATCTATCATCAGACAAATATATTTTAAAAATGAGTAAAAAGTATGCACATTACATTTGGAGAGGTCCAAGGAAGACTAGCGTGAGATTTCACCTGTCCATTTAAGTTTTAGTGTCTTTGAATTTGGAGTTCTTAAACACTATTTCATAACTTCTCTTTGAGACAAGTAGTTTTTACATAGAAGTTAGTCTAGGAGAGAGCTTGACATAGAATTGAGGTTTTGGCTGCTGTATGTCTGAGATGCAGCTTTCTTATTCTCTATTTTTTCCCTGCTGCCCTTTCAGACATACAAAACTCAACAATATTCCTCATTGAATTTATGAGATAGAACTCAAAGGTTCTAGCTATTTTATTGATCTAATTGTGATGTAGACCAGGACGAGCAAATATGTGTAATTCTCATTGCTCATAGTGGGACATCTTATTCTTACAAGCCCTCTAACATTCCTATTTATTTTCATCCCCAGATCATGGCGATCTGTAATCTCCTTTTACCTAATTATTTCAATTTCTGCACCTACTTGAAAAATTCATTTATGCAATTATGAAGACACATTGTCTCCATCCTGTTTCTAGCTATTATTTGTGAATGGACATCTCTCAGATGTAGTGACTAAGCCTTTAGACCTCTGTGTCTCACATATTCTTCAGTATTCGCAGCATGAACCTGAATTACAATTTCTGAATGGTGGGTAGCCTTCCCTTCTTAGCTGCAGACAGAACAAATGTGCTTGTTCCCCAAAGAGGTAATCAGAAGTTCTCCTCCTCCCGGGACAAAAGAAAATCAAGCAAGATTATTTAGTTCTGTTTTAAGTGCCAGTGAGCTGGTTTAGACAAGAGAAGACTGCTGCAAGGACCCTATCTAACTCTTCCAACAGATGTGTTCAATCCCAGTACATTTCAGCAAATTTAGATGTAAAAATAGAGAGTGATTTTTTTTACATAAACAGTGCTTTGTATTCCATGAATAATCATTTGAATACAATTGTACATTTCAAGTGTATTGTGTGTTTTTAATAAAGAAAGAACACAAAGATCGCATCATTCAAATGGAAATGATTTTTCATTTAATCGTATCTAATGTGTTGCTGGCAATCTTACAGCAAATGAATAGTTGTCAAAGCTAAGCAAGGTTGCAAGAATTTCCCTGGCATCTTTGTAAATATGACAACTGCCTCAATTATTAAATGAGAGGATAATCTGGCATTAGTAATTATAGCTGTGCATCAGGTGGAAGATTAATAAAAAGTGAATTTATCATTATTGCATAATAATAATAAGGTGGGCCTGTTTGTTTCATTTTCATATACATGATGATTTTATTATGAAGATTGTGTCCTTCATATCTAAGTTATATAAATGAAAATATTCTATCCTTAATATTAGGTGTTATTTGGATTACACTGGTATGTCGTATATGCAAGTAGTATTTATAGTCAGTATCGGTAACTTGAATAAAAAGATAATCCCCTAGCCCCTTTTGAATGCTTGATAGATGACATAATTTTTAAATAATGCTTTGATCATTTTTGTTAATCATAAAAACCACTGAGCTTCAGGTGCTCCTTAAGTAACAAGAGGAAAGAAAGATTTGCACACTCAGAACACACTCTAAAACAAGCCAAGCCAACAATCAGACCATTATTTCATTTCTACTCTACACTGTACATTTAGCCCATGCTACTCCAACCAGATGCTTCATGGTGTTTCTATGGTAAAGAATATGTCAAAATTTGGGAATGAAAAAGTCGTAAATCCAAATAAATAAAAATCACAGTTTTAAATTACTTACTGATTTATGGTTTTGTTTATTGTTGCAATAAGATCCAAGCATGGGACCTTGTCCTGGTTTGCTGTCTTGCTCTTCCCGACTGTGCTTAGGCCTAATTAAGAAGATGTCTAAATACAATGTTTGCTTCCCTTTCTATGGTAGGGTCGTGGTTATCTTTGAGTTATTATTGAAAAGCATTATACAATTTTAACATTTACTTGACTGTCTCTATCCATGCCTACATTGTATATCTATGTTTATATACATATATGTCTATATATTCTATGTGTTGTTTACTTTTTACCTTTCCTTCATGATCACTAATAGCCTCTAAGAAATATAAATAAAACACTACTATTGGTGAATGTATTTTCAGATAAAACTTGGTAATCGCAGTATATTTTATAAAAAATTTCTTTGCACTGTGACCTATTTACTCTTCAATATACTCCCTTTGTTCTTCTGAACGAATACGTGGCTTCTCTTGATTTAAAATTTACCTGTCCTTTGATTTTGTAATAGCCTACCCACCTCTCAGTCATTGTTTGCCCCTTTACAGAAAAAATTTCTTATTAGCATTTACAAACAGCTGTCACAATATTACATATTTCTTTGTGAACTTGTTTTTTGCCCTTCTCCCAACATGAGTTCTGCAAGTCCAGAGACTGTGCCTAGCATGTTCACTACTTTTGAACCAGGGCATATGTATCTACAGAATGATTTATTAATAGAATACGCGCCTACATGCATCCATTCATTCTGTCAACAAATATTTTTTAGCCATTGCTATCTAGCAGCTTTGTCTTAGACCCTACAGATAAAAAGGTAAGGGCGGAAAAAGTCATGTTAATCCCCTTCAAGTCTCATGGGGGAAACAGATGACTGCACAGGCAGTTTGAAATGCAACGTCATAAGTGGTTTAATGGAGGAAGAACAAAGAACTGTTGAAATTTATAGGAGGGACTCCTTACCTATTAAGGCGGGATTGATATAGATACTCTGGTGGAAGATAGAACTTAAAGAGACCTGAAAAATAAGGAGGAAAGAGGGTGATGGAAATGAGGTTTTCCAAGCAGAGGAAACAAACTTTAAAGAGACATGAAGATGAGAGTTGCATAATGATGATATAAACAAGTGCCCCGTGTGTAAGGGAAGTGGAAATACCTCCAGATTGACAGGGCCATTGTGATGTCTGCAGCAGTTAAAGGCTCTTGAAGGGGCATTCAATGCTCTTCCTGGAGTTCAACATGTCATGGAAAACCTCCAGGATTCTTTATGTAGATGCTTTCCAGATCATGGGAACAGGATGACTTTAGATGAAATGAAAGGCCATTAAATGTACAACAAACAGAAAGAAACATTGTTTCAGAGTAAATTTATCCCACCTCTTGAAATTTCCTACATTAGAAGGTCACAGAATCAAATCTGGTGCCTGGACAATTTAAAGGTCTGAGTAGTTTATTTCATTGTTCATTAATAACGTTTGCATTTTTGTCTTAAGATAACAATAATCATTTATCATATTTCAGTGAAATAAACCAATTGCAACTAAAATGAAGAGTTCTCTGCCCTCAGTTCATGATGCAATTGATGTTAAAGGGTAGAAAATAATTGAAGCAATGGTGTTGGCCATAGAAAACCCAGCAATCTGCAGATTTTACTCTCAACTAAAACAAATTCTGGTAAAGATATGTTTCTGGTTTGTTGTTGTTGTTAGTTTGTTTTTTTGCTTTTTTAGCACAAAAAAATATGCCTGTTTCTGGTGCACAATAAGTAATTTTCTTAATATGTGTTCACTTATCTGAGTACTGTATCTGCCTTTCCTCCTGCTTAGATCTCACTCATTTGTTCAGATAACATTGGCCATTGACTAAGGACCCACTAGATTCCAGGCAAAGAATGAAGCAGTGAAAGGGTAGTCAAATTAGTAAGACATGATTCCAAACAGAAAGATGTTTCAAAATTATATTATACTATCTTCCCTTTACAAAGATATACAATGCACATTATTTTATTAATAATTCTGAGTGTTTTTTTGATTTTTGTTTGTTTGATTTTTGAGATGGAGTCTCATTCTGTTGCCCAGGCTGGAGTGCAGTGGTGCCATCTCAGCTCACTGCAAGCTCTGCCTCCCAGGTTCACACCATTCTCCTGCCTCAGCCTCCTGAGTAGCTGGGACTGCAGGCGCCTGCCACCACGCCTGGCTAATTTTTGCATTTTTAGTAGAGACGGGGTTTCACCGTATCAGCCAGGATGGTCTCAATCTCTTGACCTCGTGATCCACCCACCTCAGCCTCCCAAAGTGCTGGGATTACAGGCGTGAGCCACCGCACCCAGCCAATTCTGAGTTTATATTAATATAATATTTTTAACTTTGTTTAACCACCATACTTTATTAAATTGCAGAATCATTTCTCATGTGACTTCTGTTTAATATATGTGGAATGCTAGCGTTTGGAAACCAAATTAAGAAAAAAAGAAAAACTAGTCTGATGGCATAGTACACCAGCCTTCATTTTTCTTTTTTTTAGAGAATTTATCAGTATCTTGAGGATAGAGATAGAAAACCTCCATCTAGATATTGTTCTTTCTCATTTGAAATGAAGAGAAACATTCTTCACGTTATTCTTGATGGTATTTTCCAATGCATATGGCTTGTGTGTGACAATTTAAAGAAATTTAAAAAGTTCATTTAAAATCATTTAAATGAGGGTAGTGTGACAAGTTACTGTTTTCTATTTTCATAGCAATGACATCATTATAATTTCTTGGACTCATGTAACCATTTACTTCTTAATATTTGTGAAACAACCTTGTTTTGCCATTCATAGACAAACTATTCCTAGTAAGATGCAGAATGGTGATTGCTCTTAATGTAGCATCTTTTACACCCCTAACAGAGCTAGCTGTTCCAAACTTGGTGGTCACCATGGCTCTTGAACCATACATAACTTAGCAAGGCCACTTAGGTTTCAATACTTTAATATTTGCTTCTCTGTCATTAAAATGTAGGTCCTGTTTATTCTTGAGTGGTTGGGGAGATGAATGAATAAACTCAACAACATCAACAACAACAACAACAACAAAAAACTAATTTAAAACATGAGAAAAAGACTTGCAAAGACGTTTCTCTAAAGATATACAAATAACCAATAAGCATATAAAAGGATCCTCACCATCATTAATCATTAGGGAAATGCAAATCAAAACCACAATGAGATACCACTTCACACCAATTAGGGTGGCTATTAGCAAACAAAAACAGAAAATCACATGTTGGTGGAGAAATTGCAACCAGTACTCATTACTGATAGAAATGTAAGATGATGCATCCACTGTGGAAAACAGTATTGTACTTCCTTAAAAAGTAAACATAGAATTAGCATATAATCCAGCATTTCCACTTCAAAGCATATGCCAACAGAATTGAAAGTAAGGACTCAAAAGTTATTTGAATACCCACATTTGTAGCACCATTATTCATACTAACCAAAACGCAGAAGCAACACAAGTAACCATAGACGGTTGAATGGATAAATAAAAGACGGTATATACATGCCATAAAATATTATTCAGCCTTACAGAAAAGGAAATTCTGACACATGCTACTATATGGATAAAACATGAAGACATTATGCTAAGTGAAAATGGTTAAAAATTGACTTAAAAATGGTTAAAATGGTAAATTTTATTTCATGTTTTTTCCACAATGAAGAATGAATGAATGAATGAATGAATGAATGAAGGCTTTGTGTTGCCCATTTCACTTTTAAGGGACATGGAAATGATCTATAAAAAGAAGAGAAAAAAACACTACAATGCTATTGTTCCCAGGCATCAGGAAATAGAACAAAATATGCCCTCAGAAATGTTATTAAATGATAATGGATTATCTAAAAAATAATGATAACTGGCTGGGCATGGTGGCTTACGCCTGTGATCCCAGCACTTTGGAAGGCCGGGGTGGGAGGATCACTTGAGGTCAGGAGTTCAAGACCAGCCTGAGCCTGGCCAACATGGTGAAACTCCGTCACTACTAAAAATACAAAAATTAGCCAGGCCTGGTGGCAGACAACTGTAGGTCCAGCTACTTAGGAGACTGAGGCAGGAGAATCACTTGAATCCGGGAAGTGGAGGTTGCAGTGAGCCGAGATCATGCCACTACACTCCAGCCTGGGTGATTTAGTGAGACTTTGTCTCAAAAATAATAAAATAAAATAAAATAACCATTAAAATAATTACAACAACAAATTAAAAAAGACAGTATTACTTAATTATATTTATATATTCTTCCTAAGAGAGCTGTGAACCTGAAATGTCTTTCTCTTTCGGGGAATTTCCAATACCCAGCTGAGGTATTTTGTGAGTGGTCATCAAAACATCAAGAGAAGCCTCAATCATTTGATGATCCAGATTTTTTAGTGTCACTCAATGCTTGTTCATGCACCATATAAGTGCTGTTTATCTTACTCCAGTGACAACTAGCCCACTTATACAAAAACCGATTTTGTCTAGCTTTCTCGTTTTATAAATATTTTATTGTATGAATTAATAAACCAGAAAACTGTGTCCAAGAAACTTAATAACTAAATACCTTAAAGTTGTCTGGCCAAAAAATGGCAACACTTGATATTACATTCTGGTTTTCCTGCTTAATAATGTCATTTTTCTACCATGTCAGTTGACTCAGGCCTAAAGTAAGCAATTATTTTTGCATATAGAAATGTCCTATATTATGATCACTGCTTGTCCTGCAGTCTCTGTGACTCAAAGTACAAATGAAAGCAGTTTAAATAAATTAACTGATGTTACTTTAGGAAGGTAGCATGTGTCTCAACTGCTTGCTTTTAAATAATTTAAAAGAAGTCTTCATAATCTTTCATATTATGAGACAAAGAATACTGCCAACACATTGTCTCTTTGTTTCTATAAAGACATTTTCACAATGTGCCTATTCGTCTAGATAAAATGAATCATTGAGTTCAGAGTAACTATACATATGAAGAAACTAAAAGACATTTAGTAGTGATTTATGAAATCTATTGAAAACATTGTCATTTTTAATGACAAAGTTGAGAAGACAATATTTAAAGTACAGTACCAGTCTTTTACAAGCTGGGGATTTCAAGGGAATAGTGAACGTTGGTGATAATGTATCTCAGGGGTGAATTACTAGTATCTCATGCCAGTCCAGCAGAATAACAATTTGGAAATGTCCTGTTCAATTGGGTTGCTCTCTCTTCTGCTTTTTAACTGGCTTGCTTTTGTCTGAGCCCTTTCTTTTTCCATAGGTTTCAGCTAGTCATCTGGGGGTTTGTCTGGGATTCATCAGAAGGGTGAGAGAACATGAATCTATGACTCTTCACTTTTCTTTATGAGGCTTCTTGCCCTCAGACTTTTCTCTGAAGGCAGATGAAGAACCAAACCTCTGATTAGCTAGTTAAGAGCAAATGGAGCAGTTACAGAGGACAGGATGCTGGGGGAGGACCCTGCCAGCCCCCATCCCGTGACTCTTGGGTGTACAGAATCCTGGCTTTGTTTCCCTTTACAGAGGTCTAGTTGTTGCAGGATTGGAATAAGGTTTTGGGGCAACTGAAGGCATCTGGCCAAGGCCACACCTTGGTGTTTTCTGAAGGCTCCCAGACTGGCTCCAGTTCCTGACCACCCACTAGGGTTTCGGCCAAGACCCCCGGACTTTTCTATGGCATTTCTCCCACTTCTGTCATGGATTATAATGGTTCCTATCTCTTCTTTTATAAGGTTAAGAGTGTTGTTGCAGACTACACAGATATTACTGGGTAGGATGAGCACTTGGCACAGTCATCAAAAATGTAATTCAGAACAACATGGTTTTCATCTATTCTTAGAAGCAGGGAGAAAGCAACAGTTAAGAGGTGTTTTTTTTTTTTTTTTTTTTTGTTCTCCCTGTTGAAAAAATCAATTTGCATAGAGCAAGAGCCTTCTTCCCCCCAGGCACCTTTCCCTCCCTGCATTAAAGCTGTTTTTTGTTGTTGTTGTTTTTTCCTCTTTTTTTCCACCATGTCAGGATTTCACATAGCCCTGCAAATGCAGGGGGCTTTTCAATGTTGAGAGGGTTTTTTTTCCCCTTTCGGGAAGCATCTCACTAGACTAGGTCTCCAATTCACGGGACTTCCCTTCCCTCACTTGTTTGAGAAGGGCCTGGTTCCACAGCTTCACTTTAGCACTCTGCTTATAATAGGGAAGCAATGGAGGAGCAGCCCCACAGGCTGCTGGCTATAAATTTGGTGAGGGCTACCTGGGACTGAATTTAAATAAACCCATGCACACTCCTGAGGTACCATTTTGTCACAAGCTCAATTCCAAGCTTCGGGTTGAAGCCCTAGAAAGGAAAACGATCTGAGGTATCCAAAGGCAGGCAACACGGAAGTCAAGGGGCATGGCATAGGTGGTTAGGACTAATTCCTGCTGATTAGGTTTCCACTTCATGGAAGGAGGTCAAGTTCATATTCATGGCATAGATGAGGTCTAAGGACATCAGAGGCTACTGACAGCAGAGGAGATAGGCAGCAGGTAAGGGAGTGCAAATAATTCCTACCTTCTAGGCCAATGGGTGAAGGTTGCACTGGCACCCATGGGCAGTATCTGACGAGGTTGCTGGGACTTGGGGATAAAAAGATGGAAGACAAAAAGGGGATTCCCTTTCTTTCTCTCCCTCACACATCCTGGCATTTCACTGAAAGAGAGAAAGGAACTAAAGGAAACATCTTTACCTCTCTTTCAGATGGGTAACCAACCATCTTTAGTCTACGTTCCTTTGGAGTGTATCCTGAATCACTGGGACTGCTTTGACCCTCAGACTCTGGAGAGAAAAAAAAAAAAAAAGTCTCATAGCTCTTTGGACATGAGTTTGGCCAAACTGTAATTTGCTGAAATGACTGGCTTGGCCTCAGGAAGACCATTTGACACCATCCTGGAGCTGGGCCTTTTCTGTAAATTGGAGAGAAGATGGTCCAAGTTCTCCGATGTGCAGGTTTTCTTTCCCTTGCAGAGTAACTCAGACCTTTCCTGACATTGTAGGATTAACACAGCCCTCCCCTACTGGCCGTCTCAGGAGAGGCTGCAAGGGGCAACGCCAGGGAACTAGAGAAACCGCAGAGGCTCCTTCAGCACGAGAGCCAGCTCCTTTTGGCCCTGCTACTCCAAGTCCACCTCATCGTTCCACCCAGTTTTTCTCTCTCACTTGCCCCATTCTAGAAATCCTCATTTTAGACAAGCCCCAGTCTCACTCCTGTCCCTATAACAGATGTCTGGTGAATATGGCCCCAGTAAGGTGCAGGTACCTTTCTCTCTACTGGACTTAAGGCAAATTAAAGGGGATCTTGGCAAATTTTCAGATGACCCTGACAGGTATAGAGAGGCTTTCCAGAATTTAACTCAAGTATTTGAACTTTCCTGGAAAGAAGTTATGTTACTTTTGAATCAAACCCTGACTAGCACTGAGAAGCAGGCTGCCCTGAAACTGACAGAGAGATTTGGGGATGAGCTTTGTATCTCATATAGTGTCAGGGACGAAGATGAGCCTTATCCAACTGGAAGAGTAGCAGTACCATTAGAGGACCCTAAATGGGATCCCAGTGATGAAATGTGAGAATGGAGTAGGAAACACATTCAGGCATGTATAACGGAAGGCTTACAAAGGACTAGAACTAAACATCTCAACTACTCCAAACTGTGCATGATAGTCCTGGGATTTAATGAAAATCCCACTGCCTTCCTGGAAAGACTAAGAGGGGACTTGGTAATGCACACCTCTCTATCTCCTGATTCAGTTAGGGGACAACTAATCCTAAAGGATAAGTTTATTACTCAGGCAGCCCCTGATATCAGGAGGAAGACGCAGAAACAGGCCATGGGACAAGATAGTATGTATTAGTCTGTTCAAACTCTGCTATGAAGAAATAATCAAGACTGGGTAATTTATAAAGGAAAGAGTTTTTATTGACTCACAGCTCTGCATGGCCAGAGAGGCCTCAGAAAACTTACAATTATGGTGGAAGGCACCCCTTTGCAGGGTGGCAGAGGAGAGAATGAGTGCCCAGGAAAGGGGGAAGCCCCTTATAAAACCATCAGATCTCATGAATACTCACTCACTATCACAAGTATGGGATGGGGGAAACTGCCCCCCAATTCAATTATCTCTACCTGGTCCCTCCCATGACATGTAGGGATTATGAGAACTGCAATTCAAGATAAGATTTGGGTGGGGCCCAAGCCAAACCATATCATTCTGACCCTGGTCCCTCCCAAATCTCATGTCCTCATAATTCAAAACACAACAATGCCCTTCTAACAGTCCCCCAAAGTCTTAACTCATTCCAGCATTAACTCAAAAGTCCAAGTCCAAAGTCTCATCTAAGAAAAGGCAAGTCCCTTCTGCCTATAAGCCTGTAAAATCAAAAGTAAGTTAGTTACTTCCTAGATACAATGGGGATACAAGCATTGGGTAAATACATCCATTCAAAATGGGATAAATTAGCCAAAAGAAAGAGGATACAGGTGCCATGCAAGTCTGAAATCAAATAGGGTAGTCATTAAACCTTAAAGTTCTAAAATAATCTTCCTTGACTCCATATCTCACATTCAGGGCACGCTGATGCAAGAGATGGGCTCCCATGGTCTTGGGCAGCTCTGGCCCTGTGATTTTGCAGGATGCAGCCCCCTCCTGGCTGCTTTCACAGGCTGGCACTGGCACTAAGTGTCTGTGACTTTTCCAGATGCACAGTGTAAACTGTCAGTGAATCTATCATTATAGATTCTGGAGGATGGTGGCTCTCTTCTCACAGCTCCATTGCAGTGCCCCACTGGGGACTCTGTGTGGGGGCTCCAACCCCACATTTTGCTTCTGCACTGCCATCATGGAGGTTTTTCCATGAGGGCTCTGCCCTTGCAGAAAATTTCTGTCTGGGCATCAAGGCATTTCCGTACATCCTCTGAAATCTAGGCAGAGGTTCCCAAACCTCAATTGTTGACTTTTGTGCACCTGAAGGCCCAACACCACTTGTAAGCTGCCAAGGCTTGGGGCTTGCAGCCTCCAAAGCAATGGCCTGAGTGGTATGTTGACCCCTTTTAACCACAGCTACAGCTCAAGAAGCTAGGATACAGGGCACCATGTTCTGAGGTTGCACTAGACAGGGTGCAGCCTGTCCGAGCCACAACTGCCACACCAGTCTGGATCCACCTTAAGGATCCCACTTCCTTTCCTAACCAGAGACAATATCCCCTGAAATCAGAAGTTAGGAAAGGACTAGAAGCCATCATTGATAACTTGAGGATTCAGGGCCTCCTCAAACCCTGCAGCTAGGCCCACAAAACCATTTTTTCCTCCTAGGCTTCAGGACCTGTGATGGGAGGGGCCGCTGTGAAGGTCTCTGTCATGCCCTGGAGACATTTTCCTCATGGTCTTGGTGATTAACATTTGGCTTATTGTTACTTATGGAAATTTCTGTAGCAGGCTTGAATTTCTCCCTAGAAAATGAGATTTTCTTTTCTATCTCATAGTCAGGCTGCAAATTTTCCAAACTTTTATGCTATGTTTCCTCTTGAATGCTTTGCCACTTAGAAATTTCTTCCACCAAATACTCTAAGTCATTTCTCTCAAGTTCAAAGTTCCACAAATCTCTAGGGCAGGGGCAAAATGCTTCAGTCTCTTTGCATAGCAAGAGTCACTTTTCCTCCAGTTCCCAACAAGTTCTTCATCCCCATCTGAGACCATTTCAGCCTGAATTTCATTGTTCAAAGCCATTCAATAATTCTTTAGGAAGTCTCAAACTTTCCCACATATTCCATCTTTCTCTGAGCTCTACAGACTGTTCCAGCCTCTGCCTGTTATCTAGTTCTAAAGTCACTTTCACATATTTTGGTATCTTTACAGCAACGCCCCACTCTTTGTGTTACCAGTTTATTGTATTAGTCCATTCTCATGCTGCTATGAAAAAATAACTGTGACTGGGTAATTTATAAAGGAAACAGGTTTAATTGACTCAAAGTTTTACATGGCCAGGGAGGCCTCAGGAAACTTACAATCATGGTGGAAGCTACCTCTTCACAGGGCAGCAGAGGAAAATCCCCTTATAAAACCTAGCAAGGGGAGAAGCCCCTTATAAAACCATCAGATCTTGTGAGTTCTATCACAAGAACAGGATGGAGTAAACCATCCCCATGATTCAATTATCTCCACCTGGTCCCTCCTATGACATGTGGGGATTATGGGAATGAAAATTCATGATAAAATTTTGAGGGGGGACCCAGTGAAACCATATCATAGTACTTTAGAGAGCCTCCTGAAAGTGGTCACCTTGGTCTTTTACAATACAGATAGGGAGGAGGCCCAGGAGAGAAAGAGGTACACTAGAAAAAGACAGAGGCTTTATGGCCCACTTTCAGGACCACCAACCCCAGGATCTCTGGGGTTAACTGCTACAAATGTGGCAAGTCAGTGCATTTTAGGAAAAACTGTCCAGACAGCATGAGGAAGCCACCTCCACCCTGTCCAATCTGCAATGGGGACCACTGAAGGGTGGACTGTCTCTGGAGATGCAGGTCACAAATCCAATCTCCCAAATGGTCCAGCAGGACTGATGGGTCCCAGGAACCCTCTTCCCAGCTACAGTGGTCCAGACCACCATTACCATACAGGAGCCCTGAGTGAGTCTGAAAATCAAAGACAGGAAAGTGAAACTCCTCCTGGACACTGAAGTAGCCCTTTCAGTTCTCCTCTCCCTCTCCTCTGTCAGCATGACCATGAGTGGTGTCTCAGGAAGGTCTTTAAACTGATACTTTTCCCAGCCCCTTAGTTGTAGTTGGGGAGACCTCTTGTTTACCCATGCCTGTGTAATCATGCCTGAAAGCCCAACCTTTCTGCTGGGCAGGGATATTCTGGTCCAAACGGGAAGCACCATCGTGATGGCTCCAGGACAAACTCTCTGTCTACCCCAGTGGATACCAATATTAACCCAGAAGTTTGGAAAACTCAAGGGAAAGTTGTCCAAGCCACAACTGCCATACCGGTCTGGATCCACCTTAAGGATCCCACTTCCTTTCCTAACCAGAGACAATATCCCCTGAAACCAGAAGTTAGGAAAGGACTAGAAGCCATCATTGATAACTTGAGGATTCAGGGCCTCCTCAAACCCTGCAACAGCCCTTATAATACCCCAATATTGGGGGTAAAAGGACCCAATAGGGAATGCAGACTGGTCCAAAATTTCTGCCTTGTTAATGAGGCTGTGGTTTCAATTAACCTGGTGGTTTCCAATCCATATACCCTGCTGATATGGTTTGGCTGTGTCCCCACCCAAATCTCATCTTGAATTGTAACTCCCACAATTTCCATATGTCATGGGAGGAACTCAGTGGGAGGTGATTGAATTATAGCAGCGGGTCTTTCTTGCACTGTTCTCATTATAGTGAACAAGACTCATGAGATCTGATGGTTTTAAAAAACAAGAGTTTGCCTACACAAGCTCTCTCTTTGCCTGCTGTCATCCACGTAATACATGACTTGCTCTTCCTTCCTTTCTGCAGCCATGTGGAAGTGTAAGTCCAGTTAAACCTCTTTATTTTGTAAATTGACAGGTCTTGGGTATGTCTTTATCAGTAGAATAAAACAGACTAATACATCTGCTAAGCCAAATTCCTGAGAGAACTAAAATGGTTCACAGCCCTGGACCTAAAGGATGCCTTTTTTTGCATACTGTTGCACCCTGACTTCCAAAATTTGTTTGTATTCGAGGATCCCTAAGACAGACCACCCAGCTAACCTGGACAGTGTTACCTCAGGGATTTCAAGGCACCCCTCTCCTGTTTGGGCAGGCATTGTCCAAAGACCTCTCTGAATTCCTTTATTCTCAGGTTAAAGTTTTACAATATGTAGATGACATTCTCCTCTGTGCCCCAACTGAAGAAATCTCCCAGGAGGGCAGTAAGGCTCTTCTTAATTTTCTGGCTAACAGATTATATAAGGTCTCAAAATCTAAGGCTCAGCTCTATCAGACTTCAGTGAAGTATCTAGGTCTAGTCTTGTCATAGAGGACCAGGACTTTCGGAGAAGAAAGAATTAAGCCCATCTCCTCCTTTCCCCCTCCCCAAAGCCTTCAAGCAACTGAGGGGATTCTTGGACATTACAGCATTCTGCAGACTATGAATACCTGGGTACGGTGAAGTAGCTCATCCCTTATATCACCTAATAAAGAAGACTCAGGCAGCTAAAACTCACTTCCTTATTTGGGAACCAGAGGCTAAAAACGCCTTTGATCAAGTAAAACAAGCCTTGCTTGAGTCACCAGCCCTTAGTCTTCCCATAGGGAAAATGTTTCATCTTTATTTGTCAGGAAGGAAGGGAATGGCCCTGGGAGTTCTAACCCAGGCCTGAGGTCCAGCCCTGTGACCTGTAGACTACCTAAGCAAGGAACTTAATTGGGTAGCTAAAGGATGGTGGTCTTGTCTCCAAACTGTTGTAGTGGTGGCAAGAGGCTACTAAGTTAATTGTGGGAAATAACTTAACTGTTTATAACCCAGATAATGTGGCAGGACTGCTGTCTTCTAACAGGAGCCTCTGGCTAACGGACAACCACCCCCTCAAATATCAAGCTCTGCTATTAGAGGAATTTTAAGTTCAGTTAAGAACCTGTCCTTCTCTAAATCCAGCCACATTCCTCCCAGAGGAAGGATTCTCTTTACACATGGAAGTTTCTGTGTAGAACAAGTGATCCATAAAGCAGGGTATGCAATAGTTACCCTAAATGATATGGTTGTGAGTGCATCTCTCTCCTTGGGCACAAGTGCTCCACTAGTCAAGTTAATTGCCCTTATGAGGGCACTTGAATTAAGCAAAGGAAAAGCAGTTAATATTTATACTTATTCAAAGTATGCTTTCCTAGTCCTCCATGCACATGCCACTATCTGGAAAGAGAGGAGCTTCCTCACAGCTAATGGGTCTCCCATTAAATACTATCAGGAAACTAACAGACTATTATGCTCAGCTTTCCTCCTATGGGAAGTGGCAGTAATACATTGTAAGGCCACCAAAAGGGGTGGATGAAATAGCTGAAGGAAATAGATTGGCAGACCAAGCAGCTAAGTCAGCAGGAAGAGGGCCTCAGAATTCTGACCCACTTGAAGCCCCTCTAATCTGAAAGGGCTCCATAAGCCCCTCTAATCTGAAAGGGCTCCATAAATAAAAACTAAATATTCTCCTGCAGAAACAGAATGGGCCACCTCTTGGGGATGCATCTTTCAGTCCTCAGGATGGTAACAATTGGAGGATGGCAAGCTTCATCTACCAGCTGCCAGCCAATGGAAAGTTCTTGAAATATTTTACGATGCCTTCCACCTAGGTAAGGATAAAACCTATCAATTGGCCCAGAGGTTGTTCTCAGGTAAAAATCTGCTACAAGTGATCAAACAGGTTGTTAATGCTTGCAAGACTTTCCTTAAGAGTGATCTCCTCAATCAATGGCTTCTCCCCACTGGAATCCAAAGAATGGGAGGCTACCCAGGGGAAGGCTGACAAATAGATTTCACCCCTTTGCCAAAGACAAGCGGCATCCAGTATCTCCTGGTATGGGTAGATACCTTCATTAACTGGGTAGAAGCATTTCCATGTCAGACGGAGAAAGCCTCTGAGGTGATAAAAGTACTAATTAATGAGTTAATTCGTCACTTTGGACTCCCTAAGTACCTCCAGAGTGATGATAACCCTTTGTTCAAAACAGCTGTCACCCGGAGGCCTCAAAGGCACTAGCCATACAATACCTTCTTCATTGTGCTTAGAGACCAAAATCCTTGGGAGAGGTAGGTAAGACAAATGATATTATCAAAAGGCAACTCAGGAAACTGTCTCAAGAAACTCATCTCCCCTGAACTACTCTTCTTCCCGTAGCCCTACTATGTGTTAGAGACACCCCTTCAAAGCTGAGTTTAAATCCCTTTGAAATGATGTAAGGACAACCCTTTCTCACCAATGATTTCTTGCTAAACCAAGAGACCTCTGACTTAATTAAACATATAACCTATTTGGTCTGCTTCCAACAGGAACTGAAAAAACTGTCGGAGGCCCAATCCCAAGAACTAGGGCCACCTCTATTCAACCCAGGAGATCTAGTACTGGTAAAGGCACTCCCTGTTCTTTCTCCCTCTCTAGGCCCAGATTGGAAGGGACTTTACATTGTACTTCTTCCTACTTCTACAACAGTAAAGGTCACTGGAATTGATTATTGGATTCATTATACTTGAGTAAAGTCCTGGGAAGCTGAAGCAGTTACCTCTGTCAACCCAGAAGAGCATCCAAAGTACCAATGTGAGAAAATTGGGGACCTCAAGCTAAAAATCACAAAAGATAAGTATCAATAATTAATCTTCCATGGATATCCTCTTTATAGTCTTGCCTATGCTTGCTGTTCTTACCTTCATTCTGTTCCTCATCATGAGGCATCTTTGCCAAGGAACACTTAATCCTGAATACCCATAGGAATATCTGTTCCCCTAAACAATTATCTCTCCTAAAGTTTAATTGCACTCATACATAATTCAATTTATTTCACCAGGGTGAAACAGCTGTGGCCACAATACTGTTTTCAGAAGTATTAGTATGCTTAACTTCTTATTTCTGTTATCTTCAGCACTAGATTCTTTCCCTTTTAACTCCTCTTTCTAGATACACATATTTGGTCCATTCACACTTAACCTTGTAAAATTTGTTTTTTTCTCACTTAGAGGTCATCAGACTTCCAATGGTCATGCAACTGGAGCCTCAGAAGGAAGCTCTGTTTCACTGGGGACACTTATATAGGTCTTGGAGGGAAATCTGACTGCCATTTTCCCCAAAACAATGCCCCCATCAGCAGGAAGCAGTTAAGCTTGGACATCATTCCTATCCTAATGACAATTAGATGTAACTCTTCAGAGGCGGCAACTGATAGTGGCAGGAGGCAGACAAATGCCTAGACAGATGGGGGCAGGTCCCCAGTGAAATCTCACCTTCATACCAAAGACAGTTTATAGCCCAAAGGCCAACCTACAAATCAAATCCACGAACTGGATTGAGAACCTGTCTTCCTGTTTGGTGTGTTTTCCTTTGATTGATTCCCCACCTTCACCTATTTTACATATACCTACTGATATGGTTTGGCTCTGCCCCCACCCAAATATCATCTTGAATGGTAGCTCCCATAATTCCCCCATGTTGTGAGAGAGACCCTGGGGGAGAAAATAGAATCATGGGGGCAGTTTCCCCCATACTGTTCTCATGGTAGCGAATAAGTCTCATGAGATCTGACAGGTTGATGAGGGGTTGTACCTGTCACTTGTCTCTCATTCTCTCTTGCCTGCTGCCATGTAAGATGTGCCTTTCACCTTCCACGATGATTGTGAGGCCTTTCCAGCCACATGGAACTGTGAGTCCATTAAACCTCTTTTTCTTTATAAATTACCCAGTCTTGGATATGTTTTTATCAGCAGCATGAGAATGAACTAATACAGTAAATTGGTATGGTAGAGTGGGATGCTGTTGTAAAGATACCCAAAAATGTGGAAGTGACTTTGGAACTGGGTAACAAGCAGAGGTTGGAACAGTTTGGAGGGCTCAGAAGAAGATAGGAAAATGTGGCAAAGTTTGAAACTTCCTAGAGACTTGGAGGGTTCAGAAGACAGGAGGATGTGGGAGATTTTGGAACTTCCTAGAGACTCGAATGGCTTTGACAAAAATGCTGATAATGATAATGAGCAATGACTTTGAACTGTGGACTTTTGAGTTAATGCTGAAATAAGTTTAGACTTTGGGTGACTGTTGGGAAGGCATGATTGTTTTTGAAATGTGTGGACATGAGATTTGGGAGGGGCCAGTGGTGGAATGATATGGTTTGGCTCTATGTTCCCACACAAATCTCATCTTGAACTGTAGCTCCCATAGTTCCCATGTGTTGTGGGAAGGACCCAGTGGGAGATAACTGAATCATGAGTGTGGTTTCCCCATACTGTTCTCATGGTAGTCAATAAGTCTCACGAGAACTTATGGTTTTATGAGGGGTTTCCCCCTTTGCTTGGCTCTCATTGTCTCTTGCCTGCCACCATGTAAGAAGTATCTTTTACCTTCTGCCATGATTGTGAGGCCTCCCCAGCCACATGGAACTGTGACCCCATTAAACCTCCTTTTCTTTATAAATTACCAAGCCTCAGGTATCTCTTTATCAGCAGTGTGACAATGGACTAATACACCTACTCTTCCCTAAAATTGTTTTTACACTGCCATGCCCACCTTTGACTGGTGCCTTTGTTTTAACCTTTTTTTCATACTCACAAACCAATCAGCATGCACTCCCCCATCCTGTGCCTATAAAAACCCCAGATTCAGCCACACTGCAGGGAGACGAACTGACTTTGGGGGAGAGACAACCTGATGTTCCTGTGCCTTCTCTGCTGAGAACTGTTTCATCACTCAATACAATTCCCCACCTTCATTACCCTTCAATTGTCAGTGTGACCTCATTTTTCTTGGACATGGGACAGGAGTTTGGGACCCACCGAATGTGAATACCAAGAAAGGCTGTAACCTTGGTCCTCTGTTCTAACAGGGCCAGAGTGGAGTAAGGGGCTCATTGAGCTGTTAACATGCAACCATCCAACCGGCTGTGGATAGCGGAACTAAAAGAGCTAATTAGCACAGTGTAACACCCACTCTGGGGCTTCAGGTCACAGGCACCCCTGCCTGGGTGCTGCCGCATTCTCCTTGGGACAATATGTCTGGTCTGGCAATGGGCCCCACAAGGAACCTACTCCTCTGTTTGTGGTTGGAGTGGGTGGCCGGAGCCTGCACTTGCTTGCTCTCATGCTCCCTTCCACCAGGGGCTAAGCACACAGTTGCATTAGCCATGGAAGCCATGCGCCAGAGTGCAAGCCAGACACAAGCTGAGTAGATGTGGTATCCCCTGCTTTGAGCCTGGTAAAGTGGCCAAGAAAAATCCTGCATCAGTAGTTTAATCTGATCAAGAGCTAATTTAGAATCCAGTACAGTGCCTGGACCACCATAAGCATTCATATCATGTCTGTTGAAAACACATGATTTCCCTTTTTCCAGAGCAATATTTGCGCTATCTTTTCATGGTCAACAGGTTCTTTTGAAAAGGTATGCTGGTATATGTTTAACAAGAACTCCAGGACTAAAAAATACTCATAATTTGTGTTATTGGTTGTTTCCTTGATTGTAGTAAATATTCCCACCCTGATAGATTACAAGCTACCAAAAGTCTATCAACCAGCTCATAATACTCCTGAAAATTTAACAGTTGGCAAGCTGGTGTGTGCCAGCTCCACCACAAGCCAGCTCCAGTACACTCTGGGAAAAGGCATTCATATTAAAAAACTCAGAAAGCTGGAAAAGGTGGATGGAAAAATCACTTGTTTGTGACACTGAGACTCAAAGTTATGCCCATTTGTCTTCTCTGTTGGAAATTTTAAATTCCCTCAATTCAAAGAGCTTTAATTTTACTTAGTTCTGCCTCCTTTTTTGTTAGAACAATCCCTGGGAAAAGGCCACACTTAGAAATTAGTAAACTTTGGTATTTTTCTCTGTTTTATTTTCTTAATTATTTATTTTATGATCACTGCCCAGATGCATGCCAGGAGTGTACACAGAATAGTCACCAGCATTTATTAAACACTTATCACACTCAAGGCCGTGTAATGTGAGCTGTGCATACATTGTTTCATTCCGTTCTCCCAGTGATCTCATAAGGTTGGTACCTGCATCCTTCTTTTCCAAGTTACATACTGAGACTCAGTGGTTTTGAGAAAATAAAGATTTAAACTGAGTTAGGCACTTGAGGCCACACATTTCAACCCCTAAGTTACACTTCCTTGAGGCAGTTTGTGTCTTGGACAGTAGAACCACCATCTTGCATTTGCAGTGTTTGTAGTCCACAGTGTGCTTCTGCATGCTATATTTTCACAGAAACTCATTAAGTTGTGGTAATGCAGACAGGGTATCCTTTATAGATGTGTTAGTTGAGTGGTGAAAATAGAGCACACCGCACTAAAGAATGGTGCTGCTAGCCACCAAATGAAAAAAAAAAAAAAAAAAAAAAAGAAGGGCAATATACATAACGAACATCATAAGTCCCCAGAGCTGGAAGAAAACCCAGAAATCATCTAGTCCAATGCTCTTATTTCATAGAGAAGTTCTTTACTGTCTTGCAAAGAACCATATGCTTTACTTCTAAGACATCACTTCCCCAGAATCTGTTTCTTTTAATTATCTATTATTTATCATTTTATTTCATTAGAAGTTTCATTACAAATAAAATACTAAAGCAAACAGTTCAAAATCTAAAGGCTGTGTTTTTGGAGATTATGTAAATAGAAATGAGAAAACATTGTCATGGCAGTAGAAAGTAGAGCTCGATATTTGTAGATCTTATGATCACATTTTATTATTTTGCTTATATAGCTTTTATATTTAGCTTTAGCATTTGATAATGAAATTAATGCATTTTAGGACTTTCAAGTCAATGTTTGTGTGCATTTTTTGTGAAACAAATACATTTAAATTGTTATCAGTGCCAAGAAACTGAAAATAATTAAATAAAAACTATTTGGATGACAAGTTAATCAGACAAACAGGAGGGAAAGCTTGGAATTGTCTATGGGATTTAGAGAATTAAAATACATTTGGATGATGAGACCAGTAGCCTCATGAATATCATTGCTGTGGAAACCTAAAATTTGATTTAATACTTTATATGAATGATTTTTTAAAACATACTCAAGCGTACTGGTTGACTGGAAAGGTACAGCATAATGTAAAACCTCAATTTTTTGTTTGATTATTTAAGAAAGTCACTTGTTTTTGTTTGCTTGCTTTCTTTTTTGCTATATTAAGAGTCACTTTTTTGTGCTTGTGGCAACATTTCGCAGGAAAAAATGTAATCACCTTCTCTATCCTCTTGGATGGAGATATCAGACTAAATTATTTCCAAAGTCTGATTCTCAGCCTCCTTTTCCTTGTGTAAAGGGAAACAGTGATTTTATGTTTCTCTTGGCTCTGTGTAGTTTTGCTTTGTTTTGTTGCTACGTTATGTGTGTTTTATTATGAGATAACAGCCTCCTCTTCATAACCATTCACGTGAGTTGTAATAGGGTTACTACTACTACTACTAATAATAATAATAATAGTTCAGTAGAGCAGAAAAGAGAAAATATGAGAAGGAAACTGAATGAAATTGGAAAAGAAAGAGAAGAGTAGAGGATTCTGAACTAGAGGAATTGTCCAGAGGTGCTAATTCCTGGGCAGTCTCTGGAATCAGGCTGATGGAAGAACCACTATAAGGAAAAGGAGGTGGTGTTATTCGATATTACTCAGCCCAGAGTACTTGCCAGCTCTCTGTCTGGTTTTCTTGAAAATGACACTTCATTTGCTCTTGCCATGGACCATTTAGTCTTCCTGCAAGTGGGGACTGCACACCTGTTCCTGCAGGCAACATGTCAGCTAATCCCCCAGTTTCACACCTTGCTTTTCTGCAAAACCCTCCCTGCAATGCCTTCTGATCCAGGATGCCTGTGAGGCTAAAGAGATACCCTGTACAACCAGCAGTGTGACAGGCTCTGTTGCAGTGGTTGGGGTAAAGATGAACACTCCAGGGAATCCACAGCTGGAACAACGCAGAGGGGACACCTACATTTTGCAGGTAAGCTGGCTGATTCACCTTTAAAACCAATGTGAACTATTTTTATTCCTCATCCTTAAAAAACAAAGTATGTTTGGTTTAATAAAATAACACAGTTGTCAAAATTGCAGGTTCTTTCTTTCTTCGATGTATAGGATTATGGAAGACACTGGAGGACTTTGGGGACATAAGAGCAGACTTAGGTGGCTGGTCACCCGAGCAAGTCAGATGATCAGCTTGCCCATACTAATTTTAAAGATAATAAATAGCTAGCTGCCTGATGCAGTGGCTCACGCCTGTAATCCCAGCACTTTGGGAGGCCAAGGTGGGTGGATCACCTAAGGTCAGGAGTTCAAGACCAGCCTGGCCAACATGGCAAAACCCCATCTCTACTAAAAATACAGAAATTAGCCAGGCATGGTGGCACGCGCCTGTAATCCTGGTTACTAGGGTGGCTGAGGCAGGAGGATTGCTTGAACCTGGGAAACGGAGGTTGCAGTGAGCCAAGATCATGCCATTGCACTCCAGCCTGGACAACAGAGTGAGACTGTGTCTCAAAAAAGAGAAAATAAATAAATAAATAAAAGAGCAGACTGGACATAATAAGTCACAGTTTTGGTTCTGAGTGACTGGCAGCATTATGCCCCAAAGGATTAGTGGAAAATCCTCGTGCTATGCTAGAAAAGAAAGTACCTGCAACCGAGTTGGCAAAGTCCAAAAACTAAGATTCCCTCCACGAAATGGATATAAGAGGAAGAGTAACTTTAGCCTTTAAATACTAACTTAATGGCTGATTGTTGATTCCTAAAATGAATAGTTAAGAAATTATTTGGAAATGTATCTAATAGTCAATTATTATGGCAATTCCTTCTATTGTGATTTGCAACTTAGTATATTTTGGGGTTCCTGATAATTGCTGTTGCTAAATACTTATTTACCTCCTGCGGATTTATTTTGTCTTTATTGTCAAATAAATGTGCATTATCCATAATTATTTAATATAGTTTATCTAAGACTAATCTTTACAAACCTGAAAGGTGATTCCCCTCCTATTTGGAATTTGGAGATTTCAAGGCGTAGAACTGAATCAAATAATTTATCCAAATATATGTTATGAAAATTTCTATGTTAATCAAAAGTAATCAGTGTAACTATTGATACTGCATGCTATTTTGGGATGCTCTTTGTCAACATTTTGTTGAGGAAGTTAATGTATTTCAGTGTTACAAATATTGAGAACATAAAATATAGACTATATTCACAAATTAAAGCAAGAGAATTTACTGTATCAACTACTCCTGAACACATCTTTCATACACATCTTACTTTTGACATGATCAAAGGAAAATTGCTATCATATGCTGGTACTGCTTTCTTTACTTTTTTTCTGTAAGCAAAAACTACAAGCTTAAACGGCACAGGAAACTATGTATGCATAACTTCAAAAGGTATATTGATCAAATTATTGAATTTAATCGGATGTCTGACATCATGTACAGGAATAATTTTTTGGCTGACAGAATATTCTATTTTCAACTTGCTGTGGTGCATTATAGACTTCAGACTTGAAGAAAAAGTAAAAAGATTTTTAAACGTTGATAACTCACTGTATTTTTGCAGAATTCATCAAAAGACTTCCTAAAGTTAGAATAAAAATTAGGTTTTGCTTTTTTAATTTTGTTTAATAATGATGATGATGATGATGATGAAGATAATATCTTCTATTTATTGAGTATCTATTATTTGTGTTATTCTATATAATTTATTTAGATTTAAATAATTTGGGTGTACTAAGTGGAATAAAATGGGAATAAAGAACTGTACAGATAATAAATTTTTGTAAAAAGTAAAATAACTTTTAATTAAATAATTAAACAAGCATTAGGCCAAGTCTACAAATCCTCAAATTTCCACCTAAAGCAACTTCAGTGGAAAGAGAAAGAGGAAGAAGAGCAAAGAAGGGGAAGCAAACATGAGAATGGTACTGGCGTTGATCTCTTTGTGAGTAGTCAGAGTGGGAAGGCAAGACATCCTCAGAATGGCAGACAGGGACCTGCAGTACAAGCTGGAGATAGGGACTTCTTGCAGCAGGAGAGAGAGTTGAAAGGGGGCATACAATTGTTTGGCTTATGTTAGAGTCATGTGTTCAAAAGGATAATAAGCTCAGGGACACTGCAGTGGTGGTGCCACCAGGAGTTGAGAAAACAATCAGATAAAACACAGAGTGTCCAAGACAGATGAAGTTTGAGAGTGTTCTACAGGTAGTACTATTGGCAGGAGGGCTGTAATCAGCAATGTGAGAAATATTCGAGCATTGGAGAATAAACCAGACACAAAGAAATGATATAAGTAGACACCTATGTAAATAGAACTTGGAGACATGCAGAAATGAGCAGACGGTACTTCCTGAAATACAGAGGTCCTCCTTTTTTTGTGCAATTGTTTTCACGGTTCTGTTGTGAACTGAGGAAGACAAATGCTATATTAATATCTTATTGTGTGTCCCTGTTATAAGGCAGGCTGGTGACCTGGGAACACTTTTTATATTAGAATTTGAAGATCATTCATTGATTGGGTGCTGTTGATTGACTAGCTCATTTATTTTTGCATTTCATTCTTTCAACAGCTGTTTATTGAGAAACCATTATGTAGCAAACACTGACTTAGACCCTGGAGATAGAGATAAATAAGACAGATAGGGTCTTTTTGCTCTCATGAAACCTACATATTAGTGAGATGCAATAAAAAATACACAAACAAATGTGCAGATTATTGCACAAGGAATTATAATTGGCTATAGTAGGAAGGGACTGAGTAACTTACGATTCCAATTTAAAAGATAATAATAAGTTATGAAATTGACATGAGGAAATGACATTTTATTCAGAGACTTCAAAGCCCATTGTAAAGGCTTGTAGGTAAAAGTGAGTTTGACTAATTAAAATCTAAAATAGAGCCACAATATTGGAGCATAATCAATATAACAGAAAGTGATAGGGAATGAAATCTGACATACAGGCTTCATGAGACGAAGTAAGAATTTGGGGTTTTATTTGAAATGCAGTAGTAAGGCACTGACATATTTTTACATAGAAAGCCTACTGGATTCCTTTTTTAAAAAATTATTTTTTTAAATTTAAGAGCCAAAGTCTCTATGTTGCTCAAGTTTGAGTTTAGTGGCATGATTATAGCTCACTGTAACCTTAAACTCCTGGGCTAAAGCAATCTTCTCACCTCAGCCTCCTGAGTAACTGGGTCTACAGGTGCATGCTATCATTCCTGGCTCTAGTTCATGGTTTTAAAAGAACACTGTAGAAAAGAAATGCAGAAGAACTTATAGAGAGTAGAGATAAGAGTGAGATCAAGGAAACTGATTAGTTCTTAAGAGTGTGAAAATAAGTAATAGCAGTGATGATGGAGAGAAGTGAATGTATATGAGATGTGATTCTGAGAGAGGAACCAGATTTGTTGAGGTCTGTGGGATATGGAGGGAGAGGAAAGAAAGATTTTTGACTTGTACATTTGGTTAATAATAGAGTAACCTGGAGAGAAGCAAAAGTGTGGTCTCCAGATAATACAACTGCAGAGAATGTATCAAGAGTAATGTTTCGATTATTTAAGTTTGAGGCACTGTTTTAAAATACAAGTAGAGAGGTCAAATAGGCAGTTGGTTATTCAAATCTGAACTTTCAGGAAAAACTTAAGTTCATACATATATGCAATAAAAACTCATCATATCAAAAGTAGCCTTTAAAATGCTTATTTCAATGAAATCACCAAGCAGCTAGCATAACACCTTACACATAGCAGGGGCTCAGAAAGCATTTCTTACATGTATTGCTATATGGAAGGTATAATGCTAATGACAGGACATAGAGCAAACAATACAAAATAGACTCAGCCAAGCATGGTGGTGCACACCTGTAGTCCTAGCTACTTGGGAGGCTGAGGTGGGAGGTTCACTTGAACCGAAGATTTCCAGGCTGCTCTGAGCTGTGATTGCACCACTGCACTCCATCCTGGGCAACACAGTAAGACTCTGTCTCAAATAAATGAATGAATAAATAAATAAATTGATTAAATTGAGACATGGTGAGTTCATTTTCTATGGCCACTGTAACACAATACCACAAATTATGGGACTTTCAACAACAGAAACTTATTCTCTCCTAGTTCTGGAGACCAGAAATCTGAAGTTAGTATCACTGGGCTGAAATATTCTCTCTGGACACTTCGAAAAGAATCCTTTCCTTCCTCTTTCAGTTTCTGGTGGTTGCTGCCATTCCATGGCTTGTAGCTTCATCACTCCAATCTTCAAAGGAGATAGTATTTTCAAATCTTTGCTCTATCTATATGTCACCTTTTTCTCTGTGTCTGTATCAAATCTCCCTCTGCCTCTCTTTTATAGCAATACATGTGATTGCATTTAGAACTCACATGGATAATACTCTCATCTCAAGATCCGTAATCAAATCCTCAATGACCTACTCCCTTCCCCACTTCGCTTAGGAGATGGATATGTTTTGGTGATATTTTTCAGTGTACCACAAATGGTATTGAGTTTGACAATTTTATAACCCTTAAAATAAGGAAATGTAATTACTGTTAAAATAGAGCACTGTGTAAAGTATCACAGAAGCATGAGAGTAAAACAGATCAATTCTGGAAATGACCAAGAATTTCTTCTGTGCCCTGGGTCTTAAAGGAGGGCTAAGAGTTTCCAAGTTTAAGAGTGGGAAAATTGAACTCCAGGCATAGAGAAATGCATAAAGAGAGACAAGGAGCTGTGAGTGTTTGGTATAAGCAAAAGAAAAATAAATGATTGAAGACTTTAATCCCAACTCTGAAGCAAGGGATTTTTATTGAATCCCTGTTATTGTTCAGTCTTTGGAGAATACAAATTAATTTAAGATATGGTATTTGTTATTGTTCAGTCTTTGGAGAATACAAATTAATTTAAGATATGGTATTTGTAAAAGTCAAAACATAGGTCATCCTTGGGGAAACAAGATGGTCATACCTGGAACAAATAGAGTACAATATAATCAATGTGTACTTCTATGCTTACTTTTATAATATTTACTAAATCTTCAGGAATAGAACAGAATAACCAGGAAACCAGATTTCTACTGGGGGGAGGTAAATATGGATCTTAAGACATGGGTAGAACTTGAGTATATGGAGAAGGCAGAAAGTGCAGGTAGTTTAAGTAGAAGAAAGAAAATGAGTTAATACAGAAATGAAAACTGTGACAGTAAATGAGACCAACAGCATAATTGGAGTTCCTTGGAGGGTAGCATGAAATTAGATTGGAAAAACCAAGATGCAGTCCTGCTACTGAAGGGTTTAAGAACATAGAGTAGGTGCTTTCTCAAATAGTACAGACTGTCTTGACTTGTATTTTCCCTGTGCATTTTAGACTGTGTATTTATTGTCATTCATAAAGGAACAATGACTTAAACAAAACAAGTTTTGGCAGCCTATCAAATGGTGAATTCTCTGAGAGCACAGTGCATGCCTTATACATTTTAGTTTTTCCCCAATCTGGAGGCAGGAAGTACTGTGGAAAGCCATTATTGAACAAGAGAGAGACTGACACAAAGATTTAAAGGAAGACAGAAATTTCACTGTTGACTAGTCTCTAGCATGGCACAGAATGAACACAGTATGTGAAAAGCTAGTAGAAGAGTAGTTTAAATAATTGATCCACATTCTAGTCCGATCATCTTGTCTGTGGTGATCTTCATTGACCAGCAATGAGCTGAGAGGGACAGATTGAGCAGACTCTAGCATAGTGAGGCTGATTTTTACCCAACACACACACACACACTCACACATTTACATACACATGCTCACATATGCCCTTCTCTTGGCCTCTGTCATCTGGAGCATAAGCGTAATATTTTCAGCCTGTCTGCCCTAGATTTGATGAGATAATATTTATAAATTGCTTTGAGAAACATGAAAGTTGTCCTACTAATAAAAAAAATATTTTCCTGACCTCACATTTGATTTGAAATGCTTGAAAATTGTCTATGTACACTTAGGGGGTTATTGTAAGCAAATGGTACAATTTCAGTACTCAGGAAAGAAGAGGTAGAGCTGGCCTTATGTATCCCTCTGCATATTCTCTTTGTTGATTTTACAAATATTTCAGCATTGATTTCAAAACAAGCAATGTGCAAGGATATGGCTTTTAATTTTGTTCTGCTTTCAATTATGGATGGAAATAGCCTATGACCCCTGTGCATGCATTCATTCATTTTCTGCTTGACTTTGTTCTAAACACATTTTCCCTGAGGGTATGCTCTGCTTCAGATACTGTATTAGACTCTGGGAATATACAATTCAAAAGGAAGGGTCTCTTCTCTTGACATCACAATATCATACGAAAATGGATGCAGAATCCCAGAAATATCTGTGTAATAAAAATACGATGCAGCAAAATAGATAATGGAAGTCATTTTGGGGGAATTTTGAATTGCTTCGTTCTACACAGGGAGTCAGGGCAGGCCTCATCAAGGAAATATGAGTAGCTACAGAATGAAAAAGGAGACTCTTCAGGAGAATGAAATAATAAGGAGATTTCCAATCAAATAATGAAAATGACAAAAAGCTTAGTTGCCTGAGAGAGGAAGGCATATTTGAAAATCTTTGTCTTTGAGATGGTAGGAGTGTAGAGTACCAGGTGAAAAGGTCATAGGAAATGAAGGGACGTATAGGAGATTGAACTTCATGAAAGTGACTTTCTGGGGAATCATCAACACACTTTAATCAGGGGACAGTAATACAGTCAGATGTATATTTAAAAGTAACTTTGCTGAACAAGATGAATAAGCATCAGTGAAAAAGGATTTTTATAAATATGAGTTAATAAAATATTTCTAGAATGCATATTCTATGGCATGGTAATTAGAATTCGTAAGTACTTGTCCTTGTTCTAATACTGACTACTTCCGCACCAAAGTATCAGCAGCTGGTGGATAGAATTGGGTTTGGGACTTCTTTTCTATTTTTGATTCTGGAAGTCTGGTCACTCTGGGTCTCGATTTGTTACTATTTACTGTGGCAGTTCTATTACTCTTAATATGGTAACTCAGGAACCAGCAGGCTTGGGTGGGCAGGTCAGGACTTGGTGGAGTCTGAGAATAGTACTTAAAGGGAGAGAAACCAAGGGAAAGTAATTATTATAATATAACGTGTCCAGAGAGGGAGCTTGACCTTTCAAGATCCCATGAGTAGCAGCAGATGCTCCAGTTGTTGTCTTAGCTAGTAGAAAGATACATGTCCCCTACCAGGCTAAATACCCTTTTGGAGAGAACCCCCACCGAGGAAGAAAGTGAGGGATTTATGTCTGCTGAGTTAATGCAGACACATAGTTGTTTGGAAGTCCAGGACTGGATGTCAAATAAGAGAAAAAGAATGTATAATCCTAAGAGAAATTAACATATATTCAGAAGTATAAGATTGGTTAATACTTAAGTTGTTAAAACTGAAATGTTCCGGGTAAGGAGAAATGACAAATGTCTTTCTGAACACAGCTCTGGACACACTTTAATAACACAGCTTCTTTGACACCCCTGACCAGGTCAATTTTCTTGTGATCATAAGGCCTCATTCAAGATTTTCAGGGCACTCTTGTCAATCTTCAAATAGACTTTAATTTGTGAGATTCAAGTCTGTTTCTCCTACCATGAGAACAAAGGTCAATGTTAGTGTCTATTTTCTATTATGTCCACTGGGAATCCTGGAAATAGTAGACACTCAATAAATGAATGAAATTACCACTTACAGAAGACCTATTGCATTACATACCAGTGATTGTCAAATTTTAACAGTCATACAAATCGCCTGAAGACCTTACTAAAAGGCAAGTTTTGATTCAGTGGTTTGGGGTGGGCTGGGGTAAGATTCTACAATTCTCTAACAAGCTCCTGAGTGATGTCGATGCTGCTGGACCACAGGTCACACTTTGAGAAGGAAGGGGTTGACATTTATGAGACAATACAGGAAAGCTGGGAAGCTAAGTAACTTGTCCAGTTTACCCAACAGGTTAGAAGGAAACCCTGGATTCTAACCCTGACCCTGAGACTCAGGTTTGCCCTGAGTTCTCAAGTGTGCTATTTGCTTTAGTCAACTACAGTCATTCTTAAATTTGACCACACAGTTCCTCTGTCATCTTTTCAAAATTGTGCCTGCTTTTCTGGACTCCTGAAAATACCGCAAAAGAAACATGCATTGTCTGCCCCTGACTCAGGAGAAATGCAGGTTATCATGAACAGAGATGGTTGATGCCTTTTTAGAGATAGTACATTATAGAATGGCTTTAATATTTCTAGACTTTAAATAAATGAAATAGCTCCAGCAGTCATAAATTCAAATTGGAATTTTCTGAGCACAGTGTAGATCCTTGAACTGTGATGAAAGGCTTCCTTTACCCATCTTAGCAAAAGATACCCCAGCAACTTCCTTTACCCATCTTAGCAAAATATACCTCAGCAACAGCACCCAGAAGTAAGATGAAAGAGGAATGGTGAGACCAGAGATAAGAGTTTAGAAATGAGGGCAAATTGCTCAGGGCTGATACTTTCAAATATGAAGATTTTAATGGATGCTAATTATATGTTGGTCTCTGAAATATCAGTAATTAAACACTGGAAGAAAATATAACAATTTAACCTCATCAGAAGTCTCTCTTGCCTTCTTGAAGCAGTTTGTGTGAGTGTACATATGTGTGTGTGTGCGTGTGTGTGTGACTCATACTAGAACATGGGTGTGATAATGTACCATATGTCTTTTGGTTTCTACCGGTGGGTTTTACAAGAAAGAATAGGCAGGGTTTCATTTTTCTCGCTGTAAAGATGCAAAAACTTTAAATTAAAAATAACCTTTCAGCTGATTCCTTGCATAATTGCTATCTTGTTTTGCTAATACTGTGGCTGAATTGTAACTTGCTGAAGCCTTGGGGATTTGCATGCTGGTTTATCCTCTGAATTTGCATTGACATGGTTTTCAGTCAAGTGCATAACTAAATCCTGTGGCCATGAGCAAGGCTGGCAGTATTTGCATTGAAAATCAGTAGGAGATTAGACGAAGAATGGCTCTGTGCAGCCTCCCTAAATAGATTCAATGATGAAAATTTTGGGTCTCTCAAAATGCCGTTCACTTCCATTAAGTGACTGTGGCTGCTGAGTGTCTACTCGTATCAAAAGACCAAAACAAGAGACAGCAAGGGGAAAACAGACAGACAGCTACCACAATGTAACACGTATATTTGAAATGACCATTTGCCAGCATTTTAAGAAAGTGTATTTGGGAGGAAGTTTGAGGACATTCTTGCTGAAAATAAATTTTCTGATGCAAAAACAAAAACATCATTTTGTTTTCTTGTCAGGAGCAAAATGTGCAAAGGCCAGGATGAGCTTAGCATCTTTCAAGATGTCCTCAAACTGGCTTAGGAAATATTTTAAAAGCAGCCAGTGAGATACTGTATAAAGTAAAAGTAAGTGAACTTCTTTTTAGGTTGAGACTTTTTCTTTCTATGCATTGCTTCTGTATTGCGATTTGTATCTAGTGTGCTTATGCTCAGTGCTAAAGGAGGACAAAAGAGCTTTGACCTCAAACCAAATGAGTTGTTGAACTCTGTGATTGCAACAACTGCTTTTACTTGGCATCAGACTCTTCCCATTTAAGAGCTGCTCCAATTGAAAGCTGAAAACATTTGAGAGTGTATTTAGATTCATCCATTGAAGGAAACTAAGTTCCTAAGAAGTTGAGAGACATTTCCAAGGCTACACATTAGCCACTAGCTAGCATTTGTAAATCAAGATGCTGCCAACAAGAACATGGAAAAGATATGATTTTTTAAATGAAATGATTATATAAAAATGATGCCATGACATTGATGAGGATTCCTGTTTTCTTGTGTTTACTTTCCTCATGATTGTTAATATTATTGTAAGAACTGAATTAGGGAATGCAGGGTTCCAGAAAATTACTCTATTGTCATGAGGGAGCCTGAGTTCAGGTGCAGTTAGAGAGCAAAAAAAACAGGCAGTTCTTGCTCTCACTTAAAGAAACACATTTAAATTGGTTTGTGGACCAGGTGTGAAAGCATGTTCTTGTTACCCACACATGATGCCTATTGTTGGTGTTCTAGGTCATAAAGCTGCAAGAATGGCTAAGCCCACAGAGTCAAAGCAATTGTGGGCAGTTCCTGGAGATTCCAGATATGATTGAACAAGAAAAGCCACAATCCTTAAGGTCTATATAAATTTGAAATATAAACAGCTTAGAGAGCTGGGGATATCTTAATAACTCTAGACAAATAATGTTTCCATAAAGAAAGAAAGGGATTTTGCAAAAAGTTACATCACTACAATAATGCTTATTGTGATAATAAAGCTTATTCTGTTATGGAGTAATGGTATAAAAAATACACAAAACTATAAAGGATAAAACAACAATATAAAATACCATAAGGTAGCACCTCAGGAAGCTACAGAAAAGGGATAAAAGGATGCCTCAAGACTTCAGAAGGCTGAGGAAGATTTAGAAAATTCTTTTGCGGCCAAGTTCAAATTGCTGTAACAGAGTTAAGTTGCCTATTCTTGTTTCCTCCTTCAATTTTCTGGTTCCTCTTTGGTTTTCTGGACAAGTCTGAAGAAGAAGAAGCAAAAAAAATAAACAAAAAAATAAACAAAAAAACCCACACCACCATTTCTTCAAAGAGAAGAAAGCACATTCTCCTTTTTTTATGATTGACTTACCTCATCATTTCACATTTCTGTTTTCGCCAGCGGCCATGGATTTTCACTGGAGGAGTAAGTTGATAGTATAAACCTGTGGTTCTCATAGGTATCCCCAGACCGCAGTTATCAGCATCACATGGAAACTTCTTAAAAAGTCATATCAGAAACTCTGGGGACAGAACCCAGCAGTCTGCTTTACAAAGCCCTTCAGGTGATTCAGGTACATTCTAAAGTTTGAGAGCTATGGTTATAAACTAAGGCTCCTAAAGTTTTTATAATCATGGGAGTTCTCAGTTTATTTTCTTTTTAAACAAGCTATGTCATATTCATTAAAGTCCATGATAGTTGATATTAAAAAACTGAAGCTAAGAGGTGTTTCTTTATGAAGAAGAATAAGCATCCTGTTTAAATAGTTTAAAATAATTATTTTGCTATAAATTAAATAACTACTAGGCTAGGCTAATAGTTATTCTTCATAAATATTTAAAAATGTTTGCTCTGATTTTTATAGAACTAGATATTTTTCATAAAATGTTTTATTACATAAAGAATATATTCAATAAAAATAAATTTAATAAAATGAGAATTGTTTTAGAAGCTAGTCCCCCAAATTTCAATTTATTTACAATATACCAGCCCTTCCTCACTCTCTTTATAAGTTTTGGTTGTCTGGAAGCCATGTGCTCTGTTGTTAACTATTTAAGGAATGTCATCAAGTATTGAGCACTCTAAAGTTCCAGTATGAAAGTATTCAACAAAATTAATGTTTTCACTTAATTTTACCAGTGTTTCTCTGCAAGTTTTATTCTTTCCTGAGCAGATATATACATACATACGTGGATGATATATCACTATTTACCTATGTTGTTAATATACAAAATGCTCAACACATTTAGAAATATTTTTAACTTAATTTTGATATAACCATCATTCAAACAAAAAATATAGCAGATGCAGTAAAAGTCTCCAAATAAGTATCTATAGAATAAAATCTTTTTCAAATATCATCCAAAATTTTGAAGTGAATAGGTTGAAGTAATGACTTCTCCCTTTTTTTGTTTAGATTTTCAGGTGCCTCAGTGAGATCTTCCATGAGAGCTGGTACTGGAGGCATTGTGAGAAAGGAAGAATTCATTAGGATTTTGGTACCTTATACATTCAGTACATCAGATATTTACAGTAAATTACATTTTGCTATAAAATTCCCCATGCTGTTTAGCAACTTAAAGTGATTTGGATCTTCATTGTTTCTGCTTCCTCTACGTTTAATCAACACAACCATCTATTGATGTCATAACTATGTAGTCAGGAGCCCATGTTGGATGTAGGAAAAACTCTATATCCATTCAACTGGGACTGCAGGCAAAAAGGCAATGAAAGCTTTATCCTTGGAAAATATAAATACATATTTTGCTATGCATGTGTATGTGTGTGTCATATATATGATACATATATGTCATATATGTATCATATATATATGATTTCTTACAATTAAATTGCTTTTACTTTTCAAGACCTTCTGCAAGGCTGTTCTATTAAAAGCTAAAGCAGATGGGTTTTATTAAACTACCCAGACTCTACTTTCTCTAATCATCTGCCTCACCCAATCTGAGGGGAAAAGGGCCGACATATGAGGAATCTATTCCTCTCTAACCCTCTCTGCAAGGCATCTGCTAAGACCTCATTCATCACTGTGAAAGCTGTGAATGGATAGCTATGCAATACCCCAAGGTCTCATTGGGAGTGGTGCTGTAACGCCTAACCTCTCCTCTGGTAAAGCAAAAGCAACATGTCCTTTTGTCAAACTGTCAGCAAACACTTCTCTCTTGATACAGTTTGCTCAACCCAACCTTCTGCAATGTCAACTGGCTGCAAATGTTTCATTTTCAAGAAAACCCCCAATGGTTGCCTTGATGTAGTTCTCACAAATGAGTACTTTTGCCTCTGTGGTAGCTACGAATGTGTAGGATTTGCTTGCCTCCAGAGAGGTCCACACTATTCAGGAAACAAAATGACTTTCAAATTTGGTTGTCAAATTATACTATTAGGCCATGTAGTGTACATGGCTGCTTAATAAAATCAGCCCCAAACATCTCCTTTATGAATCTTTCTAAGAATGATAGATGATTATTCAATCATTCACAGTATCCTAGAACTGCTACTCTCCTGGCAGTCTTGAGGAATAACAGATGATTGTAATATAAGCAGCCAGACACTAGTCCCTCCCTCCCACTTCACTCCTCAAGTGGGACAAAATGCTAATCTAGTGTTAACTATATGGCCCACACTTACTTTCAATCATGAGCACCATAACTGTTCAATCAAATGAAATTAAGGCTGGAATCATCATCCACTTGTTAATTACAGTGTGAAATATCTCAATCACTTTGTTTTTAGAGGTGGCATGAGAATTGTGAAAAACAGACAAGGGCGTTTGTTATGCAGTGTGTGAAGTAGTCCATTAAGCCATGGAAACGTCTTCCAAGCAACTGTATTCACCCTGACTCCCCTCATAATTCCATCTCCTAGTTGTTCAAAGAAGAAGATGCTTGAAAAATTATCATGCATAGAGTCACATGAAATCTCTAAATACACAACCTTTACTTAGTTTTCATGGAGACTTAAATCGCAGAATAGCTTTATATTTTAAAATATTCCTATTTATATTTAATTTTTTATTATTGTTAGAGACTGTGTCTTTCTCTGTCACTCAGGCTGGAGTACAGTGGCAAGATTATAGTTCACTGTAACCTTGAACCCTTGGGTTGAAGTGATCCCGTGTCTCAGCCTCCTGAGTAGTTAGGACTACAGGTGCACAACACCATGCCCAGCTGTTATTTTCATATTTTCAGTATAGCTATCTCTGCATCTTTTGAAGTTGTTCCATAAGTACTAAGTACTATAGAAGGCACTTGTATTTATAGAGAAGGTATTTCATTTCCCTAATGTCAATGTGAGTTTTGATAACCTCAATGGTGGTTTTCTGTTCATAAATACTTTAATTATTCAATATCAAATTTGTTAAAATTGAACGTCCTAAAGCCAATCATTTTTTAAAATTTTTATTATTAAGTCTTGCAAATGTTAATAACTTTTAAGAGTCCTTGATAAATGTTTGTTTTATTTACAAACACATTTAAATATACATGTTAACATTTTAAACTGGCTTAATAGAATGATTTCATTCTATTTTCTTATTAAATACTTACATTATCTAATTGAAAATAGATCATCTCATGTACTTAAGTGAATTTTATGAATTTATATGATACGATATGAATAATTTGATATTCTCTTAACTCATGTTTATATATATGCACACATTATTAGACTTCAACATAAAGTTGATATCAGATTGCTCAACATTATTAAAAACAGAATTACAAGATTTATCCTGAAATCACCAAATATATATAGAATATTCTAAAATCCAAATATAAATATCCCAGATTAAATTATTTTAAATATTTTCCTACTTAATTTTAGTCTTCTTAATGTTAAGAAATGTAACCCAGTAAAAAATAATTATACTGTCCTAAAAACCTTGATGTTACCTACTCTGGTAGCTATGATTGGATAATGACCAGAGACATAAATTGGGATTTGGATGATACATGCTGAACTCATTTAGAGTCTTTAATGGGGACTTTGTTATTTAAATAAAGTGGTTATTATACAAGTATCTGTGTCACATTATTACCTGCTGTTGACAACTCACAGAAATCTGCAGACATCATCAAGATGCCATGTCACTTAACAATATCTTGTATTATTTTGTCTTTTTATACATTTATGTGAATTCTCAGGTAGTTATACCAAGTGGTTTGAATGGACCATACAATTTTCTAAGATAATAAAATCAAATGTTTCAATTCTTTTTTTCTTATAGTTCAAAGGTGTATGTCAAGTATCTATGAGTTGATCAAGACAAGTATCTATGTCAAGTACGTTAGAGTTGAGCAAAGACTTGAAATGTGATCATCATTTACATCTCTTTGCAAACCAACTTTCATGTGTGTTGTGCCTATTTCGAGGACTAACCAAGCTTTCTCCCTCTGGTTTACTGTTTATAGCAAATATTGTTTGGCAAGAAATCCATAAGAAATGATGTCACCTGCCAGTCGTCTACAATCTCACACCCTTTTATCTCTGTCATGATTACTCAATGCATATGTCCTGATTCTGTTCAATAGCTTTGATTGCTGGCCATCCACACATAATAAAATGACTGTCCTATATGGAATTAATGAAAGACTGCTATGCTTTAATCCCTAAATCAAATCCTGTCAGATCTGTGAGCTCCTTCTCCATTATTTCACTGAGATGGAACCATAGATGTTATGTCTCTAGAATTTATAGGGATGGTTCTTAAGCCATGCTGGTCAGAACTCTAGGTCATTCTACCTTCCGGGTAATAAAAAGAAACAGGGACATCAAGCAATTGGAGACCTAAATCTTGCTCACCTGCTTCAACTGGCACGACAACCCTTTATTTATTTATTTATTTTTCTTTATTTAGATGAAGCTTATGTCTATATACTACAGCTTTCCAAAAAAAATAAATCTAAAATAAAATGAATCCAAACAAACACTTCCTCCCCCCTGCCACATTATCAATGCCAAGAAAGTGATATTTTCCAAAAGTCCTTTTTTATTACCCAACACTACTTTGTCTATAATCTAGCGAATGGATAAATAATATGTTGTTATGTGGCTTAATATTATGTTTGGTGTGAGAAAAAGTAAAGTTTTTTTTTAAAGAGATACTGTGGGATAACAGAAAGATAATCAGACTAAAAGTTAGAAAAGCCAGCTCCCTCCTGTAACTAGTTTGCTGTGCCAGTTCTAGATATAGGGATGAGATAACCCTATTGATGATGAGTTTCTAATTAAATTGGGTAATGCCAATTCGAGCACTGCCTCAGGAAGGCAGGAATATTATGGTTAAGAACTTGGGCTTTAAAGCTAGACTGCTCAAGTTAAAATCCTGGCTGTGATTTACATGTTTGACCTTGGACAAATTACATAATTTTCCTAAGTCTCAGCATTCCTATATGTAAAATGGAAATAAAAATGGGACCTCTCTTGTGGTTTTGTAGTTGAATGAATTAATTCATGTATAACCTGCAGAATCACTAAAAGAATTAAATAAGGAAATTCTCTAAACAGCATAAAGCACTAGGCAGTAAAGATGTTACTCAAGTTTTCTTAATGTTTATAATTTTCTGCACCAAGAAATTACAGATAAGGAAAACGCAGTGCAACTTTTTTAGCTACTCAGCATTTCAGAATTCTCAGAAGAGTATCATAATTATCATATTTTTATATGGTTTTGCATTAAAACATAAAGTCAAAATCGTGATTATTATTATCAATATTGACAAAACAGCTGTAGCAGTATCTGCCTGACTGCTTACCCAGAAGTAATGTATACCTGGGCCATTCGGTAAAAATTCATGTTATGACATATATTCTTTATTCATGTATTGTCTTTTTCTCCTTGAGGTAAGTGTCTAAGAATAGGCTTCCAGGGTAAAAAAAAAATTCATCCTGGTTTGCCTGGAATTTTCTGTTTTAACACTAACTTTCTATATCTATGTACCCATGAGGTCTGAGCAAACCAGAAAAGTTGATTGGCTCCTTTCAGGTCTCTTTCTCTATCCCCAAAATGTTTAGCATAGTTTCTTGCATGTAAACAAGGTTCATAACATCTATTGAATTAAAATAAATTTAGTTGAACCCCATCAAAATCCACCTATCAGTTCACTATGCACCAGGTGTTTTCCTTGACTGCATAGCCAAAGAAAATATCCTGTGCTTATGTGATTGAAAAATTACCAAGTAAATTGATAAAGGTTTAGGAAAGTCAAAGAAGATTAAAAGAGAAAGTAAATCCTATAGTGCAATAAAAGTAAACTGTCCAGAAAATTTTAATATACAGTAATTAAATTTCTTATTCATCTATTGGAACGCATGGGAGAGGTTGATATTAACTAGCCAAAGTAGTAATACATTAAATTAACTATCTCCAATTGGCATTAACTTTTATTTTAATAAGGCAGTAATCGTATGTTTAATAAATACTAACAGCTTATTAACATGTAGTGATGGGCCATATGCTAAGTATTTATAAGACATCTTTCTTATTTAAGGATTCAAAATATTTTAATAAATGATACTTGTTGAAAATCATACATGATTAAAGGAAGACATTAAATGTTTCTGCCTTAAGAAAAGCGTGGGTAAAGATCTCTACTAATTATTAGTGCTAATGCATACTAAAGGAGTCTGCTTGGTTATTCATCTTTTGAAATCCCATCAATGACTGCTTGGTCTTGGCAATCCCTTGAGAGCTAATGTAAGCTTGAGACATTCACATTTTGCACTCCCAGCTTTAGTGATAGCGCATCAAAGGGGCAGAGGTTCATAAGTCATACTTTTTGCTCCAGTCCCTGTTAGAAATATCAACAGAACATACTTTCTGAAGAGTTTTCAGTACTTCTAATCACTGTTGGAAACAGGAAGGGCAAAGGTAAAAACACATAATGTAAAAAAAAGTAAAGGAAACAACATTGAACTTCAAAAAAAAAAAAAAAGAAGAAGAAAGAGAAATGCTTGTTTTGCATTTGACTAAGTTTAGGAATTTTTTTTCCTCCTGCTTACTAATTTAACCACTCCATGATCCTTGTGAGGACACAAAGTCAAATAGACTTGTCCTTGTGCCTTTCTGTACTCTGGGTGACATTTCTAGGCTCAGAGCTCCCACTGACTTCAAAGACGGGAATGGCTGTAGAAGAAATCCACAGGGTGCTGAGGGAAAAAGGCTGAGCACAAAGCATGCAGTTAAATCATCTGAAATGTTGCACTGTTTCTTCATCATCATCTGATAGGCTCAATTAAGTTCTATCTTTAGTATTATATAGCAGATATATTTTTTCCTTTAGGTAAAATGGAAATATCTCTATGTTCTTGAACATCTGAATGAACCCCCACTAAAAATAATAGTTCTGAATATTTTGTTTATATTAATGACAAACCAGAAAGACATTAGGGATGTGGCTCCCTTTCTGCTTTTTGGGTCCAAATAATACAGAAGATGCCTGGGCAGTATTCATAAGTTTGAGGGAAACTAATTAAGTCTAATGAGAAACCTATAACATGTTCACAATCATTTGACCAGAGATCTGATTGGGTGAAAAAGAGGAGGAGGCCATAAAAATGGATAAAGTCAGGATAAGGTTTGGTGAAGCAACAAGAGACTGGTATTGTGTAACAGTTTTATCACATTAACATTCTTGCATGTGTAAATTTTATGCAATGGTTATCCCATCTCTCCTACCCTCCCATCACCAAATACTTTATTCTTGACCTACATTTGGAGGTGGAAAAGACTAAACATATGCATTTTTTCTTAAGATGCTTCATTCAAAGTGAATTACTTAAAATGTCTATTTTATATAACAACATTTTTACATTAAAAAAGAATTGTCATCTTCACTTGCCATTTTTGGGTCTCACATCTTTATTTCAACTTTTTTTTTTTTGTTTCTCTACTGGCTGCATGTTGACCATTTTAAAACCCTACTGTCAAACACCATTTCACGGTATAATTTCTAATATTTCCACTAACGTTTCTACATCTCCACGTGGAATTCTTTACTTGAACATTTATGTTATCCTTCCTTCCAAAAATCTAATAATGACCTTGCAACTGTGTGACTAATTTCTTCCAGAACTTGTCACTACCCAGCACTCACACTAAATATTATACTGTTAGTACCTGAGAAGCTCTACATTTACCATCTAGTAACTGATACTTATCTTCCTCACCAGAGTAGACTTAGTTGTCATAGTATGATCTCTGATGATGGTAACACAGCTCCCTTAAGAAACCCTTATTCTTGATACAACATATTAATAAATAATAATTGAGAGACTGTAACAGAGAGGAGAGTAAGCAGTAAGCCTATAACCATGATTTTTCTCCTGCACCTGCTCCTGTATTCTGATTACAAAACCTGGGGTCCTATAAAATGCAGTATATTGTATGCTGTACTCAAAGGGTAAGCAAACGTAGCTAGTGGGAACCACTGCAGGTTAAATCTGGTCACACTCATTCTTTTCCTCGTTTATGTCTTTCACCTAAAACAGCACAACTGAGTAGTTCCAACAGAGACTACATCATGATCCACAAACGTTAAAATATTTACTATACGGCTTAAGAAAAAGTTGTCAACATCTTCTCTAGCTAAAAAAACAATGATAATTTCCAAGATCGAGTTTCTGTCTCAGTTTCCTATTTCCTGTCCTTTCCTTTCCTTGTAAACTATGGTGGCGAACCCAAAAGAAATCTCAAGGTCTCCTTTAACTTTCTCTTTAATTTAGAGCAGGGTTTCTGAATTTGGGGTTCATGACTGAGATTTTTCTTGAGAGGCTACCTTTCTTTTCGGCTCTTGTATGTGTATCTATTTTCTGGAGCAGTGTAGAGTGAGTGGTTAAGAATATCATTTAGATTCAGATGATTCTGGTATTTGAATCCAAGCTTCAATACTTTGGCTGTGTGAGACATGATGCAGGTTACTAAGACTTTCTAAATTTCAGTTTTTCATCTGAAATGATGACATCAGCTTGAAAAGACTGTGAGGATAAAAATAAATATGATATTGTAGATAAAGTTCATAATGCACATATCAAGTGCTCACTAACAGCTCCATGTCGTTGGTTGAGAAATCTGTTAAATACTTAACAGAATAAGCTTACATGCCACTCTTGTCCCTGAATCAAATTCAAGCTAAGAAAATGTAGCCATTGTAATGATACCAAATAAAGTCTTACTAACTCATTTAAGAATGAAATGAACACTGTCCATGCTTTCTATACAGTAGAATAATGAGGTACAGTAGAATGAGTTGAAAAAAATGTAGCTTCAAAGAACGCGTATTAACTCAAACGTCTGGCTTATTTCTAAGAGTAGCCACAAGTAAATCCTCAGAATTTCTGTAACCATAAAAACCAGTATTGGAGCATTAACATTTTTAAACAATTTTACTTGTATACAGCTATTAAGATTTCACTTTGACAGAAAGTGGACAAAACGGAATAGTTTGTTGGCTCAAAGATGATTCAAAGAAAATAAATCAATCAAGTAAATGTTCTAAAATTCTACTGAATTCTCTTAAGCATTATAAAGCATACGTATGTATATATATAAAGATTGAAAACACATGAATTTAACTGATATATATATTTTTTGCCCAGACAATAGAACTGAAATGATAAGTTTAGTTTTAGAAAACATATCTGCTTATTTTACTTCTTTTCCAATCTGAAGTGGTACCAGCAGTGTTGAGAATGACAGTACATATGTTATGACTGTTTGAATTTCAGAAAGCCTTTGGTTAAATTCTGCATAATTGGTTCCTGCTTAAGACAAAGCTCGCAAGAATCCAGGAGGAGACATGGGAGTAGATAAAGAATGAGTGGAAGAAACAAAAAACAGACACTCCTGGTAAGAGAAACCATGTTCATTCTGGGGGGAAGTATTAAGAGGGTCCCACATGGAGCAGAGCTTAGATCTTGGCTGCCTTTTATCTGAATAACTGATTCAGACAGGGGGATCAGATTTAAGTGGTTACATTTGCAGATGCTGATTGGAAGACAGTGAATGCGGAGACAGTTGCCAGAGAAATTCGGAAGGCATGGATGTACTTTATTATAGCACAGGAGACCAGCACATGGCATTTAATACTCATAAACACATTACACTCAGAATTTATTTACATAAAAATGCAAAGGGAAAGGGACATGAGGTAGATTCTTAAAATATAGACACATATGACACAGAGTAAAATAAATATCTATAGAAATCTGGATTTGAGGTTTTTCACACTTAACACTTCAGGGTCTTAAATACAAGAACCAATTATGTTAAGCTATTTATGTTAACATGATACTACTTTGAGGATAATCTATATTGCTTGCGGAATTAAGATAGATTTTAGAATCTCTTACATCTTGGATATAAGTTCGTGCTATAAACAAAGCAGCAATGCAATTCAGTGACTATACCTCTACAAGTCAATTTGAAAAATAAAATAAGAAAGGGCACAGTGAGTGTGGTGACATAATCACAAGTCTATAAATATAAATATTGTGGCATAATATGGTCCTGAAAAATTTGAAAAGATGACTGACAACTGAATGAACGAATGCTGAGCTAGTGCTAGAATGTTCTTTGTCTTCACTTCGTCAATTTAGAAGCTAACAAAAACTACCCATTCTTCCAAAATAGTCGCACATACAAGTGTCATCATTCTAATTTCAGTTTAAAGAAAGCAAGTTCATCATTTCCATTACCAGCTTTCAAAATCAATGGGAAAATGCAAGTGACAGCAAGTAAATGATTTTCTTAAAATACACAATCATAGTATATGAACAATCAGATGATTCACAATGATTTTAAAACGAAAATGCACATATTGTAGCGCACAATGCTATTTATGCTCTTGTTTAAGTGATTGTTCAAAATACTCCAGAGTGATGACAAAAATCTTGCTTATCACTGTGATTTATCATCTAAGAGTAAAAACAGAATGAAGAAAGTCATTAGACAAACATCTTCAAATCAAAACCTTGAGACAGAGACTTGCATTTTTAAACCGGTCAGCTGATGCTCATAAAAATAACCAGAAATGATAAGAGAAAAGAAAACTTGAGATCAGATTAAAGGTCTGGAATTATTTTCACAAACATTGATTCACTTCTGGAATGATCCTATATAATCCAGCTTAAAGTTAAAGATATATTCTGCTTAATTTTGAGCAAACAAAATTACAGGCCACAATCAAATTGCGTACATTCTCTACTTGGAGAAATAAGACCAGACCTAGATAGCAAATAGGTTTTATCTTTTTTGCTGGTTCTCAGGAATGTATTAGAAACATCTCAAGGTTATTTCTAAGCTCCTTAGTAAAATAATGCCTTGGGTAATTATCACTGTTTCTTGGAGGGAATGTTGGTAGGTTTTTTGTTGTCTTGGAGTTAAGTGTACAACTTTTAAATGCACAAATTCTCCTTTTATTACTATTTGTTAGAGAAGAATTGGGTAAGTGTTATTTCTCTGTAGGACCATTGACTTGTATTCACTGAAAAAAATTACCTGTCCCAACTCTTCCTAGTTTAATGTATTTTCAGAAATACCACCTTTCACTGGAAAACTAAAGTTCTATGAATTTTTCATGTTAAAAGGTGATATTTATATTTTCTTTATTTTTCTCTTCTTTCAAGAAAAGCATATATTGATCTGTCTCTGATATTAACTGTAACACATATGTGATGGGAGATATAAAAATAAAAACATACAGTAATAATAGTTAACACTTATTGATGAATCAGTTGTTTCTCAGGTACTATGGAAATGTCTTATGTCCTTTAACTTATTTATATACAACAAGTCTTGGAAGATGGCATTTATTGTCACTGTTTTACTAGTGAGGAAATAGAATCTTAGGGAAGTTAAGTCACTTGTCCAATATAATATCTGGTCTAGGGCTTAAACTCAACTGGTCATGATTTTCAGAGTCCACATTAAGAAAGATTATAAAAATCAAGTATACCTGAATTTAAAAATATTTGCTAAGTGCTTATTGTGTGATAGGCATTATTCTGAGTGCTGGAAAAAACATAGTGAACATAAGAATGACTATAATGTGCAAGATATTTTTGAACTTAAAATAATAGAGTGTGTGCAAGTCTGAGCAGATAGACTACAGTGGATGGTCAAAATCATTTACCAAAGAGAATGAGAATGGCCATCAGATGGTTTCTTTTGTTATATATAATTTTCTGAAATGAAGCCAAAGTATACCAAGGCATAATGTACTGGGTATGAGCCCCCCACCACTTATATTTTTTATGAGGCTTCAGAAAATTAAACAGATAGATCATATAGAATGAGTACTATGCTACCAGATATGTGTTTGACATACTATGTCCTAGAGAAGGTTGCTTTATCTCCAACTTGAAGTTTAAGAAATCTAAATGATGAGGATGCTGTACTTGTTAGAGCAGATTATAGAGGCTCTGAGGTCAGATTTGATTTTCTCTGGCTTTAAATGATGCCTCCATTACATCTGATGAACCTAAAGTACAAATACTTGGATCAACACCCCATCCCATAAATCTGGTGGATTCTCGAATAGACGGAAATGGATTAGAGATCTCACAACCCTAGCGTTTAAAGTTGCTTATGTGAGCTCTCCTCTTTCCCAAACTCTGAAAGGAAGATTCTACAACAGAAAGTCTAATTAAGGGAGAAATCCAGATGTTAAGTATTATTTCATACACCTTTCAGTAAAAGAGGGATAAGCCCTTAATAAGACAACATTGCTTTTATTTCAGCTTTAAAAATGTTGTTTAGTTTAATACAGCTCCACATAAAATCCCTGTATCTGTATACAATCATAAACAGTAGGACAGGATATTTTATCGTATATTGTCTTAGAAGTCCTGCTAGCTTCTATTTATTCTTCTTTCACATATATATTTTGCATTTAGAATTCTTCTTCTCATGTGGCTATAGGTCTGATGTATTAAAAAAGCACTTGCTGTATTACTGTGAGATCTGAGTGTTTGCATGTCTACCCTGTCCTTGCTTCCTTCCTTGGAATTTCTCTTGTGGTTTCTATATTGATAAAATGAAGAACATTTGTAAAAACCTTCACAGAGACCATTTGCAAAAAGATCCATGTATTTGCTTTAGACATCAATACAATACAACCTTTGCAGATTTTTTTAATGAAAAAGAATTGAGCCATTTATATTGACTGAATCTATAGCAGAAATTATCCTAATAGTGTCCTCTTTTTCCTAGCTCTTCTCCTTTCTAAGCTCCAATTGCCTTAATTTGGCATCAGACCTTTCCAATTTCCCCAATAAAATTTGCACATTGCAGACAAATGCAAGCAGGGATTGTTTTTTATTTGTTGTTGTTGTTTTTTTTGCTTCCGATTTAGTTCAATAAACTTTAGCCTTGTTCTGCTCTCCACACAGACCATGCAGGTAAATAAATTATATACCTAGATTATTTCATAGAATCCTAATATCAATGCTATCGGCAATCTTCTCAAGCCCCACAACCAATGAGTGGGATAGCAAATTTCAAGCCAAGATCTCTCTGATTTCAAAAATTCCTACCCTGACTATACCACCTCTCAAATTCTACCAGGTGATAAAATTTCATCCACGCGCAGCTTGCTTTTTCTACTCAGCTAAGTACAAACACAGGAATAGAGGGAGGTTTGTAAAGGCATGAATATTAAAAAGGCATAGTTAATATTCTCACTGATATACAAATAATACATCAGTATTGCTTACAAATGACTATAAGGTAGGACATAGAGAGCAGTGAATGACAAGTAATGTATTTCTAACAAGCATAGTTACTCAAGTCCCACAGTCTGAATCATGTAGACACTTAGGATTGATGTGTTACAGGAAAATACAGTTGACCCTTGAACAATGCAGGACTTAGAGGTAGCAACCCCTATCAGTTGAAAATCCTTGTATAAATTTGACCCTCCCAAAAAACTTACTACTGATAGCCTACTCTTAACTGGAAGCCTTACCAATAACATAAACAGTTGAATAACCATATTTTGTATGTTATATATTATATACTGTATTCTTACAGTAAAGATAGATCAAAGAAAATGTTGTTAAAATATAATCAGAAATAAAAAATATATTTCCTAGTCATTAAGTGTAAGTGAATCATCATAAATGTCTTCATTTTCATTGTATTCATGTTGAGTAGGCTAAAGAGGAGGAGGAAGAAGAAAGGTTGATCTTGTTGCTTTAGGGGAGCAGAGGTGGAAGAAAATCTGTGTAAATGTGGACCCATGCAGTTCAACTCTATGTTATTGAAGGGTAAGCTTACTAGAATATCAGCTCTGAAAAATTCTTAGTGAGTCAAATAGTTTAAAATAGGGTTTACTGTGTATCTATGTGTTAGGATTATAGAAGTTCAGAACTGAAATCCATAATAGATTTGCTCTGTTCCAATTCCTTCATTGTAATGTTTGAGGGCCTGTGACTAGAAGAGGCCCAAATCTGATAAATGGTAAAATATCCTTACCTGCAACCACAGGATAGGCTTGTTCACTCCTAATAAAAGTGTGGTTTTTATTGACCTAACTTTCCTTCTCCATCCCTGACATACTCATACGCACAAGGGCACAAAAATACACATCCACATCACACTTTTCTTTATACTCACATATCATGAAAACAGTCCCTGACATGACAGGTTTGAAGATTTAAATAAGCAATATTTTCTAAATGGTTTAGAAAGATCAAGGAAATTTTATGAGATCAGCGCAGAGAAGAAACCACAGCAAAGAGCTAAAAGCTCTGCCGGAGAAAAGAAACATACTCCTGTGAGTGTTTCAACAGAACTCCTCTGCCTTCTTTAGATTTTTCTTTTGGCACAACTACCATAAAAAGATGGGTCTATGAGCATCTCTGTCAGCCCAGAGGTTTGCACATTTGGAATTCAACTGTGGGTTTCTGGCATCTACTCCAAGCAGTGTAATGACCTTGTTCTCATTTTGGATATTGTTAATCAATTGGAAAGATAGGATGACAACTCAGCCAGTGTGGACAATATGGTTGTAAAAAAAGGAATAAGGAGCTGCCATAGTCTACTTGGTGTTGCCATAAACAAATACCTGAGGTTGGGTAACTTATACAGAAGAGAGATTTATTTGGTTCATGGATCTGCAGGCTGTGCAAGAAGCATGACACTGGCATCTGCATCTGCTGAGGGCTTCAGGTTGCCTCTACTCATGGCAGAAGGTAAAGAGGGGCCAGCATGTTCAGAGATACGTGGCTAGAGAGGAAGTGGGGACAGAGGTCGTTTCAGGCAGTTTTCAACCACCAGCTTTCATGCGAATATAATGGAGCAAGAATTCAGTCACCATTAATGGATGACATTAATCTATTCATGAGAAATCCTCTCCCATGTACCAAACTCTTCCTATTTGGCCCATGTCCAACATTAGGATCAAATTCCAACATGAGGCTTGGAGAGGACAAAGAAGCCATAGCAGGAACATTTGGTAAACACCAGAAATCAGAAAATGCATTTGTATCAACTCACTGACAAAATCCTCTGCTCTTCTCAATATCCTAGGTTGCTGTTTGTGTCTGGCACTCCATGGTGTCATAGAGCAGATGCCCCCTTCTGCTTTAATTCAAAATAAATGCAATCTTTGGTTCATAGATTTCTAATTTTTACACATAAAAATAGGACAATGATAAACAAATGATGGCGATAGAAGCAAAGATGCTTTCAGTCCTTTGAAATCTAATCAAAAGAGAAAGACATTTTTTATATTGTTTATTGCTCTATAGGATGTGATACGTATGCCAAGATCTCTGCCCAATAAAATTAAATTATTGTTCTTTGTAAAAAGAATTAATATCATGCTCAATCTGGGATCTACTTAATAATCAGTAGCTATGCAAAGTCTGGTTAGCACAATAGAATAACTTCCTCCTTAGGAAATCATAAATGTGAACATGCAATTCAGAGAGGCTTTCATGCCAGGCTGACTTCAAAGAGACCAGATACAAAATTTTCTCTTAATCGGATGTCTTTTTCTTAAAATATGCATATATAAATGGGCCGTTACTGAGAGGAATTTAGGATTAAGAAATATTTCCTATATGACAGGTTGGTATTCATTGATTTAATAATTTATTTAATAGGTATTTAATATGGATACCAAGCATGGAGATAATAAGCAATTTCATAAGAAATAAGAAATTCTGCTACCTGCTCTTAGGGCAGTGACAATCAAAATAAAAGACATATTAATAAACAAATAGTCCATTGTGATGTTACCTTAGGAATGTGCACAAAATGACACAGAAGTACAGAAATGCTTTTTATCCAAATATCAAAAGCTCTTTCTTTCTTCCCACTACACAAGATGTATGTGTGAAAATATATCTATCTACATATTTTATATCTCAAAATGTATAAAGAAGATAAATATAGTGGTCACATTATCATATATACTTCAGTAAGTCATTATCATATCTTTTCAGATTTTGCTTCTTTCTCCAAATAATTATTTTATTTTTTATTTCTCTTCTTTTCTATCCACTATCCTTTTTCAGCAGACTACAGTGTTAAGTCTGCTTTTCCTTTGGGAAGCAGCTAAGCAAAATTTAAATGTTTTGCATACTCATGATATTCTGTGTTTTTACTTTATAATGGTTTTTAAATAGTGAAGTACTAATGAATTTGTATTTTTTCTTATTTAGATTTTAGTTACTCACCATTTTTTACTTTATAGAGAAAGAGTTATATTCCAGAAAAACAAACATACTTTTCAAAAAATTGGGGGAATATGAGAAGATTACAGGATTTTAGGAGATTGTCATATCTGGAATTTATACATCAGTGTCTGCAGAAGGAAGTGAGACTTGTTAGAATGATGATATTCTGTCATTACTGAAGTCTGAGTTTGTTAATCTTTGTTTTAGAAACTGTTGGGTTAAAGCAGAAATACATGTACATATATGTACATATGCAAAGTAATATATATATACATATGCATACATGCCATATATTCATTTCTGTGTATATAAAATTTTCAGCAACAAAGTCTGAAACAAAATGAGATTTAGAGAAGATATTACTTGCCCTATAGATCTGGAAATTTCTACATAAGAAATTTAATTTCAAAATTTACCTACCTATCACCTATGTATTCTACCTACCTACCTGTCTAGTCTACCTATCTACCTATCTATCTACCTATCCATCTATCTACCTATGTACCTAACTACCTATCTACCTAGTCTACCTACCTATCTACCTACTTATCTACCTATCTACCTACCTATCTACCTATTTTCTTACCTATGTATCTAGGTATCTACCTACCTATCTACCTACCTAGTCTACCTTCCTATCTATCTACCTACCTACCTATCTAATCTACCTAACCTATCAACCTACAACTTTCCTGTCTACCTACCTACGTACTGACCTACCTACCTATCTACCTACCTATCCACCTGTCTATCTACCTACCTACCTACCTACCTATCTCTCTACATACCTATCTACCTAATTATTTACCTATCTGCCTACCTATTTATCTACCTACCTGCCTACATACCTATCTACTTATCTAATCTACCTACCTATCTACCTACCTATCAACCAATCTATCTCCTTATCTGCCTACCTACCAACCTACCTACCTACTAATCTACCTATCTACTTATGTAATCTATCTACCTATATACCTATCTACCTATCTATCTACTTATGTAATCTACCTATCTACCTACCTACCTACTTATCTACCCACATACCTATCTACCTATCTAATCTACCTACCTATCTACACATCTATCTAACTATGTACCTACCTATCTACTTACTTATCTACCTATCTACCTACCTATGTATTTACCAATCTATCTATCTATCTATCTACATATCTATCTACCTACCTATGTACATACCTATCTACCAACTTTACTTTGCCTCTATTATTCCTCGACCTCTAATTGTGATTTGAGGGTGTGTTTTCAAATTTTTACCTCTGGAAGAGAAAAAAAAATGCTCCTTTGTTTTGAATTAAGAATCAAAAGACTCTCTGATGAGATGTGATTGTCTTGTTTGCATTGAAAGTATCACCTTTGCCTCAAAAGTTCTACAAAATTTGAATATATGCCTTGCATATTATTTAGAAAATAAAAATTTTAATAAGGCCCCATAGCAGACGAGCAAGTATCAGACTGCAGCTCCCAATTGAGTTAGTTCTCCAAATGGTAGTACCTTCTCATGGCATTGAAAGTCAGTTAGAAAAGAAACTTTGTCTAGAATAAAAAAGGGCATCTGGGAGGGGCTGCCTGTGTGTGGACACGAGTGTGCGCGTGTGTGTGTGTGCATTTGTGTGTGTGTGCATTTGTGTGTGTGTTTATTTGATGAAACCAATATTGATTGTTATCTCTACCAGGCATATGGGTAAACACTTAGCAGAAAATAGTCAATGCTTTCTTATTGTAAGATAATACGAGCATTTTTATTTCAAACATTAGTTTACTTAGTTTATCCTAGGTCATCCAATTTACATACAGAAGAGCCAGAATTTGAATCTATGCTTGTTTTTATCATTGTATCCACTTTGATATATAGTATTTGTTGTAAAATTACATTAATCTCTTTTCACAAAACCTAAAAAAATCACCAAATGCACAGAAAACACATAATATTTTAAATATGGAAAAGAAAAAAGGTACAGTTATTTTTCAAACACTTTATATATAAATATGTGCCAGTGCTTAGATTGGTGTTTAATTTGCTTTTCTATTATGCCGTGTTCTTTTTCCTTTGATTTTTGTCTCCTCAATTTTCTTATGGAGCCAGTGGAATTTCTTCCCCTTGTAGGTTTTACATTTCCCTTCACTCTTTATCATGTTTACATACATTTAGTCCTTATCCATGTTCATTAAATTGAGATGAAAAAGAGAAGATTATTCAAACAGGTACCAGCAAATTAAGATAAAGACAGTTTACATTATCCACTCATTTGTGCACAAGTGTCTCCCTCTGGATTTAAATTAGCTAAGAAGGAACGCAAATTGAAAATATTTATCAGACATTGTCACTTACAGCTGAAAAATGGAGGATGTACTTTTCAGTAAGGGGACTTCGCTTGTTTAGTTCATAGCAGAAATGCATTCCTTCCTACTGCATTAAGTACTCTGACATAGATTTTACATAGAATCTTTCTTTGTGCCACAGATCAGGAGTATGATAACTCCCTAGAAAGTTTTTTTTAGTCAAGAGTTTTAAAAACTCAGTTGCATATCACCTTAGAGATGATGCAAGCATTTAAACATAATGAACATACGTACTATTCTCTGAAAAATTAAAGAATCTAGTAACGGAAGTGGCCAGCCACAGAGACAGCTCACTCATTGTCCCTGCTGATATCATATTGTTACTGTATCTTCCTCACTCTATTCTCCAACCACTCTCTGTTCCTATTGCCAATTTACCTTTTATAAGATGATGATATAGCTAGTTTCATCATCTCCCACAAGGAAACTATGAATTCATTGAGAGCTGCAACAAAGTGCTGGCTGTTATTATTTTTTTAACTTTTCTACATATCTGTATGCCTGAGAATCAGTTGAGTATCACATATTACAGAATGTTGATGCATGAGTTACCTGAATGAATGGGTGAATGGCAAATTGAGCAAATAAATCCAGATGTCTTGTTTTGTATAATGTCACGGTCATCTGGAATATGGTGTGATACGTTGAGAACACCACTAAAATTTCAGGTTACATTCTGGAAATAAAGTGATTGTAGCCAAAAAGTGCGTTTACGTTATGTATTGGGGTCTTGAGTTTGGTAAATCAGACATATGGACACTGTGTTTAAAAAGTATGATAAAAACTGAACACAGCCATCTTAAAGAATTGAGATAAATTACAGATGCCTCTCAATTCCTATGCAATTAGACATATCCAATTCATCATTAGCAGTGTATAGATATCTGTTTCTTATTAGCTTTCTCTCTAACTTTTTAATAGCTGTGTGCTCCAAGTTTCTCTCCAGAGATAAGTATTCAAATTTTCAAAAATGTTTTAGTTCTGATGTGGTGTTAATAAACCTAACATTATGATATCAAAATTTAAAACTTCATGGAAAGTTTTAAAGAGCAAAACTGACTCCAAAAAACCTAAAACCACTATATATCGATATATACCACTATAATCTGACCATGAGGAAACTGCCTAGAATGCAGGTAAAAGTAACTTAAAATGATAGGTATGAATGGCATTAAGAAAATGTATTTCCAGGATAGCATTTATATATGCACAAAAGTGAGAAATTAGAACATATGGCATAGAAGTAATAATCAAACATGTGGCTAAGGGTAATTTATAAAAAGTAACAGACAAGCTAATTTACAGACTTCATTGTAATTTCAGACTATCACAGTGAAAAGAGACACTCAACTATAACCCATTTTGAAAAACATATATGATTTAACAAGCCAATGAAAAATCTGCATGAGAATTCAGATAGATAAAAATTGTAATAATGTATATAAGGTAGCCAGGCTGATTATAGTCTTGTATCTGCAGTAGTGGATAACAGAAGAACATAGGAAAGGTCTATGGTGTTTAAATGGGGAAAATGACCCTTGTTGTTGTAAAAACATACCCATTGTTATATACCTTTTTGAATGAAAAGATTCAACAGAAAAATCTCATGGAAACCCAAGGAAGCTGCACATTACCAAACTGGATATATGTCCAGAACTAAGAAAATGGTATACTTATTTCTCCTGGATGCATATCAGCTTTTTTCTTCCTTTTCTGTACCAGGCAGTTTTTATTTAGTCACAGTTGTTATAGTCATGGTTTTTGTTTTTCAAAAACACTGGAGAGGCTGTCAGTCAATGCTACTCTCTTTCAGGAACCTTTGTCTTAGCAGGTTGGGTCTTTCTTGGAGGATAGCTTACAACAAATAATCGGGAAGTATTCAGTCCTACGTTTCTTAGGTAGCAATATCTGGTAAATGTCAAATTTGCTCCAGTCTGCCCAGGGGAAAAGCCTGCTAACAATATATAATAAAAACAGGCGTGGTATGGTGGCTCACGCCCATAATCCCAACACTTTGGGAGGCTCAGGTGGGCGGATCACCTGAGGTCAGGAGTTCAAGATCAGCTTGGACGACATGGTGAAACCCCATCTCTACTAAAAATACAAAAGTTAGCCTGGCATGGTAGTATGTGCCTGTTGATCCAGCTACTTAGGAGGCTGAGGCAGAAGAATCGCTTGAACCCAGGAGGCAGAGGTTCCAGCGAGCCGAGATGGCAGCACTCCACTCCAGCCTGGGTGACAGAGTAAGACTCTGTCTCAAAAAATACAAATGTAAAATAAATAAAAAATAATACAATACAATAAAATACAGTTTCAGCAGATATTGCAAAGCCTGAGAAACACATGAAATTGTGCTTATTCTACACCTGTAAACTTATATTGATGAATGGGTTAAAAACAGGGAGATGGAAGGAAAAATTAGGGTCAGTAATTTGCTTTCAAGAATTATTTTCTTATTCTTATTTATAAAATTGATCTGGGATTGGATTCTTTCTAGGTCAACTAAGATATTAACAACAAAAAGAAAGTATTACATAAATCAGCCTGTAGAAACAAATAAAGCAAAGCTATAAATGACACAATTCATAAAGTGAGATGACAGAAGAGCAAGCATCTGGTATGACAAAAAAAGGGTAAGGACCAGCATCTCCTATTAACATACAACTGCTTTTTCCATTGAAAATCAAAAGTCAACTATATGCTTCTAGCAAAAAATATGCCTAACAAAATATCACAAAAAAATAAAAAGGATGAAATGTAGGGGAGGAGATAGAACAGGATTGCTGAATGGATGCCTCCAGCACTTGTCCTTCCCTGCAGGAAAATCATATTGAACAACTACCTACACAAAAAAGTAACTTCATAAGAACCAGAACTCACGGGAGTAATCCCAATACCTTATTGTTACATCATATTAAGGAAAGAGGCACTGAAGAGGACAGAAAAGGCAGTATTGAATTATTGACACCCCCTCTTCCTTATTCCTGTGCAGTAATCATGTGGCATAAAGGGAGAGACTGTGTGCTTGAAGGAGGGGCAGCTCAGGGACTGTGGGACTTTGCATTGGAACTCACTGCTACCCTGTCACAGAGGAAAGCAATGCAGGCAGAGCTCAGCTAGTGCTCGCAGAGGAAGTGTTTAGACCACTATTAGCCAGAGGCAAATCTTCCATTCCAGTAGTTGGAACCTGAGTTCCAGCAAGCCCCACTACTGCAGCCTAAAAGTGCTCTGGGGTCCTAAAAACACTTGAAAAGCAGTCTAGGCCACAAGGAGTGCAATTCCTGGTCAAGTCCTGTTGCTATTCTGGGCTTAGAGCCAGTGGACTTGGGTTGCATGCAATCTAGTGAGACACCAGCCAAGGTAGCCAAGGGAATGCAGTATAGCTTGAAGGTCCAGGAGAGACTCTTTCCCTTGTGGAGAGAAGAGTAAATAGAATTTCATCTTGCAACTTGGATACCAGCTCAGTCATAGCAAAATAGGGCACCCAGCAGAGTCCTGAGGTCCCCATTCTAGGCTCTAGCTCACAGAAGAGATTTCTAAACACACCATGGGCCAGAAAGGAGCCCACTGCCTTGAAGGGAAGGACCCAGACCTGGCAGGATCCATCACCGGCTGGCTAAGGAGTCCTGCCTGAAGGTATAGTAGTAGCACAAAGGTAGCTAGGCAATACTCACCATGTACCTTGGGTGAGACCCAGAGTCATGCTGGATTCAAGTGCAACCCAACACGTCCCTAGCTATGATCGCTAAGAGGGAAGAACATTTCTACTTGAGAAAAGGAAAGGGAAAAGTAAAGGGAACTTTGTGTTGCAGCTTAGGTACCTGTTCAGCCACAGAGGGCAGAGCACCCAGCAGGCTCTTGGGATACTCAGTTCTAGGCCTTGGCTCCTGGATGGCATTTCTAGACTTATCCTAGGCCAGATAGGAGTCTGCTGCCATGAAGGGAGAGAATCAACATTCACCATAAGCTGACTGAAAATCCCTTGGGTCTTGAGTGAATATCAGCGATAGCCAGGCAGTACTTGCTGCAGGACTGGGACAGTGGTGGCAACAGGGACAGACTCCTCTGATAAAGCAAAGTGGAGGAAAGGGTGGGAAGGACTTTGTCTTGCAACTTGGTTACCAGCTCAGCCACAGCAGAATAGAGTACCAGATAGAATACTAAGGTTCCCATCTCCAGGCCCCAGATCTCAGATAGCATCTCCAGACGTCACCACCCTGAGGGGAAAGACAAGCCGGACTAGACTTGCCACCTGCTAATTGTAGATGCTTTGGGACTTGGTAAAGAAAGGTGGTAGCCAGGCAGTGGTCACTGTGGGCCTTGAGCAATTTGCAGAGCTGTGCTGGCTTCGGGTCTGCCCCAGTGCTGTCCCAGTGGTGGCAGCCACAGGGGTGCTTGTGTCACTTTTCTCCCAGGTTGAGGCAGCTCAGAAAGAGAGAGAGAGAGAGAGAGAGAGAGATTCTATTTATCTAGAGGAAAGTAAGGAAAGAGAACAAGAATCTCAGCCTGGTAATCCAGGGAATTCTCCCAGATTTTACCCAAGACCACCAAGGCAGTACCCCCACAAATCTGCACTAGCCACAAAGCATTACTGCTCCTAAGGTGCCCCCTAAAGCAGATAGAGCTGCAGTCACCAAAGACTTAAATCACACACCCAAGTCCCTTCAAATACCTGGAAAACCTTCCCAAGAAGGATGGGTACAAACAAACTGAGACTGCAAGACTGCAAGAAATACCTAAGTCTTCAATACCCAGACACTGATACACATCCATAAACATCAAGGCCCTCCTGGAAAACATAACCTCAACCAAATGAACTAAATAATGTACCAGTGACCAATCCCAGAAAGACAGAGATATTTGAACTTTCAGAGTATTCAAAATAACTGTATTGAGGAAGCTCAACTAAATCAATATAACACAGAAAAGGAGTTAAGAATCCTATCAGATAAATTTAACAAAGAAATTGAAATAATTAAAGAGCATCAAGAAAAAAATCTAGACCTGAAAATGCAATTAACATACTGAAGAATGCAACAGAGTCTCTTAGCAGAACTGATCCAGCAGAAGACAGTATTACTGAGTTTGGAGACAGGCTACTAAAAATACATAGTCAGAGGAGACAAAAGAAAAAAAAATAGAGAAGAATGAGGTATGCCTACAAGATATGGAAAATAGTCTCAAAAAGACAAATCTAACAGTTTTCTTAAAGATAAAATAGAGAAAAAGAGATTGAGGTAGAAGGTTTATTCAAAGGGATAATAACAGAGAGCTTCCCAGACCTAGAGAAAGATATCAATATTCATGTACAATAAGGTTATAGAACACCAAGCAGATTTAACTCAAAGAAGACTACCTGAGGGTATTTGATAATCAAACTCCCAAAAGTCAAGGACGAAAAAAAAAAAAAAAAGAAAAAAAAAGGATTCTAAAAGTAGCAAGGGAAAATAACAAAAACAAACTATGTTATGTTACAAAATATGTTTTGTTACAAAGTATGGCAGCTGACTTCTCAGTGGAAACTTTACAGGCAAGGAGAGAGTGGCATAACATATTCAAAGTACTTCAAGAAAACATTTATCCAAGACTAGTACATCCGAGAAAAATATCCTTTAAACATCAAGGGAAAATAAAAACTTTCCCAGATAAACAAAAGCTGAACTATTTCAACACCACACCTGTCCTACAAGAAATGTTACAAGGAGTTCTTGAATCTGAAAGAAATGATATTAATGAGCAGTAAGAAATCATCTGAAAGTACAAAACTTATTGGTAATAGTAAGTAAACAGAGGATTACAGAATATTATAACACTATACTTGTAGTGTGTAACCACTAACATTTTAAGTAAAAACCTGAAAGATGGACCTGTCATAAGTAATAACTGTAACATCTTTTCAAGAAATAGTATAATAAGGTATAAATAAAAACAACAAAAAGTTTAAAAATGGGAGAAATGAAGTTAAAGTGTAGAATTTTTATTAGTTTTCTTTTTCCTTGTTTGTTTTTGTAATCAGTTGTTGTCAGTCAAAAATAATGGGTTATATTATTTGCAAGCTTCATGGTAACATTAAATGAAAAAAACATACAACAGACACACAAAAAATAAAATGCAAGAAATAAAATAATACCACCTAAATCTTCATTAAAAGGAAGACAAGAAGGAAAGAAAGAAAAGACCAAAAGACAACCAGAAAACAAACAACAACATGGTGGGAGTAAGTCCTTTTCAATAATAACATTGAATGTAAATGAACTAAACTCTCCAATCAAAAGACAAAGAGGACAAAAAATAAGACCCCATGCTCTGTTGCTGCAGGAACCACACTTCATCTATAAAGATACAAATAGACTGAAAATAAAATAATAGAAAAAGATGTTTCATGCAAATGGAAACCAAAAAAGAGCAGGAGTAGCTTTACTTGTATCAGACAAAGTAGACTTCAAGACAAAAACTATAAAAAAGATAAAGAAGGTCATTAAATAATGATAAAACAGTCAATTCAGCAAGACGATATAATACTCATGAATATATATGCATACAACACTGGTGTATCCGGATATATAATGCAAATACTATTAGAAAACAAGAGAGAGACCCCATTACAATAATAGCTAGAACCTTCAACACCTCACTTTCAGCATTGGCTAAATCATACAGGCAGAAAGTCAACAAAGAAACATCTAACTTAATCAGTACTGTAGACCAAATGGACCTAATTGATATTTACAGAACATTTCATCCAGTGGTTGCATAATACACATTCTTCTCCTCAGCACATAGATCATTCCCAAAGACAGACCATATCACAGACCACAAAATAAGTCTTAAAAAATTCTAAATAATTGAAATCATATCAAGTATCTTCTCTGAATACAATGAAATAAAACTAGAAATCAATAAGAAGAGGAACTTTGAAAACTGTACAAACACATGGAAATTCAACAATATGCTCCTGAATGACCAGAGGGTCAATGAAGAAATTAAGAAGAAAAATTAAAAAAATTTTTTGAAACATACAAAAATTGTAACCCAACATACCAAAAACTGTGACATACATCAAAAGCAGTACAAAGAGGAAAGTTTATAGAAATATGCACCTACATCAAAAAAGTAGAAAGACTTCAAATATACAACCTAATAATGCATCTTAAAGAACTAAAAAAGCAAGAGCAAACCAAATCCAAAATTAGTAAAAAAAAAAGAAATAATACAGATCAGAGCAGAAATAAATGAAATTTAAACAAAAAAGAGAAATAGAAAAGATCAACAAAGTGAAAAACTGGTTTTTCAGAAAAAGATAAATACAATTTATAGATCATTAACAGGATGAAGAGAAAAAGAGAGAAGACCCAAGTAAATAAAATCTGAAATGGAAAAGCAGACATTACATCCAATATTACAGAAATTTAATATATTATTAGAAGCTAGTATGAGCAATTCTATGCAAATAAATTTCAAAACCTACAAGAAATGGATAAATGTCTAGACACATACAACCTACCAAGATTGAACCATGAAGAAATACAAAACCTTAACAGACCAATAACAAACAATGAGATCAAAGCTGTAGTAAAAATTCTACCAATAAAGAAAAGCCTAGGATATGATGATTTCATTGCTGAATTTTCCCAACATTTAAAGAAGAACTAATACCGATCCTACTCAAACTATTTCCAAAAATAATGGTGGAAGGTATACTTCCATACTCATTCTATGAAACCAGTATTACTCTAATACTAAAACTAGAACAAGACACATCAGAAAAAAAAAGAGAACTACAGGCCAATATCCATGAGGAACATGAATGTGAAAATCTTCAACAAAATACCATGTGACAAAACTGCACAGTAAAAAGATCATTTGTCATGACCAGTGAGATGACCAGGGATGGAAGAATAATTCAACATGTGCAAATCAATCAGTTTAATACATCATATCAACAGAATAAATGAAAAAAAAAATGATCATTTCAACTGATCCTAAAAAAAATCTGATAAAATTCAACATGTCTTCATAATAAAGAAAAAAAAACCCACTGTTTTTTTCAAATATAATCCTCAAGTATACTTTTAAAAATATATAATCCTTAAAAAACTTTTTCTTATATTTTTCCAAATATAAGATCATATTATCTACAAGCTGATCATATCATATATCATATCATATCATATATCAACTTGGGGATGATGTAATATTATATTTGGAAAAATATAAAGACTCCACCAAAACACTGTTAGAACTGGTAAACAAATTCATTAAAGTTGCAGTATACAAAAGAAACATACGAAAATCAGTAGCATTTATATATGCCAACTGCGAACAACCAGAAAAAGAAATTAAGAAAGCAATCTCATTTGTAATAGCCACAAATAAAATAAAATACCTGGGAATAAGTTTAACCAAAGAAGTTAAAGATCTCTACAATGATAACTATAAAATATTAATGCAAAAAACTGAAGAGGACATCAAAAGATGGAAAGATATTTCATGTTCATGGATCAGAAGAATCAATATTGTCAACATATTTATGATATCCAAAACAATGTACAGATTCAATGCAATATTTATCAAAATACCAATAACAGTCTTCACAGAAATAGAAAAAAACAATTCTAAAATTTATATGGAACCACAAAAGACTCAGAATAGCAAAAGTTATCTAAAACAAAATGTATAAAACTAGAAGAATCATGTTACCTGGGTTCAAATTATACTACTGAACTATAGTAACCCAAGCAGCATGGCACTGGTATAAAAAGCAGACACCTAGATCAATAGAACAAAGCAGAGAACCCAGAAATAAACCCATACACCTACATTGAACTCATTTTTCACAAAAGTGGCAAGAAAATGTATTTGGGAAAAGATAGTCTCTTTAATACATGGTGCTGGGAAAATTGGATATTCATAAGCAGAGGAATGAAACTAGACTGTTGTCTCTTACCATACACAAAAATCCAATCAAAGTGGATTAAAGACCTAAATCTAAGACCTCAAACTATAAAATTACTAAAAGAAAACATTGGGGAAATTCTCAAGGACAATGGACTGGGCAAAGATTTCTTGGCTAATACCCCAAAAGCACAGTCAACCAGAACAAAAAAGGAGAAATTGGGTCACATCCAGTTAAAAAGCTTTTGTGCAGCAAAGGAAACAATCAGTAAAGTGAAGAGACAATCTGCAGGATGGGCAAAGTATGAGCAAATTACCCATGTGACAAGGGATTAATAACCAGAATATACAAGGAATGTAAACAACTCAATAGGAAAAAAATTAAATGATCTGATTAAAAAATAGACAAGAGATCTGAACAGACATTTCTCAAAAGTAGACATACAAATGGCAAAGAGATATATAAAAAGTGCATAAAAAGTGATCATCAGAGAAATGCAAATCAAAACTACAATGAGATGTCATCTTACCCCAGTTAAAATGGCTTGTATCCAAAAGACAAGCAATAAGGAATGCTGGTGAGGATGTGGACAAAAGGACTTTCCTACATTGTTGGTGGTAATGTAAACTAGTACAACTATTATGGAGAATAGTTTGGAGGTTTCTTTAAAAACTAAAAATGGAGCTACCATATGATCCAGCAATCGAACTGCTAGGCATATATCCAAAAGAAAGAAAATCAATATATCAAATAGATATCTGCACTTCCATGTTTTTGCAGCACTATTTGCAATAGCCAAGATTTTGAATCAATCTACACGTCCCTCAGCAGACGAATGAACAAAGAAAATGTGATACATATACACAATGGAGTACTATTCAGCCACAAAAAAGAATAAGATCCTGTCATTTGCAACAACATGGACGGAACAGGAAGACATTATGTTAAGTGTAATAAGACAGGCACAGAAAGGCAAACTTCACATGTTCGCATTTATGGGAGCTAAAACATTAAAACAACTGAACTTCTGCAGAGGCTGGGAGGTGTAATGAGGAGTGGGGAGTGGGAATGGTTAAAGAGCTAAAAAATATAGTTAAACAGAATGAACAAGATACAGTATTTGGTAGCACAACAGGATAACTACAGTCAACAAAAATTTGTTGTTTCTTTTAAAAAAACTAAGAGTATAATTGGATTGTTTGTAACACAAAGAAGGGATAAATGCTTGAAGTGATGGATACCCCATTTACCTTGATGTGATTATTATGCATTGTATGCCTGTTTAAAAATATCTCATGTACCCTATAAATATATTAATCTACTTTGTACCCACAAAAATTTAAAATAAATAATAAAAAGAATGGTCAAAGTCATAAGAGGCAAAAGCAAGCAAGGTAAGGGTCGTGGTAAGAATAATTTCATACAAAGTAGAAATCAAGGCAGAAATCATTAAACAAACAAACAAAGAGAATTTTTTTTCTGTTTCATAATCCATAATCCACCATGAATGCATAATCCACCATGAAAAGCTTAACGAATCAAATATTATAGCACCAACATGTTATGATTTAGTTTTAAAGCCAAAAATGAAATAAAATGAAGAGAGAAAAAATAGAAGTAGAAGACATCAAACACATCTTTTTTTTTAACCAACATGATATTGGTTTAAAAGTATACATAGCTGTTTTTTAAACACACATAAAATACGGATGTATTTTTTAAAAAATACGTAGAGAAGTACTATTTGTATAACAATAAAAGAAACATGGAATTAACCCCAGTGCCCATCAATGATAGATTGGATAAAGAAAATGTGTTGCACGTACACCATAAAATATTATGCAGACACAGAAAAGAATGAAATCAGGTCCTTTTGAGAGGTGACAGCGTGCTGGCAGTCCTCACAGACCTCGCTCGCTCTCGGTGCCTCCTCTGCCTGGGCTCCCACTTTGGCGGCACTTGAGGAGCCCTTCAGCCCACCGCTGCACTGTGGGAGCCCCTTTCTGGGCTGCCCAAGGCCAGAGCCGGCTCCCTCAGCTTGCAGGGAGGTGTGGAAGGAGAGGCGCAAGCGGGAACCCGGGCTGCGCACTGCGCTTGCGGGCCAGCTGGAGTTCTGGGTGGGTGTGGGCTTGGCGGGCCCGCACTGGGAGCAGCCAGTTGGCCCTGCCGGCCCCAGGCAATGAGGGGCTTAGCACCCAGGCCAGCGGCTGCGGAGGGTGTACTGGGTCCCCCAGCAGTGCCAGCCCACCGGCGCTGTGTTCAATTTCTCACCCGGCCTTAGCTGCCTTCCCTTGGGGCAGGGCTCAGGACCTGCAGCCCGCCATGCCTGAGCCTCCCACCCCCTCCGTGGGCCCCTGTGCTGCCAGAGCCTCCCTGATGAGCGCCGCCCCCTGCTGCACGGCGCCCAGTCCCATTGACCACCCAAGGGCTGAGGAGTGTGGGCACACGGCCTCGGGACTGGCAGGTAGCTCCACCCGCAGCCCCGGTGTGGGATCCACTGGGTGAAGCCAGCTGGGCTGCTGAGTCTGGTGGGGATGTGGAGAACCTTTATGTCTAGCTCAGGGATTTTAAATACACCAACCAGCACCCTGTGTCTAGCTCAGGGTCTGTGAATGCACCAATCGACACTCTGTATCTAGCTACTCTGGTGGGACCTTGGAGAACGTTTATGTCTAGCTCAGGGACTGTAAATACACCAATCGCCACTCTATCTAGCTCAAGGTTTGTAAACACACCAATCAGCACCCTGTGTCTAGCTCAGGGTTTGTGAATGCACAATCGACACTCTGTATCTAGCTATTCTGGTGGGGCCTTGGAGAACCTTTGTGTCCACACTCTGTATCTAGCTAATCTGGTGGGGACGTGGAGAACCTTTGTGTCTAGCTCAGGGATTGTAAACGCACCAATCAGCCCCCTGTCAAAACAGACCCCTCGGCTCTACCAATCAGCAGGATGTGGGTGGGGCCAGATAAGACAACAAAAGCAGGCTGTCAGAGCCAGCAGTGGCAACCCGCTCGGGTCCCCTTCCACACTGTGGAAGCTTTGTTCTTTCGCTCTTTGCAATAAATCTTGCTACTGCTCACTCTTTGGGTCCACACTGCTTTTATGAGCTGTAACACTCACCGTGAAGGTCTACAGCTTCACTCCTGAAACCAGCGAGACCACAAGCCCACCGGGAGGAACGAACAACTCCAGACGCGCTGCCATAAGAGCTGTAACACTCACAGCAAAGGTCTGCAGCTTCACTCCTGAGCCAGCGAGACCGCGAACCCACCAGAAGGAAGAAACTCCGAACGCATCCGAACATCAGAAGGAACAAACTGCAGACGCGCCAACTTAAGAGCTGTAACACTCGCCAGGAAGGTCTGCAGCTTCACTCTTGAGCCAGCCAGACCACGAACCCACCAGAAGGAAGAAACTCCGAACGCATCCGAACATCAGAAGGAACAAACTGCAGACGCGCCAACTTAAGAGCTGTAACACTCACCGCGAAGGTCTGCAGCTTCACTCCTGAGCCAGCCAGACCACGAACCCACCAGAAGGAAGAAACTCCGAACGCATCCGAACATCAGAAGGAACAAACTGCAGACGCGCCAACTTAAGAGCTGTAACACTCACTGCGAGGGTCCGAGTCTTCATTCTTGAAGTCAGTGAGACCAGGAGCCCACCAATTCCAGACACACTTTGGAACAACATGGACGTAGCTGGAGGCCATTATCCTAAGTGAACTAACAGAATCAGAAAACCAAAGACCAAATTAATAGAAATAACATTATTCAGAAATACGAAATTAAAATCTGATAATATGCATTTTGACAGAATTTCTAGAAATCAAGGTTAAAAGTGAGGGAGTAACTTTACTACCAACTTATTGGTAGTAAAATAAAAACCTCTAAGATGGAGGTTTTTAGAACCATGTATAATTTACACAGTATTTAAATTACTGAGGGTAAATTGTAATTTTTGTTTCTTTTTTTTTTTTCACCCAGGCTACAGTGCAGTGGCCTGATCGCAGCTCAGCTCACTGCAGCCTGGACCTCCCAGTCTCAAGCAATCCTCCCACCTCAGACTCCCAAGTAGCCAGGACTAAAGGCCTGGTTATTTTTTTTTAGTTTTTTTTTTTTTTTTTTTTGTAGAAACAAGGTTTCACCATGTTGCCCAGGCTGTTCTCAAACTCCTGGGCGTAACTGATACTCCCCCTACCTCCACCTCTCAAAGTGCTGGTATTGCAGGCAAGAGCCACCACACCTGGCCTTAAATTGTAAATTTATAGTATGTTTTCTGTTATCACATTAAGCTTATATTTGCTACCATTTGAATTTGTAAAATGCTTTGATTTATATTTGCCATTAAAACCAACACAATATAATGGTAACTATGTCTCTCTCTTCACAGTCCACAGATGAGAAAAAATAAATTCCTAGAGTTTCACTGATTGTCTTGGGTTTGGAGTTCACAAATCATAGATCTGAGGCTTGAATCATTTATCTTGTATTTTTTAACAAGTGTTTGTTCAATTACATCACAGTCATCTCATTTTTGTTTTTCATATTTATTATATATAATGTATATGAATTAACACTAATCAACAAAAATTCAATATATACAAATTAAAATAGAGTATGAAGGGAAATTAATATCTGCTTAGGAAATAAAGGGTATTTCCAACCTTAAGTGTGTGTGTGTGTGTGTGTGTGTGTGTGTGTGTGTGTATGTGTGTGCATGTTTCTTTATCAGCCCTGCCAGAGGTTTCTGAGCATTTTTAGAGTTGTATATTTCTATTTTACTTATTTATTTTCTTTTTAAAACCAAACTTTGACTTTGATACTTTTCTGTTGTGCTTTTTTCTCTGTTTGGTGTTGATTTGTGTTTTCCAAGAAGAGATGTTTATATATCTGGTACTTGTGAATAGGACCTTATTTGCTTATAGGTCCTTTGTGGATGTAATTAGACTTAAGATGACACATACTGGAGTAGAGTGGGTTCTTAATCCAAAATGGCAGGTGTACTACTAAGAAGAGGAGGAAAGACCCAGAGACAGTCACAGAGGGAGGACAGTCGTGTGATGATAGAGGGAGATTAGAATTAATGTAACTGCAAAATGACAGCAACTACCAGAAGCCACAGGAAAGACAGCATGAAAAAGATTCTCCTTCCGAACCCCCAGAAGGGGACAAATTCTGCCAGCACTTTGATTTTGGACTTCTGGCCTCCTGAATTGTGAGAGAATGCAACTGTTGTTTTAAACTACCCAGTTTGTAGTGATTTGTTACAGCAGTGCTAGGAAACTAATACACCCTCATTTTTGGGTTTAGTTTGCTACTCTATTTTCACTTTTTGAGGCAGATTCTTAGATCACCGATATATAGCTTTTCTTCTATGTAAAAATGCCTTCTAGGCCAGGCACAGTGGCTCACACCTGCAATCCCAACACTTCAGGGGGCTGAGGCGGACAGGTCACTTGATGTCAGGAGTTCAAGACCAGCCTGGCCTACATGGTGAAACCCCTTCTCTACCATAAAATACAACAAATTAGCCAGGCATGGTGGTACATGCCTGTAGTCCCAGCTAGTCAGGAGGCTGAAGTGGGAGAATTCCTTGAACTTGGGAGGCAGAGGTTGCAGAGAGCCGAGATCAGGACACTGCACTCCAGACTGGGTGACAGAGTGAGACCCTGTCTCAAAAAAAAAAAAAAAAAAAAGAAAAAAGAAAAAAAAAGCCTTTTAGGTTATATATTTCTTGGCAAACATGGGGTTAGTTGCATTTTCATTGTTATTCAATTTAATATTTTCTAATTTCCTTTTGTCCCAGGTGTTATATAGATGTGTACTGTGTAATTTCAAGATATCTGAAATGCTTTCTATTTGTCTTGTTTTACTGAGTTCTAGTTTAATTCCTTCGTGGTCAGAGATGTTCTAAATTACCTTCCCTTCCTCCCTTCCTCCCTTCCTTCCTCCCTTCCTCCCCTCCTCCCTTTCTCTTTCTCTCTTTCTCTTTCTTTCTTTCCTTTCTTTCTTTCTTTTATTTCTTTCTCTCTCTTTTTCTCTTTCTTTCCTTTCTCTTTCTTTCGAGACAGGGTCTCACTCTGTCACTCAGGCTGCTGTGCAGTGGCACAATCACAACTCACTGTAGCCTTGAACTCCTGGGCTTAGGTGATCCTCCCACCTCAGCCTCCTGTGTAGCTGGGACTACAGGCATGATCCATCACACCTGGCTAATTTCTTGTAGTTTTTGTAGAAATGGGGGGTCTCCCTATGTTGCTCAGGCTGATCTCGAACCCCTGGACTCAAGTGATCCTCCTGCCTGGGCCTCCCAAAGTTCTAGGTTTACAGGTGTGAGCCACTGCACCTGGCTATTTTTAATTTTTTGGAGCTTTTTTGAGAACTGTTTTATGGCTCAGCATAGGATCAGTATTAGTAAAGTTTTAGGGATAACTGAAATAATATATAATCTATTGATTTACAGCATAGTAGTTTCAGGTAAAATATGTTAATCATATTATTTATATCTTCATTATTCTTACTACCTTCTTTTTGTTTTGTCAACTCATACATTTATTGAAGTTATGTTCTTAGGTGCATGCACATAGATTGATTGATGTCTTAATTGTTATGAAAAGTTGTTTCTTAGCGATTATCTTGCATTAAATTCTACATTCTTTGATACTATTCTTCGAATAGTATAGTTACTTAACTTCCTTTTGGTTGTTATTTGCTTGGTAGTACATACATTTTTTTTCCTTTTCCTTTTGACATTTCTGTATAATTATATGTAAAGTATGTCAATATATGCTATAGTTCAGATGTTCATTTTTCTAAATCCAGTGTAACAATCTTTTTTTATTTTAATATTTATTCTATCTATATCTATGTATGATGATTATTCTATATGTATTTCATATTCAAAAAAGTAATTAATTTAAAACATAAAACCTCTTCAAAAATTATAAATCTGAGGTGCTCTTTAGGTAATACTGTTAATTTTCTGGAAAAGGAGTAATATGACAAAAATTTTTACTTTATAAATAATTGCAGGATTAAATACATTTTATTTACCATTTCTCTGCAAAAAGTAAATTATATTTTATATCATAATTAAAATAATAGATTTGGAGGCTTCTTCTAATGATGCCAGCATACTCATCCACATTTGTAAGGCAAGAAGTAAAGAATGGTATGCATTCTCGTTTGAATCCTTCAAATGTACTATTGAATTCTGCCTATTTAATTCTTCTTTGGTGTATTGTGCTTACAGCAAGTTTGCCGTTATGGAATATCATTTTATTCTACAACCTCTTTAACTTCAAGTAAAAATATATTCTTTCAACTGTCTCTCTTATGTGGCAATAGAAGGAAACTAGAAGGTAGAAATTAGATAAGCAATGGGTACAATGTTGAAAGAGTGCTACTGAAAGAAGAGCATATAATATTGTCAAAAAAATAAGGAATAAAGTATGTGTCAATAAATGTGAGCTCATTTTAAGACTCTCAAAAGCCCTATTTGACTGAATTAATCTATTCAGCCACTTAATTTTGAAAATATATTGTTGTACTTTTTAATACAAATTTACAGGTGATATTAATGTAATATTCTTTTCTAGCTTGTGATAGAGTTAATAACAAAAATCATTGTATCTAACAATCATCTACTATAATAGATGAATTGGTATAGATAATTCACATATATACCTATTTAATCTTCACAGCAATCTCATTGAAGATGTTTAATTATACCTATTTTATATAGAGAGAGTAAGTTTATAGAGGTTAAATAAATAGTCAAAGGACCAGAATTGAGAAATGGGGAAGCCATCATTGGAAATAATTGGCTTGCTTTTCTTCGAAAAATATTTCCCCTTTTCTCAATTCCTGATAGCTACTACGCAGGTCACAGGTGAGATAATCAATATTCTATTCAGACTCTGAGAAATACAGGAAACACAAGAGTTTTGTGATTTTTGTTTTTGAGATAGAGTCTTGCTCGATTGCACAGGCTGGAGTGCAGTGGTGCGATCTCAGCTCACTGCAACCTCTGCCTCCTGAGTTCAAGTGATCCTCCCACCTCAGCCTCCTGTGTAGCTGGGGCTGCAGGCGCACACCACCACACCTGGATAATTTTTGTATTTTTTTGTAGAGACAGGGTTTCTCCATGTTGCCTAGGCTGGTCTCGAGCTCTTGGCCTCAAGTGATCCACCTGCCTTGGCCTTCCAAAGTGCTGAGATTACAGTCATGAGCCACCGCACCCAGCCAGAAGACAGCATTGTTAGGGATGAATGTGGGAGTAAGGCAAAGTAGAGTAGGATAAGTAAGTAGTCCTGGGAAGTAGTAAAAAATGCAACACTAGGATAAAGAAATTATAATATAAAAAGAAAAATTCTACTTTATTCTCAATTCCACTTGCGGGTGAATCTAGCTAAGACTCAAAGATGGAAGCAGGAGGAATCTATTCTCATGAAAGAAAGTTGTTAAAAGTCCACTGAAAGCACAAGTGTGTTTATTATGAAAGATAGTTGGCATTTCAAATGAGATGAAAATCAAGTATTAACATCTTTGTTTGTCATCAGCTATTTGCTGAGCACTTACTACCTACAGGGACTCAGCTCAATAAATGGTAGAGATGCAGTGGTTACTACTATGGTCAAGGGGCTTGGTTTCTCAAACTTAGATACTAGCTGTGGAGGCCAGCATGAAAATGGCCAAGTCAATCCGTGAACAAGTGTTTTGATGGAGAATTTAAAGGTGTCCAAAACCTGGCAGCCAGTGAAGACCTTACGGGCAAAGTATTGATGCACAGGGTATCTAAGAGATAAATAAGAACAAGCTTGACACAGGACAAGAGAAGATAATTGAAGAAAACAGGCCAGAGGAGAGTATTCTGGGTGAAAGACAGGGACTTCACTGCAGACCAAAAGAAAGAGAAAATGTGGAGTATATTCACAGATCTAAATGTTCTTCCCAATGATCAAGAGGATCAGTATTCAACCAAAAGCAGAAAATTCAAGAAAAGTGTTTCTCCAAGTGCAAGTCAAATTTGAGTTATTTCATTTTCCCCCTGAATTTCTGCACTATTATATATATAAAATCTACCCCTCCACTCCCCCTCCCCCAAATTTTTTGATTTAAAAAATTGAAAACTCAGTTTCAAATTTGCTTTATTTATAATTTGAGAAGTTTTAAAATTTTAGGCCAAATTTAGATTTTGCTAAATGGGGTAGTAAATTGGTTATAATAAAAGTATAAAAGACATTTTATGATTATGTGTAAGCCAAAGCAGGTTTGTTTTAGGGAGAATAAAAAAATCAGCAATAAATACTAGCAAAACTAATCCTTTTTTAAATTGTTCCTGGAGAATCAGCTAGAAATGACCAAAGTAACTGTCAGGCCTCTGAGCCCAAGCTAAGCCATCACATCCCCTGTGACCTGCACGTACACATCCAGATGGCCGGTTCCTGCCTTAACTGATGACATTCCACCACAAAAGAAGTGAAAATGGCCTGTTCCTGCCTTAACTGATGACATTGTCTTGTGAAATTCCTTCTCCTGGCTCATCCTGGCTCAAAAGCTCCCCTACTGAGCACCTTGTGACCCCACTCCTGCCTGCCAGAGAACAACCCCCCTTTGACTGTAATTTTCCTTTACCTATCCAAATCTTATAAAATGGCCCCACCCCTATCTCTCTTCACTGACTCTCTTTTCAGACTCAGCCTGCCTGCACCCAGGTGATTAAAAGCTTTATTGCTCACACAAAGTCTGTTTGGTGGTCTCTTTACACGGATGCGCATGAAATTTGGTGCTGTGACTCAGATCAGGGGACCTCCCTTGGGAGATCAATCCCCTGTCCTCCTGTTCTTTGCTCAGTGAGAAAGATCCACCTATGACCTCAGGTCCTCAGACCAACCAGCCCAAGGAACATAGCAGCAATTTTAAATTGGGTAAGCGGCCTCTTCTTACTCTCTTCTCGAACCTCTCTCACTGTCCCTCAACCACTTTCTTCTTTCCACTCTTCAATCTCTTCCTTCTCTTAATTTCAATTCCTTTCATTTTCTGGTAGAGACAAAGGAGACACATTTTATCTGTGGACCCAAAACTCCGGAGCCGGTCACGGACTAGGGAAGGCAGCCTTCCCTTGGTGTTTAATCATTGCAGGGATGCCTCTCTGATTATTTACCCAGGTTTCAGAGGTGTCAGACCACACAGGGATGCCTGCCTTGGTCCTTCACCCTTAGCGGCAAGTCCCGCTTTTCTGGGGAAGGGGCAAGTACCCCAATCCCTTCTCTCCGTGTCTCTACCCCTTCTCTTTCTAGGGGGCAAGAAACCCCCAACCCCTTCTCCTTCACCTTTAGCGGCAAGTACCACTTTTCTGGGGGAGGGACAAGTACCCCAACCCCTTATATCTCTGCACCCCGATCCCTTATTTCCGCACCCCAACCTCTTATATCTCTGTGCCCCGATCCCTTATTTCCATGCCCCAACCTCATATCTCTGCGCCCTGATCCCTTATTTCCGCACCCCAACCTCTTATATCTCTGCACCCCAATCCCTTACTTCCGCGCCCTGACCTCATATCTCTGTGCCCCGACCCCTTTCCCGCTTTTCTGGAGGGTAAGAACCCCCGAACCCCTTCCCTCTGAGTCTCTACTATCTTTTCTCTGGGCTTCACTATGAGCAATCTTCCACCCTCAATCCCTCCTTCTTCTCCCTTAGCCTGTATTCTTAAGAACTTAAAACCTCTTCAACTCTCACCTGACCTAAAATCTAAGCATCTTATTTTCTTCTGCAATGCTGCTTGACCCCAATACAAACTCGACAGTAGTTCCAAATAGCCAGAAAACGGCACTTTCAATTTTTCCATCCTGCAAGATCTAAATAATTCTTGTCGTAAAATAGGCAAACGGTCTGAGGTGCCTCACATCCAGGCATTCTTTTACACATCGGTCCCTCTCTAGTCTCTGTTCCCAGTGCAACTCATCCCAAATCTTCCTTCTTTACCTCCCACCTGTCCCCTCAGTCCCAACCCCAAGTGTTGCTGAGTCTTTCTAATCTTCCTTTTCTACAGACCCATCTAACCTCTCCCCTCCTCCCCAGGCTGCTCCTCGCCAGGCCGAGCTAGGTCCCAATTCTTCCCCAGCCTCTGCTCCTCCACCCTATAATCCTTTTATCACCTCCCCTCCTCACACCCGGTCTGGCTTACAGTTTCCTTCCATGACTAGCCCTCCCCCACCTGCCCAGCAATTTACTCTTAAAAAGGTGGCTGGAGCTAAAGGCATAGTCAAGGTTAATGCTCCTTTTTCTTTATCCCAAATCAGATAGCGTTTAGGCTCTTTTTCATCAAATATAAAAAACCCAGCCCAGTTCATGGCTCGCTCGGCAGCAACCCTGAGACGCTTTACAGCCCTAGACCCTAAAAGGTCAAAAGGCCGTCTTATTCTCAATATACATTTTATTACCCAATCTGCTCCCGACATTAAATAAAACTCCAAAAATTAAATTCTGGCCCTCAAACCCCACAACAGGATTTAATTAACCTCGCCTTCAAGGTGTACAATAATAGAAAGAAGTTGCAATTCCTTGCCTCCACTGTGAGACAAATCCCAGCCACATCTCCAGCATACAAGAACTTCCAAACGCCTGAACTGCAGCGGCCAGGCATTCCTCCTGAACCTCCTCCCCCAGGAGCTTGCTACAAGTGCCAGAAATCTGACCACCAGGCCAAGGAATGCCTGCAGCCCAGGATTCCTCCTAAGCCGCGTCCCATCTGTGCGGGAACCCACTGGAAATCGGACTGTTCAACTCACCTGGCAGCCACTCCCAGAGCCCCTGGAACTCTGGCCCAAGGCTCTCTGACTGAGTCCTTCTCGGCTTAGCGGCTGAAGACTGACGCTGCCTGATCGCCTCGGAAGCCCCGTAGACCATCACGGACGCCGAGCTTTAGGTAACTCTCACAGTGGAGGGTAAGTCCGTCCCCTTCTTAATCAATACGGAGGCTACCCACTCCGCATTACCTTCTTTTCAAAGGCCTGTTTCCCTTGCCTCCATAACTGTTGTGGATATTGACAGCCATGCTTCTAAACCTCTTAAAACTCCTCAACTCTGGTGCCAACTTAGACAATACTCTTTTAAGCACTCCTTTTAGTTATCCCCACCTGCCCAGTTCCTTATTAGGCCAAGACACTTTAACTAAATTATCTGCTTCCCTGACTATTCCTGGATTACAGCTACATCTCATTGCTGCCCTTCTTCCCAATCCAAAGCCTCCTTTGCGTCCTCCTCTTGTATTCCCCCACCTTAACCCACAAGTATAAGATACCTCTACTCCCTCCTTGGCGACCGATCATGCACCCCTTACCATCTCATTAAAACCTAATCACCCTTACCCTACTCAATGCCAATATCCCATCCCACGGCATGCTTTGAAAGGATTAAAGCCTGCTATCACTCACCTGCTATAGCATGGCCTTTTAAAGCCTATAAACTCTCCTTACAATTCCCCCATTTTACCTGTCCTAAAACCAGGCAAGCCTTACAAGTTAGTTCAGGATCTATGCCTTATCAACCAAATTGTTTTGCCTATCCACCCCATGGTGCCAAACCCATATACTCTCCTATCCTCAATACCTCCCTCCACAATCCATTATTCTGTTCTGGATCTCAAACATGCTTTCTTTACTATTCCTTTGCACTCGTCATCCCAGCCTGTCTTCGCATTCACTTGGACTGACCCTGACACCCATTAGGCTCAGAAAATCACCTGGGCTGTACTGCCGCAAGGCTTCACAGATGGCCCCCATTACTTCAGTCAAGCCCAAATTTCATCCTCATCTGTTACCTATCTCGGCATAATTCTCATAAAAACACACCTGCTTTCCCTGCTGATCATGTCCAATTAATCTCCCAAACCTCAATCCCTTACAAAACAACAACTCCTTTCCTTCCTAGGCATGGTTAGCACGGTCAGAATTCTTACACAAGAGCCAGGACCGCACCCTGTAGCTTTTCTGTGCAAACAACTTGACCTTACTGTTTTAGCCTAGCCATCATGTCTCCATGCAGTGGCTGCTGCCGCCCTAATACTTTTAGAGGCCCTCAAAATCACAAACTATGCTCAACTTACTCTCTACATTTCTCATAACTTCCAAAATCTATTTTCTTCCTCATACCTGACGCAAATACTTTCTGCTCCCCGGATACTTCAGCTGTAGTCACTCTTTGTTAAGTCCCACAATTACCATTGTTCCTGGCCGGGACTTCAATCCGGCCTCCCACATTATTCCTGATACCACACCTGACCCCCATGACTGTCTCTCTCTGATCCACCTGACATTCATCCCATTTCCCCATATTTCCTTCTTTCCTATTCCTCACCCTGATCACGCTTGATTTATTGATGGCGGTTCCACCAGGCCTAATCGCCACACACCAGCAAAGGCAGGCTATGCTATAGTACAAGGCACTAGCCCACCTCTTAGAACCTCTCATTTCCTTTCCATCATGGAAATCTATCCCCAAGGAAATAACTTCTCAGTGTTCCATCTGCTATTCTACTACTCCTCAGGGCTTATTCAGGCCCCCTCCCTTCCCTACACATCAAGCTGAAGGATTTGCCCCCACCCAGGACTGGCAAATTAGCTTTACTCAACATGCCCCGAGTCAGATAACTAAAATACCTCTTAGTCTAGGTAGACATTTTCACTGGATAGGTACAGACCTTTCCTACAGGGTCTGAGAAGGCCACTGCAGTCATTTCTTCCCTTCTGTCAGACATAATTCCTCAGTTTAGCCTTCCCACCTCTATACAGTCTGATAACAGACCAGCCTTTATTAGTCAAATCAGCCAAGCAGTTTTTCAGGCTCTTAGTATTCAGTGAAACCTTTATATCCCTTACGGTCCTCCATCTTCAGGAAAAGTAGAACGGACTAAAGGTCTTTTAAAAACACACCTCACCAAGCTCAGCCACCAACTTAAAAAGGACTGGACAATACTTTTAAGACTTTCCCTTCTCAGAAGTCAGACATGTCCTCAGAATGCTACAAGGTACAGCCCATTTGAGCTCCTGTATAGACGCTCCTTTTTATTAGGCCCCAGTCTCATTCCAGACACCAGACCAACTTAGACTGTGCCCCAAAAAAACTTGTCATCCCTACTATCTTCTGTCTAGTCATACTCCTATTCAACGTTCTCAACTACTCATACATGCCCTGCTCTTGTTTACACTGCCGGTTTACACTGTTTCTCCAAGTCATCACAGCTGATATCTCCTGGTGCTATCGCCAAACTGCCACTCTGAAGTAAATAAATAATCTTTGCTGGCAGGACTATGCTGAATCTCCTTAGGCACTCTCTATCAGATGTCCTGAGTCATCCCAATTCTTAGACCTTTTATACCTGTTTTTCTCCTTCTCTTATTCCATTTAGTTTTTCAATTCATACAAAACCATATCCAGGCCATCACCAATAGTTCTACACGACAAATGTTTCTTCTAACAACTCCACAATATCACCCCTTACCACAAAATCTTCTTTCAGCTTAATCTCTCCCACTCTAGGTTCCCACGTCACCCCTAATCCCGCTCGAAGCAGCCCTGAGAAACATCGCCCATTATCTCTCCATACCACCCCCAAAATTTTCGCCATCCCAACCCTTTACCACTATTTCATCTTATTTTTCTTATTAATATAAGAAGACAGGAATGTCAGGCATCTGAGCCCAAGCTAAGCCATCATATCCCCTGTGACCTGCACGTACACATCCAGATGGCCGGTTCCTGCCTTAACTGATGACATTCCACCACAAAAGAAGTGAAAATGGCCTGTTCCTGCCCTAACTGATGACATTGTCTTGTGAAATTCCTTCTCCTGGCTCATCCTGGCTCAAAAGCTCCCCTACTGAGCACCTTGTGACCCCCACTCCTGCCTGCCAGAGAACAACCCCCCTTTGACTGTAATTTTCCTTTACCTACACAAATCTTATAAAATGGCCCCACCCCTATCTCTCTTCACTGACTCTCTTTTCAGACTCAGCCTGCCTGCACCCAGGTGATTAAAAGCTTTATTGCTCACACAAAGTCTGTTGGGTGGTCTCTTTACACGGACGCGCATGAAAGTTACCACTATGAACAGAATATAAACCATTAGCTGGTTTATTTCTAATCTACACAAGAATATTGTGAGGCAAAACTCTATGAATGCTATATACCTTTTCAATACAATTGCCCTAGTATCACCCGCTTAATTTCATAATTACTTTTCACGTATATTGAAGCTGATTAGTCCATATGTGGTTTTAGCCCAGATTTTTGTAACATTATTAGCCTATGTAAATCTTATATGAATCACACTTAAAAGTAGCAAATAAAAAGTGAAGTTACAAGAGGTTTGGTTTGGTTTGCTTTTCTTTGTATATAGTTGTATGCATGTGTGTAAATAACCGTTTTATTGTTTTGAGACTTTAAAGTGTTCACTTACATTTCATAAAAAATATCAAAAATTAGGAAAGTTCTCCTGAATATTTTATTTTAATCAAGAAAGCTTAAGTATGTCAGAAAGTAGACATTTAAGAAAAATTACGAATTCATTGGGGTTTAGTTTTAAATTATGTAAGTGTAACTTGTCATATTGAGCTGTTAATTGTATATTAACTTTTTTATTTGCAAACTTTTACATTTTACCCTCTTTACTCAAGTAGAATTACTTGCTATAAAGTTACTGAATAAACATTTAAGATGCCAACTTTGTCAGTTTTTCCTAATTGACATTAAGTGCCATGTCTTGGTAGTGCTTGAAACACTCACAACCCAGAGCTTAATGATTCTAGTATAGCAGCAACTCTAGGAATATGTGAATGGTTTTGTTGATTGACCCAGGAATTAATCCTCTTCTATTTTTCACAAAGGAAGTAGATTCAGTAGGATAGGAAATGACCATGAAAAGTCACAACAGCACAAGGAAAGGAACTGAGGCTAGAAAATGTCACATTACAGCTCCAACACCTCTCTATATATATATCCTCTATCCCTTATCTGACTTGGAGAAATGTCTAGAAGGTTGTAATAGCTCAGATGAATCTTTGACTGGTAAGATGTAGCCAGGAGAAGAAAATGGAGATGCGGCCCAGTAAGAGGAAGACGAGTAAAGTGATGTAGATGTGGGTTTCTACATAGACCAAGTTGCTTATTGTTGGAAAATACATAAGAAGGAGGAGTAATGCAAGTTAGGGGTGGTGAGGCTATCCAGGATATTCCTTATAATGTTAAGGAGAAGCATTCATCTCTCTACATTCCTCTCCCACACTCCTGTAAGACCTAGCCTCCTCTCCCCTCTCTAGAGATTGTGTTGGTTTTACATTCTAAACATTTCTCATATTTATTTCTTGTTCTCAAGTCTCGGACCATTGCTTTTGGTCAAAGCATATTAGATTATATTAGATCACATGACCATATATCCTCATAGTACCTTCCTCTTCCTTGTGCCGTATCCATCATTTCTTATTAGAATCCCTCGTCAGCTTCACCAAGTCCTCCAACAGCCCAGCTAGGTCTGTCTTGCCCACCGAAATATCCCTTTTGGCAAGTACTGTTCCTTACACAGAGTGAATGATGAATAAAAATTGATGGAGTGAATGAAATCCTTATCTAAACCTTTGCAATAGTCTCCCATCTGTTCTCTTTGACTTCAATTCATCTCCTGTTTCTTCCATCCACCATCCTACAACAACAGCACACAGGAAAAAGACTCCTACCTTATAAATAAATATCTTATATTCAGACAGAAATTTGAATGTTTATTCACAAATATTTACTTAAGAAAGATTTCTGAGTAGACTCACACATAGATGTCTGAAATGGGTGCTAAATTTTTAGGCTCTTTCAAAGAGTTATAGTTCTAATTTCTATATTTCTCTTTGTAAGGAAATTTTGAAGCATGCCTCCAAAATTTTGAACTAAGTTTGTCCCTAAGAGTATTTTATTTTCTTTTTATGACTTGCGGTAATTTGAATTAAGGAAATGACACCTAGATATTGATTGCCCTCTTAAATGTACTTAATTTTCAAAGATATCTAGTGATAATAATTTTTTTTCTTTTCTTTAGCTTGAAGGGAAAAAGCACATACACATTCCTTGTGTCTCTGAAAAGACAAATGTCAACAAATAGATTCCCTAATGAAAACAAAAGGATCTATTTCTCCTCTAGCATATTTATCCAGGGGTAATGCATTGGAAAGATATGACTCAGGGGATCCTGCAACAAGTACATTTTGAATTATAATCCTGACCATGTCACTGACTTAAATATGGGTCTCATTTCTCATGTGCCTTAATCTCTATGGTTGTGAAATTAGGATAATAATTTCCTCCTCACACACTCAGTACTTCAAAAGCTTAATGAAAAATCAAAGAGGACACTTATAATTGTACAAAGTGTCAGGACAGAAAAACAGTCTACACAATGAAGAAAGTTGCAGGGTCCTGATAAGGATTTCATTGAGACAAAGCAGCCCCAAAGACCAAACATTCATCATGGTGTGCTGTGTGCAATGGCTATGGTAGGCGGATGGATGAGAAGTAAATGAGCCATCACCTCCCCATTTTCATCTAAAAGAGGCTCATTGCTTAGTTGACCAAATGGACATACACAGATTCTTCCTTTATTCAAGGAACATTTGTAGAGTATGTCCTATGTGCCAGATACTGTTCTAGCCACTGGGGATGTGGCACTGAGACAAAACAGAAACAAGTAATCTCTGCTGTCAATGGAGCTTCAATTCTATGAGGGAAAAAAAAGTATGGAAATACAATAGAGTATGAAAATTTTAGGCAGGTGGTTAGAAAAGGCCTCACTTAGATGCTTTTTTTGTTAATGATTTATTTTTTTTCTTTTTCTGAGACAGAGTGAGACAGAGTCTCACTCTGTTGCTCAGGCTGGAGTTCAGTGGCTCAATCACAGCTCATTGCAGCCTCAATATCCCAGCCTAAAGCAATCCTCCCACCTCAGCCTCTCAAATAGCTAGGACTACAGGCATGCACCACCATGCCCAGCAAATTTTTTAAACTTTGTAGAAATGGGGTTTCACCATGTTGCACACGCTGGTCTTGAACTCCTGGGCTCCAGCAATCTGCCCACGTCGGCTTCCCAAAGTACTGGGATTACAGGCATGAACAACTGTGCTCAGTTTAGATGCCTTTTAAATAAATACTTGAAGGAAGCAAGGGAGCCAATGACGCAGCTCCTTGAGGGAAAGAAAGTTTAAGGCAAAAATGACAGCACGTGCAAGGGCCTTGAGCGTACAGGGTTTCTTGTCTGGGAACAGCAAGGAAGCCAGTGTGCCTAGAGTCTAGGACTAAAACAGTGGCATATAAAAAGCATTTTGCAAAGACAGATCATGGTTGTGACAGGGAAGATTTTCTGTAACACTTAAATGAGTGTCTTTATTTTCTAAATGCCCTGGCCTGACAAGCCTGTCATTACAATATGCCGCCATTTTGTATTTATATCAAAGTGACAGAGTACCTGTCACCTTTTTCCCTGTCAGAATATCCAGATGATTATCAGACATTCAACTGTTTTAGGTTGTAAGGTCATTTTTGATGTCCCAAGAAATAGGTCTCACACATCCCCTGATACTCTTCTGTTAGTTACAGTCATGCTGAAACATTTGTCCTGCCTTAGCTTGCTTTTCTAATCCTTGTCTCAGTCTCCATTTGGAATGCCACTATGTGAATATTTACTGCTGAACCTGATGATGGAGAACATAAATGCACATGTGGAGAGGAAGCTTATGTGACATGCCAGATGGGGATGATGGGCTATCTATTCTCTCTGGCATGTAGGATCAAAGCTATGCATTTACCAGTGGTGTTAGGCTGTTCTTGCACTGCTATAATGAAATACCTGAGACTGGGTAATTTGTAAGAAAAGAGATCTAATTGGCTTATGGTTGTGCAGGCTGTATAGGAAGCATAGCAAGCTGGGTGCAGTGGCTCATGCCTGTATTCCCAACATTTTGGGAGGCCAAGGTGGATGAATCACTTGAGCTCAGGAGTTCAAGACCAGCCTGGGGAACATGGTGAAACCCTGTTGTCTCTACAAAAATATAAAAATTAGCCAGGTGTGGTGGCACACACCTATGGTCCCAGCTATGTGGGAGGCTGAGATGGGAGGATTGCTTGAGCCACGGAAGTGGAAATTGCTGTGAGCCAAGATTGCACCACTGTACTCCTCCAGCCTGGGTGACAGAGGGAGACTGTCTTTCAAGAAAAAAAGAGCATGGCAGATTCTGGGGAGGGCTCAGAAAGCTTCCAATCATAGCAGAAGGCAAAGGGGGAGCAAGCACATCACATGGTGGGAATGGGAGCAAAAGAGAGTGTAGGGGGAGGTCCCACACAATTTTAAATGACCAGACCTCATGGAAACTCAGAGCAAGAGCTCACTTATCACCAAGGGGATGGCCAAGCCATTCATGAGGGACCTGCCCCCATGATCCAAACACCTCCCACCAGACCCTACCTCCAACATGGAGAATTACTTTTCAACAGGGGATTTGGGTGAGTATACAAATCCAAACTATATTCTTATTTCACCTTGTCCCCCTCCCCAAATCTCATGTCCTTCTCACATTACAAAATAAAATCATGTCTTTCCAACATTTCTCCAAAGTCTTAAATCGTTTCAGCATTAACCCAAAGTCTCATCTTAGACAAAGAACATCTCTCTCACCTATAAACCTGTAAAATCAAAAGCAAAATATTTACTTCCAAGATAAAGTGGGAGTTCAGGCATTGGGTAAACATTTCTGTTCCAAAAGGGAGAAATTGGCTATAAGAAAGGAACTATGGGTCCCATACAAATTTGAAATACAGCAGGACAGTCCTTAAATCTTAGAGCTCCAAAACAATCTCCTTTGACATTATGTCCCACATCCTGGGCACTCTGGTGTGAAGGGTGGGCCCCAAGGCCTTGGGCAGCCCCACCCCTGTGGCTTTGTAGAGTGCAGCCCCGACAGGTTCTCTCATGGGTTGGAGCCGAGTGCCTGCGGCTTTTCATGCTGATGGTGCAAGCTGCCTGTGGACCCACCATTCTCAGGTCTGGAGGATGGTGGCCACTTTCTCACAGCTCTACTAGGAGGTGCCTCAGTGGGGACTCTGTGTGGGGCCTCCAATCCCACAATTGCCCTCAACACTGCCTCTGCTCTCTGTGAGGGCTCTGCTTCTACAACAGGCTTCCTCCTGGACACCTAGGCTTTTCCATATCCCCTCTGAAATCTAGGTGGAGGACAAGCCTCCTTAACTCCTGCACTCTGTGCACCTGCAGGCTTAATACCACTTGGAAGATGCCAAGGCTTAAGGCTTGCATTCTCCAAAGTGGTAGCTCAGGCTGTACCTGGGCACCTTTAAACCCGTTCTGGAGGTGGAGCAACTATGATGTGGGAACCAGTGTCCCAAGGCTGCACACGGGAATGGGGTCCTGGGCCTGGCTCAAGAAGCCATTCTTTTCCTCTAGGCTTCCGGGTCTGTGATGGGAGGTACCGCCTCTGAGATCTCCGAAATGCTTTCTGGGTCTTTTTTTTTCCATTGTCTTGGATATTAGCACTTGGTCCTCTTTTAGTTACGCCAATATCTCTAGCAAGTGGTTGCTCCACAGCCAGCTTGAATTCCTTTCCCTAAAAACCTTTTTCCTTCTCTGCCACATGGTCAGGTTGAAAATTGTTCAAAGTTTTACTCTGCTTCCTGGTTAAATATAGTTTCCAACTTTAAGTCAATTCTTTGTTCTACATCTGACCATAGGCTGTTAATAGCAGGCACACCACTCTTGAACACCTTGCTGCTTAGCAATTTCTTCTTTTAGATACCCTAAATCATCACACTGAAGTTCAAACTTCCACAGAGCTCTAGGGTATAAACAGAACACAGCCAAACTCTTTGCTAAGGCATAACACATGTGATCTTTACTTTAGTTCACAATAAGTTCCTCATTTCCATCCAAGACCTCATCATCCCGGACTTCACTGTCCATATTACTACCAGCATTTTGGACACAACCATTTAACAGTCTCTAAGAAGTTCCAAACTTTCCCTAATCTTTCTGTCTTCTTCTGAGCCCTCCAAACTCCTCCAACCTCTGCCTTTTACTCAGTTCCAAAGCTGCTTCCAAATTTTCTGTGTGTGTGAACCAGAGCAACTCCATCTTGAGTAGGAGCTGGGTAAATGAAGTTGAAATTTACTGGGCTGCATTCCTAGATGGTTAAGGCATTCTAAGTCACAGGGTGAGAAAGGAGGTCAGCACAAAAAAACGGTTCATAAAGACCTTGCTTATAAAACAGGTTGAGGTAAAGAAGCCAGCTAAAACCCACAAAAACCAAGATGGCCACGAGAGTGACCTCTGGTGGTTCTCAATGCTACACTCCCACCAGTGCCATGACAGTTTACAAATGCCATGGCAACATTACGAAGTTACCCTATGTGGTCTAGAAAGCAGAGTCATGAATAATCCACCCCTTGTTTAGCATATCATCAAGAAATAACCATAAAACTGAGCAACCAGAAGTGCTCGGGGGCTGCTCTGTCTATAGAGTCATTCTTTTATTTTTTTTACTTTCTTAATAAACTTGCATTCACTTTACTCTGCAGACTCGCCCTGAATTCTTTCTTGTGTGAGATCCAAAACTGTCTCTTGATTGGGACCCCCTTCCTGTAACACCTGAGACTCGGTAATTTGTAAGAAAACAGATTTAATTGGCTCATGATTTTGCAGGCTGTGCAGGAAGCAAAGCGGCATTTGCTTCTAGGGAGGCCTCAGGAAGTCTTCAATCATGGCGGAATGCAAATGGGGAGCAGTCACATCATATGGCAAGAATAGGAGCAAGAAAAGAGGGGAGGTGCCACACACTTTTAAACAACTAGATCTTGTGTGAATGCAGAGCAAGGCTCACTTATCACCAAGTAGATGGCCCAAGCCATTCATGAGGGATCCATCTCCATAATCCAAACACCTCCCACCATGCCTACCTTCAATATCAGGGATCACATTTCAACATGAGATTTGGGTGGGGAAAAATTTCCAAACTATATCACCAATGCCTTACAAATTTTCTCAGGAATCATTCAAGCAAATATGATCCTAACCTCCCTTCTTCTCCATAGGAGTTCAAAACTAAGACGTGGCAGTAGGGTGGGAATTTTCTCTTCCTGGCTTTGCTTTATTCAACCCACATTCACTAGCTGTAAAACATAAGCTCCCAGGTGTATTATAAGAATTGTCATACATGGCATCATGGGCAGGTGGAAGGAGAAAGAGTGAGTTTTTTATTGTTCTAATGTTATCAGTCAATCCCCAAATCTCTGCAAAACCAAAGTAGTTAGAAGATAACTAGACTGCCTTCCAAACAGAGAAAACAGTATGTGTAAAAACATTTTGGTATGAAGATATAGACATTATTTAAGAAATGGTGCTTGGGCTGTGACCAAAATATAAGGAATGTAGAATGAATCACTAGAGAGAAAGCCATAAAGGGAGTCTGGAATCACATTATAGAGACATTTAAGGGATTTGGATTCTTCTTGTAGGTAATAAATGGTTGTAACAAGAAAGAGAAATGAACACATTTTGTTTTTTAGAAAAGTGCTACTGCTGCACAATGTCCTTAGGTGGAAGGAACAGGGGAGACATTGAAGTCAAAGGGAGCAGATGGAAGGTTATTGCAAAGAGTTAGGTAAGATTTTCCTTCATTCAATCAATATTTATTCATCACTCTGTATGAGAAGCTGTGCTTGCCAACAGGGATAACATGGTGAGCAAGACAGATGCAGTGAGAGCCCTTAAAAGGCTGGATGAAACTGACCAATGATCCCAATAAGATGGGATAAATATTTTCAAGGAGGAGTAAGATCCTAGGCGAGCCTATGGCAGTATGATATAACATAGTCTGAGCACAGCTTGACCAAAGGCATTGATCTCAGATTTGAAAGAAATAAATTCAAGAGATGTTTAGAATGTCGATTCAACACAACTTCTAGAAAGGGGAGAGAAATTATAGCAATGAGTCACCCAATTCTGCTGCATCTGCTGTATCTCTTTTCATTTAATTACAAATTGCTCTCATTCTCAAATTTTTAGATATTTTAGAGCACAAAGAGATGTCTGCTAAAATTAGAAATCTCTATCCCAGGGGTTTAGGTACAACATGTGTTCAAACTTCTTTTCTAACACATTTCTCAGTAATATCAGGTTCTACACAGACAGGCTTAAGACTTGGGATGAATATACATAAGCAACAAATGTATTTTGAGCACTTATGGTTCTAAGAATTGGCTCACAGGGAACCAAATAGATACACATCTTTGTTCTCATGGAAATTACTTTCTAGGAGGGAGGGAAAAACAGTAACAATAAGAGTTAATTTGTACTTTTTTTTTGTCATTTCAAATATTATGAGGAAAACAGAGAAAGATAATGGAAATCTGGGATGTGAAGGACTGGATTTTAAATACAGTGGTTGTCTTATTGAGAATTTGGAATTAAAGCACAATCACAAAGGAGGTAGAGGAGGGTTTCACCAGGGTATATGAGGGAGAGCTGTCAGATGGATAGAAGGCTCCTGGAGTCAGCCTCCTGGGTTCAGGGAATGAGGAGGAGGCCAGCAAACTGAAGCTATAAACTGAGGGCAGAGCAGTGTGTGGAGGGGCACTGACCGTATAGGATCTTACAGGCCTAGTGTAGATTTTGGATTTAACTTTGATATTGGGAGCCATTTGAGAATTTTTAGAAGAGGAGTGACATGATGAGATTCAGTGTGAATAGCATCACTATGGCTGCTGGGTTGAATATAATCTGCAGGGGCAAGAGTGAAAAAAGGCCAATTAATTAAGAGAAATTTTAATTACCTAAAGGCATTGTTTTCTTAGACTTCACATGCCTGGGATTCAGAAGTCTTAGCATTGTGGACTTTTCAAGTAACTTGCCATTTGTTATTAACATCAAACCTATGAAGCCTGGAACAAACGCTATAATGATATGCAGAAGCAGATACTTCATAAGCAGCTAAGCATCTAGGAAAACACGCCACGGGACAAAAATGAAATAGATATCATTAAAACCGTATGAATGTGATGAAAAGTTATTTCCAAGTTGCTCAGATGCTTCTATATCTATTTCCTACCCTAGTATTTTATACAATGATAAGAAGAAATATAACGACAACTTAGAGTCAGCTGATCTGAATTTTTTTTAGCCAGTGTTTGCTACTTCATCATTTAGGTACTATCTAAATCAAATTTTTCATTCTGGAGAAAATTAAGATTTTTTTCACTTTGAAGCTTCTGTGATGCTGCAATATAAGGCAAATTCTAGAGAAAAATTACAAAAAATGATATTCTAGACTCATTAAATTTGTTACATAGCAATATAAATATTTGATTTCAGTATTAAAATTTGTTAAGCATTTTGGTAATAGAAGTTGCATTTGCTTTTCAAAGAGAAAGAATATAAAACATATTTTACAAGTATAACACATAGTGGGGGATTAACAAATATTTGTTCTCTTTACTTTCCTCTGTTATGGAACTTTAACAGTTAGTTATCATATCAAAATCTGCAAGGCTTTCTTACTATTCCAGGCCTCTATTTTCTTTGTCAGCTGTAATTTTTCTTTTCCAAAATATTTTGTTAATTCCTAAGTGTATTATTCAGAATTAGGTCTGGCTACAGATTATAAGACTTCTCCAAAGAACAGTGCCTTAACAAAATAGAAATTTACTTTTCTTTCACATTGATGAAATCAACACTGTTGCATTGTCAAATAAGAAGCTCACACTTCTTTATTCTTGTTGCTTTGTCATGTGTAGCTTCCATTTCCATTTTAACCTCACTGTACAAAATGCCTACCAGAGCTCCAGCTATTTCATCCAATTTAAAGCCATCAGGAAATATGATGGAATAAAGAATCAGAGGCAAATCAATTTTCTCATTAAAAAGGTCCCCACATGACACTTTCATTCATAACCATTTGACTATTTGACTAGAGCTTAGATGACTACATTTAACTGCAAAAGAAGCAAGGAAATGATCTAGTTTCTTGGCAGCTACATACCTAGCCATAAATCAGAAGTCGTACTAATCTGTAAAAGGAAAGAATGGATATTGGGGCACAACGCAATGATCTGTGCCAAATTAAGTAATCCATATTTTAATTTTATCTTACTTTGCTCTTGCCTTTGGTTGTAGCAACTGATCATCTGACAGATTTATCAGCCAATGAGTAACTGGAAAGGGCCCTTAAATACTTACCTGAAATTTACAAGGAAGCTTTTTGAGCCCTGTGTAGGCTCCTTGTGGACCCTTTGCTGTAAAGTGAAAGCAGAGTGGTTCTTGAAGGAAAAGACATCACACGACAGAACCCAATGCACCAGGCCACGCCCAGGCTAGAATGCAGAAGGGAACCTCTTACTGGGCATGTCAATTGTTGAATCGCAAGGGAAATCTTGAAAAACAGTTACATCTAGTGACACTAGACCTATGACCTTTCCATTGATCCTAGTCAGTGTCAGGAATCTCCCCAAGTTATCCATGTCTAAAACATTGTGGAGCAAAATTAGATGAGTAACTTTGCCAGTATCCCATCACAGGGAGTGCTTCTAACTAAATCAGAATGTTGTTTCTATCAGGTTTTCTTTATCTAGATGGCAAAGTGTGACAGAGTGACGATTTTCAAATTCTTTTTCTTTTTTTATTTGAGATGAAGTCTCGCTCTGTCGCCCAGGCTGGAGTGCAGTGGCGTGATCTCGGCTCACTGCAACCTCCGCCTCCCAGGTTCAAGTGATTCTCCTGCCTCAGCCTCCCAACTAGCTAAGATTACCAATGCCCAACACCACGCCCAGCTAATTTTTGTGTTTTTAGTAGAGATGGGGTTTCACCATGTTGGTCAGTCTGGTCTCGAACTCCTGACCTCAAGCCATCCACCCGCTTTGGCCTCCCAAAGTGCTGGGATTACAAGCGTGAGTCACTGCACCCAGCCTTTTTTTTTAAATCTTATTTTCATAATAAATAAATATTTTAGGGGAAAAAAGAGGTGTTAGTTGCCTTATTTGTATGCAATTTGATGAGAAGAAGGGATATTTTGAAAAATTTAAAACAAGTTTAGGGATACTTTGTTTTATCTGTTTCCAGAAAACAAAAGCCTTGGTCACAGTAATGAGCCTGGGGTGTTATCCTGGGCTGGGTGGATGATAAAGGAAAAACATCTGCTTGGCCTCTGAACTAACGCTTACACAGATTCAGATAGAAGCTTCCAGAGCCATAGGTGGATCAATGACTAAATGCAGAGGAGATGGTTAAAAATCAGATTCACAGATATGCAGCCATTCTCAAATGTTAGTTCAAGTAAAAATCGACCTGGAGTGTTTTATAAAGTTTGGAGTCCTGTGCGGCCCCACTACCTAACCACCTGAAGATTTGAAATTGGTGTCTTTAACCAACATGCATGGGAAAAACGATTAAATGGAAGCCCTGAAAAATATCTAAGGGGAAGTTCATATAAGAAAAGTGAAGATACAATTCTAGGGAACTATTTAAGCCACTGTGTGTGTATGTGTGTGTGTGTGTGTGTGTGTGTGTGTGTGTGTCTGTGTGTGTGTGTGTGTGTGTTCTTAGAAGGAATGCATATTTCCCATTCTTTCTCTATCAATATCCAGTACAGAAGGAGGCAGAAACTCCAAAAATTTAATAAGTACTATGTTCCAGGTATTATTCTATTAATTAATTTATTTCTTATATATACATTAAAAGTTAAGTACTAATGTTACCTGTAAACTAAAAATCATGAAAAAAAGAAAAAAATAAAGTAAGATACCAATAAGTCAGGTCACCAACCTGAAGTCACAAACTTCACACATGGTAAATGGCAGAGCTGTAAAAAGTAGCAGCTTATCTCCAGAGCCTTCCCTCACTTGGCTATGCTGCCTGTCCCCACAGTGTTTACTGACACTGGAATTCTTGGATGCGGATGCTGAGAGTATTAGATGTTACTGAAATTAATTTACTAGTTAATCATTTTTGACCATGTACTGATGTTAGACACTTTGTAGACACAAAGGTGAATGGCAAACTCCTTGGTGGGGAAAAGATAAGTGTATCAATCATTAAAGTCACTCATTGATCAATGCTATGGGAGAGAATGGGGTGTGGCATGACAGTGACATGGAGAAGGAACACCTACCTCAGATCTGGGAGTACTGGGAGGGATTCAGGGTGTTTACCCCTGAGAGAAGATGAGGATGGCAATTCATAAGGAATGAGCATGAGTTAGCCAGGCAGTGGATGGAGAAACCACAGAGCAGCATGTGGAAACATGTGAGAAGAATAAAAGAGCACAGAGTATTTCTGGTGCAGAGAAGAGTTAGGTGAGGCTATGGGGCTGGGAGCTTCGAGCAGTGCTGGGGAGAGGGAGAGGATCCAGAATAGAAGCAAAGATGCAGAGACCATGAAGGTCCTTGCTTTTCATGTTAAGGAATCTGGACTTTGTCTTCGATGCTATGGAGACATTTTAAGTGCAGATTCAATTGCAGAAGGTTCAACCTGACAGCATTGAGAAGAGTGGAATGAGAACCAGGCCTGGGGGATATTAGCTGGGAACAGCTTAAGGGTAAACAGGTCTCAGCACAAACCAAGTGAAGGATGATGAGGATTTGAGTGGTAGTGAGGATAGGGTTTATAGGGGAATAGACTACACAGTGTTTCCTGAGACTTTTCATTAAAATGGTCGTTCGATCATATGAATTTAAAAATGGTGACTTCTGCATCAAAGCTTGAAATTAAGAAATATGTCTAATTTGCTTAAAGCAGTATTCTCCAAATTACCACAGACTACTTTTCCCCCTCGTCTCCTCTTTCTCCCCTTCCCTCTCCCTCACCTCTCCCTCCTCTCTCTCTTCCACTCCCACTTTCCCTTCTTCATCTTCTTCTCCTTCTTCTTCTCCTCCTCTTCCTTTTTTTTTTTTTTTAATTTTTCTTGAGACAGAGTCTCACTTTATCACCCAGGCTGGAGTGCAGTGGTGTGGTGACAGCTTACTGCAGCCTCAACCTCATGGGCTCAAGTGATTCTCCTGCTTCAGCCTCCTGAGTAGCTGGGACTACAGGTATGTGCACCATGTCTGGTAATTTTTAAAAAAATTTTTGTAGAGATGGGGTCTCACTACGTTGCCCAGGCTAGTTTCAAACTCCTGGGCTCAAGCAATTCTCCCTCCTCAGCTTCCTGAGTAGCTAGAACTACAGGCATATGCCACCATGCCTGGCTAATTTTTTAACGTTTTGTAGAGACAAGGTCTCATTATGTGGCCCAGGCTGGTCTCGAACACCTGGCCTCAAGCAATCCTTCTGCCTCCGCCTCCCAAAGTGCTGGGATCATAGGCATGAGCCACCATGCTGGCCTTTTAAAATGTTAAATAACACCTATTTGCAAAATTCATATTCCTTGGAATACAATAAGGTGAAAACCTAGAAATGAGGGTTATTTACGAGTTAAAATCTTCAGGTCTTGATGACTCTCTAGTATTGAGGATGCTGTGATGAACAAAAATGATGCTTTTAACAGAAAAATAAGAATACAAAAGGTAAATTTGGTTGTGATGCCACAAGTAGGACTCAATTTTTAACATGCTGAATTTAAGGTGCATGAACAACATATAACCGGATATACCTGAGTCCATTTGGGTGTTCAAAATATTTCATTTCAATTTCAAGAACAATTTTTATGTAATCTATTTAACTCTATCTACCTTACAAACATACATATGCATATATGTATTTATTTGAGGCACATTCTACATGTAGGAATTCGAAATTACTTAGCATGCATATGTAAAGGGCCAGCTTCCCTAAGAATTGCTTTCTCTTATTGTTGTCTGTGTACACACACACATACACACACACACACACACACACACACACACAGATACAATTTTAATGAAAGTAATTGTTTTTAAAAATTTAAACTTCAATAAAGGAAAACATTTTGTATCTTCAGTAAGTTAAATTTGGTAAAATTCATGTAAAAACTTTAGGGAAATATTTTGCACAGGTAAAAAATAAAAAAAATACTATTTATTACCATTCCTATCACTCAGAAGGAGCCAGTAATCTGTCAGGATGATGTCAACCATGAGAAATTCCAATTCGGAATAGTAATCTTTTGAGAAAGATAGAAGTAATGGAAATATTGGCTCAAAATTGAAATGCTCCTAAAATGCTGAAACATTAATGAGATGTATATCGTAGAAAAGAGAGTTTCACCTGAGTAATCCCAAGCGAACAGGTCAAATTGCTTATCCAGACTAAATGTAACTTTACAGCTTTTCTTGAAACAATAATTATACGTATTTGTTTAGGAACCTACCTAACTCAGTAATATAACTCAGTCCAGAATCATATATATTTTAAAGTCTGGAAGATAAGGAAGAATAAGAAAAAGTGAGTAGGCACTGAGAATAAATTTACTTGGTAATCCAGAATAGAGAAACCCTTAAAGATTTCAGGCTTGGAAGTTGAATTTTAAAATATTTGATGCTCTTTAAAGCCCTTCAGTTGCCCCCTTCCTGCCTGATCTTCCGGGATCATTCCATGTGCTCCAGCTGGAGTTGACTAGCTATGAAAGAAAATCTTTGAAGACCATTAGCAGAGAAATGAGGCTTCCCCACAGATATATTTGAAAGAATTGAAAACACAAATATTAAATAGGAGTTATTTGGAGAGAAAGTGGGCATTTGTTATGAAACACTTTATTTTTGGATAAAGTTCTGAAATATTTGTCTTTATTTTCCATCACCAGAGAACCTATACATTATTATAAAACCCAAAACATTAGGATAAGTGCTATTTTATTGGTTATTAAAGTCACATTAGCTATTTTATGACATTTTCTATATCTAAGTAAAATTAAGTTTATAAAATAGTAACTTGTATTTGCAGCACTAATAAAAAGGCATATTTTGGGGGTAAATTCATAGACCTAATCATAGATAAAGTGAAATACCAGAAGGCACCCTATGTCCACAGACTTAAACATGATTTCTAATCACAGATTTGTCACTCACCAGTCAAATGAGTCATTTGTCAGCCAAATTATGAAATGTCCTTTAGATGTTTTTCTCATCTACAAAGTACAATGTGTGGCCTAGACAGAGATTTTCCCATCTGTGCAGAAGGAATGTCTAAGAAGGTTTAGAAAAATGCACATTTCCAGAAAGCTCCCTTCACTGATTCAGGTGAGCTTGGAAATCTTTTTTTTTTAAATTATGGCTTAATAAATAACCAAATTTTAAAAATACTAGAACAGTTGTCAAATTTCTCCTTTCCAAATTTTAGTGTTATCAGAAAGAGGTTTCTATTCAGACCCCAAGGGAAGGTTCTTAGACGTCACACAAGAAAGAATTTGGGGCAAGTCCATAGAGTAAAATGAAAGCAAGTTTATTAGGAAAGTAAAGGAATAGAAGAATGCCTACTCCATAGGCAGAGCAGCAGCATAGGCTTCTCAACTGATTATAGTTACAGTTATTTCTTGATTATATGCTAAACAAGGAGTGGATTATTCATGAGTTTTCCAGGAAAGAGGTGGGCAATTCCCTGAACTGAGGGTCCCTCCTTTTTTAGACCATATAGGGTAACTTTCTGACATAGCCATGGCATTTGTAAACTGTCATGGCACTGATGGAAGTACCTTTTAGCATACTAATGCATTATAATTAGCACATAATGAGCAGTGAGGATGACCAGAGGTCACTTTCATCACCATCTTGGTTTCGTGGGTTTTGGCCAGCTTCTTTACTGCAACCTGTTTTATTAGCAAGGTCTTTGTGATCTGTATCTTGTGCTGACTTCCTATCTCATCCTGTGACTAAGAATGCCTAACCTCCTAGGAATGCAGCCCGGTATGTCTCAGCCTCATTTTACCCAGCCCTTATTCAAGATGGAGTCGCTCTGGTTCAAACACCTTTGACAACAGTGATGGTTTAAAATACAGTATAGCATTTGGAAGAGTGGAAGAGGTGAACAAGGAATTATTTTCTAGCTTACTGCTTAATACTTTCTACAAAATACGTTGAAATTGCCTTAGAATTTATCTTCAAATGTTTACTGCTAGTTGCAGTGGTTAAAACATAACTGATTTGGTGGTGAAAAGTCCTGCTCATCACTTGTTCTGGAAGCACAATGCCACCAACAAGGAGCGCACACAAATGTCTTGCATCCAATCACCTTTGATCCTGACAGCTAGTGTTGTACCATGTGCAGTTGTAAAGATATAAATTATTAGAGCCTTTAGTGAGAATAGTTTGGCAATATGGTGAAAGATTTAAAATGCACACACTCGTTGAGCAAGTAATTCCACTTGGAATTCAAACTAAGAAACGAATCAGGCCAGAACACAATGAACAGATATAATGACTTGGAGTAATTTATTATAGCAAAAAATAGTTGGAATTAAACAAATGTACAACACAAGATTTAAATCAGTGTTTTCTTAATAACCTGGGGAGCTTGTTCAAAATAAAGATTCCTAAGACACATTGCTGGAGATCACCATATAGTAAATCCAGAATAGGGCTCATGATTGTATATTTTTAAACCACCCCCTATGTGAGTTTCATGATCTGATAAATTTTGGAATCATTACATTTATTGAATGATGTTAAGAAATAAAATGCTATATAACAATTACAACGATGTTTATTTTTGTATTGTCATGAAAAGCTATCAAGATATATAATCACTTTTTTAAAAATGGTTAAATTACGCAAGTATCCTGAGCACTTGTTTTTGTTAAATAAAGCATGTTTTTATTGGAAAGGTCTGGAAGGGGTCAGTAGTGTTACTCTCCTGGGGATGAGGGAGGCATTTTTTTGTTGTTATTGTTTTGTTTTCCCTATTTACCTCTCTCAGTTGAATTTTTCAAGCAATTAACATTCATTGCTGATGTCATCTTAAAAATAAAAAGGAAGAAAAGAACAAAAGAATGGGAGTGTTGGGCGACAGTGCCGGGCTGGCTGTTGAGTTTGGAGGACAGGGGTTAATTTTGAGTCTCATTAAATGCAGGGTAATAAGACAGTGAGCAGACGTGCCGGACAGTTCACCTTCTTCCCGGGAGTTTGCTGCAGGCAGCTTCTGCTCTGATTCTTCCATTTACATTTGTGTGTTTTCCTGTAAGGTCAGCTCTGGGTTTATCTGAAAACGCTTTTCCAGGAGCAGTTGGAAAAAGGAGTTCAGCTCTATCAAAATAATAAGGTTCAGCTTGGTTTCACTAAATTAGTACATTTTAGTAAGAATTTTAATTTTAAGTGAATTTAATTCCTGTACGGCAGTGTCTAAAAATACATTTACCTAGCCCTTTGCCATTTAAGCCTGTTTGCATTTGCTTGGACCAGAGCAGAGACATAGACTAGCCGAGCTTCACTTAGCCCTACACAAAATGACCCTAATTACACAGATTCAAAAGAATTGGGATTATAGTCAGTTTCAGCTGAACATTTCTTTCCTCAAGAAAGAATAGAAAGAAGCTTATTTGCATTAAAAAGAAAGGCTTTGGTGGATTTTATTTTCTACAGCCCATTTTTTTTTTTAAACATACAGAGTTATGGCCAAGAAAATGTAAAGATGAGTGAAACTCTTCTGAAATGCATCTCTCATAAAACAAAATATTTTGGCAAGTTGCTTTTAGGGTGCAGAGATTAACTACATACTCTTTTATGAAATGCTTTGAAGATAAAAAGCATTTTCTAAAAGCTTCGCATTATTATTCTAATTATTATTATTTTTTAAGCATTCATTAAAAAAAAAAACCACTGTACATATTAACCAGCTTAGTAGCAAGCTTCTATTTCCTTCACTTTAATACAAAAATGCAGGTGACTCAGTCTTGAAGTATGTCTTTGCTTTCTACATGGAATTCAGTTGTAGCTTAGTATTTTATATAACTTGTGGGCATTAGATCAGGGCTTGAGAACAAACCTGAATACAGCTTCTAAGGTAAATTTACAGTGTGTGACTCCTCAAGTTCGTTGAAATATCTCAACTCGTATTCTCTGAAAGCTTAACACTTTTTAACTTCATGGTTCAGTGGGGATTGGAGTCAATATGCACATGAAAAAGTTTATCTCAACATTAATTTTTAGAAGAATAAAATAATTAAGGGTCAAGGGGCATTAGTTTTAATGGAAAAAATAGAGTCCATATGAATCTAATCTGCTTTTCCTCTCTCGTAGTCAGACAAGCACACAACTTTCTTCAAGCTAATTTCTTCTCCTCTCTGCAACTGATGTTGTTCCAAAAAATGATTTTCAGGGCTCAAACAACTAGAAAAATGTACATTGTTATATTAACTACAATTAATATGGCAAATATAATCATTGGTTCTAAAATCACTAAATGAATGCTGTGACCATTGCAAGGATTAATTATGGCTATGAATCAGTGTGGGGAGAGGGTGTTGGTGAAATTAATTAATACCAGGATATTTCCACAAAATACTACAGTAATCCCAGCAAAGAACTGGGCTACGCTTTTTAAGAATTCATGACTTCACTTTTTAGGTAAGATTAGAAAGAATACATTATTTTGCTCAAAGTGGACACCTAAAGAAAGTCCATTTCAACAAGCTATGGAAGATCAAAAACAACTTAATGATATTCTAGTGACCTGGCCTATAAAATTGTGATATACTGAAACATTATGTTTGCTCCACCAGAGCTCTCATGTCAAGAATCTTATGGGTTACCTCTGCCAGGATGAATTTCTGTGCATATCTCATATGACTAGGGCTAGTTTCATGATATTAATAAAAAAATCAGTGTAACTGGCAGTCAAATAGAAAAACAAAGGGAAAATGAAGGATCCAATATTTTTAAAGTAAGAAAGGATGACCAGGGGTGAGATGCCAGGAGGAACAAACCATTGCCTAGGTAGGGCAGTACTAAACATGGAAGTCCTACATACTTTTCTTTTCCAATATTTATTTAGTGCACATTTACTGGTGCCAGCCTTATGGTAGGACAGCACCAGCAACTGAAAGATCAAATCCTCTCCTTATAGTTAAGCTCATAAGAGGGACACACACACACACACACACGTGTGTGTACACATGTATAAATATCCTAATATATGACAAGTTTTAGAACTGAGACACAATCCCACTGCTAGGAGTGTGCTAAAATCAGAGTTACAAAACTCTTCAGGGAGTTGAGGAAGGCTTAAAGGGTTTTAACATTTTAGGTGGCTTCACAATCTGCATAAGAGCTATTTTAAAAGTTTCACTTGATGCCTTTTTTATGCATACAGAAAACAGCACAGATTACTTGATGAATTTATAGAAAATGTACCCAACTGTGTTAAATACTACCATGATGAGGATAACAAACATTATCAGCACTCCAGAAGCCTCAAGAGTTCCCATATATAAATGTTCCCTTTCTCCCAAAAGATAACTCCTATTCTGACTTCAATATTTGTCAGGTGGAGAAAAGAGATCAGTGGAGAGTAAAAGAATCTAGGCAGAGAAAATGCCTAGTTCCCATATCAGTAGATAAGAAATGGAGATAACACATCCTGGAAATACTGGGCATGTAATGCATGTGGGGTGGGGGTAGGATAATCCATGGGCCTAAGAACAGTTTGAAAAATATTAATGCTGTACTATTTTATTTATTTTATTTTATATATTTTTTTTAGAGACGGAGTCTCGCTCTGTCACCCAGGCTGGAGTGCAGTGGCGCGATCTCAGCTCACTGCAACCTCCACCTCCCGGGTTCAAGCATTTCTCCTGCCTCAGCCTCCAGAGTAGCTGGGACTACAGGCTAATTTCTTTTGTATTTTAGTAGACACGGGGTTTCACCATGTTGCCCAGGCTGGTCTCAAACTCCTGAGCTCAGGCAATCCACCCGCCTTGGCCTCCCAAAGTGCTAGGATTACAGACATGAGCCACCTCGCCTGGCCAGCATTTTATTTTATTTATAGTGTATCATACAGTGAAATAGACTAATTTTTTTGGTGAAAAGTTTTGTGAGATTTAGTAAATGTATAGATTCATGTAACGACCATCACAATTAGTATTTAAAGCAGTTCATCACTTTCCCATACTTGCCTTACACTCTTGCTTTAGAGTCATGCTTTCTCCTGGCCTAAAATTCATGAATCAATGGTGAGTCCTTCACTACTATATTTTGACCTTTTCAAGAATGACATATAAGAGGAGTGTTACAGTATGCAGCCATTTGAGCACAATACATTCAAGATTCATCCAAGTTATTTGGGGTATCAGCAGTTCATTCCCTTTATTGTTGAGTGATATTTCACTTAACGGATATACCACAGTTTCTTTATCCATTCACTTAGTGGAGAACATTTGCGCTGTTTCCAGTTTTTGGTGACTACGAATGGTGTTGATATAAACATTCCTATACAGATTTCCATGGGAACATAAGTTTTATTTCTCTAGGGTAAATAATCAGGAGTGAGATTGCTAGATGATGAAGTGAATACTTATTTAACCTGATGAGAAACAAATAGTTTTGTGAAGTCGTTTCATCAGATCTACTTCGTGTATTTGGAATCTCTGTTGCTAGGTACATATATGTTTATTATATATTAATTGCCATGTCTTTTTGTGAAATGAGTCTTTTATCATTAGGCAAGAATCCCTCTGATACTACTAATACTCCTTCCTCTGAATTCTACTTTGTCTCATATTAATACAGGGGTGTGAGCTTTCATTCAGGTTTGCATGGTGTATCATTTTCTATACTTTCATCTTTATTCTAATTACGTAATTACATTAGAGATGAGTTTCTTGTATACAGCATATAATGGAGGCATTTTCATCCATTCTAATACTCTGTCTTTTAGTTAGTATGTTTAGATATTTAATGTGATTTTTGCTATGTTTAAATTGAAGTCTACCACTTTATTATTTGTTTTCCACTTGTACTCTAATTGTTCATTCTCATGCCTTTGGGGAGTTACGTAAACGTTTTTTGTCTTCCATTTAGATTTTCTAGTGCATTTTTTACTGCATCATTTTTAATAGTTATTTTCATGGCTGCTCTAGGGACCATAATATATAAATTTTTAACTTTTCACATTCTACTTAGACTCAATATTTTACCATTTCTAGTGGGAACGTAAAACCTTACTACAATTTGGGTCCTTTTAACCCCTCCCCTTTATGTTACATATTATATCTCTGTACATTTAAAAACTCCAAGAGGAAATATTTTAACTTTCGCTTTCTTCAACTGTCAAATATATCTTAAGGAACTCAAGAGAAGAAAAATAGTCTGCTAGATTTACCTAGATAATTACCATTTCTACTGTTCTGCCTTCATTTCTCAGGTTTCAAATATTATTCTGGAATCACTATGCTTCTGTTTGAATAACTTCCATCAGCAATTATTTTAGAGCAGGTTTGATTTCCTTTACTGAGAGAATATTTAATTCACCTTTATGTCTGAAAGATATTTTTGCAGAATAGTGAATTCTGTGTTGACGATATTTAAATTTTATTTCAGTATTTTATAAATGTCATGCAATTTCCTTCTGACTCATGATTTCTAATCAGAAATTTGTGGCATTCAAATCATTGCTCTCCCATAGGTAATGTATTTTTTCCTCTGGTTGTTTTCAAGGTTTTATTTTCTTTATTTGTCTTCACTTTTTAGCAGTTTAACTATGATATGATAAAAAGGTTTCCTTATAATGTGCATTAAATGTCCCACACAGTTTACCTCTTGATTATTTACTTTTATTTTTCTGCAATTGTTCCCTAGATAGAAATTTTGTTTTTGTAGTGAGATTTCAATTATTTGAAAATGGGAGCCAAATTTTGTTTCTTCTTTATCACAAAACAATGTAGGTACTTGGTAAAGGATATTCATTGGAAATAAATTAATAAATACACTAGCAGAATGTATCTTTGCAGAGAGAGGAGTGAGGATCTGCCTTTAATTGAACTCAGCATGGCCTGAATGAACAAAATACCCAATATTAAGCCAGGCAGCAAAGTACTGGCGGCAGGGAGAGATAACAAAGCTTAAGTGTGAACCAAGCTCAAATGCATGTAGAACATTCTTTTAGTAATAGAGTTTTTCTTTGACTGTTAAAGGATAATTAGTCATTGCTTAGAAGATCCAAGGAACCCCAGACTGTGGCTATAGATACTAAACAGACAACACACTGGCCACTTATGTTTTACTTTGTATAGCATATCAGGGCAAATCCATCTCTCTTTAGTTACTCTCAGACATTACAGTGGTACCTACCATTAGCAGGGTCATCTCGGAACAGCAAAGAAAAAGGAAGTTGTGTGCCCAAACAGAAACTAAAGTTCTATGATTCCATTTTTTAAAAAAATTGATGCTTCTTTAAATGATATAGAAGGACAAACAAATTTGCATTCAGCCTTCTGTGTTCCCTAGTATTTTCCCTAGTATTGAGTTACCTGTTTTAACATTTATTACACTCTATTGATATGATCTTTTATATTCTACTTCAGATAATGATCTTTTATATTCTACTTCAGATAGTCCTTTTTTTTTTTTTCTGAGACAGAGTCTTACTGTCGCCCAGGCTGGAGTGCAGTGGTGCGATGTTGGCTCACTGCAACCTCTGCCTTCCAGGTTCAGGCGATTCTCCTGCCTCAGCCTCCCAAGTAGCTGGGACTACAGGCACATGCCACCATGCCCGGCTAATTTTTTTGTATATTTAGTAGAGATGGGGTTTAACCATGTTAGCCAGGATGGTCTCGATCTGACCTCATGATCTGCCCATCTCGGCCGCCCAAAATGCTGGGATTACAGGTGAGCCACCACACCTGGCCTCAGATATTCTTTAGAGTTAAGAACATCTCATTTATCTTTTTAATCTCAGCAAATAACTTAATGCCTATTAATTAATTAGTGAATATATTTATTGAACAAATATTGATTCAACACAAAAATGCCAAGGCACTGTGTTGGGCATTGGGATTTCAACAGTTAACTAGGTACACAATGAGGTTTGGTTGAACCAAACTTTGTTTCAGAATTTATCTATATGTAAAGAATAAACAAATAATATATAAAAATGCAAGTAAACAAAAATAATAATACAAATCAGAGTACTTTTCAAACAACTATGAAATACCAAACACTAAGTACAGAAGAAAATATTATTAATTATATCAACAGTTGCATCTTCATCATTAATATTAAAAAAGAAGTAACATTAAACTAAGCTAAAAATGGAAAAACAGGTTTTCATCTTTACTTCTATCCTTTAATAAGTAGCTATTATTAAAGACAGTAGATATTGTTTTTCAAAACATGGACTCTGGAGTTAGACTGTACAGGTTTAATTTCTGACTCCTGTGTGTAATTTGTGTGATGTTGAATAGTCCTGTACATTCTGCATACCTTAGCTGTTCCATCTGCAAAATGGTGATGATGGCGTGATGGTAATAATACCTAGGTCATAAAGTGCGGTGTTGTGGGGATGGTTAAAATAGCAATACATGTAAAGTGTTTAAAATAATTCCTGGCACATAGTAAGTGCTCTCTAATAACTTATTATATACTAATTAATAATTTTTCATTTCTGAGTAAGTGGAAGGAAGTGGAAGTGGTAAAAGATGAAAAAACTTTTATGTTTATATTATTTATATTTAGAAAGATACAATAGAAATAATTAAAGCTTCAATGAAGGACAACATAGATATGAGATTTTAAAAATAATTTTGTGATGAAGTAACAGGGATTGGTTATGTGATTCAGAGTTATCGCTATGCATGGTGTATATTTGAATTAATTTCATATATACAGAGAGGCAATGGAGTCTCCCAGTAATGGAATTTGAGTAGTGTAAATGATTGGGTTTCATATATCTTTAGATACATCCTAGGTCTGAAGACTAACTGATGGAGGAAATTTCAGCAGAAAATTGTAGGGTCCTCTGAAGAGAATTCTCTCTTAGAGAAGAACTCAACACAAGCTGGAGTCAGCGACAGAGGTTGAAGATCAGAGTAGGCTAATGGGTCTGAGCATTGTGTATTCATCTTTACTTGAATCAAACTCTATTTAGCCACAGAACATAGCACGCACACCCTAGAGGAAAAGCAATAGGAAAATGCAAAGCTGAGAGTTCTAAAACCCTGATATCTAAGCGCTTGCCATTTCAAAGCTTTGTATAAGAGAAGGGAATTTTTTTCCTGTTTAAAGGAAGGTTCAAAGAGAGAGTATGAGCAGTGGCCACCAGTGGACCATTGATTAAATGCAGCAAAGAGAGGTAAGTTAGGAAAATGTGCCCAATAGCAAAAACCAGCAGGAGATGTCGGAGGAGGCTTCAAGGCAGGGAGTCTTTAGCAGTGCAGGTGGCAGCTTGGGTGGAGCCACTAGAACATGGCCCCAAGGTGACAGATGGCAGCCATGTGGAGGAAGGCCAAGGGCATGTGGAGAAAGAATTTAAAGTTAGTTCAGAGGAAGAAACAGAGTGAAGGAAGCATGTCCTGGAGAAACCTAGTAACAAAATAGTGTCACCACGGGATTATGAAACATCAGCACAGAGGTCAACTCGGGCAATTTTGTAATCACTTGCAGGAGAAGGCAATACACTTGTTCATGAATGCACTGTAATTTCCCTGGGAGCATCTCCAGTTACCACAAGAAAGGAATCTGGAAGAGAGAGAGAGAGTGTGTGTGTGTGTGTGTATGATCATATAGGGTACTGAGGTTCTACCTCCACAACCAATAAAAGTTGGGCATAAGATTAATATTACATTATTTATGTCCACAGGCTAGAAAGTACATGATAGAGGTATTTGGATCGTAGTTAATAGATGACTAGAACAATCAATATAAGGCATAGAATGGATCATGTAATGCACATTCACGATATCTCCAGCTCAGCATTTGAATAACCCTCTGACTGGGGAGAAATCCTATGATACTTTCTGCCCCTACTACATAGGCTGATGGAAATGGTGGTGTTGGAAATACACACTCCTCTGCACCCCTGGTAACCAGAGAGTCATGTTATCCAAGCACAAATATTTAGATGCTCTTCCTGGGCTTCAGACCTTGAGATGATGTAGAAGATATAGCTTTGGTTGGAGACTGTTTCTCTGTGTGGAGGAGAAAGAGGAACAGTGATCTTCAGCCCTGGATGCTGCCTCGGAGTGTTCAGGGATGACAGCACAAAAATCAAGTCTCAAGCAGAGGATTCCTTTTGGCAAGGGCTTTAGCATAGCCCACCATCTTTGGCCTCTGGAAAGCTTTGTTCTCCAATCTTTCTTTTGATTTGGGAGCAATCACCTATCCAAAAATAGCCTTGACTTAATTTTGTCAAAGTTGTTTTATTTTGTTTACAATAAAAAATCCAAAGTGGAGATGTATAAACCTTATGAATCACTTATTTGAGCAATTATAACAGGAATAAGAGCCTATGTCTTATTTTTTGGCCTTAATAATCATACTAAAGGAAAAATCTAGACATATTCTTTTTTTGAAAACAGCCCAACATGAAGCAGATAGTATAAGGTAGACAAGGAGTCAGAAAACGTTTCTATATGTGATAATTAGAGCAAAATAGTCAATATTTTAGGCTTTGCCAGTCACGCGGCCTATGTTGCAACTAGGGAACTCTGCCATTGTGGTGTGAAAACAATGTATCACCATAATTGTGCTCCAATAAAACCTTATTTATGGAAATAGGTAGCAAGCAAAATTTGGCCTGAATTTGGCTAAAACCTGATCTAGTGGAATAAACAAGGGCCTTAAAAATGGATAGACCTATGTGATCCTAAGATTTCCTCATTCATAAACAGTCATCATATTACTACATGAATTTCCCCTGAGGATTAAATTTAAAGAGAACACACATTTTTAATGCACTTTGCTTTGGTTTACACATGTTTTTTCATAAAAAGTGTATCACATAATAGAAGCTCAATATGTGGTTATCAGAATTATAATATATCCTGGAAGGAAAAGTTAACATTAATGTGTCCACAACACATGCACACACACACATACAGTCCAGTCAAGCATTCACATTACTTCTCAAAGAATAGTGCTCTTCACTAGAAACCACCTCCAGATAATACTCTTTATCCTAACCTTAACTGAAAAGGGCTACTATATTTTTGTTGCTGCACCCATAAACAATCCTTACAGCTTCAAAATACTACCACATATAGTATTTCAACTGTTGGCTGTTCTAGCTATTCCAATACTAATTCTTTCATATATACATATTAATTGGAGATATGAAGGAAGATGTGAGCTCAATTTACCATACGGATGTGAATAAGCAGGAAATGTTTAAAATATGTTCACAGAAAGGGCTGGGCAACAGCAACTAATTAAAAGACTGTGGAACCTTGGGAATTCAACAGGTTTTTGATTGGCTCTGATAGTGCCTATTTTATGCAAACTGCAGAACTGAAAAAATGCAGGGAATGGATCCGTGCTATTGAATTTATGGGAAAATTTGTCCTGTCTAGTACCATCACTTGTAATAGCAAATCATCAATTACATGCTCAATCCACAGTCAACAATGTCTTCTAATGGCTTTTAAAATAAAACTCTAGTAACTCTCTAACACCCTCCTCCCCTGACCAGGGCACTAATGGCACAATGACTTAAAAGGATATCCAATATTTACTTAGTATGTGTGATGGTTAATTTTATGTGTCAATTTGGAGGATATTTTTGAAGGAGATTAACATTTAAATTAGTGAACTTTGAGAAAGCAGACTGCCCTCCATAATATATGTGGTCTAATTAGTTAAAGGTCTGAATAGAACAAAAAGGCCAGCTTCCCAGAACAAGAGAGGATTCTCCAGCAGACTGCCTTCAGACTTCATCTACACTATTGGCTCTCCTGGGTCTTCAGCTTTCTGGCTCACATTGTAGATTTGGACTCTTCATCTTCTATAATCACATGAGTCAATTCTTTACAATAAATCTCTCTCAGTATATGTAGATATATGTATATATAAATACATATATTATATATGTGAATATATATATCTTCTGTGTGTGTGTGTGTATATATATATATATATATACATATATATATATATGAAACAGAACGAAACTTTTATTGGTTCTGTTTCCTATTTATCTGGAAAACCCTGACTAATACAATACCTAACAAAGAAATTTCTTTCTATGTAATCTACTTCATTTAATTTGAATGATAAACATGTACAACATAAAATAGTATTGTCATCCTAATTTTTTTTGTTTCTTTTTATAGATAGATATACTGATGCACTCATTGGATAAATATCTGGGACATGCAGCTAATAAGATTTGGAGCTAGGATTTGAAGAAAGACATTATTATTCCAAACATATCTATCCCACCAAGTAGATGTTATTGTTCTAGAAACCAGATAGTTGAGGATGAGGAAAGATAAGTAATGTGCCCATCATCAAGCAGTTAGTAACTAGAAAATCAATGCCTTTTTGATTTCAGATTTCATATTAACCACTGAAATAGATTGCTAATGACACACTTTTAAAAGTAGAATCTGAATAAAGCAAATTTTATGTGATATTAACATATGTTATATTTAGTGCTATAACATTACATACATATAATTCAATTCTGATAGTAATATAAAAAGCAAAATATAAATAAAATATTTCTATTGTTAGGTTTCAACTAGTTGTTATTGCTCTAGGCAGGTAAACATCAGAAGCCTTTGCATTCTATTGGGATATCAGTATTGTGTCCGTTTATAATTGCAGCCCTGCTGAGAAATACTGTGACCTAGATTTCCATTAGGAAAGAAGCCAGTATCTATCAGCAAAATTTTCCAAATGTCTCAATTGTTACATTACAATACTTCTGACATTGAGGTGAAGGTAAATTGTTAAGAAAATGACTTTTCTTATAGCGTCCTAATACACTTAGTGGAAAGGTTTTCCTGCTTTTTGAGTTGATCTGATTTGTGCTTGGAAACTTTATTATGTGATTTAGTGAGGGGTGCTCAGAGATAACAGAGTTCCAACGGTCTTCACATCCAGGTTCTTAAAGCTGGGGTGCTTAGACAAGATGATAAATGGTATCACATTATAAAATCTCCATTTCACAGTGGAGATGGGTGGGGTTCTGTGTTGAAGTGTGTTCCTCTCTCTCTCCTCAAAAAAGATATGCTGAAGTCCCAGCCCCTTGTACCTCAGAATATGGAGCTGATTTGGAAATAGATTCTTTATAGAGGTAATGAATTCAAAATGAGGATATTAGGGTGTGCCTTAATCCAATATGGCTGGTGTCCTTATGCCAAGGGGAAATTTGGACACAGACATAGACATACACAGAAAGAAGATGATGAGAAGACACAAGGAGAATCCCACGTGAAGATGGAGGTTTGAAACTATGCATCTACAAGACAAGGATCACAAGAGATTGTCAGCAACCACCAGAAGCTAGAAGAGGAAGAGAGGATTCGCCTACAGGTTTCAGAGGGAGCATGACGTTGCTGATACCTTGAGTTTGGACTCCAAGCCTCCATACCGTGAGACAATGCATTTCTGCTGTTTTAAGTAACACAGTCTCTAGTACTTTGTTATGACAGCTGTGGGGAACTACTACAGCAGGCAAATACATATTTTTCAGAAAATAAGTTCATATCATTAATTAAATTCTTCAGGGATACTGGGTCCAAAAAGGATGAGAAGTCATTGTCTTTTTATTTTTTTATTTTATTTTGTTTTATTATTTTTTATTTTGAGACAGTCTCACTCTGTCACCCCAGCTGAAGTGCAGTGGCAAGATCTCAGCTCACTGCAACCTCCACCTCCTGGGGTCAAGCAATACTTCTACCTCAGCCTCCCAAGTAGCTTGGATTACAGGCACGTGCCATCATGCCCTGCTAATTTTTGTATTTTTAGTACAGACGGGGTTTCACCATGTTGGCCAGGTTAGTCTCGAACTGCGGATCTCATGATCTGCCCACCTCTGCCTCCCACAGTGCTGGGATTACAGGCGTGAGCTGCCGCACCGGACAGAGAAGTCATTGTCTTACAGCATCTGGAGAAACACCTGGCCATATAATTAAGTCATAACATTCTTATTCTGCAAAATATTTCTTACGCCTCACTCCAAGTATCTGAGTCTGTCTGAAAGGGCTTCGTTGTTGTCTGTTTTTACAAATTACAAATAATTAATCTTACAATAGGTACATTTCACAAGCGAAAGAAGCTGGCTTCTGAAGAGGCTTGCAAATAGTTAACAATTGAACAAGTAACAGTTTTATTTTAATTGTAACATCAACACATATTCATTTGAAAACATTATAAAATATAGGAAATTAGTAAGAAAGATTTATAACCACTATCCATACAGCTCTTAAACACTGTTTGCTTATTTGCATCTTAGGTTATTTCCTTTGGGATGGGGCTGGTGGTTTCATTAATCAGCATTGTTTCACTGAGGTTGACTTCTGCAGAAATGTTGTTAGACTAGAAGAGTCTGGCTGTTCAGGGGATTCTAGGCAGGTGATGCTCCAGCCCCTCCACTTGGTCAAGGATGGGAGTAAAAATGACCTGCAAGGTGCTGCAGACACAGTGTGGATAAAAAAAGGGAAAGAAGTGTATAAACTGCTGGGTACGAGGAAGATGGGAAGATACAGAGAAATATCATAGAAAACCATTTATGGATTTTGTTCATGTGATGGACTGTGTGATCATTTATGCCACTTCCTATGGGAACTACAGTAAAGATCATTTTATATTCACACCTGCCCTCATTTCACCTTATTTACATAATACAAGTCCCTGAATCAGGAATTACTGGGTCAAAGATATTAACATCTTTATGTTCTTGATATATTTTCAAGCTGATTTCCAGAAAGATCGTTCCATATTATATACCAGCATTGTGTAGAAGTGCTATTCTCAAAGTGGCTTAATCAGCATTGATAATTCTTTTCTTTAATGTGCACTAATTTAAGAGGTAACAAATAGAATTTTGTTATCTATATTTGCCCTTTTAATTATTAGTAATGCTTAGAGTTTAATTCTTGTTAGCCATTTTTGTTTATTTGTATATGAAATGTTATTCATCTTCACTTCCCATATTGCTTTCTTGATCTACACTTTTAATGTTTGTATTTTTTTTAAATTACAAAATTATGTGTTCATGAAACATTCAAACCATATAAAAATGTGTAAAGATAATACCACTCCCTTTCAATCTTATCCCTTGGAATACCTTTTCAATAGTATATCCTTGCTCATATCTATATTTGCGTAAACATATACAGGCTGATAAAGGGGTATGTATATATGTTGTTATTTTGTTTAGCAATGTTAGTATATACACCACTCTGCAACTTGCTTTTTACACTTAATCTTTCAGGTTGATCCTTATTCTAGATTAATTACCACAGATATAATATATATTTTAATAGCTATGTATTATTTTTGAAAATAATATACTAAAATGTTTAAATCATTTCTCTCAACATGGATAGTAGAAGTCTTTTTAGTTTCTTCATGTATTTTTTTCTTTTGGATCATGATAAATAATGCTAAAAAAACAAATTTACCTACCCCAATATACATAGAGCACAAACACATAAACATTCTTGTAAGCACATGCATATTCTTATATATTATTACTTTTAGTTCTGTAGCTTAGGCTCCCTCAAAGTTCAGCTGTAAATAAATGATGAGGACTCACCTCACCCAAAAGCCAATGATTTGGGGTGGTATTAGGGGGCCTGAAAGGGTATATTCATTTCTGCAAAAAAATGGCAACGTTCTTTACAGATTTGAGGAAATTTGGGCATTTTGTATGCTCTCTAAAACTCATTGTTGGTGTTCTACCAGAAAACCTTTAAAGGCTAAATAGTTTAATATAATAGTGTTGTGGATTTTGATTTCTTACTCTAATCTTGGAATCTAATATGAAAAATATGGTTTTTATTGGAAATAAAGTAAAAAAAAGTGGCAGGAAGCGGGACAGGACAGAATACAATTTTCTTCTAGTTTTGCAAAGTCTGGATTTTTGGCTTTCCTTAGAACTTTGATACACTGCAATGTGAAGAAAATAAATGAAGAGCATATCTAAAGCCAATTCCATCTCCAGTTATTTACCATTTAAATTACAGTGGTAGGCAAGCTTCCAAATTAGAAAAACGCACTTCTGATCAGAGGATAAAAGAAGGGCAGTATTTAAAAGCTGATTTTAAAATAGGTCAAAGTAGCTATGGTCTGAGTAGCTGAGACTTGACCAATTTTAAACACCAAATGTGATCATTCAAAGAAAATACTGTGGATGTTGCAGGGTAGATCCAAATAAAAAGAGGTTACCTTCACAGAATAGTTGAATCAATCACCCCTAAGTACATCGTCTGTGATTTTTAACTAGAAGTGTGCTTCAGCAGCTACCTGGAGTTCTGGTGCAAAAATATGTTGGCTGAAACTCTGATTCAGTAGGCCTGAAATGGTGCTCAGTATGTATGTTTTGAAAACGCTTCTCAAATTATTGTTATGAGCAATTCTGAATTAAGAACCACAGCCTAAAATGTTTGTAGTAGTAAACTCCCCAGATTATTTGAAGCAGAATCATCCTAGGGACATGCTAAAATATACATTCCTACGTCCACTTCAGATTTCAATTAAAAATGACAGGACTAAAGCTTGAGAATCCAGACTTTGTACCAAACCACACTGTTAATGACAATGAAGTTTCTAAAACACTAGACATGCACAATCCAAGTATAGCATTAAAAGTACTTGGCTTCACTGTTTTGGAGCAATTGTAAACGAGTTGAGATGTAACCAAAAGGCCACCAGCAAGTGTGAACACTGGTTTTAAGATTTAACAACCTGATATATCCCGTCAAAAAGAAACATTCTTAAAGGCTAAAGCTGCTTGAACATTACTGGATAGGAGTACTATGTTTTTAATCAGTGACTCTATGACTTTACTACTTACTAATGGTACAGCTGTCTTCATGTTAAGATCTTATCAGCATAGCCACTGGGCATCTGGGTTAAGATTCTTTTTGGTGCAAGTTAAAATAAATCTAGTCAGGCCAGGCGCGGTGACTCAAACCTGTAATCCCAGCACTTTGAGAGGCCGAGGTGGGTGGATCACTTGAGGTCAGCAGTTCGGGACCAACCTGGCCAAATAGTGAAACCCAGCCTCTACTAAAAAAAAAAAAGAAAAATACAAAAATTAGCCAGGCCTGGTGGCACATCCCTGTAATCCCAGCTACTGGGGAGTACAATCATTTGAACCCAGGAGGCGGAGGTTGCAGTGAGCCGAGATAGCGCCGTTGCACTCCATCCTGGGCGAAGAAGCGAGACTCTGACTCAATAAATAAAAGCAAGCTAGTGAAAAGTAATTTGAAAAATTAATTTAAAAAATTTCAGATGATGTTGAGAGGAATTAATTATAAAGATAACAGAGTCTCCTATGGAAACTTTTATTCTCATGTCAAATCTCTGAGCGAGAGTATTTGGGCACGGATTTCACCCCTGATCTACTCATGTGCGTAGGAAGACTAAATTAAAAATATGGCAGCTGGGGCCATTCTTGGTAGTTCCCAAAGCAGAAGAGATGAGTTTGATTCTGCACTAGGGATTTAAGAAATATGTTGATGAGACCCATAGCACTGTGGTCAGACTGAATGTTTACAAATGAGTGCACACACACACACACACACACAGGCTATAATCTGTATAACACGAGTGTGTCTTGTTATCTCAAGACTGTGTGTTCTAAGGGATTTGTATGCCTTCTTTACCATGTGCCTAGAAATAAAGTCTATATAGTGATTTCAGGCCTCTTATTTGTGTTCCATGTTGTGATTTGGTTGTGATTATTTCCCTGACCTTGTAAACGCCCCGAGAGTGGAGATTTAAAAGTGGAGATTTGGTCTTGCTTAGCAAGTACAACTACCATAATGCTCGGCACCTAGGATAGACTCAAAGGTAACTTGCTCAACGATTTGGTTACAGGGTCACCCAAATTTTATCTACAAACTCTTCAGATCTGCTTAAATTTCTACTATAAGCAATTACCTGTAGCTATCAGCATTGATATTTCATTGCCTCTTTTTGACATCCGCTTGATGGTAGGTTAAATTTCTACTATAAGCAATTACCTGTAGCTATCAGCATTGATATTTGATTGCCTCTTTTTGACATCCGCTTGGTGGTAGGTTAACTTTTTCTGTGCTTTACTTAGTTTTCCAACAAAACTTTTGAAACCTGTCTACCTTTCTTTCTCAATCACTCAAAGAACAGCTTCTAGGAGATGGCTTGGAGTGTCTGGCGTGTTCTTGGGGACTGACTTGACACCATTTCAAGTAATTTCCAGAACTCTTTTCTTTCAAGGATTTCTGCTCTCATTAACCATCTTCTCTATAATCACAATTCTTAGCCCTCCCAGTCTTCCAAGATAGTAATTTTTAAACTTTATAAATGATGGAGGAATCTTGCAAAGATGCAGATTCAAATTTAGGAGCTCCTGGGAAGTGGTTGGCTATCTGCCTTTCTTTACTTTTTTTTTTTTCTTTTTTTTTTTTTTTTTTTTTTTTTTGTGTGTGTGTGTGTGTGTGTGTGTGTGTGTGTGTGTGAGACAGAATCTTACTTTGTTGCCCAGGCTGGAGTGCAGTGGCACAATCTCAGCTGGCTCTAACCTCCGCCTCCCAGGTTCAAGCGATTCTCCTGCCTTGACCTCCCGAGTAGCTGGGCTTACAGGTGTGTGCCACCATACCCAGCTAATTTTTGTAGTTTTAATAGAGACGGGGTTTTGCCATGTTGATCAGGCCTGTCTCGAATTCCTGACCTCAGGTGATCCACCTGCCTCAGCCTCCCAAAGTGTTGGGATTACAGGCATGAGCCACTGCACCTGGCCGCTATCCACATTTCTAACAAGCTCCCAGTTAATGCAGCTGCTGCTTGTCATGAACTGTGCTTTGAGTGGCAAGAGTCTAAGGACCCTCTCCTGCCTCAATCTCTCCCTCTTTCCTCATCTTAAAGAATCTTAAAATCTATATATTTTGAGTGAGAGTCTAACACAGCTTATTTTGCTAGACAGTGTCAACTTACATCACTGAATTTGCTTGCCACTGTGCAGTTGACTAATGAATGAATCACTTAGTTTCTTCTCTTCACACTCTGTAATGGGGCATTTTTCTTATGCTCTACCTCCACCCCTGCCATCTCTTTTTCTTCTTAAGTGGTGAAAAAAATAGTCTTTGTCACAACATATTGCCAGGAAGGCACTGCCCTTTGATAAAATAATGTTATCTCTGTGGGTTTTCCACATTTCCCTCTTAGTCATTTGGAAGTAAATGAGATTGAGTATGTAGTTGTGTACAGAGTGCAAACCACCTCTGACTAACAAAGGAACATCATAGTGATAAATTTGTAGTGACCCCAATCACTTTATGAGCTTTCCACGTGTACAAACAGGTGACACATGGCATTAAACACAAGGGGCAGCTCTCCACTGCAGTCTTGAAAAACACAGCATATCAAAGAGAGGTGAGAGGTGTGTTCTGATTACTTTGTTAGTAATGCTAGTAAAATACATCAAACTTTGCAATGAGTTTATCTTTAAATGTGTTCCAGTGGATTCTAGCTCAGAATTGTGTCTATTGGATGAAGTCATGCTAATTAATTTAGTTATTCACTTTCTAAACCTTTCCTTCAGAATTTATTAAGAGTGGAATTTGTCTCGGACTCTGGAATCATGCATGTATGATTATCTTATGCTTTTTTGCTGCAGGAGATAAAATATAATTTCTGGTCCATAAGTGCCACACAAGTTTATTTTCTCCATTAATATTTCTAATTATTCAGATCCAGCCCACATCTGCTTATGCAACCCAAAAGGGAAAGTAGTGTATTTCTCTCTACAAATATGTCCTTTAAACTTTTGAGATATTATCAGAGGGAAAGTTTCCTTTATTGGGCATGCTCTAACTGAACAATCATGGGTCTTCTACAAAGTGCTTTCATCTCTATTCAATTAGATTAACATTTAGCCTTGTGCTTTATGTCAGGCTCTGCTCACACCCCCAATTCATCCCAAAGACAACTATCATTTGTCTTCATGGCTATTTTGAACCACACTGATCTCTTTTATCTCTGAGTTTATAAGGTTTCACTACTTAAAATTTCCAGCAGATGTTCTATTGTTCTCTATTTGTCCTATGTTTGTTAAATGTAATTTTTCTGAATAGATGATAAGCACATTGAGGGTAATCAGATAATGGATATGTTCCCTACTGGGGTAGGCCGAAAACTAAATCATAATAGGAATTCCATAGCTTGCAATTTATTTCGTGAATATCAAGTGACTGGAGTTCCATTTTTGAAAATGAATAAACAGAATACATATAGTTTTCTACTCAAAGAGAGTGAGCTGATTAAAAGTAAAATGGATGTGAAGGTGGCACTTTACCTCCGTTTCCTTGTTTGCAGTGTATATACTGAACTCAGGTTAATTTGATTCTTTGCTCCTCTAGTTTATTCTCTGTCTTCAATAGAGAGTAAGATTATTCACATGTACTGATTTCAAGAACTTCTAAAGTAATTTCTCTGACTCAAGGCAGAACAAGGAATTCAATGATGCAAAAATATGACTGCAAGTTCTATTCAATTTCTTTTATTTTTCCCATGAAGAGTATAGATAAGATTTGTGACAGAAAACTAAAGGGCCTTTATTCCTTCATTCCTCTCCACTAATTTTAAATAACATGTAAAGAAGAAATTGGAAAAGTGAACCTTCTCAATTTGTGAAAGAGGATATAAGGGGATATTTACTTTCAGTTAGAGAACTGTAATCTCAACTAACCCCCAAGAAATGGTTTGAAGAATTCCCAATGCTTGAAATCTTTTACAAAGGAAACATGAGTGGGGCCAAGAAAAAAAGGGAGGAAGCAGAGTTGCTATTTAATGGAGAATGGCACACATATGCCTTCTAAGATGATCAACTTCTACAGTACCAGGGAAGAGTTCCTTTGGTGTGTGATTTTTCTCCTCCTCCTATTGTTCTTCCTCCTTCTTTTGGTTTACTTTTATTTCTAGGGTAAAGGAATGACAAATGAACTCAGATTGAATGTGACTGTAACCACATGGTAAAAGATCACAGTTCACCCTGTTTATATATTGAAATGGAGGACACTTTACCACAGCAGAGTTGAAGTAACTTTCAACCATGTTCTTAACACATACAAAACTATCATTAGAACAAACTAAATTTGGGATGTTGTTTATGCAAGGAAGTTTTTCTAAATTTACTGAGTGTATCTGTTGAGTTGGAGTTGAAGGAAACCAGGTTGTCCAGCAGAAATGCAGCTATGGGGCAATCGATTAGAAATCGATTACTTAGAAATGTTCAAGCAATGAAAACATGAACTTTCGACAAAGCTCAAGTGTCTTGATTCAGAGTTTGTTTTCTAGATTACAGCATATTTCAGTTAACTTGAAGTTTGAATGTGTGCATAAGGGTATTTTCACAATTAATCTCAAACTTGTTAAGTTCACAAAAATCCTCTTAATGGATAGAAATGGCTTAGAGGTGAATATGGAGACTATACCAGGAAAAACAGGGAATTAATTTGCCTTCTTTTATGAAGAATTTTCTTTACTTCTAATATAGCTATCAGAAATATACAAATATCTTGCTTTGTGTTTGTCTTTCATAAGATATGTTTCTAGATGCTCATTGGTCTATTTTTTCTTCTGTGAGCAGAAGTTTAAACCTTGTAGGAATGAAAGCTTCATTTTATATTATTTTTATGGCATAGATTACATTAATAGATAGGGTGTATGTGAGTGTGTGTGTTAGTATTCGATGTAAAATAAAGACTTCCATATCTAAATGCTACTGAAAGTTGTAGTATAGTAGTTCCTGTCTAAATACTGGATCTCCTTGTGTACAATTCTCACATCTGTATTCAAATTTTGTATATTTGGATTCGTTTCCCAAAACCCTAAGAATTTTCATTCTAACAGATACAAGCTATTCTTATTTACAGTATTTAGAAAAGAAGAAAAATAAGTAGTAGGGAGTGGTATGAACAGAATATGGAAGCAAATTTTTGAGGCATGATCAGGGTAGCCTTTTCTATAGCAACACTGGGAGAGATTCAAAGTTAAGTTCCATGTGGCGTGGTGGCTCATGGCTGTAATTCCAGCACTTTGGGAGGCCAATGCGGGTGGATCACTTGAGGTCAGAAGTTCGAGACCAGTTTGGCGAACATGGTGAAACCCCGTCTCTACTTAAAATACAAAAATTAGCTGGGTGTGGTGGAGGGCCCCTGTAATCCCAGCTACACAGGAGGCTGAGGCAAGAGAATTGTTTGAACCCAGGAGGCAGAGGCTGTAGTGAGCTGAGATGGCACCACTGCATTCTACCCTGGGTGACAAAGGGAGACTCCAACTCAAAAAAAAAAAAAAAAAAAAAAGTTAAGTTTGATCTACAACCAAACCACTATGCTTGTAAGGGAGGAAGATGGGACAATTTTAATAAGCTCTTGGAGAGTTCAGTAGATTCTAAAATACTGGAATCGATTTCTGAGTCAGCAAACCAAAGATGTGAAACATTTAGTGGATGGCAGATGGGAAGAGTTGTCTATGTCAGGGTTTCTGCTAGTCCCTGTTTCAGGTGCTCCATATTCATTACCCTTTTTAACCTTTCCATCTCTTTTATAAAATGGGTATTATTTCTGTTTTATATGGTTAAAAAGTTAACAAAAATTAAATTAAAACTTTTAAGAATTTATTTGTATGTTTGGATATAATGGCAGGCAAGCAAAAAAAAAAATACCAATGACATATAAGGCCTCAGTCTTGAGAATAGGAGAATATTTTAAAAAATCATATCTATTTGACAGCTTCCTTTTACTTTAGCATTAGTCCATTCCATGAGTCAGTGTTCACCAGGTTTCACTAACTAACAAATAGTGACTGGTTGTAATTCTCCCTTTGTTCTCATAGTTAAGAGCAGTGTTTGGGTCTTAGGCAATAAGTTAAGTTAGTTGTTTTAAAATCTGATGACTGGAAAATAGTTTCCAAATAATTAACCTTTAACATGTTAACTTTTACCTTTTAAAGTTTTTCTTATAGTTTTATTTACTATATTTTCATAAACTATAGTGAAAGATTTAAAGAGGCAGAAAAGTAAGGGTACTCCTTGTGTACATCATCATTTTCTCACAAAACTAGAGATGTGAAGCATATCTCAGTATCATAAATAGAAGAATTAACACATACAGTTATTAGGTGCTGCATTATTCTAAGCACTCTACATATATTAACTTATTTAATACTCACAACACCCCTTTGAGGTAGGTATTTTTAGTACTTTAGTTTGACAAATGAGTAAATTAAGGCACAATGAGGTCAAATATTTTTCCTAAGATTATAAAGCTGGTAAGTGGCAGAGGTGTGTTTTAAACCCAGGCCATCTGATACCAGAATCTGCATTCATACCTATCATGCTATGATTTGCAGCTTCTCTAAATGCATAGTAATCCTTGCCTCTGTCAGATCCTCAATGGCCATGGCTTTATTTTAAAACATATTAAAATACTATGTGCCTTACTTTAATATTTAGATGAAAAGAAGAATGAAAATTCTCGAGAGATGAGAAAAAGTAAAGTACTATAGTTTGTAATCATATAATCTGGGAGGGAAAAATATATTTCCTTTTGTGGTATTACATTCTGCTACCTTTCAAAAATAGCAAATTCTTCTCTAATCTGTTCTCTTATACCACCTAGATATGTTTAATAATGTATATCTCCAGCAAAGCAGTGATTAATTCATCCAGAAGCACTTCCTAAGCACCTCCTATTTTGCAGTTACAACTTCATATATTAATATAAAGATAAGTTAGAACAGAAAAAAACAATGATTTACCAAACTGAAATTAAAAACTATGAAAACATTGATAACAATCAGAAGATTTTACTGTAAAAAATCCACAATAATGTGTCTGTCCAAGATTAAAGTCCAAAAAAAAAAAGAAAAAAGAGAACTGAAAAACAAGATGCCCTTAAGACCAGAATAAACGATGTGGTAAATCCATCAGGCTGAGCATGAGAGAGCTTGCTGGGCTATGATGAAAGTAATAGAAACCCAGTGAGAGTGAGTATCTCACATTTCATGGTTCATTTAAAGCCCTAAAAGGAGATGATCAGGATTAAACTAACAAATATCTTTTAAAAACTGATTGATAGAAGATACGTCATGAATTCAAGAAAGGTCAAATGATGAAGGCTCACGACTTTCATCAAATCAGCAAATTCCAACTATCCATCCATGCAACCTGAATTAGTAATTTATACTGGCATATAAATTAGGTCATTTTTACTGGCAATATAATAGTGAGTATCATGTTATAATTGCTGATAACAACAGAAGTCCTTTTAGGACTAGTATTTATTATTATTGTATTCACATGATTTTACTCTACAGCAAACAGTCTATTGCTTTTGATTTATCAGAGAGTTATATCTCTGTTTATCTGACTGACTAATAGAAACCTTTGTCAGTAAAACACCTTTTCCAATTAGCCCTGGTCTGGAAGATACAAGCCAGACTCCCCTCAGTGGGAAAGACTGTCATTGAAACCAGTGGTAAGGTTTCACAGAACCAGTAATCCTGGTAGAATGTGATGGCTTTCCATTAAATGCACATTTGAAGACAAGTAAAATACCTTTGAAATGTATTGAATAGGTCAGATTCAGAACTAAGCTTACCAACTATCCCTGCTAGCCTAGGACTGAGAAATTTCCCAAGACAGGTAACTTTCAGTGCTAAAACTGGGACTATCTCAGGCAAATAGGGTTGGGTAGTCATGCTATGAACAGTATACTCAAGTTGATCCACGAAAGCTGTGTCCCTTCAAAGCACTAATGTCATCTGTTTTTAATCATTGGTCATTGGCATAAAACTTGCATCTTTCTGTAGCCATCAGCCACAGTTTTCTTCCAATTCTCTCAGAAATGCTCAGCATTATGGTTTGTCATCGTATAGAATGAGAGAGAGAGAGAGAAAAAAAAGTTCCAGTTATTCATAGACTCAATCATGTGGAGGTGAGGACAGCAGAAAGAGGGGAGATGTAAATGGTCAAAGTTTGTCCGATAAACAACATCAAGCAACATGTGTTTTCATGACTATCTTTTAGAATGTGAGACTGACAAGATGTAGGAATTAGGGTATATATTATCACAAGCATCAAACATTGTTAAAAGCTCATCTTCATGATTAAAATAATTTTAAAATTGGCCAAGGATCAAGACCTGAGTCAAAGTAAGACCAATTAGCTGATGTGTTGCATGGTGTATACATGGTTTTGTGGTCCCACCAGAGTACAAGCAAGCTCAGGCATCAATCAGCTGAGTAGCTGCATAAATGCTAGAGGGACAATTGTTTAGTGGCAACAAAGGCCAAGTTAAGAACCTGATTTCTCAAACTTTGCAAATGGATCCCCTTTAAGGTAAGTGATTTTTTCCACCACTGGAAGGCCAATAAATCCAATTCAGTTTTGTGCTAATATTTGCTGTTGACATTGATACAGTTAACACAGTATGAGAAACTAATATTCATATGATGACAGTCATCATTTTAGTTTCCTCTAACAAGGAACTAGATGGCAGTGCAAATAAGAGATGTGTCTATTTCCCCTAATGGTCATGGCTCATTGTGACTGGTTACATTAGAATGCTTTGTACTTTTTTTAAGGTCAGTGCTTACACCTCAAAGAAAGTGGTAATAGAGCTCAATATTGCTATAGTAGCTTAGGGAAAATTGATTCTTATAAAGTTTCACAGGCAAGCTTAATAAAAATTGCTCTATTACTCCATTTCCCTTTAACAGTAGAGAACATTTCTTCCACCATAGAATTATTGTAAAAAGGTTGTATCAGCACTTTGCAGGTTGGGATTCCAAGGTTCTAAGAAATGAGGTTATATTCAAGGTTACCTGTTTCTGCAGAATGACTAGAAGTCATGTCATTTGAATAGATAAATGTCATTTATTATGCAGTAGATATTTATACTTTGGTCTTGTCTGTAACCAACTGATAGTAACCTTGATTCCAGACCCAGATTTATTATTATTAATACACTTCTATGTAAAAGTACTGACTATAAAATTAAGTGGGTTAGTACTAGGAGTATTTGACAGCCTTTTGCTAAATTCAAAAAGACCACATGGCAATATACTTCCTGCTAGACAGCTGTCCCCATAAAAAATCTGCTCTCACAAGAAGCATCCTTGTTGACCAGCTGAATGACCCACTTGTGTCTGGGCAGAAATCCATTCATTCTAGAGCCAATATATTGCTAGGAAGCAAAAGAAAAACTGCTCTTTTATACTCATACGTTACAAATAATAATAGAGACATATAAATCTGGACTTCATTAGTTTAAATTTGATATCCTTAATCATCAATAAAACAATAAGACAAAAAAGATGTGATCATTTCTTGAACATTTTATGTGATATATTCCATTTTTCTAATGGAAAAGAGCTTTGCTTTTGCTGGATTCTTTGTGAAAACAGCAAATCATAAGGAATTCTCTTTAATTATTATAGATTGGTACTCTTTCTTACACAATGTAAGAATTCCTTGCCTCAGGGGAAATTAACCTTAAGTAACTGATGACAAATGGATAAAAAGAGGTAATGTCAGCCTCATTTTGTGAAAACTGGAGATAAGCAATTCAGAAAATGACAGACATGGCTAAAGAGTTGCTGTCACAATTCTTTGCCATCCTAGAGCAACTATGCAGACTGCTCTTGGAAACTGTGTTGTCTTCCTAATTCAGACAGTTATGACTGTCCTGCTCAATAAAGTCTCTTAATATTAGAGTAAATGTAGAAAATAAGTATTTTTTCCAAGATATAGTTAGGCCACTGTCTTTTATGTTATTTTATTTTATACACTGAGGACTTTTCCTAGGCATACCATGTTACTTAGTTCAAAAGGCCTAGATGAGGAAAAGCGAACATGTTGTGGCTTGGTAAAAAGATAATGAAGAATACTGACCTAAATTCAACTGGCAATTCTTCCAGTTATGAGGGATTGATACTTGATATGTTATTTATCCCTTTTGCCTAGTCTTCATGTACATAAAATTAGTTAATGCTACTTCATATGGTTGATAATGATATTTAATCAGAACATGTATAGGGTGCCTGGCACAGGACCTGGTCCCAAAAATATTTGTTTTATTTTGGTTCACAGTTCAAATAATATAAGAAATCTCTCGACTTATTGAACCTTCTTGCCTATACTAACTTCTTAAAGATGTTTTTCCTGATGACCCAAGCAAATAAATATTTGTCTGTATTATGAATGCTTATACACTTATATTCACTTTGACATAAAATATACTCATGATAGCCTGTCTTATATTACTGTTTTGGTTTCTTTTTGTCCATTTGGGAGTCTTCTTCCCACAAGACCATGTCCATTTGGGGGGCACAAGAACTATAGTTTATATTTTCACAGAAAATACCTCACCCAGCTTTCATCCAGCGTAAGATTGCTTTGTCTTTAATTGTAACATGTTTGTTGAATGAATAGTAGAACCACCATCTTAGCTTTGGCACAAAGTGATGGGAACAATAGTTGAGGAAGTTTTCACATTTTTTTATATACCCCAAAGTAATGTATATAAGCCATTTAAAAAACCTCAAAGTCAATGTAACAAAATACCCACATACAAAGGATTGTAGGGGCCTTAGAACACTTCTTAAATAGGATGGGTGGCAAAGAAAGGGCTAAAGAGCAGCCTAAATGTAATGCCAAAGGAAAAACAATTCAGAAAAAGACTGATGAGTTTTTGGGATAGGGTGGTTGTAGAAGGGGCTTTATCCCCCTTTTTGTGAGAATGCAGGCTGGAGCAATGATTAGCATATTTTTTTCTAACTGAAAAGGTGGTAAGATAAAGTGGTACAAGAGAGATGCTTCAGGTTTCAGTAAAGATAACTTCTCTTAATGTTCATTTTAACCATGTCTCAGAAGGGCATCACTTTCTCATTTGGGAGCTCAGTCTTGTGTGTTTCCTAGCCAGTTGCTTTTTGTCAGGCCCTAAAAATCACTCTAAAGGGGTGATTTTTTGCTTCTTATGTGAGGTTTCTTGAGTTCTCCATGGAAAACTCAATATATTTAATAAGTAAATATAGCTTAAAGTGAGAATCACAAATGTCAGCTGCTTTCCTGGGAATGCATCCCAACTGGAGCATGTCCTTTCAGAGGTATTAGTAGCTCGGCGTTTCAGTAGTTCCCTTCCCTTGAGCTTTTACAGGGTGTTGCTGCTTTTGATTACTAGCAAGAGTGGAATGTGAAGCAAATCAGGTTGTCTCCTTAAACCAGCTTCTGTGGCTCTGTAGCCATTCTATTAGGTTTGGAGACAGTGTCATGTAACGAAGTACACATAGAGCGCGCCTAGGCACACTGGCCATACAGAAGAGGACCTCGTGCCTCCCTTCCTGTGGGGCATTGATAGAGTAATCCTAAATACTCTCATTAGTACTCTGTGCTTTCATTGGGAGGCAAGTGAAAAAAAAAGCAACAAAAACTGGAAGACAGCTGCTATTCTTATGAATTTTTTTCTTTCCTCTCTCTTTTCTTGCCACTTTCCCTCCCTCACTCCCTCTGACTTTCCATATGCTTTTCTTTGAATCAGTAACTAAAACATTTCACCAGATTTTACAAAAGGCAACAAATTGCTTTTTCTTTAGAGGACTTTGCCAACTATTATCACAGCATTGGTTATAAGTTTCTTAAAGTCAGCCTTCAGCTACATTGCCCTTTTCTGTCTATATCTAGAAATACATTTTTCAATATCATTGTAATTACTTGGATAATGTGCCTATGTATCAGTTACATACACTCCCTGAAAGACTAGGTATCTTACCCAAATATAAAAAACAAGTGTTTACTCTGGCATTGAAGATATTTGTTAATCTGCTTTTCATCTCTAACACAGTATTTGGGGACAACAGCTATATTTCCAATGTTAAAACTATCCTCTGGGTAATGTTAGAATCCCTGAGTAAATGTATAGACCTTTAGTTTTCTTCTTTCAAATAATTGTGATATTTGGTATTTATCAAGTGGACCTTTAAAAAGTTTGTTTTTAATCTTGATTAGTTTTTACAAGTGAGTCTTCAGTGTTTGTATGTGTATGTGTTTTAAGGAATCAAAAAAATGAGTTCAAATATAAACTATAAATTAATAACTTTAATTTAGAAAATTCTGTAAAATTTAAGTTCCTAATACCCAAATAACATGAACAGCCCGTCCTTCCTTTTAAAATTGATACAAGTATATGAAATTATGTATTTGGACTATTTTTATAAATGTTATAAAATTCTATATATTTATTTTTATTTTTCAGCCATAAAAAGGTTCTAAATTGATTCAACATTAATTATATTTAAAATTATAGAAGATAAATATGATTCATTTCTAAGATGTTTTGCGATAACCCATATCTTTGTAGATAGATACCTACTTAATTTTCATTCAGACTTATTTTTTCTAGGAGGATACTTTTTGTCAAATCTTGTGATAGTTGGCTATAATGTCAAAAAAATTATTTTGCAATTATCAAAAGTATTAATACCTACAATTAAATACTATTTTCACCTTTACAAACAATACAGGGTGATTGTTACAGGTTATTTTGAATTACAGTTTCTCATTATCCATGCTACTGTTGTCTAATATTTTCACCTCATCTTCTGTTTAAACCTCAATAGAGTCATTGTGGCTATTTTCACATCATTTTACTGTTAAGGATTATTTGGATTCATTTATATTGTTTACCAATTTATTTGATGATCCATTTATTTGAGGAAAGATTACATTCTTCCATTTGTGTCAAATTTCTTATGTTGACAACTTTGGTGCTTGAATTATTGAATTTGTAAGAGTAATAAATCTCGATTTTTGTTTGTCCAAAAATGTCTTAATTTTACTGTCATTCTCTAATAATATGTAAGAACTTCTGGCAAGACTTTATTTAATGGTAGATCTAAGATTTAAGCAAAGATGGGGGTAGAACTTTTTTTTTTTCTTTTTCTGAACTAGGTATCAGGCAGGTGTCTCAAACACACATTTATTATTGTTATTATACTTTAAGTTCTGGGGTACATGTGCAGAACGTGCAGGTTTGTTACATAGGTACACACATGCCATGGTGATTTGCTGCACCCATCAACCTGTCATCTACATTAGGTATTTCTCCTAATGCTATCCCTCCCCTAGCCCCCCACTCCCTAACAGGCCCCAGTGTTTGATCTTCCCCTCCCTGTGTCCATGTGTTCTCATTGTTCAGTTCCCACTTATGAGGGAGAACATGTGGTCAAACACACATTTTTAGCAAGATTGTTAGCTGTTTGGTGGGAAATTGTGCTACCAACATTTTCCCCAACATTATTATCAACTGGCAGAAGCTAAATATTTGGAAAGTGCTCCATTAAAAAATATAAATATTAATTCATAGACTGATGAATTTCTAATACTGAGAACTGAACAAATTGTAACTGGCCTGTGTGCAGCAATACTGATTAATCACCTGGATCTTTGCTCCTTGTGGCTTGATGTTTGTTATGACATTTATATTATTTTGAGTTATAATAAGCCAGCCCAATAATCATAACTATAAAAATACCAGCATGTAAGGTTACCATTTTCTCAGCTGCTTATAAACACAGCATATGTAGCAATAGTTGGTTCAATATCAGGCTATGTCGGACTTTTGCACACCCGTAGTTGTTGCAGATATATGATTGTGTGACAGATCATCCATGTCAGGTCAGGCTGGCTCAAATCTTCGATATGTTGATTTAATGATTCTATCTACTTACATTTCTTGAGTGGTTATGCTATAATTGCTTAGTAATTTTTATACAGTTCACTAAGATTGTAGACTGAACAGCAGAATGAAACTCATCCACTCCCTAAACTACACATTTCCAAAGCTGCAAAACTAGCTAATTCAATATAAACTTCACTAATTAAACAGAAAATGCTGATTGAGCACCTTCTATGAGCAGACACGATTTTAAAGATGCTATATGTACAGAAACTTAATTCTATTAATCACAAGACCGGGATACCATTGTTAAGCATAATTCTACATTTTTTCAGTGTTTCGTGATTTAGCAGTGGCCGATTTGAGAACTGTAGGAATCTAACATCAATTTATGGTTTTAACCCTATTTTACTGCCTACTCCAGTTTCACTAATAACTGATTTAAACATTTGTATTTGATGGGAGATCGAGGTAAAGAGGAGTAACCCATGGCTTCATGCAATTATTGGTATGAGTTTTTACACTTACTTTCTTTTCACAAAGGAATATCCAACACCTTGATGGGGGCGAGAGAGAATTGGAGAGATGAACATATGTCATTGTACTACAGAAATGAACATTATGCTCTGATTCTTTTGATCAAACCAAATGAGCCAATTCCACTTTTAACTTCCTTAGAAAAACTGCAAGTTTCAAACTACTTGCCGTGTTGTGGAATTGTTACTGGAACAATTACTTTGGCATTACAGTAGCAGTTGTCAGAGAAGCTCCTTACAAAGCATCTGCCATGGATGATTCATACCTTCCACATTTATAAGAAAAATTTTGGTTTTCCTTGCAAACAGTTGAGAAAGTCCTTGAGCAGTTTCTAACTCATTTCGGCAGTGCAAGAGGCTGATTAAATATCCGAAATGTCACTTCGTTTTCTGAACACCCTTGAGAATCATCCTTGATAAACAATATCAGTGGCTGCCACACAGGCTAGTCACATGGCAGAAAAGCATTTTTTACAGCTCCCTCTGCCTTCTCTATTAGAAGCATCAGTGACCTAAGTTTTAGTTTTTTTCATCTCCGGGCCTTGTTGGAGCAGACAATGGCAGTTGTGCCAGAATGTATGATGGTTTAATGATGTTCAGAATTGCTTCATGGCCAAAAGTCAGAGACAATAATCCTTGACATGGATATACTGATGATTTTAGACTCCTGGAATGGAAAAGGGAGGGCACCGATTTTTAACATATTCCTTCTCCTTTATTCCCAAATCTCATGCTATTGTGGGTTTTAAAGTAACAGTTACAGGTATTTATTTCTGAGAGGCTAAATGCTTATTGACACTTATACCTCCCCAGATGAGGTGTATACTGGTATGTGTTTGGAGGATAGTGGGAGTTTTCAGCACTTTTTATAAATCTTGGGGACACATGTTTATGTGTAGCCTGAGGCTAATAATATGGAACAAAACAATGGCGTTTGGAGATGGATCTAATTCCTAACAAAAAGTAACGTTCAGAGAAGGATTATTATTACTTGGTCTGTAATTTGTGTGCATTAAAATTAAACTGATGAGTAGAGTTGTTTTTTAATTTTAGGATTGGTAGTATAACCACTTGAAAGTGCAGCCTATATTCTGATATTTAAAAATATATATATTCAAATTTTTTAGATACAGAACACATATTATCAGCAGCAAATTTATTTGCTGAAATTTCCTGAGGACATTTAGCATAATATTTTTGAGATACAAATATTGCTATTCATAAAAACTTTGAAATAAATGTTTTATGTATTTAGCAAAATTGTAATACTTTTTTTTGCCTAGAATATAAAAGTACATATGACAAAAAGTTATCCAGAAAAATGTTTAATCAAATCATATTGACAGCAATAAACCCATGAAGTCAACAATACTTTGAGAAATGCAGATAAAGTATTGGGTAAAGTTTTGCAATACATTTTTTGCAATATTGAAGCAAAAACCAAACTACATTTTTTTTTTTTTTTGAGATGGACTCTGGCTCTGTCACCCAGGCTGGAGTGCAGTGGAGCGATCTCGGCTCACTGCAAGCTCCGTCTCCTGGGTTCACACCATTCTCCTGCCTCAGCCTCCCGAGTAGCTGGGACTACAGGCACCCGCCACCACGCCCGACTAATTTTTTGTATTTTCAGTAGAGACGGGGTTTCACCGTGTTAGCCAGGATGGTCTCTATCTCCTGACCTCGTGATCTGCCTGCCTCGGCCTCCCAAAGTGCTGGGATTACAGGCATGAGCCACCGCGCCCGGCCCCAAACTACATTTTTATGATTTGTTTGTGGTAAGATGTAAGGCCTTATCTTTACACAAGATGAACTTAATTACCAGTTGCATTAAATGGAGAAAATGTATTATTTAAATACGTATATAGATATACACATGCATATATATACATATGCACAAATTTGATATCAATTTTATAAATGTAAATAGGGTTAGAAAAATATCTGCAAAATATTGATATTTACTAATGGGTGAAAACACTTTCAGAAGCTATTTTTTTATATTATTCTCAAGTTCTATAATGATTAGGTATTACTCTTATAATAGCTGTGATAGTAGATTTTTAAGGTGAGCTTGAATATGAAGGTATCTCCCATTTTTATTACTGGAATATAAACGTTAAGAATGCAGATGAAATCGTCAAATGTTCACTTATAATATTTATTCTAGTCTTTAAAAAATGTATAAGATCACACCTTATATGCCATAATTTGGAATTATTTTGATAGTTTCAGATTATAAAACTTTTTTTTAACTTTTTAATGTGAATCTTGGACAACGGACACTGACGTTTTCATCTGAACTATAACCATTTTTTAAATTTTATTATCACTGTTGTTCCAAGCACAATATCTCTAATTTTATTAAAATTTTTGGAGATACAGCATTTTAAAAACCGTGTATGATGTTGCTACTAATAATTTTTGTTCAAATATATGAATTCTCATTAGCAAAATATGTTGACATTACCCCCTCATTCACCCTGTAGTTGTATATTTGTGATCTGTGGAATGAAAGGACTTGTATTAAATGGCAAGAACCACAATTACTTTCGCACCAACCTAATATTTCTTTGTAAAGCCTGTTAAAAAAATAGAGTTAGATTGACATCTCATACAGATGTCACTCCCCCAATAATCAGAATTGTTACTAAATGCTAAGCTGTTCTGAATCATCCACATCTCTCTCTATATATGTAATGTATATACACATACGAACACACATTTTTCAGATAAACTTCATAAATACATCAAACTAATGCTACTTTATATTTTTTCTGGCAATTTTTTTCACCAAACAAGGTTTTGTTGTCCAACAGAAAGCAAAATTTAGAAAGTACTATACTATAAAGACTTCAAAATATTCTCATTACATTTTAAGATACTTTTGAGAAAAAGAAGCCTTTTATTATATTTTGGCATAGAGCAAATACAAATATTATTTTTAATCTGTAATGTGCCTATGTTGTGTTTGCTTGTGAATATTCAAGCTTGCTATAGAGGACAAAAAGATAGATAGGAATAAGATGATTTAGAACAGATAAGTAGTAATTGCATAGAACATATATGTGAACATAGAAGGAGAGGAAAGGACAAAGAGATACTTAATATACATGCAACACTAAATATCAGAGGCTCCTACTGTCATCAGGCATTAAACATACATGAGGCACCTAAGGCACTGAATATTTACGATGCACTAAATAGAAATAAGGCACATGAGGCACACAATGATCAGGAGGTTTTAATTAAGCTCCCATTGGTGATCTCTAATCGGGTGCCAAGTGTCCCCTCCCTAAAAAGCACACAAAATTCAGTGCTGCTTGGCCAGCTAATTGGTGAGCTACAGCTCTGACCAGACTGACTTGACTGCCTTTCTATCTCTCAGACAGAAAAAGTATATGTTGGCCAGGCATTGTGGCTCATGCCTGTAATCCCAGCACATTGGGAGGCCAAGGGGGGTGGATCACCTGAGGTCAGGAGTTCCAGACCTGCCTGGCCAACATGGTGAAACTCCGTCTCTACCAAAAGTAACAAAAATTAACCGGGCGTGATGGTGCAGGCCTGTAGCCCCAGCTACTTGGGAGGCTGAGGCAGGAGAATCGCTTGAACCCGGGTGGAGGGTGCAGTAAGCCAAGATTGTGCCACTGCACTCCAGCCTGTGAGACAAAAAAAAAAAAAAAAAGAGAGAAAGTATGTGTCTTGTGTGTCTTTGGCTGCAAACATCCTCCACACTATCAGAGACACAGGACATCTGAGCATTGTATAACCCACGATTCAGGTCGTGGGACCCTTCTGCTCTGTTTGTATTGTACCTTACATATGCTAGCTTACCTCATCTTTTTTCACCTACATTATCTTAGCATATATTTCAACTGGGTTAAATAAATCATAAACAACAGCATTTTATTTCTGTCTGTTGAGTGTTTCTGTCTTGTGACTCTAGGATAGTTTGTTTGACAGTGTACTTGGACACTACCATTGTATCAAGGTTATTTCCTACATTACAAAGTATATTTGTGTTCCAGCTCAGGTTTTACCGTCCTCAAAAAAGTACTTGTATAAAAGAAATACCAAACATAGAGTTTTACTGCAATATCTCATCATGCTCTAAAATAAAAGGGAAGTATGCTTTGCAGTACTGTTTTTCCAGTGAATTATAGATGCTCAAGCAAAGAAAATTTAAACTGTTTGGCATATGAAGTCTGTGTGTATGTTTTGGGGGTGGGTTTAGGGGCAGGGGTGGGCAATGGCACCTGGAGAAAAATGAGATTCTTAGGTTATCGCCTTATAAAAATGTTCATTCAAATAAAACTAACTCCAAGAGACACTTGTATGTTTTGAGACGGGTAACTTGAAGACTGAGAGAAATGGTGATGATCCTAAAGCATAAGGAAACACAACCTCTTATATTTGAAGGGCTTGTCAGGAGGATTTAAATTTACAATTAGAGAATTCTTCTTTGACTTTTATTAGGGCTTTCTGAGAAGACTAATTGAGATCCCCTTGGGGAAATTTTATTCAGTGAGGGTCTCTACCTCTGTGACACCACTACATCAAAGGTAATAGAATTTGCACACTGATTGGATTGAACAAGAGCCTCTGTTATCTGTAAGCTGAGGTGGTGAACTTGGAATATTAACCTTTCAGGCAACACAAGAATGTAGAATTCTAGTTTCGTCTCTTCTAAAAATGTAAATAGACTTAAAATATTCACCCAGGCTGACCTGACAACATGTCAGTACGCAGAATTAAAAAAAAAAAAAAAAAGAAAACCATTATAGATTGACGTGTTCTATTTTGGATTCCAGTGAACTCCTGGCAAGTTCTAGGGAAAACTCATAACATGCTGTAACAAGGAATTATATATCTGTAGATTGCCAACTCTAGATTATCTTATACATTTATAAGAGGATATTTCAGAATAATCTTTCTCACACATATCCTATTTTCATTCCAATTGATATTGTACTAATTCCAAGTTCATTATCTGTAGTGTAGATAAGAAAAAAGCTACATATTTGGATTATTTTATGCTCCTCTCTATGACCACTTGTTTTGGCTTTCATAATTTAAGAATTTTATATGAATAGAATATTCACCTAACAATGAAGACAATCATAAGTAAAACAAATCTAGCACCCATGTTTTAAAAAGTTATATGTATCTATTTTTAGATTTTTATACTGGAAGTGTGTGTTTTATGTGTATTTATTTCATTTTTAAATTAAATGTCTATTACCTCGTAAACTGCTTCTTTTTCATTTCATAGATCATTCATACATTTTCATATTGTTAAGAATATTTTTATCAGTAGCAATTTGTATTATGTGTGCCTATATATGTGTGTGTATATATATATATACATATATTAAATATAATTTATATAAGTAGTCTTTAAGATCAGAACCACTATTTGCAAAATTCTGGGAGTACCTATTTATATTATAGTTTCTGTGTATTGCTGATCTCCCTAAGGTTGAACTTAATAGACCTGCCTCAAATATATTTCTAATAATTCCACCTTTCCATTGTTAAATGACAGTATAATGAACACCTTTAAGAATAAGATACCTTGGAAACAATCACAGTAAGTTGCTTGGAAAGAATTCTTACATTTGATATTGCTTGGACTAGGATGAAAATATGAAGTAATTTGGTAACATTAATTAATTTTTTTCATAAAGGGCAATTTTATCTCACCTACCAAATCTGTGACGCTTCCTTTTACCTTGAGCCTTCATTAATATATGATATTATTATTAAAATAAATGTGTCTATTAGTTTAATAGGTAAAATAGAATGCTATTTTATTATATAGTTTGAAATTTTTCATGTGATTAATTTTACATTTTATGACTTATTTGATAAGTCTTTCATTTATGACCTCTGGCCACTTGTCTTTCAGAGCTTTTTTTAAAAAATGTATTGTTTTTATTGTTTCTTAAAAGTTTTCTTGTTCCAATATCTACTATATATATTAAAATATTTTTTCAAATTTCCTATTTTCTTTAATTTTTATACAGTTCAATGTACTCATTTTAATCTGTGTATCACTCCTTTACTGCACATTGGTTTGTAATCTTTTTTGAAGATTCTCAATAATATCTTAACAGATTAACTTTTGCTAAGAATTCAATAAATAATTAATTGAACAATAATATGTCCTTTCTGGGCTGGGTGTGTGATGGCTCATGCTTGTAATCCCATTACTTTGGGAGGTCGAGGCAGGTGGATCACCGGAAGTCAAGAGTTCAAGACCAGCCTGCCCAACATGGTAAAACCCTTTCTCTATTAAAAATATAAAAATTAGCCCAGCATGGTTGTGGGTGCCTGTCATCCCAGCTACTCAGGAGGATGAGGTAGGAGAATCGCTTGAACCTGGGAGATGGAGGCTGCAGTGGACTGAGATTGCACCATTGCACTGCGGCCTGGGCGACAAGAGCAAAACTCTGTCTCAAAAAAAACAATACATACTTTCTGTTTAGTGATTCCCTCACTTGCAGGAGATATGCCATTAAGTCTTTTATTATATTTAATTGTATCTAACTTTACTTCTCTATTAGTTTATTTACTACTTATATACAACTATTTTATATGTTTTTTTTTTGTTATGTTTATAAACTGTGAGGTCAGGAGATCTATCTTCATATATTTCTATAACCCATAGCTCAAAAAGTAGTATGTTTGCTAAGGATAATCACAATTTCAATAAAAATAGAGGAATGAACTCATTAACTAGCTTTAACCAAAAAAATTATTATCAGATAATTCAGAGTATTTAAAGAGTTACCCAATAATGATTGGTCTTTTAATAAATTTACTCACACAGCCTACAAAAATACAGTCATGTATCCACCTGGAATATGGAAGGTCCACCAAATTATTTTAAAACAGTCTAAATATTAATATTTAGCTTACTTTTATGAAGTACATACTTATCACCTACCAAAAAATTCTTTGTAGGTATTTTCTCTTTGTTTTCAAAATGATCTTCTAAAATAAATAGTATGACCCTTTTTTTCAGATGAGAACATTGAGGATCTGAAAACTATAAGTAACTTGTTTTGTGGAGTCAGGAAACTAATCACAATGACTATATTCGTTTCCACGTAAAGGCTGCGTTCTCTAGTTTATCTTTATTAAAATTCCCTAGGGGGTATATATTTGAATAAAACAGTGTAACCAAAACTTTTCATTTATTTGAATATATTTTGTGGGCCTTCACTGAGACCCTTATGCTAGAAATGATTTGAAATAACTAAAGTGAACTAGAGCTGTATAAAGAGCTTATGAATTCAAGTCCAGCCACAAAAACAATTTAGAAGCATCACAGAAAAATATCATGGTAATGAACTCCCTGGCTGAGAATGGCCCTTATTTTCTTCTCTAATGGAGTTTCAGTTCACTTTGCCCTGAAGAGACACAGAAAGTATAACTGTCACTTGGACTTTAAGTCATTCTCATTGATATTTCAATGATTAGGGAATGATAAATGAAACCTTCCCACAGCCGTATCTCTGAAAGGACCTGCTTCTGATAGCTCTGAATATTATACTTTCCCAACTGGAAATCCATTAAAATGAGACTGAATTGAGCGCATGCTGAGTGAAAATGATGTGAAAGTGAACAAGATAATAAAGAAAATCAGAAGGGTCCAGAGGCCTGTTGGAATGTCTTTTGAGGCTACTGAATTTGTTGTAGTTGTTTGCATTAGAATTCATCAGATTCGCTAGAAAGAATGGCATTTGTTTACTGAGAATCCTTCTATTTCTCAATTAAGATATTAGTAGAAACAATCTAGAGCTTTGCAATCAATTTATCCTCGCTTCTTTATTTCGTATTGCTAAATCAAGGAGTTCTTAAAAGTCAGTGATCAACAAAAATGCCCATGGCTTCATCAAAATGAAGAGTTCCAATCCTTGCCTACTAAATTCCAAAAGAAGATAAAGTGGGGCTTAAGCAATAACACTGAATATATACATTTATATGTGTACATGTGTGTATACATATTAGTTAATTCTAGGCACTATCTCCTGTCTCTTATGAGTAATTAAAACTGGGGAGGGAAAAGGCTGCAAAAAGTTACATATATATGTACATAACTTTTGTATTATATGTATATATGTATTACACTTTTCAGCTTCATTCAACAATTTCTGAGTATACACCATATGAAGGATACTTCAGATATAAAAATATCAAGTAGCTCACAGACTAGCAAGGAAGACAGACACAGATATTGTTCTTTATAAAAACATTTGATGAGTTCTGTAATAAAAGCATGAGTCAAACACTATGGCATCACGCAGGGGGTAAACTGTTCTGTATTTTAGACTAATGTAGCCTGAATAATTCTTTTGTATGGTAGATTTATATAAGGCCAGCCTTTATATGTTGTAAGAAAAGTCTATTCCTCTGCATTATGCTTCATAAACCTTTGAACGTTTGTCACAGATAAATTGTGCAGACATTGAAGCTCTTAACTTTTGATTGGTCTTTAAATATTATGTCTCCATATAAACCATATTTTTGGTTTCAATAACAACACAAACAACAAAAACCACATGACAAGATGTGCAAAAGGAGGAGTATCCTTGGATTGGCTAATTCACCAGTTAGATGATGCTAGGCCCACTATCCAAGGAAGAAAAATGTAGGAGAAAAAGGGAAGAACAAGAAGGTAGAAATAGTAATTTCTCCTCACATCTTTCTTTTTCTCTCTCCCATTTCCTCTCTTCACTTTTCTTCTTTCCTATAAAGAAGAATAATCCTCCCAGAAGCCTTCAGCAGGCTGTCTCGAGTTTCATTTGCACCAGCAGATCATCTCTTCACCATCACTGGAAATGTGGAATTGCATGGCCAGATGAATCAAGGCGTATCATTCATGGTTAGGAGAAAAGAGAGGAGGAAGATAAGTAGATATCTTCCCTAAATATATTGCGTTTAACTTAGACTAAATCAGGTTGCTCTTATAAAGAATGAGCAGAATTGCACTTGGATAGACAAGAATGTTAATTAGTGTAGCCCCAAACCAAAGTATTTGGCTTTTAATTGATTGGTGTAAAACAAGGGGAAACTGACTTGGTAATCCCAAATACAGGATTTAAAAAAAAAAAGGCTTTATTCTAAACTATGTGATGTTGTATCTGGTGCTTCTTTGCATTTGTAATTTCAGGTCGGCAAAACTTCCTTCTCTAAGAACACATCAAGAGCTAGTAAGGAGCAATGGCTTAAACACCAGCTGACAGGCAAACGAGACAAGCAAGGGCTGTATAGATTACTAACATTTCTAACCCATGGAAGCTCTAAAGAGGTCAAGCATCTGCTTTACAATCTAAAGTCTGTCGATATAATGGTACTTAACAAAACTCAGACAATATACGATGTCCTGCACGTCAAAGTCTATATAAACTAGAAATTTTGATGAGAGGACAGTTTCAAAATGAAATTATTTGGCTCTAAAATTTACATATATGTGAAGTAGGTCACACCAAGAAATGACTGATTTTTGTATTGGTTTGTTTGTTGGTTGAAATGTGATCTACAAAATGACACCGTTTCAGAGCTCGAAAATTGAATCAGGAGGTCAGGAAGCCATCCTGAAAAGGACTACTGACACGATCTGCAATTCTACCAGAAAAGCAAAAAAGGGAGGGGAAGGAAAGGGAAAGTAAGGGGAGGGGAGCAGGGGAAGGCAGGGGAGGGGAGGGGAAGGCAGGGGAGGGGAGGGAAAGGGAGGGGAGGGGAAGGGAGGGGAGGGGACCAGGAACTTGTCGTGAACCCTTGAACTGGGAAAAACTGCCACAACCACAACATCCTGGAAAACAGGTGGATTTCACCACTGCTGTGACTCCTGAATAGCAACAAATAATGAATTATGGACTTATGCACTATGCCAGCCACCTCCACCAATGAGTGATAAGTCTTTCAAAACAACTTGTGTAATCACCCTTAGCTTCCTTTTAAAAATCCCTACTCGCTGGGCGCCGTGGCTCATGCCTGCAATCCCAGCACCTTGGGAGGCCGAGGCAAGTGGATCACTTGAGGTCAGGAGTTGGAGACCAGCCTGGCCAACATGGTGAAACCCCATCTCTATTAAAAATACAAAAAATTAGCTGGGCGTGGTGGCAGGGAACTGTAATCCCAGGTACCGAGGAGGCTGAGGCAGGAGAATCGCTTGAACCCAGGAGGCGGAGGTTTCAGTGAGCCGAGATTGTGCCATTGCACTCCAGCCTGGGAGACAAGAGTGAAACTCCATCTCAAAATAAATACATACATACATACATACATACATAAAATCCCTACTCCCCTTTCTCTCTCTGGAACACAATTTGGCTGAATCTGTGTCTCCCAAATGACAGTTCCTAAAACCTGAATAATGCCTTGCCTCACTGCTTTGCAGTCTGGTCTTTTACCTTTTCTTGGTTGACAACTGTTTTAATTCCTTCACAAAAGTCTGCTCAACTTCCATTAATTTTCCAGCTTGGGCTAACACCTCAAAATCTTTCGATCAATTCTATATGGGCATGAACATGTACACTGAAATTAGTGGGAGTTCTCAGAATAGATGAGGCAGGAGCAAGACCTATTAAATTTTGAGCATCGTGTCAGTGAGGGTTAAAGAAGATTGCCTTAGACTACTGAAAAAGAGGTAAGACAGAGAAAATGGGTATCTGAATAGTGATTTATTATTAGTAATAAACTTGGCCAAGAGACCAGCAGGCCCTAGAATTAATCTTACCCAGGAAATCGCGATGACAGTTCTCTCAGAGCTGGTTTTGAGCAAAACCAAAAGCTTCCTGAAGAGCCAAGGAGAGGTATGTTCCAAATGTAGCTATGGAAAAGTAGGCCAGTGGATCAGATGCTGGCTTTTGAAGAGCAAAACAATGTTAGGGAAGGAGAAGTGTGGCTTATGCATAAAGAACTGTTTCTATGCACTGTGGATAACAAGCAAAGATGAGATTTAATACTTATACACATGAGAATGCATATCGATGACATATCATGAAATGTAAAGACAGCACTTGTAAGTATTTGGAGAGCACCTGCTCTGTGCCTGCCATTGGGGTGGAAGTGTCAGCATCTTCTTTTTGACATTTCCTAGTGTATTAGTTCATGTTCAGCCTCAGACTTAAAACCAACATGAAAACGACAGACTGAGAAGCTTGCCTTTACATATACAAACAGTGATATATGTTGGCACTTCGGGGCAACATTTGTTCTCTGTCAGCACTTCATTGACGACTTAAAGTTCCTTTATGTTGACTTTGGCAAGGAGAGGGCCAACAAAAGCTAAAACAATAGATTGAAATGCGTAATGCATTATCCTTGATTGTGTTACTATATTTGTTTTTCCCTTGGAGTAGCCAAAGCTGCCGCAGAAGCTGAAACAGTTGAGCTCTTGTTAAGCTATCTGCACAATGCCTAAACAGTTATTGAAAAGCTAAAAAAAAAAAATTGTGTATTCAACCAGTTTCTGCCTCAGGACAAACGAATATTTAGCTCATCTTTAGTATCACATTACTCCCAAACTAGAGTAGAATCTAATCAATTGCAGAAAGCTGAGTATAATATATAAATTATCTCCAAAGTTATTTAAAACAAAACTTATTACTGATTCGGAATTGCATATGCATTCATTTAATTGTATATATTGGACAAAGTTTCCTTAGAAAATAAAAGAAATGATTTATTTAAAAATAAGTTTGTATTAGGTTGAAAGGCCCCAATTCAGTTTTTTATTTTGAAAATCATTAATCACATGCATGTTTGCTATACAAAGTTAATATGAACATAATTAAATATCTTAATCTTTTAAAAGGCAAATAAACTATTGAGTAAGATGAATGGAACTTCCAGTATTTAAAATGCAATTGTAGTTAAGCATGTGTTTTTCTGTCTTTGAAGAAAATTATCTTTTTTGACTCATAATTTCTTTGGCATACAACTTATACAAATTAAATTGATGTTGCACTAGGCTTTTTATATTGTGTATGGATTTTAAAATAAAGGAAGATAACATAAAAATAAAGGTTTTGTATGTTCCTTTTAATACATTTGAAAAAAAGTTTTTAAAAAAATTAATCACAAATTGAGTCCTTAGATACTTTATGCATTAAAAGTCCCTGCTGACTTCTATGAGGTGTGAACTTATCCAGATTGTCAGCTTTGTTAATAATAAAATGCTAAAAAAAAATTGCTAAATTGAAGCTTTAATAGGTATGCAAATCAGGAAAACGCAAAATGTTTAAATGTGCAAGTGCATGGTTTCCTATAAAAAGCACTAAATTCAAAGTTACTCTCTCTTTTCTTTTTCTGGAAGTTATCATAATTAACTAAAAAGTCACAAGAAACATTTGTGACTATAGCTTAAGCTTATTTTTCACATATCCATCACACATAATGAGCTAAGGGACTTTTCTCAAATGTTGTGATTAACATTCACCTTTTCATGAACCCTATGCTTAGAAAAATATCAAAAAAGAAAAATTTCAGGAAACGACAAAACACAACAATAGGTATTTAAAGTCCTTATGTATAGGGACCTTAATTATATCAACAATGTGATCATCAGTGAACATTATTCCTTAGAGGATGCTCATGCTGCTTAATGGACTACGAGAAGGCTTTCAAAGAGCCAAACCTACTTATCAGCCTGGAGAAAGGTTTGCTGGGAATCATTGCTTAATAGACACAGCTTTCTCCTTTGCCAGGAACTTGATTTTTCAACACATTTCTCTAACAGATAGTGCCTTCAGAAATACACAGTTGTGTCCCATTGTGGAGGGCTGCAAAACTGTGACTGTAGAATGACATTCTCAAGTGCCACTGTGCCTCAAATCCAGCACTCAGTAAACATTTCTGACTTTCAGCTATGCCTTAGCCTTCCTAAGCAAGCGTGGAAAAGAAATAAATACTAACTCACATCATATTTTAGTGTGAATGTATTCAGAATTTTTTCCTTTATTAAACAAAAGGGACTATGACACACTGGTGCTACTGAGGAGAGAAAAAGAGCAGGTGTCTGGGAAAAGAGAGTCAAAGTGCACTGAAAAGAGCAAGACATGACTCTACGGGTGTGCCCTTTCCATAGTCCACAGTTTTGCAAATGGCTAACTCATAATGGAAAGACAAAATACTGCATACTTATATCATGACCCTGTTTGAGAGGCAATGCACAGCTATATATTAATGAGGATAACGCTGCTGAATGTATGAAATAAATAGACAATAAAAATAGCTAAATGTGACTCTCAATTGTTCTTTCTGAAATGTAATATGGATATAATTATGAACACTGAAAATACACATACAAGATCATTTTTGGTATAAGGTGTGATGTAGTTTTTTTTTTTTTCTTTCTTTCTTTCTGTCTTTTCTCCCTTGCTCTCATTCTACACAAGCAGATAATTGACTTCTTTCTTGTCTTAAGGAGAGGTGTGTGGTTGGGTAAAGAACATAAGTTGGCTAAAACAGTCTTTCTTACCTTTGAAACCTGTATTTTTTTAATTTTTTTTATTATTATACTTTAAGTTCTGGGGTACATGTGCACAACGTGCAGGTTTGTTACATAGGTATACATGTGCCGTGTTGGTTTGCTGCACCCATCAACTCGTCATTTACATTAGGTATTTCTCCTAATGGGCAACCTGTGTTATTTTTAATGTATAAGCCTATTGAAAAGATCATATAAAGTTTGTTAGTGGTAAAAATAGAGACAAAAACAGGGGAAAAGAGACTAAAACAGATTTGTCCAAGCTAAGAAAACACAGCATTGAAGGTCTCAGGTGGTGGAAACCCATGCCCTATTCCACGGCATTTCTATAGAAAGCTGATAAGCCTTCAAGCAAGAACACCACATGAGCAGCTGACTTCCACTTCTGGTGTGTTTGACTCTGCAGTACTGCTACTGCCTCCTCGACACCCACTTACATAGACAAGGTAGTTCCTCTGGCCAGTCCACTGAGGAAAAGAGTGAGTTGGGTCTGGTGTATAGTCTAAAGACAGTATTGTGTGGCATGCGGCATCTGACATGTTCCAACTCTCCTAAGGTCATTCTTAAAGGACAATGAGAAGAAAAAAATCATCCAGTTCGCAGAACATCATGCAGAATGGAGATGTCAACTGAGTAAGCATTGACATAAGTCCATGAACAATGGCTGATTATTTCCCTGGATATTTATGTAGAAATAACAAAGGAAGAAAATAGTTAAAGGCTGGAAGAGAATTGGTCTTAGAATATGAGTTTCATAATTGTGTTTTATTTAAATGTTAAACACACACATATGCACATATAAACACACACACTGAAAGCATCACTGTGGACTGTATTATCCAAAAATCCATGCGCAAGATGAACCTCTATGAATTTAATTTCCTCCTGCCATTCAACTGCTTGCACAAAGACCTCATGAACAAATATCGCTAGTGACAACAATGGAAGTTATACATGGATTCAAAAGCATGGACTTCGAATTCACTATGGTTGACTTAGTAGGTCCCACTGCCACTGCTTGATGCTAAACGTGCCATCAACCATAACCACTTCTGAGACCCCAAAGTTCTGCAATATCCAACTTGCCACCAAGTGCTCACCTAGTGGCAAACTGATTTCAACGAAATACTGGAAGAGGGAGTACTTTTTCTCATTAGGGCTTTGTTTTCCCTTTTTCCCTTGCTTCTGCTGCCATCATTATTTGAAGAGTTATGGGATGTGTTACCCTACTGCCATGGTATCAACACAATATTGCTACAGAACCAAGGAATTCCATTTAGGAAACCATGTTAATTGATGGACCATGGCCAGTGAGATTCACTGGTGTTATCATGTACACATTTATCAGAAGCAGCAACCTTATAGACTGGAGTTGTTCTGAAGATTTAGTTACAATGTAGTTCTAAGATAATACTACACTTGGGATTGGGATGTTTTCTTTTTTTTTCTTTTTTTTTTTTTTTTGAGATGGAGTCTCGCTCTGTCACCCAGGCTGGAGTGCAGTGCCGCGATCTCGGCTCACTGCAAGCTCACCCTCCCGGGTTCACGCCATTCTCCTGCCTCAGCTTCCTGAGTAGCTGGGACTATAGGCACCCTCCACCACGCCCGGCTAATTTTTTGTATTTTTAGTAGGGACGAGATGGGGTTTCACTGTGTTAGCCAGGATGGTTTCTATCTCCTGACCTCGTGATCCACCCACCTCGGCCTCCCAAAGTGTTGGGATTACAGGCGTGAGCCACTGTGCCCGGCCGGGATTGGGATGTTTTCTATTACGAAGTAATATATGTATTGAAGCAGTCTCCGCTATACCCAGAATATAGGCCCTACAGGGTGGAAGTGAGAAGGGAGCTACACTAATATGCCCAATAACCAACATACAAAATATCTGTGGCCTATCTCTGCAGTTATAGCTGCTGCTGTGTTAGAGGTCTAGTAATCTAAGAAGGAACATTTCCACCAGAAGGAACATCTCCATTAGAAGAATAAAACAACACATCATTCTATTAAAATGTCACATAACCACCCTTTACAGTGGATTTACAGAGGGGAAAGAAAAAAGCTTACAGTATAAACTAAGGTGACCGACTGTAAATGTTAAGAGAAAATAAAGTTCAACTGTGTTTTACAGATATTCATATGATTCTACAAAGTGCAAAATAATAATTTGCTAACTTCATTTTCATTTTTTTATTTTTTGCCTTATTTAACTACTTCAGCAATTATGCCCAGAACACTGATCAGCTGTATCTCTGATAGTGTTCATCCTTGCTGTATTTCCTTGTTTACTCCCTGGGGTATAATTCTGGCCCATGATTTCAGCAGGATCCCCATGGTATATCAGAATAATGAACAATAATCCTACAGACCACATCATAGCAGAAGTGTCCACTTTTTAAAAAATAATATTTAAAGAGCCTTTGTTGTATTAAGAAAAGCAATGTGATATTACAAATATTTACATGTTGCAGACATTTTCTAAGCTTATTTATCTTTTACAAGTGTTTGTGGACCATTTTTTTCCCCAGTTCATCAAACCTACTACATTTTTCTCTCTCCATTTTAGCTTGTATCTTTAAAATTATGTTTATAAAGTCTTTCTTTACCATAAATTTATAAAAATATTTGTTTATGCTTTCTTCTAGCATCTTTCCAAACCATACAATTTCAGAATTTTTTAAATTGCCAGATAATGTGTAAAGCAGACATCTTCATTCCACACCCTCCTTTCACTTCCATTGAGTAAAATAATTTCAGAAAACTGAAAGAAAAAGATGGTAAGATTCAATGTGCAACTATTTTGATTGAGGTTTGTAAAATAACCACATAAAAATTTCAAAAACCTATTCTAGGAAGGTATTTTAAACAAAAAATCTGGATATCACCTTGGTTACCTCAAAATATTTTGTTTCCTCAGTTTCTACCACAAAAACTACAAAGATGTACATTTCCTCTCCATTACAGGATAGAGAATCTTTCCTGCTTTGGTGAATTTGAATTGTAGGTGGAGCAGCAGATACAATGAAGCTACTGCTGTGGATAAAGAAAAGAATGTAATTCAATGTAAACGTCAGCACAAGAAATTGCTCTCTCTAGATTTACCCAGGGTATTTGTGTGTGTGTGTGTGTGTGTGTGTGTGTGTGTGTGTGTGTGTCTGTTCTCTCCATCTTCTGACAAGTACAATGTGTTATACTACCCAGCTCGGATGTGAAAACCTCCATCAATACTATGCTTTTGATCAATCTTACTATATCATACCTCCAAACACATGATGGGGCAACATTCTAAATGCTCTTGTAGTTTAGGTTGCTGGCTTTTATTTTCCTTTTTTTTTTTCTTAGCATTTGAGAAACAAGAAAGTACATATTTTTTAAAAGCGTCACTAAATGTCTACAATTAAAAAAGCCTTTTAGTCTCAGTTACCAGATATTTTTCTTCCACAAAGAAAGTAAATAGTTTTGCTCCTACCTATAACCTCCATCAATAAACACAGTAATACAAACTTCTTTACATCTTAATAATTGCCAGGCTAAATTAACAAGCTGCTAATGTTTTGATTTACAAATTGGAGGGCCCCTTTGGTTCTGCTGGCCTTCAAGAAGATTGAGCTGTCTCCTCTGTTCCCTGAAAGTAAGTAAATGACTGTTTATTCATTCCCTTGATTAGAAGGCTGCCCTCCAGCCAGATAAAAGAGGTTCCATAATAAATGTGAGACTCTCATGTTTTGTTTTGCTTTCTGGATTTAGTGCTAAACATTAAAGGGAATTGGAGATTGATTTTTGTTCGGGGACCAGTGCCAGATAAAACAAGGAGTGGGCAAGCAGACTAGTTTGCAGACATGAGCTTCTTTATAATGAGGGGAGGACTTCAGTTTTGATTTAATAGCAACTGGGTAATTCCAGGTGTATATGATGGGGTGCATGCATGAGTGCGGGTGTGTGTGTGCTTGTGCATGCTTTTCAGCCTCAGCAGGATTTCTTAATTCATTCTCTCTGATATTCTGTTGGTAGCTGTTGTCAAAGATCAAAACTAAATGCAGCTCACCCATTTCTTGAGTCATTGAACCAAAAAGCTTCAGCTGAATTTTCTTAAGATCAGTTATACAGCAATTCTGCGGGGATCAAAACACACACATGCACCCACATAAACACAATAAGATGAAAGAAGCTTCCATATATACATTATTTATGGGTATTAACATGCTTTTTTTTTTTTCCTTTTTCTCTCCTGCTTCCCTCCCACCTTTTGGAGGCCTGTAGGGCTCTTCCTTTGCTATGTAAGTTGGTCATTTGGCAGGACGTCACAAATCAATTTCTTTCAATTCATCTTCTTTTTCCTCTTGCCTTAGGGATGATCTTGTGTCTCCTTTGACTTGCAATGGAGCTGCCCTGCTTTCTGAGTTGCTGACAAATTGGCCAATAATGGGAGTAATGGATGCAGCAGACTCTTGCCTCCCTGAGAGCAATTTACATGTCAGGCCTAAAATGTCTCCTCTTTAGAATCCTGGGCCCAGAGGAGTACCCAGTTGCAGCTACTAATGGAGCTGCTTGTCCAAGTGCCTGAAGTCAATGGATCAATAAATGAAATTATCTTCATTGCTAAGAGTATATGCCACACTTTGAAGCACAGACAAAAGAAGGCAACAATGGGATGGACAGGGAAGGGAAAAGGAGAGGAAATAAAATGATAATGTAACTGACAGTTGATATTTGGGTTCATATTCTCCTATATTTCTAACCAGCACACCAGCTAACTGATGCACCATATGTTGTATGATATATTCAACATAAAAACAAAAAAAATGAAGGGAATATTCAGTTGAGTGAGGTAGATCTGTAGGTTTTTATTTGCTAACTCAGGCAATCTTTTAATGAAGTTTTGTTTGATTTTAGAGCAAAGGAAACTGATGTCTACAATCTTTTCCTTCATTTGCAGGAATCCATCTCTAAACCTCCAAAACTCAGTACTTTCATCATGCTTTGTCTTGGCAAATAGGAAAATGGCTCAACAATTTACCCAGATTACTGAAGACACAGTAGCCACAATGTAGATCTCCTATAACATGTCTATAGAGAGAGAAAAATGCTCCAAGCAGGGATTCAGTTATTCATTTACTCATTCATTTGTCCATGAGATGAGAGAAATCAAGAATATAATGATGGAGCATGGTGAGCATGAATAGGATTGGTTTCCTTTGATTTTTGATTCCATTTCTCAATAGGAGCAGGGTCCATGTTGTCTTAGCGTAGGACCATAATGTACGCATCTCAAGTCACTCAATTAACATTATGAGCCTTCATGTTTTATGTCTTATTACTTTATTACAGACACTTATGACCTCCTCCAATGAAGGCCAGAATTCATTCGTTCATTTACTCCTTCCGTAAATATTCACATACTGTCTACTGTGTTTCTAATGCAAGGAATAGGACTAAGGTTACAGTGGCTAAAAAAAGGCAGACATCTCTGCTCAAAAGGAGGTAACTTGGAGTTGGTGTGATACTACTTGGGTGCATTTGTAATTATTTAGAACACCACCAGCTAGGAATGGGAAATCCAAAGATTAATGAAACTCACATCCTACCATGATGGTTAAAAGTACATATACAGATATGTAAACAAATAGTTACTTAAAAATGTGCAATAAATGCAAATCACAAAGTATACAAGACCAACATGTAATGCAGATCATCCTATTTTGTAATGTCTACTTTAATCCAGTTTGCATCTCTATTTTCTCTAAGTTTTTCTTCTCCTTTTCATTATCTTATCATGAGGAAACACATCTAATGATCAACCAAAATGATCCTATTTTATCAATTCTCTTCACATATGCACTATCATCCTTTTGCATAATCAGTAAAACCTGAATGATAAGAAAAGGATTTTTTAGTACATCATTCTCAAAAGTTTACGAGACTTTTTGTTAAATGATGAAAATAACTTATTTTTCTAACATTTTTTTATTGTGTGACTCTCCTATTCCTTGCCCAGCCCAGAGGTTAGTGGGCCTTTTGGGCTGCAGTGTGCATATCATTATTTTCTAACAACCTCAGAGGAGTTTCATCAGGACTAGAACTATTACAGCTCTCAGGAAGTCATCCTTCTTTTAAAGTATTAACCAAAATGCCTTTTTCTGGAATCCTTCATCCAGTTTTTCATGTCAAATTCCTACCATTGTTTTTCTTTTAAAAATTAAAGCTAAACTAAACTACATACAATTCTATTAGACCAAATTATTATTCTTTCTTTTCTTCTTGTGGAATTTGATATGTCTTTTGGCATGTGGTAACATACCAGAAAATTTTGTACAAATGATATTTACATACCTTTTATCAGACTCTGTCCTCATGAGGAAAATTGTCACTAGGATGCATATTCTCCGTCCAATGGTGAGTTACAATTCTCTGGGGAAAAATACTATACATGTGTGTCACTGTTAATTGAGCATGTTTCACACTCGTTAATGGAAATGGTCCAAGGCCAATAAAGATCTTTTGATAATAAATTTACTATAGAAACTTTTTTTTAAAAGATCTATTTCCCAGTAGTCTGAAGTGCTATGTAATCTCTTGTTTATTGTCTCAGAACTTTCTCTTACCATGACACAGAAACTTTGAAAATATGGGTTGTTTTCATTGTTTAAGCTTCCTTACCCAATTGAATCTGGAAATTTTTCTCACACCTAGATTCCTAGGACTTAGGACTCTTGTATAGGAAAGTCAAAATGTATATTAGGTGATACAAATTAAGCTGGAGGCATAGCACCTGTTAAAGAAATGCTTTCCAGCCAGGTGTGGTGGCTCACGCCTGTAATCCCAGCACTTTGGGAGGCTGAGGCAGGCGGATCACCTGAGGTCAGGAGTTCCAGACCAGCCTGACCAACATGGAGAAACCCCATCTCTACTAAAAATACAAAATTAGCTGGGCGTGGTAGAGCGTGCCTGTAATACCAGCTACTTGGGAGGCTGAGGCAGGAGAATCGCTTGAACCTGGGAGGCAAAGGTTGCGGTGAGCCTAGATCACACCACTGCACTCCAGCCTGGGCGACAAGAGCAAAACTCGATCTCAAAAAAAAAAAAAAGAAAGAAAGAAAGAAATGCATTCCATAGGACTCCCAACATTCAATTAGTAGGAATGGATAACGCTAATAAATATATGCTATGTCCCTACCCTTAAAAATCTGCCTTTTAAACATACAGAGTGAAGGTGAAAGAGGAAGAAAATACGGAGGATGCTAGAATAGCAAGGGGTCTCAACTGAGTTTAAATTGTGACACAGCATTGATAGCAGGGCTTGGTGGAGGCCCTGTCTATGTGGCTCTTGGACTGAGTTACCATAAAAGAGAGCTTTCCATTTTCAGCTGAATGAAAGAGGACATTTCTGATGTACTGTCCTCTAAGAAGATGTATTGGAGTTTTGTGCCAGCAGAGAAAAGAGTCAGTGACAATCTCTGCTGGTGACTCATCAAAAATGCTTTATAATGACAGCAGAGTCAGGGGGGTCTTGTCAAAAAAGAGAGAACTTGGGGCAATTCATAACTAATCACTGTGAGAAACCTGGAGCTATCTCTCAGGGTACTGCTAGGGCACACTCTCTGGGTTCTCAGATCAGCTGGTGCTATAGTAGGAGGCTAAATAGACATGCTAATTTCAGTATTGGTTTAATGTGAACCATTTGTTCCCACAGGCTGGAAGCCCCAGGAATATACACATATATGAAAAAATAGAAGGACTATGTACTGCCAAGTGCTACATTCAGTGGTGCAGATATAATTACTGGTTTAATGAATTGACCAGCTGGCATGTTGACACTCTATTATCTGGGTGAACACCAAATAAACTTTCACCCTCTCTTCCCTTTAGCTCTAAGCCATCTCTAGATAGATTTGAGGTTTTCCATTCAGATATCAGATAAGAGCCTTGGTGTGAATCCTTGTCTACATTATCCTTGGAGTAAGAAAGTTGTAACACTTCTGTTAAAGGTAACACAGAAAGTAATTTGATATATTTTATGCCCCCCTAATAATCCACAATTAGCATCTGAGTGTGATTATGTACTTTTTATTATTTTTGTTTCTGGTTTCTGATGGAATATAAACCTCCAATCATTAAAAGCATGAAAGCAGCAGAGTAAATTATTTTCTCAGTTAAAAAAGGGGACATATATTTTTGGAAATAATCAGAAACCTGCAGTTCTCATAGAGCACTAAATTATAAAACTCAATGAAGAAGAAGGGAGCTTGTTACTAAAGCCCCTCATTATTTGGTCCTTTGTTAACCCTTGTTTAATAATCAAGAGAATGAGACCGTAGATGGAGTTACCATGCAATGCCTCTAACTGGAAAAACCAAAACAAAAAAAAAAAAGTTACAATGCCTATGTATAGACTGTCTGTGCTTTCCTCTAGCACACCTCCTAGAGTATTGCTTTGGTTTCCAAAGGCAAACCACATTTGGAGAGCTGGTGACCCATTTACTTTTATACATTGTTATATAAGTCCCCAAAGAACAGTTATGTTTAACTGTTATTGCAGATTGTATTTTACAGTTGCCCAAGGTTGTGTTAAAGAGGGGTGTTTTTGCTCTTTGACTTGGGCATGTTCTCTGAAATATGTTATTTTACTGATTCACAATGCCTCACAAGCTGAAAGTTTTACTGTCCATGTCACCAATGAACTATATTCCTTATCAGACTTTATTACAGGTTGAAGTCCTGGACCTGAGATCTGGCTAAAACTGAGGCAGGAGAAATATCTATTAAGTGACTATGTTTTGGTAACCTTGTGTTATATGTTATTATATGAACATGCACTCCCTTTTATTTGGCAAGTTCCTGTAGATTGTCCAAACAACAAATCTGTTTTTATGAAGTTAAAAATATAGAGATTTAATTATTTCTCTTGCAAGTATGGATTGAAGAGACCAAAATGTGAAAGTAAACTATTTAACTTTATATATCTTATACTAAATTCATCTGATTAAAAAGTATGGAAAATGTGTATATTATTTAATACATATTTCCTTTATATGTAAATTTCCTTTATAAGTTCTTGGTAATTTAATAGGGCTTTGAAGTATACTACCAAAGTTGGTGAATTTAGTAATTCTATGAGAAAAGAGGGGTCTAAATCTGCATCTTTATCTTACACTTGATAGAAAAAAGATAGAGAGTAAAGGTAACCATCCTGTAGTTATACAAATAGTAAATGGTGAGGCTCAAGGTCAAATACTGGCCTTCACCATCCTTTTCAGAATTTTCACATTTATATGCTGTGATTCACGAATCTTGGCAAATGTGTTCTCTGCCCTTTGTAAGCTTACTATTTGAGGTCACAAGCTATACACTTACAAAATCTTTGAGATAAATTTGACAAACTGTCAAGGTAAGCTTGGTAATTCCTGCAACTTTATTTTATGAAATGTCATACATTTGTAATTTATTTCTTTGGAAGGAGGGGAAGTACTTTTAGCCATAGTTAGTGCATACTACAAATGAAATGCAAAATGGAAAATAACCTTAAAGGCAATCCTTGGAGTACTCACATTGAGACTATTGCACCTTAAAACTGAGTAGATACTAAGGGCTAAATGATGACGATATATTGCAGTACACTGGATGTATCACATATGTGCATGTAGCAGTCTATTCTGGTACTACCCAGACTTTTCTGTCCCAAAAAACACCCGCACAATTTAGGTGCGTAAATTTGTATAAAATAATGCAATACCTGAAATGTAAACATAAAAACAGAAGACATTTAGGAAGAGGGTCAGGACAGAATTGTTTATATTCATGATTATAGCTATCATTATAACTAAATATCTGCAATCTAACTTTGAAAACTCGAATGACTTTTACTCTTGGCCTCCAACAGAGTCAGTCTATTTCCAAATTTGATGGGTTTTATCCATGACCTTGTTCATGTCCACTAGCATCCCCCTAGTTTAAGAATTTGTCCACATGTGATCACTGCTGTGATAGTTTCCTGAACAACCCACGTCCCAGTCATTCAATCTAAGCTGCAAATTGCTCAGATAAATATTTTTGTCTTACTATTCTCTAGCAATGGATTCTCTCATTACTGTTTATTGACAAATGAATTGCTTTCCCAAAGTTTTCATGGCATGGTACATGTAGAAAATGATCCTTATACAACATGATGGGGCAAATGGAGGCCATCTGGATGCATCTGTATGGGGCTTAGTGAAGAAATGCATTATTTTTATTTTACATAATTAAAAGGAAAATGAGATAAATCAATATGGGTATTACATTTCAAATTTTAATAAAATTTTCAATATGATATTTTCAAAAGTTTAAATAAGAAACTTGAGTTGGCAGTCCCACTGCTAGGTAGTTACCCAAGGTAAAAGAAATCAATATACCAAAAAGATACCTGCACTTGGATGCTTCTCACAGCACTATTCACAATAGCAAAGATACAGAATCAACCTAAGTGTCCAACATTGGTTGATTGGATTAAGAAAATGTGATTCACACCCACACACACAAACACACACACACAAAGAAATACTATTCAGCCATAAAAAGAAATGAAATAATGTATTTTCTGAAAACTTCAATGGAATTGGAGGTCATTATCTTCACTGAAACAGGTCAGACAAAGACAAATATTGCAGATTCTTATTCATAAGTAGGAACTAACAAATATGTACATATGGACATAGAAAGAGAAATAATAGACAACGGAGACTCAAGAGGGAGAGGAGTGGGAGGGGGATAGATAATGAGAAATTACTTAATGGGTACCATGTACGTTATTTAGGTGATAGATACCCTAAAAGCCCTTACTAGACCACTATGCAATCTATGCATGTAAGAAAGTTGCACCTGTGCCCTATAAATTTATAGAAGTTAAAAAAAAAAAACTTAAAAAAATGCTCACACCTGTAATCCCAGCACTTTCGGAGGCTGAGGCGGGTGGATCACGAGGTCAGGAGATCAAGACCATCCTGGCTAACATGGTGAAACCCTGTCTCTACTAAAAATAAAAAAAATTAGCCAAGCTTGGTGGCGGGCGCCTGTAGTCCCAGCTACTTGGGAGGCTGAGGCAGGAGAATGGCGTGAACCCAGGAGGGTGAGCTTGCAGTGAGCCGAGATCGCGCCACTGCACTCCAGCCTGGGCGACAGAGCGAGACTCTGTCTCACAAAAAAAAAAAAAGTAAAAAAAGAAACTTAATCTGGCCTCTGAAATGATTTATTTTTAGACTTTAACCTGAAAATGTAATCAAAATTTTCAAAAATTGGTTTCTCTAGTTGTTTGAATGTCTTAATAGGAAATTTTATTCACATGTATAGGTAGTAGCAAATGGCAAAAGATAACTTACTACCTTTTGTGCCAATTGAAATAAATATCTGTAAGTATTAACAAGATTTCAGAGTAGTCAAGCTCTAAATTGGATTCCAAATGTGAAATCACTGTTTAAATCTATCAGCTCTTTCTTTTACACTGCTGACAAATAAAATGTCAGTTTGTTATAGTAATGCAGATGGATTTTGAATTTAAACATTTTTATATTTTGTGCTTCATAATATTGATAAAATCTTTTAGTTTCAAGAACAATTATTCAATTATTCTGTATGATTCAAATTAAAAGGTTAACAATATCTGTGAACATTTTAAATCATACATTTCCATAATTAAATTTTTGATATAACACATAATTATATAATTTATGAAGTTTTTGCATTAAAATATGTTTATTCAAGGTGTTCCTAAATTTCACCAAAGTTAGCTGTTTTGGAAACCAATAATTATTCTTCAACAGTCTGCAAAATAATAATTATCCACAATAATAATTTCTCACTTTTTTCTATTTTTTGTTTTAGCTCATAAACTTTTAACATTTTTTTTGTGTGCAGCAAAAGCTCTTTGTATAAAAGAAAGTAATCTCATACTAGTTAGCATAGAGCTGAAAAAGTATCTTAAGTTGTTTAGAATCACCATTCTTTAATTTCATTTAATATGGAATGAAATTTATGAGCAAGACTATGATGCAAAAGGTTTTCTCAGTGAATTAAATAACAAATTATTTTTACCTTAGACTTTTCAGAATAAATATTAGTACAACCCATATAAGTAATTTTCCCAGTCAAGACACTTTTGTGAGTAAATGGGTATTATTAACAATTAAGGTATTGCAAGAGTTATAAACAAGAAGTGCCTTGGGTCAACTTAATACTAATTTACTAATATAAGTAACACTTGCTAATATTACTAATGTTAATTTACATAATCCTCATAGTAATCTGTGATGTGAGATGTATTGCTTTCTCCATGTAAAAAATTAGGGGCTAAGACAAAGAAGGTAGATCACACAACAAATTAATGATAGGAGCGAGTTCTTCTCTTGGCAATCTTGAGATGCATGTACATTAATAGGGGTCTTGGTAACTGGACTTTGCATATCCATACATATATGCATGTAACATGTGTGGTTATATGATCATTTTTTTACAGTCCTATCGTCTAAAAAATGTGTATTTCCACTTGGATATTTGTCCTATATAGTATGATATTTCTATGAAGATAAAATAGAATCTTCTTCTAAAATATTTATCTTCATGGATTCTAACTAGTGTAATCTTTTACTTCATTTTTTGAATCAATATTGCCATATGTCATTGAACATATCTGCAATGCATTATTCAAAATAGTATCTTTTCTATTCCTTTGCTTCATTGGTCTGCAACACCAGCCTGGGTATTAGTTTATGCAAGATAGTAGAATAGCCACTCTGTAGCAAGTGAGCATTTTGGATTTTGTAATTACTTATGTGAGCTTGTGACTAGCTACTTTAGTATGATCTCATACTGCTGGAACTAATCTCATGAGAGTTATTTCTTATTTTATACTTGCAGACACTTAAAAGGGTGAAAACTTCTTTTTTGTCCCATATAAATATTTTGTTTAGCAAGGTGTTAGGGTAGTTAACTTAGCAATATTGTTCATTTCAAAAATATTTCCAAAAAGAGTAAAAGGTTTAGGCTGAGATAGAGAATGATAGTAAACATGAATAATATATAATATAGTATATTGATAGTATAATCTTCATTATACTCTCTAATTCATAATAAACTTTTTGAGACTATTCTATACACTAGATGACTTTATAGCTTCAATCAAATTATTGCCCACTTTGGAGCTAAAATACAGATTTTTAATAATATTTAAAGTATCTATTACATGATAAAGGCAATTATTGACTTTTATGGTTTCAAAAGATTGATTTTTCAATTCAAGTGTTTGGCAGATGTCTTTCGTGCCTCACATTACATTCCTAGGGCACAATTTTGATTTTAGCCACAGCTGCAGGGGTGCAGGAGAGATTCCACTTGGAGCTCAAGCATACCTCACTCAGGCAAGGCGACACCTCAAACATACCGCCTTAGGGCTTTCTGCCTCAGGATCTTTTTCAAAACAAGGAAAACCGTTTAGATTCAAGACCACGTAAACTGGGAAAGCACAGGAAAGTACCATTGACATATTCCAGGGGCCACCTGCAACCAGTGGGGATTGGGGAGCAGAAGGTGATGCCTAGTCTCCCTCCTTTGGATAGGCAAGCTAAAAGGACTCTGGTGAAATGCTCCGGAGACCCTGAAAGAAACAGTCCATAGGGACAATTGAACTCCACCATTTTGTACAGGCTTGTCTCTTTCCCTGTCTTACTCTCTACACTCCCTCATACTTACCTCCTGAAATCACCTCCTCTGTAAACTACATGATCTCAAGTTCTTGTTTCTTTACTGTTTTTTTAAGAGTATCAAAGGAAAGCAATATATAGATAATTTTAAGAATATTTTAAATTAATTTGCACCGACAATTTTAAAGCATTAAGCATTGGGTAAACAAAATATAAAACTGAAATACTATTCTCCAATTAAATTTCTTGAAATTGTACAAAATAAAAATATGATTTATATGTACATATGACAAAGATCTTTTAATAATAAATGTCTAAATTCTGAAATATCCAAGTTCTCTTCATTGAAATATTTGATTCTATCTTCCAATCATTATTTCTGAATTAGCATTTGGTTAGTTTTTAACAACACTTGCAAAACAATTGATAAAGACAGATGTAAGAAAGAGAAGGCTAGAGGAAGAAAGAGGTAGGAAAGAATAAAGGAAAGAAGGTAAGGGAAGGACAGAGAGAGAGACGGAGGAAGGAAGGAGGGAAAGAGGGAGAGAGGGAGGGAGGGAAGGAAGGAAGGAAGGGAGGGAGGGAGGGAGGGAGGGAGGGAGGGATAGAGGACCATTCGGAAGATAATTACTATCTTATAGCACATGTGCAATGCACTCACAGATGAGAGCTGTGATGTAATTTGAGATGTTTTAGTTAAAAATAAGAACCATGCCCCAATCTCCACTATCTTTGTCTACTCCAATGAATATACTCAGTTTCCCAACCTTGTCTCAAATATCTTTTCACATTATTTTATGTATTAGAACTTCCTTCTCAAATTAAAATTTTATATCTATTTGTCTATGCATTATTCTTCTCTCTTCCTTCTCTCCTTTCTTCTTTCTTGTTTTTCATCTTTTAATATATTTACCTTTTCATGATAAAATTTTCCTCTTGCCAATTCAAACCTACTATGCATTTCAAACTCAAATTTAAAAATGATCTTCAAAACATCTTCACACACCAAAGTTGTAAACTAATTTGAAACTGTTTCGTATTATGTATTAATCATGGTAAACAGTAATTATAATAGATACATGAAATTAAGTGGTTACCATATTCCAACTTTTGTGCTAATTGCATTATATAGACATTATGTAATTGTTCCTTTGAAAATACTAGAGAGAGGTAATATTACTTTGCTATTTCAGAATGTTATGTATGCTCTTCTAGTCCACACAGCTAGAAAGTGGCAGACTAGCATTTGCATCCAGTTTCCCTAACACTAATACTCATCCATACTTATATTTCTATGGGGGTGGGTACATGGTCAATGCTAAGTCTGAAGTTTATATTAGTATAATTTGGTACATAGAAAACATTATATGTTATCTATATGTGAATTTGATGCCCAAAATTAAGAATACAAATTTGTGAAATCAATGCCAAATTGAAAAGAAGATTTTTTAAAACAAAAATTCGAATTCTATACTATCTGTTTGCATTCCTCCTCACTTCCTCTATCGGACACTAAGTCCACCATATTATTTAATTCTGCATTGAGCTTTATAAAAATTGAATCAAATTGTAGTTAATCTTTTATAACTTTTTTCTATTCAACCCTATTTCAAAAAATGCTATACATGTTTTTATCTATAGACTAATTTATTTACATCACTTTGAAATAGTCAATTTAATGAATATGCTATAATTTATTGATCAACATTATTCTGATGGCTAGTTGTTTCTCTACAGTTTTATTTTTTCCCCTAACTAAAATAATGCTGTTAAAAATACCATGTGTCCTGATATTTTTGGGTGATTTTTCTCTATTGGAAAGCATAATTCCTGTATATATACACGTTCAAGTTTTCTTGCTAAATTTCATTTTTTACTAATACCATCAGTAGTTTATGAGTTTGTATTGCACTCTATTGCTAAAACATTTAGTATTGTCGGACTTTAATTTTTGCTAACCTGGATGGTTGAAAATGGGATCTTATTAATTGATTATATCTAAAAAATTGACAAGCTTTTTATGTGATAATATTTAGTATTTTTCTGCAAAATATCTGTTCTTATATTGGCTCACTTTTCTATAGAATTGTCATTTTTATTATTGCTATGTTTAAGACATTTATTCTGAATACTAGTCTTTGATGATAAATTCAAACTTAGTGAAACTAATCAATATTTTGTCTAAGTTCAGTTCATCCCTTAGCTTTAATTCATATATTTTCTTATGTTTTCTTCTAGAATTCTAAACTTGGCTTTTTATACCTATGCCTAAAAATTTTGTGTATGATATGAATTATTATTCTGGTTACATATTTTAATATACTGATTTAATTTGCCCATAAATTTATATTAAATAATGTATTTCTTTTCAGTGATCTACAGTGCCACTCCTTTCATGTCTCAAGTTTTGATATTGTGTTTGGTTCTACTTCCAGACTCCCTACTCTATGTATTGAACAACTTATTTATCCCTGAGCCAATAACATGCCTTTTAAAATTTAAATTTTTAAAAAACGTTTGTAATATGAAATATAATAAGTCAAAGTCTCTTAATAGTTAATCCTTATTAACTAATCCTTAATTATAAGGTTCACTAACAAGTCTTTGCTATTCTTAGTCCTTTACTCTTCCATATAAAATTGAGCATTGGCTAACTAATCTTGTTGGTTTCTTATTGGAATTACACTGACTCCATAGACCAATAGGCAAGCATTAGAATCTTTATCATGTTGAATTTTGTATTCATGAAAATGGTATAGATATGACTCTATTAATTCAGGCATTCTTTAATACATTTAAGTAAAGTTTTATAATTTTTATACAATATTTAGTTATTATATTACATTTATTTCTAATATTTTGTGGTGCTTTGGTAAATGATCCAAATGTTTTTAATTACATCTTTTTAAAATTACAAGATGTAATTTTAATTAAATCTATTTTTTGTTCAAATGTAGAAATGCCATTGGATTTTATTGCTTCTGGATTGTGATTTTTGTCTATCTTGCTAAATTCTATTATTACTTCTAGAAATTTGTTTATAGACTTTTGGTACTTTTCTATGAAGAAAAATAATATAATTTGCAAATACTATGTATTTTTGGACAGAACACTATCCTATTTTCTCATTGCATAAAGGGTGTATACAATTATTCATCTGCTTTTAAGCATTAAGTATTTTAAGTATTTTTCTTATCTTCTAAGAAGGATAGTAAGTTCATTGGAAACACATATCATATCTTCAATTATTTTTATATCAGATTATCAATGCATATAGAAAAACACTTTGTATGTAGCAGAAGAAAAATGGTATAAAGATGTAATAGATTCCTTTACCAGCAAATTAAAGTTTCCAATATTTACCTTAGAATTCGATGTTCTCAATGATTTAACTTCAACCTACTTTTTACTTACTATGGATTCTTTCTCCGTTTATTATCATATTTAACCTCAAATTAATTGTCGCTTTATGATTTCAACATTTCAACACTCCTGATTTGAAGGTTTAACATTCATTAATTCTCTCTCTACTTAAATTACTTCCCTGGAAATCGGATAAACTTAATTATCTTTCTAATCATCCAAATAATATAAACCTATTTAAAGTAGCTGGCAGCAATATCTCAATTGGAGTTCATATTGATGATTTGATACAGAGGTATAACTGGCATCTGAAGATTTCTAAAAAATTTGATACAATTACATATTTGAAGTAATTAGCTAGATATTAGTAAAGTAAATACCAACTACAGTTTACAAAAACACAATAACAACATGACCATCTTTTTCCTGATGCTTTAAATTTTGCAAAATTTAGGAAACAGTCTTTGTGTATCATAGCTTTGATAATTTTCAGATCTTTACTTTCATATTATTTCAATTCATGATTGTGGTTTGATTTACTTAAAATATACTTACTGAATATGCTACTTTTATGATTATGTAAAGATACAGGTAAGTGTTTCATACCTTTAAAAATACACTTTTTGATTGTAATATAAACCATAATTGAGACACAGCCATTTAAAGGTTAATTATTTAATACTAACAAAATGCTAAAAAAAAGCAATGTTATTCAGTGTGAAAGGTGTACTGCTACTGATTCATTGTAACTCACGCTTGAGATTATCCCACATTTCTGAGAACACATGTTATTTTCTTAAAAATGTCTTCTTCATTGTAAATATTTAATTATGTTTTATTTCCAGTGTTAATTTGAGAGTGCCATCAGGCAAATATGCAGAAAAGAAGCATGGAAGTGTTCACTACTAAAGTTATTGAAAACTTAATAAAAAACAACATTTTTAAGACACTTCTTGCACTTGAAAATTTTGTCTGTATGCTGAAACCCTAACTTATCATTACTAATAAGTAAATTAATGAAACAAAGAAATAATTATGAATAATACAGTTATAAACAAAGCCAAAGTAATAATATTTAAACATAGTGAAGAAAGTTGTGAATTTAAAGTAACTTAAAAGTAATGAAAAGTCACATGAATTAATTAGTATTTGAAGGCTCAGATGACCATAAGAAATAAAGATTGCATAAAAGAAGAAATGTCTAGAAACTTCAATTTCCAAACATAGAAACTTAAATCCACAAACATCTAAACTTTGGTCTATTTATTTCTCAGAATTCATTCTATTTGTGTTAGTCTCATGAGGAAAGACAAGGACAAAATATAAAATTTGAGGGAGAAGAATCAATCTTGTGGAGTTCCTACAATGCAACTTGCATATAAAGTATGGAGATATTATCATTAAAGGGGGAGATATAAGAACTAGGTCTTATCAGATTTACAATTTAATCAAGCAATAGTCCAATACAGAAATTGAGACAGAAAAAAATAATATGTAGACCTTTGTCAAGTGTTCCAGGGAACTAGTTATTTAGAGTGCTAGAAATGCATACAAACATTTCAGTGTTTACATAGGGATATCATTTGCCCTTTTGTCTAATAATGAAAAGGTTAAAGTTCAATGTGCCAAGCATAGCAACAAAAGGTAGTGATTATATCAGTAGTGATTATGCAGAATGGCATCTTGAGTAAGAGAGACAGATTAAAGTATTAGGCAACTATTGGGTAAATGAGGAGAGTACAGAATGAGACTGAAAAAAATAAGTAAAAGAAGGACAAATGTCTCAACTTTAAATTTTAGTGGTATACATTTCTGTTTTAATTTGCACAGACTCTCTAATTTATTCAGTAGGATGTAAACACACATATACACAGTTTTAAAAATCCTCATAGGATTTAGTGGTGATTGACAGGTCATGTGACTTTAGTCATATAACCACATAGTCCAGGAAAAAAAGGAGCCCTTTAGAAAAAAAAAATCAGTTTAGAATGACTTTCAAATTGACCATTCCTTTGCCATGTACATAAATTCAAATAACAAATACATTCAGAGGCCAAAATGTTGGCAGAGAATAAAATCATGTTCATTTTTTTTCTGCATCTTAGAATTAGAAGGCATAAAATTAAATATGTTGAATGTAATAAATTCATCCATACAAGTTCAAGTCTCCAAGTACATTCTGTACCTGCCATACAGGCTCATTTTCATGCAAATTCTTTCTAGAGCCAAATAAAGACTTAGGTGAAAAAAAAGAAGTAGATAGATCAACATCTTGAAAAAGAAATGGGGAAAAAATGGTGTTAGAAGGGTAAAAAGTTCAAGCTCTTAGAGAATTCCAAGTTCCTGGTTTCTATTACATATTTTATTATTATAATTTTTTCTTTGCGTGTCTGTATTTGGACCCCTCATAACCTCAAGAATCAGAAGGAAAAAGAAAAAGATGTGATCTGTAGTCAGATGGGAACATCTCCCCCCACCTCACATATACACCCCAAATCTAATAATGCTTCATAAAAATATCAGTTTTCAAATTAAAACAGAATAATTTTTATGGTCAAAAAGGACAAGTCTACTTCAGCATATTTTCTATTAAATAATTTTAAGTTACATGAGAAAAATCATGGAAACCCTCCAACTCTTCTTGTCACTATCTTGTGGCTTTCTGTTCTTTCTTTGATCTATAATGGAAATTTGGCAATGTTTACTGAAGACACTGACACTAAGAAAAACAATACCGTGTTACCAAATGCTGCCTCTGTTGCTGCCTATATGATATCTGAAGGTCTTTATTTATATTTCTCTTTTTTTGCAGTAACTTTTACATTTTCAATTTTTAGCTGTTTATCATTTGTTGTTAATTTTAACTTTTTTAACAGGATAATTATGGTTCCTGAACACCATAACCATTTCCATCATAATTTAGATTAGGAATCTGGATTAAAAGTATCAGAATTCACTTGTCCAAGGAACTGAAATGCCTTTGTCGGTCAACAAAAAGGTACTTAGAAGTTCATAGGGTTATGCCAAGTACTTGTGTTAGTACAGACAGTAAGACACATTCTTCTGTTATTAGAAATCAGCCTATAAAAATGTTCCCACATTTATCACAGAAGAAACCCTCTAGGGTCAGTTGAAAGCGGTAAGAAAGTTTTCAAGGATGGATTTTATCATATAGATTCTAGCATTTACTGTTGGAGAAAACATTCCACAGTGAATTCTTCCATTCAGTTTTCCACTTCTTGTTCCAAAATAAACTTATGATGAGAAACATATACACACACACAAATGAAAAGTAATCATTCAAAGGGGTTATCTGAGTTTCCTCTAAACTTAATGAAATTTTTTGGTAAAAATTAAAAAGTTCATAATCATATCTAAAATGGACATTTGCCACTAAATATGCATTACATTTCAAGGAAGCAAGTACATTTATATAAGCAGCTGTTATTTTTAATAAGAATAATCCAAACATTCAGTGGAGGACTAGATGCACCGAGTAAGATATTGAGTGAAGTAGTAGGGCAACATTCATTTAAAAATAAATGCCATGCTATACTTTATTTAGTAAGGAGCATGAGAAAAATAATGAAATCACAAATATATTTAAGACATTTTGTTTATATGACTGTATAGAATCACATACAAGTTATTCATGTATCAAAATTACCAAAACAAAGGAATTCAGATAATGTTAAAAATAATGTTGTTAAAGATGAATATAGATTCAAGACAAAACAGTAACAAAGAAAATGCATGGCTACACATATAATTTGTGTTTAGGTGAAAGATTTAAGAGAAGATTGTAAATTTTTGTCACACAAGTGTGAACTAGGGTGACATCAGCAAAATGGCTGACTAATGATGTCTGGTGCTTGTCCCCCCATTATTGCTAAAAAGAACCAAAACAATGAATAAACAACTCTATTTTGAACACAGTGTCTGAGGTGGGGGGCAGCAGAGGGCTAGTTGAGACACTGTGTAACATGAAGACACAGGATGACAACATAGACAATGGAGAGAGGCACCCTGAAGATGCCACCCGATCTCCCTAGTCAAGATCAGCTTAGAACCTGAAGGGACCTTCCTGTGCAAGGAGAAAGTAGCAGGAGGCCCCCAGCAGCCCCAATTAATGCCATGACGCCTACAGTTTTTGCTCTTGAGGAATCTGCGATTCTCACCGGCACGAGCACAGTCTGGGGAGATGTTAGGGAGTTTACATAGCTGCCCTGCTCCAGAGGAGGAGCTCTTATTGTGCCCCCAATGAGCCAAACTGATGCTATAAGGCGCCACCTCTGTCTTCTCTATCCAGGTGTTGTAGAACCTCAATGCTGGATACCTGAAATGTAGGTCCAGCAGAACAGCTATGGCCTCAGAGCTCTACCCCCAGGGGAGCAACACGTGAGCCAAGCCACTATCTGACCTGCCCCATTCTTCTCCTGAGTGCAGACTAGCCCAACCCCTGAGAGTAATGTCTGAGCAGAGACACAAGACAGACAACCCCAGCCTCCCTGGATGAAGACTAGCCTGGCACTTTGCTCACAGAGTAGCAGTCCCCAAGTTGAGCTGAAGATTGATGAGCCCCGTGCTTCCCTGGAGTGCAAACTAGCCCAGCACACCACCTTCACAGTAGCAGTGCTAGTGGCCAGTAAGTCCCATAATGCTTCTGAGTGCAGACCAGCCAGGGCCTTGCTCCTATGGGAGCACCAACCAAGCTGAGGCACCAGCTCACCAGACCCTCACTTCCCCAGAGTGTGAACCAGCCTCTGAACCAGTGTCTGAGCCGAGCCTCAGGCCAACCATCTCTAGGCTTCTTCCCCAGAGAGCAATCTAGCCATGCACTCCATAACCATAGAACACAGCCAGAGCAAGTTTGCTAGCCAATCAGCTCTGTGCTTCCCTGGAGCAGGGTTCAGCCTGGTGTCTTGCTCCCAAGGGGAGCAGAGCTCAAGTAGGTGGACCAGTGACACAAATCTCTGCAGTATAAGCCACTGAGGCACTTGCAGGAATTGCTGGCTTGGTAATAACTGAAGAAACTGCAGAGACTACACCATTGCACACACCCAGAACAAAACCAACACACACAAACCAGCTGACATCATAAGACACGTCTGCAGGCGAAAACCTTTCCCTATGAAAACCACTCTACAAAATTGGAAGAGGTGAATGGTTCACCAGATGAATAGGTGAACAGGATGAACAGGTTCACCAGATGAATAGGGATACAGGAAACATAAAGAAGCAAGATAAGATACCACCACCAAATGAATGATACTTCTATGGTAACTGATCCCAAAGAAATAAAAATTTTGTAATTGCCTAAAAAGAAACTCAAAATAATAATCTTAAGGAAATTCGGTAAAATAAAAAAAATACAGATAGGCAATTCAACAAAATCAGAAAATTAATTCATGATCTTAATGAGAAATTCAACAAACAGATAGATATCATATAAAATACCAAACAGAAATCTTGGTGCTAAATAATTCAATGAATGAAATGTAAAAGACAATCAAGAGTATAAACAATAGATTAGATATAACAGAAGAAATAATCTCTGAATTTGAAGACCGGACTTTTAAAGTAATCCAACCCGCACTCCCCCCAAAAAAAGTTGTAAGATTTTTAAGAATGAAGAAAACTTATAGGACTTACGGAATGTCATTAAGTGAATATATTTTAACATTATGGGAATTTAAGAAGGAGAAGAGATGAAATAAAGCAAAAAAAAAAAAAAAAAAAAAAAACACCTATTTACTGAAATAATATCTGTAAACGTCCCAAGTATTAGTAGTGCTATGGACATCCAGATCCAGGAAACTTAAAAGTTCCAAACAGTTTCATTTCAAAAGGATCCCCACTGAGGCACATTATAGGCAGACTACCACAAGTCAAAAACAAAGAATTTTTGAAAATATCAAGAGAAAAGTGTCAAGTCACATATAAGGGGATCTTTAGTAGATTAAAGCAGATTTTTCAGCATAAACCTTACAAGATAGGAAAGAATAAGTGATATTATTAAAGTGGAAAAGAAAAAAAAACCTGCCAGTTAAGCATACCATACCCAGCAAAGCTATTCTTCAGAAATGAAAGGAAATAGTCTTTCCAAGGCAAGCAAAACCTGAAGAAGTCTATCATACTAGACCGGCCATACAGGAAATGCTTGATGAGGTCCTACATCTGAAAGCAAAATGAGAAAACTACCACCACCACGAAAACACACAAAAGAATAAAACTCACTGATAGAGCAGATACACAAATGAGAAAGACAAATAAATCAATATCTATCACTATAGAAAAACACCAAACCACAAAGATAAACAGAAGAAGGAAGAAACAGTGTATATACGAAACAACCAGAGAACAACTAGCAAAATGACAGGAGTTAAGTCCTTAACTATCAATAATAGCCTTGAATGTAAATAGATTAAATTCCTCCATTTAAAAAAATATAAGCTGATTGAATGAATAAAAAAACAGTACCCAACCACATGCTACCTATAAGAAACTCACTTCACCTGTAAAGACACATAGAGACTGAAAGTGAAGAGATAAAAAAAAAATTCCATGCAAATAAAAACCACAACCACAAAAAAGCAGGAGGAGCTATACTTACACCAGATAAAATAAACTTTAAGTCAAAAAACTGTAAACAGAGGGACAAAGGAGGTCACTATATGATGATAAAAGGATACACTCAAATAGAGAAAAAAACTGTAAATATATATGCACCCAACACCAGAGCAACAGATATATAAAACAAGTATTTGATTAAAAATGAGAAATAGACTCCAATAAAATAGTAGATGGGGACTTGAACATGTCAGTCTCAGCAATGGATAGATCATCTAGATAAACAATTAACAAAGAAACATTAGACTTAAACTGTACTGTAGACCAAATGGACCTAACAGACACAGAACACTTCATCCAACAATGTCAGAATGCACATTCTTCTTACTAGCACATGAAAGAGTACCTAGGAAAGACCATATTCTAGGCTCCAAAACAAACTTCAACAAATGTTTTAAAATTTGAAATCATATCAAGTTTCTTTTCTGATCATAGTGGAATAAAACAAAAAATCAATATCAAGGGAAACTTTGGAAACTGTAAATATGGAAATTAAACAACATGCTCCTGAATGAGCACTGGTCAAGAAAGAAATAAAAAAAAATAACAATCGTGAAACAAAAGGAAATAAAAATATAACATACAAAACTTATGAGATACAAGAAAAGCAGGACTAATAAGAAAGTTTCTAACAGTAAATACTTACATCAAAAGAGTAGAAAGATGAACTACCTAGTGATGAACTTCAAGGGACTAGAAAAGCAGGAAAAAAAGCCAAAATTAATACAAGGAAATAATAATTATCAGAACAGAAATTAACAATATGAAAACTAAAAAGTATTACAAATTATCAATAAAACAAAAAGTTGTTTCATGAAAAGAAAAAATTGAAGAATCATTATCTAGATGAACTAAGAAAAGAAGACACGAAATCTGTAATGAAAAAGCAGACAGGACAATTGATAACACAGAAATACAAAAGATCATTAGAGACGATTATGAACAACTATACACAAACAAACTGAAAAACCTAGAAGAAATGGATAAATTTTTGGACATGTGCAACCTATCGAGATGAACAAGGAAGAAATAAAACACCTTAACTGACCAAAATGAGTAATGGGATTGAATTGGTAAGAAAAAGTCTCTCAAGATACAGGACTGATGCCTTCACTGGTGAATTCTACCAAACTTTTAAAGCAGAACTAACAGCAATCCTTCTCAAAGTATTTCAAAAAACTTAAGGGAAGGAAATTTTTTCAAGCTGATACCAAAACCAGGCAAGGATAAAACAAAACAAAACTGCAGGCCAGTCTCCCTGATGATCATACATGCAAAAATCTTCAACAAGATACTATCAAACCAAATTCAACAACATGTTAAAAATATTATATAACATGATTAAGTGAAAGTTCTTGAAATGCAAGAATAATTCAACATACATAAATCAATAAATGTGATCTCACATCAACAGAATTAAGAACAAAAAATGTGTCATTATCTTAATAGATGCAGGAAAATAATTTGATAAAATTCAACATTCCTTCATGATAAAAATCTCTCAGTAATTTGGGTATTGAAAAAAAGTACCTAAACATAATAAAACCATATGAAAAATCCATATGCAATATCATAATAAATGAGAAAAAGTTGAAAGTTTTCCAAGAACTGGAACAAGAAAAGGGTGCCCATTTTTACCACTCTTCAATGCAGTGCTGGAAGTCCTAGCCAGAACAATCAGACGAAAGTGAACAGAGGCATCCAGATTGCAAAGAAAAAAGTCAAATTACCCATGTTTGCAGACAACATAATCATATATAGAGTAAAAGCTAAAGATTACCAAAAACTCTTAGAACTGATAAATAAATTCAGGAAAGTTGCAGGAGACAAAATCAACGTAAAAAATCAGTAGTGTTTCCATATACCAATAACAAACTAGCTAAAAATGATATAAAAATATAAGTCCATTTACAATAGCTCTCCTAAAATTAAAATACCTAGAAATAACTTTAACTAAGGAGGTAAAAGACCTTTACAATGAAAACTATAAAACACAGATAAAAGAAATTGAAAATAACACATACATAAAAATAGAAAGACACCTCATGTTCATAGATAGCAATAATAAATACTGTTTAAATAATCATTCTATCCAAAGTGATTTATAGATTCAATGAAATGTCTATAAAATGTTAACGACATTCTTCACAGAATTTTTTTAAATTAACATTTGCATGGAATTACAAAAGACCCTAAATAGCTGAAGCAATCCTCAGCAAAAAGAATAATTCAAGATGCATCACACTACCTGACTTCAAAATATACAATATAGCTATAGTAATGACAATAGCATGATATTTGCATAAAGACAGGCATATAGATCACTGGAATTGAATAGAGAAATCAAGAAATAAATCCACATATTAATGGCCAACTGATTTTTGATAAAGGTGCCAAATACATTCATTGGGGAAAAGACAATTTCTTGAATAAATAGTGCTGGGGAAACTAGATTTACATATAGAAAAAATAAAACTAGGCCACTATCTCTCAGCATATATTCAAAAAATGCAAAATGGATTAATGACTTTAATTTTAGACCAGATATGCCAAAACTACTGGAAGAAAACACACAAGAAATGATTTAGGACCTTAAGCTAGGCATAGATTTTACAGTTAAGATGTCAAAACACAGGCAACCAAAACAAAAACAGACAAATGGGATTATATCAAACTAAAAAATTTCTGCACAGCAAAGGAAACAATCAACAGAGTGAAGAGGCAACATGAGGAATGGGAGGAAATATTTGCAAATATTCATTTGATAAGGGACTCAAATTCAGAATACACAAGGAACTCAAACAACCCAATAACAAAAAACAAATAATCCAATTGAAAAATAGGCACACGATCTAAATAGACATTTCTCACAAGATGACACACAAATTGTCAACTAGTATAAGAAAGAAATGCTCAACATAACTAATTATCAGAGAAATGCAAATCACTACAATGAGGTATCATCTTGCCCCAATTAGAACAATTAGTATCAAAAATACAAAAATTAACAAATGTTTTTGAGGATGTGGAGAAAAGGAATCTCTTGTATACTTTCAGTGGAAATGTAAATTACTATCACCATTAGAAAAACAGTACAAAGTTTCTTCAAAAAGCTAAAAATAGAACTATCATGAGATCTAGCAATATCACTCCTGGGAATTTATTCAAAGAAAAGAAAACCACCATGTCAAAGAGATATCTGCACTTCCATCACTATTGCAGCACTACTCACAGTAACCAAGAAACAGAATTAACCCAAGTGTCCATCAGCAGGTGAATGGATTTAAAAAATGTGGTAGACATATAAAATGGAATATTATTTAGCCATTAAAAAAATAAGAACCTGTGTTATGCAGCAACATGGATGAGCCTTGAGGACATTTTCGAAGTGGAATGAGCCAGGAACAGAAGCAGAAATACCATTTGACCCAGCAATCCCATTACTGAGTGTATATCCAAAGGATTACAAAGCATTCTACTATAAAGACACATGCAAAAATATGTTTATTGCAGCACTATTCACAATAGCAAAGACTTGGAAACAACCCAAATTGACTATCAATGATAGACTGGATAAAGAAAATGTGGCACATATACACCATGGAATACTATGCAGCCATAAAAATGGATGAGTTAATGTCCTTTGCAGGAACATGGATGAAGCTTGGAATCATCATTCTCAGCAAACTAACACAGGAACAGAAAACCCAACACCGCATTTTCTCACTCATAAGTGGGAGTTGAAAAATGAGAACACATGGACACAGGGAGGGGAATATCACATACTGGGGCCTGCCGGGGGTTGGGGGACTAGGGGAGGGATAGCATTAGGAGAAATGCCTAATGTAGATGATGGGTTGATGGGTGCAGCAAACCACCATGGCACGTGTATACCTATGTAACAAATCTGCACGTTCTGCACACGTATCTTAGAACTTAAAGTATAATAAATAAATACATAAATAACCAACAACAACAACAACAAAAAAAGAGATAAATACCACACGTTCTCACTCATAAGTGGAATCTAACAAGATTGATCTCATAGAAGGAGAGAGTGGAATAGTGAAGCTGGGAAGGGTAGAAGGAAGAAGAGATATAGAGAGATTGGTTAGGCAGGTTGACAGGCAGAATAAGTTGTAGCGATTGAAGTAAATATAAAAAAGAACAACAATTTTTTGTATTTTTTCAAATAGGTGAAAGAGAGGGATTTGAATGTTCTCAACAGAAAGAAATAATAAAGGTTTGAAGTAACAGATATGCTAATTACCCTGTTTCAATATTTACATATTGTATACATGTTTTGATATATCACACTGTACCCTGTAAATATTTACAATTACAGGCATACCTTCCGCATATTGTGGATTCAGTTTCAGACTACCAAAATAAAGTGACTATTACAATAAAGTAAGTCTCACTTTTTTTTTGTTTCCCACTGCATATACAAGTTTATTTACCCTATATGACAGTTTACTAAGTGTGCAATAAGATTATGTCCTTTAAAAGATGTATATTATTTACTTTAAAAATACTTTATTTTTAAAAAATGCTGAAGATCATCTGAGCCTTCATCAAGCAGCAATCTTTTTGCTATTGGAGGCTCTTGTTTCGATGTTGACACTTGCTGGCTGACCATGGCGGTGGTTGCTGAAGAATGAGGCCTCTGTGGAAATTCTTTAAAATAAGACAGCAATTAAAGTTTTCACATTGATTGACTCTTCTTTTCAAGAAAGATTTCCCTGTAGTATGTGAAGCTGTTTGATAGCATTAGAACTTCTTTAAAAAATAGTTATCACAAACCCTGCTGTTGCTTTATAAACTAAGTTTATTTAATATTCTAAATTTGTTGTTGTCATTTCAGCCATGTTCACTGCATCTTCACCGGGAGTAGATTTTATCTCAAGAAACACTTTTTTTGCTCATCCATAAGAAGCAACTCCTCATATGTTCAACTTTTATCATGAGATTGCATCAATTCAGTCACATCCTCAAACTCCACTCTAATTCTACTTCTTTTGCTATTTCCACTACATCTTCAGTTATTTCCTCCACTAAAGTTTTGAACCCCTCAAAGTCATGCCAAAAAGTTGTTATCAACTTCTTCCAAACTCCTGTTAAAGTTGATATTTTGACCTCCTCCCATAAATAATAAACTTTTTTTCTTTTTTTTGAGATGGAGTCTCATTCTGTTACCCAGGCTGGTGTGCAGTGGCATGATCTTGGCTCACTGCAACCTCAGCCTCCTGGGTTCAAGCAATTCTCCCTGCCTTAGCCTCTGGAGTAGCTGGGATTACAGGCATGTGTCAACACACCCAGCTAATTTTTGTATTTTTTAGTAGAGACGGGGTTTCACCATGTTTGCCAGGCTGGTCTTCAACTCCCGACCTCCTGTGATCCACCCACCTCGATCTCCCAGACTGCTGGGGTTACAGGCATGAGCCACCATTCCTGGCCAATCATGAAACTTTTTAATGGCATCTAGAAAGGTGAATCCTTTCCAGAAGATTTGCAATCTGCTTCACCCAGATGCATCGAATGAATCACCATCTATGGCAGCTATAGCCATGCAAAATGTATTTCTTCTATAATAAGATATGAAAGTCAAAATTACTCTTTGATCTATGAGCTATAGAATAAATGCTGTGTTACCAGGTATGAAAATAATGTTAATCTTTTTTTTACAATGCCAGCAGAGTTTGGGGTTGCCAGATATTATCAATGAATAGAAATATTTTGATATAAATCTCTTTCTGAGCAGTAGGTCTTAACAGTGGGCTTAAAATATTCAGCAACCCATGTTACAGGCAGAGTAGATTTAGCATAATTATTAAGGACCTTAGGATTTTCAGAACGGCAATGGCAAATGAGCAGTAGATTCAACTTAAAGTCACCAGCTGTATTAACTCCTAACAAGAGAGTCAACCTGTCCTTTGTAGCTTTGAAGCCAGTTGTGACTTCTGTTAAGCTATGAAAGTCCTAGATAGCATCTTCTTCTAATAGAAGGCTGTTTTATCCATGTTAAAATCCATTTTTTAGTGTAGCCACCTTCACCAATTATCTTAGCTAGATCTTCTGGGTAACTTCTTATAGCTTTTACATCAGCACTTGCAGCTTCACCTTGCTCTTTCATGTTATGAAGACTGCTTCTTTCCTTAAAACTCATAAACCAGCCTCTGCTAACTTCACATTTTTCTTCTGCAGCAACCTCACCTCCCTCGGGCTTCAAAGAATTGAAGAGAGTTAGAACCTTGCCCTAGATTAAGTTTGGCTTAATGAATGTTGTGGCTGGTTTGATCTTCTATGCAGACCAGCCACAACAAACTTTCTTATCATTTGTGTTTCGCTTTTTTATCATTTGTGTATTTACCGATGTGCCACTTCTAACTTTATTCAAGAACATTTTCTTTGTACTTATAACTTGGCAAACTGTTTGGTACAAGAAGCCTAGTTTTTGGCCTGTCTTAGCTTTTGACATGCCTTCCTCAGTAAGCTTAATCTTTTCTAGCTTGTGATTTAAAGTGAAAGATATGCGACTGTCTTTTTCACTTGAACACTTATCAGACATTGTCACATTATTAAATTGCCTAATTTGAATATTGTTATGTCTTAGAATATAGAGAGGCCCAAGAACTGGAAGAGAGATAGAGGAAATGCTGGTTGGTGGAGAAGTTAGAACACATACATTTATTAAGTTTGCCATCAAATATTGGTATAGTTGCTGGTGCACCAAAACAATTACAATAGCGTATTAGTCCATTTTCACAATGCTATAAGGACATACCCAAGACTGGGTAATTTATAAGGGCAAGAGGTATAGTTGATTCACAGTTCCACAGGGCTTAGGAGGCCTCAGGAAACATAATCATGGTGAAAAGGGAAACAAACACATACTTCATCACATGGCAGGCACAAGGAGAAGTGCAGAGCAAAGGTGTGGAAAACCTCTTATAAAACCATCAAATGTCATGAGAACTCACACTCATTATCATGAGAACAGTGTGGAGATAACCATCCCCATTATTCAATTACCTCCCACCGGGTTCCTTCTGTGACATGAGGGGATTACAGGAACTACAGTTCAAGATGAGATCTGGGTGGGGACAGAGCCAAACTATATCAAATAGTAACATCAAAGATTACCAGTCACAAATTATCATAGTTCGAAATATTTCAAGAATTGCCAAAATGTGACTCAGAATCATGAAATGAGCACACTCTGTTAAAGACATAGCACCAAGAGACTTGCTCAATTCAGGGTTGCCACAAACCTGTAATGTGTAAAAAATGTCTCATCTATTAAGTAAAATAAAGTGAAGCACAACAAAATGAGGCATGCCTGAATTACGTGTTAATTTCAAAAATATACAGTAAAAAATAAACAGAAATGTGGATTAGTAACCATCCTTTACATAATTAGGAATGGGTTGCTTAAAAACAATCAAAGACCTTGTTAGACACATAGACCATACAGGGGGCCAGGTAGGTGATGTGGGAGAAGGTTCCCTGGAGTGTACCACCATTTATTATTTCTGCCTAAAGTGGGATATGGCCTTTGGGTAGAGCAAATAATAGGCAGCCAAGATGATCAGTGTCTTCAAATCAGGGATCATGTCTTCATTTTCTCTTATGTTGTAGTTCAGTCACAAAGTAAAACAATCAACCAACGAAATACAATCAACCAAGGAAATACTAAATGAGGACATAGCACCTACATCTATGCTTGTAGCACTGAGACAATAACATAAAATCATATATAGATCAATAATATATTTTATTAATTAGTACCACTACCTAATATGTCTATGCAAAATTACCTTTTAGATTCAATACTGATTTTCTGGCAAATAATAATGAGTGACATCTTCTGTTCTTAATATTCTCTTGTATTTCTAGAATATTGATTAAGCTTCTGACCAAAATGAAAATAAGCTTAAAATTTATAACAAAAAGAACTCGGAAAAAAGGAGAAACTACTGAAATTAAAAAAAAAAAAATGTAAAATAAAGCCAACAGAACCAACTGTTGGTTCTTTCAAAGGACTAATAAATTTGAAAAACTTCTGATAATTGTTCAGAAAAAAAGAAGACGAGAACAAAAGAACCATTTAAATCAGAAAGATATAACTATAGGAGATGTGTTTATTAAAAAAATTAATAAGCAAATATTGAGAACAACTTTTTGCAAAACATTTAAATAATCTGGTAACATATAAGAATCTTATCTAAGTCACCAAACATTAATCACTACAATAGTTTCAAGAAAAGTTGAGAAATTTGAAAAACCCTATATTAATTTGAAAAATAGATAAATATTTTCTCACCAACAAAATAATACCAACCAAACAAATAAAAAGGCACAAAAAATGGCCCTATACATATTTTGAGGAAATCATATGTTTTTAGTGGTAATATCGACCAAACATTTACAAAATAGATATTTTGACTTGAACAGAAACTATTTCACAATAACAACACAGGAAGAAACTGATATGGTTTTGCTCTGTCCCACCTAAATCTCATTTCAAATTGTAATCCCCATGTGTCGAGGGAAGGATCTGTAATCTTCACATATCAAGGGACAGACGTGATTGGATCATGGTGGTAGTTTCCCCCACACTGTTCTCATGATAGTGAGGGAGTTCTCATGAGACCTCATGGTTTTAAAAGTAGCAGTTTCCTTGCACTCTCTCTCTCCTACCACCTTGTGAAGAAGGTGCTTGATTCTCCTTTGCCTTCCATCATGATTGTAAATTTCCTTAGTCTTCTGCAGTCATACAAAACTGAGTCAATTAAAACTCTTTTATTTATAAATTAACCAGTCTTAGGTAGTATCTTTATAGCAGTATGAAAACGGACTAATACAGATACTAAACATTTTTTGCTTCTAACCTTATTTCATTGACATTTAAATAATAATTTTTTAAACTCAATAAAGACAGAAGAGAAAGAAAAATTAGGAGCAAATTTCTCTCAAGCAATGAAGTAATCCTGACAAAAAGTACAATAACAGTGTTCTTAATTTTATAAACTACTGTAACCAAGTTGAGTTTGTCCAAGAAATGAAAGATTACTTTAAGAGAGGGCAATTTATTAATATAATTCACTAGACAAATTGATTACAGGGGAACATCATATGATCATCTAAATAGACAGTAAAATATGATAAAATTCAAGTTTTCTTAACGTTAAAATAGCACAGAAAAGTATGAATAGAAGCAAATCTTCTTAATCCAAAAAGGTTGTCTGCAGTCTAGTGGTGTTGGGTATTGTAATAATAAATCTTGGGCAGCATTTTCTTTAAGATAAGAAATAATGGAAGGATTTGCTTTAGAACCACTATTCTTCCACGACTGGCCAATGCAAGAAAACAAGAAACATACATAAAGGTTATGAAGATTGAAACTAAAGTTTTATCATGATTCCTATATATACATGATATAATTAAGTAGAAATAAATATAATTATTAGAATTAATAAGAGCTTAATAACCTTTCTCTAGTAGAGCAATATAGATGAACAACTTACTATTTAAGTTTTCGGTAAATTCTTCATGTATGGGAAGATTGTTGTCACAAATATTTCAAATATTCCCAAATTGTTTTATTTACAAAATGCAATTTCAGCCAAATCTCTGTACTTTTATTTATTTTTAAATTAAACTTGGCATCTAATTCTAAATTTAATATGGAAATACTAAGGTCTAAGAAGAGCCAAGAAACTCTCAAAGCTGAGGTGAAATATTACACTGGATATTAAATAATAATAATTACAATTAAGATTGTGATAATAGCAAAGGAAAAAACAGAATGACCAATTAAACAGACTAGAAAGCCAGGAACCAATCCACAAAAATGTAGATATCTGACATATGAGAAAGTCGATATTGAATATCAATTGTATTACCTCCCTTCATAAAGGTGAGATGCTTATAGGGGTTGTGTACCTTTTAGTATTTCCTTGGTTGATTGTTTTACTTTGGGACTGAGATACAACATTCACGTTAACATCCTAATTCAAAATAGCAAGCACTATGATGTCAAGGGGAATGTATAATAAATGTCTTTATATAAACTTGTTGGAGTACATACTATGTAATATTTATTGAACACTTGATAGATGCCAGCATCACTTTAAGTCTTGTGCCTGTATTAACTTGTATAGTGATGGCTTATATGATCTCTTATGGCTTATATGATCTCTATTATCAACACTTTACACATGAAGAAACTGAGGCACAAAGTAATTAAGTATTTTGGTAAAAGTTCTACAAGAATAAGAGATAGAATTGAGATTTGAACGTAAGCCTTAAAAGACAGCGATTACTCTGTCTTACAATTTTGAAAATCAACAGACTTAAAAAGTTTATTTTCATAACTGGCAAAATTTACCCCTAGAAAATTATAAGCAATCACCCTTCAATTTATTTAGCACTATGTGAACAAAGGTGTTCATTTATTGTACTTAACTCAAAAATGTTTTATGTGTCCAAATATAGAATTGTGAAATAGACATTGATATATGTGCTTGTTATTACTAAGTTGCAGTTAAAACAAAATTTACAAACAGATTTTCTCACCATAATATAGTTCTATTACAATGTTAAGTGGAAAAAATCAGAATACAAAAATGAAAATATACCATTGTGTCACATACCACAAATGCACAGGTGAAAGAATAGAAAGAAAATATTAACAGTAGTTGTGTCTCGATGAAGACATATGGGGATGATTATTCCTTTTATTTCTCTGCTTTCTCTATTTATTTTGCAATAGCTGTATATTACCTATGCTATTTATAAAAAATTAAATTGGCTTTTTCTAAGTATTGTTTTTTAAAATATCAAGACACGTTATTAGTTTTGTGGTTCTAACAGCGCAACATAGCGGAAAGGCCATTTCTGGACCCATGAGTTTGCTCAGCAGTTCAACAAGTTTTTAGGCGTGGGAGGCTACTCATGCTTATTTAGGACAGAGAAAATTGAGGTTCAGAAAAACTGACTGTACAGATCTGTTCTGCAGATCAAATTAGGTAATCGAGCACAAAGGCTTTAAAAACAGAATGCCATTGCATTCTGGTAAATCGTGAAACATGCAGTCGAATGAAATACTTGTGATCTAATGGCAGAGGAAAATCAATAATATGTTATTTTAAGCTCTACCTTTGACTATCTCCTATTCAAAGAACATCTTCAGGAAGGAAAGTTAAGTTTTCTGCCCTTGACTTTTCACTGCTGAATAACATTCGTAATGCTCCTTATTTATTTAAAAAATGATTTTGGGATCAATGCATTAAACGGGTTTGGTTCAGAATAATACTAGCATCACAGAATGACATATTCTAGGCAACAAGATTTTAGCAAATGACATATCCAAATTATCTGAGGATCAAATCTTTAACATTAAACAGAAATGGGCCCAATTCATTTCTTTCTTTCTTCATGTAGGGTATATTTCTTCATGGTAGTGTTTAATATAATTTTGCAACAAATCTAGAGGATACTATAATGAGTGTCAAAAGAAAACTGGGCCACTCTTACAGAGTTTAAAAGGATATGTGCTACAAATTTGAAAGATAAGCAAGTATAGAAAAAAAGAAAACTCCATAAAAGAAACTGAAGGCCAGGAAAAGGCACAGATAAGGAGAGGTAGGAGGCCTGTTGGCCTGAATTAAGGGGGGTGTTTTATTAGCAAAAAGCAATGTCAATGGTCATGGCTGATTGATTCTTTTCATTTTTTTATCGCCAGTGATTTTCTATTGTGATTAGACCCCAAGGCCAGGAAGTTCGCAGCCTTTCTTGGCAAAATTCAATTCCCATTAATTTGAGTGCTTTTTTTTTCTTTACTATAAGTAGACCATGAAGGCAAGGTTAACACTATTTCATGTCCGTGTTTCATCTGTTGTGATTCGCCTTTCTATATCAAAACTATAAGTGCCCTTTGTATTCACAGTGGTAATTATTGTTTACATTACTTGGAGTTTGTTTTGTTCATGGTTTTTACCCAATTTGTCTGGGTGACCATTAACATAAACTATGGACAATTTGCAATAGATATATTAGAAATTAGTTATTAAAACAGTATTCAGAAAGATCAAGCTATATTCTGTAAAAGAGCAGAATTTTAACTACCCTTGAATGCCATAAAACCCTACTCTTTTCTTTTTAGTGAATGTGTACATTTTATTGCTTTTACTGGTAAAAAAAAGAAAAAAAAAAGACAGATGGCACAGAAATGGGGCCTAGGAAAATCACTTATAGTGAAACCAATTTTAATACCCATGCTAATAAAGTTCTTTCTATACATGTGTGCCAGATTTTTCCAGGAAAAAAGGGAGTAATTCTTCTTTTTGTCTAGGGAATTTAACTCTTTCAATACCCTGGGGCGCTTTACGGTGCATTAAATTATACTAAATAGCCCGAAAGAATTAACACACTTTCCAAGTCAAGTCTTTTATTTCTTTCTGCTGAGTAACATCAGGCCATTGATCATATTAGAAGGTCTAACCAACTCCCACAAGGCACTTTCCCTTATGTCAGAGCTAGCCAGGTGTGATGGTTTCCTTTCTTGAACTCCAATAAACTTTATAAGACCTATTCAACATCATTCAACTAAATCACATAATGGCAAATTTATAACTCAGTGGTGCTAAATGATGTAGTTGGTTGTCTCTACTGCTTGCTAGCTTAATATTAAAAATAAAGCCAGCTAACCCAACATTTGTCTGAAATTGTGTTACTTGACCTTTATCAACCCAAAGCAAGAGAAAAACTTCACGCCACACCATCTTTACCTTAATTATGTCTTTCCCCAATTGGTCTTGTAAACTTGGGGAGCCAGTCAAGCTTTTTATCCCACCTCAGGGGGTCAAGAGAATAGGAAACCTGTCACTAATTCCTTTCACCTCACAGGCAAAACTCCTTCACCCAATTAACTAAGGCCAGGTGCACCCTCCAGTGAGTCTGAGGAATGCAGAGAACTCACAAAGTCTGCTTCCAGCTTGCCAGAAAACAAGCCAAACCTGCACCTGATTAGCAAGCTTTGCTGGGGCGGCAAAAAGTTGGTAAATGTGTATATTTTTCTCCATGAAAGCTGGGAAAGATCATGGGTGTCGCAAGTTAAGTAATGATTGCCCAGGCCAAACAATATCCAGAGTGCTTTGTGCATTAACAGACCTATCCTTTATAGGAACCAGTTTATCAAGATAGACAAGTGGCAGCCACTCATGCTAATCAGCAGACATCAAGGTGCTGAGTTATGATTTGACCCAAGTGGCCTTTAACATATTCTGAGGATATATTTGGGGTGTGTTACTTACGGTTCGAATTTTCAAGAGTAAACATAAATATATTAAGATAAAATTAGTGGTGGAAAAACAGCAGCATATGGGGGAAAAGAACAAAAATCCCAATTCAGAAATTAGAAATGAGTATCCCAAGTATGAAACTATAACAAAGGTGGTGGCAGCAGCAGGTGGGGGTTATACAGGTGGGCGCTAGAGTTTCAAAGACCTGGATTGAAAACCCTGACCGAATTAGAACATCGCAAGTTCTATTTATTTGCATAATTGCCATAATTTCTCTGAGAGTTATTTGTCTCATCTGGAAAACTGGAAAAGTTATTATAATATAACAGTATTACATATTTTATAGGTTGTGAAGATTCAATGAGATAATGTGATCAGGACTTTGAGGACTGGCAGGCAAATAATATGCGCTCAGTAATTGGGAACTGTTGTTCTAATGATTGAAGACATTTAATTAGTGAAAGAAGCACAATAATTAAATGAAAAATATGTTTGTTCCCACAGGAGAAGTCAGCTTACTAAATGAGAGGTTAGGGCTTTGCCTAATAATTTGGCACCAAATGACTGGTATTCAGAAAATTAGAAGGGAATGGTTTAGACCTGTGATTTTCAAAATATGCTTAACTGGGTCCCAAAGCAGTTTTTTGAGGTGCCTTAATGTCTGTGTTGGAAAGAGAATGAGGCAGAGTAGAGACTGAACAGCCAACATTTCCCTTCGCTTCGATCATTTTGTATACTAGATTTTAATATACAATTCTATGGGAATAATAGGTTTGTAAAGTGAAACATGTAGATTATATGCTTATTCTAGCATAACAGCAGTTGTTTCTGAAGAGCTGGTTGTAACAATGAGATGTGATTCTCTGCGGTTTATATGCTCCAGATAAACATTGAAAATGCCCCCACCTGGAGTGCTAATATTAATTATACATCACTCACTTGTCGACCCGTTCTTAGGTGATGAAACTATTTTTGATCTACTGGGTTTTTCCAGTTACTATGGGTGGTAAAAGCCTTGACAGGTCATCAGTTCCACAGACGCGGTAGTGAAGGGTGTCTGCTCTTTGGTATTGGAGTCTTGATTCTTCAAGCCAACCCTCACAAGTCAATCACTGACCATTCCTTGCTGTTGAAAGGGCATGTAATTTTTTTTTCTTTTTTTTCTTTTTTTTGAGACAGAGTCTCGCTCTGTTGCCCAGTCTGGAGTGCAGTGGCACGATCTCGGCTCACTGCAAACTCCGCCTCTTGCGTTCACGCCATTCTCCTGCCTCAGCCTCCAGAGTAGCTGGGACTACAGTCGCCCGCCACCGCACCCGGCCAATTTTTGGTATTTTTTAGTAGAGACAGGCTTTCACCATGTCAGCCAGGATGGTCTCGATCTCTCCTGACCTTGTGATCTACCCACCTCGGCCTCCCAGTGTGCTGGGATTACAGGTGTGAGCCACCGCACCTGGCCAAGGGCATGTAATTTTTTAAGAAAGGATGTGTGCAGGAGGTTGCTGAGATCATCATTCTCACCAGAGGGTTTTCAGATTTCACCAGTGGGGTAAACTCAGTTAATATCTCATAAGCCTATCTTTCTTCTACAAAAATCCCCTATTTTTATTTTAGTGTCATGTGCATATTGTCTCTGTGACATCAATGCAGCTTTCTAAGAACTACTGTCGTGGCTCCTGTCTGATTCTTCTCCATTACAGGAAGGGTTTCAACAGTTAGGCCATAAGAGTGAACATATACTTGGCTCAGGTTCAGAGTAAATATTTTTAGCTGGATCCAAATACTTCAGGTTCAAAATCATGAGCTGTACTGTTAGCGGAGGCAAATCCATATGGGTCTGCAACAGCCTCCATTCTTGACTCCTCAGAGAAAATAATTCGACTGAGGGGCATCAGGCAGAGTGGGAGACTGAGGCAAATCTTAGAGCATGAGTTTAAATTTATTAAAAAGCCTGAGAACAAGAATAAAAAGAAGTAAAGTACTCTTCAGAGAGGTCCAAGTGGGTGATTTGAGAGATCGAGTGCACGGCCTGACCTCTTTTGACTTGGGGTCTTCTATGTTGGCATAGTTTCGGGGTCTTGCGTTACTTCTCCCCACTTACCCAACACCTGAGATCTTATGGGGAAGTGGCCGATCACAAGTTTCAGGTGTTTTCTGTTAGGAGACTGTGTGTCCCTGGCACTGGCTGTGACCAATTATTATTTTGGAGAGACAGTTAACAACCGTGTGACCATCACCTAATGGTCATCTGACCCTCCTGGTATACGTTGGGGGAGCCCTCTCCCGCCCTGCTTATACCTGACTAGCTATCTACCATAGCAGTACCCTACAGAATTTAACCTCAGCGTATGTAAATTATAACCCCCACATGGCTTTGACTCAGCATGAAATAGTCAAAGGAATACAATCCAGCAAGCAAAAGTACTTTCAAAACATTCCTGTCTTCACTTACAACTATCAAAGAACATTAAAGGAGATTTAATTTGTAATCCACAGCAACATCTTTGACAATTCCTTTTTGTCTTTCCTGAATTCTTTTCACCAGCTTCTTTGAGTATCTTGTTTGCCAAACATTCCCCCTGCTCCCTACCCCTGACACATTCCACTCTCTATTTCAAGTCTCGAAGTTATATAAAGTTTCCTTCCAGGCAATAGTACATAGTTGAGTTCCTTCCCTCTTTTCACATATGTAATGAATTCCAAATGGGAGCCCCAATAGCCTATAATGTGTTTGTGTTGCCTAGGTCATTTAATGCTTTTACACACAGGTATTACTTATTGACATGTTTATATTTTCTGTATAAATAGCCGAGATTTATAATCAAATGTTTGAGAAACAGTCCAAATATTGGAAGAAGCTAAATAAAAATTAATTGGAAGCAAATGTAAGTCATCTGCATACTTCTTACATTGTCTCTTAAAACAACCCCATCCTGTCTTTCTCTGCACTCATTTTCCACAGGAATAGACCATACTCCACCCATTTCCTATTCCAGGAATAATAATACACAATGTTATAACATTTTATTGCTCTAAGCCTATAAGCCAATAAATTGTTTAAGTTTTGGAGACTATTAAATCATTTTTGCCCGTTCAGGTATATAAAAAGTATTCTCTTTTCCTAGACTGCATTTTTCCCCAAAAGAACTGTCTTAAAATGTCTTTTATTAATGACCAAGTATTTTTAAGCCTAACTTTTCCAATGATTTTTCCTCTAATAAATGTTTTCAAGGGGAAAAATGAAATTAATAAAAAAGAACTCTATGAAATGGTCTAAGTCATATATGTGAGTTTCCTTAATAAAATTTTGAAACGCTTTTCTTTAATGTCCACTACCACTACATGCACATCGTAGAACAAAGCAGACCCTTCAAGAACACTTGGGGATATGGAATTATATATATGTGCTTATAACACTGAGTAAGGATGGAGAATATTCGAATGGAGGCTGCCTTTCTTTGTTACCACATCAAGTGACTTTTCAAAGAAATGTAGGTGGACATTGTGAGGTCAACTTTACTATTTAGATTTGGTCAATTTATAAAACTGGAATAATATGAAATAATACTTGCCATTCTGAGAGGTGACAGCGTCCTGGCGGCCCTCACAGCCCTCGCTCGCTCTCGGCGCCTCCTCGGCCTTGGCGCCCGCTCTGGCCGCGCTTGAAGAGCCCTTCAGCCCGCCGCTACACTGTGGGAGCCCCTTTCTGGACTGGCCGAGGCCGGAGACGACTCCCTCAGCTTGCGGGGAGGTGTGGCGGGAGAGGCGCGGGCGGGAACCGGGGCTGTGCGCGGGAACCGGGGCTGCGCGCGGGAAGCGGGGTTGCGCGCGGTGCTTGCGGGCCAGCTCGAGTTCCGGGTGAGCGTGGGCTCGGCGGGCCCCGCACTCAGAGCGGCCGGCCGGCCCTGCTGGCCCCGGGCAATGAGGGGCTTAGCATCCGGGCCAGCGGCTGGGGAGGGTGTGCTGGGTCCCCCAGCAGTGCCGGCCCACCAACGCTGCGCTCGATTTCTCGCCGGGCAGGGCTCCGGACCTGCGGCCTTCCATGCCTGAGCCTCCCCGCCCTCCGTGGGCTCCTGTGCGGCCCGAGCCTCCCAGAGGAGCGCCGCGCCCGGTTCCACGGCGCCCAGTCCCATCGACCACCCAAGGGATGAGGAGTGCGGGCGCACAGCGCGAGACTGGCAGGCAGCTCCACCTGCAGCCCCAGTGCAGGATCCACTGAGTGAAGCCAGCTGGGCTCCTGTCTAGCTCAAGGTTTGTAAACACGCCAATCAGCACCCTGTGTCTAGCTCAGGGTTTGTGAATGCACCAATCGACACTGTATCTAGCTACTCTGGTGGGGACTTGGAGAACCTTTGTGTCACACTCTGTATCTAGCTAATCTAGTGGGGATGTGGAGAACCTTTATGTCTAGCTAAGGGATTGTAAATACACCCATCGGCACTCTGTATCTAGCGCAAGGTTTGTAAACACACCAATCAGCACCCTGTGTCTAGCACAGAGTTTGTGAATGCACCAATTGACACACTGTATCTAGCTACTCTGGTGGGGACATGGAGAACCTTTGTGTGGACACTGTGTATCTAGCTAATCTAGTGGGGAAGTGGAGAACTTTTGTGTCTAGCTCAGGGATTGTAAACGCACCAATCAGCACCCTGTCAAAACGGACCAATCAGCTCTCTGTAAAATGGACCAATTGGCTCCCTGTAAAATGGACCAATCAGCAGAATGTGGGAGGGGCCAGATAAGAGAAATAAAAGCAGGCTGCCTGAGCCAGCAGTGGCAACCTGCTCAGGTCTACTTGCACATTGTGGTAGTTTTGTTGTTTCCTGCTCTCAGTAGTAAATCTTGCTGCTGCTTGTTTTTTGGGTCCACATTGCCTTTATGAGCTGTAACAGTCACTTCCAAGGCCTGCAGCTTCTCTCCTGAGGCCAGCGAGACCACGAACCCACCCGGAGGAACGAACAACTCCAGATGCGCCACCTTAAGAGCTGTAACACTCACTGTGAAGGTCTGCAGCTTCACTCCTGAAGCCAGCGAGACCACGAACACACCAGAAGGAAGAAACTCCGAACGCATGTGAACATCAGAAGGAACAAACTCAGGACATGCGACCTTTAAGAACTGTAACACTCATCGCGAGGGTCTGCAGCTTCATTCTTGAAGTCAATGAGACCAAGAACCCACCAATTCCCACCACAATTCTACTGTATTAGTCTGGGTCTTCCAGAGGAACAGGACCAACAGGTCTCTCTCTCTCTCTCTCTCTCTCTCTCTCTGTCTCTCTCTCTCTCTCTCTCTCTCTGTCTCTCTCTCTCTCTGTCTCTCTCTCTGTCTCTCTGTCTCTCTCTCTCTCTGTCTCTGTCTGTCTCTCTCTCTCTCTCTCTCTGTCTCTCTCTGTTTCTCTCTCTCTCTCTCTCCCTCTCTCTCTCTCTCTCTCTCTCTCTCTCCGCATACATAGAGAGGTTATGAGGAATGGCCTGTAGCTTACACAGTTAGGGAGGCTGAGAAGCCCTACAACCTTGCTGTTGGGGAGATGGAGACCCAGAAGAGCTGATGATATGTGCAGCTCCCATTTTTGTCCAAATGACTGAGAGCCAGGAGAATAAGGTACGTTTCAGTTTGAGTCCAAGTCTGAAGCCAGAAGACCAATGTCTCAGCTCAAAGTCAGTCAGGAAAAGTAAGCAAATTCTTCTTTATTGAGCCTTTTGTTGTGCGTAGACCCTCAGTGGATTATATAAGGCCCAACCACATTAGGGAAGGCAATCTGCTTTGTTCAGTTTATACATTCAAATGTAAATCTCATCCAGAAACACCCTCACAAATAAACCCAGAATAATATTTAAACAAATGCGTGTGTACTATGTGACCTAGTGAGGCTGACACCTAAAATTAATCACCACATCTGCTAATTAGGATTATTTTATGAGGCTCAAATAAAAATTATTGAAAATATATTAATAAGGTATCACTTGAGTGTTACTATATTTTTAGATATTCAAAATATCTGTGTCTTTGTACGTTTATAGACACAGACCTAAACTTACATAGTCAATACATATTTTAAAACCTACAATAATTAATTTGGATAAAAGCCCCTGTAGGGAAAGGCCACAAAATGTTGCCCATTCATTTCTATATAGCTGTGCTGTCCAAAATTGTATCCACTAGTCAAATGTAAATATTGAGTATTTGAAATGTGTTTAGAATGACTAAGGATATAAATTTTAGTTTAATTTTAATTAATATAAATTTTAAAACAATAGGTAATTCAGTTCCTGAAAACTTTTAAGCATGTTTGGAATAACTTGAATAGATGAATCTAGTCTTTCAATATAAATGAAATAAAATCTAAATTTAGGTCAATATTTCAGACAAAAATTTAGCATCCAAATTAAGAAGTACAATAAACATAAAATATTCTCCTGGGTTTTAAAACTTGATGTGAGAAATAGAATGTAAAATATCTCATTAATAATTCTACCATTGGTTACAAGATAATATTTTTGATATATAGGTTAATAAAATATATCGTTAAAGTTAACTTCACCTGTTTTTTAATGTGGCTATTAAAAAAATTAAAATTATATATGTGACTTGCATTTTCTTTCTGTTGGACAGAGCTGCTATATGTTAATGATAACTTCAAGTTAGAATGAATGTCAAATTCAGGCTTTAAGTTTAGAAAACAGTAGTATGGAGTCTGAGGGTGTGTGTAAAATAAAAAAGGGCAAAATATTGGTTTTCGTGTGTCTTATTTCAAAGCCTATACAGTTCTGCAATAATTTCTTGGTATCACAAACATTTATAACACAATTTAGGTGATGTACAGTGCTTTAATGTCATAACTAAAGTAAAAAATGAAATAAATTAGAATTCTTCCAATCCCCACAGAATAACACATGTAGGTCACAATTTGTAATATTGGAAAATTTTTTTAACAGCATAATGGTTTATTTTGTTATCTATTTCAAATATGTGTATGTTAAGCACCATCTAAAGTTAAAACTGATTATTTGAATGACATTTTGCAATGTAGCTATTTCATGTACCTAGTTAACAAATACTTATTTACCGGCATGCTTCGGCACTGGGATATAATGGTAAGCAAGAAAGATTAGAGTTCATATCCTAATGGAACTTATAGGGACCAATAATAGTTAAATAAAAAATAAGTAAATATTATATAATAAATATAAATAAAATATAATAAGTCCTTTGAAGTGAAGATGTAATGGAATTCAAAAAATTTTCATTAAATACTTGAAAGTGGAAAACTCTTTGGATTGTGCTGAGGAGAGAATAAGAGGTGACAAATTAGAGTCATTAAATCTGGGCAGCTTTCTGAAAGTTTGACAACAAATGAGATCCAAGAAAAGATAAGATATCTAAGGGGTAATGGGAAGTAAATGTGGGATTTTAAAAGATGATACTTTTTAGAGGTCTTTGAAGGCATTGGTAATAGCCAAGAAGGAAGAAAGGATACAATGATGCAGGAAAGTGAGAGGATAACCAAAGCAGCAGTTTGTGAAAAACTGGAGTGCAAGGCTTCTGAGTACAGAAGAGAAACGATCTTCTATAGCAGGAGAGATACCTCATGCATTGCAAAGGAAGGAAGGAGAATAGTAGAAAGAGAAAGGAATTTCTATCCAATGAATAAGATGTATAAATGTAATGCAAGATCATCTGCCAAGGTCTTGAACAATTGAGCAGAAGACATGCAACTGTTACCGGATGGCATGAGAAAATTAGCCCACTAGAGACAGTTCCTGGGCATGACTTAATACAAATTTGAGGTTTATGTTAAAAATAAGGTTGTAAAAAAGTCTCGTTGATTGTGTAATTACTTACATCAAATATGATAGCTCTGGTTCTGATGTGGAGAAAATAAGTGAAGTATTCATTCATGATTGGGATTTTGTCAATGAAGAACTCAATGACCAAGGAAATGATTAAAGTGATGGAAAATGTGAACTCGGCTGGAAAAGAATATAAATGGAGCCAAGGGTGAGGAATGACGTGGGGAAAGAAGATGTACTGAAGAGTCAAGTAATTCTGTCAATAGAGGTACATGAGCAATTTAATCCAAATGGAAATGATGGTTGCAAAGTGGGATTATGTGCAATAAAGAATGCAAAGTTGTCCAAAAGGTCTAATATATCAAATCTAGAGCATAGCCATGGGAGTGTTTGCCTAAAATTGACTGGTTTGGTGAAGATTACAAGATTCTAATACGTAGGCTTTTGGATGCTTTATTTGTGAGGATATTTGTGTCCCTAAGTATAATCAAAGAGGTTTCAAGAAAAGAAGATGGTTGCAATAAACTATAGTCTATAGTGAATGAAAGGGAGCAACTAATATGTTAGTAAATAACAGCAATTAGGAGAGGACAGGAGGGAATTATATCTTTATGGATTAATTATCAAGAAACTTTTTTTTGTAAGAAGAAAGAAAGTAATGATCTATTAGCAAAATAGACATATAGACCTTACTTCATGACCCTGAAGATCTGGTAGAGTGGAAAAAAAAATAAGTCTGTCCAAGAGGAATGCTAGGATACCCCTAGGGCAAACAGGTTTTAAGAGATTGTCCTAGGAAAGTGCTGAGGAAAAAGGAATATGCTGAATACAAACCAGAAGTTTCAGAGCATGTATTGAAAGGATATGTATAAAAGAAAATGGAGCCCCTAATGGTTTAGATTGGGGGATGAATACAGAAGTATAGGATTGTGAGGCTGGATAGAACTAATTCTTTATTCTCTGAGATAAGGACATGAAATCATAACCAGAATGCAGACCCCAAATACTGCCTTTGGTGTCATAGCAGCCTAAGAGTTGGATGCGTCTTGAGGTCATCAACCTTATGAATGTGATTATAAAACAGCAGCTTTTTGGAGTGTTTTGTATAATTTTCTTATTTATTTCAATTCAAGCTATGATTAGTATATTTATTCAATATGTATAACTCATATATATATATTTAATTCTGAGTATACATCTATGTTTCTTTGCCTGTTAATTTAATACTATATTAATAATGTATGTAAATGCCTAAAATATTCTTATGCATATGTGTTTTATAAAGCAATAAAAAAGTTTTTTTCCATATTTACTTTCATGAGCATGTCATACAAAACCAAATAAATTACAAAATCTGTAATGTCCATCTTCTCATTCAGCAAACATTTAAAGCTTTGACATAATCTCGGCTTTCAAACTAATTTATAAAGTATATGGGATCCAAATCCCTGGAATATTATCTATACCATTCTAATTTATGTTTTCGTAGCAACCTACTATTTGAAGATAGCTGTAATGTCAATAGGAAAGTATTTCATAAGCTTTTCCCCAAATTTGCAAGTTTTACACTCATGAGTAATGCACTAACAAATTTTCAATGATACTAAAAGTTCAGTTTCAATGTAAGATTTTTATTTAATTTTTTTAAATTTTTTATTGTAAGTAGCTTATGTTGTAAAAAGTTGACAGGCTCACTTTTAGTCTCACTATACTAATTTATTTGAAATGAATTCTGTTATTTAGCAGCAACAAATTAGTATTTTCTAAAATGTTATTTCACTGACAACTTGAGGATAGACTTATAGTTATAAAAGTTGTCCTTATACAAGAAATAGTTTTGATCACAAGCTACTGTCTCTGAGTAACTTTTTCTGGAATGTTTGGTAAATTGCTTTTATTTTGTTTACATTCCTTAGTGTTAAAAATTATTCGGTTCTAATAGTAACAGTTTATTCTTCAAGACAAATAAAGCTTTCAGACCAAACTATGCATATAGTTTTAAAATTGCACTTGTATTTAAAATGTAATATTTTTACATTTTAGCTTTGTATATTTAGGAATTCTTCAAAATATGAAACATCACCTTTTATTTATCCAATCATTTTAAATTAGTTTTAAAAATCTACATTCCATTTCAGTATCATCCCTTTATAGCACTTATCAAATATCTTTCAAAATACTAATTATAATTCTTCTAAAGTTCCTTAATCTTTCCAGAAATAACTATATTTCTCCGAGGGTGAGTTTCTTTCTTTGCTCATCTTAGTCTTTCTTCTTATTGTTGCTGGCTGTTATCATATATCTTGTGTGGTAGCCCTGGCATTGCAACTCTGAGATCTTTCTTCAAGAGGATCTGCTGCTGAGAGTATATTTGGCTAACTAGATCGAGTTGCTGTACCTTTGGGATCCATTACAGTGTTCAGAGATAGGCCAGCCCCAAGGCTGTTCACATACGTTTAACTATGGCAGAGTAAGCACAACTAGACCAATCCCAACCAATGCAGAACTTCTTTACCGGGCAGTCTTGGCTTGGGGAACTCTTTAAGTGTTGGCTGAGTGTCTCAGAGCTGAACTACCATCTCATGCTCTTTCTTCCCAATCTTTCTTTCTTCCTTCTTTTCTTCCAAAAGTTTTCAGACCTGCATTTCAAACTGAAGGCTCTCTTGCCTTCTCTTGCTCCCCTCAAGTTTATATTTCATGGATATTTAACCCAATATAATCCTTACACCTCTACTCCTATCTTTGTGTCTGCTTCCTAGAGTACCTTGACTGACCCATGTATTCATTCTTGATTTTCTGTAGACTAGGTATATTACAATAGTTACTTTATATAGGTTACCTCAGTTTTCCTTAGCATTTCTTTGAAAAGCAGGACAAATTTCAAACTATATCCATGGGTGGTATGTCCTAAATGACAAGATTCATTTTTGTTTTTGTAGAGTGGGCACAAGCTAGGAGGCTACCAAATTTGTTTAGAAAGCCTTTGACCACTTTCAGCCTGAGGAAGGGAGACCAACACCTTAATTTGGGGTAGGTAGAGGTGGTTGTGGGGAGGTGGAGGCACTGATCTATGTGCTATTGTCCTGTTAGAGTGTTGGCCCTTCCTCACACTCTGATTCTGTAAATTTTGCCAGTTCTGGAAAATTCCATTGTGGAAAACTGAAAACTTCTTCACCAAGTTCCAGTTTCTCTCGTACATGTGGTATACCATAGCTCTTCTGGTTCTTGACTGATTTCTATAGCCCTTCCCACCTTGCCGGCCTTACCTCCTTTTGTACAGAACTGCTGTGGTAGCCTCTTTTCTACAGGCTGCAAGCAGTTTCTCACAAGACTGATTCGAGCGGATCTTGCATCAGCTCCCTGACATATCTAACATTATGTCCCAGGGCTTCTGTGACAGGGGATGTGGGGGAAGTTCCAATAGGACCTCGAGAAAACCCTGGGAACTCAATTAGGTAACTTGGAGCCTGTAGTTTCAGTTGGGATCAAATAGAAGAGAAGGTTATATAACAAAGCCAGTTGTGTTTTTTACGATTAATAAGGTAGAAATATCCACAATACTGGGGTAGAACTCATGCTCTTCAAAGTATTTAAGATGATCTTTATTATGTAGTGTATGGTGTTGGAAATTAAACTCTAGTAATATTAAAGGACGTACTTCTCTACTTTCATTTTGATAATTTTTTGGAAGAAGGGAGGAGTAATCACTTGTGTTTAGTGTTCCATCTGAGAACAAAAAAAAAAACATGTATTTCAAGTTGTATGACAATTCCATTTATTTATTTATTGAGACTGAGTCTTGCTCTATCACACAGGCTGGAGTGCAGTGGTGCAATCTTGGCTCACTGCAACCTCCACCTCCCGGGTTCAAGCTATTATTGTGCCTCAGCCTCCCGAGTAGCTGGAATTACAGCTGCCCGCCACCATGCCTGGCTAATTTTTGTATTTTTAGTAGAAACAGTGTTTCACCATATTGGCCAGGCTGGTCTCAAACTCCTGACCTTGGGTGATCTGCCCGCCTCGGCCTCCCAAAGTGCCGGGATTACAAACATGAGCCACTGCACCCAGACTAATTCCTTTTATTTTTAAAATTAAATTTATTAATAGAGTTTAGATGAGTCATTTATAAAATAAAAAACAATATGTAAAATCAAAAAAGCATTAAGAATTTACAATAGATACTAAAACTACACTAAAATATTATCACAATATTATATTAAATTCTTAGGATAATATTGATTTTTATACCAAAATGATTCTTGCCTGTGATAAATTTTAGTTAAGTAACACATAGTATTTTTTTTCTTTCTCATCTAGTAAAAGTATTTAAAATATATATCAGGGACTTCAAAACCATATTAAATAAACGTACTTTTCTTACTGTTCTATTTTATGTGCATATCCAACTTTCCATCTCCAATGCTAAGCTGTGAGGCTTGTTGCTGCAAGAGTGTAGATGCTTCTTAGGACAATTAGGACAGTGATCAGCTTTGGGTATCAAAGTCGACAGCATACTTAAATCTATTCAAAAATGATATTCCTGACACTCAAAATTTACTTGTAGAAAAAGAAATTACCTAAATTACTTTATTTACTATTTCTATTTTAAGAGCCAGGTATAGAGGCACATAAATGATTTTTAGAAATACTTATTCTAGAATCAAAGTAATAAAAACATTTTATTAGTTCAGCATCACTCACAGAATCCATATATATGCATATATATTTAAAAATTAAAACAAAACTTTTTGACATAACAAAACTTCACTTTGCTAAATGCAAATCACCTTGCTATTTTCTATTTAATTTAAAAAAATCAAACAACCAACCAAAGTTTGGTTGTGACCAATTTTTTTTAACCCAATTGCATTGAAAAGCTTGGACTAAATGATAGACTTTATGATTTTACAATTTTCATGGAACAGGAAATTCAGAATTTTTCTTAGAGAAAATTTAAAACCTTCTGGTTTGAGAAGAGTGGCAGAGGAAAGACTGAAAGTTCAAATTGAAGTTCTTTACTCTCTAATGGTAGAACTATTAGGTGCAAATATCCATAGTACTGGGGTAGAACTCATGCTCTTCAAAATATAGAGATGATCTTTCTTACATATTACATGGTGGTGGAAATTAAATCCTAGAAATATTAAATGACATCTAAATAGTAGTAGGGCCGGTACCACTTTCTAGAGTTCTTGGGTTAAAATATTGCTTTTTTTTTTTTGCTGTCACACAAACCTTCTTATAGACTTTATTTTGAAAACTACTGATTTACTTTTTGCCTTTAATATGTTATTCAAGGTAAATGGCTTATTCTAAGAAATGTGACTTCAAAAGGATCATATGCAAAACATTTGTATCTGGCACACTTTCTACAGAGTAAATTCAATACGTTTAAACTTTTTAAGTCTGAAGGTAAGAAAAAAAAAAAGCCAACATGAATGACTGATTTAAAATGAGAAAGTTGTGCAGTGTTAGCCACCAAGATTCTAGTGAGGTCATGACGAAAAAATGGGTGCTGTGTTTAGCTACACTGAAGTGAACGAATTTCATGCCAGCTCAAGATGCTTATAAATTCCCTTTAAAATGTTGTGGCTAACTGCTCCAAAGAATGTGCAAGTTGATTTAAATAAGTTTCCAGAAACTGAACTGTTTATTTCAGCCTTCTCCAAAAAGCTTTGATATGTAAATCAATTTGGAAACAAAGATATGTTTGCCTCTTAATGTTTCCATTCTCTATGTGTGCTAAATGGCAACCTTCGAATAATTTCCTTTGATCTAAGAAATAAGACTAAGTTAGATTTTGTAAAGGTCAGGGTGAGAGGAAGAGATTTAATCCAATCCAACCAAAATGAAATCAATTTGCAGTATTCTCCACATACGAAATAACGTGAGCTGTGGGAACAGATGTAAGTTGGTTTAAACACCTATCTGACACTGTGGCCTAAGTCAAGACAACAACCATCTTGAAGCTTTGGTTTCATTACTTATGAAATGGGGATAATTGTGCTTACCTTCTGGGTTTTGTAGGAGTGAGTGGTCCCACCTATAAATATGTAACCCAGTTCTGACTTAGAGTGAGCTCCCAAACCATGGTAGTTACTCACATGCTTATTTTTACACTCATTAATTATAAGGGTCAGGACAGTGGTTCCTGCTGAATGTACTAAGAAGAGTAATAAATAATCCTTGAAAAGGCCAAAAAATAGCTTAAAGTACAGTAAAGAAGTAGACTATTTTAATAACTGTGGCTAACTTGAATATATCCAAGAAGGGCCCCTGGTTATTTTCTGAAACAAATAAGGAAAAATATTGTCAATGTTCTTCACCTTTATCCTTGTGTGTCTAATTGAAATCTGGCACCTGACAGGCCATAATACCTTTCCCATCTCTTTCCCCAGAGCAGAATAACATTTAGTCAGTATACCCTAGAATAAAATTATTGCTTTATGTGGCTGATACTCATTCTGTTGGGTCAGTGCCATTGCCATATGAGTTGCTAAATATTTTGAGTATCACCCCTACTTCCATGCCAGTTTATAGGTATGTTAAGACAAAAGACACAAGAATTCTCTGATGTTGAAATGGTGCAAATTGTTTTTCTGGGCTGAGTACAGTTTTCTTGCTTTGAACACAAAGGCTCATTTATACCCCTTGGTAACTAAATAAATTGCGAATATTCTCAAATTTGACCTTCTGGAAAATGGTGTAGATAAATTGTATCAGATTTTATTCATCCAAAGAATAAAAATGTTTTCTTCTAATCTGAAGTTTCTGGAAGGTATCTTAATCAGGTTGATATTGGTCTTTACTGGTTTTCCAGATTATTTCTTGTGAAACACTTGCCATATGACCAACAGCTGTGTTTTTTTTTAAGCAAACATATTTTCACTGAAAACATCAGCACTGGTATTTTCAAACAATTACATTAAAACTTTGGCAAACAAGGAGGGAAATACTGTGGATTTTTAGAAATAGCATCTTCCACCACTTCCAGTTAGCCTTTAATTTCTATAGATGTCAGTAGCAATTGGCTTTGTGTTCTGATTACTTATTGTTTATCAACAAAACAGTCAATATTACTGATACTTCTTTTCAAGTTGAATTTTCAAAATTTGGATTGAAAAACACATGACATCTACCCTCTTAATAAATTTTAAGTGCATCATACAGTAATGTTAATTATAAGCACAGTGTTGTACAGCAGCTCGCTACAAGTTTTTTCATCTTGTGGGACTGAAACTTTATACTGATTGAACAGCAACTTCTTATGCCCTTCTCTCCTGGCAACCGCCATTCTACTCTTTTCTTTGATGAATTAGACTACTTTAACTGCCTCATGTAAGTGGAATCATGCAGTATTCTGTGAATGGCTGATTTCACTTAGCATAATGTCCTCAAGGTTCATCCGTGTTGTACCATATGATATGATTTGCTTCTTTTTTATGTCTAAATAATATTCCATTTTATGTATATACTTTCTATGGTCTGAATGTTTGTGTGCCCCCAAAATTCGTATGTTGAGATCTTGACTCTAGGGTGCTAGGGTGATAGTATTAAAATATGGGATCTTTGGGAGGTAATTAAATCAGGAGGTCAGAGCTTTCTGGAATTAGTAATCTTATGAAAGAAGCCTCACTGATTTTTTCTTTTTTTTTTTTTTGCCTCTTTCAGCATGTGAGGATGTAATGAGAAGGCCATCAATGAACCAACAATGAAACAAGGCTTATGAGACACCAAATCTTCTGGTGCCTGATCTTGGACTTCCCAAGATCAGGAAATTGCCCATGGGCAATAAATTTCTGTTACTTATAAGCTACCAAGTTTGTGGTATTTTTATAGCAGCATAAATCAACTTAAATAAAACCACATTTTCTTTATTCACTTATCTATTGAGGAACATTAAGATGGTTTCCACCTCTTGGTTATTGTGAATAACACTGCAGTGAACATCAAAGTGAAAATATCTCTTTGAGATCCTGATTTTGACTATTTGTGATAAATACACAGATGTGAGATGACTCAATCATGTGGTCATTTTACTTTGAATTTTGTCAGGAACCTCCATACTATTATCCGTAGTGACTGTACTATTATATATTCCCACCAAAGGGCACAAAGGTTTTTAATTTCCCCACATCCTTGTCAACACTTGTTATTATCTGTTTTGTTGTTGTTGTTTGGTTGGTGTTTCTTTTTTGGTTGTTGTTGTTGTTTGTTTGTTTTTGATAGTAGTCCTCCTACAGGTGTAAGGTGATATCTCATTGTGGTTTTGACTTGTATTTCTCTGATGATTAGTGACGTCAAGTATTTTTTTCACATGCCTGTTGGCCATTTCATTGTCTCCTTTGGAAGAAAATGTCTATTCAAGTCTTTCTTAGTATACTTTTTGTTACTATAATTTCTGAACCTGGGTAATTTAGAAAGAAAAAGGGTTTGGTTCATGGTTCTGCTGGCTAGAGGGTTCAAGATTGGGCATCTGATAGGCTGCTTTCTCTCATGTCAAAAGGCAAAGGAGAACTGATGTATGCAGATAGCACATAGTGAGGGAAGAAACGAGGAGGGAGGGTGACAGGCTCTTTTCAACAATCAGCTTTCATGGAAACTAGTAGAGCAAGAACTCACTCACCCCGAGAGAGGGCATTAATCTATTAATTAAATATTCACCCCCATGACCCAAACACCTCCCATCAGTCCCCACTTCCAACATTGGGCACCAAATTGCAATCAAATTTCAACATGGGATTTTGTGGGGTCAAATATCCAGTCTTAGCAAAGTTTTTGTCTATTTCAATGTTTTCTTGGTGTTGTTGTTATTGTTTTTGCTATAGATTTGTAGAAGTTCTGGATACTGTTGTCATTGTCAGTTTAGGCTGTTTTAACAAAAATTCCATAAACAAAAAGATTTATTATAATTCTGGAGGCTGGGAAGTTCAAAATCAAGGTCCTGGCCTATTTGGTTTCTGGTGAAGGCCGGCTCCCTTCCTGTTTTGCAAACAGACACCTTTTTTGTTGCATCTTCCCATGGCAGAAAAAAAAAATCCCTCTCTAATCTCTTCTTATAAAATCACCAATCCCATTTACGATCATTCCAACCTCATGTCCTGTGGACTTTTCATATGTGACTCTTGCCATGATGAGGTCATTTTCTTTTATTCCTAGTTTGTTGAGTGTTTTTATTAGGAAAGCATGTGGAATTTTGTAAAATGTTTTTTTTTAATGTATCAAGATAATTGTGTGAATCAATTATGTTATTATGGTATATTGCAGTGATTAATTTTCATATGTTGACTTGTTCATGGTGTGTAATCCTTTATGTATGCAGCTGAATTGGGTTTGCTACTGTCTTGAAGATTTTTGCATCTCTGTTTTTCAGAATTGTTGGCCTGTAAGGTTTTTTCTCTTCATTTATTTGTCTGGCTTTGGTATAAGGCTAGCCTCAGAAAAAAATTTGTTTGTTTCTTGCTACAATTTTTGCTAAGAGATTGAGAAGGATTGGCACTAACTCTTCTTAAATGCTTAGCAGAATTGACCAGTGAAGACATTTGCTCCTGAGCTTTTCTTGGTTGGCATATTTTTATTACTAATTTAATATTCTTACTTGTAATTGATCTGTTCAAATTTCCTGTTACTTTGTGACTCAGTCTTGGTAGGTTGCATGTTTCTCGAAACTTATCAATTTCTTCTAAGTTATCCAATTTGTTGGTATGTAATTGTTCATGGTAGATTTTTATGATCATTTTGATTACTTTGGCATCAGTTGTAATAACTCCTCTTTGATTTATGATTTTATTAATGAGCCTTCTTTTTCTAGACTATGAAAAGATTTGTCAATTTGTTGATCTTTTCAAAAAATTAACTAATTTTAAAAACACCATCATTAATTTTTTTCTATCCTTTATTGTGTTTATTTCTGCTCTAATATTTCTTCCTTCCTTCTGCTAAATTTTGGCTTGTTTTGCTCATTTTCTGTGTTCTTATGGTATGAAGTTAGGTTTTTATTTGAAAGCTTTCTTTCTTACTGATGTAAGCAATTATTGATATAAATTTGCCTCTCAGTACTGCTTTTGCTAAGTCCCATAAGTTTTAGTATATTCTATTTTTGCTTACATTTGCCACTAGATACTTTCTAATTTCACTTTTTTTGTTTTTTTTAATCAATTGGTTGTTACAAGTTTGTTATTTTCCACATATTGGTGAACTTTTCAATTTTTCTTCTGCTATTAATTTCTAGTTTTATTTTATTGTGGTCAGAAATAATACTTGATATTATTTCAGTCTCCTTAAATTGATTAAGACTTGCTCTGTGGCCTGACATGTGACATGTGATCCATTCAGGAGATGTTCCACGTGCACTTGAGAAGAATGTATCTTCTGCTGCTGTTGGGGTGAAATATTCTGTATGTCTGTTAGATCCATTTTATCTACAGGACTGTTCATGTCTTCTGTTTCCTTTTTGATCTCCTGTCTGCATGTTCTATCAAATATTGAAAGTAGAATATTAAAATCTTCTACTGTTATTGTGTTGCTATTTATTCCTCCTTCTGTTCTGTCAATGTTTGCTTCACATATGTAGATTCTCTGATGTTGAGAGCATATTTATTTATAATTGCTATAGTATTCCGTGAATTGATCTTTTATCAGTATAGAATATCCTTCTTTGTCTCTTGTGACAATTTCTGACTTTTAGTCAATTTTGTCTGATATAAATATACCACCCCTATTCTCTTTGGTTTATTATTTGTATTGAATAACTGTTTTTTTCCTTTCACTTTCACTCTATGTGTGTTTGTAAACATAAAGTGCATCTCTTTTTGCCAAACTTAGATTTTGTTATATAGCATAAAGTTGGATTTTGTTATTTTACTCATTCATCCACTCTATGTCATTTGATTCAGGAGTGTAGGTTTTTGTTTTTACATTTAGAGTACAATCTTTTACCTTTACTTTTTTTTTACATTTAAATTCCCATTGTTAGATTATTATAGTATTATGTATTTGCAAATACATTTTCCATTACCAGTAAGCTTTCTACTTCTATAAACTCTCATGTTGCTGTTTAGTGCCTTTTTATGTCAACTTGAAGGACTCCCTTTAGTACTTCTCGTAAAACATATCTAGTATCGAGGGAATCCCTCAGCTTTTGTTTAACTGGAAAAGCCTTTATCTCTTCTTTATTTTTGAATTACAATTTTGCTGGATATAGTATTTTACATTGGTAGTTTTTTTTCTTTTCAGCACTTTAAATTTATCATCTCACTCCTTCCTGTCCTACAAAGCTTCTACTGAGAAATCCACTGATAGTCTCAGGGAGGTTTCCTTGAATGTGACAAGTCCCTTTTGTTTTTCTGCTTGCAAAATTCTCTTTGTCTTTGATATTTGATAATTTGATAATAATGCATCTTGTCATGAAATTCATTGAGTTTTTCTTATTTGGGATGTATTAGGCTTCTTGAATCAGCAAAATCAATCTGGATGACTCTTTCCTTCCCTGGATTTGGCATGTTTTTTATCATTATTTCCTTATATAGGTGTTTCTCCCCTTTCTTTCTGTGTCTTCTACTTCTGAGCTATCCATAATACATACATTGGTCCACTAGATGTTATTGCATAATTCCCTTAAGCTTTCCTCATTTTTTCTTATGCTTTTATTGCACTAAAGACACCAACATAAAATTTACCATCTTTATAATTTTTAAGTGGGTACAGTATTGTGGTATATCATACCTTCATAATGTGCAACCAACCATACTGTTTTTCACAGTGAATATACCACTTTACATTCCAACCAATAGTGTACAAGAATTTCAATTTTTCCACATTTTTGTTGACACTTGTTAGTTTCTGGTTTGCATGATAGTAGCTATTCTAATATGTATAAAGTTATATGTCATTGTAATTTTGCATTTCTCTAATGATTAGTAACTTTAAACATTTTTACCTGTGCTTATTAACCAATTGTATTGCTTCTTTCATAAAATATCTATTCAAATCCTTTGCTCATTTTTAATCAGGTTGTTTGTTGTTGAGTTTTAGGAGTTTTCTATATATTCTAGATATTAATTCTTATATGAGCATATAATTTGCAAATATTTTCTCCCATGCTGTGGGTTGTTTTTTTAGTACGTGGACAGTGTCTTTTGATTCACTTAAATCTTTTCTTCATGATTCAGTTTGTCTATTTCTTTCCTTTGTTGCTTGTACCTTTGGTGTCATATGCAAGAAATCACTGCAAAATCTAATGTCGTAAAATGTTTGTCCTATATTTTCTTCTAAGAGTTTTATAGTTTTAAGTCTTGCATTTAGGTCTTTGATCCATTTTCAGTTTTTGTATATCTTATCAGGTAAGTGCCCAATTTTATTCTTTTGCATATGGATATTCAGTTTTCCTACCACTATTTGTTGAAGAGACTGTCTTTTTTCCATTGAATAATTTTGGCACCCTTGTCAAAAATTATTTGATCATGTATTTGAGAGTTTATTTCTAGGCTGTCTATTCTATTCTGTTGGACTATTATCTTTATTTATGCTATTACCATATTATTTTGATTACTTTGGCTTTTTAATATGTTTTAAAATAAAAAAATTGAGTTCTCCAGCTTTGTTTTTCTTTTTTTTAATTGTTTAGACTATTTAGGGTCTCCCGAGATTTTATATGAATAGTAGAATGTGTGTTTCTATTACTGCAAAGAATGTCATTAGAGTTTTCATGGGAGTTGCTTTGAATCTGTAGATCATTTGGGTAGTGTTGACATTTTAATAATATTAAATCTTCTAGTCTACAAACATGGGATGTGTTTCCATTTGTTTATGGATTCTTTAATTTTCTCAAGCAATGTTTCATAGATACGATGGTACAAGTGTTTCCCTCTTTTGGTTAAGGCAATTACTAAGTATCATATTATTTTTGATGCTATTGCAATTGTAATTATTTGCAAAATTTTCATTTCAGATTACTCATTGTTAGTATATATGCAACTGATTTTTGCACATTGACTTTGTATCCTTCAGCTTTGCTGAATTTGTCAGTTCTAGTAATTTTGTTGAATCTTTATAGTTTTCTATGTATAAAATCATATTATTTACTGAGATAATTTTACTTTTTACTTTGCAATTTGGATGCTTTTTTTTTTTATTGCCTAATTGCCCTGGCTAGAATTTCCAGTACTATTTTGAATAGAAGTGACAAAAATGAACATCTTTGCCTTGTTCCTTATCTTAGAAGAAAGGCTTTCTTTCTTTCACCAGTGGGTATGATGTGTGCTGTGGGTTTTGTATATATGACCTTTACTATGTTGATGATGTTTTATTATATTCCTAGTTTGTTGAGTCTTCTTATCATAAAAGGATGTACAATTTTGTGAAAATGCTTTTCTGTCTTAATTGAGATGATCTTGTGTTATTTTTTGCCCTTCTGTTAATGCAGTGCATTACATTGATTCATTTTTTTATGTTGAACCACCCTTATATTCCAAGAATAAATTCCACATGGTCATGGTGTATAATCTTTTAAAAATGGTGTCATACTTGATTTGTTAGTGTTTTGTTTGAGGATTTTTTGATCAATTTTCATAAATGATATTTGACTTTTTTTAAAATGTGTCTTTGTCCAGGGAACTACTGACCTCATCCAGTAAGTTAGAAAGTATTCCCTATTATTCAATTTTTAAAAATAGTTTAAGAAGAATTGGTGTAAGTTCTTCATAAGTTTGGTATAATTTGCCCATAAGCCTAGCAGACATAGGGCTTTTCTCTGTTGATATGTATTTTATTACTGATTCATCTCCTTACTATTTATAGGTCTATTAAGATTTTCTATTACTTTGTGACTTATTCTTGGTAGGTTTTGTGTTTCAGGAATGTGTTCATTTCTTCTAACTTATTCAACTTGTTGGCATACGATTGTTCTTAGTATTTTAATTGTTTTAATTTCTATAGAAGAAGTAGTAATATTCTCACATACATTTCTGATTTTAATCATTTGATTATTGCCCCATTTTCATAATCCATCTAGCTAAATATATCAATTTAGTTGATCTTTTAAAATAAACAACTTTTAGTTCTATTGATTTTCTCTATTCTTTCTATATCTTTTATTCTAGGGGTCCCCAACCCTCGGGCCATGGACTGATAACAGTCCATGGCCTGTTGGGAACTGGGCCACACAGCAAGAGGTGGGCAGTGAGTGAGTGAGTGAGCATTGCCACCTGAACTCTGCCTCCTGTCAGATCAGTGGTGACATTAGATTTTCATAGAAGTGCAAACCCTATCGTGAACTGCATATGCAAGGGATCCAGGTTACACCCTCCTTATGAGACTCTAATGCCTGATGATGTGAGGCAGAACAGTTTCATCCTGAAACCATCCCCCCATCCCCATCCGTGGAAAAATTGTCTTCCTCAAGACCAGTCCCTGGTACCAAAAAGGTTGGGGACCACTGTTCTATTCCATTTACCTCTGTTTTTATCTCTATTATATCGTTTTTTCTGGATTTTGTGTTTTATTCCTTTTCTAGTTAAGTTGCAAAATTAGGTTGTTGACTTGAGACTTTTTTTGTTTTTTCAATGTAAGCATTTATAGCTATCAATTTCTGTCTAAACACTGCTTTTACTCTGTCCCATAAGTTTTGGTAGGTTGTGTTTTGGTTTCCTTTCTCTCTAAGCATTTTCTGATTTATCTTATTAATTCTTCTGTAATTAATTGGTTAAGAGTATGTTGTTTAATTTTTACAATTTTGTTTTCAGTTTTACTTGTGTTATTGATTTCTAACTTTATCCTGTTGTGGTCAGAGAAGATATTTTGTATAAAATCTATCTTTTCATGTCTATTAAACTCAATTTGTGGCCTAGAATCTGACTGTTCTTTGAAAATATTCCATGTGCACTTGAGAAGAATGTTTGTGCTGCTGTTGTTGGTTGGTAGAGTGTTCTGTATATATCTTTTAGATATAGTTGGCTTAATGTGTTGGTTGTGCCCTCTCTTTCCTTGCTTATCTCCTGTCTCGTTTTCCAATTCATTATTAGTAATGGGGTATTGGCATCTCTAACTATTATATAGGACTATTTCTCCTTCCAATTCTGTTAGTTTTTGGTTTATATATATACATATGCACATACATATATACACACATATATGTATTATATAAAATTATGTATGTATTATATAAAACATATGTGTGTGAATATATATACATGCATGTATCAAAATTATAAATGTATATACATATATAATTTTTTTTGAAACAAGATTTTGCTCTGTTGCCCAGGCTGGGGTGCAGTGGTGTGATAACTGCTCACTGCAACCTCTACCTCCCGGGCTCAAGAAGTCTGCCCATGTCAGCCTCCTGAGAAGCAGAGACTACAGGCAAGTGCCGCCACACCCGGCTAAGTTTTGTAGTTTTTGTAGAGATGGGGTTTTGCTATATTTCTCAGGCTGGTCTTGAACTTCTAGACTCAAGTGATCTGCCTGCCTCAGCCTCCCAAAGTGCTGGAATTACTGATGTGAGCCACCATGCCCAGCCTATATATTTTAATGGTCTGTCATTTGGTGCATAAATGTTTACAATTGTTATTATTGTATATTTTTACTGTATTGAACCTTTTATTAATATATAATGCCTTCATTGTCTCTTGGAAACTTATTTTAAAGTATAATTTGTCTCCTTTCTTTGACTATTTGTATGACATACATTTTTTCATCCTTTCACTTTCAATCTGTTTGCGTATTTCAATCTAAGTTGAGTGTCATATAGATACCACATAAATGGATCATATGTTTTTATCCATTCTGTCAATCTTTGTCTTTCGATTGGAATGCTTAATTTATTCTTATTTAAAGTAATTACTAGTGAGAAGTGACTTAGGTCTGTCACTTTATTATTTGTTTTCTACATGCTTTATAGCTTTTTTGTTCCTTATTTCCTGCATTACTGTTTTCTTTTGTGCTCAGCTGATTTCATTTAGTGAAATGTTTAAATTTATCTCTTAATTTATGTCAATACATTTATATCCATTTTCTATGTAGTTACCGTGGGAATTGCATTTAACATCCTCAAGTTGTGACACCCTAATTTACACCAGCATGACTTCAATAATATACAAAGACTCTGCTTTACACTTCCCTTCCTCTGCTTTCAGTTGTTAATGTCACAAAATTACATCTTTATATATTGTGTGCTCCAAAACGTAAACTAATAATTATTTTAAATGCATTAGTTTCTTCAATTGTGTAGACAATAAAAATGTAAAGTTATAAACCAGTTACAATAATACTAGCTTTTTAGACAAATCAGGTAGAAGAAAAGTAAAGGTACCAACTATTCTTACAATATTATTAGATTTTATAATTGCCATGCATTTACCTTTATTAAGATGTTTATTTCTTCATATGGCTTTAAGTTACTGTTTAGTGTTCTTTCATTTTATCTTGCAGGATTCCCTTTAGCATTTCTTGCAAAACAGGTCTGGTGGTAACAGATTTCCTTGAGCTTTTGTGTACCTGATGATATCTTAATTTCCCCTAAAAAATTCATCCAAAAATTATTATCTCAATTATTTTGTCGCTAATTTATATACCTCTTTTATTTTAGAATTGGTTTCTGTGGATTTATTTGGTTTCTATTATTGGGTTGCCCCTTGTTTCTTCGTGTTCCTTGTAACTTTGTGTTGATATCCATATATCAGAAAACATAGCCACCAATTTCTGTCTTTTCAAACTAGATTTACACAGGGAAGGTCTTCCAGCATGGCTAGAAATTTTTGGGTCCTCTCAAACCTTTTCTGTGTGTCCTTTCTGGCTTTGTGGGTATATATATATATATATATATATATATATATATATATATACCCCCACATATATATTCCTATATATATACACACACACATATATATTCCTAATTAATACATATATTAATTCCTAATTAATATATATATATATATAAATATATAGTCCTACTTAAAAGGGTTTGCATGTGTCTGTTTTCAGGAGTGTGTAATCTCTTGTTCCCTCTGGTGTCTGTCTGCTGAATCTCGGGTCCTTTTAAGAAGCAGCAGCAGTGGCTCGCACCTGTAATCCCAGCACTTTGGGAGGCTGAGGTGGGCAGATCACAAGGTCAGGAGTTTGAGACCAGCCTGGCCAACATGGTGAAACCCCGACTCTACTAAAACTACAAAATACAGCCAGGCATGGTGGCATGCACCTGTAATCCCAGCTACTCGGGAGGCTGAGGCAGGAGAATTGCTTGAACCCCGGAGGTGGAGTTTACAGTGAGCCAAGATTGCACCACTACACTCCAGCTCTGACAGACAGAGCAAGATTCCATCTCAAAGAAAAAAAAAAAAAAAGAAGCGGCAGCACACTACCCAGATCTGTTTTTGTTCTCAGTATCCCCCAGGCATCCTAGAATATGTCAGGTCATGTCAGTTATGCAAGACAGTAGAGACAGAAGCCAGTCTCATGGGCAACGTCCCCCCAAAGTCAGAATATTGAACATATGGTTCAGTCATCTCCTTCTCTTCTGAGGGACAAGCCAGAAACTGTGTTTCCTCCTGTTTAGGTGGTGATCTGCAAGGAAAGAACTATAGCGAAAGTGTGCCATGTATTTTTCCACTGGCTTTGATGCAGTTATTTTTGTGCTCATTTGAGGTGCAAGAGCCTCTTAACTGGTTTCTAGATTTCTCACAAAGGGAATTGATCCATGTATTATTGTTCAATTCGTATTTTCATGGGAGAAACAAGGTTTTGGGGCTTTCTTATCCTGCCATCTTGCTGACATCACCCTGATATCTGATATCTTTGATGTATAGTCCCAATTGTAACCGATGTGTTGACTAATAATAGCCAACTCTTCAGAGAAAAAAGTGTCTAAGATACCTAAATGGTCCATGGGATATCATTTATTCAACAATACTATACAGTCAGTTCTGCTGTTATGTTATATATGTATTCTGAGTGATCACTGTGCTGCACAAAATTACACTATGATATCCACAAGTCTAATGAAAAAAAACGGAGTAGGGCACAGCACTCAAAAACATCATCAGTGACCAGTTAAAAAATAAGAGCTTAATAAAAAAGACAGTAAGCACAAGTTAAATAATTAAGAAATACATTATTAGTATAATAAATATAGCATTTCACCTTGAGAAAGACCTGAAGTTTGCTTATAGAAGTGGATATGGAAAGAGTTACTTCTCATTGGCTAGTATAAACTGGTAGAAAGAGTGTTATCTGAAATCAAATGGAAATTTGTAACACCAGATGTGGATTAGTTTGGCTCATAACACATGGAGTGGAGTGAGGTAGCTGTTAGATGTTAGACTTGTGTGTATTTTGTGTATTTTTATGCAGCTGGGCTAAACTGAGTGCAGTTTTCTGTGTTCACCTAGTTTTCATCGTGGGTGGAATTGCACACAACTAATGTGAAATTTCTGTTATGCTCAAGTTGTTCCCTAATATGTCAAACGTGTCAGAACGAAATCTCTTTTCAAAACAAGCATTACAGTAAAACCACTGTATAATAATTTCATGAATTAGATTTTTGAAAAGTGAATGGCTTAAATATTTCATCATTGAATCACATTTCTGGTGTTCTGAGGAAGCCCCTGAACTGCCCTTGTAAAACATTCGTTAAGCACCCAGGCTTTGACACAGATGGATTTAAATTTGAATCCTAAGTTTACCTGCTTGATTTTCAGTAAACATCCTTTCCCTCCTTAAGCTATATTTTCTAATCTGTGAAATAAAGTTTAAAATTCTACCTCGTAGGTTAATATGATGATTAGAAAATAAAATGCATGCAAATTCCTCAGAGAATGACTTTTACATATAAAGTACTCAATAATGATAGTTGCTTTAAATTCTTGTATTCATAAAATATCCTGTTGTGCTATACATACATTGAGTTCATTTCCATTTGAATTATTATTATTCGAATATAAATCTCAGTGAATTTTTATAATGAATTATTTTAAAGCTCATATTTGTATATATTTTTTGTTCTTTAGAATTAAGCATGCCTGATTTCAGAATATATATAATATTTAGGTTTACCATATGTAAATGGATACACATGGGGTTTTAATTTTTTTTGCTGAAAATTTGCAGTTTTTGGTAGGTGGTTATTATAACATCAAATTTCTAAACTTTCTGTCTTTCATGTCATGGAGAGGAGTGAAAACACTTTATTCCCAGAAGTGGCTATAAAGTTAATTCTGAGTGTGCAACTTGAGGATCATTTAAATTATTTTGGATGTTTGCTGATCTCCATGTGTCTGCTGATGATCTCAGAAAACAGGGGGATCACACCTTTAGAATGTGACATTTATGGGGAGACATTTGTGTCTACTAGGTAGACAAGAAGGTTTAAAATATCGTTTCCTTTTTTTTCCAAGAGGTCAAATTCTTCTGAGAATTGCTCTGGTATGACAGAAAATATGATACCCGCTATAAGTAAAGAGGTAAATTTCTGACAAGTTTACATAATTGTTTAATTATTATCATATATATATATATATATATATATATATATATATATATATATATTCTTCTTTCCCTCCCTTCTTTCTTCTTTTCTTCCTTTTTTCCTTCACGAATTTTTGTTCTAGTCAAGTAAACTGCTAAGAGAGGGCAATGCCAAGGTGAAAACTTAGTCTCTGGACATGAGTCTTATTGTCTCATATAAGACACAAATATGTCAATAATTCATTATAATTATGTTTGGTAGAATAATACGACACAAAAGAGAGAATAAGTAACCTGGTTAGAACAGTTAAAAAAGGTTCCATTACTAGATATGTTTTCAAAGCTCATAAAAAAGACAGAGGAGTAAAAAATAATTACAGATTGAGGGGCTGTAATGCATATTGTGCTGGAAGAAGGAACAGTTGTTTCCTATTGCTGAGGGCCTTTGTGATGAGTAGTGGGATGAAGCTGGAGGGGGTGCAGAGCTATCTCTTGAAGGACTTCAGCAGAAGAGTTGGTGATGGTGCATCATGCTTTTAACATTGCAATGTATTCCCAGTAGATTGGGATACTGCAGTTTGGAAATTACATTAGTGCTTGGCAGAATTGTGTGGCAAACAACTGTTAGGAATATTTTATGTTTATTTCTTTGGAATAAAACAGTGAAAACTAAATTCTGAAAATGGGAGGAATCATGAGTTATTCAGTGGCTGGAATACTAACAAAAAAATAAATAAATAAAAAATAAAAAGCATGTTACCCCTGGAGAAAGTTAGGCCCATTGATAATATGACTCATCACAAAGGAATTTCCAAAGGACCTTAAAAGGAAGTGAAACTGAGTACCAAATCAAGACCCATTTGTATTAGCCACTCTGTTCTACTGAACAAACAAGAATTTCCTAAGCCACAAACTTGGATAAGTTTAGCATCCTTAAGATTGTCTGATACCCACACACTTTATTCTTTCTGTTCATGACCATTGTTAGATTGGTCCCTTAATTCATCTTGGTTTCCAACATGTCTGCCTCTTCTTCTCATTTTTTTCCTAAGCCCTTCTTCTCTGTCCATATTTAAATATTTAGAGACTCAACCAAGATAACCAAATAATAACAATAATCATTGATAATAAACCTTTACATGACCTTGCTGCTTACTTCATCTACCACGGAATTTCTGTCCTTTATTCTCTGCCATTCTTTTTCCCATGATTAATCTACACTCATTGCACGAAACTCCTATCTACCTAGGGCCTCTTTTAAACTGCTATCTACAGTCCAGGCCCATCATTCTTCTGAAACAGATCCTTCAGAGAACTCAAATGGCTTTCTTCTTGCTAATTCCACCTTCAGAGACCTCAAATGGCTTTCTTCTTGCTAATTCCAGAGACCTTTCTCCCCTTCATATTGTTAATCTCTGATGTGTTTCACATCACTTAAACATACTTCTTCCTTGACATCTCTAACATTACTATATATTGGATTTAATTCTTCCCCTCTGACCATTGTCTTGGCTTAAACATGGTCCCTTCTATACAATCCCTGCTTTATATATCAAAATCCATCCATTTCATATGTCCAAGTAGTTTCAATATACAATTGGCCCTCCTTATTAATGGGTTTGGCATCCACAGATTCGGCCAACTGCAGATCAAATATAGTCAGAAAAACATAAAATGGCTTTGTCTGTACTCAACATGTACATACTTTTTTCCTTATAATTATTCCTTAATATAGTATCACAATTATTTACAAAGGATTTACATTTTATTAGGTATTATATGTAATCTAGAGATGATATAAAGTTGTACAGAAGGATAAGGATGCGCATAGGTTAAATGCAAATACTATGCCATTTCATATAAGCAACTCGAGCATCTTCTAATTTGGGTATTCATGGGGTCCTTGAAACAATTTTCCCTAGATACCAAGGAACATTACAGTTATATTAATCCCAAAACTAGGATTATTAGATGAAATGTTGGTATTGCAGGATGATCCAGTATGTTATTTTGGGGGAAGATCTTTTTAAATAGATACGTTTTAGTGAAGCATTTGTAAATTTAACTAAAGAGTAACAGTTCATCTTCTCATAAATATCATACATACAAAATTCTTTATAGGGCTGTTATAGGTATTACATTATGAGTTAATGTTTGCAAAATGATAAAACCAATGCTTGATATGCAACTGGTTCATAAATTTTCAAGTGTTATTGAGTTTGGTTAATTAAATATATATATGAAACTTGGAATGATTCAAACATCTAGTCCTCCTTCACTTTTAATTAAAACTTTTTTTCTCACTTGTGGTGAAGTAGTATTGGAAAATTTCCCAAATTTTTTCTTTGTAATATTACATAACATTTCCAAATTTGGTTGCATTTTTTGGTGTGCAAGTTTTGCTGCTAACCAATATAACACTGGCTTCTTCCTAGTCGAAATAAAGGGGATAGGCAGTTATTTCACTAGGTGCTTTCCTAACCTGACACATGTTGTCATCTTTTTCTATGATAGTTTTTCACATTTTGAATCAAATTGCTTTATTCTTAATAGTTAATACTTGCTTACATCGTATTAATCAACCTTTGCACATGGTTTGCATCTGGAGTATATGATTCATGGCAATTAAAAGAAGATTGATTTTTCATATAATTGACTAAATTTATTTAAATATTGAGCATATTAATGCCAATGTAAAACTTAAAGTTGTTGGACAGTGCTGTGATTTCAGTATGGTTTGTTTCCTTGGGTAATCATATTAAAATTTAATTTCCATTGTGGCATTGTTGGGAAGTGGGATCCAGTGAAAGATGTTTGGGGGGTGTAGCCCTCGTAAATAAATTAATGCTGCCACTCAGGACTGAGTTCTCTCTCTGTAGGGAGTGGATTAGTTATCATGAGAGACAGGTTGTTATAAGGCAAGTTTCCTCCTGGTGTTCACTTTCTCTTTGCACACACCCACTCATGTTTCTGCTTCTTCACTATGTCCTGATGTAGCACAGGCCCCTCACCAGAAGTGAGCAGATGCCATTGCCATGCTCTTGGACTTTCCAGCCACCAAAATTATGAACCAAATAAACCTTTTTTCTATATAAGTTTTCCAGCTTCAGGTATTCTGTTATATCAATATAAAACAAACTAAGACAGATAGTGGTATCCTTTTTCTTTAAGGATATTAGAGTAATTGTGGTCAGTGCTCTTTATATACCAAGTGTTAAATTGTAGACCCAATTTTTATTTGTTTTTCGTAGCAATTTCTGAAATCTTTATTCTTCATCAAATTTTATCTTTTACATCTCATCACATTGGATTACAGATATACCTTGAAGATATTCTGGATTTAGTTCCAGACCACTACAGTAAAGTGAATATTGCAATAAAGTGAGTAACATGAATATTTTTGGTTTCCCAGTACATATAAGTATGTACTATGATGTTTATGTTTATACTATACTGTCATTTATTAACAGTGCAATATCATTATGTCTTAAAAATCTACATACTATAATTTAAAAATATTTTATTGCTAAAATATTCTAATGAAATGAGCAGATGTTGTTGGAAAAGGGGCTCTGACAGCCTTGTTTGATGCAGGGTTGCCATAAACCTTCAATTTGTGAAAAACATAGTATCTGTGAAGCATAACCAAGGGAAGCACAGTAAAATGAGGTATCCTTGTTTGTCTGTGTGTCATGTTGCTGACACTCTCTTCTTACATTTCCACCCTGGTTAGTTTATGCTGCCACTGTGGTAAACTCTGAGCATCACTCAAAAAAAGAATTTGGGAGTACTGAAAAAGTAGCTGATTCAATACAGAAAATATCAGGCTAGTGAGGATGCTAAACAACATACCCTTCAAAATAAAAATGAAGAAAACCAACGTTTTTTATTTTGGGAAAGAAAAACAGGGAAGTCCACAGTAGTAATATTCTCCATTTTTAACAATTTGCCATTTTGAGGAGAAAAATAACCATTTATTTAGTTTTATGTTGTTCCATAGTATAGAGATGCAAATAATGGAAAGCAAAGTATCCTCAACACACTACTAAAAGAAGAAAGAAATGCACTGCCTGAAGAAAATTGTAAGGTTTATTGGAATTGGAATAACAGTGACGTTGAACAAAAGGTTTATGAAGAGTTTCAGCAAATAATTTCCAAGTTTTATTTGAGAAGCCTAAGACATGATTACTTTTGAAGTGCTGCTTTCAGTGTATCATTATTTTTCTTGTAAGACTTTCAACTTAAGAATCTAATTGCTGATACAGTAGGCATCCAAATGATTTAAGATCTCTGAATTATGATCCCATGATAGCATCCATACCAGATATACAGCCTCTGATAGGTTTGAACCTTTTATCTTAATCGCATCTTGTGTATATGGTCTCCCCTCTGCTCTGAACAAATCTGTACGTGGAAATCAGTACCTTTTTGTGGTTTTCTTCAAAAATACCATCACACAATTTTCGTGAGTAGCAGACTTCATTGGAGAGATGGAGGCATTTTACAGCATTTTAAAACTGAATATTGGCATCGCTGTTTTTAAAAGTTTTGAAACTTGCCACTGTGAAATTTTAATGGCCAACTTATGCTGTAATTCACAAGCTTCCTGCCATGTGGTTCACTGCCTCCCTTTTATTTCTTTCATGGGGCTTATATTGAAACTTGATCAACTTCACTATATTATGCAAAGCAATTTATCTCTCTGATCCTTACTCAACTCAGGGGTGACTACACCCCCAAATCTCATTAATATGTAGTACTGAACACAGGCCTAGTACTCTAGGTCTCACCTTTTCCCAACGTAGCCTTTTAAATTTCATTCCTTCAAATCTCTTCCTTTTTCTAACACTCAATGTAATTGAAAGGAAACTGTATATTTCATGTGACATTATATAAATGGTGGCAGATATTTCACTTCCTTTTTCTCAAGAAACTGCTTATACATCTTAGGCGATTGACCTTTTTGGTATTTCTTAAAATATTTTGTATATTTGCTTATATACTTGTGTCCATCCTTGTCTGAAATGAATCAATATTGTATCTCTCCCAACTCTATTCAACTTCTAAGCTAGATCAAGTTACATGAAGTCATCCAAATCAGTCCAATCCACATTGATTTATCATCTTTTTTCCCTGAAAATTTGCAGCCTTATTATCCCATTTTTTTGAAAAGTTTCTTTTTTTTCCTGGATATTGATACTATGTCCTCAACTAAACTGTGAGCTCTTTCAGGACTGATAATAATTGCTGCGTTCATGTACATACATGTGAATATTCCCAAAATACTGATCGTATTGTTGCAAAGTAAATTTCTGGGACGGCCTAGCTTGAGTTGAGCCAAGTATTCCCTTGCCATTTTCTTTAATTAGGCTTAATTTTCAAAAGGCAGCTGCAAGAGGCATTTAAAATTTCCCAATGAAAATTGAAGTGTAGTTTTGTCAAAATGAGAGGTCGTTGATCCTAAGAGAAAAAATACTTTTATTTCAGTTCTATCTGAAACTGCTAATCTTTGGCAGTTGGAAGATTAGTATTTCTGATATTACATTTTCATTCTCACTGAACAGAAATGATATATGAACAAATTTTAGCAACACACTTTTCATCTTTGTCTTATATACGGAGGCATCAGTATGATTCATGATAATGAATTATTGGACTGTATGCCACCATTAATGCTTTTCTTTCTCATACCCATGCAGTTCAGAATATTTTGATTCGATTAACTCTACAAGCTCAAGATTCAAATATTTTTTTTTCTTCCTGACTCACATTTTAATAATTAAATTCTCATTTCTTTATAAAGTGTTAACCCTGTGAGTACTAGTACTGGGAAAGTAACAGTATTTGAGTGGGATTCAAGCTTTGACCTGGATTAGATTACCAATTTATGGAGAAGAAAGTCCACCTATAGATGAGATAAAAGCATAAACAGAACATAGAAAACACAGACATTGTGAAAAATTGGATAAGAAAAATAACTCACCTTTGCAAATAATTAAACATACGACCTTGGAGCTACATTATCTTCTTTCACAAAATGGAAAAAATATATAGGCTATACCCTCCAGGGTATAAATTTGAAAGTAACACCTGCATAACTTTTATTATAACAGCAGATACAAGAGAAATTCCCCATTGTGATAATTCTCCCATGCCTCTTTAATTGTTTTAAAAATTATCTCATGCTCTTAAGTATTATAATTTAATTACTGTCAATATTTAAGTTGTACTGAGAATTTAGAATATACTAGAATTGTGGTAAACCGAGGTAACAATCTTCATTAGATTGGTAAAGCAATGACTTTGTCTCTTCTATGATACTGTTTTCATAAGTTCATATTAAAATATGCATAAAACTACTGTTGGGTCATAGGATGAGAGGAGTAATCCAAAAGGATTTTCTAGGGCAGCTGAGCTTTTAAACAATATTCTTGGAAACTGTAAAACCAATGAGATTTAAGATCTCCCTAATAACGTTGTTTCTTAATGTGTTGTAGGTCTCAGATGAATGTGAACTATAAGCACCTGACCCTGTAAATGCAAGCTCTTTCCTGGAAAACCAAGATAAGTTAACTGTTCATGCTAATTCATTTTTCTGTATACATCCATTTAGACATGGTTTAAACTTTGGCTACAAGATACAGCTTTGGTGTTAAACAACCTCAGTTTATTTAAAAATATTTTAAAATTATCATATTGTGTTCTTTTGACTGAATCAGGTTAAATATTTATCATAGCACAATTAAGAGAGCGAAAATTTATATGAATTCTACTCTTTGGAACTTTTCACACTAAAGTAGGGAAGAATAAAAGGACTGGAGAATTACTTCTCAGCAAAATTATTCTCTAGATAACATCTTTTGTGTTGCCTTTAGACATAACATTTGAATTAGAGAAATTTCAGAATTATTAGCATTGATAAAATATGGAGCACCCCAAATTAGATGATCTTAAGGCTGAAGTTTTTCTAGATTGTAATAAGATTTATCTGTTCACTTTGAAGAACTGTCAGTCATTCTATAATTTCTTCTAATTGTTCCCTCTCCCACCTCAAGTCTAAATGTTCTTTACCCACAAGCAAATGTACTCAAAAGTTTTTTTCTCTTCTAAAATGATGAAGAAAATTGGCGTGCTATTTCATTTTATCCTTCTAATCAAATACCTACTATTCTAAGCAAGAGACTAGAAAAAAATTTATTTTACTGGAAATAATACATAGAATCAGTATGTAGACAAGATCATTGAAAGTCTCTAACTCAAATGCTCACTGTTGCTAACTCATTCAATCATTCATCTATTCATATATTCAACATTTATTGAATACTTTAAGGTCATGAACTTTTCTCAGGAAATATACAGCAATAAAAGATGACTGAAACCTTCTCTGTCTTTGAGAAGCTTACACTCTACTAGAGAAGGAAGGCATGTCACAAACTAAGCTGCAGTATAATAATGTATAGCAAGTGAAGACTTACTATTAAAGATTGATGAGTATAAGAATATGTAACCATAACACTGCCCAAAATGAGATATATTTGCTACTAGACACATGAGAATTTCTTCCTTCTGGGAGGTAATTGTGATTATTCCCATTTTGGAGACTAGCACACTGAAACTAAGTATTTTTTTAGTATAGGTTGGAATAATTGTTGCAGTACTTTCCTTTGGTGGCATTTTTGAACTGGCTTTTTCTGGATAAAAAAGCCCATGATAGATTAGAGAATTGGAGTAATTCTATGCAACTGCATAGCAAAGAAACAAGGCAGTAGAAAAGTTACAAAGTATTTCTGAGAATTCATAAAAAGGAATTAGGTCTACAAAGAAAAATTGAGTGCTTATGAAAGTTGTGCTAAAGCATTTGTCTCTTTAAATCTAGTGCTTGGAATGCTCCTTAAATATACTTAACAAACAGATAATACAAAAGAAAAATAAGTGCAAAAATAATAAGAACTTTCATAAAGTATGGTTAACAATTAAAAGTATAGAATAAATACAACAAAATGTTGGAGCAGAACAAAACATAAAGGGTTTATAGTCCAAAATTTAAAGATTATGTGTAGAAAACTTCATCCCATACTAGTGAAGATATTTAGCCTATTATAAGGACCAACTACATAAATGGAATGCAGTAAAACTGCACTGTATGAAGAATGAAACTTGTATTAATTAAATACAAATCATGTGTGAGAATCAAAGTTTATAAAGTTCAACTATGCAGACCAGGAAATATATTTGGCACAATTTGATTAATCACTTAAAATTATTGATGCATATTTAAAATAAAACAATTAATTTTTAAGTTTATTCTACTTTCAAATTATCACTTTTTCTAACTCATGTAGGTGAATCTGAATTAAGGAATATGTATGTGTTCATGCACCTATAGGGTTTCAAAAAAATTAAAGACTTAAATGTAAACATGTAATTTATGTTATAATGCATGCAGATATAGTTTTGGATGTATTATGTATTAACAATTTAAATATGAGCATATCTAGGCTTAGAAAATAACCTCTATGTATATAAAGATATACACATACATATATGTGTATATGCATATATATAACAGCTATTATAAAATGTATGCATTTCATATGCATTTCTGAAATATAAATGGAAACATATTTTAAATCTTAATATTGATATTTACATATATGATATTTAGATTATCTGTGAGTGTGTATATATATATATATATATATACACACACACAAAACTCAACAGCTTTGGTTGTATATTTAATTGGTACCATTGGGTACTATAACACTAAACATTCACTACCAGTGGAATATTATAGAAAACTCATTAATTATATTAAGCTAGGTTGAAAGTATGCCTAAGATAAAAAAGGGCTCAATCACCAACCAAGCCATTATAAGATTTATTTAACTGGTAGTATAATTATTTATAGAACTCAGTGTATCTAAATTAGATAGGGGAACTACAAAATTAATTTAAGGCAGAAAGAAAAATATACGTTGATTTGTAGACCCAAGAGCATTACGGGTTAAAAATAAAAGTTTGAAAAATAAGAATATTGCACCTTAAATATTTATACAGAGTATATATTCAGATACACAGAAAGATTTAAGTAAAATATTGTGTACTATAATTTATAAGAATAAAAATATAAAAACCATCTACAATTCCAAACTTAGGGTCTTAGTAAAATCTATAAGCCTATACCCATTTGTCAAAAGGCTGTTGTTATAAAATATTTTCACCTCTAACAATATTTAATGCCATAGGGAATATTAACAACATGATAATAAGTATAGATAATATATGATTATAATACCTAAATTATTTAAAATATGCCTATATTTATTTCCTACTTTTTCCAAGAGTTTCTTTATAAAATATAGTGTTAAAGGTGATTTGAATTTTCTTATGTAAGTCTTTTTTACATTTTATAATGTTTAGCAATAAATATATATTACCTATATCACCTAGATTACTTAAGATAGTTTATTGCTTTAAATTAGTTTTATTAATGCACCCTAGTGAACATTTTATTGGAGATGTCTAATACAGAATATCATAAGTTAAATAAAAATATGAAAAGATGTGGAGGTTAACATATCAACATGTAAATATACTCATTAATCTTCTCTAAAACCTTCTAGTTTAAATTAACCCCATTTGGTGTTGTAACATTTAGAATAATGTCTTAAATGCTTCTGAACAGTTTGTTTTAAAAATTTAAACAACCATCTTTCTGAATGGGTTTGCATTTTGTAAAGCTGCATGGATATTTAGTAATATATATAAAATCGACATCAAGTCTATGCAGTTCTATTTCACAGGTAACAGAATCAAGTACATTTTCAGGTGGACATATTAGCTAGAGGGCTGTTGCCTCCTGAGATGTGGTGCAGGGACATGTAGCTTTTTGATACCAAATATTAGTCAAATAATTATAAAAGACTAAAATAGAAAAGAATAGCTTAAATACTGAAGTTTTACCTTTCTGGGCTGTGGTGTTTCACCACAGCTAATATTTTTAGTGAAGAAAGACTTGATAGAGTTGCTGGATTTTGGGTGAAATTGTAGAGGAACTTAGAAAAGCTATAAAATTTATTATTAAAGACCAATGTACAAAACTGTGCTCTGGCCTGGCGCGGTGGCTCACGCCTGTAATCCCAGCACTTTGGGAGGCTGAGGCGGGCGGATCATGAGGTCAGGAGTTTGAGACCAGCCTGGCCAATATGGTGAAACCCCGTCTCTACTAAAAATACAAAAATTAGCCAGGCGTGGTGGCACATGCCTGTAATCCCAGCTACTCAAGAGGCTGAGGCAGGAGAATCGTTTGAACCCGGGAGGCAGAGCTTCCAGTGAGCCAAGATTGTGCCACTGCACTCCAGCCTGGATGACAGAAGGAGACTCCGTCTTAAAAACAACAACAACAACAACAACAAAAACTGTGCTCTGTCACACGTTTATTATGATAAAGATGGGTTTCATTGTTTACCAAATTATTTATCATTTTTTTCCTGGGTTCAGAGTTTTATCACTTTATTCACTATCTTTCTAGTTAGTTGAAGTCATGTGACTGAATTCTTATCAATTGAATGTAACTGAATGTGATACACATAATTAGTAGGCCCAGATGATGAAAGCTTCCATGTAATTTTCTATTTTCTCCTGCCTATAGGTTAGTTTTAGGGAACTCCAACAAACTGGAGGTCAGCAGAAACCCAATATGGGAGCAGCCAGTGCCTGAGTTATATTTAAAGATGTCCAATAACAAACCACATTGAATTGTTCTGTACATGTGAGTGAAATAATTTTATTCCATCAAGTCATAGAGCATTTGGGGTTGTTTGTTATAGCAATTAGCCTACCCTGACTAATATGGAAATCAGTATTTTCAAGTGTGATATCCTATAATGAAAGCCTAAAATACGTGGCATGGTGTAATTGTGGGTAGCCACCAGCAAGGAAACACAGGCATCTGCATGTAGAGGAGTCTTGTAGACAATGAGGCTACTGAGCCTACAGTCTTAGTAAGTCATTGGGAAGAATCAGATTGATGCTGTATATTGGCTTTCCTGTTAAGACATAATAATAAAGAGATGCTCTTAGGTTAGAGTTTTCTGATTTTTTACAAGAGATTGGAGAAAATGGGGAAAGTCTGGAGATCAAGACCCTTAAAGCTTTGGAAAAAACAAGTGTTTCTGGAGGCCAAATAGAAAGAGGTAAGACTAAAATAGGTCTTGAATTCCAAAGACCCAGAAAGATTTCTCAGCTAAAAAAAGCCAAGTATGTAACCTAGAGTCCTACCTTCTTAGCTAAGCTTAGTTTTTCAAATATCCTTGAGGTAGTGAGCATTCATTTGGTTAAATAAATCAGCTTAAGAATTATGTTTAGAAAATAAGTTTGGTTGAGGTTTCTCATGCATAAACTAATTGCATTAGAAACACTGAAAGTTTTAAAGGGAATTGTATTTCAAAAAAAAACCATCTACTCTAGCTCCATACTCTTCCCCAAACATCATCTGATTGCTCAAGCATAAAAACAATCTTTAGGTTCCAAAAATGTCAGAGGTAAGAATTAGGATTGGAAAACATCATAGACTCCAAAGGGTTTATATTCCCCAATACCCATTTTGCATATGGCAATGAATGATTTAATCAAATACGGTTGACCTTTGAGCACTGCAGGGATTAGGAGTATTAACCAACCCTTACAGTTGAAAATCTACTCTGAAAAAACTTGACTATTATGTTGGGGTTGGTGCAAATGTAATTGCAGTTTTTTAATGGTAAAAACCACAATAACTTTTGATCCAACCTAATACGAATAGGTTGACCAGAAGACTCACCAATAATTAGCTGATTAACACATATTCTGTATATTTTATATATTTTATATTGTATTCAACAGGATTCAGAATCAGAATGGACTAATGTCTACTCTTTTCTGTCATTCTTCTTTTTTTAATTTTCCTTTTTTTTTTTTGAGACGGGCTTCTTGCTCTGTCGCCCAGGCTGGAGTGCAGTGGCTCGATCTCGGCTCACTGCAAGCTCCGCCTCCCGGGTTCACGCCACTCTCCTGCCTCAGCCTCCAGAGTAGCTGGGACTACAGGCACCCACGACCACCCCCAGCTAACTTTTTGTATTTTTAGTAGAGATGGGATTTCACTGTGTTAGCCAGGATGGTCTTGATCTCCTGACCTCGTGATCCACCTGCCTCAGCCTCCCAAAGTGCTGGTATTACAGGCATGAGCCACAGCACCCAGCCTTCCTTTCTTTTTTTAATCAACTTTTATTTTAGATACAGGGTAGGTGGGTACAAGTACAGGTTTGTTATCTGGGTATATTTCATGATGCTGAGGTTTGGGGTATGGATCTCTTCACCCAGGTAATGAAAATAGTACCCAATAAGTAGTTTTTCCACCCACACCTCCTCTCTCCCTCTCATCTCTAGTAGTCCACAGACTACTAGATAAGGCTACTATTCCCTTATTTATATCCATGTGTGCTCAGTGTGTTAGCTCCTACTTAAAAAAACTCTGCCGAAATAAATCAGAGATGACACAAATAAATGGAAAAACATTCCATGTTCATGGATTTGAGGAATTAGTATCATTAAAATGACCATACTGCTCAAAACAATGTGTAGATATAGTGCTATTCTTGTCAAACTACCGATTTCATTTTTCACAGAATTAGAAAAAATATATTATAAAATGCATATGGAACCAAAAAAAAAGCTGTAATACCCAAAGCAATTCTAAGCCAGAGGTATCACACTATCAAACTTCAAACTATACTGTAAGGCTACAGTAACCAAAGCAGCAGGGTACCGGTACAAAAAACAAAAAGACACATAGACCAATGGAACAGAGTAGAGAACTCAGAAATAAAACTGCACACTGACAGCTATTCGATTTCTACAAAGTTGACAAAAATAAGCAATAAGGAAAGGACTCCCTATTCAATAAATGGTGCTGGAATAACTGGCTATCCATATGCTTAAAAATGAAACTGGACCATTGCCTTTTACCATGTACAAAAATTAACTCAAGATGGATTAAACATTTAAATGTAAGACCTTAAACTATAAAAATTCTAGGAGAAAACCATCTCAATGTCGGCCTCCATAAATAATTTTTGTCTAATTCCACATGCAGCAAACCAGAAATTGACAAATGGGATCTAATTACATGAAAGAGCTTTTGCACAGCAAAAGTAACTATCAACAGAGCAAACAGACAACCTACAGAATGGAAGAAAACATTTGTGAACTATGCATTACTCCTTTTTCTAAATGTAGAACCTTACTGAGTTATTTCCTTCCTATTCTAATATTGTATATTGGGTGCTGGTGAGTGGTAGAAATCTTTTTAGTTCATATGTCATTACCTTGACATTACTGTCAAGACCCTTAAAGCTTTGGAAAAAACAATTGTTTTTACAATTGTTTTACACTCTGAGGAGTCATTACACTCTGAGGAGCGTATAAGTCCATAATCTATGGACTTATAAGTGGACACAATAAATCAATAAATCGGGCTTTACATTAGCTCACTTGAGGAGAAGATATGTGTATTTTATGTTGTAGGAATGGATAGAATTTTGGATATGTGTATTTTATGTTGTAGGAATGGGTAGAACATTGTTTCCCAAGGTTCAGACCAAGGCAGAGATTGATTAATTGTTCATCAACTATGTCTCACTTTCCCAATGTGCTCCAGCTACCTTTCCCTTCTGTTATGTTGCTCAGTCTTCGTTATTAGATTGAGAGTAGGAGTGATGGTCACTGCCTTCAGGCCTGGCCCATAAATGCTCTTTCATTATTCTCTCCACTCTCTTTTTCTTCTTTTTCCAGTTGGATGCAAAGATCCAGGAGAGAATTAGGAAGCCCTAGGGCATGATAAATTCACAGATGGAAGGAACTAGGGTACTCGACTCACCATCAAATACTGGCACTGATGTGTTACATGAGTGAGAAATGAGGCTTTTGTGTTTAGCCTCTGAAATTTTTCAGAACAACAGTTAGCTGTGCCAGCCAAATACATAGGCTCAGTGACCCTCACAATTCATGCTGGCACTCACTTTCAGGACAGTCAGCTATAGGGTGAAGACAAATAATAATTACCCACAAGTGATTTAATTCATATAAAAATATGGACATAACTGTTAAAGTAAAAATTCTAAAGGCAAAGAAAAACAAACAATAAAATGAGAGAGTAGGAGCATTCCTCACAGATACAGTGGTAAATGCAAAAGTCATAGAAAAGAGGGATTCTTAATCTATTGCTGAAGATAGGTCCGGAGTTTATTAGGAAGGTAGATAAGATGACAACAGAGTCTATCTATTGATTTTCGTTGCTCAGTAGTGAATTATTTTTCTAACAATATTGAGTGGTTTTATTTTTATTTCCATGATGTGCTGGATTGTTTTTGGCTCCCCACAACTTTTCTGTCGAATTAGAGAAGGCTAAGGTTGAATAAAATTGAAAGAGAAAGCCTTACACTTGGCTAAATGAAAGACCATACATGGGAATAAGAGTTGGATTGGCACATAAGGAGAGAGGAGAAACAGAAATGACTGCCTCTCTAACTGCAGGAAAAATGAGTAGAGCCTATGCTAATCAGCATGGGAAATTTGTACAGAGATGGATGTGTGTACAGCTCTTTTGATTGTTGAATGGGACTCTCTCCAATTTCCTGTTTCCCTGACTAAGTTGACTGTCTACCACAGTCCAGGAGTATAGTAGGAAAATTGCAGGAACTTAATAAGTTAAAGGAGCGAGAAAGAAATAGTTTGTTAACACCCCATTTCTTGTTTGACTATTAGGTTCAATCCTCTTTTTTATACTTAAAAAATTTATATTTGTGTCCTCAATTAGATCATTGCTGCATTTTTATAGGTAACATTTTACTCCTTGGAGTTTGTTCCTATCTCACTTAACACATGATACATTCTAAATGTGTATGTGTTAATTGATTATTCTTTTTAAATAGACACCTCTAATAGATCTGATTGTGCTCAGTAGTCTACTCAATTTTATTTTAAATATCACTTTTGGAAGATTGTTTGTTATCATAGCTTAATTTATAAGTAAGGTAGGAGAAGTGGCCATAAGCAAAGCAAAGATGAGAGGAATTTGGATGAGCCCTGAAATTAGGTTACTAGTTCTGAAAATGCTACAAAAATGGAAAGAGACACCTTAACTCCACGTCTAATTCTTTCCATCACCTCCCAGTGTTCCATTTCTCTTACTTGAGTTCCTCTCCCTTCTATTACATGTCTGACAATTGCATACAGAAATTATTCTTAACACTTCCCATTTGCTGAAATCATTTTTCACCTAGTATCTGCTTTTATAATTAGTGTATCAAACTGTTTCTCATTCATTGATTTATGCATCCATCCCTTCATTTATTTATTTATTAATATATTCTCAGTTCTGTGCTGCCTGCTTCAGCTAATCTGACAAATTACGGCTATTATCAGACGAAATTTATTTATGTATTTGGCTACTTTTTTTCTGCCTCAGTTTTTAGGAACTAAGCAGTGGTTTACATCCTAAAAGAGGGAGCTCTCTCATTAAGTCCTCTTATATTAACACTCAAGTACTGACATGACACATGTTAATCGTAAAGAAAAGAATTCCCTGTATTGTGATTGCTGGATTTGTTAAATAGGTTGTTTAGAGAGGTAAGGAAGTGCCTTTCCTACCATGTGAAGTTATTAATAATTAAATGGAAAGGAGCTTTGGCTTCTTTACACAGGATGTCAAAGGTACAAGAACTTGTATCAGAGGAACAAATAATCTATCACAAATATTACCCCCAAAGTAAGATAACTATAATTAATTGCATACTTACTTTATCATGACATTGCATAAACGCCTTATGCAATGAATTTTTAATTTAGTCCTCACAGTAAGCCATGAGCAGAGACTGTATTATTGTCCCCATCTTATGGATGAGGAACACCCAGGCAGTGAGAAGTCACATAGCTAGTAAGTGGTGGAGGGGAGCTTCAGATCCAGGTCTGTCTCCAACACCTCCTGCTTTACTGGTGTATTAGTCCATTTTCACACTGTTGATAAAGACATACCCAAGACTGGGCAATTTATAAAAGAAAGAAGTTTAACAGACTCACAGTTCCACATGGCTGGGGAAGCCTCACAATCATGGCACAAGATGAAAGGCACATCTCACATGGCAGCAGACAAGAGAAGAGCACTTGTACACGGAAGCTCCCCTTTATAAAACCATCAGATCTCGTGGGACTTATTCACTATCAAGAGAATAGCATAGGAAAGACCTGCCCCCATGATTCAATTACCTCCCACCAGGTCCCTCTCACAACACATGGAAATTGTGGGTGCTACAATTCATGACACAATCTGGGCGGGACATAGCCAAACTATATCAACTGGTTTTCTCAATGTAAAACAGGTGGCCGGGTGCAGTGGCTCACCCCTGTAATCCCAGCACCTTGGGAGGCTGAGGCAGGCGGATCACAAGGTCAGGAGATCGAGACCATCCTGGCTAACAGGGTGAAACCCCGTCTCTACTAAAAATACAAAAATATTAACTGGGCGTGGTGGTGGGCGCCTGTAGTCCCAGCTACCTGGGAGGCTGAGCCAGGAGAATGGCGTGAACCCAGGAGGTGGAGCTTGCAGTGAGCCGAGATGGTGCCACTGCACTCCAGCCTGGGCAACAGAGCGAGACTGTGTCTCAAAACAAACAAACAAACAACAACAACAAAAAAAAAAACACAGGTAATGTGTTTATATTACTGGATTATTTTCTACCTATTTTTAAATTAAATTAATATAGTAACTCTGTAAGCAAAGAACTATCATTCTCCTAGTTTTATATCTGAGGAAATTGAGGGCCTATTGTGTGATTGCCCTAGGATCACAGCTCCATATTAGAGACTGGGACTGGAACTTAAGAATGATATAATATTATGTCTTCACTTCTCTGCTTCTCAGTCATAACTACACAGAGAATTTCTAATCAACTCATGTACATGCACATGTGTATATGTTCCCAGGGGCCTTATTCAAATAAAAAATTATTCATCATTGCACAAGTAGTGAATGCAAACACCAAGCTAATGAGATTTGAACCAAGAACAGACATCAGGGTAGCTATATTCTCTGGCTAAATAAAAGCAAGACAGGAATTACAGTAGGTCTTGTCCAGGAACTTCAAAGGAAATATGCTGTCCCTATTAAGAGCTTTTAATGCAAACTTATCCAAAACAGAATGCCTGCTATGGAAATTTTCTCTACCATACGTAAGCACATCATTGCCCACAAGTCAATCTGAGACATAAAAAAAAATAATAATGGAAATTTCAGGTGTTAAATTAGCCACCCCGGGGCACCTCTATACAGTCAGTCCCCTGAATGCAGTAAAGGAAATATATGAAATGTGACAAAGAAAATTAATTAAAATGGGCAATAAAGACTGCCAAGTTCAAACAAATTGTGGCCCCTAGCACATACCAGTTCTATACCTGCAGGCCAAACTTCATGAAATCCAGACAACTTAAATCATGTTTTTACACTGTGAAGAAGAAAGGAGGTTTTCGTATTTCTTAGCTATTTGGAAATCTATACTGACCACCTCAAATCTGAGAATCTTGAAAAGGAAAATTTACTTAAGTTATATATTCTTTTCCTCAGCAAAGGCAGGCAAATGCTCAATTTAATTCTATTTTAGAATTTTTCAATAAGAGATTTTTCAGTTATTCAAAAAAAATTTTACCCATTGTCCAACAAACACTGACATAAACTTTAGGGTTAGTTGTAAGAGAGAGTTCATTTATTCAATAATAATTTCTTTTTCTTAAATGTGTCTGGATACATAGAAGATGTAGGTTTTTATAGGGTACATGAGATATTTTGATACAGGCATACAATGTGTAATATTCACATCAGGGAAATGAGGTATCCATCATTTCAAGTTGATGAGGTATCCATCAACTCAAGTATGTACAATTTTTTTGTGTTACAAACATTTCAATTATACTTTTAGTTATTTTTAAATATACAATACATTATTGCTGACTTTATTCACTCTGTTGTGCTACTTTTTATTCATCCTATTTAACTATATTTTTATACCTATTAACCATCCCCACTCCCTTCCTTCCTACCACCACTACCCTTCCCAGCCTCTGGTAACCATCATTCTATTCTCTATTTCCATGATTTCACTCGTTTTCATTTCAGCTCCCACAAATAAGTTGAGAACATGCAAAGTTCATCGTTCTGTGCTTGGCTTATTTCACTTAACATAATGACTTCCAGTTCCAACCATGTTTTTGCAAATGACAGGATCTCCTTCTTTTTATGGCTGAATTGTAATCCACTGTGTATATGTACCACATTTTCTTTATTTATTTGTCTGTTGATGGACACTTTGCTTGCTTCCAAATCTTGACTATTGTGAATAGTGCTGCAAAAATTCAGAGTGCAGATATATCTTTAATATACTCATTTCCTTTATTGGGATTATATACCTAGCAGTGGGACAGATGAATCATATGGTAGTTCTATTTTTAGTTCTTTGAGAAACCTCCATACTATTCTCCATAGTGGCCATACTAATTTACATTCATACCAATAATGTACAAGGATTCCCTCTTCTCCACATCCTCACCAGCATTCCTTATTGCCTGTCTTTTGGTTAAAAGTCATTTTAACTGGGGTAAGATAATATCTCATTATAGCTTGATTTGCATTTATCTGATGATCAGTGATTGTGAGCACCTTTTCATATACCTGCTCGCCATTTGTATGTCCTCTTTAGGAAATGTCTAGTCAGATATTTTGCCCATTTTAAAATCAGATTATTAGTTTTTTTTCCTATTGAGTCATTTCAGCTCCTTATATATTCTGGTTATTCATCGCTTGTCAGATGGATAGTTCGCAAATATTTTCTCCCATTCTATGTAATGTCGCTTCACTTTGTTGATTGTTTCCTTTACTGTGCAGAAGTTTCTAACTTGATTTGATCCTATTTGTTCATTTCAGCTTTGGTTGCCTGTGCTTTTAGGGTATTACTCAAGAAATCTTTGCCCAGACTAATATCCTGGAGAATTTCCCCAATGTTTTCTTGTAGTAGTTTCATAGTTTGAAGTCTTAGATTTAAGACTTTAATCAATTATTATTTGATTTTTTGTATATGGCAAGAGATAGAGTTCTTGCTTCATTCTTCTGCATATGGATATCCCATTTTTCCAGCATTACATATTAAAGAGATTGTCCCCCAGTGCATATTCTTGGCACCTTTATTGAAAATGAGCTCAAAGTAGATGCATAGATTTATTTCTGGTTTTTCTGCTCAGTTCCATTTTTTTGTGTCTGTTTTTATGTCAGTACCATGCTGTTTTGGTTTCTATAGCTCTGTAGTATAATTTGAAGTCAAATAATGTGATCCTCCAGTTTTGTTATTTTTCCTCAAAATGGCTTTGGCTATTCTGAGTCTTTTGTGGTTCCGTATAAATTTTAGCATTATTTTTTCTATTTCTGTGAAAATTGTCATTGGTATGTTGGTAGGGATTGCATTCAATCTGTATATTGCTTTGGGTAGTATGGAAATTTTTATGATATTAATTCCTCCGATCTCTGAACCTGGAATATCTTTACCATTTTTTTGTCCTCTTCGATTTCCTGCATTTATGTTTTATAATTTTCATTGTAGAGATTGTTGTATATGTCTAGGAATTTATCCATTTATTCTAGGTTTTCCAATTAATTGGCATATAGTTGCTCGTAGTAGCCAAAAGGGATCCTTTGAATTTCTGTGGTGTCAATTTTAATGTCTCCTTTTCCATCTCAGATTTTATTTATTTGGATCTTCTCCCTTTTTTTGTAGTTTGTCCTGCTAAATGTTTGTCATTTGTGTTTATATTTTCAAAAAAAACAATTTTCTGTTACATTAACCTTTGATATATATTTTTTCATTTTAATTTTATTTTTCTCTGATCTTTATTATTTCTTTTCTTCTACTAATTTCGAATTTGATTTGCTCTTGCTTTTCTAGTTCTTTCAGATGAATTGTTAGGTTGTTTATTTGAAGTTTCTCTACTCTTTTAATGTGGGAATTTATTGCTATAACCTTTTCTCTTAGTGCTGATTTTGCTGTGTCCCATAGAGTTTGGTATGTTGTCTTCATTTTCATTTGTTTCAGGAAATGTCCTAATTTTCTTCTTAATTTCTTTATTGACCCACTAGTCATACAGGAACATATTGTTTAGTTTCCATGTGTTTGTATAGTTTACAAAGTTTCTCTTGTTGTTGATTTATAGTTTTATTTCATTGTGATCAAAGAAGATACGTGATATGATTTCACCATTTTAAAAAAGTTTTTTAAGACTTGTTTAGTGGCCTAACATACGATCCATCCTGTAGAATAATCCATGTGGTGAGGAGAAGAATGGGTATTCTGCAGCCATTGAAATGTTCTGTAAATATTGTTAGATCAATTTAGTCTATTGTACAGATAAAATCTAATGTTTCTTTGTTCTTTTTTTTTTGTCTGGGTGATCTATCCAATGCTGAAACTGGGGTATTGAAGTCTTCAACTGTATTGTATGATGGTCTATTTTTCACTTTAGCTCTAATAATATTTGCATTATATATCTTGGTTGTCCAGTGTTGGATGCATATATATTTATAATTTCCATGTCCTCTTGCTGAATTGACACCTTTGTCATTAAATAATGACCTTCTTTGTCTCTGAATAGTTTTTGGCTTGATATCTATTTTTTTTAATATAAGGATAGCCACTCCTACTTTTTTTTAGTTTCCATTGGCATGAAATACTTTTTTACATCCTTTTATTTTTAGTCTTATGTGTCTTTATAGGTGAAGTGTGTTTCTTGCAGGCAACAGGTCATTGCATCTTGTTTTGCTTTGTTTTTCTTAATCCATTCAGCCACTCTTTGTATTTTGATTAAAGACTTTAGTCCATTTACATTCAATGGTATTATTAATAAATAAGGCCTTACTTCTTACATTTTGTCATTTGTTTTCTGGTTGTTTTGTAGTCTTCTTTTCCTTTCTTCTTTCTTCCCAGTCTTTCTTTTTGTGAAGATAACTTTCTTTGATGTTATGTTTTAATATCTTGCTTTTTGCTTTTTATTTTTATGTACCTGTTATATGTTCTTTGATTTGAGGTTATCATGAAGCTTTCAAATAATATCTTATTGCCCATTATTTTACACTGATGACAACTTAACACTGATTGCAAAAACAAAGAAACTAACAGACAAAGAGAAAACTAATAAGAACTCTACATTTTAACTTCATCCCCCCACTTTTTAACTTTTATTGTTTCCATTTATATCTTATTATACTATGTCTGGAAAAGTTGTTAAAGTTATTATTTTGCATTGGCTGATCTTTTTAGTCTTTCTACTCAAAGACCTGCGTTGTTTATAGACCACGATTATGATGTTATAATATTCTGTATTTTTCTGTGTACTTACTATTACCAGTCAGCTTTATACCTTCAAATGATTTCTTCCTGCTCATTAGCCTCTGTTTCTTTCAGATTGAAAATCTCCCTTTACCATTTCTTGTTGGACAGGTCTGATGTTTATGATATACCTCAGCTTTTGTTTGTCTAAGAATGTCTTTATTTCTCCTTAATGTTTTTTTCATCTTTGTGGCCTTTATTATTTATTTTTTTATTATTATACTTTAAGTTCTAGGGTACGTGTGCACAACATGCAGATTTGTTACATAGGTATACATGTGCCATATTGGTTTGCTGCACCCATCAACTTGTCATTTACATTAGGTATTTCTCCTAATGCTATCCCTCCCCCAGACCCCCACCTTCTCATTAATGTTTTAAGGATATTTCACTAGATATATTATTCTAGGATAAAAGTTGTTGTTTTTCCTTCAAGCCTTTAAATATGTCATGCCACTCTCCCCTGGACTGTAAGTTTTCCACTGAGAAGTCTGCTGTCAGGCATATTAGAGCTCCATTGTATGTTATTTGTTTCTTTTCTCTTGCTGCTTTTTGGATGCTTTCTTTATCCTTTACCTGTGGGAGTCCAATAATTAAATGCCTTGTGACCATCTTATTTGGATTAAATCTACTTGGTGTTCTTTGACCTTCTTGTACTTGAATATTGATTTTTTTTTCTAGGTTTGGAAAGCTCTCTGTTACTATCCCTTTGAATAAACTTTCTACTCAAATCACTTTCTCACCCTCCACTTTAAGGCCAATAACTTTATTTTAACTGTTATTGTAGGTTTGGGGGTACATGTGAAGGTTTGTTACATAGGTAAACTCATGTCATGGGGGCTTGTTGTACAGGTTATTTCATCACCCAGGAATTAAGCCCAGAACCCAATAGTTATCTTTTCTGCTCCTCTCCCTCCCACCCTTCTCCACCCTCAACTAACCCTAGTGTCTGTTGTTTCCTTCTTTGTGTTCATAAGTTCTTATCATTTAGCTCCTACTTGTAAGTGAGAATATGAAGTATTTGGTTTTCTGTTCCTGAATTCATTTCCTGAGGATAGTAGCTTCCAGCACCATCCATGTTCCTGCAAAGACGTGATCTCATTCTTTTTGTGGCTGCGTAGTATTCCATGGTGAATATGTACCACATTTTCTTTATCCAATTTGTCATTTCTGGGCATTTAGGTTGATTCCATGTCTTTACTATTGTAAATAGTGTTGCAATGAACATTTGCATGCATGTATCTTTATGGTAGAATGGTTTATGTTCTTCTGGGTATATACCCAGTAATGGGATTGGATTGCTGGGTTGAATGGTAGTTCTGCTTTTAGCCCTTTCAGTATTGCTATACTGCTTTCCACAAGGGTTGAACAACTTTTCACTTCCACCAACAGTGTATAAGTGTTCCCTTTTCTCTGCAATCTTTCTAGCATCTGTTATTTTTTTACTTTTTCATAATATTCATTCTGACTGGTGTGAGATGGTATCTCATTGTGGTTTTGATTTGCATTTCTCTAACGATCAGCAATATTGAGCTTTTTCTTCATATGCTTATTAGCTAGATATATGTCTTCTTTTGAAAGGTGTCTGTTCATGCCTTCTTCCCACTTTTTAATGGGGTTGTTATTCTCTCCTAAATTCTTTTAAGTTCTTTATAGCTGCTGGATATTATACCTTTGTCAGGTGCACAGTTTGCAAATATTTTCTCCCAAACTGTAGGTTTTCTGTTTCCTCTGTTGATAATTTCTTTTGCTGTGCAGAAGCTCTTAAGTTTAATTAGATCCCACTTGTCAATTTTGCTTTTGTCGTGATTGCTTTTGGTGTCTTTGTCATGAAATCTTTGCCTGTTCCTTTCTCCAGGATGGTATTGCCTAGGTTGTCTTCCAGGGTTTTTATAGTTTTGGAATTTGCATTAAGTGTTTAATTCATCTTGAGTTGGTTTTTGCATATGGTGTAGGAATGGGTCCAGATTCAGTCTTCTGCATATGGCTAGCCAGTTATGCCAGCGTCATTTATTGAATAGGGAGTCTTTTCCTTATTGCTTGTTTTTGTCAGCTTTGTTGAAGATTAGGCATTCATAGGTATGTGGCCTTATTTCTGGGCTCTCTATTCTGTTCCATTCGTCTACATGTCTGGTTTTGTACCAGTATCATGCTGTCTTGATTACTGTAGCCCTGTAGCATAGTTTGAAGTTGGGTAATGTGATGCCTCCAACTGTGTTCTTTTTGTGTCACCCCACTCACAACTCCAGGCAGCTCAGCATGGACAGACTATTTGTTTAGTCATTCTGGGATTGGTCAGTGGAGCCATATTTAGTTTATTTGGTGAGGTCACTTTTAGATTTGCCCTTTTGAAGCTACTTTATAGATACTGTATGTGTGCTTCATTCATTTTCCTTTTGTTTCTTCTGATTCTATATGTTCAAATAGCCTGTCTTCAAGCTCACTAAGTTTTTCTTCTGCTTGATCGGTTCTATGGTTGAGAGACTTTGATGCATTCTTCAGTATTTCAATTGAATTTTTCAGGTCCAGAATTTCTGCTTGTTGATTTCTTACAGTTATTTCAATCTCTGTTAAATTTATCTGATAGAATTCTGAATTCCTTCTCTGTGTTGTCTTAAATTTCACTGAGCTTCCTCAAAACAGTTATTTTGAATTCTCTGTCTGAAAGGTAACATATTTCTGTCATTCTGGGATTGATCATTGGTGCCATGTTTAGTTTATTTGGTGAGGTCATTTTTTCTGGATGGTCTTGATGATTGTGGATGTTCATCAATGTCTAGGCGTTAAAGAGTTAGGTATTTATTTTACCCTTCACATGATGGGCTTGTTTGTACCTATCCTTCTTGGAAAGGCTTTCAAAGTATTCAAAGGAAATTAATTGCTGTGATCTAAATATTTGGTCTCTGCAGCCATATCTGCATTATGAGTCACCCCAAGTCCAGTAATACTGTGACTCTTGCAGACTCATAGAGGTTCTACCTTGGTGGTCTTGGGTAAGATCTGGGAGAATTCCCTGGATTACCAGGCAGAAACACTTATTCCCTTCCCTTATTTTCTCCTAAACAATCAGTCTGTCCATGCTGAGCTGCCTGGTGCTGTGAGAGGAGTGACACAAGCACCTTTGTGGCCACAACCATTGGTACTCTGGGGGTCCTGAAGCCAGCACAGCACTGGGTCTTGCCCAAGGTCTACAGCAGCAACTGCCTGGCTGTTGCCAACATTTACTCAAGGCCCAAGGACTCTTCAGTCAGCACACGAAGGTGGTGAATTCAGCTAGGCTGTGTCCTTCCCTTCAGGGTGGTGAATTCCCTTCCGCCCCAGCCCAGGACCATTCCAGAAATGCCATCTGTGAGCCAGGGCCTAAGGTCAGGAACCTTAGGAATGGACTTGGTGTTCTATTCTACTGTGGCTCAAGTGGCACCCACGCTGCAAGACAAAGTCCTTCTCACTCTTTCCTCTTCTTTCCTCGTGCAAAAAGAATCCCTCCTCATGGCTACCACTGCCCTAGGCCTGCAGCAAGTACCGCTTGACTAACATCAATGTTCACTAAAGGCCCAAGGGCTCTTTAGTTGGCTTTTGGTGCATGCTGACTGGTCTAGGGTTTTTCCTTCAGGGCAATGGTTTCCTCTCTGGCTCAGGACAGGTTCAGAAATATCCTTCAGGAGCCAATGCTGGAATCAGGAACCCCAGAAGCCCGCTTAATATTCTACCCCACTGTAGCCAAGGTGGTACCTAAGCTGCAAGATGGTGTCCCATTTCCTCTTCCTTCTCCTTTCTTCAAGTAGAAGGAGTCTCTCCCTGTGATCACCACAGCTAGAAATGGGCTGGATCACACCTGAAACCAGTGTGGCACTAAGTGTCACCCAAGGCCCATGAGGAGTGCTACCTGGGTACCACTGATGTTTATTCAAGGCCCAAGGGCTCTTTAGTAAGAGAGTGTTAAATCCTGCCCAGACTGGGTCCTTTCTTTCAAGGAAGCAGGTTCTTTCTGACCCACAGTGTATCTAGAAATGTTATTTGGGAGCTAGGGCATGAATGGGGGCTTCAGGACTCTGCCCGATGCCATATTTTACTATGGCTAAGCTGATATCCAGGTTGCAAAACAAAGTCCTCTTAACTCTCCTGTCTCCTCTCCTCAAGCTGAAGAAGGGAGTCTCTCCTGAAGCTGCACTGCCTTGGTTTGGGGAAAAGTGATGTAAGCACTCCCTTAGCCACCTCGGCTGGTGTCTCACTAGGTTGCATGCACCTCATGTCCATTAGATCTGAGTCTAATAAAACCACAGGACTTGCCTAGGAATTGCAGTGTCTGTGGCCTGCAACGACCAAGTTTCTTAAGGACCCCAGAGCATGTTAGCCCACAGTGGCAAGGCTTGCAGAACTCTGCTCCAACTGTTGGGATGGATGATATGCCTCTGGCTAGAGCTGGTCTAAATGCTCCCTCTATGGGTTCCCACTAAGTTCTGCCCCATGTTGCTTTCCACTGGGACAGGACAGCATTGAGTTCCAATGCAAAGTCCTACAATCACTCGGCTCTCTCTCCCACAAGCACAGATTCTCTCTCTGCTCTACATTGCTACTGTAAGGGATGGGGGACTAGTGGCACGGGCAATTCAAGACTGTCTTTGCTACACTTGTCAATGCCTCTTTCCTTCATACAGCGTTAAAACTAGGTACTGTGATCACTCACCTGATTTTTGGCTCTTCTGAAGGTACTTTCTTGTGTGGATAGTTGTTCAATTTGGTGTTACTGCTGTGGGGTTGCTGATTGCTGGAGGGTTCTATTTTGTTATCTTCTCTACCTCCAATTTCAATATTAGGCCAGGTTTTTTGTTTTTTTTTTTAAGCATTCTGTTTATGTTATTTTTTTCTTCAGTATTTTCATATCTCTCTCTCAGCAATGGCCATATAATCCTTCTTTGATTTTCTTTCGGAAAATACACAGACCTGCTTTCTGTGAAGTTTTCCCCGTAAATAAAAATCTACTATTTCTTCATCATTTTTAAATACTTTTTCTTTGTGATATAAAATGGCAATATAAATTGCAGAAGTTCATGTCCATCCAAAATTTGCAATAATCTTTTATCCTACTTTAAACTCTTACAATTTATTTTATTTTATTTTTTAACACAAGTTGGGACCTGCCTACCTTGTTTCTAAACTTCCTAGTTAGACTCAACTGACAATTCTCCCTCTAAGACTTCTTTCATTCTGTCAGGCTAAAAAAAAAAATGATATATATATATCATTGAGCTGTCACTTTCGGCACTGTTCCTATATATGAGTGAAACCAAATTTATATTGATCAAAGTGACATGTTTGCAAAACCAAGTAAACGAAAACATCCATATAGTTTATGGCTTGTTATATTTGCTGATAAACAGACATTTTAATTAAGTTTGAGGATGAAGCTTTCAAACATTTCTGCTTGAATTTTATCACCCTAAAAAATTAGGACCTTGGATGAAGGAGGAGATAAATAGTAGAACACATCCTATACATATACATTGACCAGAGATGCAAGTATTTATGCTGTTTATGTGAGATATGACCATGAAATAAAATACCAAGAAGGTCCCATCAACTCATAAAAGGCATCTGTGGAAAGCCTGACAATGCAAAAGATCTTTTTTATTTTCCCTTCAGACAAAACCTAGAGATGCTTAAAGATACAGGTGTAATAATAATGAGAAATTATAAGTAATTCCAGTAAATATAGTAGCCCCTCCTTATCTGAGATTTCACTGCGGTTTCAGTTACCTGTCTGTGGTCAACCGTAGGTCCAAACATATTAAACAGAATATTTCATAAAGAATTCATCATTTGCAAATTGCTCACCATTCTCAGTAATGTGATAAAACCTCAAGTTTCCCTGCTCTGTCACACCCTGAATTCACGCTCTAGATATATAGTTGCTTAAGGGCTGTCACAATTATCAGATACACTCTTCCAGTATGATATTGCAGTGCATGTGTTCAAGTCATCCTTATTTTACTTAATACAAGCCTGAGATTGTAAGAGTTGTGATGATAGAATGTTGTTATAACTGTTCTACTTTATTACTAATTACTGTTGTTAATCTTGTACTGTGCCTTATTTATAAATTAAGCTTGACTGTAGGTATGTATGTGTAGAAAAGAGTTCAGTACTATCTGCAGTTTCAGGCATCCACTGCAGATCTTAGAAGACATCCCACCATGGACAAGAGGGGACTATTGTGTATAGCTTTATCAATGCACCTACCCATGGAGTAATTTGTCTCTGAACTTTTGAATGATATCATCTGGTGTATTGTTACTGACTACTCAGTAACAATACTACTCGAGGGCTGTGGCAGAAGAGTGGAATGAACCTGGAGTCTGTTGTTCTCAAGGCCTTCTTAGCCCATCGGCTACAGCAAAGTCATGTCCTGTGTGGACTGCATCAGAGGCGAATGCAGTGGAGGTTTCTAAAGACTTATTTTGTGAGTAACTCATGTCTTCTTGGTGAAATACACAGAAACCTTGGATCTAAGCTTAACTTTAAATGTGACTCTTAAATTTTAAACTAGAACAATTTGCTAAAATGTGTACATTCTCCTGTTTCAAGAAGCAAGTGTAGACATAAAATATTTTTACAGCTTGTAGATTCATTATGGATATGAATACAACTATTTTTCCTAAAAATCTGTGTATTATTTTTCTAGGGCTGCCATGACAAAATGCCTCAGACTATGTGGCTTAAACAACAAAAAATTAATTTCTTGTAGTTCTGGAGGCTAGATGTCTAAGAACAAGATGTCAGAAGGGTTGGTATTTACTGAGGCCTCTCTCCTTGGCTTACCTTTGTCTCCTTTTCTTTATGAGCATACACCCTGACCTGTCTGTGTCCTTAAATTTCCTGTTCTTATAAAGAAGTAGTCAGATTGCATTAGGGCCCACCCTAAAACCCTCACTTTGATTTAATCATCTCTTTAAAGGCCCTATATCCAAATACAGTCACATTCTGAGGTACTGGGGGTTAGGGCTTCAATATATAAAATTTAAGGATTCATAAGTCAGCCTAAAACACTAGAAATTAAAACTCACAAGAAGATGAAACTATGAACTAGTAAAATAAATATTATTTTTTCCAAAGAAAGTTTCACCTCTTGAAAATTATCACTAAAATGAATTTTTAGAGTATGTTCAAAATGTGGTTGATGCATTATTTGAACAAAGGGCATGCAAATGCAGAGATGGGTTGTTTTAGGCATCTGGAACTTTTGAAGCACATCTGCAAGTTTGATGTCTGAGAAAATGATTATACCAATTCTCATTATTGTTCAGTGTTATTATAGCGATATTGCATGCTTAAGAGTGGTATTTTCCATTTACAAGCACTGTCCCATTCATTATCTAGCTTTAGTCTTGAAAGAGCCATGTGAGTGCTGGTATTCACATATAGGATTTTTGTTTATTTGTGTTGAATGAACAAGAATGTCATAAGAGAAACTGAGTTTAAGGAGATTTCACATTAGAAGATGTTCTCTTTTTCTATTCTGGGTTGTATTCTGTTGGTTTTAATCTTTTTATTGTCAGCAAGGAAACTCATTCTATCTGACAATTTTTCAGAAATGATGATAGGATTTCGCTGTGTTCCCACCCAAATCTCATCGTGCATTGTAATTCCCATAATCCCCACGTGTCTTGGGAAGGTCCAGGTGGAGATAATCATGGAGGCAGTTTCTCCCATCCTGTTCTTGTTATAGTGAATTCGTTCTCACGAGATCTCATGGTTTTATAAGGGGCTTCTCTCTTCACTGGGCTCTCATTCTTCTTTCGCCTGCCACCTTTTGAAGAAAGATGTGTTTGCTTCCCCTTCTGCCATGATTGTAAGTTTCCTGAGGCCTCCCCAGCCCTGTGGAACTATGTCAATTAAACCTCTTTCCTTTACAAATTACCCAATCTCGGGTATGTCCTTATAGCAGCATGAGAATGGACTAATAACAATGGATTTAAACTTTTGTCATCCATCAGAAAAATTATATTGATACCTACTATGTTTAACGTACTATTCTGCATGTTAAAAAAAGCAATTGTCTGCATTATTGGGCATAAGATTACAATCCTCATTTATGAAAATAACCATATGTTTACTTTTTGTTGTATGATTTGGGAAGTCCATTCTATTTGTGATATTAATCTGTTACCAAGATTTCTAATTCCACTTTCAGCCTAAATCATATTTTTAAAAAGAAATACGGAGAAACACACTATACTAGATCGACCTCACAGGTAAGAGAAAGGGGATTTTTGACTTCTAATTTTCAAGCACGTCTGGAAGACAGTATTGAGATTAGACATAAAATTTTATTAAGTTACTTAAATATATATCTTTATAAAAATGACTAATTTGTTCTTGTAATAAGGAGCAACTGGAAAAAAAACAAAAGGCTGGTTTGTGTTGCTTTCTCTGTAGTGAGGGACATGCTACTTCTCTACAGTAGAGCTCTTTCAGTTTTATCATGATCAGTGTAGCAGGTACTGAAGCTCTATTTGAATGTTTGAATGTCTATGTGTATTTGAGTATTGGTATCTGGAATCAATATTACATGAGAATTCCCCAAATAAAGAGGAAGAAATACCCAAAGTATCTGTTACTAGATTTTCTTTTTTACATGTTCAGTAACATATTTCAATCTTTCTCATCTGAGACTCTTCCTAATAACTTTTCATGAGGATTTACATAATAAATAAAGTGTATCTTGGAATCAAAATAGATTGAGAGTCTCAGGGGACAGATTACAAGCTTGAGAATTTTTGGCAGGACTGAGGTATGGTACAAAATGGACTGGGATAGTGCTAAATTATCATGGTAAATGCCAGCACTGCAAGAAGGGTGAGATGTAACCAGGTCAAAAAGACTTTCTTATGAAATACTTTATTTGGGTAGATGTGTGGGGGTGTTGTGAGCTGAAATTCAAGTGGCTCCGGGATAATGTGAAAATTCTTAGAATTTGCTACAATAGAGTTGTTCAAAATTATATATTTTTTCCTAATGCTATTCTTTATTATATTCTAAGTAATATTTATCTCATTATTAAATGATAAGTGCCAAGTAGAGCAACAAAATATTAGTGTTGTAGTGTCATAACTTGTAGAAAATGTGCTTGTTTATTTTCAAGCTGTAAAAAGTAATGCATACTTGCTAAAAATATTCATTATATGATAATGCAGGGAATAAATATAGAAATCTACCTTCACTTCTCCTAAACCTTTCTCATGAGAAGTAACCACTATTAAAAGGTTGTAAATATCAACATCAATATATGTAAACTGAATAATATCTCATTGCTTATGGCCCTGTTTTGACATGACAAGGTTGTAGTCAAAGAAATATGAACTTACCATGAGATAAAAATTAAATTTAACATCTTTGTTCTAGTCTTTCATGATAATAGCAAATGTCATTTAAAAAATAAATCAAGCCAGGCGCAGTGGCTCTTGCTTGTAATCCCAGCACTTTGGAAGGCCAAGGCAGGCGGATCTCCTGAGGTCAGGAACTTGAGATGAGCCTGACCATCATGGAGAAATCCCATCTTTACTAAAAACACAAAATTAGCTGGGCGTAGTGGTGCATGCCTGTAATCCCAGCTACTCGGGAGGCTGAGGCAGGAGAATCATTTGAACCCAGGAGGCAGAGTTTACAGTAAGCTGAGATCGTGCCATTGCACTCCAGCCTGGGCAACAAGAGCAAAACTCCATCTCAAAAATAAATACATAAATAAATAAATAAAGTCAAAATGTCCTCAATTATCTTTTTTTTTAAATTTTCTGATCCATGCTCACTCTCCATGCAGCTGATTCTATGTCTCTCATTCAAGTTCATGTTCCTAATAATCACTGTTTCCCAAATCCAGACCAAGCTGAATTATTCATAGGTCTCATTTCCCCTGACTCAGCTGCATGTTAGTGGATCAGCAGTTTCTTGGTTTTCTTTAACTTTTCTTTTCTTTTACTACTATGATTTTGTGCCTCAGAAGAGGGTTAGGACACTGATTAAGCATGCATAAATTTTTGCTTTGTAGAGAGAGAAGTATAAATACTCAAAATTAAATGTATTTCTTTAAGTTTTTCTCATTTTCTGTATGTACATATATAGATGTACACTACTTATTCTTTGCAGTCAGCTTTCCATATTTGTGGATTCTGCATTCAAGAGTTCAACCTCAGATCAAAAATATTTCGGGAAAAAAATAAAGGATGATTGTGTGTGCACCCAAACTGTACAGACTTTTTTGTTCTTTGTGATTATTCCCTAAACAATATAGTATAACTATAATTTACATAATATTTACATTATATTTGGTATCACAAGTAATCTAGAGATGATTTAAAGTAAACGAAAGGATGTGTGCACATTATATGCAAACACCACATCATTTTGTATAAGGGACTTGAGCATCCGTGGGTTATGGCATCCGTGGAGGAATCCTGGAACTAATACCCCATGGATGCCCAGGGATGACTATACCTCTAATTTACAGTTCTAACTTTGGCATGCACCTTTTATTTACACCTAAAGACATCATGTGGAAATGAAATTCTTGGAATTAGAAATGAGTAGCTAATAATTCAATTTACTTAAGAACAATTGTATTTTTTATATGTTACGAGAATTTTTCTGAAAGGAAAAAGGAAAGAACACATTACATTTTCAGTAACCCCTAGGTCAGAAACAAAATATTTGCATAAAGAGACAAGATCTTTAAATGAGAAAAACTTTGAGTACATTGTTCAGCTGATAAAATACATTTTGGATGAATAAACAGAAAACAGAAGCTGGAATTGAGCCAGATGTGGGATGTGTGGGGAACAAAATTCAGAGAAGTTTAGCTAGCATAGAAGGTTGAGAATAAAACAAGTTCTTTGTAGTGCAAGTGTTGTGTTTTCTGGTTTGTTTAATTTTTGAAGTTGACACGTCACATGTTGTTGAAATGACATGCTGAATGAACTTGAGTGTAGTGTAGAAAACACTAACAAAGCTAAGAGCTCTGCCCTCGGTCATGAGTCATTAGCAGTTAAAAAAAAGTGCATCAGTTTGTCTGGAAGAATTTTCAAACTTGTCTGGATGTTGTGGACATGTGAACACGCTATGTCATCTGAGAAACTTGAAACAGTGTTTTTTAAAGCAATATGCCAAGAATTGAGATAATAAAGACATATACTCATATTTGAACAAAGTGACATCTTAATGAGACTAAAGCAATATGTTTCAGATTATTGAAAGGTTTGAGGTCTCATCACACTTAGCAGTCATTAAAGCAGTTTAACTTCTACCCTAGAATGAGATCACAGAAAGTGTGAAGCCATGTTAACATGTCTGGTATAAAATTGTGGAAGGAAATAGGGTTGTATGCTTCGGTGCAACATTTCAGGTTATTGGAATGTAATTCAGATAAACTGTAATTTATTTAAGCCTGTGTGGATGAATTTCTGGAAGGAAAGAAGGAAGGAAGGAAGGAAGGGAAGGGGAAACAGAAGGGAGGAAAGGAATGGAGAGAAAATTTCAAGTAAACTTTAACTGAGCTTAATAAAAATGAATTGCTTAGTGTTGTAGTCAGAAACAATGAATGACCTTTACTATAAGGTGACTGAGATCGGACCTAGTGAAAACTAATTGAATGAATTAACATGGAAATTTTATTGTATATTTGCAATAAACTAAGAAAATGATTTGTTAGACCCATATGCAAATATGTTTGCTTTGGAGATCCTTCTGCTCCCGGATCATATTGTCAATTTTTGGTATTCAATTTTTATAAAAACAAAAAGCATGAATCTTAGATGGGCTCTTCAATATCATCAAGTCTCATTGTTAAAGAAAAAATAGCCACAGAGTCGAGTTCTTGAAGGAAACACTCCAGGGAATGTCTAAATGGAAGTGGTCTAGAAGCTAACTTGAGGAGGTTTATAGAACTGTTTTTACATAAAGCCAGAGAAAGTAAAATAAGTTTGTGTTTTTAAAAGTAAAATTGATGGTTCTAACCTGATTAACCAGTTGTGGAGCCCAGGTTTTTAAGCTACAGTTTAAATTTGTTATCACTTTTTCTGTACACTGGTTCCGTGTTTGGGAAATGTTAAGTATAGATTATGACAGCTTATGGTTAGCATTTGCAGAACTGTTAGCATCATAGGTATTATGACTATTACTAGCAGAATTTTTTAACAAAACTGTCTCATGTATGAGCTTGTCCCAATACTTAAAACTAATGCTTGAAACTGGATTTGTGTCAGAGAAAGTTCTATGTGTTTTTTGTTTTGTTTTGTTTTGTTTTTATAAAATGTGATTTATCTAACCCTACAAATCTCTGCTAATAAACAATATGGAATATTAGCAGTTTACTAACTCATCAATGATGTTAATTTTTAATGCTAAAAATCTGGCTATCACATTTGAAGGACTGCAAATCACATGTGCTTTGTATTTCCTTCCTAGGGAATTTAATTTTGGGGTCATATCCCCCTGCTTTTAATACAGTCCTGTCTCTGACATTGACAATCTTTGTTAGCTGCTTTCCACCAGGTTTTTACTTTCCGACATCCCCAAATATTAATTTGGGGATGATCTGATTGTGCAGAAGTTGGCACCACCTCTTACTTCTGTTGTGTTGTGAATAATGTCACTTTAGCCAGTCAGTCCCTTCATGCTGCTTGTCACAGTGGTAAGGTCAGGTGCAGGTATGAGTTCTCAGCCAGATCAATCAGGTTAAACTTTTCTACATGACAAGAATGAAAAAGCGGTAGCTCCAGGAAACTCTGGCACCTATCATAAATCTGGGCTAGGATCCAGGCTCAGTGATAAGGTCAGGTGCAGGTATGAGTTCTCAGCCAGATCAATCAGGTTAAACTTTTCTACATGATAAGAATGAAAAAGCGGTAGCTCCAGGAAACTCTGGCACCTATCATAAATCTGGGCTAAGATCCAGGCTCAGTGATACGGCTCCAATGTGCGAAGGAACACCAGGGTTCTTGGTCCTCATGTCGAATTAGAAAAAACGATACTGACACACACACATGGAGTGGTTTTAAGGAGCGGAGAGTTTAATAGGCAAGAAGGAAGGGAGAAGACAGAAGAAAGAAGCTCCCCTGTACAGAGACAGAGCCGGGGGTGGGGGTGGGGGCTCCAAAGCCAAAAGAGGGGGTTCCCAAGTGCAGTGGACACAAGCCAGGTATATATGCAAAGGCTGGAGGAGGCGGTGTCTGATTTGCACAGGGCTCAGGGAATTGGTTTGACCAGGCATGTCATTCACATGACCCGGAAAAAGCTGGTCCTCCCACCCTGGCCTTTTAATATGCAAATGCAGGACACCATGATGTTCTACACACGTGGGGATATGTGGAGGCAGCCATTTGCCAGGGACATGTGGGGCAAGGACAAGAAGGCCGCTGGAATCACCATGTTGGGTGAACCCAGTTTCTAATGGTCTACATTTGCATATCAAAAGTTGCTAGCCTGGCTCTGAGAGCTGGGACTTTACAAGAAACTTTTCCAGAGATGCTTAAAAAAAGAAAACTTCCCAAGGACCCCTTTTCCTCTCTATCTGCTTAAAATAATTTCTTAATAACTCCTACAACATTAGGACAATGTGACACTGCAGAATGCAAAAGAAAGTAAGAGAACTGGATTATCTGATGATATCATTGTTCCGGTACTTTGACTTTCCATTGCCAAGGAATGGTCTGAGTCAGGCTATATTTTCTGTGCTGACAGTTAATGTTCATCTGGAAAAAGCACAGTAGTAGTAATTACATTGGTAGTCTGCTTTTCAACTCATGATCTAGGGTTTTTTAGCACATATCATAAAGGTGTTTTAAACACAAAATAAGGGCAAATGTCTATGGAAACAAAAGGATAAGTGTAAGGACAGTTTACCTCTTTGATAGTCTAAACAGTAAGGAGGCTGATTTGACTGAAGCTAAGAATTTGCATTAAGGGATATTAAGACCCAGTGTTGGATTAAAAAAAAAAGGCACTTACATACATGTTGATTTCTTTTTTACTGATCTCAACTGCTTTTCTTTTTTCCCAGGATTGAAACCAGGTTTACCAAACTATATAAAGACAACAAAATGTGCATAGTACTGGTGTCTTATTCTTTCAACTTTATGTTTTTGCCTGTTGTATTCCCAGTAGCTAGTTCAGTAACTGACATGTACTATTAAGTTTGACTGAATAATTAAATTTTAATTTAGTGCCACAGTACACAGGAAAAGAAATAAATTTTGTCTTTTAATAAAATTTATATTATGGTTAATTTTTCATGATGTGATGGCTTCAGATAATTTTTCTTCTTTCCTATTCGAAGCAATGCTTACCTATCATCGTCATGTTCAAATGAGGTGCTTATTAGATGAGGATGTGTTCATCAATGACTAAATCTTACACATACATACACATACACACAGGCACATACGGAGAGATGATAGATAGATAAGGTATTGTGATGACAATTTTGCATCAACTTGACCACAAAGTACCTAGACATTTCATTAAAGATTATTCTGGGTGTGTCTGTGAGGGTGTTTTGGATGAGATTAACACCTGAATTAGTAAAGACTGAGTGAAGCATGTTGTTTACCCCACTGTGGGTGGATCTCATCCAATCTGTTGAAAGCCTGAATAGAAGAAGTTTGAGTAAGAGAGAGAAGAGAGAGGGGTAGAACTCCGTCTAACCCTATTTGAGCTGGGATATTGGTTTTCTCCTGCCTTTACTCTCAGACTCAAGCTGTAATTTACACTATCAGCAATCCTAATTGTCAGGCCTTCAGACTCAGACTGAAACTGTACCATTGGCTCTGCTGGATTTACACACACACACACAGACAGACAGACACAAACACACAAGTTAATGGAAACATACAGAAAAGATGCAATAAAGAAAAATGCTGGTACTGAAGAAGTGAAGTGGTGAGAGAGTTAATTTAACAAGGGATACATAGATACTTCTCAAGACTGTGAGCATAAATATTTCTACTTTAAAAAAAAACCCATCTACCCTTTTGGCTTTACAATTGACCCTTATACAATGTGGGGATTAGGGTATCCACCACCTACACAGTCAAAAATTCATGCATTACTTTTGGCTCCTCCAAAACTATTAATAGATTACTGTTGACCAGAAACCCTGTTGATAATACAAGCAGTCATTTAACATGTATTTTGTATGTTACATATAAATATTTTATACTGTATTTTCAAAATAAAGTAGACTGGGGAAAAGAAAATGTTATCAAGAAAATCAAAAGAAAAAATATATTTACTATTCATTAAATGGAAGTGGATCATCATAAAGTTCTTCATCCTCATGGTCTTCACATTGACTAGGCTGAGGAGCAGGGGTATGAGGATGGATTGGCCTTGCTGTCTCAGGGTGACAGAGGTAGAAAGAGGTAGAAGAATCTGTCTATAAGTGGATCCACATAGTTAAAAATCTGTTCTATTTAAGAGTCAACTCTATTCATCAGTATATGTTTTATTAATGTATTCATACATTTACTCATTAATTTATCCAATAGTCACTTTTTTTTTTTTTTTAGACAGAGTTTCACTCTGTCGCCCAGGGTGGAGTGCAGTGGTGCAGTCTAGGCTCACTGCAACCTCCACCTCCCGGGTTCAAGCAATTCTCTTGCCTCAGCCTCCCGTGTAGCTGAGATTACAGGCACCCACCATCACGCCTGGCTAATTTTTGTATTTTTAGTAGAGGCGAGGTTTCACTATGTTGGCCAGGCTGCTCTCAAGCTCCTGACCTCAGGTCATCTGCCTGCCTCAGTCTCCCAAAGTGCTGGGATTACAGGCATGAGGCACCGCACCTGGCCTGTCACTCATTTTTGAGTTTCTAATGCTTACATAGTTAAAGGCACTCAATTAATAAGAGGTCCTCTGAAGTCGTTACCTATAATCAAAGAGAACAGAAATCCAAACAGTGAAATGCATCATGCTAGGGGTAGGCTAGGGGTAGATAGGGGAGAAGAGAAGGAGTGGCTGAATCAGACTGATGAACCGGCTACATTAGGAAGAGATGAGAAGAGTACTTTAAGAGCACTAATGAATTTTCTGTATTGTATATATTATTTTCTTTGGTCTTTCCAATGATATATGGGGAAAGATGAAGTATGTAGCATCTCCTTTGAAATTATAGTGATTTTGTTTCTATTTATAACTTTCAAGTTACTCTCAATCCTGAGTTGGCTGTGCCTATTCTGTAATAACTAGGCAAGTGTGAAGACAGTACCACTACATGAAAAAATTGTTTTATTTCTGCAATTCAGAAGACACTAACACATTCCTTGAAATCTACACTGCCTAATGATCTTTGCACCCAGGCTATTGAATCCTACCTCTTTGGGGTGGAAACGTCTGCGCAATTTACTGAGGCTTTCGGCAGGGTTATGTTGGTCTAGCAGTTAAATAGTTATGTTAGGAATAAAAAGGTATTTAATGGTTTATTGGAAAGTCAATGGCATAATGTGTGAAGTACCTCTTTAACAGTATACTAAAAGTGTCAGAATCCTGTGCAATTTTCCACACACAAAAATGGCATAATGTTCTACAGGTGTCACACATTTATTCCCACTTGCTCTGCTCATTAGTAAAATATTTTAATGTATATTCTATAAATTAATCAGACATGTCCTAACAAATTTCCAAGCTAAGCAAGCAACTAGGTAGATTCTGAAAAATATGTTAAACACTAAGAGCTTAGTAAAATTTATCTGAAGTGCTAACATTTCTTGTGGTTATTTCTACAACACAAATTCAGTGTGTTGATTGTTGTACTGTACATTGTTGAACATAAGTTATTTGAGCAAGGTCCAGATGTCCCTGATAGCTAAATTCTCATTGCCTTATGCCCACTACCAAAGTAATAAAGATTGCCTACGGAAAACCTATGACCCCTTTAAAAAATAAGATTACTATTTTTTAAATGGTAATTGACTTTTTTGTGGACATGTATTTTTTTCGGAATACAGGCTTCTGTGTTGGTGGGTATATTCTGCACAGTGTCCCAAATACACACTGGCCCATAAGACTTCATAACAAAATACTCTGACTTACAAAATCATCCATAATGTTTTAAAATATTTGTATTTTTTAATGAAATGACCTTATAATTATAAAACAAGTACATATTATTTGACATTTCTCATGTTTTAAAAAGGACATATTTTGCATCGAGTTAATATCCTGTCGATGAAAAGAGTCACGCTCTGTAAAATATTTGACGAAATTTTTTCTGAGCCAAATATGAGTGACCATGGCCTGTGACACAGCCCTCAGGAGGTCCTGGGAACATGTGCCCAAGGTTGTTGAGGTGCAGCTTGGTTTCATACATTTTAGGGAGGCATAAGACATCAATCAAATACATTTAAGAAATACATTGGTTTGGTCCAGAAAGGCAGGAAGGTTGAGTTTGTTTAAAGACTTGGGATAGCTAGAAAGAAAATGTTCAGGTTAAGATAAAAGACTATGAAGACCAAGGTTCTTTTGAAGTCTTATAGTGGCTGCCCTTACTGATGATAGATGACAAATGTTTCCTATTCAGATCTTTAAAAGGTTCTAGGCTCTTAACTAATCTCTTCAGGATTGAGAGGGCCTGGAAGAAAAAGATCTAGCTATGTTAACAGAGATTCTTTACAGATGCAATCTTCCCCCCACAAAGGACAGCTTTGCAGGGCCGTTTCAAAATATGGCAAAGAAACATGTTTTGGGGTAAAATGTTTTGACTTTCTTCTTTGTCACATAATGTTATGCCACAGTTAGATTGGAAAGTAAGTCATGATATAGGGTTAAATAAAACCATCTGATGAGAATTTATGGTTTATAGGGCATGACTCCCTAGACCTGTCCAATAGGAATTTGGGCAAGATAAAAAAAAAATCAGAGCTTAGTCTTCAATCCATATATTTAAAGAGTTTGTCTTAGTTTGAGGTTGCTATAACAAAGTACCATACATTGGTGGCTTAGAAACAGAAATTTACTTCTCATAGTTTTGGAGGTTGGAAGTACAAGATGAGAGTGCCAGCATGGGTAGTGTCAGGTGAGGACTGTCTTCCAGTTTGTAGACTGCCATCTTCTCATTTTATCCTCACATGGTGGGGAGTAGAGCAGAGAGAAGAAGCAAGCATTCTAGTTATGCTTATAAGAGCACTAATAAAATTCCTGAGGGCTCCACCCTCATGATCTCATCAGATACTAATCACCTCCCAAAGGCCCCACCTCCAACTATCATCACATTGGTGGTAGGATTTCAACACATTATATGTGTATAATTATGTGGAACACAAAGATTCAGCCCATAAAATAGTTAATATGGAAAGACATATTAATATACATATGGTATGTAGGTATATATATGTGTGTGTGTGTGTGTGTGTGTGTGTGTAGCCATATATGTCTCTAAACTTATATTTTTATTTTGTACCCAGAGCTACATTATTATATCTTCATATATTAATGTAAGGTATATACATCTTGTCAATCACATATCAAGTCATCTATGTAATCCTCTGTATAGCCATATTAAGTGGGATATATGTGTATGTGTGTGTCTTTGTAATTATATATACTGCATAATTTCTACTGAGCCCACAGAATAGAAAATAAGAGACTCAAATTTATGCATGCATATGTAATATGCATGTGATCTGTTCTTTAAGACTAGTGGAACATAGGTTTTTTTAAATGTTTGTTATAAGACTAATAAAGACATATTATTTATTACATCTACCAGTTAGCAGATTGTTAGGTATGCCATTAGTGACCTAACATTTATCTCAACTCCATGATAAATTTATTTGGAACAGTGAACAATAGTAGTTTTAAGAGGTCGTCCTGCTCTGAAGTTTCACAGTATTCCTCTGTTTTTAAGGGCACACAGTCATTCAGTAATAATAACTATTCTAACAAGGCCAAATTTAACTATTGTATTTCTGATCATGTTACAGATCTATCATATTAATTTTTTAAAAAACTGTTAAATAAGTCAAACAACTTAGATGAGGTTCAAGTGTTTTCTTCTCTCTGTGTTGCATACTTTTAATTACATTCCAAAGAATGTTAAGAAGTTAAGATGCCTGAGTAATTCTGCCCATGTTTACTGATACCATCTTGGAAATCAGAAACCCGTAAATATTTTCATTCTCTTTGGGTTGAGATGAACAAGCTCTTCATTTTATTTCTATTGTTATGCTAATATTTGGAATATAAAAGCATTCAGATTGCAATTTTAGAAAGGACTTTTAAAATTACTTATTATTTAATCTCCTTAATCAGCCTTTTTTAATCTTCATTAGCCATTTCAAGATTTTATTGAGAGTTGTGAAAATTCCCAACTACTTCTATCACACATAAGCCGATTCCTATTATGCCTCAATTTCTGTCTGTAAATTTCTAAGACTAACATGTATCCCTTCTGTCTTTATTAAATATTTGTAAATCTTGCTTCTTCTTGTATCTCCAGGCATTTCAAGGTAAGGATGGTAGACTGTTTCCCATTTTCCTGAGAAATTTGAAGCAATCAGAGGAGATATCCACAAGCTGTATCTCCTCGTCTACCCATTTTCCTGTCATTGTGCTTATGTGTTCTCATTGCCCACAATGCATTGCCTCTCTTCCTGGCTAAGACCATGCCACCTCATGAGCACAGGGTCCCATTTATTCTTGCTTACTCAAGCAAACTGTTTCATCAATAATCTTTCTATTGTTTTAAGAAAGGGTGTTCCATTCAATATCACATCTTTTTCAGTAGGATAGAAAAATATTGTTTCACCAATATTAAAAGAAAATCAAAACATAACCAAACTAAATAAAGCAAAACAAAACTCTTGTGATTCCATTTGATCTTCTAGGTTATGTGTGATTTTTTGCCCTCCTTTGCCTCACATTGTTTATTCTCATTTTCTCTAATTTCTTCCCACCTATCTTGTTGAACCCAAACCAGTTCGTATGTTTTTCCCTCTACCACTCTACTCCACTCCATTCCATTTTTCCTTGTGTAGGTCACCAATAACTTCCACTTAGCTAAGTTCAATAGTTAATTTTTAGTCCTTATACTAGGTTGAATAGAGCCTCCCAAAATTCATATTTACCCAGAACTACAAAATGTGACCTTTTTGAAAGGAGAGTCTTTAAAGATATAATTTTTCAGATTAGCTCATACTGGATTAGAGTGGGCCCTAATTCAATGCCTGCTGTTCTTATAAAAACAGAAAACAGAGACACACAGAAAATGCACAGAAGAAAAAGCTATGTGAAAATAAAGGCAGAAATTGGAGTTATGATGCCACAAGCCACAAAATGCCAAGGGTTGTCAGCAACCACCAAAAGCTGGAAGAAGCAACGAAGGAATCTCCCTTAGAGTCTTGAGAGGGAGCAGGGCCCTGCTGACATCCTGATTTCAGACCTCTAGACTCCAGAACTGTGAGACAGTAACCATATCAACCCTGGGAAGCTGAAATACTCCTTATTTTACTTGAACCGTCAGTAGCATTTAATTCAGTTCCTCACAATTTTCTACAGAAAACATTGAATTTACTTGGCTGCCAAGACAACACACTCATCTGTTTTTTCTTCTTCTTCTCTGAATTCTTCTTATTAGTCTCTTTTTTTCTCCCTGATCTCCTAACACCAGAGTGCCCTAGAGCTTAAACCTTGCACCTCTTCCTTTTATTTTTTTTAAATCAACAACACATTTTCTTTCTAATCTCATCTAGTCTCATGACCTTAAATATCATATATGCTGATGATTCCTAAATTTATATTTGTAGTCCAGACCTCCCACCCGAACTCTATTTGTAGCTTCCTTCTTAACATATTCCTATTCATGTTTAATAAGCATCTCAAATATAACATGTCCAAAACTGATAAATCAATGTGTATGACTCTGCTATTTTAACTGGGAGCATTTATGTTGTTTCTCTAACTAACAAAGATTAATAACTGAACAATAGCTTGGGTTAAATATCTTGATATTTTTTCTCCCTCAATGAAGTTTTGATTTTTGAAATATGAATCATGGACCATAAATATTATAGTGTCTCTTTTCCCTTAATAAGTTACTTGACTCAATAAAATAATAATATAGTCTTCCAGGAAATATTTAACAAAGTATGTGGTCTTATTACTTTAGTACAGGGAATTTAAAATATAATTTATGTGCTATCCTAATGAATTTATTTATTTTCTTGTGTATGTATTATACATAATTTACACATACCTTTGTACTTTTTTGTACTTTGAACATAAAGCCAGCTTCAAGGCATATCAAAAACTATACAGTATTGAAATAGTTTGGATGTCTTCTCTGAATCTCATGCAGAGACATAATCCCCATTGTTGGAGATGGGGCCTGGTGAAAAGTGTTTCGTTCATCGGGAAAGATCCCTTCTGGCTTGGAACTGTCCTTGTGATAGTGAATGAGTTTTCATGAGATATGGTTGTTTACAAATACGTGGCACCTCTCTCCCACTCTCTCTCTTCCTCCCGCTCTCACCATGTAACATGCTTGTTCCTACTTCACCTTCCACCATGACGGAAAGATCCCTGGGGCCTCCCCAGAAGCCAGGCAGATGCTGGCCCCATGCTGCATAGGATATTCAGCCGGCAGAACCATGAGTCAATTTAATATCTTTTCTTTATAAATTACCCAGTCTTGGGTATTTCTTTATAGCAACACAAGAATAGCCTCACACAAATATCCACAGATTAAACTTCAATATTTCTCAAGAGTACATAAATACTCAAACACAAATAATGGTACTCAAAATAGCCACTAGAGAAAGATAAAGAATAAAACATTTTGATAATAAAACATTATCAGAAAGGTTTCATGTTTTCAGACAACCATTGAATGTGGTAAAAGGCCTATCTTTGCTCCCCCAAGCAAGATGAGGGCATCCTAATTGATTCTTAATAGAGAAAAGAACTGCAGAAAAAAAGTAAATAATAAATAATATTATTAATTGTCAAAGGAGATACTGAGAAATATACAAACATATGTTAATAAATTATGATAGAGTAAAAAATTTTCTGTGTGATAATTTACTTGTGTAATGGATTGCAATGTGCAGTTTCATCCTGAAGCTGTAGTAGACTGGTACTGAAGGTTTGGGGACATGGGTAGACATTACATTTAACGTGAATATAAGCATACTCTTGGTGGGTATGAGCCAGTTTCATAGGTGATTGCAAACACCTATAATGTATCTTCAATGGGAATGCGAAGTGGGGTAGAGGAAAACTAAGCAGAGCAGAAGTCTCCTGTTAGGAGATCCACATGTAAGTTCAAGTAAGATGTCCTTAGGTCTCCCAGAAATAAAGATGGATGACATTTCTGACTAGAGGTAGAAGTTTTGTATTTGTCAAAGTGGACAAGAAGCCATGATCCTCTACTTTATTACATTTCTGGCTATGCCACTTCCCCTGAGCATCTGACTTGTATATTCAATTGCATATGAGGCTTCTCCACTTGGATGTCTTATTGGCATCTCACACTCAACAGGTCCAAATTAAAATACTGGATCCCTGCCTATCTCCAGCCCTGCACCTTTTTCAGACATCCCACCTCAATTAATGCTCCAAATAGCATCCAGCTGCATAGATCCCAAACTCAAATTATCACTTTTGCTTCTTCATGCAGCTTCTTTATCCATTACAGTTCAGCTGTCATTCCCTGGCATTAACTGAGGAATAACACAGGTCTCTTACTATTCTCAATATCTAACTGTTAAAAAATTTCTTTCATTTTTGATTTAGTGGGTATGTAGTAGGTGTGTATATTTATGAGTTACATGAGATATTTTGAAACAGACATGCAATGTGTAATCATCTCATCAGGTTACATGGGATATCCATCACCTGAAGCATGTATCCTTTGTGTTACAAACAATACAATTATACTCTTTTCAGTTATTTTAAAATGTACAATTAAACTATTCTTGATTTCTTTACTTTTTTTACTGCCACCTAATACAAGTCATCAGCAAGTCATGTTAGTTTTACATTTTATTCAAAATCAAATTACTACTTCCTACTCCCTCTATTACTGTGCTACTGCACACCACCATCACTTCTCCACTAGAATACAGCAACCAACTCTAATTGACTTTTTCCTTTCAAATATTACTTTGCTACAATCCATAGAAGCCAGAATAATCCTCTATTAATATAAATCATATTATATTATTTCTAGCCTATAATTTCCAGTGCTCTTCTATTACATTTGTTGCAAAATGCAAACTCTATCCTGGGCCTTCAAGGTCCTCCTACAGGATTTAGCCTACCTTGCATTCTTGTATTATTTCTTTCATACCACCTTACTAATTTCTCCATGTTCTCCTGTTCTCCTTTACTTTTCTTCTTGTTTCCCAAACAAGATAAGCTTCTGCCTAGAGCTTTTGCCTTATTTTTCATTCTTTTAGATCTTTTTTTTTCTTTTTTCTTTTTTCTTTTTTTCTTTTTTGTTGAGACAGAGACTTGCTCTGTCACCCAGGCTGGAGCGTAGTGGCGCAATCTCGGCTCTACTTCCCGGCTTCACACCATTCTCCTGCCTCAGCCTCCCGAGTAGCTGGGACTACAGGCCATTTAGATCTTACTCTGCACATTCTGCAACTACTTCTAGTAATTTACATTTAAGTTTTTAATGGAATCTCACAGAGGTCTTCCATGAACACCCAATTTCAGTCATCTTCAGATTAATTCACATTAAGAGACTATATGTGATGTTATTCATAACTTACTTTAAATGTGTCAGGTTACAGAGTTTCATAGTACATACAGACTGATTATCTTGAGCTTTAATTATAAAGATGTTACTGTCCTTATCAAGAATTTACACTTTTGGAGTTAATTCTCCCTTTTTATCAGGAAGCACACAATTCAGAGAGAGCTATTATAAATCCTTCAGCCAGCAGATTGAGAAATTATATTTTATTGGTAAAATTAGTGGCCTTTTAAATAGAATAATAAATGTTTAAGATGGGATCTTATTAATAAAGTTAAAGATATTAATGATGTGTGGTTGACTTAATTGTCTTTTATACACTCAACCCTGTTACATTCATAGGCTATCAATATCCAGAAAGGTCTGTAGCAAGGACCCTTGAGCATGAGTCCATGGATTGGTCACTAATATTGTATCCAATCTCTGAATTAGGCACTTTTTACTTGATGTTGGTTCTAAGGGGAACACCTCTGTAATGGAACTCCATCAAATTTATAAAACTTAGAAAATAAGGCTCATGAACCATTTTATGTCAACTTTGATAATAAATATTTAACTAAAAACTGTCAGTATAGTGGCAGCAATTAGTCTAAAATGTGCTAAAATTTGTGGATAGCATAGGTATTCCTTGACCTTTTTTTTTTTTTTTTTTTTTTTTTTTTGAGACAGAGTCTCACTCTGTCACCCAGGCTGGAGTGCAGTGGTGCGATCTCTGCTCACTGCAAGCTCTGCCTCCCAGGTTTGCACCATTCTCCTGCCTCAGCCTCCCGAGTAGCTGGGACTACAGGCACCTGCCACCATGCCCAGCTAATGTTTTGTATTTTTAGTAGAGACGGGGTTTCACCGTGTAAGCCAGGATGGTCTCGATCTCCTGCCCTCATGATCCGCCCGCCTCGGCCTCCCAAAGTGCTGGGATTACAGGCATAAGCCACCACACCTGGCCTCCTTGCCCTTTTAAAACACTTTCTACTCTTGACTACTAAAGATAATCTAAGAGTTGGGCTTTACCATGCTAGTCACTAGTTTTTTTCCTAAGCCCTCTACCCAGTGATTACCAGGAGAACAAATTATTTAAAAGCTCAAACTAACTTAAAATTAATGTATTCTGATCATTTCAACTGTTTGTTCAGGAAATGTTTAGCTGGGCTTCGGGGGGAAAGTCTTTTAGATAGCCACTCCTTTTTCTGTTTCTTTTCTTGAGACAACATGTGAATTTACTGTATGAGAAGAAAGTGTTATGTATCCTTGCAACATTCATAAACAACTTGTTCTTAATTAACACATCTTCTAGGTTTTAGCCCCTTTTTTTCCCAGGGGCTTCTCGCCTTGTTCCGGTTGCAGCTGAGTTTTGCTGCAAGTGTAACTCAGGGCTTGCTCACCTACTCTGGCTGACTGAGCTTCTTGCTGGCTGCAGACCCTGCAGTGATGGTCAATTTTTCCATCCAGCTGCTGTCTTGGCATCCTCTCTACCTTCCAGGATTCTGACTTCTGCCTCAGAATCATCTCATCCTGACATAGCAGGCCCCATGAAAGGGCATCTGCCATTTAACTCAACTATAAAAAACAGGAGAAATAAAGGCTTATCAAGAAAGCAAAACCAAAGAGTTCTGGCCATTCTCTAGGTTGGGAGACAAGACAGGGTGAGAGAGAAACTCTTTCCTCCATCCTAAAATGATGACTTCAGGCTTCAGTAGTCCATGCCTTAGAGATGTTTCCTTAATACTAAAGGCGACTTTTGCTCTTTAAACAGAAGCACAGGGAGAGAACATGCCGACCAGCTTCTTTCAACTCATTCTCCTGCTCTTACCTCACTCTTTCCCTTCACATTATCATCTCCAAAATCAGGCCTCCTTCTTCACTAATGATATAGGGAGGATTTGGGCCCACACGATCTTCTGATCTTGACAATGTTATACTCTTTCCATACATGACAAAATGGACTTTGCCTATGCAATAAATGTGACTACTTATCTGACCTTAACATAAGGAGATTATTTTGCATGATCCCAATAGGCCAACTGTAGTCATAAGACCCCTTAAAAGACACAGAAGCCAGAATAAAGTCAGGAAGATAGCAGAAGTGGAAGTCAGAGAGATTGGAAGCATAAAATAGTCTCAATCTCATCATTTTTGCTTTTGTAAATGAGAGGTGGGCACTAATGCTGGTGGCCTCTAGAATCTGAGAATAAGCTACTGGCATAGATAGAAAAGACCCTTGGAGAGAACTTTCCTTTCTCTCTTTTCTTCCTTATGCTGAATGTCCTGCTAGTGTAATTTATCTTTTTTAAAAAATTGTAGATTACCATCAAGAGAAAACCTTCCTCTCATTTTAGCTTAGGGCTTTCATAGTACTAAAGCAGCTACGTTGTCTGGGGTATATACCCTGGTGTTCGTTGTTGCTTGCCAGGAAAATGTAGGACATAAACACACATGAGGAGTTTAGGAGTGGAGGTTTAATAGGCAGAAGAGAAGAGAAAGAGAAGCAGCTCTCTTTATCAAGAAAGATCGGGGTCTTGGAGTGGAAAGGACCACTGGGTGGCAGAAGCGCCAAAATTTTTCTTTTCTTTTTTTTTTTTTTTTTTTGACAGGGTCTCATGCTCAAATGAGTCCCCTGCCTTAGCCTTCTGAGTAGCTGGGACTACAGGCATGTGCCACCACGCCCGGCTAATTTTTGTATTTTTAGTAGAGATAGGGTTTCGCCATGTTGGCCAGGCTGGTGGTCTCGAACTCCTGACCTCAAATGATCCTCCCACCTTGGCCTCCCAAAGTGCTGAGATTAGAGGCATGAGCAACCATGCCCAGCTGATGTGCCGAATTTTATAGCCAGGTTTGAGGAGGCGGTGTGTGATTTACACAGGGCTCACAGATTGATTCAAGCAGGTATGATGTTTACATAATGCGAGGGAAGGCTGGTTACCCCACCCTAATCTTATTATGCAAATAGACTTTCCAGTTGATTGAGGCCATCTTGTCTGCTCCTTATAGTACATGTGGCTGACAAAGAGAAGGGAAGATGGAGCTGCCATCTTTTTTTGTTTTTTTTTTTTTTGAGATAGAATTTCACTCTGTCACCCAAGCTGGAGTTCAGTGGCGAGATCTCAGCTCACTGCAACCTCCCACCTCCTGGGTTCAAGCAATTCTCCTGTCTTAGCCTTCTGAGTAGCTGGGATTACAGCAGGCACATACCACCATGCCTAGCTAATTTTTGTATTTTTAGTAGAGACAGGGTTTTGCCATGTTTGCCAGGCTGGTCTTGAACTCCTAACCTCAAGTCATCAGCCCGCCTCAGCCTCCCAAAGTGCTGGGATTACAGGCATGAGCCACTGCACCAAGCCAGAGCTGCCATCTTGAGCATTTCTTTTCCCTATTTCCTCCCTGCATTCATTGGTGCAAGCTCCCAGCTTGCTTGTCAATGTCTGCAGCTCAACTTTCCAGGCTGCTCTTTGTTAGAAAATTATTTAGGGCTGCTTTCATTAAAGAGAAAAGCCTTACCAAAGGCTACTGTACCCTCACTATCTGCCTAAATAATTTCTTCTTAACTCCTGTAGTCCAGGTATCGACTACACACAGAACCTTATAAATCTCAATCATCCCACCTCCTCATCCATATGTGGATGTTCTACTTTTGAAAATATAAAACAAATATAGTTGTTTTTCATTAAAATATCTGTATGTAGCACCATCTTAGAATCTCTTTCTCTCTTATCTGTTGATCTACCTATTATCTTTACAGATTCCTTATATCTTATATCTTGGTTTGTTCTCAGTGGAAATATTTTAAATTGATTATTTAGGAAATTGTTTGTACAATGTTAAGATTTTGTAAACTCTAAAAGATAAGAAAGGTAAGAAATGTGCTTATTTAGCTAAAATTTAGAATCAGTAATAAGATGGAAACAAAGGAAGAAAATGGGAAGCATACTTTTTTGAAACGTAAAACATCACTGGGTGACTTTATTACCTGTATCTATTACCTCAATTTAGGATCCCACTTTAACAAGTATTTGTAACAATCTTCTGCTGTGTCAAATGCTGTAATGAGAATTTTCCATATATTATAACACTGGATCCTCAAAATTATACTGTCAATTAGGTATATTACAGCTATATTGGAAAGGTAAAATTGTGGTTTATTGAGGAAAATTCACCAAAATTAATTCAACTAGGACTGAAGCTCCTGGAATTAAGATAAGGTAGTTGGAAATATAATAGATAGGCATTTGCTTTTTCAACTATAGTTCTGCAGGATATCTCTCAAAAACTTCTGCTTCTCTGGATTTCCACTGCCTTCACTTGATTCAAGTTTTCAAATCTCTTTATTGGTTCTATCCTAGTCCCCTACCATCATTATCTTGCCACAGTGGTTGATTCTGTGATTAGGTTAATGTTTCAGAATACTATTCTGTCTTTTCAAAGATCAAATTTATACAAACATTTAAGGACCTACTATCTTCATAACATTAGAATAAATACTATGACAAATGAAAGCACTAAGAAGATGTCCCTTCCTTTAAAGGGTCTATAGTTTATTTGGACAGGTGTTGAGATGTATCAACACAAAGTTAAAACAATACAGAGTAGTCTATTAGTGCCCATATACGGGTATGAGAATTATATTACAGAGAACTAATTTTGAGAGTTTGAAATGCTGGGAAAGGCTGTAACTTGGAATGGTTGAAAAGACTATAATGAAAATAATGTAGCCTAAAAGAGGATCTGAAATATTTGGATAATTCATTGGGGAGAATGAAGGATGTTTGGAGGGTAAAAAAAATACACAGGTGAGAATAAACATGGAGTTTTGCCACTATAATAGGCTCCTCCTAGGGTCAGTGAACCAGGAGTTCTCCATGATGCTGCTCTGGGACCTACAGTTGCATGGATAATTTTGGACTAAATTAGGGAGAGTTTTGATGTTCTACTTCAGAACTTAACATTTTGTGAAAGTCATAGAGAGCCACTGAAAATCTGTGGGTGATAACTCATCATAAAAATTCAAGATTTTAAAAAACTAAATCTAATAAATTATTTTGGATGAGACCAAGTATGAGAAGAAGGGTTAAGAAGTTTGGAAGAAGAAATGGAGCCTGAAAGCTAAAGGAATAAAATTAAATAGGAACATTTAAAAAACCATATTCTCCTAGATGTGAGTTAGAGTTATACTTAGTACTCCTTGGAAGCTTAAGAATGTCTTGTCCTCTTTTCTTGGTTCAATATTTAATAAATACCTGTCATGGAACTGTGTTGGGATGAGAGGAAAACAAAGAAGAGATAGAGTGATCCCAGCATTTTAATCTCAAACTACTGCCCTAGATATCTGGATAGAAGCAAAGACTGAGAGCAGTTTAATTTGGGATAACTGCTTTTATTGCAAACATCTACATGAAATCAACACCTTGTGAAAATGTGTTTTTCTACTCTCAATATGCACTTGATCTTTTTGCACATCTTACACTTTTTTCTGGTAAGATTATAAATATGAATCAAGCTCTTTTGATTACTCATGCTGATTAGATCAAGTAAATTAAATAGTAAGGATGGATGAACATGTATAACCAAAAATATTTAAAATACTAAAAAGAAACCTTAATATAAAATTACTTTCCAGATGTAAGTTTATTTAAATGCTCTGTTATTCTCATGTTATATTATTAACCAAGGAAATAATCATTAATTCAATCACTCAACATGGCTTTAGATGGGGGCACAGCAGTAAATAAAACAAAGTTCCAGTTTACCTGAACATTTATGTAAATATTTACATATAGGATTTAGAGATTGTATTAATTCTCATACAAAAATTTTACACAAGCATCAGAACATTATATACGAAAAGCATCTTCCTTTCATGGTGAGAAAGATCTGGGCTTTTTGTCTGAGTAGAATAGATCACAGCCACTATGCTTCCATTTTAGTTTGAAAATTTTTCCAGCTCATTACAGCTTACGAGGATATTCATCCCAGATCACCCTTTATTTTTTCCTCATCCCATTTCTCTGTGTTCGGGTAACCCTATAATGACATAGAAAAATAATAGGTGATGTTTCTAGTTCTCAGTCTTCCACTCACCTGTTTTGTAATTTTAAGCAAGTCACATAAGCTTATAAGCTTTCATTATCTAATTTGTGGGAAAAAATTAAGACTCTAATGAGGAAACATTTAATTGAGACACTGGGGATATGTAAAAGCATCAGGCATGGTGTCAGGAGCCTCAATTTTGCTTGAATTTTTTTTTAAAATTATGTTTAATAATAACTAAGAAAAAGAAACTTTGTATGCGAAAACGAAACAAAAAAAACTAACATTTGATGGAATAGTTTTAATGCAGAATTAAAGTTTAAAGAAGCTGAAATAAAAGAATTTGAAAACATTTCATTTTGGAGCTAACATTTCTAGGAGTGACAGAGCTCCTCACACTCATGTGTTTGATGAGAAATAAATTTACCCTCCCCTGTTTCTGTCAGTGCTCAGGTAGAAGAAACCTCTCGGAGGCTGAGAGGCACCAACAGATCAACTAGAATAGTGCTGTGGTCACAATGGGTGCTCAATTATAGTTATTATAAATACCATCAATGTTCATACTACAAAAGGAGTGTAGTATATTTCTTTAATTGAAGAAAGTATATTTACCATATGTTTCCAATAGTGTAAAACACACCAGCTGGCAAATCTTGGACATTCAGCGTATGTTTTTATGATTGATTTCTACTCTATAAATCCAAGAAATACTTATGAATCTTCTCGAATGTGTTGCCTGCTAAGATGTATTGTAAATGCTTGAAAGACGTTGTTTCCTCTTTGCCTTCCACGCCCAAACCAAAATAGTCTAGATTTTCCTTGCTTTGAATTAGCAGCCAAAATGACTTCACTCTGTAAAAACTTAAGAGTAAGCTCAGCCAAAAATTCAGATACACTTACATCCATACCCATACCCAGAACAAAGAGCTTAGAAAAGCTTCGCTTGGCCTATTTGTGTCATTATTATGTAGCAGGAAGTGTTGCTACAGGAAGTCAAAAAAATTACCTAATAGGTATGCTTACTCATCAACTCAAATAACTTTTTGAGGGGAAAAAAATGTGTATTTCTGTTACAGTGAATAGATTTAGAAATATTTATCTCAGGTCTCATTCTATTTTGAATTGTGTCAAAGACAGATAAAAAAACTAGTTTGCCAAACAAGGGAGATGAATTTCTTTTTTCTAGATTTTTCTTTATATGTTTTATCAAAGTATTGCATAGTACTTGCAGCTGATTGACATTTCCCTCCAGAAAGGCTAAAGAGTCATAAAGAGAGTGAAGGGGGAACTTGAGTTTTACTGCACAGGTCTTCCGGGTGTAGTGTGTAGAATTTAGGAGCATAAAATTAAGGATGGGCTGCATTGAGAGATTGGCATGGTAATATTTGTAAGAGGCTCAGTGACACATCATTATCCTAGATCAGAATACAACTATGAGTTTACTTCCTCCGATTGTGTATCCCCCAAGCTTAGAACCATTTTATATACAACTTTTCCAGGCAACTAATAAAAGCACAGATGAGGGTAAAATTGGAATAGCTATAAAAAAACGCCCTCACATGGGTAAGAGGGTAGTTGGGGGTTGAGAATTGGCACCAAATACCACCCGAAAATGAAATGTTCCTATGTATTAAGCCTTAATCAATTGATATTTACTTCTTGTGAATGGCTAATATTTAAACATCAGTCTGTAGCAGAACTGAGAGAGGGTCTATAGAAAATAATTTTCTTATAACACAAGGCAAATCTTAAAAAGTTCCAAATTGCTAAAGCACATAGGACTATCCTTTCCCTTTGCAATTTGCATCCTCAATGTCTTTTGTCATGTTCTCGGGAAGGCATACACTTTTACTTCTTTTTTTCTTTCTCGTTCCTTTCTTTTTTTTTTTCTTCCTTTATTTTTTTGCCACTGATCCTCCCTATATTTCCTTAAGGATAAAAGGCACCCTTATGTGAAATCTTCTCACCTCAGTGTAGTGCTGTTACATGCTGCTAGGAAGCCCCCAAATTCAAATCTAAGGTGACACCACACTCTTCCTTGCTTGGATTCTTGCAGATGTGACATCACCACCATCCCCTTCCTGGAAACATTGTTTGCCTTGCCCCCCTCACTGTCACCCTCTGCCCACTTCTCCTGCTTCCCTCTACTCCACAAACTCCTGGAGATCTTGTCCACTGCCAGGGCTCCTTGCAGCTAGAAGCTGACCCAGGCCTTCCCAGGTCACCTCTCAGCTAACTAGCTTAGTCTCCTTTCTAAGGCAACTCAAATCAGTGCCTTGAGCGGGTGAAGAATGTCAAAAGCAGGTTGCTGGGTCACTCTGCAAGGTTCACAGAACAACCTTGTGTTCTCAGTGTGTCACTTCAGTCCTCATATTTTTATCGTTTAATTGATACATAATATTTTACATATTTATGGGGTTCATGTGTTATTTTGTTCCATGCATAGAATGTGCAATGATAAAGTCAGGGTATTTGTGATATCATCCCCTTGAGTATTTATCATTTCTATGTATTGGAAAAAATTAAAGTCCTCTCTTCTGGCTACTTTGAAATATACAGTACATTGTTGTTGACTAGTCACCCTACTCTTATCCTATCTTTTCTTATCCCTCCTAACTGTATGTTTGTGCCCATTGACCACCTTATTTTCATCCACCTCTCCCACCCATATACCCTCTCCAGCCTCTCCTATCTATCTTTCTACTCTACCTCCATGAGATCAACTATTTAAACTCCCTTATGAGTGAGAACATGGAGTATTCGTCTTTCTGTGCCTGGCTTACTTCACTTAACATAATGAACTCCAGTTCCATCCATGTTGTTGCAAATGATATGATTTCATTTTTTTATAACTGAATAGATTCCATAGAGTATTCATACCACATTTTCTTTATCCATTCATCTCTTGATGGATACTGAGGTTGATTCCACATTCCACATCTTTGCTATTGGGAATAGTGCTGCAATAAATGTGTGAGTGCAGATATCTCTTTGATAAACTGATTTCTTTTCTTTTGAATAAATAGCCAGTAGTGAGATTGCTGGATTGTAGGGTAGTTCTATTTTTTTAAAGAAATCTCCATACTGTTTTCCATTGTGGCTTCACTAATTTATATTCCTGCCAACAGTGTGTAAGACTTCCCTTTTCTGTACACCCTCACCAACATTGGTTATTTTTTGTATTTTTGATATAAGCCATTTTATGTTTGATGAGATGATATCTTATTGTGGTTTTGATTTGCATTTCCCTGTTGATCAGTGATGTTGAACATTTTTATTTAGTATATTTGTTGAAAATTTGTATGTCTTCCTTTGTGAAATGTCTATTCGTCTTTTGCCTACTTTTGAGTGGGATTATTTGTATTTTTTACTATTGAGTTGTTTGAATTTCTTATTTATTCTAGATACTAGTCCTTTGTTGGATAAATAGCTGCAAATATTTTTTTCCCACTCAGATTGTCTCTTCACTTTGTCAATTGTTTCCTTTGCTGTGCAGAAGCTTTTTTGTTTAATATAGTCCTATTTGTCTATTTCTGCTTTTGTTGCCTCAGCTTTTGAGATCTTAGCCACAAAATGTTTGCCTAGACCAATATCCAGAAATATTTTCCCTGTTTTCTTATAGTAGTTTTATAGTTTCAGGTCTTATGTTTAGGTTTTTTAATCCATTTTGAATTGATTTATGTACGTAATGAGAGATAGGGGACCAATTTCATTCTTTTGCATGTGGATATCCAACTTTCCCAGCACCATTTATTGAAGATGGTGTCCCTTCCCCAGTGTGTATTCTTCATGCCCTTGTTGAAAATCAGTCGACTTTAAGTATGTGAATTTATTTATAAGTTCTCTATTCTGTTCCATTGATCTATGTATTTGGTTTTATACAAGTACCATGCTATTATTGTAATTATAACCTTGTAGTCTATTTTGAAGTCAGGTAGTATGATGCCATCAGCTTTGTTCTTTTTGCTCAGCATTGTTTGGCTATTTAGGCTTCCTATTTCATACAAATTTAAGAATGGTTTTCTCTACCCCTGTGAAAAAAATGATATTTTGATAGGGCTGGCATTGAATCTGTAGATTACTTTAGGCATAATGGTCACTTTCACAATATTAATTCTTCTGATGTATGAGCATGGGATGTTTCTTCATTTGTTTGTGTCCTCTTAAGTTTCTTTCATATGTGTTTTGTAGTTTTCTTTATACAGGTGTTTTAGCTCCTTTATTAAATTTATTCCTAGGTATTTGTTTTGTAGCTATTATAAATGGGATTGACTTCTTGATTACTTTCTCAGCTAGTTAATTATTGTTATATACAAACACTACTCATTTTGGCATGTTGATTTTGTATCCTGCAACTTTACTGATTTTATTTAGCAGATCTAAAAGTTTTTAGGTGGAATCTTTAGTTTTTTTCTAGATATAAGATTATATCATCTGAAAAAAGGGACAATTTGAGGTTTTTTGCCCCCCCCCCAATTTGGATGCCTTTTTTTTGTTTTGGGCTTGGTTGCTCTGTCTGGGACTTCCAGTACTACGCCAAATAGGAATGGTGAAAGTAGGGATGACTGTCTTTTTCCAGTTCTTAGAGGAAAGGCTTTCCCCATTCGGTATGATGAGGTATGTTCCTTCTGTGCCTAGTTTATTAAAATTTTACTAAAAAAAGATGTTAAATTTTATCAAATACCATTTCTGCATCTATTGAGATGATCATACGATCTTTGTGCTGTATTCTATTTATGTCATGTATAACATTTATTGATTTGCATATCTTTCTTACATCTCAGAGATAAATTTCAGTGGAGCATTGTGTGTTATCTTTTTTTTTTTTTTTTTTTTTGATGTACTATTGGGCTTATTTTGCTAGTATTTTTTGAGGATTTTTGCACCTATGTTCATAAGAGAGGTTGGCTTGCCGTTTTATTTTTTTAAAAATTTATCTTTGTCTGGTTTTGATATCAGTGTGTGGTGGCTTCCTAGAAAGAATTCCCTCATCTTCAATTATTTGAAAGAGGAGAGAATTGGTGTTATTTCATTTTTGTTTTTTGTTTTTTGTTTTTTTTTTTTTGAGACGGAGTCTCACTCTATCGCCCAGGCTAGAGTGCAGTGGCGTGATCTCGGCTCACTGCAATCTCCGCCTCCCAGGTTCACACCATTCTCCTGCCTCAACCTCCCGAGTAGCTGGGACTACAGGCACCTGCCACAACGCCAGGCTAATTTTTTACATGTTTTAGTAGAGATGGGGTTTCACCGTGTTTGCTAGGATGGTCTGGATCTCCTGATCTCGTGATCTGCCCACCTCCACCTCCCAAAGTGCTGGGATTACTGGCGTGAGCCACCGTGCCCGGCCGTGTTATTTCTTCTTGAATCTTTTGGTAGAAGTAAGCAGTGAAACCATCTGGTCCTTGACTTTTGTTTGTTGAGAGATTTTTTATTGCTAATCCAATCTCATCACTCATTACTGGTCTGTGCAGATTTTCTATTTATTTACTTCTTCGTATATTGCTTATGTCCAGGAATTTACCAATTTTCTCTAGATTTTCCAGTTTCTTAGCGTATAGTTGTTTATAATAATCTGTGATGACCTTTTGTATTTTTGTGATGTCAGTTTTAGTGTCTCCTTTTTTATTTCTAATTTTTTTATTTGACACTTTTTGTTTTTCTTGATTGGTATAGTAAGTAGTTTATTGATTTTGTTTATCTTTTCAAGAAACCAACTTTTCTTTATTGACCTTGTTATCCTCCATTTCATTTGGTTCTGCTCTTCTCGTTATTATTTATTTTACTAATTCTGGGTTTAAGTTTTTTTTCAGTTTGTTGAGGTACACCACTAGATTGTTTACTTGAAATCTTTCTACTTTTTCGACATAGGCCTTCATTGCTATAAACTCACCTCTTATTACTGCTTTTTCTGTATCCCATTGGTTTTGGTTTGTTGTGTTTCTATTTTCAGTTGTTTCAATAAGTTTCTGATTTCCTTTTTAATTTCTTCCTTGACCCCTAGAATTCAGGAGCTTATTGTTTAATTTTCATGTTTTTGTATGGTTTCCAGAGTGCCTCTTATTATTGATTTCTAGTTTTATTCCATTGTGGTCTGGGAAGATGCTTGATATGATTTCAATTTTAAAAATTTTGTTGATACTTGATTTGTGTCCTAATATATGTTCCATCATGAAGAATTTTCCATATGCTTATGAGAAAATTGTGTATTCTGTAGCTGTTGGATGAAATGTTCTGTAAATATCTGTTAGGTTTATTTGGTTTAATGTCCAGTATAAATCCAAAGTTTCTTAGTTAAATTTATTTCTAAATGATTTGTCTAATGCTAAGAACAGGGTGTCAAAGTACCAAAATATTATTGTATTTAAGTATATCTCTTCCTTTAGATCTAATAATATTTACTGTATATATCTGTGTGTTCCAGTGTTAGGAGCATATATATTTAGAATTGTCTTGCTGAATACAATGCCATTCTTTGTCTATTTTTACTGTTTTGATCTAAAGTTTATTTTATCTGGTATAGGTAAAGCTACTTCTGCTTGTTTTTCATTTTTGTTTGCATAGAATATCTTTTTCCATCCTTTTATACTCAGTCTCACTCACTTAGATGAGGTGAGTTTCTTGTAAGCAGCATATAGTTGAGTCATGTTGTTATTATTATTATTATTATTGTTATTATTATTATTATTATTATTATTATTATTTAAATCCATTCTGCCAGTCTGTATCTTTTAAGTGAAAATGTAATATATTTATATTTTAGGTTATTATTTATATGTTAGGGCTTATTTCTGTCATTTTATTAATTAATGTCTAGTTATTTTGTATATTTTTTTGCCTTTCTTATTGTTTATCATTTTGGTTTGGTGACTTTCCCTAGTGGTAATATTTGAAATATTTGAGTCTTTTCTCATTCTTGGTCTGTGCAGGTTTTCTATTTCTTTGTGATTCAATCTTGGTAAATTGCATATGTCCAGGAATTTATCAATTTTCTCTAGGTTTTCCAGTTTCTTAATGTATAGTTGTTCATAATAATCTGTGGTGACCTTTTGTATTTTTGTGGTATCAGTTGTAATGCATTCGTATTATTTCTGATTTTGTTTATTTGACTCTTTTCTACCAATGGTTTTTATATTTTTCATGTGTTTTTATGATGGTATGTATTGTTTTTTCACTTCAGGTTGTGAACTCTCTAAACCATTTCTCATAGGGCTGGTATAGTGATCACGTATTCCCTCAGGTTTTGATTGTCTGGGAAAGACTTTCTCTTTATTTATGAAGGGTAACCTTGATGGTATAGTATTAGCTGGCAGGTTTTTTTTTCTTTCCTCATTTTAAATATTTCATCTCATTCTCTCCTGGCTGGTAATGTTTCTGTGGAAAAATCCACTTTTAGTCTAATGGAGGTTCTTTTATAAATGACTACATGCTTTTCTCTTTCTGTTTTTAAATTGTCTATTTGTCTTTGACTTTTGATTGTCAGGTATTATGGAAAAGAACTCCTTGAACTTTATCTACATGGGAATCTCTGAGTTTCCTGTATTGGGATATCTAAATCTCTTGCTAGACTTGGGAAGTTTTCATCTATTATTTCGTTAGGTTTTTTTTTTTTTTTTTTTGAATTCTTTTGTTTTCTCTTCGCCTTCTGGAACACCAAAACTTCGAATATTTGATCACTTTACTGTGCCCTAAACATCATGGAAATTTTGCTCATTCTTAAAAGAGAAAAGAAATCTTAAATTTTGTTGGACTGGGTTATTTCAAAAGACCTGTCTTCAAGTTCTGATATTCCTTTTCCCTATTTAATTTAGTCTATTGTTGACGCTTTTGAATGTATTTTGTATTTGACTCAACAAATTCTTCAGCTTCAGAATTTTTTAGTGATATCTGTCTCTTCGGTAAATTTCTTGTTTATATCTGTATATCTATCAATTTTTTTGTTTTTTTTTTAGTATTTTATATCTCACAGAGCTTCTTTAATATCAACATTTTGAATTACTTTTCTAGGATTTTGCAAATTTCTTTCTGATTGGAATCTGTTGCTGGTGAATTATTATATTTTTTGTAGATGTTATATTTTCTTCCTTTTCCATGTTTCCTGTGTTCCTACATTGATATCTGCACATTGGGTGTAACAATTGTTTCTTTTTATTTTTTGACTTTGTTTTCATGAAGGAAGACTTTTTCTTAATAATGTATCTATGGTGTTGGTTGGGTCAGGCACTTTGACTTTGATTCTCAGTGTGTGCAGTATTGTAGTCTCTATGATTTCTTCTGCTGTAAAAAAGGTTAGTGGTATCTGCAATTTCCTCAGTGGCTTAGGTATGGTTGTTATTGAAGGCTGTGGTGAAGTTTTCCTGGAGATTGAGATGCCAGGTTAATCAGTCTTTGGTCACCAGTTGTGGGAGTAGTGGGCTGAGTGTGCCTGTCCTTGGACCCTGGAGCATTGTACACTACCACTGGTGTTAGTGGTTCAGGAAGAATGATTCTTGGGCCTCCAAGTGGCTTCCTCAGGTGCAGGAAATGACAGCAGTGGGTCAGTAGGGGGAACTGTATCTTGAGCCTCTGGGCAGGAGGCATGCTATAGATGATGGCAGCAGCAGTGGCCAAACAGCCCTTTGGGTCCTAAGTGGACTGTGTTGGTGTTGGCAGTGCTTTTGCAGCCTAAGTGAGCCAGTTCCTGGGCCAGCAGATGGCACATGTGAGAGAGTATCAGCTATGGTGATAGCAACAGGTCGGGTGGGCCCTACCTCAGACTTCTGGGAGAAGTGCTCAGGTTCCAGTGGTGGTGAATTCTGGGCATCTCCATCCCCCAAAGAGCATGCTCAGGTATTGGGCAGGGGTGTGGGGGACAGAGTCTGGCTTGGCAGACTTTCCCTCACCACACCCCCTAGCCCCGTGGTGTGTACTGGTGCTTGCTGGGTAGGAAAGGAGTGGGATGATTTCCAATCTGCCAGCAGAATGCTCAGATGGGGGAATTAGCATCTGCACTGCAACCCTGCCACTGGGGAGGGTGAAATTGCTTTCAGTGGCAGCAGTCTTAGGCAGGAAACTGGGGGTTCACATTTTACTCACCCTTTGGCCCTGATTGCAGCAGCCCACAAGAGCAGCAGCTGTAGGCAGTAAAGTTTGCCCTCAGAGCACATCAAAATGCAGTTGTCTCTCTGCTGCAGGGATAGTGCTACTTCCAGTGACTTCTTCTTCAGTCCCAGCAGCAGCAGCAGCAGCAATCAGCAGCATTCAGCAACAGTAATGGCTGCAGGTGAGGCAGCCGTTTGTCATGTCCACCCCTCTGCTAGGGTGGCGCAGGGTTGCTATCGATGGCTTTTACATTGGTCCTCGTGGCAGCTGCTGGCAGCAGAAGTCGCTGAAGGTGGGGAATGTCAATGAGGCTCCAACGGTGTTAAGGTGCAGGGACTGTCGGTCTCATAGTGCAGAATGCAGTCTGGTGAGTGTTTTGCTCTTAGAATGGCACTGTGCTGTAGCTGCGTAGAACTCAGGGGTGTGTGAGACCCAATATGAGCTTCCTCTCTGGAGCAATGCCTTTGTACTGTCTCCAGGCAGCTCCCTGTGTCAGCCTCAGGACACACAAGGGTCAAGGGGCTCTACCATGGCTAGGGCTGCAGAAGTCTATAGTGGAAATGTGGACCACTGAGGGTCTCTTACTTACTCTTTCCCCACACTTGGGAGCAACTTCAGGTTCACAGCTAATCTCAGCTGAGCAGGCTGCCTCACTTCCTTCTCCTTCCTTGCTTTTAGTGTTTTGTGTCATTTCTCTGTTGAATTCCAGTGTTATATCTTAGATGATCTATTTGAAGTGTGATTATATGCTCACTTTTATGGTTCTTTGTGGAAGAGGAAGTCCCAGATGTATTTATTCAGCCATGTTGAAGTCTCTCTATTTCTGTCTTTACATTTACTCTTCCTCATTTCTTCTGATTATGAACATAATGTTTGTCTTTCTCTGGTTATTCTAAGTCTTGTGTTCAAGCTCTTTCTGAAAAGAATATCTGTAAAATTGCAGGGGCCATTATTAAAAACAGTTTAAAAATCAATGGGCTTTAAATGAAAAGATGTTACTTTATCTTGTAAAGTTTTAATTCCCAAGCCATCTGTCATAGGCATACTACTTATTTTCACTGTGACTATAGCTGCATTATTTAAGTAAATAGTCCTTGTTTTCTCAGCTCTTGGCATTAAGAACAGAGTATTTAAAACCAATGGAAATAAACTTTATTCTTCTCTTGAAATTGTAGGACCACAATTTGATATCACATCTATTTGATTCCTATTTTATACTGACCCTCCAATACCTGTTGTATACCACTGTCTGGATATGACACAAATACTTAAATATCAAAAAACATTTTCTCTTCCTCCTTTTTTCTCTATACCTTTAAACATTTTATGTTATCTTTATACCCTATCCCAGAGAACAGTAACACTACAAAAGTACCCCAGGAAATCTGGGGGTCCTCCTCATGTCTTCCATCATTGGCTAACATCCACTACCCACAGTTGCCAATCAATTGTGTTGACCAAATCATGTTCAGCAGCCAAAGACAACCAAGAATACAGCTATAGTCAAACAGAGGGGGTTCAATTACTCATTGCAACAAGAGAGGACACACACCATGGGACCACTGGGCCGTCTCTGTATGAGTGTATTAGAATAGGCTGGTTATAGGATTTGGGCTTGTGTTATGTGATTTGAAGAAAGCTTCAAGGAAGGAAGAATCTATTCCAGACTGAGGGCTGTCAGAAAGCAAAAATAACTTGTTGACATAGTATCTTAATAATCCACCTAGGTAAAGGGAAGAAGAAAAGAGGGCTAAGGCTATAATTGGTAAAAAATAAAAACAAAAACAAGAACAAATTCGAAAATGTGGCATTCATTTGGCTTAATTAGAAAAGTAATGTTTGGTCCTTTTTGTGGTTTTTACAGTCTTCTTTAATTTTGTCTGTGCTCAGATAAGCTTATGGAGGTATCTCATTTTGATCTCAGCCTATCACTGTTCAAGTCCACTATCCTGTGAGACAATGCTCTAGCTGTTGGTGCCAGATCCCACTCTTTAGCCCTCACTGGCTCTGGTCAGCAGTGTATCCTGCCATTTTTCCCTCACAGGCATTTTATTCCTCCAGATGTATAAGGTTGCCTGGTGTTTTATGTCTACCTGTCTTTATACGATGTTCCCTTCTCAGAAAATATATGCTGTATTAGTCAGGGTTCTCCAGAGGGACAGACTAATAGGATAGATGTATATATGAAAGGGAGTTTGTTACGGAGAATTGACATAGGTAATCACAAGGTGAAGTTCCACGATAGGCTATCTGCAAGCTGAGGAGGAAGGAAGCCAGTAGTGGCTCATTCCGACTCCAAAAGCCTCAACGGTAGGGAAGACAGTGCAGCCTTCAGTCTGTGGCTTAAGGCCTGAGAGCCCCCCGCAAGCCACTGGTGTAAATCCAAGAGTCCAAAGGCTGAAGAACCTGGAGCCCCACGTCCAATGGCAGGAAGCATCCAGCATGAGAGAAAGATGAAAGCCAGAAGACTCAGCAAGCCAATTTATCCCATCTTCTTCCGCCTGCTTTGTTTTAGCAGCACTGGCAGTTGATTGGAGGGTACCCACCCACATTGTGGGTGGGTCTTCCTCTCCCAGTCCACTGACTCAAGTGTTAATGTCCTCTGGCAACACCCTCACAGACATACCCAGAAACAATACTTTACCAGCTATCTAGGCATCTTTCAATTCAATCAAGTTGACACCTAATGTTAACCATCACATATGCCTTCAGTATTTTTAGTTCTCTTAACTCTATTTTATGTTTATAATCTTAGCTTAGGACATCTGTCTAAAAATCATCTTCTAATTCAGCCTCATTTTAGAAGATGTTCACCCCCATACCTGCATAGCATCTGTAAGAGCGTAACCTCTATGAGGTTATGGGCTGTATTTATTATATTTACCACTGTATCCTCAGCACTTTGCACAAATAGTGGACTATCAGAACACACTTGTTGAAAAAACAAGTGAATCATTTATTGTGTAGTTGCCTCTGAGTGAATTAATAAGTTAAAAAAATGAGGCAGAGATAAATAATGATAGTCTTGCTCTCAGGTAGCTTATATTAACCGGGAAATATTAGATGTTAACAAATTCAAAATAAATTAGGTAAATTTAATCCAATTAGATAATTAATCCAATTAGATGAGCATCAGAATTTTTGTAGACTTATTTTCTTGGGGGTTGCTAAAAGAGAGGATTAAGAAGGAGATCATGTGAGGCTATGTGGCCACAATGGAATCCTTGATTACACATACAACATGACTTTCTTTTGGTTTTTCAAACTCTAGTGCTATGAAAACAATAGCTTCATTTATAGAGGAAAATGTTACGTTTTGCTCTACTTCTGCAAAAATAAAATTTTTGTTCAAACGTGATTGAACATCACTGGCATTTGCTCCTTAGCAGGCAAGAAAATTGCCATTGTGAGGAATTGCGTATACTAAATTCAGGGTTACATGGAGAGAATCATTTGCTTTACAATTTAAAGCATAGGAATCCTCTCTCTCTATGGGTTCGAGCACACGTACAGAGGGAATGAATGTCCATGAATATGTATCTAAATGAGATCGAGGCTCCTTGAGAGAACAACACTGTGGGAAAGCTGGATAGCTTCACTCTCATGTGCTGCCATTACAGTTAGGTTTCTCCCTCCATGAGCAATCACAAAATCTGACAAATACAAAGGCAAATGCCAGTTTCTAATCATTAACACTGTGGCCTGTCGTAACTGTTCTTATTCTCAGGACAGATGCAGTAAATTTAGTGTCCTCGGCTAAGGATTTTAGAAGTAAAAGAGATTTACAAATAGTACTCTCTGTTTATTTAAAGGTAGATTGCTCTTATGATCACATTTTAGTTCATTTACTTCTTAGAATATCAATGTGAAGTAGGCAAAACAAATATTATTATCTCCTGTTGATAGACAAGTAAACACATAACTAATCTGTCCAGTACCCATGGAAAACATCATTAGTAGATCATAGAGCTTCTTCCTTCAGTGTGACACAATCCTGCCCAATCATTCTCAACAATGTGCTTCAGGAAGCTATGCAGATGTTGTCATCAAGGATGGATCTATTTGTTCAAGAATCCAGCAGTGGGACTATGACCACTGAAGGCAACAAGGTCAATAATTCTAAAATACTCAGACAAGTTTAAAAGTAACCAAGTATGCACTATTCTTGGGCACCATTCCACTTGGAGCAGTATTTTCTGATTTGGATTATATTTTGCCTTATTAAATGTTCCATTCCATTTTTTCTTTTTGTAAAGTTCTTAAGTAAAAGGAGCTGAGGGAAAGAGATGGCAGAAGAGTGGAAGAGAGAGAGCTGAGAAAGAAAAATATGTATATGTGGCATTTGAGGATATTACATGAGATACTTTGCATTTCATCAAATACATATTAACTGTGAAAAATATCTTTAATGAAAGTATGTGGCTGATTAGTTTTTTCTGAAAGTGGTTGCATTTCTTTGATTGAGATTTTAAAGAACATTTCATTCTTTATTTCTGTTTTTTTGTTTTTTAAGAAATGGAGTGTTGCTAGCAATGGCTGTTCATAAGAACAATCATTGCACACTATAAGCTAAATTTATGGGCTCAAGTAATCCCCTTGCTTCAGCCTCCTGTGTAGCTGAGACTATAGGCAGGCACCACAGTGACCAGCTTAAGAACATTTCTTAAGCAAGGAGTATTACCAAAGCTGTTAAGCTCATTGGTCCTTGGCCATCCACTGAGTATTGACAATAGAGGGAAAATGTGGTGCATGTATTTTTACTTTCATATCATCTCTATGTTTGCATTTTTTAAACATATACCCTGATATGTCTTGTCTCAGATGAGACTTTGGACTTGGACTTTTGATTTAATGCTGGAAGGAGCTAAGACATTGGGGGACTATTGGGAAGGCATGATTGGTTTTGAAATGTGAAAGGACATGAGATTTGGGAGGGGCCAGGAGTGGAATGATATGATTTGGCTCTATGTCCCCTCCCAAATCTCATCTGGAATTGTAATCCTCATGTGTCGAGAGAGGGACCAGGTGGGAGGTGATTGGATTACGGGGAGGGTTTCCCTCATGCTGTTCTTGTGATAGCAAGTGATCTGATGGTTTAAAAGTGCACAGCTTTCTTCGTTCTTTTTCCTCCTGCTGCCACGTAAGATATGCCTTGCTTCCTCTTCATCTTCTGCTATGACTGTAAGTTTCCTGAGGCCTCCCCAGCCATGTGGATCTGTGAGTCAATTAAACCTCTTTTCTTTATAAATTACCTAGTCTCAGGTAGTTCTTTATAGCAGTGTGAAAATCTCAGGTAGTTCATTATAGCAGTGTAATAATGAATATTAATTGAATATATAAGTAGATCTATACCAATGTAAAAACTACAAAAGGACAATAATATTCACAGTTAAAATTACTATAATCTGGATTATTTTTATTTTGTGTAACAAATACATGTATATATGACTTACAATGTTATAAGTCCATTATTTTTGTCTATTCTCCAGAAATATAGATGTTGGTAACATCCACTGTACTGCCATATGCTCATCATGGGCTTGGGGGTAATGATGAGCGTATTTTTTTATTCTTGAACATCATTAATTTTGTCTCATATAGAAACATAATCTCTATGGGATCTACTCATCCTGTTAAGCACTGTTAGCTTTAATCCAACTTAATTCTTCTCAGTATTATAGAAACAACACTGTGTTCTACAAACAACACATTTACAAATATTTACAGATTATAATTGTAGTAGTACTCATCCCTGATATATCTTTCCAGAAAAGCTGACAAATTTAGTAACTTAAAGTACAGCTGAGTAAACATGCTTTGATGATCTTTCTGGATTTAATTATCCAGGTGTTTGGACTTGTCCTAAATGCCACAAAAACAAAATTTCAGTTTTTAAAAGCTATCAGCAGGAAGGAATATTACAAATTAGTTATGCCTAGAAAAGAAAAGTAGAGCACCAAAATCCACGGCAATGTTTGTCAAATGGAAGATAATAGATCCAAGGACCACAAATTTCCTTTTATAAGTATTTGTTTTTAATTTACCTTTTCTACTTTGATGATTATTTTAAAATGTTATAATCGTATTTCGGATCCTCTCGGTGAACCATATTATAACCTAATACTCCCACTCAGTTTTAGTGCCATTTTATGATTTTCATTTGTGATTTTTATTATACTGGCATCAACCTAGAGTGATAGTATGTTTTGTTAGCTTGTATCTGCCTGCCATTTTGTTTGCATATCCTAATGATAAAATGACAAAATATGTCCATCTCCTCCAGTGCAAATGTTCAAAATTATTTGCCAGTTATAAAGACATAGTACATATTTTTCAGTGGTAATTTGAAGTTGCAATATCTTTTAATTTGATGACTTTAAGTAATGTAATACATTGACATTTTTATTTGGCAACATGAAACATCTTTATATGATAGAGTTGGGAGCATATTCACGAAAGAGCTGGTATTGAACTTCCAGGTCCCTTAACTTGCATGGATTACTTCCATGACTCTTGGAAGAAATTGGGTACATACTGTCAATATACTTCTGAACATTTACAACTATAAGGTATTTTAAAACATTTCTTAACATGATTTTTTTTCTACTGCCACTTCTTTCCTGTAATACCTCATTTCACATCAGGTAGCAAATGGAGTGGCAGTGGGGCTTGTTGGGGTATAGATGTGGTTTATGAATGTGCTAGAATTGCCATAAGAAAGACTACAGACTGGGTAGCTTAAATAACAATTTTTTTGTCATAGTTTGGGGGCCTAGAAGTCCAAAATCAAGGTGTCAGCGGGGTTGGCTTCTTCTGAGGGCTTTCTCCTTGGCCTGCAAATGGATACCTCCTCACTGTGTCCTCACGTGCTCCTTGTTCTCTGTGGGAGCTTGTCTGATATCTCTCACTCTGTTTTTTAATCTCCTCTTTTTGTAAGGACATTAGTCATATTAAATTAGGGCCCACACTAAGTACTCATCTTAACAGGAATTTCTGTATTTATGATATTTGTCAGCATTTTTCAGATTTCTAAATGGTTGTGACTTATTTTCGCTAATAGTAATTACTTTTAAATCTAATTTTGTATTAAAATGTCCTATTTTTAAAATTTCAATGTTATGTTAGATACATGTGCAGCTTTGCTATATGAGTATATTGCACCCAGGTAGTGAGCATAACCCATGTTCCCCTTCTTCCCTGCCCTCTCTAGTCGTTGCTAGCGTCTATTGTTCCCATGGTTATGTCCATGTGAGCTCAATGTTTAGCTCCCACTTATAAGTGAGAACATGGGGTATTTGGCTTTCTGCTCCTGCATTAATTCACTTAGGATTATGGGCTCCAGCTCATCCATGTTGCTTCAAAGGACAAAATTTCATTCTTTCTTATGGCTGCATAGTGTTATGTGGCATATATGTACCACATATTCTTCAACCAATCCACCACTCATGGACACCTTGGTTGATTCCATGTCTTTGCTACTATGAATAGCATGATAAAATATATAGGTACATGTGTCTTTTGGTATAAAGGTCTCTTTTCCTTTGAGTATATACACAGTAATGGAATTGCTGGATCAAAAAGTAAGTCTGTTTTAAGTTCTTTAAGTAATCTCCAAACTGCTTTCCACAGTGGCTAAACTTGTTTACATTCCCTCCAACAGTGTATAAATGTTCTATAAATGTTCCCTTTTCTCCATAGCCTTGCCAGCATCTGCTGTTTTTTTATTTTTTTAATAATAGTCATTCTGATTGGTGTGAGATGGTATCTCATTGTGTTTTTGTGTTTTTTTGTTTGTTTTGTTTTTGGTTTATTTATTTATTTATTTATTACTATTTTTTTGAGATAGGGTCTCACTCTGCTGCCCAGGCTGGAGTGCAGTGGTGTGATCTCAGCTCACCACAAACTTCACCTCTTGGGCTCAGGTGATTCTTCCACCTCAGCCTCCCAAGTAGCTGGGACTAAAGGTATGTGCCACCATGCCCAACTAATTTTGTGTTTTTTGTAGAGACAGAATTTCACCATGTTTTCCAGGCTGGTCTCAAACGCCTAAGCTCAAGTAATCTGTTTGCTTTGGCCTCTCAAAGTGCTGGCATTACAGGCATGAGCCACTGTGCCTGGCCTCATTGTGGTTTTCATTTTTACTTCTCTAATTATTAGTGATGATGAGCATTTTTTCATATGTTTTTGGCCATGTGTGTGACTTCTTTTGGGAAATGCATATTCAATTTCCTTGCCCATTTTTTTTAATGGGGTTAATTGTTTTTTGCTTGTTGATTTAAGTTCCTTATAGATCCTGGATATTAGGCCTTTGTCAAATGCATAGTTTGCAAATATCTTCTCCCATTCTGTAAGATGTCTGTTTACTCTGTTGATAGTTACTTTTGCTGTTCAGAAGCTCTTTAGTTTAATTACGTCTCACTTACCAATTTTTGTTTTTATTTCAAATGCTTTTGGAGACTTAGACAAAAGTTATTTGCCAAGGCCGATTTTGAGAAGGATATTTTTTAGGTTTTCTTCTAATATTTTTATAGTTTTTGAGGTCTTACATTAAAATCTTTAATCCATCTTGAGTTAATTTTTGTGCACAGTGAAAGCTAAGGATCTAGTTTTATTCTTCTGCATGTGGCTAGCCAGTTATCCCAGTACCATTTATCGAATAGGGAGTCCTTTCCCCACGGTTGTAAATGTGTGGCTTTATTTCTGGATTCTCTATGCTGTTCCATTTGTCTACATGTCTGTTTTTGTTCCAGTACCATGGTTTTTTGATTACTGTACCCTTATAGTATAGTTTGAAGTCAGGTAGTGTGATGCCTCTGGCTTTGTTGTTTTTGCTTAGGGTTGCTTTGGCTACTTAAGCTCTTTTTGGTTCCATATACATTTTAGAATTTTTTTTTTATTCTGTGAAGAATGACATTGGTAGTTTGGTATGGATAGCACTGAATCTGTAAATTGCTTTGGGCAATATGGCCATTTTAACAATATCGATTCTTCTAGTCCATGAGCATAGAATGATTTTACATTTATTTGTGTCATCTCTGATTTATTTCAGCAGTGTTTTGTAGCTCTCCTTGTACAGATCATTCACCTCCTTGGTTAGCTTCATTCCTAGGTATTTCATTTTCTTTGTGGCTATTATAAATGGGATTGTGTTCTTGATTTGGCTCTCAGCATGGATGTTATTGGTATACAGAAATTCTACTAATTTTATACATTTATATCCTGAAACCTTGTTAAAATTATTTATCAGTTTAGTAGCCTTTTGGCAGAATCTTGAAGGTTTTCTAATTATAGAATTATAATGTCAGAGAAAAGACATATTATGACTTCTTATATTACTGTTTGAAGGCCGTTTATTTCTTTTTCTTGCTTAATTGCTCTGGCTAGGACTTCTAGTACTATGTTGAATGGAGTGGTGAGAATGGGCATCCTTTTCTTGATCCAGATCTCAAGAGGTATGATTCCAGCTTTTGCTTATTCAGTCTTATGTTTTACCTGTGGGTTTGTCATAGATGAACTGTATTATTTTCAAGTAGGTTCCCTCAATACCTTGTCTGTTGAGAGTTTTTCATCATAAAGGGATGTGGATTTTATTGAAAGCTTTTTCTGTATCTATTGGGACGATAATGTGGTTGTTGCTTTTAATTCTGTTTACATGGTGAATCACATCTACTGATTTACATATGTGAGACCAACCTTGCATCCCAGAAATAAAGCCTACTTTTTGACATGCTGCAGAATTCAGTTTGCTAGTATTTTGTTGAGTATTTCTGTGGCCGTTTATCAGGGATATTGACATGAAGTGTTCTTTCTTAATTGTGTCTCTGCCAGATCTTGGTATTAGGAAAGTACTGGCTTCATAGAATGCATTAGGGAGAATTACTTTCTCCTTGATTTTTGGGAATAGTTTCAGTAAGATTTGTACCAGTTCATCTTTCTACATCAGGTAAAATTGGGCTGTGAATCCATGTGGCCCAGGGCTTTTTTTTTTGGTTGGTTGGGTTTTTTAAAAAATTATTATTATTGATTTAATTTCAGAACCCCATATTGGTCTATTCAGTTTTATTCTCTTCCTGATTCAATCTTTGGAGCTGTGTTTCCAGGAATTTATCCATTTTCTTCATATTTTCAAATTTGTGTTCATAGAGTTAATAGTATTTCCTGATGATTGCATCTCTGTGGGTTCAGTTGTAATTTCATCTTTGTCATTTCTGATTTTATTTGTTTGGATTTTTTTCTTTCTTTGTTAATCTAGCTAGCAGTCTATCAATTAGGTTGTTTTTTGAAAAAACAAATCCTGGTGATATTGATCTTTTGCAAAGTTAGGTTGTCAATTTGAGATAATTCTAACTTCTTGATGAAGGTATTTAAGGCTATGAACTTGCCTCTTCATACTGCTTTAGCTGTACGACAGAGATTTTGGTAACTTGGGTCTGTATTTTCAATAATTTCAAAGAATTTTTTGATTTCTGCCTTAATTTCAATGTTCAGTCGGGAGCTCTTCAGGAGCTAAGTTGTTTAGCTTCCATGTATTTGTTTTATATTTTTTAGATTTTCTAGATATTGGTTTATATTTTTATTGTACTGTGTTCCAAAAATGTGCTTGATATGATTTTAATTATTTTGAATTTATTGAGACTTGCTTTATTACTGAGCATGTGGTTGATCTTAGAATAGGTTCCATGTGCAGATGAGAAGAAGGTATATGCTTGGTGAATGTTCTGTAGATGTTTATTGGGTGTGATTGGTCATGTGTTGAGTTTAAGTCCAGAGTTTCTTTGTTAGCTTTTTGCCTCAATGATGTGTCTAACACTGTTAGTAAGATGTTGAAGTCTCCCATTGTTATTGTGTGGTTGTCTAAGTCTTTTTGTAGGCTAAGAACTTGTTTTATGAATCTGGGTGCTCCAATGTTGGATATATATATAGTATATTTCAGGTAGTTAAATGTTGTTTTATTATACTCTTTATCATTATTTAATGTATTTCATTGTCCTTCTTCATTTTTATTGGTCTAAACTCTATTGTATCTCATATAAGAATAGCAACTCCTGCACTTTTTCACTTTCTAATTGCATGGTATATGCTTCTCTATCCTTTTACTTTGGGCCCGTAGGTGCCATGACATGCAAGATGAGTCTTTTGAAGACAACAAATGGTTGGGTCTTGTTTTTTTTTATTTTTTTAAGATGGAGTCTGGCACTGTCACCCTGGCTGGAGTGCAGTGGCATGATCTCCACTCACTGCAACCTCTGCCTACTGGGTTCAAGTGATTCTCCTGCTTCAAACTCCCAAGTAGCTGGAATTACAGGTGCCTGCCACCATGCCTGGATAATTGGGTCTTATATTTTTAATTCTGCTTGCCACTCTGTGTCTTTTAAGTGGGGTATTTAGCTCATGAAAATTTCTAAATTATTTTTATTTTATTTACTTTTTTTGAGATGGAGTCTTGCTGTGTTGCCCAGGCTGGAGTGCAATGGCATGATCTCAGCTGATTGCAACCCTCACCTCCCGGGTTCAGCGATTCTCCTGCTGCAGCCTCCCAAGTAGCTGGGATTACAGGCGCATGCCACCACACCTAGTTAATTTTTGTATTTTTAGTAGAGGTGGGATTTCACCATGTTGGTCAGGCTGGACTCAAACTCCTGACCTCAGGTGATCTACTCACTTCAGCCTCCCAAAGTGCTGGGATTACAGGCATGAGCCAGGACCCCCAGCCCCCAATTTCTAGTTTTTTATAGCACTCCCTAAATCATATCATTTTCAGGCCCCCAAATTTGGAACTCTTCAAAATTTTGTGGAGTAATATACAACTTAATTATCACAGGGAAATGGAAATGAATTTAGGGAGACTAAATGCATAAACAACACCATTGCACCAACTGAAACCCATGTGTGCTAATGTATGCTCTAAGAATAAAGTTTTTAAAGCAGTTTGTATACATGGAAATGATAGTAGAACTGAATTAATCTGGTACATGGCATTGAAGATAAGTAAATCAAGTTAATTCAATTAATGAGAGCTGATGTAGTTTCAGAAACAAAATTATCAATATATTAAACTTAAATTCTTATTTCAAGTGTTTGTATTATTTGTATTTAATTTATGAATTTGTTTGGCTTTTATAATTGTATTAGAATCATAAACTAATGATTAAATCTAATTTTATCAAGTACACAATTAAGCAACATTATCATAAACCTTATCATAAATATAATTTTAGGCCTGATTATTCATTTATATAATTTGCTAGGAATTTGCTATTTATTCAAGTATGAGTAAAGATACAAAAAGTAAGCATTGTCAGTTTCAGAGTGTTAAGTTGAAGAAGTTGAAAGACTAGTGTGACTTTGGTTCTGCAACTAGTTAGCATTAAAGCCTCCAACAATTTAGTTGTGACATAGCTGCCTCTTCATTTGTGGGGCTTAATTTAGATGTTGCCTATAGGTCTATTTTAGTTATACATTTCTATGAGTCTATAATTAATGCACAGTAATTCTAATTGACATAAGATCCTTTTGGGTGTCACTTTGCCAGTCAGAAGTTTCCATGGCTAGTGGCACTCATGCCTAGGCTTCACTCAGCTCCAGGCTCGCCACTGAGCTTGCTCAGCTCACTCAGTCTGGCAGGCTGCATTTGGCTCACAGCTAGGATCTCATGCCCACTGAGGGCGAGCTAGGTGTGTCAGATGCTGCAGCAGGGTGGGCAGTTGAAGGCGCCAGCACAGGCACTCGCTCCATGTGAAGCTGCAGCTGGACCAGGTGTACCACAGGTGGCTTCTGCCTTGTGCCCCAGGATCTGGACAAGGGAAATATGGTAACACACGAAAAAATCAAATACGCCAACACCCGCAGAGCTCCAAAGGGTGTGTTGCAGTGTGTCACAGCTCTGGCTTGGGGAGTCCTGGGGTCTGGGTCTCCAAGAAGTGTTATGGCTCATTCATGTTATACCTAATTTGTTCTTGCCAGCTGCACACTGGTGAACAGGAGCATGTCCCAGTTTGTTTGGTCCCACTGCCCTGCTCCAGGCCGTGGCTTCTGGGCTGCCCTGGCCCCTCTGCTGCTTTTTTTCAGTGGGGCAGCTGCCCAGCACCAGTGCAGGAGGGCTACAAAGTTACAGCTCCTTCTGCACCTGCTGTTTGATTGGTCCCAGGTTCTCGTCCCATGTACAAGAAGAATGCGGTCACATGGACAACTAGAAAGTGAGCAAGGCAAAGAATAATTTTATTGAGTGACAGAACAGCTCTCAGCAGAGAGGGGACATGAAGTGGGTAGCCCCTACGTGAAGGCAGGTAGTCCCATTGTGTGGCTGAGTCCAAGGTTTTTATGGGCTCAGAATTTGGGAGTACATTCTAATTGGTCCATGGGCAAGTGAAATGGTTTGGCTGTGTCCCCCACCCAAATATCACCTTGAATTGTAGCTCTCATAATTTCCACGAGTTGTGGGAGGAACCCACTGGGAGATAATTGAATCATGGGGGCAGTTTTCCCCATACTGTTCTTGTGGTAGTGAATAAGTCTCACGAGCTCTGATGGTTTTATAAGGGGTTGCTCCTTTCACTTGATTCTCATTCTCTCTTTCTTACCACTATGTAAGATGTGTCTTTCACCTTATGCCATGATTGTGAGGCCACCCCAGCCACATGGAACTGTGAATGATTAAACTTCTTTTTTCTTTATAAATTACCCAGTCTTGGGTATGTCCTTATCAGCAGCATGAAAACAGATTAATAGAGCAGGTCTGGGAAAAGCACCATTTTATTTGGCTAAAAGGCATCAAGGAAGTTCTCACTGCAGGTCATGAACTTTACCCAGAACAGGCAGCCTGGTTTTCTGGCTTCATGCTGTCTTTTGGCTTGAAGGTTGCTTGGGTTCACTGGGTACCCGCCCCTTTCTGCCTAGGAATTTGTCTGCCTCTTGCCGCTGTCATGATTTTAACTGTTCTTATAAAAGAAGTAGTTCTCTATCTTGGCTTGTTTTCCTGACCCATCTTGACAAATAACTAAGGGTTGTTGCTTGCACAATGTACTTTACACATGCATAGAAGAAAACACAGAAAATACCAAAGCATCTATTGTCAAAGTATGTTGTGTTTCAATTTCTATTCATAGGTTACAGAAAATTTATTTAAATGTAAGTCTCACAAAAGATTCTCTTTTTAACTTTCAGATTTTAGTATGTTCTGTATGTCTGAACATTTCCACATTAACTATTAAAGGACTAAACATGTACATAATTTTGTCTTTATCAGTGTAATGCAGATTACTGAAAAAAATAGATAAAAGTTGTTAGCTTTGTATTTTATGTTATTCAGCTTGTGTTATTTATGCTGTTCATGTCTTTAGTATGTTATTGATTGTATAATGTGTGATTAGAAATAATTTTTACTGTTGTATTTAATATACCAGAAACATCTAGTTCAGCCAAATATACTTCAGTATAATATTTTGATACAGTTAATGAATATGAAAAACAAATAGCCCTTTGCAGTTAAGTCTGCCAAATTACATGAAATTATCAAGATAAATAACAATTAGAGAGAAACAGACTAAAATCTAAATACGACTACAAAGCAATACAACAGGCTTTCTTAAGTAACTTTTCCTGAATTTCATTTCCAAAAAGAAACTCCTGAATTTATGAACCTATGAAAAAATCCAGAAGAAGAAATCCTGAAAATGTTATATTTCAATATTTTAAAAAAAACTGATAAAAAAAAAACAGATCTTTTTTTAAAAGCTAAATCTAAGTCTAACTTTAAAGTAGTCTGTGATTTGTTTACTGCAGTTTGGTGCTTGATTCCATCTTGGACAGAATAGAACATCTCCTAAGGATTATTCCATTTGATGGCAGTTTAAATTATTGTGTACTTTTTAAGTGGTCTCATGAAATAAATAGGCAAGAATATTTTCATAAAGGGTATTAATGGACAATGGTGGTAAAACACAATCTGATACTACTAGCCCTATAAAACTTCAATAATATTTAAAATAATATAATACTGGCACAAAATGAAAGCAGACATCAACAGAAAGCCATAAATAGTTCCACTAATTTATAAAAGCTCAATGTATATGAAAAAATAAACTTTCAAAACAAGGAAGCAAGAAAATATTATGTCATAGGCAATACTGAGATAATAGGCTAACAATTTAAATTTAAAAATTTATAAATAATGAAATTTAATCTATTCATTTTACTATCCTAAGAAAATTTCAGTTGGATTCAAAGCTTTTTATTAAACACAAAATATAGGAGGAAACAAGACTACCTAAAGCAAAATAACATGTATCAGATTTGGGGAGAAATTTAATTTTCCCTGCTTTATAATGATGAAAATATTCCCAAAGAAAATTTGGAGAGCTTCAAATATATACAAATTCAAAAGTTATTTATACCTAAAACTTTAAAAATTACAAGCAGTTTATATCTATTCTATATAAAGACTTGACTCAATCTATAACATTTATCCACTAATAAATACATGAGCACAGTGTATGAAGGGAAAATTTATACCTAACTTAAAAACTCACAAAATATAAGCAATCAAACAACTGTTTAGATTTATTAAATAAATGCATTGTTGTAAAATGAAAAGGCATTGCTATGAGTTGGTAAAGCTGATGTACTTAACCTGTGCTCCTGACATGGGAATTTCAATGCCTTTAATGAGCACACGAGTGCAAAACAAGAGCCCTCACAATAATCTCATCTTGTGATTAAAGAACTCTAACCCTGGACTTTATCCTAAAGAGACAAAATATGTATTATGAGGATGGTCATTGCAGGATTCTATAATACAGACTCAAATTAGATGCAACAATTTCCCTAATTTACTTAGGATATGAGGGATAATTTACTTAGGATGTACTAAGTAAATCAAGGCTCATGGATGCAGTAAAAAATTTATTCAGCAACTAAGATAAAACAAAAAATATTATTGATCTGATAATTTAAATTAAGTATTATATTCTAATTTTATTAGTATGTAAGTGTGCATTCATGTTAAATTAGATTCGATTATGAATTCGATATGAATAAATGTGTATACATGTTAGATTAGATTACAAATAATTTATACTTATATTATAAAATGGATTTGTGCTGCACTAAAAAGATTCCTCTTAAAATAGTATTTCCTTTTTCATCCATAATTTTTTGCATGTTTGCAAATTGAAATAAATTAAGATATTGTTATTTTGTTAAGATAAGAAGTTTAAGTTTACCTTCAGTTTTATTGCAAAGGACTTTCAACCTCTTTCTGTCTTTGCTTGGCTCCATATGTGTGTGTGTGTGTGTGTGTGTGTGTGTGCGCGCGTGCGTGTTTTGTGTGATTCTTTTGCCATTCAGGCAGCTAATCTTAAAATAAATATGCATTGTTTCTGAGAATCGGAAAGCCTCAAGGAAGCTATGTGAGCTGTACACTTGCAACCTGCTTGCTTTCTGCTGCTCCAGTCTCATTGTAAATGATGTAAAGTGGCATTATCTTCTTCCTATCTTGACAGATACCAGGTTGAAAGAGCACCATTTGGCCTCCAGGCAATAGATCATCCCCTTTGTTCTATTAAACCTAGACTGCCAAATGACAATCTCAAGAGGCTGTAGTAGGCTTAGCTCCGAGACTCCATTGGGAAATTGCCTCTGCAGAAATTTCAAATACCAGATGTTAATCATGATTGTTGGTGATATATTTTTGTTTTGCTTTGTTTTGTTTATACCTTTAATAAAGCATTGTGTTTTGGCGTTTTAAAAAGGGAGTAAAATAAATTATTTGAATGTGTTTTATTTTAATATTTAGACAGCAACCCCCACCCACTCACTTACCAACATGTGCACTCTGGAGAAACTGAAATTCCATAATAGGAGGCTCACAAGGATACTCCAGGGGCTCATTTGCCAAGGGTGTCTATTTCATTTCATTTCACTTCATTTCTTTTCTTTCTTCCAATATATCTTCTGCCAAACTCTGAGACAGGCTTTGGTGATACATCAATGATCAGAGAAAAAATCCTGCTCTCAAGTTGCTCACTGTCTAGATGGGGAGGCAGACAGATAAACAGAGTGCTACAAAATGATGTGGTAAGTGTTCTCTACCAGGGGTGCATGCAGGGGCTATGGAACAGAGAGCAAAGAAGTCCTAACATGTTCTGAGACCTTCAGGGGATAGAGATTGTAGAGGAGGACATAAGTCATTTGAGTCTTGAGGAACTATTAGACGTTTGCCAGACATACAAAGGAATAAAAAGGAGAAACATCAGGAATGTTGAAAGCTTAGCATAGGTGGTGGCTGCAAATTATTTTAAAAGCATGGTGAGAATGCAGATAGACTGGAGGTGGAGGCTGTCATTGCACTTGACTGTGAGATCCTTGGGTCAGGTTACTGATAGTTCCCAGCATCTAATAAGCATGCGGATATAGTTAGCATGCATTGAGTAATTGACTGATTGAATTAATGACTGAAAGCACCTTTCTAATCTGAGATAAAATTAAAGCCAAGCCATGAATATTCACCTATTTTTTTTTTTTAATTTCCTTTAAGCCACCAGAGAAAGTGAAGCCATGGCAGTTTTAAAACTGGGCATAAAGCAAATTCTAGTGCTTAAGTATTGGGGAGGAGGTGCTCCTGACATCCGCTGTCACACATTTCAGGAAAGGAGGGACCTCCCTCCTACCTTTTCCTCTGGCAAGGCTACAGCTGTCACTCAAGAAGTGAATAGGTGACTTACTTTAAATGTCATGAACACTATGTCCTTTATTGTCAAAAGGATATTAGGAACCAAAAGATAAAAAGGAACCAAAAGAAAGGCATTTATACATGACTGTTGTAGGATAAGACAGACAGAGAATATATGCTGTAGCAAGTCGGTTATGAGATGGCCATTCAGTGCCGATCATAGGTAGTAGATTCTTTTAAGTATAAATACTCTCATTTAAAAGATATACACAGAGTCTAAAGTGTAACAATAAACTGCTGAATTAAATCTTAGTGGAAAAACATCATGCAACAGACTTCTATAAATATATAACATCCACAAGTTATAGCTATGCTGAATATAATTTTATTTCCTGAAGGTATAATATTATTCATGTCAAATTTACAGCAAATTTTTTTTTGCCATGGTTTAAATTAAGGGATAATAAAAAATCCAGTGTAAAATACCTGACATCAGGGGCACATGTGTATTTGATTAATTGATATTTATAATCTCATATATGTTATATATAATATATATCTAAAATTATACATAATACACTTATATATTGTATATGATATATACAATACCATTTCTAGTATATATCATATATTTTATATACAGTATATATTAGTTATGTACAATATATATAATGTATATGTGTATGTGACCTAGACTTTGAAGAAATGGTTTCTCCTGATAGAGATGGTTGAAGTTAATACTAAGAAATATATCTTGAGCATATTTCTGAAATACCATGTCAAACCAATATACTTCAAGAGAATCTTTATAAAATAAGATAGAAATAATAATGTAGAGAGTCATTATAACTAATAGTACTTTTACATTTTAATTTTGCTAATCAGAGACTATAAGTTAATTTACATAGATATACTTCCCCTTCTCAAGTTATTATTTGCATTAATGAACTCAAACAAAGCTTAAGTAACCTACTTTATCAATGGGGATTACAATATTTTGGCCCAGGATTTTGTGAACCTGGTCTCATAAAATAAAAACCATCTTAAACCAACATTTCCTCATTTCAATTATTAGTTTTCATTGTGCAAATTCAGCTGTCTGGACCACTATCAAATTTTAAGAATTAATCTAAATCATTGACATTTTTACTGATTTAAAATATAGTCCAGGAGACAGATAAAACTGAGAATGGGAGGTTTTGTTGTTGTTGTTGTTGTTTATTTGACAACTTTGAAGCTCAGAGAATCCCACAGATACTGAAATCTCAAACTCATTTAAACTTAAAATAGGAAATAAATCTTTAGCCAAGTTCAGTGCTAATACTTGGCAGTTTTAGGTTAGTGTTCACATATTTGTTAAATTTCATCAAAGGTAACTGAACTTTCTTTTTCACAATTTATTTCCAATCCAGGAATAAGTGTTTTAAAATAATATCTGTCTTGGTTTACCAGATGTTACCTTTTTGACCCTATTAGAAATGTGTGCCAATACCTTATTTCTCATGTGTAAAGATGAACACATCGAATTTGCCCAAATGTTTGAAGAGATGAGAAAAGAAACTCCAAGAAATCATGTGTATTTCAATTGCTAAGGAATGTAAAAATTTAATCTATTTAAAGTTTATATTTGAGACTATTTATTTTAAGAACATTAAGTGCATTAACTATAAAACCAGATGGAGAAAAGGAATCAACAATATACCTCCAGTCTAACTAACTTGTGTTCAGATTTGAGGAAGCATAAAATAATGCTACTTTTTGGTGGCATAAGCCATTCCCATAAAACTCAAGGGGCAGGACAGCTCTGGTAACCCACTGCTTCATCTGTGGTGAAACTAGCTCAGCCTGAGAACTAGATGCCTGTCTTGAAAGACTCACAAATCACCACGAGATCGCTGCTCTTGACCATTTTGCTGGGATAAGAACTTAATTTCTCATTTCAAATAACTCTTCCAATTTGATAAACATTGAGGAAGCTGAACATCTCTTCATTTAAAAGCAAAGAAAATACAGCTAGCAAAAGCTATTTTATTTGAAATTTTACATGAAAAATTTCAAGTGGAGATTATTTTAGTCTCCCTTTTCTTCCCAAATTGCAGTGGATTGCTCAGAAGAGCAGTGTTCCAGGTTACCAGGTTTCTGCCATTGTCCACAGCCCAATAAAACCTGACAAGCAAAAATTCACACCAAAATTATCATGTGTCATGTTCTTAGTATCAAAGAGAGGAAGAAAGAGGATGAACTAAGCTAAAAGACTCTATCCCTCTTAAGTTATTATACGCCATTTTCAAAAAAAACTTTCACATCGTTTGAGACAACCTAATTAAGGCTGATCAAGAGGGCTTGAAATTTTTGAATGATGGAAAGATTTCTCTGAAAAGGTTAAGAGAAATCTGGTACGATAGGATTTCACATCTTTGGAATCACTTTTAGAAAAGCTATAAATTCTTGTTAGATCATGTATGCAGGTGGAGCAAGTCCTTTCTTTAATCATACCAGTGCCACTTTCTGCTCACCTACTAAAAAGATCATTTCTGGGTTTTCTTGTTCAGGCTTTGGCAAAATGCCAGCCGAAAAAAAAAAGAACGAAAAAGAGAACGTTGATTTTAATACTCTCTTTTTTGTTGTTTAAAAGAAGCAGCAGCTTGCTCAGGTGTTGTATTTATTATCTACCTTTGCTCAATGGAATTTAAATATCCTCTCTTCAGGGTAAAATAACTTCGCTTCAGCCCAGAACACTTTCAAGTATGTATGTAAGTATGGTTAGAAAATAAATAAATAAATGAAATGAAATGAAATGAAATGTATAAAGCAGTCTTAATCATTCACACACAAAATAATTTCTGATTTCTTAGTTTCATTCCATTGTAAGTACATGAGATCTTTTTGGTCCTCATTGCTTCCCTCGGGAGAATGTCTCACAGCTGGTACAGGTTCTCTTAGATTATAATTTTTGATACTTAGTCTATATGTTCTTTGTCATGTTTCTTTGCAGTGCAGTGTTAAGCTCTCTTAACAAATCTATCCATTGTTTGTCTGTCTTTATGATGTAATTTGCTATCTTGCCCAATTGCAGTAGTTATACTTGTTTTATTAATGATAGTTTCCCTTTAGGATTATTATTTTTATCCCTAAAATATGTACTCTGTAATTATATTAATCTGAACTCATAAATCAAGTCTGTCAGGTCTTTCATGTTTTATTGCTCACTTCCAAATTCCACTTAAATTTCTCAATGGGCTGCTAGTATCTGAATGACCCTAAAAAAGGACCAAAGCAATCAGAGTATTTTGATTTCATAAACAGTGCAACATTCAGTTACCTAGTAGAAATAAAAAGAAATGAATTGAGTTATGCCATGAGGCAGTATAAATGCTTCTCATAAAGAGCACTCTAACTTTCCAGAAAGTTAATTTTTCTAATGTCCCAAGTAATAAAAAATGTCATTTACCACCCATGATCTTTCCTATAATACTTACTCACTTTGTTTAGAACTAAAATAAATTGGCATAAATAGGTCAACACTTTGGCTACTATTTAACATTGTTAATAATCATTCCTTCTGAATTTTTAATCTATAATCATTTGCTCCTTTGAAAGCCATTGAGGCAATATTGTCCTTGATATATTAAATACCCACATTTACAAAAAATGCCATATTTTTGTTCATTGTGTCATGAGTTGAGCATTAGGAACTTGCCAGACCTATTGCATTATTATAGTATTTCAAATTAAGAGTCACTCTGTTAAGGATAAATCTAAGGGAAACATTTTCAAGAAAATATAGAATCTGTGCAGGTAGTACTTCTGTTTGAGAAATTGTCTGGGCTCTCAGAGAATAATATAGGCTTTTCAGAGGAGAATTACCATTTCCTAAGAAGGAAAGCTGCTGTATTTGTTTTGAAAATAAATTCCAGACTAATTTCACTCATTGATCAATATATCTTTATTAACCCATTGAATATTTTATTTACTACTATTTGTCATATGGTATACTAAGGGTGACTTGCCACATTTCTTTAGCTATATTTGTAAGTTTATTTGTGTTTACGTATTTTTTATTTACCACTATTTATAAAATGTTATAATGTTTTACTTCTCATTTGGAGCCTGTGTATCAATGCTTCTTGATACATTCTGTAGCTTTCCATTGTTGTCTTCATACCATTATATAAACTATGAATGAAGTAGAATAAGTGAGTAGAGATCCAAAGAGATTTATTTAAAGAAGCACTCTTATTTAGATATGGGTAGTGGTATTACCCAAGGTATCTGTTACTTTATAGTCCCACTAAATACTTCACATGGTTTATTCATTCCCTCTCTTTACTCAGCAGGCTTGGTTCTGATGAGTAACGTGATTTGCCTCTATCAGTGCCGTTCAAAATAATGTGTCATAAGGTTAGAAATATCAGAGCCCCAAGAGCAGGTTAAGAAAGGCTTTGAATTGTGCATCACCTGAATTACACACATGGCCCCAGGAGATAACTACTTTACAGTGTTAATGGTCAATTTCAAAATAACATCATGTATCTTTTCTTTATAATCATAAATGAAACATTTCAACTTATTTGAAGGAAAAAAGTCTTAATACTTCAACTTCATGTACTTCTATATAGTCTACTTCATGGGCATACAATTTTGTTCTATTTGTACACTTTTAGAAAATATAGTGGTTATCTTTGTGTGGTGAATGACAAGCATTTTCACTTATTGATTAATTCATATATTCAAATATGTTATTGATTACTCAGACATTTATTGAGCACTACCATGTTTCAGGCATTATTTTAAGCACTGAGACATATCACTGAGTAAACACGAAAAATATCTGTTCTTATGTAAGTCAGTTTTGGTGTGACATGATAGAAAATTGACAATAAACTTAATCAGTAAGTATATGGCTTAGTAAAATAGAAGGTGATGAATATTTTAGAAATTAATAGAGCCAGGTAAGGGAAATTAGCAGTGCTTGAGATCATGACAATTTAAATGGGGTTATTGGGATAGAAGATGTCATCAAGAAGGTGACATTTGAATAAAGACCTGAAGGAGGTGAGAAAATTCATGATGCTGGTATCAGAAAGATAAGTATTCCAAAAAAGGGAGGAGTAAGGAGTGCTGGAGAAAGGAAAAGGTGAATGTCATTGGGATAGAGAAGAGGAGACAGTTGCTGAAGGGCCTTTAGGCCACTGTAAGTATCCTGACTCTTACTCCAAGAGTGAGGTTTCTCAAACTAGAGAAATTTTATTCTTTGACACTATTAATATTTTAGGCCTGATAATTCTTCATTTTGTGAGGCTGTCCTGTGCACTGTAGGATGTTTAAAAACATCCCAGAGTGGGTATCTAGCAGATGCCCATAGCAGCTGCGGTCACAACCATCAAAAATGTCTCTGGAAATTACCAATATCCTCAAGAGAACAACATTACTCACAACTACACGCCTCTACTCTAAATAAAATGCAGAAATACACGATGTAGATGGTGCTCCCCACTCCCATTCATGTCCACCTGGAACCTGTGATTTGGAAAAAGAGTCTTTGCATTTAAATCAAGTTAAGATGAGGTCATACTAGATTAGGATAAGCACTAAATACAGTAACTGGTGACTTTTTAGGAGAAAGTGGAAAGACTTTTGTACATAAAGACCCAGAGGAGATACAGGAAAGAAGCCAGAATGAAGACACAGGCAGAGACTGGAGTGATGCAGTTACAATCCAAGGAATGTCAAAGTTTGCCAGCTGGCTGGGCACGGCAGCTCAGGCTTGTAATCCCAGCACTTTGGGAGGCCGAGGTGGGTGGATCATGAGGTCAGGAGTTCAAGACGACCAGCCTGGCCAAGATGGTGAAACCCCATCTCTACTAAAGGTACAAAAATTAGGCGGGCGCGGTGGCAGGTGCCTGTAATCCCACTCGGGTGGCTGAGGCAGGAGAATGTCTTGAACTCGGGAGGCAGAGGTTGCAGTGAGCCGAGATCATGCCACTGCACTGTAGCCTGGGCAATAGAGTGAGACTCCATCTCAAAAAAAAAAAAAGAAAAGAAAAAGATTGCCAGCAACCACCAGAGGCTAGGAGAGAGAGGCAGGGAAGGATTATTTATTGGAGTCTTCAGAGGGAGCACACCCCTGCTGTCAACCCGATTTTGGACTTTAGCTTCCAGAACTCTGAGAGAATTAATATCTGTTGTTTTAGGCCACCCAGTTAGTGGTAATTTGTTAAGGCGGCCCTACAAAACTAATATAAGGGCTGTCATTGGATGATTTTGAACAGAGGGACATCATCTGACCTCAGTTTTAACTTAATTACTCTGAATACAGTATAGATAATAGACAGTTTGGGGAGACGGAGATATACCAGCAAGACACCAATTAGAAGACCAATGCAATAATCAAGAAGAGAGGTGATGTTAGCTTGGACTAGAGTGGTGACAATGGAGATGGTGAGAAAGAGTTGGATCCTCCATACGTTTTGAAAATATATTAATACTTATGGATGGAGTAGATGTGAACATGGATTTATATAAAGAAAAGAGAGCAGTTAAGAAAAATTCCAACTTTACCCTCAGTAACCAGAAAGATGGAAAAGCATTGGGTGGAGCATTTGGAGGTAAGTCCAGCAATTTGGTTTGGAAAATGTTAAGTTTGAGATATTTATGAGATATCCACATGGAGCTGTTTGGTAGGCCCTTTGATATATGAATCAGGAGTTCAGGAAGAGATTCATGGTGGAGATAAATTTGGGAATCATTGACATTTAAAAAGGTATTTAAGGTAATAAGATTGGTACCAGAAACTAAGAGAATATGTTTAAATGAATAAGGAAAGGTTTACTACAATGTTAAGAGGTCAGTAATAAAAAAGGAATTAGCAAATAATAATGAGAAAGAGTTGCCAGTGAGGAAACAGCAAAATTAAGAGATGGTTGACAAGTCTTTTGTTTATATTATACAAAAATTTTACTGTAAATGTATTTTAATGAGAAAAATTATAAAAATTTTCTTAAATTATATACTAGAAAGAAGTCAGCAGTTATTTTTTAACTTTATATGCAGCAAATCAAAATATATCTGATGATTACTGTGATTACTTGGTAAATATAAATGAAAGGGCACTGAGCTTATTTTGTTGGACTATGAATAAAAGACTTCCTCTCAATTCAATTAGTTTACATATGCGTCTAAAACCTTTCTCAGTTAGAAAGGATGTCTCTGCATGAGAATAGTATTAGACAATGACACCAGAAACTTCCTGTGACTGGATTTTTCTCATCTCTGTGTAAGTACAGACTTTGTCTATGAGACACCAAAAAAGTTCATCAAAAAAGACAAAAATAAAAAGAAGCACAATCAGTGAAGCATTTCAATGGATATTTTAGATATTTGTACCCTGCAGATACTAAATTAAGAAATCTGCATAGATTTTTCAGTTTATGTAGAAATTGCAGAATAATGCCACTCACCATTTGATCTCAAATTATGCTATGAGATCAGTTTGGTCCCAACAGGAAACAGATGGACTATGGAAAATAGGATAAAACAAAGTTTATTTACAAATGGGGCTAATTTATAAAGGTGTAGCAAACTCAGAAGGAATAGTGCATTAATCCAGAGCTTGTGGTAACAAAAGTGTTATTACTCCTATGCTTAAAAGAGTAAGGAAGAGGGAGTGGCTATCACAAAGAGAATTGTGTATCAACTCTTTTGAGTGGAATAGTCCCCTTTGGGAGACAAACAGGACTAGCTTGAGGTACCCTTGAAAGGCAAAAGCTGGGCGGGGAGTGGGGTGGTGGGGTGGGACTCAAAATTCTGACTTAACCTGCCTATTTCTTCTGTTCTTCTGCTCTTTGGAAGAACCCCTGCCAAATGATTAAAGGTATGAGAATGTTCATGGAATCCCTGCAAGTCAGCCTTCCAGGAAAGAGAGCATAGTGGAGGAGGAAAGTTCCTGAAAAAGTCACAAAATTGTGCTATCTGGCATGGCACACTATCCTTCCTTTGACTTGGTCCACTTTCCATTAGTCTTTTATACCTCTGCTGAAGAAATAATTCATGTTGGGTTAGGAGGCTTTCCTCTGCCATTGAAGGTCGGGCTGCCAGTAACCATGTAAACTCTTCTTTGAACTCTCAAAAATTGTCCTAATAATGTAATGCAATTTTAAAAATAAGCATCACAGAATAGCTAGATTTTTCCATCAGTCTGTGGCATATGACATTACTAGTGAGTGAAATAAAACCACGCATGTTAAATAGTGAAACAATCTGATTAATACTTACGCTAATTTATTTAAAGTAAAACAGTTATATTCTTTCTATTCAAGAGTCAAATGTATATTTTTTACAAATGCAACAAATGCAAGTACGATAGCAGAATTCTAGGAAGACACAAATAACTGTAAGGAAATTGCAGCTGTATATGTGACAGGTAGATGTCACATTTCTGAGAAACATCACTTATAATTGAAATTCGCTATTATACTTTGAGCCGAATATCCTAAGATCCAATATCTTAAGAACAACCAGGGCTGCAGGTGCCATTTTTATGGGAACCATACACTGCCAAGAACCTCCATCCATTTTAATTTCACTAACAGAAAAATAGAAAAGTCAATGTTCACTTTTAAGAACCATACTAATGCTTATTAATATATTCCTATAATCTGTTTGCTATCCTTGGAGGGTTCGAAATTTGTGGTATTTTTTAAAGTGTGGTCATAACTTTTCAAACCAGTCCCGTTCAGTGCTTTGGATGTCTGGAATATTCCATTCAAAATGCCTGTGTGAACTATAAAGGCCATATTGGTAACCTTTCTTCCTGAGGTTCATCTCTACAAGCATGGGATCCATTATTCATGCTGATGACATTCCAATAACACGCTGCATGATTTTATACTGAGTGAGAAATCCAGCAGTCTAGACTAAGAGACAGAAAGAAGTTAAATTAAAGGTTAATGTCACTTTTTATAGCGGGTTGGATCTCTTAAAAAGATGTACCAAAACGTGGCCTCTAAAGTCTGGTGTATTTATTAGGCATGGAGATAGCAGAAGGTATCATGCCCAATATCAAGGTGGAGTCCTTTCTCCCAGGAAGAGAAGTTACATGGGGTCATCATGCAGATGGCTTTCACCATTGAAGCTATCAGCCTGCATGAGTTCTAATGAGCTGTACTTTAGTTTCAATTTCATCTTGGATATGAAGTCAACTTGAAAACTGTGGTAAAAACTTGAAAGAAAAATACAAATACAGCCCCACTAATGAACAATGCATATTTCTAACCAAATAAGAAGTTAGTGATCTCTATGAAAAATCTCTATTAGTTTTAAGTGAAAGTGTGAGCTTCTATTATTGTGTAAGAACCAAAGAAATTAGTCATCTCTCAATAATAACCTAGTGGCATAAAGCAGTAATTACTTTCTTTTCACAAGCTGCTCTCGTCTGAACCAGAAAATGATAGATATTCTGGCCCATTCTAATACCCGGCTTTCTTCTGATACTATTTTTACCTATATTTTGGGGTTAAAAATTGGTAAAGTTAGTTTTTCCATATCTACTACTAACTTATCAAGAATTCATGGAGCTAGAAAATCTCCTAACATCCAGTGTACATATTTGGCACAAAAAATGGAGAGAAAGCCTACATTGTAATTTTAATCTCCCAAATTTAATGGCATTTTTTAAAAAGTCAAAATTATTATTTGTGAGAGCCTGACAAAATTAGATGGCCACATATGTGAAAAAATAGTTGCACCCAACAATTTTATTGAAGTACAAGTTTAATATATTGGTTGGTGCACACAGCTCATTGATTTGTTTGTGTTGTAGATGTGGGCTAGGATAATGAATGAGTTCCATATGAATTGAAAAACTATAGGCAAAAGATATTGGTTTGCCAGTGAATCAATATTTAGAAAATATATTGGTCATGACTACACTTCCATATTGGTTTAATACATTAGCTTGGAACACACTTTGTGTGTGCATGCAATATGCTGATTTCTTTGCTAACTCCATGTTTAAATAACTTTAATTGTTAGGAACCTTTCTTTTTAAGGAACTGAAATGTGGAATTAGGTGACTTAGGGAGGTTAAATTGCTGTCATTTTCAGAAAATAAACTTGTGATTAATCTTATATGTAGGTAGGCTCATCATGTGTCTGTAAATTTTATTTTAACACAAGCACTTTCACAGACTTTAGCATGCAAAATAAAGAATTTGCTATTTATTAAAACAAATTCCAAGTGGTAAAAATTATTAACATATGAATGACAAGTACAAAAAATATATTCACTACTAAATCTACTTAGCAGTGGTATGAAGCAGTAAGACACTCTGGTTTTAAAAGCAAAGCTTGGTGTTCGTTCCTGTCTCCTGCCGAGAGGAGCTCTGAGGTGGAGACCCTAACCCAGCAGAGCTAGAGGAATTAAAGACACACACAGAAATATAGCATGTGGAGTGGGAAATCACGGGTCTCACAGCCTTCAGAGCTGAGAGTCTCAAACAGAGATTTACCCACATATGTATTGACAGCAAGCCAGTGATAAGCATTGTTTCTATAGATTATAGATTAACTAAAAGTATTCCTTACGGGAACCGAAGGGATGGGCCGAAACAAAGGGATGGGTCTGGCTAGTTATCTGCAGCAGGATCATGTACTTAAGGTGCAGATCACTCATGTTATTGTTTGTGGCTTAGGAACGCCTGTAAGTGGTTTTCCGCCCTGGGAGGGCCAGGTGTTCCTTGCCCTCATTCCGGTAAACTCACAGCCTTAGCGTGGGCGTCATGGCCATCACGAACATGTCACAGTGCTGCAGAGATTTTGTTTGTGGCCAGTTTTGGGGCCAGTTTATGGCCAGATTTGGGGGCCTGTTCCCAACAGTCTCCAAACACTAAAGTTCTGTCTTCTTAATTGTCACTTACATAAAGCCATTGCACCTCATCGTCAGTATTGAGGTAATCATTTTTACCTGGCTACCCAGACAGCCACTGCAAGGATTAACAGGTGCAGAATAATATATCTACAAAATTCATTCTCTACATAAAAATTAATGTTGATTGGCATACTCAGTTTTAAGGCCAGATAGAATAGGTCCATATTCAAGATCCGTAACTTAATAGGTGTATTATTATTTTTATGAAGCTTTATTGGGGTATAATTTATATAACATAAAAGTTCCCTTTTCTTTTTTTTTTAAGAAATGGTGTCCTGCTGTGTTGTCCAGGCTGGAGTACAGTGGTGTGATCAGAGCTCACTGAAGCCTCAAACTTGAGCCTCCTGGGCTCAAGTTATTCACCCACCTCAGCCTCAAAAGTCACTGTTTTTGTGTGTGTGTGGTTCTCAAAAGATATGATTTGTTTTTATTGCAACAAAATGTATTCATCTTACTTAAAGGCAATTTATTGGGTGCATTTGGAGATTTCTCATGGAGGAGAGAAATGTATATTCAGTGGCACCTCATACTGGACTGAACCTGCAACTGGGAAATAATTAGGAACCAGTGATTCTATTCTATCCATCTCTCAGCCAGTGGTTTCTCTTTTTTTTTTTTTTTTTTTTTTTTTGCTTTTCATGGTCCAGATATTCTCTCTTTCTTTGTTTTTTCTTTCTCCCTGAAGAACAGCTTTCTTTATTTTGATGTGAACATGGCCACTTGACATTCCTTGACTTCTTTGTTCAACCTCCTAACAGGGACTAATGAGAACCTCCTGTGTCTATATTCCAAAATTTTCTGCAAAAAATAGAAGCTTCTCACCTGTGGTCTGTCATTTCTTTATCTATTCAAGTGTGGCCCAAGATCGTTAGCATCACATAACACATGCCTAGCTGCAGTGCTCAGAGAATAAAATATAAGTGGCTTTGAATTGCATCCCAAAAGAAATCTAGACCCTTGGCTTCATGAAAGGGAAAGAAGAAAGATAAACCCTAAGAAATATTGAAAGAAAAGCTGTCTTTGTAAAGAAAATTTTTCAGTGATTGATAGGTAGATCCTTAAGCAGGGAAAATAATATGTGTAGGTTAAATTGGGGACCCTCACTTCTTCTCCCAAACTTTTGTAGTAATGTATTTTTAGAGCAGGTTTAACTAGCAGGTCATGAATTTAGTAATTTCAGGATTCAAGTCTATATTTTTGTACTTATTGATTGTGTGCCATATTTGCTATTAAACTTCAATGAGCATAGGTTGTAATATGTGTTGCCACAATATTAACATCAAATGCTAGCTGATAAATACTAACTTACAATATATATGTGCAGCCTGTATATAAGTTTATTACAAATAGTAATACACTATAACGATTTTATTAAAATAATTACAATTATTTTAGGATCAGAGCTTCTTTGCCCTAATATACTTGGATGTTTAGAAAAGTAGTGATGAATTGTGCTGGCCTGATGTTTGGAAACTCAGGATCTTTGTCACAGTTCTTGAAATAAACAACTGGGGCTTTGGCAAGTCATATCATCTTCCCTCAAGCTGACCCATCTGGTAAGAGCAGTTTGATTTTAAATTTTCAAACAACCTCCAGTTTGAGCCCATCTTATCATTGCCATAAACATGGGAGTTCTTGATGATGGGAATGATAACAGCAAAACACAGTTGGTCTGATCATAACACCACTAAATATAAACTTTGCCTTTTTAAGGCAGAGAGATAATAGGCAAAATTTATGGGACCAAATCAATCTTTCATCATAATACTTACTTTAAGTAAATAAAATCATTCCCCATACCACAAAGGCAGGTTTCAAGCAACTACACACTGGAGAATCAAGCACTGTGTTTTCAAATGACATCATATCTACTCAGTTCTGCTTCCACTTTAAGTGGTTTTTAGTGTGTGCAAGCAAAGTGCACAGCTTATTTATCATAAAGCTAAGATCCATAAAAGTCCTTCAAATGTTTCAATAAACTTATGAAAAAGTATTTTTCAAAAAGGCATGCAACTAGCATTTATTTTTCTCATGCTTTGAAATATGTTTAAATCAAATTTGATGTTATGGTCCTTCTCAGACTCTGCAGATCCTGTGGTTCTCCTTGACACTTCGATTACCTTAGAGAAACATATTCATTTGAGTGGATAAATAACAAGAATTGGGAGAAGTCTACTTTTAAAGAAAATATAAATTTGAAGATATCATCCTACTCTCCCTAAATTCAAATGAAGTTAATTTAAGGCACATGTATTCTGTCATGTTTAGAAGTTGTATTATAATTAGTATAATATGCATTATACTAAGAAGCCAATTACTTTACTCCAAGGACATGCCATTGGATTTATCTAAAGTAACAGGAATGTTCAGAGTTAATTAAGTTTGTCTTTTGCTAACAAGAAATTGTGTCATATTATAGAAAGATTTTAGGATACTAAAAGTTCAATCTGTACCATAAAATATCTGCACATAAATGTTTTATGAGAGATTGGCATAGAATAACATATGAACAAAATCATAATCTATGCTTAATCCTCTAATTGGATCTGTGTGGGTTTTTTTTTAGGTTCTATATTTTAATTAGGAGGGCTTCAGCTGCAGGTGACAGAAAATCAGATATAAGCTTTACAAGCACAGGAAAATTTAGGGATGCATATATTATAAGTCCAGAGGTGGCCCAAGTCTAATGTTGGGTTTAATTTAGTGGCCTTTGTTCTGCTTCTAAGTGATTGCAAAAATAAAGGCTGCAGTTTTAGGCTTCTCAACTACATACTCAGTTACTCAGGGGAAAAGAAAGCTTTCTTTCCTTTTCTCTTTTCTTTTCTTTTCTTTTCTTTCCTTTTCCCTCCCTCCCTCCCTTCCTTCCTTCCTTCCCTCCTTATATATTAGAAGTCCAGAGTTGACTCAAGTCTAACTTTGGGCTTAATTTAGTTGGCCTTTGTTCTGCTTCTAAGTAGTTGCAAAAATAAAGGCTGCAGTTTTAGGCTTCTCAACTACATACTCAGTCATTCAGGGGAAAAGAAAGCATCTCCCCTCCTCTCCCCTCACCTCCCCCCTCCCCCCTTCCCATCCCCTCTCCTCCCCTCCCCTCCCTCCTCCTCTTCTTTCCTTTCCTTCTTTTCTTCTTTCTTTCTTTCTTTAGATGGTTTTCTCTCAAGGGAAAGAAGATGTCTTTTCCAAGGTTTCATAACAAAAATATTGTCTTTATTATAATTGCCTGAATTTGGTCACTGTCTTAGTCTGTTTGAGCTGCTAAAACAAAATGCCATTGACTGGGTAGTGTATAAAGACCAGACATCTATTTCTTAGAGTTCTGGAGGATAGAATGATCAAAATCAAAGAGCACTAGAAAATATGGTGTCTGAGGAGGGCCCCTTCCCAGGTTGATAGACAGCGCCTCTCTTTGTGTCCTCACATGGTAAAAGGGGTGAGCTAGCTCCCTTGGGTCCATTTTAAAAGGGCACTACTCCAATTCATGAGACCTCTGCCTTCATGATCTAATCACATTCCAAAGACCTCACCTCCTAATTTTATCACATTGGTGATTAGGTTTCAACATATGAATTTAGGAGGGATAAAAGCATTCAGGTCATGGTGTCATATTGCTATTTTTGAATCAATCCCTGCTGTACAGTGAAGAAAAAAACCCCAACAAATCAACTGATGGTTACTTTAGACATTAATTCTTGAAAAAAGCATTGTGGCATAGGATTGTGGGAGGTAGTGAGTGAAGCACCTCCAAAGCATTCAGGTTCTTGCAGAAGTCACGGTAAACATCCGCAAAGTACGTGGTCTAAGGGTGTGTGGGAGTGGGGTGTATACCTAAATAAAATTATAAAATGTTTATGATGGGGAAAAGTAGGAATTTCACTGGGTACGATACCCACAATATCTACTATAGTCTATAAACAAGTGGCTTGGAAACATTTGATAAGATGAAGCCACACCTAACTTAAAAGATTTGCTTTACTCTGCATAAAAATAACAATAATAATAAAATATGTCTTATAAAAATGTCCCAAACACCAAACCTCATATCTTCGGTATGCCACTTAACCACTGCATGTAAAGGAAAAAAGTCCATTGACTGCAACAGAGCAATTAGTCTTTTCAAAAAGTCAAACTATCTCTTGTCCCTACCTCATACGTTCCTATATGGGTAATGACTGCCAGCTAAAGTCACTCCCCTGGTCAGGTCCTTGCACTCACTGTTCTTAACACAAGTCTTGCTTACTGTATTTCCCACATTTTTCTCATGTCATGAAATGCCCTCAATATATCTCTCTTCTTATGTAAATCTAACCATGTGGCAAACTGGTCTTGGCTGTGAAGACGTCCCTATCTACTTTAGAGCTCACTAATTGATGTTTCTTTTCTGATCTGCAAAGAAAATTGTAGTCTAAAACCTTACTTCCATTATTCTTATATTAAAAATAATTATTGATAATGTATTAACTGGCTGACAGTCTTCTAGGTGGTCAGGATAAAAATAGAAATATTTTCACATGAAGTTTCTGGTGTGTGTTTGTGTGTATATATGCATATGATCCTCTCATTTCCCTTAACAAGTTTCGATTTTCATAAGTGTCAGAGCTATCTCACAGAGTTGTTTCCATGCCCATCGTCTAGTGTTGATTCTTCCCTACAAGAAAAGAGACTCAACAAGAAGGTAGAAACCACTCAAAATTTTTGTGGCTTGACATTTATGTTTCCAGGACACTGGGAAGCAAAAGAAGGATGCTACTGAATTACTATGGCCAAAGTAAAACAAACTCAAGTCATTCTGAGAATTCTGTCTGCATTCAAGGAGAGTAGAAGCCCTGGTCTCTGGAAAATGTTGCCTTTAATTTAGCTAAGTTGTAGCAGAAACTGTAAAATCTCTTTTGTTTGGTGCTCCTTTATCAATACCATAGATGCGGGTCAAAGTTCATGGTTTTTGGTTAAGGATGGCTTTTGCCCTTCACCTAGCACTATCTAATTAACTTACCTCTTTCTCTATTACACTGATATTACCTGTAGCAGGAAACTCAAAATGCTACATATAAACGATAATAATGTTTTCCATTCAAATATGTGTGTCCACACACACACACACACACACACACACGTAAACCCCTCATGGTCTTTGGTGAAACTGTGGATTACCTATCAACCTGCTTAGAAAGTTCTAGTTCTTCAGTCTCAGGAGGTGAAAATTACAACCTTGTTCCTTGGTGTTCAGCATATATATTTATTAAGTTTAGTGTGAGCAACATTTAATCAACATATTAATTAAAGACATTCCTTTAAGTCCCAAATTTTCCATAGAGCAAAGACACTTTGACTTCTTTCATCTGGCCCCACCTACTTCATACATTATCACTTTTCTCTGCTTTATTGCTATTAATGAATAAATGAACATTTTGTTTGCTATTGCCTAGGAGACAGGCTCCCTAAATACATACACAATTTCTACTATTGCATAACCTGTTTCAAATCTATCCTACTTTTACTATCCTCACTTCATTCCATGCAATCTCACAGAAATAAAGGAGGGGTTTGGGGGATCTCCTCTTTTTCTTTTTTTTTTTTTTTTTTTGAGACAGTGTCTCACTCTGTTGTCTAGTCTGAAGTGCAGTGGCACGATCTCGGCTCATCGCAACCTCCACCTCCTGGATTCAAGTGATTCCCCTGCCTCAGTGATCAGGGCCCACACACAAAAAGAAAAATAATAATGAAGTTAAGAAGAGGCATCTCAGGATTATGGGGGAATTAAATATGAATTATTGACATCTTATAGATAAGACGAAGACATTTTGACCTCATGGAGAATTTTATTTTTATTTATTTTATTTTTACTTTTTTTTTTTTTTGAGACAGAGCCTCCCTCTACCACCCAGGCTAGACTGCAGTTGCACGATCTCAGTTCACTGCAAACTCTATCTCCCAGGTTCAAGCAATTCTCATGTCGCACCCTCTCAATTAGCTGGGATTACAGGAGTGTGCCACCATGTCAGGCTAATTTTTGTATTTTTAGTAGAGACAGGGTTTCATCGTATTAGCCAGGCTGGTCTCAAACTCCTGACCTCAAGTGATCCGCCTGCCTTGGCCTCCCAAAGTGCTGAGATTACAGGCATGAGTCACCACGGCTGGCCTCCCATCTTATTTATACTGTATGAGATATATGGTTTCTAGGATGTGGGCCTGGGTGATGAGTCTGCCATTAGTTAATTTAATTGACTAAGTAATGTGGGCACTCTTTTCCCCAGTTTTGACCACTACAAGTTGCTGGATGTGAGGATAATTAGGTTTCTCTTCATTGCATTTCGTCTGTGATGGTACAATCATGTATTTGAACCTCTTTGCAACAATGTCTTGAGCTGTTTGGATAATACAGCTCAAGAATATAAAAGAGCCCTGAGCCTCTTTTATACTTGGGTAATTTAAATTTCACTGTGGGTACCCCAGTGACCTAATATTTATTAACAAACATTACAAATAAAATGAGACTTTCTTTTAAAGAAGTTTTTGGATTATTAAAAGTTGAACCATGAATAATCAAACTTTTTATAGGAGGAGAAAAGAAAAAGTGCAAGTTTTTAAGGAGGTGAAGAAGTAATTGAATTCTTTCACCTCAGTGATTGACTATATTTTAGGAAATGGTCAACTCATATTTGAATATGCTTATTTTTAAAATAATAAAATGTCTCATTTGTACTTAATACTTAAATATTATGCAATCTATCGAATAGAAATGAATGTAATTCCTTACTTCAAGCAAAGGATTGTACCATTTGACATGGTCATCGTATGTCTTTGACTTATCACCTTAGTGCACAGATACGCTTGAGTCTCTTTTTTACTTGGGTAACTTAAATTTCATTGTGGGTACCCCCATGACCTAATATTTATTAACAAACATTACAAATAAAATGAGACTTTCTTTTAAAGAAGATTTTTGATTATTAAAAGTGACACTTCTTCAGCTGCAGCTTAAGAGTAAAACATTTAGGAAAATTGTAATTATTCTAAGCCAAGTTTGGATTTTTTAAATCATTTCCAAAATGTGTGGTGAGCTGGTGTTATATTGGAAATGAATTTAATCTAAACAAGCTATGGTTTATGAACACTGCCGAAGCCAAACACAGCATAATGAAACTTCGTTTTAATGTGCTCCATTTAATATTGTCTAACATTTACCATTTGTTTATTAGATTTATATAGCACCTATTATCCAAACAGCTCAAGACATTGTTGAAAGAATATTAAATTAAGGCTTTTTATAAGAACTTTTCGTGAGAGGAATGGGACAATAGAAGAGAGTTCTTGACAAACTACATTCACAGAAAGAAAATCCCAGCCAGAATATTTGAGGCATTTAGTATCCATCAGACAGTTTTTGGAACTATATCCCTGGGCAATGATATTCCACTCTACCTGGATTACAAACCTCAATATTAACTAGTTCTGATTTACTTTGGATTCCTATATAAATTCCATTGATTTCACATGCATTCGTTAAAAAATAAAATAAAATTTGTGACATCAAAAAAGAAATTTGGCATTTAACACTTGAAGTTTCTTTTTATTTTCTATTTTAAAATTACTTTTATGTTTTGCAATTATAGATGAGTTTTAATATTTGGAACCAGTTCTTCAGCTGTTATGTTGAATAATAGTTGTCTTAAATTTACATGGGAAATGTTTCATTCTTTGAGGATACACACAAATCTTCCAAACAACAGCAGCTAGGCCTTCTCCCTAATGACTTCAGAGTTTGTCTAGCGCAAGTCCTTCATTTTGAAAATAAGAAAATCAAGACCCAGAGATTTAGATAATTCATACAAGGTCACTGTTTGAGTTTCTTACAGAGCTGGAGCTAGATTGAGTCTTACTCTAATTATTTTTCTTCTTTTAAAACAGTGCTTTTTGAATTTCTCTAATTTTTAAAATAACATTTGCAAACAACTAGGAATGAGTGTTTTGAGGGCTCACATTGTCTATTGAACCTTGAGCATCTCACACTTCCAGGCCTCACTCATTGTAATAAAGTTTCCCATTCATCATGAGGCATAATATGACCAACCTTATTTGCCATACTTTACCAATACTGCTATACAGAGGGCTGGTTTAGGAGTTAAAAGTCTCATGTAATTTCAATTCTTGTCATTGAACAGGAATTCACCAAGGCATCTTAAAGCAAAACAGCATAAGCTAATGCTTCTCTCTCATGGATAGAAATGACTTTCATACCTCTGTGCTCGGCCATGGACTTTACTAATTAGCCAACTCCAACCCTTCAGAGATGTTCAATGTCTCTCTCAAGGTGACAGTCCTTGTTAGCCAGTACTTTTGACTCTCTAGTGTTGATTGTGTTTTATACCTGGGCAATAATTTAGGAATTAGGTACAACATGGAAAGTGAAGCTAGTCTCTCTGACGAGAGACCTAAACTCTACAATTTACTAACTGTTTGATCTTAATCTGGTTAATAAAGCCCACTAAGAGGCTTAGTTAACAAATTTGCAAAATCGAAATTATAATAGTGTCTATCTTATATGTTATGATGAATATGTATTAATGGTGTTTTTATTAGTCTAATTTGTTTTTTCATCAGTTCTATCAGCACACACACACACACACGGTTTAATTAATACAATTATATTATTCCCCACTATTATAGTCATGGGAATTTCAGAGAAATATTATACAATGCTTGGGTAAAATAATTTGACAGAGAAAATTCCATGTGTTGTACTCAAATTCTTCAAGGAAAACTCCTTATCCCTCCACCCCTACCACAATCTCTTTACTTGAGAAATGAAACTGAGAACTTAGTCATCACTCCCTGTAGGGGAATCTCCATAGAGCATTACAATTACATAGGTTAAGTGTGAGAATTGGAAAACTATTAACATTGTTTGACAAAATAAATATAAGGTTAATTACTATAAATGTTAGCCACATAGCATCAATCCTTAATTATTATGCAGATTAACCTTAAAATGAAAACATTATATATATACACATGCATGCTATACACACAGATATGTGTGTTATATATGTTAATGTGTGTGTGCATATACAAAAGAGAAAAAAATAGTTTCCTAATACTATTGAATTGGCTAGTCACAGAACTAGGCTTTCATTTTTTTGTAAATTTTGGATTTATTATGTTTAACTCTTGGCTAGATTTATATTTTCAAGTTCTCCTTATCCAGCTATTCTATAGCCTTAAAGGCCAAACTGAGGTATGTAGGAAATTCTCCAAGATATCTAGTACAATCACTAGTTTCACAAGGGTGGAATAAAATAAAGAAACATAGAGAACTGCTACACACTTGCAAGTAAAAGGATAATAGGCATAAAGTATTGGTATAATCAATCCCAAATAGAGGATGATCTCAAAGTCTTTCCCAGTCTCTATGATCCAGAACTAAATAATTTCACATGGTTGAGGCTGTATTTTTCTTTTGTTCATTTCACTTGTGTAGAAATTGTACATTTGCTTTCCTTATTGTATTATCTTTAGCTTGAGATGGGACATTTTGTTGTTATTTTAGCCCTTAGTTCTAAATTGTTTTACTACTAACAAATGAAGTGTTTAGGCTAATTAAGTTTCTGTTATGTATTTTCAGAAAACACATAACACTCATTATTTATAATAATTGACATAAGAATCTAGAGAGATTGAAGGTATCTCTTTGTGTCTGCCTGCTTTCTAAATTCTATAAATCTTATGAAATTTTAGAAAATCCTGTTTCTTGTCACTTTGGTAGGAAGTATATGAGGTTGAGATACCAGTCTCATTAAGGTATGATCACCAGGTAATTTATTGCTGATGCTTTAACTTCACTTGAATTAATTATTAAATTAATAAGTTAAATTTTGACATTCATGTTTTTTTCTATATCAGCCTAATTTTTGTTTTTATATCCAAACATCAGCTTTCTGGGTACCCAGTTTCTGCCCACTTATATGATGTTATATGATACTGTGGACTTGGACCCAGTTTTTACTCTTTGAGGCTTAATTTAACCTGGTTTCATGGTTCCTAAATGTCTACTCCTCTTGGGAATCTGTCCTTTCTTTGTATATTAAATTTAATCATTCCGTAGTTTATGTAACCAAGACTGTTAATCTCTGGGTAAAGGGACAGGTTTAAATTCCCTACCGTTTATTTCAGTCTCATTATAACTTTGCTGATTAAGAAGTCACAGACTGGGCTGGGTGCAGTGGCTCACACCTGTAATTCTAGCACTTTGGGAGCCTGAGTTCACTTGAGGTCAGGAGTTCAAAACCAGCCTGGCCAACATGGTGAAACTCCATGTCTACTAAAAATACAAAAAAATTAGCAGAGTGTGGTGGTTCATGCCTGTAATCCCAACTACTCTGGAGGCTGAAGCAGGAGAATCACTTGAATACAGAAGGTGGAGATTGCTGTGAGCCAAGATCGCACCACTGCACTCCAGCCTGGTCAACAGAGCGAGATTCTGTCAAAAAAAAAAAAAGAAAAAAGAAAGAAAGAAAGAAAGAAAGAAAGAAAGAAAGAAAGAAAGAAAGAAAGAAAGAAAGAAAGAAAGAAGGAAAGAAGGAAGGAAGGAAGGAAGGAAGGAAGGAAGGAAGGAAGGAAGGAAGGAAGGAAAGGAAGGAAGGAAGGAAGGAAGGAAGGAAGGAGAAAAGAAAAGAAAGAAAAGAAAAGAAAGGAAAAAGAAAAAGAAAAAAAAAGTGACAGACTGGAAAATGTAAAATGCTTTCCCTGGCTCTAGAAACACTGAGTGGTTGCTTTCTCTCTCTTCTTCACTCTTCCCTTGCTCAAACTCGCACCTATATGGTGTCTTTGTTCAGCACATCCATATGGCGCTGCACCATTTTTCAGTGGGCAGCAATAGGCCTTAAAGCAAATACAAAGTAGGGTACTCAATCCACAGATTGCCACTCTTATGCTAATCAAACTGCATGTCAGCAAGGCATGTCCATGGCTTTACTATTAAACTCTGGGCATTTATGAGGGTAGCTTGAATTTATGCATTAAAAATGGAAAAGAAGCAGGACTGGCTGTTTCAAAATTGTGAAAATAGGCAACTGTCCTATTGTTTATTTCCTTTTTCTTCACCCATTGAAGGATTCTTTCTTCTCATTTCACTCACTTACTCTCTCAATTCCTCATTACTTTACTGTCAAAGTGTGGATGCTCCAATATTAGTCCTTTGCATTTATTGATTAGTTAACAGATTGTAATTTTAGTATTAATTATATTCAATCTTATGTAACATATTCATGTTAGAATGATGGCTACCATGATTAGAGATACCTAGGAGTTTTACTATTTTTTTGCTCTAGAAATTTCTGGGTGGAACAGCAAGTGTCAACTTATCATCAAGTTTGGAAAAAGCTTTTGAAAGTGCTTCATCCTCTTCCCCCAAATCCTACCTCAATCCCTTTACTTGAGCAATAAAACTGAAAACCTAGTCATCACTCCCTGTAGGGGAATCTCCATAGAGCATTATAATTACATAGGTTAAGCATGAGATTTGGAAAACTATTAACATTGTTTAACAAAGTAAATGTAAGGTTAATTACTATAAATGTTCGCCACATACCACTAATCCTTAATTATTATGCAGATGAATAACCTTAAAATGTAAACATTATTTTATATATATACATATATATACACACACACATGCATGCTATACACACACATACATGTTATATATATATGTGTGTGTGTGTATGTGTTAGTGTATGCATGCATATACAGAAAAGAAAAACAATAGTTTCCTAATACCATTAAATTGGCTGATCACAGAACTGGACTTTCATATTTTGATAAATTTTGCATCTTATAGAATCATTAAGAACTTACACTTACAAAATAAAAAGAATACAAGAAACAAGAGGATAATCTTCCTAATACTAAAAGGAATGTGTAATGATTGATTGAAAGTTGACTTAAGCATTTGATAAAGCTTTGATACAGCAGTAACAAAAGTCAAAAAATGTATGTATAATTTTAAATTCATAGAACATTGTATTAAATATAAACATTCTGTCTGGATGGTGGTGGTGTACATGTTCATAAGGGAGAAATGTAACAAAATTATTTGGATAGAGAATTAACAGAAATATGCTTTGTAGTATCTGGAAGGGAATTCAATCAGTGAATTCAAAGAGAAAATAACTTCTTTAATTACAACATCTAGATAAACCTCTCAATATGTTTTATTTTTCTAAAAACCCAGTAATACTTGTCTATATTAATTATTTTAATATATATACCAAAGCTTTAAAATGAATAATTTATACTATTGCCATAATCTCAATATTCTGATTACACAATCAAATACTAAATATGTTATTACAACAGAATACAACACACCATTAATTCAAAGCTTAAAATGCTTTTAAAGATTTGAATTCTATAGCTTTCATTATTGTTGTTATTTGTTTACTTCATCATTTGTAAATTTCAAAGTCATCTAGGTTTGCAGCAAATGTTCTGAGGCAGTTACTAACTACCATCTCTATTGAGAAAGTTTGAAGGTCATGGCATTTAATAGAAGCCCAAGTTCCATACTGGATTCCTTCCAAGCTGTTCTCATTCTCAAAAGAGGGAACTAAATCCATGTTTTTGTGCTAGCATAAATTCTCCATATTTCTGAATCAAATGTGGTACTACAATTTCCCTTGACATTAGTTTCTACCTTCAAACTGGAGTGGACAGAAAGGTTGTCATGGTAATGGTGTAGTATAAAACTAAAAGGAGGATGACAGTGCTTCCAGAATGTCTTCTTTTGTCTTAACGTATTGTCAGCATCTTTAGGGACATAAGCATCTTCTTCAGTTTCTGAATAAGTAGCCTTGTTGTGATTACACTTTGAATACTTGTTAAAGAAGCATAGAAATGATTGCTTCTTCATTGAAACAGTTAGGGCAGATGATTTGCAGTTATATTATTTCTTCTATTAAACAACAGGTTATGAGCCTACAGGGATGAGCTACTCTGGGTATGAAATTCAAGTAAATTTAATGCATAGTAGGGAATACTAAATACAGTATTTACCTGAAAATCCATCGTTCTATTATGAGATCTTTGCAAAATAGAGAAAGCCAACAAGAGAGAGTTGTTTTTTTTGCAAATCCTGTCTTGTACTTCAGTATCTCAAAGCAGTTCAGTAGAAATCATCCGTCTACAGGAGAATTAAGTAGCTTATAAGCATAGTTTTAGTTTTGATTGCCCTAGTAACTATGATGATAGTCCCTCTTGCTACTAACACTTCAAAGACTCATCTATTCTCATTTTCTTTTTTTCTTTTTCTTTTCTTTTTTTTTTTTGTTCGTTTTTTTTTTTTTTTGTTTTATGAGATGGAGTCTCACTCTGCCGCCCAGGCTGGAGTGCAGTGGCGCGATCTTGGCTCACTGTAAGCTCCGCCTCCCGGGTTCATGCCATTCTCCTGCCTCAGCCTCCTCAGTACCTGGGATTACAGGACCACGCCCGGCTAATTTTTTGTATTTTTAGTAGAGATGGGGTTTCACCGTGTTAGCCAGGATGGTTTCTGTCTCCTGACCTCGTGATCCGCCCGCCTTGGCCTCCCAAAGTGCTGGGATTACAGTCCTGAAAAAGAAGAAAATTCACAAATTATGAACCCAGTGTAGGATAATAAATGGCTATATGACCAGGAATGCTAAGACAAGACAAATTAAGAGGTTTCAATGACATTAAAGAAAGGACAGAGATAAGTATGCTGAGGGCAAGATTAAGGTATGTGGTCCACAGCAAAACGTGCATGCCCTTGTTTGATATAGGGAGATTGTAAATCAGAATCTGGGAAGGGTAGTTTCTCCTTCATGACAGTTATACTTTTCAAATTAAAAGATCAGAAGTCGGGAAAAATCACAAAGAACCATGAACTGAAGAGGGAGAGCTGAGTGAGCAGGAAACAGCTGTGATATGGCCGACCCAGGAAACCTTGGGAATTCCCAAAGGAGGAAATTATCTTCCACCGTCAGGATGTTTCATGAGGCTTAATGCAGGATTACTTTTCACTGGGAACTAGCCTTGAACTTGGGAGAGGAAACAAGTAAATTTTAGCTTCATACTGAATGTGAAGCTAAAAGGAAATCAAAACTGAGGCAAAGAATAATGCCTTAAATATTTGTGGTTAAAACTTGAGTGAGGTTACATGGACTCCTTTTTATCACATTTATATTTTTACCAGATTCATTAATTACTTAGTTATCCATTGTTCCTCCATTAACGCTTTCACTAATTATAGAGCTCGCTCAGAGTTTTGCTACATAGATATAGTGTCTGCAATATCTTAACAATATACTTTATTAGAAACATTATGCAGATAACCTGTTTTAATCCCAGTTCTGCCAATTTTGCCTCTCTCTGCTTAATTTTTTTTCATGTGTGAAATGTGAATAATATAGTGATGTCAAGGCTAAGTGGAAATTATTTGAGATAATTTATATCAAAAGCTCAGGCTTATCAAGAACTTCCCACATTCCAAGCACTATTCAGTGTATAAAGAAAACATATGAGAAACTTGGCTTTGAGAGGTTTATATTTCATACTTGCAAAATGTTTTTCTTTTTGATCTTGAAATTAGTGAAGTTTTCCAGGGCACTGTCTTTACTTTATACCCCCCGTTCCCCTGGAGCTAGCTAAATGTACAGCAAATAACAAGTATTCGACGGAATAACTTTGAGTTGCTCAATGTCCTTGTGAGGTAAATTGGGAAACTGAATAATTTCTGTTAGTCCATCCAAAGAGATCAGTACAGGTTATCAAGGGTCACACAACAAGCTTATGGTGAAGGCTGGTCAGAAACACACTCCTTCAGATTCCAAAATTAACAAACACCCACACTACTCATGGTTAATATTATAGGAAGATACTTCAGCAGAAAGGCAGCATTGAGAAATTTGGGCTTTGGAAGAGATAAGCATATCATCTTTGTTTTAATGATGAATTGCAACAGAGAGTTCCTAAGATAAGCATCTCCCATAAGGAGGGACATTGCTCAATCTGGTGAGCAAATGTGCAGACAGTGCATGATTCTGTCTCTTTATGCATGCAATACTCCCAAGACCTCCAATTAGGCAGTTTCTTCCTTGCTAATGGGTAAAATTAGTAATGCTTTATGTAAAACTTAAAAACAAAATTAATAATTCACAACTGTGTTCTAACTGCTAAATAAAACTTTATAAACTGTATTTTTAGGCACCTAATGTTTAGTCTATAAATGCTATCTTGTTCATAGGGAATATGCATGCATATATTGGTCCTTTAAAGTTATTTATTCATTAAAACTAAAATGCAGGCTGTTTTGCCTATACTCCATGTGGCATACATATACTGTACAGAATATAGTTTTGAGATCAGAAGGGTTGTAAGCCATTTAAATTGAATTACACTTTTATTTAGCTAGTGCAGAATAAAATTGGGAAGAAAAGTGATAATCTTTTCCTCTGTCTTATTTTAATTAAAATGCACATATAAGATTTGATCTGAGAAATTGAAGACACTTTAGAGTTCATCAAGTTCAACCTCCCACTCAGTGCAGAAAGGACCAGTATAATAGTTTTGATAGGTGTTCATTCATCTTCAACTTCAACTCTTAAGTATCTCCTTAGCTCACATATGCCATTTGGACAGGTCCTAATGGACTCTTCTTCAGCATATTGAGATGAGTTCAATTTACTAAACCAGGTATGGTTCTGCACAAAGAATTGCATGGAATGTCTAATTCTTCTTTTTCTATGTGGTCCTCTGCTATTTTGAGAAAATTGCTGTGTCCAACCAAAACTCTTTTACAGTGAAGTTTTTCAAATTCTTTCAACTATCCCTCCTACAATATGCTTTTCAGATGTGTTTATATCTTAGTCTCTCTAACCAGGTATTAAATACTTCTTAAAATCATCCAGAATTCAACAGAATTTTAGGTGTGCTGTAATCATGTACAGAATATGATGCCAAGTTACATTCATATGTCAGGAAACAATTTGTTTTTTACATTAATTCAGCCAAAAATAATTTTCACCTTTTTTGACCACTATATCACACTGTCTTCTTTTTTTGAGCATGTCAAGGAGAAGTTTGGTGGAGAATTATTCTCCCTCTCTCTGTAACAGTGTACTGATTTTCTTAAATCTGTATGTGGAACTTATTTACTTTGCATTTACTTTGTTTGGGCTGATTATTCCAATGTTTTGACATCTAGGAAGCAGGTGTATATCAAATCAGAGTACCTGCACTATTGGAGTGTGCTGCCTGGATTCCAGTCTGGTTCTGCCACTTAACTGTGTATTAGTGGGCAAGGCAATTGGTTCACTAAGTTTATTTATCTATGATAGAAGAATGATAATAGTAACTATTCATGAATGAGATGAAGCATGTGGACCTTTAGCTTAGTGCCTGGCCCATGAAAATTTTTGAAAAATCTTAACTATTATCATTGTCATTATTAAAGTTACTTGCTGTCAAAGCAAGCATGGTAACATGTACAAATATATAGCTTTTATATATTGTTAAGTTGTAGTAAAAATTGTGCACAGAGACTGACTAAGCACAGGTTAGAGCCTACCTCTCAAATTGTTACTAATATCTTTCGGAGTATTGGCCCATTTGAAACCCAACTAAATTGATGTTCAGAATAAATTCCTCTTATTCAATAGCTGTTGCCTGCTGAGGACGATAATATTCTTTTTGAATTGTTTACATAAAATGTATTTTGCAATATGTATATTTTGTTGAGAAGCAATGTCAAGTTCCTTAAATTTTAGCTTTAGAAATCAGTTTTCTCCAATTCATAAAGCATCAGAAATATATTTATTTGTTCCCAATTTTATTATACATCTCCCATTTGCTTTTAATTTTTAAAGATCACACTGACATTTTAAAAAGTTTTATGCATTCATTCAACACATATTCTTTGAACTATACTATGGTAATGAAGGTTTCCCTATTTTAAATGAATTAATGGTGCATGAGACAAACTGAACATGATCTTGCATTTTAATGTCCAATTTATGTATTTCAATAAAATCATGAATAAGAAGATAATTACTTATCTTGGTAAGATTTTTCAGCCCCTGATATCCAATTTTCATGAATCTTGAGTTTGCATTCATTAGAAATACTAAGGTAATTCCTATACATATCTTAACCTATTATGAATGCAGTTTCTACATGAGACCATGTTTTTTCTTTAGCATCCCCATAAGGCTCATTCTTATTGATAAAGCACTTAGAAGAAGAATCATTTTCAGTAGCTTTTAGCTTTCCTTGTCACCTCTTAAGTACTTCTGTCCAGACGGTGGATCTATGAAAGTCTTTGCGCTATAACATCATCTATAAAGCTCTATTTTACTTATGGCATGGTTTAGATATTTCAGCCTTTTTGCTTATAATTTTATTAGAAAGTATATCATATGTAAAAGCGTATATATAATTTTATATGTGCTATTTTAAATAAGAGTAAATTGACACTCCATATGCAGACTACAAAACTTAAGACACAGAACGTCTCAGAGGCTTTGAAGCCCTCAGTATGTTCCCCAATAATTACATGATGTTTTCCACACAAAGGTAACCATCCTGGTTTTCATGTTAATAATTCTCTTACTTTTCCTTATAAGTTCATTCCATAAGTCAATAGCTAAAAAATAGGATGTATATAACAAAATTTTAAGTATATTATGCAGTTTTATGTAATTTTGACTCACTACAGTCAGTCTTTGAATTCAGTTTTATTCAATAATTTATTTTTGAAATGTACCTGTGTTCAATGTTTAATATTGAAAGTTCACTGTACATTTGGAAATTCTATTTATTCTTCTATTTTTTTGAGACAGAGTCTTGCTCTGTCACCCAGAGCTAGAGTGCAGTGGTGTGATCTTGACTCACTGCAACCTCCGCCTCCTGGGTTGAGCGATTCTCCTGCCGAAGCCTCCCGTGTAGCCGGGATTACGGGTGCCTGCCACCATGCCTGGCTAATTTTTGTATTTTATGTAGAGATGGAGTTTTACCATGCTGGCCAGGCTGGTCCCAAACTGCTGACCTCAAGTGATCATCCCATCTCAGCTTCCCAAAGTGCTGGGATTACAGGCGTGAGCCACCGCGCCCGGCCTGAAATTGTATTTATTTCTATTGATGAAATGAATTGTGGTACATTTTGTTGTATAAATAAACTATGTTTTACCCATGATTATATTGTGAACAATTTTCTTCTGTTTCTGCTGGGGCATAAAAGAACATCATTAGGAATATATACCTACATAACAGATCAATTGCAGAGGCTTAGTATTTCTATCCTTACATTACCAAATAATGCTATATTATTCTCTCAAGTGGTTGAGTTCGTTTATATTCCCACTAGCAATATACGATACCTCACCTGACTTCACATTCTCACCAGCCCTTGGAATGACTAGATTTTATCACTTTTGTAAATTTTATGAGTATAAAGTTGCATCTTTTTGTGATTTTATATTAACAGCTGCCTCTTAAAGTAAGATTATGGAGACTTCAAAGGAAGCCAGTAACTATTAGCAAGAGTAGAATCACCGATTTTTTAATATATGTGGTAGGGAGAAAGATTCTGGAGGTGGAGTGCAGAAAATTTGGCAAAAGAACAGCATTGAAAACAACCAGGAGGCAAGAGAGAGCATATGGCATCCATTCCTGAGCACTGGGTATCTCAGGAACTGAAAGCATTTCAGAAGATTGAAGAATAAGAGAGGCGGGAAGCAAGGCTACAGGAAAGAGCTGGGCAGTGTTGAGATTCAACGAATGTGCCAATCACTTAAGGAGTTAGAATGTTATTGAATGAATACATTCAGCAGACGAAGAACTGTTATAATGGTATCAGTGGGAGAGTTACTGTCTACGCTTGAAGCGTAGGAAGATTGCTCAGGCCACAGTCTGAGAAGAGAACTACGTGAGAGGCAGAGAGAACGGTTGTGGTGAAAGACCAAAATGGCCCAAATTAAAGTCGCTTTGTGTGAACCAGGAGAAATGGACAGATTCAAGGCCTGTTTGGATGATGAATTCATAGGTAAGGAAAAAGAGAAAACTCTTTTTATCTCTTACTCTATTTTACAAATTCTTATTCCCTTATCCAAGAAAAGAGATGACAGGGAGAGATTTTATTAGTGTTTTAGGAGCAACCTGTTCCCTCAGCCGCTGGGAAACATCACTATTAAGAAGAAATGCCTGCCAAGGCAATCACAGGGCCTCTTGGCATTACCCACCCTGTAGAAATGAGCCACAGTGAAAAGGAATCTCTCTCATTTATGTGGCTGAATGGTATGGATGAAGCCACCTCAGCAAGCACAGCTGGCAGCTAGCCACCTGACTCCTGAGCTTTAACAGGTATGTTCCTCTTTGAAAGGATGGGGAGGAGATGGATTCTCCAGCTGCTGCTTTTAACAGTAGATATCCCAGTAGGTGACAAGATGTTTTTGGTAAACTAGAGATACTGTTCCTATATTTGGTCTTCATTTACTTTTGCAGTTCTCTCTAGAGGCTTGTGGATTCCTATCCCCTGAAAATAGAGAAAGCCCTATGATGGAACCTATATTTCTGATCAGATAGAAAATTTGAACCATTCTCTCGTTATTTCACTCATATGATCTGTAAGTGTGCATATGATTGTGTTGGAAGGGGATTGAATATGTGAAGTTGCAGAAACTACGTGGGTGTTGTAAATTAAATTTACTTAAAGTCAGATATGAGAAGTGACTTTCAAATGCTGATTTTCCCTGCATTTCTTTTAAACAGGGATGAATACTTGTTTGAATTTCCTGAGAAATATAGAATCTCAAAATTTTCCCGAGTGATTATTTGCAATAGGATTGTGAGACATGCTGAATAAATAATAAGAACATGAATAAGAACATGATTTTCTGTTTTTGTACCAATATCATGCTGTTTTAGTTACTGTAACCCTATAATATAGCTTAAAGTCAGGTAATGTGATGCCTCTAGCTTTGTTCTTTTTGCTTAGGGTGTCTTTGGCTATTTGGCCTCTTTTTTGGTTACATATACATTTTAAAATAGTTTTTTTTTTTCAGTTCTGTGGAAATGACATTAGTAGTTTGATAGGAATAACATTGAATTTGTAGATTGCTTTGGGCAGTATGGGTATCCCCAATGAAACAGAATAGAGAACCCAGAAATAAAGCTACACAGCTACAGCCATCTGATCTTCAACAAAGTCAACAAAAATAAGCAATGGGGAAAGGACCACTGCTTATTTTTATTCAATAAATTGTCCTGGGATGGCTGACTAAACATATGCAGAAGAATGAAACTTGACTCCTGTCTGTCATCATACACAAAAATTAACTCAAGATTTAAGTGTAAGTTCTCAAACTATAAAAATCATAGAAGAAAACTTAGGAAACACCATTCTGGATATTGGCCTTAGGAAAGAATTTATGACTAAGGTTCTTAAAAGCAATTGCAACAAAACCAAAAATTGACAAGTGGGACCTAAATAAATTAAAGAGATCCTGCACAACAAAAGCAACTATCAACAGAGTAAACAGACAAACTACACAATGGGAAATATATTTACAAACTATATATCTGACAACTGTCTAAAGTCTGGAATCTATAAGGAACTTAAATAATTCAACAAACCCAAAACAAATAACCCTATTAAAAATGGGCAAAAAGGCATGAACAGATACTTATTAGAATAAGATACACAAGTGGCCAATAAACATGAAAAAATGCTCATATCACTAATCATCAGAAAAATGCAAATCAAAACCACAATGAGATACTATCTCACACCAGTCAGAATGCTTTTTATCAAAAAGTTAAAAAAAAAAAAAGAGATGCTGGTGAGGCTGTGGAGAAAAAGAACACTTACACACTGTTGGTGGGAATGTAAATTAGTTCAGCCACCATGGAAAGCAGTTGGGAGATTTCTCTAAGAACATAAAACAAAACTGCCATTCAACTCAACAATCCCATTGCTGGGTATATATCCAAAAGAAAACCAATCATTCTGCCAAAAAAAAAAAAAAAAAAAAAAACCTGCATGCATTTGTATGTTCATCACTGTGTTACTCACAATAGGGAAGACATGGAGTCAACCTAGGTGCCCATCAGCAGTGGATCAGATTAAAAAATGTGGTACGTATACACCACGGAATACTACACAGCTGTGAAAAACAATGAGATCATATTCTTTTCAGCACCATAGATGCAGCTGGAGGCCATTATCATAAGCAAATGAATCCAGAAACAGAAAACCACATACTACACGTTCTTACTTATAAGTGGGAACTAAAAAATGTATACTCACGGACATAAAGATGGCAACAGTAGAAACTCTAGGAACCGCTAGAGAGGGGAGGGAGGAAGAGGATCAAGGATTGGAAAATTAACTATTGAGTACTATGCTTAGAACTTGAGTGATGAGATCATTAGTACCCCAAAACTCAATATCATGCAATAGTGTGCAGGTAACAAATCTGCACATGTATCCCCTGAATCTAAAATAAAAGTTGAAAAAAAATAGAATACGATTTTCCAAACAAAATGCTGTGTATATTATTTTCAACTTTTATTTTTTGAATAAACTTCTTCAAATATCTTATGATTTCCTGCCCTTAGAATGAAAATTCAATCTGTCATTAAAGATGCTGTTTCTCCTTTTCTACATTTTTTCTCATTCCCAACTCCTGCAAGAAAACCTACACGAGCAAATGAATATAAAATGCACAACGACAGTTCCCTAGATAGTAAATATGCTATTATTTTTGTCATCATTATACAAATAAAGTTTCAAATTAGTATTTAATGTTTATTAATAAATATATGATGTACGTAGAACATTTGTAGCATATATGCAAGTGATGAAGCATGAAAATTAAGTGAACAACTATAAATTCACCATTCTTTATAAGAAATAGAACGTTATGAATGTCATTGCATATGAATATATGCTTATATTTCTTCCTTTAATTTTCCTTTCCCCAGCAGGTAGTCATTTCCGTGAATATAGTGTTTATTTAATTTCGTTTTCGATTTTTGTCCTGGGAAGTGGCAAAAGTGGGCTTGCAATAATCCCTATGGTTTTAAGTCAGCCAGCATTATTCTTGAATGTTTTCCAGGATACTTCTAACTTTAGACTCATTCTGTCCAGTCTGTTTTTAATATTGGGCTCTGGCTCCACCTTCCATTGGTGGCCCTGATTCATCTTCCAGATCTGATGTTTTGAAGAGCATTCAATATCTTTTACTACCGACTTTTCTAGGAAAATGTTCATAGTAAACCCCATCACCAACATCTCTGGTCCTTGAGTCAAATCTACCTTAGTCATCCTGTTGAAGGTGACTTCTTTGAAGTCAGTAGATCCAATGACCATGTATTTCCTGGCTATGTTTTTCCTCATGCAGACCCAACGTAGGATGATTAAACAACCAACAGACCCTTTCGGAAGATATTGTCCTTGCTATTCCAAAGCAGCTTCAAGGCAAGTACCTTAGCCTCACTCCAACACTTCCAATCATATCTGGCAATGAAAAGCCCTACAAAATGGTAATTCTGCAGTTTTCCTTACATGAGAGTTATTTCTATATAGCATCATATGAAATCTAGTCAAAAGGATGAAAGCATGAAAAGTGTGGCAATTTTATTCAGAATAGCTACAATTAAACAGAATACATTTGCTTAATTTTGATATAAATAAGTTCAAAGGTACATAATTAGAATTAAATACCATTGGATCACCTGTCCTAGCCTATGCAGATACCTCCTATAATACATCGTAGAGTGATTTTCCAATCTTCGCTGTACCAAATTAGAGTTTCGCCTGTTCGAATGGACAATTACTCCATAACATAATTTATCATAAAAACTCTTCCAGCTTAGTTTCTTTCCTTCTCAATATGACAACATTACTTCTTATCAAACTTCATTTTTTTATGATTTCAACCTTCTAAGCCTTCCAAATTACTTCTCTTATGTAAATATATTTGCCCATGATAAATTTTCTCCATTTTCCTTGTCCTTTTTTGTTTGAAACTATGAGCCATTAAGTTCCCTTTATCACTTAGGAATGAATACGAAGTTTGGTTGCATATAAATAACTAATAAAAAATGAGAGGACCCATCAACTACGTGATGCTCTTCCATAGAAGTTATTTTACCTGTGAAGTGCATTAACCAATTGCTGTCATGTCTTACCCTCCACCCCAAAAATAATTGCTTTGCCACTTTCCACTGTGTTCATATACTGTACCATATTTATTATTATTATTATTGAGACAAGATCTTGCTCTATCCCTCAGGCTGGAGTGCAGTGGCACCATCATAGCTCACTGCATCCTTGAACTCCTGGTCTCAAGTGGTCCTCCTGCCTCCTGCTTTCAAATCACTGGAATTACAGGTGTGAGCCACTGCTCCCAGCCTGTAGCATGCTATATTGCCCCCCATTTTTAGTTTGTTTGTTTTTTTGCAATTTGATTTATTGGCTGTCTTAGTCCATTTTTGCTTCTATTACAGAACACTAGAGGCTGGATAATTTATAAGAACAGAAATTTACAATTTTTACAGTTCTAGAGGGAGGGAAATACAAGATGAAAGCGCTGGCAGATTTGATGTCTAGTAAAGGCTTGATCTCCACTTCTGAATGCTGCCACCTTCTAAGGGGAGGGACAGGAGGGACATTGTTATTCCCATGGGAGAAAAGTGAAAGAGGCAAGAAAGATAACCCACTCCAAAAAGACTTTTTAAAAAGGTATTAAATCCAATTATGAGGGCAGAGTTCTCATGGTCTAATCACTTCTTAATGGTCCTACCTCCCAATACTATTACACTGGTAACTAAATTTCAACAAGAGTTGTTGAGGGGACAAACATTCAAGCCACACCACTGACTATGTTGTTACTGCTTTTCAAAACCTGTCATTTTCAATAATAAATGACATATGGTTAGCTTATTTTCATTTATATAACTACTTTGCCACTATTTGTTTCTGAAAGTTGTATCTAAGAGTCTCTGGACTTGGAAACTTTTATTTAGTCTAATTACATATTTTGTTAATTAATTCATTACTTATTAACTTATTTCCAAATGTCTCAGTTGGGAATATCTAACAATACTTATAACCCAACCCTGCTGTGAATCTATTCCCTAATAACTGCACTGCTATAGCTCACTATTTATGGAAAAAATTTGAGACTTTAATATGATATTTTTATCTAAGTAGATTTAGCCAGAGTTTGCAAATAAAATTACTCACAGATCTTAATTAAATAAATGATGTCATAATAGCAGATGGTTTGTTTCTAAAATGGAAACTTTTAAATCTTATTATTGGAAGTAGAGAAAACAGTGTCTCCTTGGTCTGCAAACTTCAAGGAAGTGTTTACTTACTCACTATGTTTTATTTTAATAGTCATCTACTCTGACTTCACACTGAAATGGTTTTTAAAAGTACTGATATTTAAACTTGGTGTCTTAGCTTTCTGATTTAATTTATGTGAGTTGGTGCCCAGGCTTCAGTATCTTAAAAGCTTCCCCGATAATTCAAAAATGCATCCAGAGTTAAGATCAACTGCCGTATTACAACACTTATTTCAGTTTGTATGTTAATCTAGCAAACAGTTCTAGACTATATTGCCAATTGACAATCTATTCCACCATGACAGTATTGTCCTGAGGTACTGGTTATAGGCTTTGAAATCAAAAAGCATGTGTTTAGAATTCTGACTGAGTTGACTCTGCAACTTTGAAAAATTTACCTAAAATCTCAAGCTACTTAAGGGTACCTGGGTTTCTCAATTGTAACACTAACTTCACAATATTATAAAGAATATTAAATAAATTAATATAATACAACATGCCAACTATTTGACATAGTACTTGGCCTACAATAAACTTTCAATAATAATACTTTTTATTCAATTACCCCCAAATAATTCAGATGAAAATTTAAACAAATTAATATGAATTCTGATTTATATATGTAATACATATACGTGTGTATATATATGTGTTTGTGTGTGTGTAGGTATGTGTGTGTATATATATATATGTCTATATGTGTGTGTAATATATATTTCCAAGTGGCAGAAATAAAATCAATATAAATTACTTAAAAAGTAGTCCGGCAAAAAATATTTTTTAAAATTAAACAGACATATATTAAACAATTTTGTGTCAGCTATGCTGTTTCTATAGTGACAAATAATTCAAGGTGTAAAGAAAAAAATTAAGTGACTTAATTTTGAAATCAGATGGTAAGAAGTGAAACAAAAAAATTGCTTGTAACTACAATACTTTATTTTAAATAAACTGAACTGTCACTTGGTGGAGGTGGTTTGCTTATTTCTCCTCTAGTACATAATTTCAGGGACACTTAGCTCTCAAAAGAAGCTCCTTTAAAAAGAAGCTCAAAAGAAGCTCCTTTTAAAAAAGGAGACAAAGGATCTCACAGAGTGATACAAATGTACTCACTATTTTTGCTCAAGATGGATTTTTCCCACAGGGGAAATTCCTAGAACATAGAAGAAAATTTAATTACTAAGAAACACACTCAATCCAAGCTGTAGACAGCCTTACACGTGACAGTCAAGACTAAGTGTCTACACTAGAGGAGAGGATGAGTAAATTAGAAAGGAGTCTAGTATGGTGGTTGAGAATGTGTCTCTGTCAGTAACTGGCTGTGTAGCTCAGGGCATATTACTTAACCTGTGCGTCCCTCATTTTTCTACACCTGTAAATACACAACTGTATAGTATTTTGTGAGACTCAAATGAAGTGATATAGTTATGCTCTTAGAACATTGTGTATATAATCCTGTAAGTGATCTACTCTTATTACATCTGTAACAGAATGAGAGTATTCCATTATGTTTTTTATAATCACAAGAAAAGGACTATATTATTATGTGAAAAAAGAAAGAAAAATAGTGCATAAAGTTTATGACTTTACCTATATGAAGATCATGCATAAAAATTACAAAAATTAAAAAATAAAAAAAGTTACCAGGAATAATGTCTAGGAAGTGAGAAATTGAGTTACTTACTTTTTATCATATTTATCTTTATTCTTTAATTTTCTTTCTTTTTTTTTTTTTGAGACGGATTCTTGCTTTGTCACCCAGGCTGGAGTGGTGCAGTGGCGCAATCTCGGCTCACTGCAACCTTCGCCTCCGGGTTCAGACAATTCTCCTGCCTCAGCTTCCCTAGGAGCTGGGACTACAGGCGCCCGCCACCACACCCGGCTAGTTTTTTTTGTATTTTTAGTAGAGACGGGGTTTCACCATGTTGGCCAGGCTGGTCTCAAACTCCTGACCTCATGATCCACCTGCCTCGGCCTCCCAAAGTGCAGGGATTACAGGCGTGAGCCACCGTGCCCAGCCTCTATTCTCTAATTTTCTAAAATAAGTTTATGCTGATTTTATAACTAAAATAATACTGTAATCATATCATGTCATATCATATTATGTAATATGCATTTATATGCATATGAGCTTTTCCTTATTGTCTACTGTAAACGTTGGTAGAATAATATTATTTCTTTCTTAAATGTTTGGAAGAATTCACACGTGAAGCCATTTAAGTGAAATGCCCTCTTGGGATGGTTTCTAATGAACCTATGATTATAGGTTCATTTTCTTTATCAGCTATACGACTATTGAGATTTCTGGTATCTTTTTGGACAAGTATTATAAGATGTGTTTTTCAGAGAATCTGTTCACTTTGTGTACCCTGTCATATTTATTACATGATATTTTTATAATGTCTTATATCCTTATTAATGTCTGTAAAATTTGTAGTAATCTCCACTATAGTTTTTTTTTTCCTTTTTTCTTCTCACTTATTTGGAGTTTATCAATTCTATTGACTTTTTCAAAGAATCAACTTTGGGCTTTATTGAATGTCTTTTGTTTTGTCTCTGGTTTCAATTTTATTGATTTATTGTTTTATCTTTACTATTTGCTTTCTTTTTAAATTTGTTATTTTATTTTATTTATTTACTTATTTTTGAGACAGGGTTTTGCTCTGCTGCCCAGGCTGGAGTGCCGTGGCATGGTTCTAGCTCACTGCAGCCTCAAACTCCTCAGATGGAGCAATCCTCCCACCTCACCCTCTCAAGTAGCCAGGACTACAGGCTCACACAACCATGCCCAGCTAATTAAATTTTTCTTTTTTTTTAGTTTATAGACATGAGATCTTGCTGTGTTGCTTAGGCTGGTCTCAAACTCCTGGCCTCAAGCAATCTTTCCACCTAGGGCTTTGAATGTGTTAGGATTACAGGTGGGAGCCACCACATCTGGCCTTATTTGCATTTTAATGCTTACATTATTTTTAACTTGTTGTTTTGCCTAGTAGGAGCTTGAAGTAGAAGCTTATATCATTAATTTTTCTTTAAAAATTACTAGGCGAAATGAATTTCACACAATAGTAAAAGAATACTATAATTAGTCCCCACTAGTTATCATCCAGCTTCAATGATTGTCAGTATTTTTCCCAAGCTGATTTCGTCTATACCGCTCCACCACCTACCCTCTCTGGTAAATGTTTTATAGTTCTATTGAGACATAATGTATATGCCAATCCCCTAATTTAAATACACAAAAATATTTTTTAGTAAATTTGCAGAGCTGTAAAAGCATCACCACAGTCCAGTTTTAGAACATTTTCATCACCCCAACCTCCATTCCATTCTGCAGTCAATTCCCACTCGGACACCTAACCCAGGAAACCACTGATTTTTTTGTCTAGAGATTTAGCTCTTCTGGGCTTTTCATTTAAAGTGAATTACACAATATATAGCATTTCAAATATGACTTCCTTCCCTTAGTATTATGTTATTATGATGCATCCATGTTATAGCATGTTCGATTTTATTGCTGAATGGTATACCATCTTGTGGATAAATCACATTTTGTTTATCCATTCACGAATCAATGGACATTTAAATTGTTTAAGATTTTTGGTGATTATATTTAATGTTACTATGAATATTTATGTATAACCTCTGTGTGGTTATATATTTTCCTTTCTCTTTTATAGATATCTAGGAGAGGGGTTACTGGAAAATGCCAGACTTCTATAATTTTACATTCCTAGGAGCAATGTAGCTAGTTTATAGTTTCTCTACATTCTATCTGATACTTGTTATTGCCTATAATTTTTATTATAGCCAGTAAAATGTGTATGAAGTGATATCTTAATATAGTTTTAATTGCATTACCCTAATGATTAAGGATGCTGAACATCATTTTATGTGCTTATTGATTATATATTTTTGGTGAAATGTCTATTTACATGTCCTATGGGTTGAATTGTGTCCTCTAAAAGATATTTTGGAGTCTTAACACACAGTACTTAGAAATATAACCTTATTTGGAAATAGGGTCTTCACCGATGTAATAAGTTAAGATGGAGGTTGTACTAGAATAGGATGGGCCTTAATCCAATGTGGTTCATGTCCTTCAGAAGAGTAGAGACACACAGGGAGGAAAATGCCATGTGAAGACGCAGACTTAGCAGACATTACCATATAGGACAGAGGAAGAGGTTGGAGCGATGCAGCTGCAAGTGGAGAATCGCCAAGGATTGAGGGCAACCACAAGAACCTAGAAAGAGGCAAGGGTGGATTCCACTCAGAGTTTCAGAGGGAGCATGGCCCTGCTGACACTTAGATTTTGGACTTACAGCTTCCAGAAAAGCAAGACAATAAACTTCTGTTGTTTTAAGCCGCCTAGTTTGTGGTACTTTCTTATCAATACTAGGAAACTGTAGAACATCTTTTGCTCATTTCCAAATGGGTGATTTATTTTCATACCATGAGTTGTGAGAGCTGGTCTGGACATGGGTATTTTATCAGTGATATGATTTATAAATATTTCCTTGCAGTTTGTGACTTGTTGAAATGCTGTCTGTTGCAGTGCACTCATTTTACTTTAAGTCGAACTTAAGAAAAAAAAATTATGGCATTTAGGACTAAATTCATCCCTTTATATAATAAATTTCTATTGCCACAGCATCATTTGTTGAAAAATCTCCCATTGAATTTCCTTGGCATCTTAGGTGCAAATTGGTTGGCCATAAATGTAAGAGTTTATTTCTGGATGTTAATTTTGCTTCATTGATTTGTGTACCTGTGTCTTCATCAGTTTCCTCACTGTCTTGATTACTGTAGCTTTTTAGTAGTTTCTGCAATCAGGTAGTGTAAGTCCTTCACTTTGTTATTTTCAAAATTGTTTTGTCTATCCTGGACCCTTCTCATTTTCATGACCATTTTGGAATCAGCTTATAAATTTCTATTTTAAAATTGGCTGGATTTTAATAGGGGTTCATTCAATATATAGAAAAATTTGAAAAGAGCCGTCTTCATAATTTAGTGTTTACGTATATAAAAAATGGGATGTCTCCATTTATTTAAATCTTTAGCAATGTTTTATATTAGTGCACAGGTCTTACGCTTTTTGGTTAATTTTATTCTTAAGTATTTTTTGATGCTATTATAATTTAAAATTTTATTTAATGATTGTTTATTGCTATAGTATGAATATAGTGTTTATTTTTGTGTACTGAGTTTGTATATTGTCATTTTTTTTAACTCAATGATTAGTTCTAGCAGGAATTTTGTGAATTCTTTAGGATTTTGGCATTCGGGACCACATCACCCGAAAATAAAATCGGTTTTCATATCTCCTTCCAAACTGTATAACTTTTATTTCTTTTCTTTTCTTTTTTTTTTTTTTTTGTCATATTTCACTGGCTAGAATCTTTAGTGCAATTTTAAATGGACGTGTCAGGAGCAGTTATTTTTGCCTTGTTCCTAACCTTACACTCAGTCTTAAACCACCAAAGGTGATGTTTACTGTAGATTTTCTAGATACTGTTATTAAGGTGAGGAAGTTGCCTTCACTTTCTAGTAGTTGAGACCATTTATCAGAAATGGATCTTGAGTTTCTCAAGTATTTCTAAATATATTTGTTGAAATAAATGTGTGATTATTTTGTTCTTTATTTTGTTAAAATAGTGTGTTACATTAAGTGCTTTTAAAATTTTAAACCAATCTTTCATTCCCATTACAAATTCTATTTAGTTCTGATATATCATAGTTTTATATGTTGAAAGATTCTATTTGCTAATATTGTTAATGGCCACATATTTTGTCTATATTTTTGAAATAACATAGATTTTTGCTTCTGTGTTATTGGTCTGTAGTTTTCTCGTGATGTCTTGATCTGACTTCGGTATCAGACTAATACCGATCTTCAAAAGTGAGTTGTAAAGTATTTCCTTCTCTGTTTTCTGAAATACTTTGTAAGGACTGATATTTCTTCTTTAAACATTTGTTAGGACCCTCTCCAGTGAAGCCATGTGGAATGGACCTGTTCTTTCTAGGAAGAGTTTTAATAACTAATTTATTTGTGTTACTTGTTATAACCCTACTCAGATTTTCTATTTCTTCTTTTATCAATTTTAGTAATTTGTATCTCTCTTTCAAAAAAGTTATTGATTTGGCTATGTTGTATAAGAAAGAAATTCAAGCCTCAGGAGGACAAGTCTGGGAATTAGGGCCCCAAGATAAGATCTGGCTTTTTCTTTGAGATTGTGTTGTTTGGTAAGACATTTCATTTCTGTGGGCTGCTAAACCTGTCACTTCGCCCTAGAAGGAATTGACAAGATAACCTTTGAGGGACCAACAATAGATTCTTTCACATTAGGCAGAGGAGAATATCCAGTTAAACAATCAGCCATTTATTTGTTCATTATTAGATGCTTTATTTTGAAAGTTCTCATTTTGTTTATGAGTGTTATTTGTTGCTGATGTTTTGTTTTTGTTCTGTTTTTTGATATTGTATATTCAAGGTTTGAAAATATTTACAATAACAGGCCTATTGTCCTATTGTTTCTAGAGCAGGAGGCATGAATAACTAGGGAAACTCATCTGAAAAGCAAATATAAAATTTCATGACATTTTACACTTTTTGGCAAGTCCTGGGATTGGAGAAACAGCAATTTGACAGTCATGGAAACTTTTTCTCTCATTACAAATCTACAGGTTTATATGATTTGTAAAAATAATCAACATCTTAGGAATCACTGCATCATTAATAACACTTTCTATAAAACATTACATTTACTTCCATTTATTCTAGATTTCTTAATGTAATAAAGTAGTATTCAGATATGAAATATGGCCTAACCCTGTGGCTTTCAAATATGTTTTTCTGTGACCCATAATAAGAAATGCATTTTATATCACAAGTTAGAACAGACATAATATCTCCTACTCCCCAGCCCCCAGGACACATAGTCATAGACATAAATATTTCCAAAGTAGTACTTGGAGAGTGTAAAAGTGCACTTCAAAATTGCTATTGTGTTTCACTTTATTTGGTTTCCTTCTTTTGTCAGGGTGGCAGAAGAGGATAACTCATTAAATGGATTTTATCACTCATTAATGGTCACTAACCACAGTTTGAAAAGTATTGGTCTAGTAAATGTAATTGGCATTTAACTAATGCACCCTGCAGAGCTCGAAAGCAGTCAATCTTCCAAAGGTGGTAGGCTCATATTATTTAGAGAGCTGTTCAGAGCAGACTAGTGGATAGATCATTAAAGAATGTCCTTTAATATGCAGAGAGAATTGGGAGATGCCATATTTGTTTGAGGAATTAATTTTATGTTTCAATACCACCACCACTTATCATACCTACTCTACCCATACTTTGTCCCTAATACAACAACTTATAAGGTAAAAGGATGTACAGACAGGTCGTTTTTGCAATCAGGGTAACCTGAATTTAACTCTAGGTCCCATTTAACAAAGGACCACAAACTGGGAGTTAAAATAACAGAATCTTATTGTTTCACATCTCTACGGGCTTTTAGTCAAAAATCAAGGTGTCTGCAGGGCCATGCCCCCTCTGAAATCTCTACGGCAATCGTTCCTGGCCTCTTCCTGGCTCTGCTGGTTTGCTGGCCATCTTTGCAGGCTTTGGCTTGCAGCTGTATAACTCCAATCTGTTTCATCATCATTACACAGTGTTTTTCCTGTGTGTTTCTGGCTTTATGTGGCTCCATTTTCCTATGCACCCCAATTATATTGGATTAGCTGCCCCCCTTACTCCAGTATGACCTCATCTTGACTAGTTGCATCTACAACAACTCTACTTCAAAAGAAGGTTGCATTCGGAGGTACTGGAGGTTACCACTTCATCATATCATTTTGGGGGAGACACAATTCAACCCAAAACACTAGGAATCTCATTTCTGCACACATTGTTTCCTCTCAGGTTTTATCTGTGTTAGCAGATATGAGTCTACTCTCAGAAGATTTAGAGAGAGGACTATTGATGAAATTAGTGATACCAGATGAAAGGGAAAAAAATGTTGATTTCAAGTAGGGAAACTTCAGAAGGAAAATAATTTAATTGCAATTCCACCTAAGGCTGTGTCCCATTGTATCACCCAGAATCCTCTCAAGCACCACTCTTGACAGACAGGATCTCATTTCCTTTCAACTCCAAACTTTTGACACGGACTCTGGGATTTTTCTCTCTCCTCTTCTTTGGCCTGGAAATAATCCTAAATTCCTAAAGTCATCAATTCCAGTGTAACAACTCTAGTTGGGTTCACTGTTATTTCGTTGTTATTTGCAAGAATGCTGAGCTTTGGATTAAAAGAGAAAAAAAGAAAGAAATCCATCGGCGGCTGACTGGCTTTCTCCTGCAGAACCAGAGGCCGGAAAATAAATGTTTGCACCTTTAATGACCTCCATTGTCCTGACTTCACAGAATCCCCAGGGGCAGCTAATCCCCTGGAACAATACAGTACAGATGTTTCACACGATAAGAGGGCTAATTCCAGACCAATCAGAGTCACTCCAAATGTCAGCATTCCAAAATAAAGTTAAAATATGGGGCAAACAGATGCAACCTCTACAGTCGGAGCTCTTTGTCAGTGATCTCTGCTTTGTTTAAGGCCATGGCCACTTTCTCCTTAGTGAGAGCTGAGCTGTGCAGGGTGTTCTGCTGTATTTGCTGTATTCACTACTTTTATAAGTTCCCTTCCAGATAAATATTGCTCAACATTTTCCGGACTTTTACACCCTCCTCTGTCTCTGTGAAAATTACCAGTAGGCAAAGCAGTTAGGAATCATGGTTTTTAAATCTGAATGATAAAAATTTAAGTCGTGTTCAATGATTCAAAGTTTTGATGGAGGCAGAGAAAAAGTTCCCCAAATCTCCACTCTGACATGAAGAATTCCTTTGCTTAAATGAAAAATGTTAAGAAATTTGCTGGAGTTACCCAGGTACATGCTGTAAACTTTTTTTATTTTTGTGTTTGATATAAAAGTAATTCTAATATTACTACTAACTTCATGTTTATGAGTTAATAGTATAAGTGAATTTGATATTAATAATAAAGTATAATACACTTAATTCTTACCTATATTTTATTTTATAATTTACTATTTCATCTATAGATTATATTTTGTAATTTTTTTACTTTAAGAATCACACAGACTTAACTGTTTTTCCATAAAAGATAGATTATATTCAATGTACAAGTCAATGAAAAAATTTTCTCAACATATAAAACATTAAAATGTGAAGAATCAAATATTAAGGTTCAGAAAATGTGGAAATTCTAAGTCCTATATAAAACTATCTACATTGTAGAGATCCAGAGATGCTTTTGATTAAAAAAAAAAAAGACTTTATGCTTTTGGGATTCTTTTAGAATTTGATTTATTTTTTAACCATTTTAGACCCATGGTTAAAAAATTATTATTTGAGTATAAGACAGTAAAACGATTCCTAAGATTCATGAGAGGGTCTATTTTTTTTCTCTGTGTAAATCTAGCTTGGCTTTAAACATTGTGACTCATCCCTCTGCCATCTATAAGTGATGAGAGTCATTCCATAGATTTTCAAGCATTGGAGCCAACGGAGTTGCTAAAATAAAATAATTGAAAGGATCAATTTATGACAATAAGTTATCTAGTGTATTTCATTGGAAAAAAATTGTGCCCTATGACAAGCTTCCAGGTTTAAAATAAGGCAAACAATATAATCTGGTGTCTATTTGGAGGAGGGGATCCAAAATAATTCTGCACCAGAGTTACATTTTCATATTATTTTGTTGAAACAAACTGCAAGCCTATTGTCATAGTTGAGATTCCACTTCACAAGGTTAGCTTTTCCCTTTTAGTTCTTTCTTGGCCTTATCAGCATAATCTCTTGTCTTCTCAAAGAATACCAGCTAAAATGAGGTTTTATGCTTATTTGCTTTACTTTTTAAATGTCCTTGTTTTCCTTTTGCTTGTTGAATTTTAAAATTATGAATCTATTTGGTTACAAAAAAAAAACAAAAAAGATGTGTATCTGTTTAGATTGATCGCCCATAATTCTTCTGGACAATAATCTGTATCTACCTAGGAGTTCGGTCATTTCTAGGTCACCATCATCAGCTGCTGATCAACACAATTGTTTGGCCAAATGGGGAATCTTATCTGAGTCACTGAAAGAACAAGAGAAAAACATAAAAAGAGAGGATATTAGTTCCCCCCTCCCCTGTTTGTCTCTTTTCCTGTTCCTATCTCTCCCTGTCATTTTTTATGTCCCCATTGTCTATCTTGTTTCCTTTTTTCATTATTATTGTTAATTCATAATCCTTTCTTTTGATTTTTTGAATACCTCTGTTGTAAAAGTTATTTCATAGTAAAGCTAGATTTCAGAGCAGACCAACAGAAAGATTTTTCTGTTAAATTAGCCCAATTACTTATCCACTTATCATCATCATATATCATCTTTTCCCTAAATTCTCTCTTTCTCTCTCCGTATTACTATTATTTTTTTTAGAGACAGGGTCTCATTCTGTCTGTAACTCAGGCTGGAATGCAGTGGTGTGATTATAGCTGCCTGCAACTTCAAACACCTGGGCTCAAGTGATTGTCCTAGCTCAGTCTCTCAAGTAGCGAGGACTAAAGGTGCACATTGCCATGTTCAGCAATTTTTTGTAGACGTGGGGTCTCTTTATGTTGTCCAGGCTGGTCTCAAATTCCTGGTCTCAAGTGATCTTCCTGCTTCATTGGGATTACAGGTGTGAACCAGTATGTCTGGCCAAATTCTCAGTTTTAAAGTAGTTTTCTTGTTGTGTTTCTCTGCTTATCTGTTTTCACTCCACTTCTTGAAAAATAATATCAGGATATAATTGGAAATTTGTGAATCTGAACTACTGTTCAGCCTTGCCAGCAGAGCTATAACTAACCCATTGGCATGTTTGTTTGTTTGCTGGTTATTTGTTTTCACTATTTTCTCAAAGCAGCCTGTACCCAGGAGTTGAGTAGTTAGTAGCCCTAAACATTTACAAGATGGTTGTTCAGTGAACATGTTTGTTTGAGAGGATAATCCATGTAGTATGTTTCTTCAAGGAGAGGCCAAAGTCTTTCCAACTCAGTTCATGATAAATTTATGTCTTGACAGCTGAGAATGGAGTTTTAGTATTTAAGCCAACAGAGTTGATTTTTAAAATGTTCATTTAAACAGCTCACATAGAAATAATGATGTGGTCTTTGTACTTGAAAAGACCCTTATGGAACATGAATAATAATTTTAAAGACTGCATTTGGCTGCTGACTTGGTTGATTAGTGTTCCCATAAAAACCTTAATTCCAATGTGTGAAAAAAAATACTGTGTGAATATGTAAGCCAAATTGATACTAACTATAAGACAACAGGCAAAAAGCCATGGAAGTTCAGGACCTTTGCAGAAGAAGAAAATACTATTTATAAATGACTAAATCTGTGGGGATAAGGATGGGAAGAAAACGCAGTGTTTGGCATCAACTGGTCATATGAAAAAGATGGCTAATTTAGCATTCTACAAAGTATTTCTTAGAAGCAAAACCCTGGAGATCTATTAGATCCACTGAAAATGCATGGTTTGTCATCATTAATACAACATTAATAAGTGAATTGAATAAATATTACTTCTATCAAATTAAATTCATGAGAATAATATTGAGCCTTTTTTGCTTTTCTATTTGATCAAATCTCTTCTTCTAAAATATGCTTTGTTTAATCTGTTCTGAAAAGTGTTATCATGGACTTCTTGGACTATTTTATAATTTGGTTCTTTAAAGTGTTAAGCTAATAAGAAAACTATGCATGAAGATCATTATCTGAACATTTGTTGGATCATTTATCACAGAGAAGAAATTTTTAAATATTCTGGGACATTTTTGTCTGGAGCCATAAGTTGAAAGAGAAAACTTATGTAAAACAATAAGATTTTTTCTGGTCACGTGCCATATTTCCTGATCCATTGTGTTTGGCACCAGGAAACAACTTGGCATGAGCCAGTAAGAAATCCATCAGCAACTGTGTCAACTTTATCACTTCCTGAGCTCATGCTTGCAGGAAGTGGATACAAAAACAATGATTTTAAAAAAGCAAAATGTCTCTTTGCTATTTGAAAAATAAAAAAATACACATTTAACACTTACTTGCCATCTACCTAGAGTAAATAAACTAGATATTTCTCCTAACAATAGACAATGAATATATTATAATGCATCACATGAGCCTTCATTTCTGAAATAAAATTAAAAATGCATTTCCTTTTTTAAATTTGTTTGTTGTGCTTTTTAAAAACTGAAACAGACCATATGAATTTAAGTGTGTGTTTAAGAGATAGGAAAAAAGGATGATGAATGTAATGTCAAATTCAGAAACATTACAAGATGCTACTTGCAGAGAAAAATAGTTATTTTACTCCAAATGACTAAGAAGATTCACAGAGCAGTATGTCAGAAACACTTCACTGGGGCTTTTAAACGAAATGAAAATACACAAAATGTTTCCCAATGCTATGTTTGGATAAGAAAACATAATAATTAAAAGGCACAAAATCTGTTTACGTGGTACCTTGATCTTTCATGCCATGGACTGTGAAACAAACCCGTTCTTAGCCCCATTCCCTCTGGATCCAGTTTGGCTACTGGCACTCACCTGATATGTACCTGATGTTTGCAGCTGAGATAAAAATAAGTGATCATTGCTAAATATGTATTCCCTAGAAAATACACTTGGATTTTTAATAGAGTTTTATTGCCTCTCCTACTACCAGAATTCCTTCCTAAGAACTCTGCCTCCAAACCTGATTAACTCCTACATGATCTATTAAATGTAAATAGTCTTTGGATGAAATTGTCCATCAGAATGACCTAAATATTCAGGCAGGCAGGCAGACAGAATCCAAAAAGTGAAAAAAATAAGACTTTTTTTTTCTATTAATGCTTCTGTCTCCTAAAATATATAATTAGGTCATATTTATATTAGACTTACAAAGTGGGAAACAAAGATTCTAGGTGAAGCCTATACTCATATGCCTAGGTTATTAATATCTCAAGAATACCTTCTATTTCTATAGTTTCTAAAAATTCTTTAATAGATAATTGTATTTTTGGACATTGGAATTCTTATTTCCTAATTAAGAATACTGAATCCAGTGACACAATTAGTTCATCCATGTCACACAGACAGTAAGTACAAAGCCTAGGCCAGAAATCATGTCTCTTGATTCTAGCATGCTTTTCCGTATAGCATTTCCATTTTCTTTGTCACCAAAGATTGCCTCAAAGAAAGACAGCCAGGTTAAAATTTACACAGAAGCATGCTTCATTAATACATTGAATGCTAGTACATAGGTCTTGAAAAGTGACTATCTGTATTGAAAATTTGGAATATTTATCCACGTAAAATTAAATATAAAGCTGATGACAGCAATTTGTTCAACACATCATATTTTTTTAAGGTAACATTAGCTGTTGAAACAAACATTCCAACTTTCAATAGCTTAAGTGTACTTTTTCCTCAGGTCACAGTACCATAGGTGATTCTCCTTGGTGAGTGGTCCTTTCATATGACAATTCAAGACTCAACCTCCTCTCACATGGCTCTGATTTATTCTAAAGCTTTGAAGACTTATGCTCAGGGAAAGAGTGTAGGAAAATAATAACTGCCCCTCAACCAACCAAGAAGATAACATTTATTCTTAGAACCAATGTCAGTATTAGTTGATGCCTTTATCTAGCAATCAAATAGCTAATGGCTTTTATGTGAACAAAATATACTAAATATACATAAATATACTAATCCATAATGGCAGATCCTTGAGGTCAAGGGCTTTGTGTTTTGTTCACCTCTGTTATCAATCTTACTGTTGCAATTTTCTTCTCTCTATATATCCTTTTATCCAGTCAAGACCTTTTGGCCATCCTGCCTCACATAAGGGAGGGGAGAGAGAGCTTAAATACAAAAACAAAAACAAAAACAAAACAAACAAACAAAAAACCAAAACTTGTAAAGACCGTGGCCTAGAAACACAAGCCAACTAAAGGAATGAAATTAATAATAAATTTCTCTCCCTCATACCTTATCACCACTATACCAAAAAGGACCTAATATAATGATAATGGAATATAGCTGAAATACCTTCAAGATTATAGGAAGGTGTGCTAAAGGAAGTCCAAAATTGATAGAGGAGAAAACACAAAAACACAAAATAAATTTAAAACTTCTAGCACCTGAAGCTACAGCTAACATTAAAGATAGCCCAACTGCTAGCCAGATTAGAGTAAACTCTATCAATAAAGGATTAATTATCTAAATCTAAGTTCCTATTATCTGAAATAATATGCCTAGTTCTTAAATGAACAAACAAATAAATAAAAATAAGGAATTTGAGTGAGGCAAGCCAAAATATACTCTACATAACCAAAGAAGGAACCAAATTTGACTCAAATATGATATGGATGTTGGAATTATCAGGAAAAGAATGTAAAATAACTATGATTAATATGTTAAATAAACTTTGAAACAGAAATGAGGAATGCCCTTGATAGGCTCATTGATAGACTCAATATGGCCAAGAAAAGAATCAGTAAGCTTGAAGAAATGTCAATAGAAACTTACAAAACTTATATGCAATGAGATTAAAAAAAACACTAAACTAAAAAACAATATATCCAAGAACTGTGAGACTGTGGGACATTTCAAAAGGTGTAATAAATACATTATTAAAACACCAGAAGAACAGATAAAAGAGACAAAGAAATGTTAGAAGTAACATTATTCAAGCACTTTCCAAAATTAATGACAGACACTAAACAACAGATTGGGGAAGCTCAGAGAGTACAAGGCAGGATGATTACCAAAAAACTGCACCTAGGCATATCATATTCAAACTGCAGAAAACCAAGGACAAACAGAACGCCTGAAAGAAAAACAGAGGAGGTGAAAAATGTACGCTTCACCTTTACAGGAGCAAAGATGAGAATTATATTAGATGTCTCGGAAACTTCAGAAGTGAGGAGAAAATAAAGTGAAATATTTAAAGTATTGGAGGAAAATATTCAACAACCTAGAATATGATATCCAGTGAAATTATATTTCAAAAGTACAAGAGAAATAAATACAATCTCAGACAAGCAAAAAGTAATAGGAATGCTTAGCTAGCAAATTTGCACTTCAAAAGTGGTTAAAAGAAGTGATTCAGGGAGAAAGAAAGTGATTCATAGTAGACACTCAGATCTACATAAAAAGAAAAGAGGGTTGGAGAAAAAATACATGATGATAAAATATAAGTAGAAGAACAGTGCTTATAACACCAATAATTTGTTTCATAGGGATGCTATGATCAAGTTGATTCCTTCATACATTGTTGACAAAATTGTGTAATTCTTTTAAGTAACCATGAGGCTAAATAAGTTTCCAGTTCTTTATAAGTCCATTTGCCTCAGTAATTATTTTTCTGAAACTTCTCTAAGAAATGATCCAATATATGAAGCTATGATGGGGTGAGGAGTCTGTGTGTGGATGTTTCCAACAGCATTATTTATAATACAAAAAAAAATGGAAAAAATAAAATACAGGCTAAACAACTGCTGATCCACTGGAATGTTCCAGATCTACAAAAATAAAAACATATCAGATATCCCAGCATAATGTAAAAGTGATTGTACAAAGAAGAATGAAAGGATTATGGGTGATTATATTTTTTGTCTTTCATTTTTTAAGTTATCCAGTACTTTTCTAAGTTGAAATATAAACTTATAATAAAATATTAGTTGCTTTTCAGAATCTTTGCGAATATCCTGATGCAGTTTGTAGAGTCTACAAAGTTGAATATGGCAGGGGATCTCTATTAACTCTAAAATTTCACAGACAGTAGCTGATATGTCCATATATAGGTGTGACCTACTAAACAGGTTTGCCTGTCAGATTTTAGAAGAATTTTCTGGAAGCAAAGAGGCAAAAAATTGTGAGAAGGGAATGCTTTGGTGAATGTTATGATTCGCCAGGACTTCATTTTAGCCAGGAAAAAATACATTTCCTCATTTTTCCTCCTAACATAGAATATCATGGTACATTGACTTTTGGGTATGCTAATATTTTCATCCATTGTGTTTTACAACCACAAAATGAGATACAGTAGAAGCAAGAATATGGACTTTAAAATAATAAAATTCTGCATTAAAGTATTGGTTCCACCTATGACCAGTGTGCAAGTTGAGACAAGGCATTAACATTTTCTTTGTCTGAGTTTCCTCATCTCAAAAACAGAAATGATGTACACTGGGCAAGATTTACTGTGAAAAAGAAAAAAATATGAGTATATGGGTAAGTGTTTGACATATAGTAGATACTCAGAATCTAAATTACTACTTCCGCACTATCAGCTACTCTCTAACCATGGACAAACTACATTATATTGTCCTTAGCTTAGTGACCACATCATATATAGTAACACAGAGTGTAATTGTTTGTATTCCTTGCATCATCTATCGTGTTGTCTTGAGCATCATATATGCTGTCTCTACAAACATTTGTAGATGGATTTACTGATTGGAAAATGCCTTTATGATTGAAAAGGGTTCTGTAAATCCAAAACGTTTTATTTCTCTTTTTCTTCTTTAAAGTGTTATTTATACTAATTAAAATTCTATTAATCGACACATTCCATCTAACAGACTGGTTGGTAGTTTCTTTTGTTTAATCAGACTAATTAAAGAGGATGAAATTAATGTTGTCTTTCTATTCAATGCAGATATCTTTACCAGATATACAAATAAATGATGAGTATGTGCATTAAAGGAATGAAAACAGTAAAAAATGTTGATTTTAAGAAAAGTCACCATCATCTCACTGTCTTTCAAGGTTGTACAAATATACAGTAGGGATGTTTTAGGGGGAACTGCTGTTGATTTTAAGATTTATGTTTTTAAATGTGTTTTGTATCACCAGGGGATTTTACCTCCATAATAACTAGGCAAAGAATCACAATTACATTTATCTGAGAATGAATATATATGTGTCATTACTTGGGTAGAAATTTGCCTCTGTGATAGCAGCTCACTGAGGTGATTGATAGTCATCATCTTCAGCCCACTGTGAATGGATAGCTTTTCGTAAAGAAATGACTTCTGCAGTAAGACTGCCCTGTCTATGAAGTCATTCAGTGACTTGTCCCAAGGAGGACTGGTTCAGCAACACATCTACACAGACTTTGGCTGTGGCTGGAATTTTGGCTCATTGGCTGTCATTATTGTGACAGCTATTTATCATAGAAAGAAGCCATATGTGAGGTTATCTTCTTCCAAAGGTATATGAATGTTATAAAAATCAAGCAGAACAGCAGGTCCCACTTTTCCATGCCCCCACACAGCATCTCCCACATCTCATCAAGTTAACTACTGAATTGCTTTGAAAGAAAGTGATAGAGAATAAAAAACAGTTACTCTAACCACGACTTATATGAATTTTATATTTATTTGGGATTTAATGTTAATGATGTTGTTGAAAAAATTCAATTACATTTTGGTTGTATTACTAATTACTACTTATAAATAATTATTTAACAACAGTTGACAAATTAAATTTATCCAGATTATCATGATTATATACTCTTTATTAAAATATTTTCTTCGTCAAGCATTCTTCTGAATTTATGCACGTAAAATCACACACTAATGGATTAAATGTTATTGTCCAATCAAAATTGAATGTCAGAATCTGAGAACAACTCAAAACATATTTCTTGAACATCAGCTATATGGAAGATATTGTGTTTAATTTTCTGGGAGATGTAATTATGAATAAGTCAAGATACCTGCTCTCAAAGAATTCATAATTTTGATAGTATGCAGACATTTAAAAATTTTTTGTGACTACAATATTCATATTATATAATGGGAATAAAAATGTACATTTATTGAGCATTTTATATGTGACAAGTCCCAACTTTTAAAGACAGGATGATATGATGTATAGTAGCTTGTGGTCATTGAAGCCAGGTATTCTAGTTTAAATCCTTATTTTGGCATTAAGTACTGATGGGAGACTGGAAAATGTTGGTTACATTTCCTGAGCTGCATTTGCAAAAATATGTAATCTAAAAAATGGCTTTTATTGTTGTTTTAGGCCTGGAGATAATGTAAAGCAACTGTAACATAATGGTGTATAATATAAATGGTTGTTATTTTTATATTATTATACGACTGCTCAGTGTCATTTAATTCTCAACAAAATTAGAACATATGGGCATTATTTCCATTAAACAGAGAAAGAAACTAAGGCAGAATAAATTTAAATAACCTTTCCAATTGATACGGTTTCGCTCTGTGTCCCCACACAAATCTCACCTTGAATTGTAATCCCCATAATTCTCAAGGGTCAAGGGGAGGACCAGGTGGAGGTAATTGAGTCTTGGGGGCAATTTCCACCATGATCTTCACATAATAATGAGTGAGTCGCATGAGATCTGATGGTTGTATAAGCATCTGGCATTTCCCCTGCTTGCACTCTTTCTCTCTGCTGCCACCCTGTGAAGAGGTGCCTTCTGCCATGATTGTAAGTTTCCTGATGCCTCCCCAGCCATGCGGAATTGTGAGTCAATTAAAACTCTTTTCTTTATAAATTGCCCAGTCTTGAGTATTTCTTCATAGTAGCATGAGAACTGACTAATATGGTAAATTGGTTCCACAGATGGTAGGGTGCTGCTTTTTTACCCCAAAATGTGGAAGCTACTTTGGAACTTGGGAACAGGCAGAGGTTGGAACAGTTTGGAGGGCCCAGAAGAAGACAGGAAGATATGGGAAAGTTTGGAACTTCCTAGATACTTGTTGAATGGCTTTGATCTAATGCTGATGGTGATATGAACAATGAAATCCAGGCTGAGGTGTTCTCAGATAGAGATGAGGAATGGATGGAAACTGGAATAAAAGTGACTCTTGCTATGCTTTAGCATAGAGACTGGTGGTGTTTTGCCCTTGCCCTAGAGATCTGTGGGACTTGGAACTTGAGAGAGATGATCTGAATTTATATCTTATGTTTAAAAAGGAAGCAGAGCATAAAAGTTTGGAAAATTTGTAGCCTGACACTATAAAAAAGAAAAGCCCATTTTCTTCAGAGAAACTCAGGCTGGCTGCAGAAATTTGCACAGGTAATGAGGGGCTAAATGTTAATCACCAAGACAATGGGGAAAATATCTCCAGGGCATGTCAGAAGACTTCATGGCAGACTCTCCCATCACAGGCCTTGTGGCCTAAGAGGAAAAAATGGTTTTGTGGGCCAGGCCTAGCCTTGCAGCTTTGTGCATTTTGAGGCTTGGTGCCTTGTGTTCCAGCCCAGACCAAAAGGGGCCAATGTACAACTCAGGCTATTGCTTCAGAGGGTTCAAGCCTGAAGACTTGGCAGCTTACATGTGGTTTTGAGCCTGTAGGTTCACAGAAGTCAAGAATTGACTTTTGGGAACCTCTACCTAGCTTTCAGAGGATGTATGGAAATGTCTGGATGTCCAGGCAGAAGTTTGCTGCAGGGGTGGAACCTTCATGGAGAACCTCTGCTAAGGCAATGCAGAAGGGAAATATGGGATCAGAACCACCACACAGAGTTCCCAATGGGGCACTGCCTAGTGAGAAGAGGTGAGAAGAGGACCACCATCTTCCAGACCCCAGAATTTTAGATCCACTGACAGTTTGCACTGTGCACCTGGAAAAGCTGCAGACACTCAATGCCAGCCATGAAAGCAGCTGGGAGGGAGGCTATAACCTGCAAAGCCAAGGATCAGAGCTGTCTAACACCATGGGAGCCCATCTCTTGCATCAGTGTGACCTTGATGTGAGACATGGAGTCAAAGGAGATCATTGTGAAACTTTAATGTCTAATAGCTACCCTATTGGATTTCACACTTGCATGGTGCTTCTAGCTCCTTTGTTTGGTCCAATTTCTCCCATTTGGAATGGGTGTATTTACCCAATGCCTATATATGCATTGTATCTAGACGTGACTAACATTCTTTTGATTTTACATGTTCATAGATGGAAGGGATTTGCCTTGTCTCAGATGAGACTTTGAACTTGAACTTTCAGGTTAGTGCTGGACTGAGTTAAGATTTTGGGGGACTGTTGGAAAGGCATGATTGTGTTTTGAAAAGTGAGAACGTAAGATTTGGGAGGGGTTGGGGCAGAATGATATGGTTTGGCTGTGTCCCCAAACAAATCTCACCTTGAATTGTAGTTCCCATAATCCCCATGTGTCATGGGAGGGACCCAATAGGAGATAATAGAATTATGGGGGTGGTTACCCCCATGCTGCTATTCTCATGATAGTGAGTGAGTTTTCACGAGATCTGATGGTTTTGTAAGGGGCTTTGCCCGCTTTGCTCAGCACTTCTGCTTCCTGTTACCATGTGAAGAAGGACATGTTTGTTTCCCATTTCACCATGATTGTAAGTTTCCTGAGGCCTCCCAAGCCATGCTGAACTCTGAGTCAATTAAAACTGTTTTCTTTATAAATTACCCATCCTCAGATATTTCTTCATAGCAGTGTGAGAATAGACTAATACAGCAATTTATGAAAATGATAAGAGAAACTTTTTTAATTTTCATTTTTCTCACTTTAAACCCAATTATCTGTTCATTACACATTGGCCTAAAAGCAATGCACTCTGGAGGTGGCTTGTCTGAGTGTCACAACTAAACTAAAATGATTAAGGTTTAGCAATTAGAACAGAAGAGATTATCGTTCCCATCGAAACAGTACCAGTGACCAACAGTGTGCAAAGTGGTGTTCAGATCTCAAAGACTTAGACAGGTGCTGAAGATGAGACTGGGGGGACTGGTCCACATAATGGAATGGGCCACAGTGATGAGGCTTTTAGGAAGATCTGGGTGTCAGTTGTGCCTGAAGTCATGGTTCTGCATTAAAGCGAGGATTGCTGGGATAGAATACAGCTTCAAAAAAAAAAAGCACACTGTATGTATGTTTGTAGGTATATTTGGTGGATGAAGATCGTCATCCTACTTGACCACACACTTAAATGTAAATAGATTAAAACTACAAAATATGGACAGGAGGAAACAAGCTTCAGCAGAAGTTTAAAAAATGCAGATGACATTAAGGTCAGAGTAGTTAAATAAATATGTGAAGAAGACTGACATAAGACAAGGAATGGAAAGACTATGCCCTACCTAAAGACATTCAAAGTTTAAAATTAAGGGGATCATAAACCTAATAATGTACAGGGCCATTGAAATTAAGTAGATCAGCCTGCCAGTTCTGCCCTCTGGCTCACAGGACATAAATCCTGGTTAAAGTGTAGATAGAGAGGAGTGAGAAGAAATATACACAACATTGTATCTCAGAAGGTATAGAGTGGCGACAGCAGGCTTCTTCTCTTAAAGTTAGTATTCCCAGTGTATGATAGGTTTTATTTTAAATAGTTCAGTGTCTGGTACAAAGGGTAAGGGGTGTGTATATGTATGTGTGTGTGTGTGTGTGTGTGTGTGTGTGTGTGTGTATGTATGGGTAGACCAGGGAAGTAACCTAAAATCACTGACTCCTATCACCTACAATTGAGTCAAACAAGGGAAGGCAGAACAAACCTAGAGATAAGAGCTGGAATGGTGACTCATATCTACCTATGTGCAGCACTAGTATATTGGAAAACACTAGGTACTATATATTTTATGTATCACATATATATTTTTATATATAAATATGTGTACACAAATATATATACATATATACTTTATATACATAGTATATGCAAATGTATTATATAAATTATATATATTAAATATATCATGTATGTAGTTCTATGTGATTATATATGTGTATATTGTGTTATGTGATATGTGTGATATGTCGTGTGATTATATGTGATTATATATGTGTATATAATATATATGTATACACATATATTATCACATATAACCAAGTTTGATGAGTGGTGTTTGGTAGGTGCTATCTCCTACAGCTGATAGGTGGTTTTTGGTAGGTGCTATCTCCTATGGCTGTATTTTTTTTTAACCAAATAAAATTAAAAGTGGAAGAATGTTGAAGGGGATAATGGTAACATTAAATCAACAAATAAGAAATGGGAAATGTGATGAATTCCAGAAGCTATGTACACAAAAATCAGATTTGTTATTTTAAAAACCATCTCACAAAATTCATTGTGTACATTCAATGCAGTTTAAATATATGAATTATAGAAATTTAAAAATATGTTAAATTATTTCTAAAAAACATACTATAGGCATTGTTGAGTACATAGGCATACAAAAGAATGTAGACAGATTATGTATATTTCCTTAATTGTGAAATTTGGGGAGATAATTGGATAGGACCAAACAAACTGGATTCAGCATTTATTTTAATAAATTTCAATGTGTTAGGATATTCTGGAAGCATTAATTTTCATATTTCTGCTTTGTGACTTATATAAGTACCTTTGTAATTTAAAGGATTTAGAATATTACTTTTTTTTATAATTCTGGCATTCGTCAAAGATTTAATTGATGATTAATTTATATACCTGTATTGGCTAAATGTTTCATGTTGGTAACAGTGGGACTTAGAGCAACTGCTTGCTTCACTAAGTTTTTTTTTTTTTTTCTGAAATGGACTCTTGCTCTGTCATCCAGGCTGTAGTGCAGTGGTGTGATGCTGGCTCACTGCAGTCTGTGCCTCCCAGATTCAAGTGATTCTCCTGCCTTAACCTCCTAAGTAGCTAAGCAGCGGGGATTACAGGCATGTGCCACCACATCCAGCTAATTTTTGTAATTTTAGAAAAGACGAGGTTTCACCATGTAGGCCAAGCTGGTCTTGAACTCCTGACATCAAGTGATCTGCTGGACTTGGCATCCCAAAGTGCTGGGATTACAAGAATGAGTCATCACATCCGATTCACTAAGTGATTTTACTGGATCATGAACAGACCAATGGTACATAACAAAGAGTCCAGATATGGATCCAAGTGTATATGTCAATTTAAGATATTTTAAAATTAGAATCTCAAACCAAAGGGTAGTATTGGGCTAATTTTTTAGTATATAAATGGTGTATTAGTCCATTTTCATGCTGCTCTAAAGAACTGCCCAAGACTGGTTAATTTATAAGAGAAAGATGTTTAATTGACTCACAGTTCAGCCTGGGGAGGCCACAGGAAACTTAGAATCATGGTGGAAGGGGAAGCAAACACGTCCTTCTTCACATGATAGCGGGAAGGAGAAGTGTTGAGCAAAGGGGAAAAGCCCTTATAAAACCATCAGATCTCCTGAGAACTCACTCACTATCACAAGAACAGCAGCATGGGGGTAACCACTCCCATGACTTAATTACCTCCCACGGGTCCCTCCCATGACATGTGGGGATTATGGGAACTACGTTTTCAAATCATATTTGGGTGGGGACACAACCAAACCATATTAAGTGGTGTCCAAATATTAACTTGAAAAATGATAAAACTAGGTTCAAATTTCAAATAACGTGTCAGGATAAATTCCAATGTATCAGATATCTGACAATAAAAACAAATGAACAAAAACCTCAAATAAATAGTCAAAGAAAGCATGCTATACTCTTTTGTAACATAGGAGTGAGGTATTTCCTAATTGTGACTCAAAGCAACAACTACAAAATTTGATACAGTTTACTATACAAAGATAATAAAACATTATTTTTCATACAGAAGTTTACTATAGGCAAAGAAAAAAATCAACTACACTCAAAAATGTTCAACAAATGAAATATGATCTGGTAGAAGAAATGAAAATATTTGGATTCAGAGAGCTATTGCCTCTTTTGTCTTTAAAATGTGACTAGTCCTCTTTGGTTATTTCAAGGTTAAGAAAAACTCAGTGAAAGAGTTAATAGAAAACATTTTTTTTTTTTTAATTTTCTGCTCTGCCAATTCAACAATTAGTTTTCCAGAAGCAGAATCACCCTCTAATTTGGTCAATGTTTATCATTTTAATCAACTAAAAATCACTAATTTTAAAATAATTATAATAAACCAGGCGTGGTGGCTCGTGCCTGTAATCCCAGCACTTTGGGATCCTCCCAGCAGGAGGATCACAAGGTCAGGAGATCAAGATCATCCTGGCCAACATGGTGAAACCCCTCTCTACAAAAAATGCAAAAAAAAATTAGCTGAGCATGGTGGCACACACCTACAGTCCCAGCTACTCGGGAGGCTGAGTCAGGAGAATCACTTGAACCCGGGAGGCGGAGGTTGCAGTGAGCCGAGATCGTGCCACTGCACTCTAGCCTGGCAATAAAGCGAGACTCTGTCTCAAAAAAGTAATAAAATAAAATAAAATAAAATAATAATAATATAAATTTAGTTACTTAAATGTACTAAACTACAAACAGCAGCAAAAATGTGAGTAGAAACCTCATGAAGGAAGATAGTAGTTTCCATAATACCAATGTAATATTTTACCACCTCTTTAAAAAGCAAGAATTTTAATGCCTTTCTAACATTTAGATCTAAAATGTAATCCTTGAAATAGGATGATATTGTTATGAAGCCAGTCAGAAATCCCAAAGAAGGAAGAAGTAATGCAATATATACAATATGCCTTGCAAAATTACCAGAACAATAACTACAAAGATATTGAGAAAAGTGTTTAAGGCCCAGTAAAATTATTGGGTAGAGTAAAGACAGAAAGGCATAGATCCCCTGGATACACAGATGTCTTCTCCCAACACAACAAATCATTGCAACACTTATATAAGCAATGCAAACAAAATAGTAAGCAATTTTAATTTGGCACTGAAGGGCCCTGCAGATGAACTAGGCACATAGTGAGGAAAGCGTACATTTGGTTTTCAATAAAATAGATTCAAAGTTCCAGTTCTCTTGAAACTGTGCTGGAGGGATCAGCTATGTCAACCTTATGTTCTAAATGGTCTGCATGTTTATCAAGACTATTTTTTTTCCTACTCCTCAGCAGCCAAACTAGGAGCTGAAGCCATATGGTCAATGACTCACTTGATAGGCAAAGAAACTGAGACATAGGATACAAGACTAGCATTGATCAAACTAGACAAAAACACAACTGTGTAAAATTACATAAAAACAAACAATTCTCCCACCATATTTTCAGTACAGCTCCGCTAATGAACATCCTCAAATCATACCAGACACTCTGTATTTATTTTTCTGATGTACTTCCCTATAATCTGTTTCAGATTATTTTTATTTACAGAAATGATTTTTTCCAAGATTGGGACCACCAAGAAACTACAGATGCAGACATACGTCATATCACTCCTCTAGTCCTGAATTTATAATATTATTTAACTCAGTTTTTCTTTTTACCTGAGAACAAATAAACAAAAATAACAAACACCATCTCCCACCAAAATAATACAAACAGCAATGAAAAACTTTTCTAAGTAGCTGTGAGTCAAAAAGGTGAAATTTCATTGAGCTGCAAAACTAATCCAGCAGTTTTAGGATATGTTCACGTTTTGGTAATTTAGATGACTATTTCTACATTTCCCTATGATCCAGGATACCAAGGGACCTGCTGCCTGAGACGTTGAGATTTAGAGGGCTTTGTCTCTGTTACAATGACTCAGAGCAAATGGAGAGAGTGTCCATTTTTCATGGATGATGATGCTTGTAAATTTTCATTCATATCTTTGATAACTGATGTACTTAGCAACTTCCAGATAACATTGGTTAGAGTTAGCTCTGCTTATTTTGGTTCTAATTTAGAAGGAAGACAGAGAAAATACTCATTCTAAGTACCTACTTTTTGTCAGTAACTATGGTAGCTACTTTATGCACTTTGTGTCCATCAGGGTTTTCCAGAGAAACAGAAATAATAGGATACACACACAAACACACACACACACACACACACAGGTTTCACATCCATAGATTCAACTAACAGGCTCTAAAAAAATTCAAAAAAAAAAATTCTACAAATTTCCAAAAGGCAAAACTTGAATTTGTCATGTGCTAAATATCACACAAAAGAAATAACATGTAGGCATGGTATTCAATTGAATAATTAATCTGGATGGGTGTGGTACGTCACGCTTATAATCCCAGTACTTAGGGAGTCCAGGCAGAAGGACTGCCTGAGCCCAGGAGTTTGAGAGCAGCCTGGGCAACAGGGAGAGACTGGGTCTCTGAAAAAAAAAAAAAAAAAAAAAATCTAGAGGTGATTTAAAGTACAGAGAAGGTTGTGCATAGGTTATATGAAAATGCAACACCATTTTATATAAGGGGCTTGAGCATCCTTGGATTTTGTTATCCATGGGATATTCCTGGAAGCAAACTACAAATTCCAAGAGATGACTGCATATATAGAAGGATAGATAGAGACATTAGAGGGAACTTACGCGGAAACTTACGGAAATCAGCTTATGTCATTATGGAAGCTAAGAAATCCTACAATCTGCTGTTTGCAAGCTGGAGTACCAGGAAAGGCAGTGGTGTAATTCAGTCTGTGTGCAGAGGTCAGAGAACCTGGGGTTCTGATAGCTGAGTGGGGAAGAAGATGGATGTCGCCTTTTTAGAAGAGATAATAATTCACCCTTCTTCTGCCTTTTTTTTCTATTCAAGCCTGCAGCAGGTTGGATGATGCAGGCCTGTACTGGTGAGGGTGAAACTTCTTTACTCAGTCTACTGATTCAAATGCTAATCTCTCCTGGAAACATCCTCATAGACACAGCAAACATGACCCTGTAACATCTATCCGGGCATCTCTCAACTCAGTCAAGTTGACACATAAAATGAACCACGACACACTTTATCTCACTGAAATATCAAAATATTTGCAATTTTTAGGGTCATGTATCCTGTCAAAGGCCACCCGGAGAGCATTAGAAACACTTCTTTGGATTAGAATTTTGATTATCTGACTACAAAATCTATATATGAACCTTCTATTTTCTTAGAACAATTATTGGGTTTACAGATGTTTTTGTAAAACACAAGAAAAACTGTAAGGGATTTCAGGACTTCTGTAATTGGTTCTTTTTTCAAGTTAGTTAAAGTCTTTGGAAAAACCAAATGATAGTTTTTTATTTAAGCCAGAGGTTAAGTGATGATTCTACCTCTACAATAACCTCCTCTGTTCATCAGTGCCCTCCTCTGTTCACCAATACATTTTAAAACAAATATCCATATGTTTTACAATATATCTTAAAAATAATATTAATTGGTATATAATTGAATAAATTGATAATTAAAATGGGAAGAGAGTAGCTGTCCAAACGTTCTCTCAGCACAGACAGTTCAATGTTTTAAGCTTCTATAGTATACATATGCAGGAGCCATGTCTATGGTTCTCCAAAACATGACAAAATGGGCATGCCAGAATCAATGCTGTTAAAATATACAGGTGTGGCCTTAAAAATGGAATAACTTTAAAATTATATATAGTTTGTAATTTTTAAAAATTGCAGTCTATTTTGCTATTATCAATTAAAATGAAAACTGATAGAAAACTACACTTATAAAATTTTGTTACTGGATTTGACTTGATGGCTCAGCACTTAAGGGAAACTCTCATTGGAGGGAACTTGCCATTTATAGAGGATTTCATCAGTAATCAAATAATTTTGAGAGAGAAGGACCCAAAAGGACTATGGAGATGAGAGTGAGCAGCTCCGGGATGTATTCCTGGCTCTCTGTTTATAGTATTCACTTCATCAGTCTGGGTAAAGTTGACCTGGATAGAGAAAAGAAGAAAGAAATGGGTTTTAATAGTGAGGACAATGCTATCTTCTACTTACTTCAAAGCAGATAGGTTTATGATGAAACAGAGTTTTGTAAATCTTGTCGAATTAGAAAACAAATCACTGACAATGTGCACAATCAGAAAAAATAAAAATAAAAAAATTATTGACACTTGACACTCTTGAGCCAGCTGTGTTTTCTGTGAGTTTCACTCAGTTTTCACATAGATTTGCTTTAATAGTAATGATGATGAAGGCATTTTCCTACTAAAGGATGCTTAAAGGACACTGCCCTTAGGAAGCATTTTATTCACTACTGAATTCTGCAGTGGGAAGCAGCAGCTGGAAAAGTGTTGTCCAGCTGCACCATGAAAGCTGGTACCATAAAAGGAGATGATTTGTCAAGATGTGCCAGATTTTCTTATTAAAAATTTGGCCAACAATGTTAAGCAAAGCAATTAGACATAACCACCCTCCAAAGTTGCCAATGCAATGAGTATGGGAACCAAAAAATGCATTTCACAGACTCCAGAAAAGTGGGAAGTAATATTGAAGATGTTGAGATATAGATGGATAAAGACTGTGGTTTTCTAATTGATGTGTATTTATATAACTATGACACTAGGGAAGCATCTGATTAGATGATCTCAGTCCCAAATATGCAGATTTGATTGAGCATTAGTAAATTATAAGCTCTAGGATGCACTTTCTTTCCAAGTTTTAACATTTACACAGGCAAAAGCAAGTTTATTGGAAAGGTATGAAAACCCAAGACTTGTAAATTCATAATGACATACTTCATGATGATTTGAAAGCACTTGACTTCCAGCCCAGCCCACACATTGTGTAATAAAATGCAGAGATGCTTATGCCATGGGCAATGCAGTCATGTACTCCAACTGGAAGAACAGGACTCGATAAGTCAGAATTACAACTTTGAAATTACTCTAACTGTATGAGTCAAAGGAAATGTGGAGGCCGGGTACGGTGGCTCATGCTTGTAATTCCAGCCCTTTAGGAGGCTGGGGTGGGCGGATCATGAAGTCAGGAGATCGAGACCGTCCTGGCTAACACGGTGAAACCTCATCTCTACTAAAAATACAAAAATTTAGCCAGGCGTGGTGGTGGGCACCTGTAGTCCCAGCTACTCGGGAGGCTGAGGCAGGAGAATCGCTTGAACACAGGAGGCAGAGGTTGCAGTGAGCCGAGATTGCACCACTGCACTCTAGCCTGTGCGACAGAGTGAGAATCTATCTCAAAAAAAAAAAAAAAAAAAAAAAAAGAAAGAAAGAAAGAAAAAAGAAATGTGGAATGAGACATTAAAAAAAATGACAAGGTATCCTGTCATGGGTGATAAGAAAGAACTTTTGAGGAAAGTTCTAGGCAACAGAGCTTCCTATCAGCCCAGTCTCTGGAGAACTTAGACACCTTGCTGAAAACAACGTAATTTAATCCATAAATATGAAAATGCTTTTTCAATTAGTTATATAACTGGCCTACGTGCAGAATGACCATAAGCTACCATGTTTTTCTGGAGATACAGTTCCAGGGAAAACAAAATAAAAATCTGAGGGCTTATAAATATAGAGACAGAGTAGTGATACTAGTTAGATCCCACTACCTAGTGTTCCTTAGAGTGACAAAATGGGTAACCACCTTGCTTCAGGGCACAATCTCCAGAAACGACTGCCGTAGACGTGAGAAAGACTTGTCTAGCAACTTTCATTTTCCTAAATTCCATTATGATTATTATGCTCTTCTGTTCATATCTATTTCTACCGTCCTTGTTCATTTCAACACAGAGTACTATTGACGACGTATCAGTAGAAGTATGAACAGAGATTCTGAGATCAGGCTGAGTTTGAATCCTAGCTCCATTACTGACTGGCTCTACAATTTTGGGCAAGTTACTTAATCTCACTGTTCCCAATTTCCTCCTCTGTAAAAGGAGTTAACAGCATCCCATGCCATAGTAGCATTGAGAGGATAAATCAGCTCAAATATCTTAAAGGCCTAGCACAGTGCTTTGTATTTTATACTTACCATGTGCTCATTCTTTGCTAAGTGCATTTGGTAAATGGAACACATTTGGTGATATTGTCATTGTTTATTTATTTTAAAATGTATATTGCTTTACTTCTCAGAAGTGTTTTTTCAATGACCAATTTCATTTACAAAGTATGGATTCTTGATTTTTTAAATCATTTTCTTGTTTAAAGGGTACCATGCTATGCACATTATATAAAATCACATTTATTTTTCATAACGTGACTGTGGAAAACATGATTCATTACCTACTAGATATTATTTCTCTCCATCTCCTTTCTTCTTTCTACTACAGAGTCTTGATTTGCTCACGGTATTAATGTGGGTAGCCCCAGAACATGCACTGATAAATAAAGAATTTTCTAAGCCTCTCATGATCTTCCCATTTCTAATTGCTTGGCAATTTCTTCTCCAGACTGCCTTGCAATGAGAGAAGGCCATGAGACTGATTTTAGGCAATGAGGTTTTAGGGGAAGTCAACAAAGAGACTTTTTGAAATGTTTTCTTACGCTGATAAAAGGAGAGGGTAACTTATAGTAGAAGTTCTGTATCTTTGCTTGACTCTACTTTTTTATTATTCAAATGTAATTGGCATGCTTGGAACTGGGGCCATTATCTTGCTATGAAGAGGTGACAAATGTAAGATCAAATAGCTTATTGCACTTAGGTATCAAACTCTTGCACTCCAGCAATCCTCCCACCTTGGTCTCCCAAAGTGGCAATACAGGTGTGAGCCACCATGCCCAGCTGGAGGGTCATTTTTAAAATACAGTTCTCTGTACCCCTAGCTCACAAATTCCAATTCAGCTTTTATTTTATTTATTTTTCTGGTAAATTTTGAAGTAACTTTTTAGCTTTTTGAGCTTCTAATGCAAAGTAAGATCAGGAAAATTTAAAGCTGTAGTTTACCATTATACAATTAGTATTTGCCAGACATTTTGCTATATATTTTATATAGGTCATATTTCAGAATAATTTCATGATAGAATTATTCTATCTAGATGTTAGGCTGGATATCTAGATAGAATAATTAAATTATTACTTTCCACATTTTACAGGTGAGGAAACTGACGTTAGAGAGGAAAACAATACGCATAATTTTAAATGACTAACAAAAGACCGAACAAAGATTTGAAGGTACACTATTAACCTTTTTGCTATGTTACTTTGTGAGGCCATCATGCTTTTTTCCAAATTTATATGCCCTTTTGGAGCAGATATATGCAAATTACCTTTTTTTCCTTGGTGATGAGTAAATGTGTAATCATAATCCTAGTAGAAAACTGTAGATACACTAGAATTGAGTAATTTAAGGATAATTTAATAAGTCAATTAGATGGAAACAGGCTGTAACACCACACATGGCTACTTCTATTCACAGGGCTGAAGAAGTTAAGTGGGCCGTGGGGTTATTGGAAATTATAAAAGAAGGGGATGGTCTGGCCACCACTGTAGCCTCTGGCAGAGAAAAGCACCAGAACCAGTGGCCTGCAGGGAGCGTGTGGGAAAACACAGGTCAAGTTCTTATTCTTTTCTCTTCCTCCAGTGAGCTGAACCCAACAGGGAACCAAAGGATAAAAGACCCCAGGGGTATAGTCCACACAGTCAGGACAGAGAGTAGGTTAGAAAAGGGTGGAGACAGAATCAGGAGAGGAAATAGGATATAGGAGAGGAAGGCAACTTTTCCAATAAAAGCTAGCCAGTAGTTAAGGAGATGGAGAAGAAATCAGTTGGAATCTAAGCAGCCAAAGGAAGATACCCATAAACACCAGCCAGTCAGGAAAGTTTATTTTTACCTAGTGGAAGGAAGGCTTAGGCTGCACATCCCAAAACAAGGCTCACACAAGTGTCAAAAAGCACATAGATTCGGTTAGCTGTGTTGTCATGGCTATCCAGGCTGGTATCAATGTTAACTAAGATTTTTGTGCATGGCATCTGCAAGATGAAATCAAAATGTCCTGTTTCCTAATACTGGTTTATTCTTCTGGAAGCATGACTGAAAAGATTTGGCCATGAGTAATGATCTGGACTGTCATTTATTAGCAAGCAACCTCCAGTTCTCAGCAGTTTCTTTGATGTTAATATAGATTCATATGTAAACAAGTTCCAATCTCTCTTGAGGTATTATTATCTAATTTTCTGGGATAAAATACAATATGTAAAGGAACCGATTCATTCTATGTCTTCTCTCATTCATGTTCTACTTAAAGAATAATAGAATCTATGTCTTCTCCTATTCATTTTCTACTTAAAGAATAATAGAAGGCAAATAAAACACTTTCTTCAAATATATATTTATTTCAGCTGGAGGTTAACAAAATGTCTGTGCTACAATAGACAAAGTGAATGGCTCCTAAATGAAATTTTCTAATTAAAGCATTATAATGATAGTAACATTTGGATAGCAGCTTTGGTTTCAATATTTTTCATTTGTAATACTGCTCTTTCACCATTCATTTTAATACATGGTGGCTGAATATTAGTAGGTGCTAGGGAATTCGCTATTTATATTCTAAGAAGGAAGACAGATAAGATTGAGATTGGAAGAAGCTTCACATATTCAAGAAATAGCAGGGCAGCATGTGTCGACACTGAAGTTAGGAGGGGTAAAAGTGGTAGTGGACATGGTTGAGAGAAAGGCAAAAACCAGACCAGAGCAGGATCAAAGGCCAGTAATAATGATATTAGTCATAGAGTGATGGGGAGACATTGGAGGCCAGTGAGCAGGTGAATGGCATGGTCTGATGTCCATTTTTCAAGGATCACTCAAGCTGCTGTATAGAGAATAGCATGTATAGGAACAAAAGAGGAATCACGAAAACTAAAGAAATGTTTCCCCAATTAATTAGAAAAAAGGTAGGATTTGAATCTAACTATACTTTCTCAGAAAAGATGCCTCCCATCATTACTTCCCATGCTCAGGGCTTGAGCCATCTTTCTGTTTCCTTAACAAACCAAATATTAGCCTGCCATCAGGCCAACTGTAAACATAAACCTCTTTATTAGAAGCATCTGTGCTGTAAACACTTTTGAAAAAAAAAATGATGATTTTCTTTACTTCTTAAGAGGACAAATATAGCTGTCCACACCTTCACAAAGTTAGAGACAGAGGCAGCTGTTTAAAATCCCCGAGAGTTCTCGGAGAGGCTAGGATTACAAAGGTAGTTTTGTCTATAAATTATCAAGTGGTTGTTCATATGACATAAAATCATTTTTGTTCTCCTGTCCTGTAGGAAGGTGAATTGATTGCACATGTGCATCTAAGTATACATGGTGAGCACAGAACATTGCATGCGGATACAATAGACAAAGTGAATGGCTCCTAAATGAAGGACATACGCATTTTATCATTGATTGTTGCTGCAGACTCGATATTTGTTTCCCCGCAAATTTATATGTTCAGATTCTAACTCCTAGTGTGACTGTATTTGGAGAGGGCACCTCTAATGATGTAATTAATGTTAAGTGGGGTCATAAGGGCAGGACTGTGATCTGATAGAATTAGAGTCCTTGTAAGAAGAGATACCAGAGAGCTCACTTGCTTGCTCTCTTTTACAGCACAAAGAAGAGGTCACAGGAGCACACAGCAAGAAGGCAGCCATCTGCAACCCTGTGGAGGAGACCTCCCCAGACATTAACCATGCTGGCACCTTGATCTTGGACTTCTAGTCTCTGGGACTGTGAGAAAATACATTTCGGTTGTCTCAGCCACTCAGTCTGAAGAATTTTGTTATGTCAGCTCGAGCAGATTGATGCGGCTATTGAGATACAGCGGTTTCTATTCTGTTTATGTTTCCTTGTTTTGTTTCTGTTGTTGTTGTTGTTGTTTTGTCCTGGGCATGTAGACCAAAGCCAATAGGCAAGGTCACTTCATTACTAGGAACCAAGTCTAATCATTGCACTAGAAAATACTTAACTTTATGCATCCAGCTTTTTAGAAAATTGTATTTCAACTCATTACAGGATTTTCATAGTGTATCACAAGATTTATGTTGAGAGGAAAAGAGCCCTAAAGTTTCAAGATAATTGAATTCTGGAAAATGAGAAAAGTAGTCAATTTTTATAAATTAGTAGGTAGCATCTATTTTTTCTTTTTTTGGTACTAAAATTATTGCATTTTTATTTTTACCTTATTTTGTACCAAGATGGGTCTAAATGTCATGGTGACTCATTTCAAAACTTGCATTTTCATTTGTGATTAATCCCACCTACACTGAAAAGTTTTTGCTTGATTTTTCTACTGAGGTGTGGGTTCCAAGCCTCGGTATCCTATGGATGTACAATTGTCCAATGTAAGTTGTCAACTGTTATATTTGGGAGTGAAAGTAGAAACTACAGGGATCAAAAATGAGTTGGCAAGTTTTCTTTTCCTGAAGGATGAATCACTGGAGAAGTGCCAGTGAATAGAAAAAAAAAATTTCACCAAAAGAAATAATAACCAACAAGCCATGTTCTACTGTCTTAAAACAAAGAAAAGCCATTTATCTCAGGGCACATATTGATGCTGAAAATGATTCAACTTCACCACATCATAAGCGGAACCGTCAGAAGCATATTCCTGGAAACCAAAGCCTCTTGGGAGAAAGTTCAAGGTCAGAGTTTTTAAACTTTAGACATAGACATATGTTTTAATAGAAGACGGTCAAATATCACCCACCTCTCTCTCACTTTCTTTATATATACTAAATAACTAAAATAATACAAAAAAGGATCTCTAAAACTTCCATATTGAAGATATAATACATATTCGCATCTTTAAAATGGACTATGATCACACTGGTAGCATCAGTTTGAAAGTGAAAAATGTAACAATATGGCAGATAATTTCCCCCAAGAGAGTTGTAAACATTGTTGAGAGCTCTCGTTGTTTTTAACATGTTAGAAATAAATAATGAGGAAAGATCACTGGAAGAGTGATTCAGATTATGCAAAAGTCAATAACCTCTATATGCCTCAGGTCCTTCATTTGGAAAATGTACAGAATAAAATATATGTCATAGAGAAGCAACGAGGTTTGAATGAGGCAATGGACACAGGGTAATTGCCATATTATATATAGTTGCTAAATAAATCGTAGCTATTCAGGTGCATTTTCCTAACTATTATCAAAATCTTTATCTTCCACAAGATGAATTATTATTAAAACAAAGTTTTCTAGAGAAGAGGGAAGAGGTCACAATGGCCGTGGACTATGTGGAATAGGAGGTAAGCATTGCAGAGTTTATTAAAAATAAATTTCAGACTTAAGAAAGTTCTAGAGACTGAATTATGCCCCCTGAAATTTTTATGATGAAGCCCTAATCCCAGGTGTGATTGTGTTTGGAGAAAGGGAGGAAGCGATAAGGGTTAAATGAGGTCATAAAGGTCAGGTCCTAACTTGATGAAGCTGGTGCCCTTGTAAGAATCGGAAGAGACACCAGACCTCTCCCTCTCTGGCATGTGAGTACACAAGAAGGCAGCCATCTGCAAGCCAGTAGGAGAACCCTGGCCAGAAATAAAATCAGCTGGTACTTTAATCGTGGACTTTCCAGCTCTCAGAAGTGTGAGAAAGTAAATTTCTGTTGTTTAAGCCAGCGAGCCTAATGGGGTTTTGTTATGCCAGCCCAACAGACTAAGACAGGATGCATTAAAGGGTAATTATTTTTGTTTTATGTTTGTTTTGTTTTGTTTCAATTTAGGCAAAGATGGAAGTGAATACACAAATAAATTGCATTACCTGAAAATAAGTTAAATCATTGCAGCCTTTAAATTATTGAAACAGAGATGGGCAACATTGACATATAAAGCCACATTTCAATGGCTTCAGTATTCTCACCTCAGAAATCATAAAATGTTTTGCAATTTAATGAGTTTAATATTTCTGTAATTAAGACATATGTCTTAGAAGTTTATTCTGATCAAGACTATTTTACATGCATCAAAAATGCCACCAAAGAAGCACAAGAGTGATAGCAATAACACCCTATTATTTGTAGAAAGTAACATAGTGAGAACAAATGGCTATATTTGAAAGAAGTTGGCTGTCAGAGCCATATTAAAGAAAACACAAATAGAAGTAATTTATTCAATAATATTATGCTTCATTAGGCTTTGGATTTAGTCTTTAATGTTGCCAGGAGGCAGAATGTTTCATTGATTTTTTTTTTGAAATTATTGCAAAATATTAGATGCCAAAAAGCACTTTTATTCTTAATACTCATTACTGCTTGGAAATACTTCCCTGCAACCATATATATTTATACATATAGCTATACATATGTATTTGTATTATTGTGTGTGTGTGTGTGTGTGTGTGTGTATGTATTTATATTTTGGCAAGGTCAAACATAACTATGGTAGAAAATATCTTTTTAATTTGGTAGAGAAGCAATATTATTAACTCATTTTACTGAAAGTGGTTTTAATACTAGAAATCTAGAATGACACTTATCTGGTTAAAAATGTCAGAAAACAATGATTCCGGCAAAAATTCAGAGTCTCTTTTTTCAAGCTCATCTAATTTTATGTGGAAAATATGGATAAAGCATGAGTTTAAAAGCTTACAATGCCATTTCTCGTGATCTAATTTAACTTGCATTGAGCTGTGATGGTTTGAATGTGTCTCTCAAAATTCATGCATAGAAAAGTTAAACCCCAATGCAGCAGTGTCAATGGGTGGGGCCTAAAAAGAGGTGATTAGGTCATGAGGATTCCACCATCATGATTAAATTAATGTCATCATTGTGGAAATGAGTTAGTTATCTTCAAGATGGGCTTGTTATAAAAATGAGTTTAGCCTCTTTAACTTTTGCTCTCCCTCCTGCCCTTCTACCTTCTGCGGTGGGATGACACAGCAGGAAGGCCCTCACCAGATGCCGGTAGCTTGATAACTGAATTTACCAGCCTCCCAAACTATAAAAAGTACATTTCTTTTCTCTGTAAATTGCCAAGTTGGTGCCATTTTGTTATAGCAACACCAAGTGGACTAAATCTTGAGCTAAGAAGAGGTTTCCCTGCCCTAACCATATGTAGCATGCCTGGACTTATTATGCTAATTAGGTCAAGGGAATACTTTCTCCCTCTCACTACTTCAGGGGCCACAAATAAAAATTTCAACCTTGATTAACCATGCAAATTTATATTATTTTCCCAAGGGTAGCACATCTAGGTTGTTGTTGTAATATATTTGAAATAAACCCACTTATCTTTTAAGGCCAATTATATATCTGAAATACACTCTTTATATGTAGAAAACAAATATTATGGTCTCATAACAACTTTGAACATGTGTCAACTATAGAATCCTATTAGTTCCAATTACAATTTTTGATGTAGGTGCTTGTCTTTCCAATAAAATTGTGGGACACTCTATTGTTTGTTACTTGATCACTTTTTGAATTCTCAGAGTATAGCACAACACACAAAAGATAATTTGACAAAATACATGAAATTTAGTTAAAAGAATGAGCTACTTAGAAAAAAATTTTGTAGTTTTTGAGAGTTTGCATTGAAAAATGTCTACAAAGTAACTGTAGTACAGATAATCCTAGAATTACAGTTAAAATGATAGAGTGATCATTTGAAACACCCATGAATAAGCTATACCAAGAATGTTTCTCAACAGGGTGTCCATGTGTGCTGTCTGAAAAAAAAATTTTAATGTCTCCTGACTGATTTAATCATATAAACATATAATATTACAGGTTATTTAATGTTTCAGTGACTGAGTGAATGCAAAACTCTGTTGTGTATGGCTTCAAATCTTCTTGGCCTTATATCTTATTTCAGCCATTGCTGTTATGCATAATTCCATGGAGGCTTTGTGCAGCTTGGCACAAGTGTGATCTGACAGTGTCTTGACAATGCACAGCAGGTCCTCTGACTTGCTGCCCAGAGCTCCTCTGACACAGGGTGTTCCTCATGAAGAATTTGGCAATCACGCATGTGCAGCACTTATGTGTTGGAGACTGAACCAACAGATAAATGATTTTCCTTTTTACTTCTGTGGTGGGTGGTTCTGAGACATACCAGAAGGCTTCTTAGAAACTTTCTTGGGCTAACCAAATTATCTTCTCTTGAGGTGGCCAATCAGTAACACATTTTTGAATGAACTTCTTGTCTTGTCCTGTTTGCTCCAACACCTTTTAATCTGGTTCTCTGAAATCATTTTTCTGAATAAGCCATTAATATGTTAGCCTTTATCAGTCTGCTTTGGGAAAACTGAAACTAACACATTGCGTCTCATTATTAAAAATATTGTTGGTGCTAAATGGTTCCATCAAATTATAGAAGGCAAATTAATCAATTTAAAAGCAGACTTATATTCATGATATATATTGAAAAGTGATAGAATATATGACTTCATACCATATTTGAATTGAAGTTTCCTAGAAATTTAATTTTTTTTTAAGTGATGAAAAATCTGTGTTATGCCCACACAGTGCTAAGTGGTAAACACAAAACAAACTCAAAATTCCGTCTAACTACAATATTATCATAGTCACACTTGGGCAGCAATTTAAATTCTCTAAAACTATACGATCCCTTGAATTACATTAATGTTATTAATTTGAAAAGTGTTGATTTTGTAGGTTGGCTTGGAGTTAATGTTTATATATTTCTTTGTTTTTTGGTTACATAAGAATGATAAGCATAAGACATTTAAAACTAGATGCATCTCTACATTTGTTTGTATAACAGTATATTAAAATGATTTAAGTCAACATTAGGGGTATATGGGTGGATGTCCTCAAAATGTATCCATGTATTATTTCAAAAACAGTATTCAAAGGTGAGGACCTGGACAAAGTTTCATTGGAGTCATTTGTAACTATTAATAGAAATTCAGGAACCAGGTTTATCAGTGAATGCAATCAAGGCTGTCATTAAATATTGCATTATGACATTTATTTGTATTGAAAATGAAATAAATTATTTCCTACAGCTTTCTTCATGCTCTTTCAAAGGGTGAGATGACAATGCATGTGCAATCTAATGTCCGTCCACCTGAGAGAGCTGCCTGTAGTCACTCAAGATCAATGTAACCCAGCAGCTGTTTCTGCTTTAAAGGTCATTGAGAATTTATAAACAGTTTTTTTCTTTCCTGTTTTTCTTAAGCTTAAATAGTTCTATAATGAAAATTAGACATATTTTAATATGTCTCATGAGCACATCCAAAGGTAATAAATATCTCCAGAATACTGCCCTTTACAGAAGGTTCTTTTGTAAGAACTAGATAGACCTGTGACTGGTTTTGTAGTCCTATAGACCTGGGTTCAAATTCTCACTCTGCTATTTGGTCTCTATATGACATAGATGGCCTTAGACAAACTACATACTGTATCTGAGTATCAGTTTATTGATCTGGAGAGTAAGGTAAATTAATATTAATTTAAGTAATGCAGACAATATCTTTAGTTTTTGCCATGTTTGAATGTTCAGAACACAGAAAGTACTGAAATAAATGAATATAAATACAAATACATATATGTTGATTATACCTTATGTATTTTCTGTGCCTTTAACTATTTCTCTAGTTTACGCTTTGTACTTAGCCTTTTATTAAGAGAATAATAAGAATAAAATAAGAAATAAAAATAAAATAAGAAAAACATGTTAAAACAAAATATTATACATCAATTTAGGTTTGGAGAAGACCAAAGGAACTTATATATATATTTCATATATATATATAACACATATATTATATATTTTTGTATTAAAAATATTTGATATTAAAATACGTAAATATATACATTAAAATGTTTCATATTAATATATATTTTATATTAAAACAACATATATAAATATATATAAATAACATATAAATAAATGACTACAGCTCTTGGCAAAGAGCAACTATTCATTTACTTTTCATCTTTTTTTTAAATATGAGGAAAAATTAGAAGATATTTACCTGTAACACAAAAACAAGAATAAAGTAAAAAATGTTTTTAAAACCAAATTACTGGCCAAATAAAAGGAAACATCAGGTCGCATATTAGAAAAAAAAAAACACCTTAATGAGAGATAGGACTTACCGTTTTCAAGAGACATAAATAGACTCTGATGATCTGATCAATGTGTGGGAAGAATAATGGTTAACTTGCAAAATTGAAATAAAACAGGCATGGGAATTACAGAAGCCAGGGCTAGCAGGGGCTAGGACATGAGCTAGTGAAGACTGGTGAAGACATTACTTCAGCAGAATCCATTGGTGATCTTGTTTGGGTCATGCACTTGGCTAGGGAAGTGTAGGGAGGGAAGAAGAGGATGGATTTTTTAAAATACACACTTTTAAGCATGTTTTAATTTTTATTTTTAATTGACACATAATGATACATACTTATGAGGTACGATGTGATGTTCAACATGTATACACCATGTAATGATCAAATCAGGTCAATAGGCATATCCATCACCTCTCTTTTTTTGTGTGTGATGGGAACATTGAAAATTCTCTCTTCTAGCTATTTTGAGAGCTACAATACCTTACTGTTAACTACTGTCACCCTACTGTGCAATAAACACCAGAACTTATTCTTCCTTTCTAACTGTAACTTTGTACCCATTGACTGACTCGCCATGGCCCTCCCCTCCTTTCCCCAGCCTCTGGTAACCACCTTTCTATTTGCTACTTCTATGAGGTTGATTTTTTAAGATTCCACATATGCGGTGAGATCACGTGATGTTTGCCTTTCTATGTGTGACTTATTTCACTTCACATAATGTCCTGCAGGTTCATCCATGTTGTTGGAGATGACAGGATTTCATTCTTTTCATGAATAAATAGTATTCTACTGTGTATATATAGCACATTTTCTTTATCCGTAGTTGGGCACTTAGGTTGATTCCATATCTTGGCTACTGCGAATATGGAATCAGCCTACGTTGTCCAACCACAGGTGAATGAACGCTTTTAAACTGCAAATTCCATCAGTTCAGCACACAATAATGATATAAGGAAATTAGAAAAATCTCCCAAATGAAAGCTGGTTTCCTCTTATCAGAGAAAAAGGGAATGCCTAGCAAGGCCAAAATAATCAATGTTTATTAAGACTCTAAAGCCTGATACTGTGTCACTCTCATGTATTTAAAGCCAGAAAGTAAGTCAAAGATGTATCTGAAGAAATATAGTGGGTCAATGAGTGATATCCTTCAGGCCCAATGACTATTTCCTGTATATAAAGAATAAGCTGATTTCATGACCTGTGTGTCTATCCACTTCAGCATTTTTCTGACAGAACACAGCATCAGGAGCCCTCTCACCCTCTAATAAAGGATAGGACTGTTCTCCATTCATGGACAAGCCTCTGTAATCTGTGATACAGGAATAAAAGTCATTTCTAGGTTCATATTAACCATTGATGAAATTCAATACTTTTTAAGCTTTTATTTCCTACTGCTGAAAGCTTTCTAAGATAATAGAAAGTAATATAAAAATTAAGTATATTTTCAAGTGTTTTTTTATCTTTCTTTCCTCCCTCCCTCCCTCCCTGTCTCCCTCCCTCTTTTCTTTCTTCCCTTCCTTCCTCCCTCCCTCCCTCCTTCCCTTCCCTTCCCCTTCCTTCCTTCCTTCCTTCCTTCCCTTCCTTCCTTTCCTTCCCTCCTCTCCTATATCACAGAAGCTGAAAAGAGCCATGCAGTTCAATTATCCTGATTCTTCAGTTTCCATCTGTATGAAACAGGCCACGCAGCAGAGACATAGACACATCAGAATTCCCATCTGCACTGCAATAAACACTACTTAGGAGAATCAGTCTCAGCTGGACCAAACCTCTCAGTCCCACTCGATGTCATCTGTGCCAAGCCAAGGTACATAGAGAAAAAGAAAACCTCACTGATATGGTAGATGGTGGGTGTGAAATTTCTAACACTGTTACCTGTAATCACTAAGATAAGATGCATGAGTTGTCACAGTTAACTCTCCCACTGAACTATGCCTAAAGCCATGTGCTCCATTGTCCAAATGAAGGTAGACATTAAAAAGTTTTTAAATTTTTGTTTGTTTTGTTTTGCTGATGACAGATGTTTGAACACCCACACAAAATGGTGGCTTTAGAACTCGGTTTCATTGGATCAAAATATAAGTATTTGTGTGATATTTGGTTTTGCAGACAGTAAAATCTTAGGCAATTAAAAAAGTTTTTCCAAAAGAGTGTATTAGTATATTAAAAATCTTTTGAGGACTTTTATAAATATGGTTTGTATTTCTTTATTCCCTTTCTGAGGGTGGGGGACTTTTTAGTTTGAATTTTCTCAAAGCAGGGGGATTCTGAGTTTATTTGGGAGGTAATCCAAGAAAATCATCAGTAAGGGTTTGGAGAAATGAGACAGAGAATGAGATGAAGCCAATCAAGGAGGCTTTCTCAAGGACATTACCACTGCAGATAGTTGGAGCTTCAACTCAATGGAAAATTTAGGTATTCTGAACCAACCATGTTGCAGTTATCCCATTTGAGGGATCAGGGAGCTAGGCTATTATCCACCAACTTCCGATGTTACTGGTTAATGATTTGTCCTGGGAGTTTCAGTTCCCAGCACTTCCCAGTCAATCCTGTCCTAGGCCAAGTGGTGGCTAAAGGAAGCTCTCAGGTATAAAACCTGTACTTTTTTTTTTTTTTTTACTTTAAGTTCTGGGATATATGTGCAGAATGTGCAGGTTTGTTATATAGGTATACATGTGCCATGGTGTTTTGCTGCACCTATCAACCCATCATCTAGGTTTTAAGCCTCGTATGCATTAGGTATTTGTCTTAATGCTCTCCCTCCCCTTGCCCCCAATCCGCCAACTGGCCCCGGTGTGTGATGTTTCCCTCTCTGTGTCCATGTGTTCTCATTGTTCATTTTGGTAGCGAAAGTCAGGTTACATGCCAAAGGGGATGAGCAGGACACTGGAAGTATCTGCTAAAGAGATCTATTAACGTTTCCATTTTTACAGGGAGAAATCAGGGCAAAGCTTTTTGTGCATTTTTTATATCAAAATGTAAAAAAGCCCACTGCACTAATTGGCATATAAAACATGCTAACATCTATTAAAATAGAAACAACAAATTAAGCCTATTTATTTTGGTTTGTGTCCTTAATTCTCAAATCCATATCAAGATAATAAAAGATACTGAACTTGATTTCTTCTTTCTATTTCTCAGAGTGACTAGCTATACAATGACTAGTGATTAGTACTGACAATGCTATGAGAATCTTTCAGAAAGTAATAAAGGAGTGGGATTTCATAATTTCAACCTAGTATTTGGAAGTCAGAAGGAATCATACTTACATCATGCTTCTGATGATACCTTTACTATCCATAATCATAGGTTAATTCACCAGAATTCAGATAAGATATGCAATTTAATTCCATTTTGAGTGTATATTCTATTGCATTATATTCTATTTAGCATTTATTGAGTGTTAACAATCTGAACTATGCATGTGACTTTAGCTACTTAGAAAAATTAATTTGAAGGTTGGGTGTGGTGGCTCACATCTGTAATCCCAGCACTTTGGGACGCCGAGGTGGTGGATCACTTGAGATCAGGAGATCGAAGCCAGCCTGGCTGACATGGTGAAACCCCATCTTCACTAAAAATACAAAAAAAATTAGCCAGGTGTGGTGGTGGGCACCTGTAATTCCAGCTACTTGGGAGACTAAGGCAGGAGAATTGCTTGAATCTTGGAGGCAGAGGTTGCAGTGAGCCAAGATCGAGCCACTGCACTCCAGACTGGGCGACAGAGCAAGAGTACATCTCAAAAAAAAAAAAAAAAGAAGAAAAATTGATTTGAGAGTGAGATGCTGTTCTCTGCAACACAAATGAGTTACCCATGCAGAAATTTATTCATGAAACAATTTTTATCAAGTATTGTCGATTAACCCAGTTTTAATACATTTTTTCACAATGCACTATTTTTTAAATATATTTTGATATAATCTCATTTATTTTCTAGATGTTTTATTATACAATTTTTAAACATACAGCTGAATTAGAATTATACAGTGATTACCCATATGCCCATAACTTTTATTCTATAATTAACATTTGAGTATCATTTAAGTCTGCATTTTTTTCTATCACCGCTATAACAAATCACCACAGCTTAACACAGCACAAATTTATTAATTTACAGTTCTAGAGGTCAAAAGTTCAAAATGGATTTCAGTGGGCTAAAATCAAGATGTTGGCAGGTCTGCATTTCTTTGGCAGGCCTTTTTGTAGGCCCTGAGAGAGAATTAATTTCCTTGTCTTTTCCAGCCTGTAGAGGCCACTCACATTCCTTGGCTTGTGGTGTCTTCCTCTATCTTTAAATCTAGCAGTGTAGCATCTTCAAATCTTTCCTGACTCTGACCCTTGCTTCTCTTGCCAGATCTCCTTCTCTGACTCTTCTTCCTTATTCTTCCATCTTTTAAGGCCCTTTGTGATAATGTTGAACCCAGAATAACCCAGAATAGTTTCCTTAGTTTAAAATCCTTGAATTATTGACATCTGCAAAGTCTCCTTTGCCACGTAATGTAATGTATTCAAAGCTTCCAGGAATAAGGATGTGGTCCATTATTATGCCTCCCATTGATCTCTTTTCATCCATCAATCTATCTAATTTTGAAGGTGAATTTTTAAGTAAATTGAAAGCTGCTTATTCTCAAAGGCTACTCTCAATTGAGTTATCAATAAAGAAAAGTTACTCATATCTTCAAACCTCCTTTAAATAAGAATATATTTTACAAATTACTCATACTTCTTCAGGAATTTGTCTGTGTGAATGCTTCCCAGTTTTGCTACTCTATGCATGTGTTTTCACTAATTTGGTTAGTATGTTAACACAAGATGCTGATTTACAGATATTTTTAATGTGTGTTCTGACATTTGTAGTCTTTCTACTGTTTGATATAAATATTTTGCACTCAAGAATTCCATATTAAACCCTCCTTACAAAATCGGTTTATGATTAGATAAACTAAATCCATTTTCCAGTAGATATTTTATCTTTACGGGTCAAATTTAGCCCCAGTGTGACTCATTAGCTATCTCTATCCAACTAAACAAAAATCATCCTTTAGAAAATCAAGGGGATCCCCCTTCTGCAGGGTGGCCATGTTGTAAGAGAAATATAAAATAGTGAAGAATTCAGTTACTATGTAGATTTGTCTGTACGATATTATATCAACTTTGAATTTACAAATTTATAGTATCATATCTAATGAACTAGAAATCACAATGTTTCAATTCAAAAAATTGATGAAGTCACAATTGTAATAATATTAACTAGCATATATTGAGTACTGAGTATCTTCCAGATAGTGTAAATTATGTAAATATTATCAGCCCTATTCAATACATAAGAAAAAGTAGGTGTGTGCAGACTAAGTAAAATACCAATGTTCATACAGCTAATGTCTGCAGAAACCAAGATCTAAACAATCCTGAGCACTCTGCCTGGTGCACAGATAGAGAGAGGAACCAAGAAAGTCATCCCTTTGAGGCTGTATGGAATAAAGAGAAGACTTCTGTTTAAGTCAGTTTGGGGTGCTAAAAGAAAATACCATAGATTGGTGGCTTAAACAGTATACATTTCTTTCTCAAAGTTCAAGAGACTAGGAAATCTAAGATCAAGGCACCAGTAAATCCAGTGTCTGGTGAGGATATGGTTTCTGGTTTGCAGATGGTCATATTCTAGTTGTATCCTCACATGACAGGAAGCAGAGAAAGAGAAGTAGCAAGCTTCCTTCTGTGTTTTCTTCTAAAGGCACTAATCCCATTCATGAAGGCCCCACCCTCATGATCTAATTACCTTCCAAATGCCCCACCTCCTAAAATCATCACAGTAAGGGTGAAGATTTCAACATAGGAATTTGGGAACATAGATATTCAGTCCATAACATTCCACCCCAGCCTCCCAAATTCATATTTTTCTCAGATGAAGGGAAAACATTCCTTTCATCCAAAAGCCCTCAAAGTCCTAACTTATTTCAGCATCAACTCTAAAGAGCACACACTTGTCTTCAAGACAAAGAAAGAAAGGCCCTGTAGATGATGTAGATATTATTAGGGCTGCCAAATTCTCATGTAAATATTGTCTAAGTTAGATATGGGTGAGACTCCAAGTATGACTCATTCTGGGGTAAAATTTTTCTTCAGCTGTGAACTTGTGAAGCCAAACAAGTTACATGCTTCCAAAACGCAATGATGGAACAGGCATAGAATAGACCCCCCTATTCCAAAAGGGAGAAATGAAAAAGAAGGAAGGGCTGAGAGGTCACAAGTCCCAAGAATGCCAAAAACCTAGAAAGGCTAAGAGGTTATAAATCTTGAGAAGAATTCCCTTTGATTCAATGCTTTTCCTTCCAGACTCACCGGGACATCAGTCCAGCCTCCTCCAAGACCCACTATGGCAGCAGTTCTTCATCTGTGGCTCTACAGGCAAGGATCACATGTTGTGACTCTGCCAGGTAGAGGTTGTGCTTCTGTGGATCTGTCAGGTGGCCTTGCCCCCAAGGCTTTGCTGGGTGTTGGTCCTACTCTTTGAAACTGAGGTGGAGACACCCCTGCACCCCCCACCCCCAGGCACTCTGGATGTGCAGTGGAAGTGGCAGTCCTAAGATATCGGCATTATGTGCAGGGTCCTTCTTCCCTTATCTTGAAGAAAGTTGTATGTTTGTAGGTGAATAGCCCTTATGATCCATTCCCGTCGGGTCTTCCAACAGTCTTTCTCCATTTTGTCCTGTTTTCTCTGTTCTTAAGTTCCAGCTAGAAATGTTTCTTCAGCTGTAATGCCATCTCTATGCCAGGCTTCTGTTGAGATGGCTGATTAGGTTATGGTTCACAACCACACTAATCTTATTAAATGGTCACTCTACCACAGCCTTAGTATTCGTTTTCAAATGGACTTTCTCATTTTTATTTTTTATAATGTGGACAGGCTGATACATTTCCAAATCCTTAAGTTCTGGTTTCATTTTGCCTAACAGCTCTATCTTCTGTTCAGTTCTCTCCTCTACATTTTACTATAAGAACTTAGGAGAAAGCAAAACACCCTACGAGTGCTTGGTTTACAAATCTCAGATAAACAGACAATTTCATTACTCACAAATTCTACCTTCCACACAACACTAGGAACACAAACACAATTCAACCAAGCTTTTCTTTTGGAGTACTCACCAGAATCAGAATCAGAATTTATAAACCTCTTCACAGCAAAATCATTATTTGCTAACATATGCATCAAATCTCTTCCAGCTTCTACCCCATTATCCAGTTCCAACACCTCTTCCATATTCCTAGCCACTTTTTACATCATTAACACACCTCTTGGTACCCATTTATGTCTTAGTCTGTTCGGAGTGCTAAACAGAATACCATGGACTGGATTGCTTAAACAACAGAAATGTATTCTTCACAGGTCTGGAGGCTGGAAAATACACTACCAAAGTGCCAGCAGATCCAGTATCTAATGAGGGCCTGCTTCCTGGTTTGTAGATGGCTGTCTTCTAGTTGTATTTTCATATGGTGAAGAGCCAGAGAGACACAAAGGAAGCAAGCTCTATGTCTCTTCTTCTAAGGTTCCAATCCCATTCATCAGGGTTCCACCCTCTTGGCCTAATTGATATGGGCAGGAGACAGGAAAATGCTGAGAAGAAGCGGGTGGTTCCCCAGCAAAGGCCCCACTCTCAAGCCTGGATACCCGTGGCCCTAAATGAGAACAAGCATTCCTGTTTTCATGCCCAAAATGTTGCGTTTTGGCCTGCCACACACCCTGTCCTGCCACCATAAAAATCCCAAGCCCCAGGCTGCAGACCAGCAGTTCAGCAGACCAGCAATGGTGGAATGACACAGTAGAGAAACAGAGGAGTGATGTCTGGACACTGAGGCGAGTTCTGCTGGGGGTGGTCAGAGAAGAATCTGGCTGCTGAGTGGCCTGACTCCAGGTGAAGACCACCTTCCCATTCCATCCCCTCTTTTAGCTCCCCATCCATCTTGCTGAGAGCCACTTCCACCCCTCAACAAAACATTGCACTCATCCTTTGAGTCTGCATGTGATTTAATTCTTTTGTGACACTGGGCAAGAGCTTGGGTTACAGAAGGCTGTCACATTGGCCCTCTGCCTTTGCAATAAGGCCCAGGGTCCATTTAGCTGATTAACACACAAGTCATTTGCAGACATCAAAGCTGAAAGAGCTTGGTAACACTAGGGTTGCAGGCACCCACCCCTAAACACTACCACAGGGCCAAGAGCCCAAAGCACTTGCCCCAGCCTCTGCACCTGCCCATCTACATGCTTCCCATAAAGGTTTGAGCTGCAGTTGGGGGTGACCAAACAGGCAAGCCACACTCCTGTCGCATGTCTTGTGAGGGGAATCGGGCAATGCTACTGTTTCATAATTACCTCTCAAAGGCCCCACCTCCTAATATCATTACATTGGGGTTAGGATTACAACATATGAATTTGAGGAGGGGTGCACAAAGTCCATAACACTTTGCAACAGTGGTAACTTCTAAAGAAAATGTCAGAGTTAGTCAATAGTAGAAACTAGAGTAGGGTTTTTCAGACCAAGAAAACAGAATTTTAAAAAATACATAGAGCATTGTTTCTCAAGGGAGGATGATGCCCACCCCCTGGGGGCATTTGGTGATGTCTGGAGGCATTTTTACCTGTTGTAACTATGTGAGATTGCTACTAGCATCTAGGTGGTAGTGGCCAGGGATGCTGCTATATGTCCTCCAATGCACAGAACAGACTTTGCAACAAGAGATTACCATAAAAAATGTCAGTAGTGCTCATGTTGAGAAACTCTAATCTAGAGCACATACAAATGCCTGAACCAGCATGTACAGGGGACAGGTAGTTTCAGGTGGCTAGATGTGGGATTGAGTGGGAGGAAGGAGAATGGTGAGGCTGTTGTATGTCACTCATAAATAGCTTTATAGTTAGGCTAAGGAGTCTAGACTTTATCCTCCAGCCAAGGAAGATTTTAATAGTGGGGTTACATGAAGAATCTGTATATCTTGAAAAGGGGGTAGTTTATGAATATCAAATAAGATCCTTCATATGAAAGAAGTTTATAAAATTTTGTATAAATTTTAGGCATTGTTATTTCACATACATCAGACCTCATCATTAGAATAGGCTGACATGAAGTGAGATTTATTAGAGCAATTAAAAAAATCACATCACAATTTGACAAGATCATATACTAGTACTCTCAGGATCTGATGTATTGTTACTGTACTCCTAAATAGTTCACTCATATTCTATTTGATTGCTACTAAAGTGCCACTTCTTATTCTCTTCATAGCTATTTATATTTCTAACTCTCAATGTAAACATTCACATTATAAATCTTCCAGGTTTCTAAGCCAGTTCTGCCCTGTCATCCCCTCTCAAGGGTTTATACTGCTTTGACATCCACATAGTAACTATTATTTTGCTCATTCAAATAGACACAATCAGGTTATGAAAACTGAAATACATAGAAATTAATTTATTTTTTTGAGACAGAGTCTCATTCTGTCACCTTGGCTGGAGTGCAATGGCATGGTCTTGGCTCACTGCAACCTCCGCCTGCCAGGTTCAAGTGATTCTCCCACCTCAGCCTCCCAAGCAGCTGTGACTACAGGCACGTGCCACTACATCTGGCTAATTTTTGTATTTTTAGTAGAGACAGGGTTTCACTATGTTGGCCAGGCTGGTCTCGAACTCCTGACCTGTTGTTCTGCCCACCTCAGCCTCCTAAAGTGCTGGGATTAGAGGCGTGAGCCACCATGCCTGGCCAGAAAAAATTAATATTTTTTCATTAACTTTTTTTCTCCATATTTCCTTTTCTTTTTCTGTTCTTTCTCCCTGTCTTCTTTTTCTTCCCTGGTTTTCTCTCTGTCTTTTTTTCCACAAACTGGCTAATTGCAATAGGGAAAAATAAAAACAGGAAGAAAGAAAGCCTTACCAATGTCTCACCAAGACATCAGATTGTTACTTGTGAGGAATAATCATGAATAACCTTAAAGATGACCTCTGGCAGTCCTGTAAGATAGTGTTCAATGACCTTGCCTCCTGATATGAATAGCCTTGTATAATTCCCTATCCTCAAATAATCTGTTACTAATCAAGAGAATGTGGCAACATCGAGGGACTGTCAGTTCTGTAATTAGGTCACAAGAGATGGTAACTTCCGTCTTTCCAGTAGACATTCTCTCACTGGCTTTGATAAAGCAAGTAGCCATATGGGAGAGGTCTACGTGCCAAGGGCCTGAGGAAGAGGCTCCAGACAATAGCTAGCAAGGAATGGAGGGCCTTTAGTCTCACAAATCTTGAGGAGCTTGAGGAGCTGCCAGTAGCCACTTGAGTTAGCTTGGAAGTGGATCCTTCTGTAGGAGAGCCTTTGGAACTGACCCCAGACTTAGCAGACACCTTGATTGCTAATTTCTGAGAGACAATGAAGTAGAGGGACCAGCTAAGCCTTGTCTAGAAATTGCGAGACAATAAACCTATTTTTTTTTTTGAGGTAAATGTTGGGATAATCTGTTACACGCTGATGGAAAAGTAATACATGACTCTTAGTCTAGGTTTCTTCTAAAATTAAACATCTTTGTCATCAATGGTAGGCACTAAAGACACAAAGCTATAAAGCTCATGGACATAAAGAAAGGAACAATGGACACTCGGGCCTACTTGAAGGTGGAGGGAGGATGGATGGTGGGGATCAAGCAACTACCTATAGAGTACTATGCACACTACCTGGGTGACAAAATAATTTGTACACCAAACCCCAGTGACACACAATTTATCCATCTAACAAACATGCACCTGTACCCCTTGAATCTAAAACAAAAGTTGGAGGAAAACATACAAATAAAAATAATAAGTTGTGTGGAATTTACATTGTAAAATCCAAAGACAGTTTTGTTTCATTGTGAAATAAGTGACTTTAATGAAGCCAAAGCACTTCACCCAAATGTTTACTGTTGACATTCTGAAATACAAATGAGAAGCAAATTAATTTTGTCTTCCAAACTATGGGCTTTCAGTCTTTATGGCATAGAATAACAAAATAATAGCATTTATAGACCTAAGAGTTGATACAATCTGCATTAGTTGAGTTAATAATAGCTGCTGTAATAGATCAAAATAACAACATAACACAATAGCCACTTATATAATTTATATAAAGTTCAAAATGAGTGTTTATGATCTGCATGAATCTCTCTTAACATCTTTAAATTAGAAATCCTGAATTGTTCAATCTTGATGCTTCACCATTTTCAATTCCTTTCCAAGATGGCCACAGAAAGGAAACAATTATTGAGTATTGTTCATGAGAAGAGTTTATGAGCAGAGTCTGAAACTGGCTTACGTAACTTTTGCCAACATTTCTTGGGTCATAAACTAGTTCTGTAGTCACACCTAACTGCAAGGGAGGCAGTGGAATATCATCTAGCTGTGCCCAGTAGATGGACTTAGTGATCAGCAAACCAGCCAGGCTTTGTCACATATTCTAATTTTTCTACTTTGCAAATATGAAAATGGAGGTTTACGGAGAGTTCAATGCACTTGATGATGCTCATACCTCCAAAAATAATGAGAGACTAAAGGCTGGAATCCAGTTTTTCTAACTTCTTGTTTGCTACTTTTCTGCTAGTAATTCTATATACGAAATATAGAGAGTAAATGATTATTTGTATAGAGTTTTCTAAAGTTATTAAACATTTTGGCAGACTATCATTAAAGGCCATTTGCAAAGATTCAAATATGTGATTAATCAGCATGTAATTACTTAGCATGCCAATTTAAAAGAAGTAGACCATGGGTCTCCATTTGTGCTGAAAGGGCAAATAAAATATAGCTTTTCTCTAATCTTACATTAATGAAAATTAATTAATGAAAGTGCAGTTCAATTGCAAGAAGACATCTGGGGGCATATGTGGGTTTCTTAGGTGCATCACTTTAATTAAAAATATGAAATTTTATTATCTTTTATTTTAACTAAATTTAAATTGTATGTTATTAGTTCAAAAAAGTGCTTGAAAGAAAAAAAATGGCATTGTGTTCCAAAGGAGTTGTGTTCATTCTGACATTCATTAACCTTTACTAAGATAATCTATTTCAGAGAGGTCTAAATGACCATGGAGCTGGGAAATTTAGTTGGCCTGAATTTGCCAGATGGAATCATGCTCCCTCTAATCCCACTCAATTTTGCTTTCACATTAGACTGGTCAGTACTCAACATCTTAGTTAAACTAGTTCACAAAACTAAGTATTTGTTTCTGTTTTTTTTCTTTCTGTTTTTGTGGGGGTGGGGTTGTTTGGTTTTGCTTTATACTCCTATTAAAAATTTGATGTTTTTTAATCAGTTTTTTTTTCTTTTAACTATGCCATTAAAAAATAATTATCTTGTTTACTGGCTTCCCATTCTTGTTAACTAGAATGAGATTTCTATCGCTTTTAAGTAGAAAGTTTCACTATGGTTAATTTTGGAATTAGAATGCACCTGGAAATCTTTTATATATGATTTTTGAACAAACGTTCTTTACCATAGAAATGAAAATACACCATACTTACTGCTGGTTATTTTTTAGAACACAAATGTTGCATCATCTTTTGATAAGTTGAAGATGCTACATTCAAATGGCAGATATCTTGTCCCATTCTACTAATACTTTCTAGCTCTATGACCTTAAGAAAGATTTGGTGGCTTAGGTGGGTCTGGTTATGCATCCCAGTTTTGTAAAATTGGTAATGTATAGACTCACATTTTAAAGCTTCTTGTGTAGAAAGGCAAAATACGGCAGACATTTGTAGATAAGACAGTTATATTGAAGTATATTGGTAGAATGTTTTAGTTTTGAAGAACAAGGAGGGTGCTGAGAATCTGAGAGAATGAGAGTTATGAAAGCATAATGGAGCTTATTATGGGTTAAGAAATGGATAGGATAAATCGGAGATAGGGTATAAATTCTTGTTCTTTTAAACTGATGGTATATAGGCATAATAATGCATTTATGTATCTTAAAGTGGATCCTCTAAAGGTCAGAACTGTTACCTGGAGGCCAAAAATTTGTTATATAAATCACTGCATACACACACACACACACACACACACACACACACACACAAAATCACAAAAGTACTAAATGTGCAATGCTTTTTAACTTCTCTACAGTGCTTCATTTTTAGTGGTTATATGTAAAGCCCTGGGATGAACTAACTCATATGTATAAAAATTTTGACCTCCTTAAGTAAGAGGCACTATTTCAAACCAAATTACTATTATTAATGGGAGTGAGCCCTGAGCTAATGGAAGACATTTTTTTCTTATTTATTTTTATTTTATTTATTTATTTATTTTTTGAGACAAAGTCTCACTCTGTCTCCAGGCTGGAGTGCAGTGGCGTGATCTCCGCTCACTGCAACCTCTGCCTCCCAGGTTCAAGCGATTCTCCTGCCTCAGCCTCCCAAGAAGCTGGGACTACAGGCACCTGCCACCAGGCCCAGCTAAATTTTTTGTAGTTTTAGTAGAGATGTGGTTACACCGTGTTGGCCAGGATGGTCTGGATCTCCTGACCTCATGATCCACCTGCCTCAGCCTCCTAAAGTGGTGGGATTACAGGCGTGTGCCACCATGTCCAGCCTGGAGGACATTTTTTAAATTACTTGATGAGGGAAGCACTTCAGAACTCTTTCTGCAGAATGAAATGCATTTTTTTTGTTTGCTTAGTTTTCCAATGACAACAGCAAAGATAGTTCAACAAATGTAGAAATTTAGATAAAATAATCCCTTTTGTGTAAACTTCATTTAGAAACTTCATCTTCACCCCATAGCTACTCCTTTTTAGAGGACCTTGGACTTATTTTCAGGCATGGAAAAAATAAGCTCTAATTTGGTTACTGTAAGTCAAGACAACAAAACCATTTCTCTCTCCACACCTCCCACAACTTCAATGGCACTGGGGGGGGCAATGTTTCTTAATCACATTCTCATCTAAGTCTTTGATCTTTTGACTCAGATATCTGTGTCTTCTATCTTGATATACTTGCCATGGTCACCTTAGGTTTTCTTATTTTATTCCTCAGAAGTTTCCTTCTGGCAACTCTCCATCTCCTGTGGCCCTACTGCTTTTTTAACATTTTGAAATCCTTGTATCACATGATTAATACCATCAAAGACATTGTGAATGACTCACAGTTCGAGTCAGTTTAGGTAGAAGAGGAAATTCTAGAAATTTCATGATACAGAACCAATTTATGGATGTTTAAAGTTCTTTATGTGTCCTTGGATTTTTTTTCTCTCTCTTTTTTTTTTTTTTTTGACTATCATAAGATTTAGTATGGCATCAGAGTTTACTCTCTCTTATAAGTTACAATTGTCTACAATAATTACCCTCTCAGGTGACCCAGTAAAATTAGATTATCCTTTGAATTTCTGTATAATCATAAACAGGATGAAAGAGAAGGCAGAGTGGATGTGACAGTGAGGTTTAAGGAAATTTTAATAAGTGAAGAGCTTATTGAAAGCAAAAAGCTGAGGAATGCAAAAAGACAACATAGAAAAGTAGGACACAATAAAATGGTAGCTGTTAAAGGAAATAATGGCAACGGTGGTGAGAGGATCCTAAAGCCCCTAACATGTTACAAATAGTCAAGCCTGAGGGAAGACATGTGAGATCAAGTGACGATAATAACGGAGCTCTCTGAAGCCAACGTTTCTAAACCTCCATTGTATATATGGCTTAGTAGTTTGAATGAGTCCTTGTCAGGATTCAAGAGCAGAAGAAAATATACTAAAAATAGAGACTAGTAAAACAAAAAAAGGTTTTGAAAAGCTATAAAACCTCTGCAGAGTGAGTAATCCAGCACTCGGAGCTTGGAATGTGAGCGGTACGTCATGTTTACATCAGGTTCACCACCAAATCCGGGGAGCCTCCACTAGACACGGTGTATTGGTGAGGTCCCAGCTAACTGAACTACCTGAGCTTCCAACGGTGTTAATGTTAAAACGCTATGCAGGAGAAAATAAAATGAAAGACGAGCCTGAGGCTCAATGCTATAGACTAAACTGTGTTCCCCTCAATACGTTTATATGTTGAAACCCTAACCTGCCATGTAACTATATTAAAAAACGGGTCCTTTATAGTGGTAAGTAAGGTTTATAGTGGTAAGAGGTCATCAGGGTGGGACCCCAGGACTGATGTCCTTATAAGAAAGGGAAAAGACAACAGACGTCTCTCTCTGCGCACACAAAACAAAGCCTATTGTGAGTACACAGCAAGAAGGTGGTCATCTACAAGCCAGGAAGAGGGAACTCACTAAAAGCCAACCTTGGCAACACCTTAATCTTGGACTTCTAGCCTCTAGAACTGTGAGAAATAAATTTGTATTTTTTAAGCCACCCAGGCTGTGGTATTTTCTTATGGCAGCCCCAGAAGACTAATACACCCAGTTAGGATAAGAAATCTGCCTTCTGACCCTCTTCACTTTATTCTTAATTACATAAAAGACAGGCTTCTGAGATATGCAGCCCCTGCTTTTGAGGAGACAACTGCAATTGGAGTGGCAGATGGAGATAAGAAATATCTCTGAAGTCTCCAGACAATTTAGATGGTCTACCTCAAGTCTAATAATAGCGATGTTAGAGCCATTTACCTGGCTGGCTGACTTAGAGAAAGAGTAGTTATATTCTTGAAGATTACTAATGAAATATTGATAAAAGAGTAAGAGTGATCATGCTAAAATAACTTGCACCATTTCCCCAGGTGGTACCATTAGGGTACAGAGTGTGTCATCTATTAATGCTATGCTGGCACAATGAAAATGTTCAAAAGTATTTAAGAAAGGAGGAAGAAAGGAAGAAATGAAGGAAGGGAGAAAAGGGGGAAGGGAGGAAGGGAGGATGAGAGAAAGGGAGAAAGGGAGGAAGGGAGAGAGAGGGAAAGAAAGAAGAGAAGAGAAGGAAGGAAGGAAAGAAGGAAGGAAGGAAGTTTGGGAAAGCAGTATCACACCTTCAGATAAAATCAGTACTTCCGGCTTTCCTCTTGCCTGTGTACAATGGAATACAACATGTGTGTTTAATAAAAATAAATAAACAGATAAATTTAGGGACTAAATACTATTTTAGTCACGTTAACTTCAGTGTTCGACTAGGTATAGATGATCTAGATGACTAGGAAAAATCAATCAATTAGGAATTCACACTCAATCAACACAACCTCAATGATGAGAATGACACTCTAAAGGACAGAACTTAAACTAACTTCAAGGGACCAACACCTTTGAACAAAAAGCCACGTTATGAACCAAAAAAAAAAAAAAACCCAAAAGTAAAACGTTTGATAACAGAATGTGGTGCTGGGACATGAGGCAGACAGTAGGAATTTACAGTGTCATTTATCGGTTGCCATTTACATGTCGGTTGAGTTTCTAGTATTTTAATCAAATGTTGTTTCAAGTCATCAGCACATTAGTCAATCAAGTTTTAGAGTCCTTCATTCCCAGACTCTGCAACACTGTGATCAGTCTCTCCCCATTTCTGGGCCAGGCAAACTCTTTGTTGATTTCATTGGGGTGGATCCTAAAATCCAATCAGGCCACAAATGATTTGGACTGCTGCTACTTCTCTCACCTTGCTTCTTATTTCCTTCCTCTTTATGTTCTCTTTCTCATCCTCATTTTGTTGTTCCTCAAACTTGTCAAAACTATTTCCCCTTTAGGATCTTTACATTGACTAATTCCACTTCCTAGAATACTCTGTCCCCCAGATATAAACATGGTTTATTATTTCACTTCATTCGAACCTTCCTCAAATGTCACCTTCTCCATAAAGCCCACAATGCTAGTTATTTTCTATCACTTCTAGCTCTCGGATATGTCCTTTGCCCTTTACTGCTTGTTTTATGGCTTGGGGATCAGGAGAGAGATGTTGGGGCATTTCTTCCCGTCTCTCCCTTGCTTTTCTACCTGTAGTTTTGATAGTGTATTTCTCTAACTACAATTCTGCAGCTTGACTCTTTTTACATGGCTCCAGCCCTCCCAAGGCTCGAGTTAACAATATTTTGACCTTTTACCTTCAGGTCTTAGGATAGTGCCAGTTTTCTGCTGTCGCTAGACACCAAGTGCTCTAACATTCCTTAACATTGCTTACATTTCTACAAATAGCTCCTTCATCCTACTCCCTCTAGAAGCCTACATGAGTGTGGCCGGGCGCGATGGCTCACGCCTGTAATCCCAGCACTTTGGGAGGCCGAGACGGGCGGATCACGAGGTCAGGAGATCGAGACCATCCTGGCTGACATGGTGAAACCCCGTCTCCACTAAAAATACAAAAAAATTAGCCTGGTGTGGTGGCGGGCGCCTGTAGTCCCAGCTACTCGGGAGGCTGAGGCAGGAGAATGGCGTGAACTGTAACAATCAATGACGTTTAAGATGGCAGAGGCTTTGTTAGCTCGTCCTTGGGTAGATAAGACATTGATCAGAGCCCCTGCCAATCTGAGATCAATTTGTAACAAAATTGATAATTATTATGCCCTTTTCACTTTAAACCTCTGAAATGTTGGCTTTGTTACTGCAGCACCCCATAAATCATCCTGACCAATAGTCCAATGATTAGGACATGCAAAAAATACCTAACTAACCAGGTTTACAAATATATGAACTTAATTTTGTTAGATTCAATAGGCATTACTTGATTATCCATTTTCAATCTACTATTATTTTCTAAAAGCTATTAAGGTTAAAGCAAAGGGCATAAAGACAATTTTGAGGGTTAATATCTAGAAGTGTTTACCAATACCAATAGTCAACAATGTTTCTGGTGATCTTACTATATGTGACTAGTAGTTTGATATATTTATTCATTCTTTATTCATTCACTCAATAAGTAATTTTCCAACGTCTATCATTTACCAGACTCTATTCAAAATACTTGGAATACCTCAGTGAACAAAAGATCCATGATTTCATGGGCCTGCCTCTACCTAAGGGAGGCAGGTTTCCAAGAACAAATGGGTGAGTAAACAATATTATTAAAGATAATATGTGCTATGGTAAAAAATGTGAGGCAGGATGAAAGGATCGAGGAGGTAGGGAGAGAAGGCATTGGTTTGCAATCTTTTAAAAGGTCATTTGGATAGGTTTTCATTTAGAATCTGGTCAGAAAAGGTACACTCATGCAGGCTTCTTTTTTTTTTTTTTTTTTTTTTTGAGATGGAGTCTCTCTCTGTCGCCCAGGCTGGAGTGCAGTGGCGCGATCTCGGCTCACTGCAAGCTCCGCCTCCCGGGTTCACGCCATTCTCCTGCCTCAGCGTCCTGAGTAGCTCGGGGAAAGAGCACATGAAAATAGTCGGGGAAAGAGCACATGGAGAATCACATGCTTGTTCAGTCATTTCTGTCCATAAGTACCACGTGCTATTTTTGCTCTCATATCATTACCCAAAGCAAGGACCATGACCAAGTTTAACTTGAAGTGAGTGAAAAAAATCTAATTCTATCCTGTACCTAGAAGAAGAAAAAACAAATATTAGTGATGAACGTGGATAATTAACAATTGGATCTGATGACTTGAGTTGCTTAGCATGTGACAGATGATGGTGAAAGAGGTGTTACGAATATTCTTAAACATGTTCATGAGATTTATGTGAAATATATAATACAAATAATTATATAGTATATATATCATAATTATATATACTATATAATTATATACTATATAATATCATAATTATATATGTATAATATAATTACTGAGCAGATAAGGCAGAGAGATATAGCACACTGTAAAAACAAAATTTACTCTTCTTTTTGTCCTCAAGGTCCTTGCAGTTTACTGAAAGAGGTTATTTCAAAAAACACTAAAATAATTTGTTTCTGATAGATAAAACGTTTTAATATTTCTTACCTCTGATCCTCAATATCAGAATATTTCTTGAAAAAAATTTAAAATAAATTTGTTTTTAAATAAAATTGAACAAAACTTGAAAATAAAACCCAAATGTATCAACATTAATTTCGTAAATGCTTTTATTTAGCTGTTACAGGGAATTCTCAGGCCCTCTTTGAGCTGTGTAAAATAATGCTAAATTGTCACACATTGTTTTTCTTTGGAAAGAACATATGGCTCCAGGGATAAAAGCACAGAGCAATCTTATCTGATTTATCAGGTTCTCTGCTTATCCAAGTTTCATTCTTGTTCTCTTGTTCCCCTTTAGTAATACACCTGGGTCATTTCCTAAGTATTTTAAGATGGTGTTCACTTTATGACTGTCCTAATATATTTACAAATATTGCTCATGTTTTCTTCCAAAGATTCTGTTCCAATCACAGATTTATTGCTCCCTACATGGCTAAATTCCAAACAGAACTATGTCAGTAATGGTAATTGTAGTAGGCAAGGAATGGGATAAAGAAAATGAAGCAGGAAATAAAATAATTCCTCTTCTCTGCCTTTGAGGTTTTCCTAAAACATTTTTATGGCCGCAATTAAGGTAAACAAATTCACTATTCAATAGTAAAATGCTATAGGTAAATTTTTAACAGTTGAAACATGACTACTTTTCCCAATTTTGATAGTTTTAGCTTATCTAATCAAATAAGTAAATAAAATTTCTCAATTCACCAAACAATCATCAGCCAATATGAGGGCTGTGTCTTGTCTGGCCGCCTACATCAAAGGCTGATATACTTTTTTCAGAAATTTAAAAGTTCAGGTTAGTGAAAATACAATGTGAGTGGTTAAACCAAAACTAATGCTTTGAAAGGATAGTGTGCATAACATTTTAGTTAAATGTATGCATGTGTGTATGCATTTATGTTGTTTCTTTATTTTCTCATGATGAATAAGCCAATTAACCCTTGATAAAATGTATAACTTACTTTAATTTGTTGAGACAATTGTTTCAATATCATCAACCCTGTTTCTGCTGAATCACACTGTGAAAAATAACCTTTTATAGTGATGGAAACTACCATTTCAAATGTTACTTTCTATTAAAAATATATATCGTTATATTAAATAATAAAAGTTTTTTACAAAATTGTGAAAATCAGGTGTTTTATTTTTTCTGATAAATAATGCAAAACCTAGGTAGAGAGTGCAGTAGCTCATGTCTGTAATCCCAGCACTTTGGGAGACTGAGGCAGGCAGATCACCTGAGGTCAGGAGTTTGAGACCAGCTGGCCAACATGGCAAAACCCAATCTCTACTCAAAACACAAAAATTAGCTGGGTGTGGTCGTGGGTGCCTGTAATCCCAGCTACGAGACAGGCTGAGCCAGGAGAATCGCTTGAATTTGGGAGGTGAAGGTTGCAGCGAGGCAAGATCACACCACTGCACTGCAGCCTGGGCAACAGAGGAAGACTCCGTCTCAAAAAATAAATAAATAACTTTTTTTTTTAAAGCAAAACCTTAAACGAATAGCTCCAATGCCTTTATAACTATTATATTATCTGGAGACCAAATCCCAGAGGTGGCTACTAGCAGTTGTTCAACTATCAGTCTTAAGACTAATCCCAGAGGACATGATAATTAGCAGAAATAATTTTATACAGTTGAAAGAAATGATGTTCAGGTTATGTTAACTGGCCAAAAATATTATACATGCTTCCCTGACCTTGCCTGAAGTATTTAAGAACTTGATGAATGGAGCAGCACAGTGGAATTCTAGTTGTAAGATTCCATTCATTCCAGATTCCTAGCTCTGCAAAGGTTTCCATTGCTTGCTCCACTGCAAAGTTTCGTCTCAACCTGACACTATGAGCTTTTCATACAAAGTACCTCGAGTGCTCAGTATAAAGAGCTATTTCCCAGTCCAGAAGAACAGACTTGTAAGTACAAAGTTAGGAAAGAGTAAGTGTAAACTTACTATTGGTTCATTTTGTTTATATTCGTCTGAATGAACAGCTGGACCATTCTTCATGTCCTCACCTTCTGAGGCCTTTCCTGATTTCCTCATTAGGATTTAGACACTTTGCCATTTTGATCCCATTGTCCACATTAAGGACGCTAGAAGTGATAGGAATTACCTCATGGTACTTAAATCAGATGTTATGTTTAATATGCTTGTTTTTTTACTACACTCCCCATCCCACCACTAAACTCATTTGTTGTGCAAATTAATATATAATCATATTTTATGTGGCCTGGAATTTTGCCTAGAGATAATCAGAAGTAACTACCCATATGCATCATAATCTTCTATACGAAGACAAAAAAAAGCTGAACAACATCATGACATTTTGAAACTCCTTATTTTTCCCCTTTACTCTTTCTTATGCCTCAGGCTGTCTTGCTGGTTCAGTCCAGATTAACTGGAACTTGTTAATCAAATCCACCATTCATATCAACGTATAAAAGAATAAGAGCAGCTGAAGATCATACTACTCTCTGGAAGTGTGTTAGACCAAGTCAAAACCTTTCAAAATGAATTAATTTATTATAGTTAGATCATCAGAATCTACCCAAGAGACATCATTTGAAGAATACCTGGGGCCTTCTCATCATTCCTGGAATCCTTCCTTCTAGGAGCATACATATACTTCCTAATATGTAAGGGTAGCCTTAGGAAAGGTTTAGTTCTGGTGTAGACTAATCACAATATGCAATCATAATATGCACTTTTAATGATTTTTTTAAGAATAGCTGGGCCTTCTCATCATTGCTGGAATTCTTCCTTCTAGGTGTATATCTATACCTCTTAATATATAAGTGTAGCCTTAGGGAAGGTTTAGTTCCGGTATAGACTAACCACAACACGCAATCATAATTTGCATTTTTAACAATGTTTTTTACATATTATACAAATTATATGAGGTCTCCAATTGGATAAATGAGCCATGCTACTAGGATCTTGTTTTTCATTCTGTCTGAATTTTTCTCCCTGTGAAGGTCAGACTTTAAGTGGCCATATTATCCCAGCTCCTGGTATGTCTGCACCCACTTTCTACCTCCTCTTGAGTGTGGGTAGGCCTGGTGACCTGTTGCCCACCAACTGAACATGTCACAAGCTATAGGATGGCACTCCAGGGATTTCATTCCATTACACATGACTCTGTCTTGACAGCAGACTTGCCCCAGTCTCTCTCTTTCTTTCTCTCCTTCACAGATGAAAAAACAACAACAACAACAACAAAAACTGCCATGAATTCCACAGACACAAAGAAATGAATTCTGCAAGCAATTCAAGGGCAATCTATAACCTCACTGACTTGAGATCCTGAGGAGGACCCAGTCCTGGCTGCCACCTGGATTGCCCTGTGATATCCTCAACAGAGAACCCATCCAACCTGTGTCAGGGCTCCTGACCCACAGAAGCTGTGAGAAAATAAATGAGTGTTTTTTTTTTTAAGGTTCCAAGTCCTTGGTAATTAGTTATGCAACATAGACAGCTAATACACTACTTTATTCTCTGATTCTAGACCACTGTCAAGATATAAAACATCCTACAAATTGCTTGGAACTACTAAACCACGAATAGTTATTGTGGCTTTTATACTCAGAGCAGCTGGTTTTAGGAAACCGGTAACTACCAGGGGAACACATTCTACCCTATATACACAAAAAACATATGTGAGATGTTACCATAATGTTTCTTTTCTTACTGATGTGTAATATCCATATCTGCTTAATAGCCAGGGGCAGTAAATGGACACATCTTGTAAAAAGGTTTCAAGGGGAAATAAATTAAAAGCGCAATATAAGCATTAGGCACAAATTTCCTTTATATGGCATTGCATTATTGCAGTATCTGTCCATGTGTCTGTCATGGGTTAAATCAAAACATTAATATAAACATTTTCTGCAAAATCCTGGATAACTAAGAAGGAAGGGAACAGTTACATAAAATGCTAAAGGGGCTCATAGTAACAGGCATGACTTTACGGCTTTACGAATTTTTTCTAAGCTTTATTTATTTATTCTCTTATTTTGTGCTATTTTCAAGTCTGTTTTCTCCCTTCCCCCGTCACCGTTTCACAGATAAGTAGCTGAACAGCACCTAAAGGCAATTGTGATATGGTGGCCTCACCATGAAATTGTCATTTTCCAAGTTTTCCTACAATGCTTTGCGCTTAGCAACTTAAATCTAGCTCCTTCTTTTTAGAAACATTTTCCTTCATGTCGTGTACCCTCCCCAAGTGGATTACTTATATTCCCCTAAAGAGTTTTCCAGGCTACTGTATTTAGAGTCACTGATATTTTATTTTCTCACTCAGAAATACAATTCAGTTTCATTGAGGCCACACTTTACATCTGTAAAAACATCTTGACCACATGTAATCTAACAATGTTGTTAGCTGCTTTTATTTTGCATTGCTTAAAGATGAGTTTTGAAAAGAATAGCTTTCTAATATGGTTATGTGGTAAGCAGAATAATGCCCCTTCCCAAAGATATCTACCTCTTAATCCCTAGAACCTGTAAATATGTACTTTACACACAGTAAAAGGGACTTTGCACATGTGATTAAGTGTCTTGAGATGGGGAGATTATCCTAGATTATCTGAGTATGCCCAATGTATTCACAAGGGCTCTTATAATAAAGAAACTCCTAGATAGAAGATGGAAGCAGATTGAGCCAGAGAGATCAAGGCTGCAGTGAGCCGCGATCGCACCACTGCACTGAAGCCTAGCCAACAGCACGAGAAACTGTCTCAAAACAAAAACAAAAACAAAACAGAGAATAAAAGAAAACTGAAGCAGACACTAGAAAGCAGGTAAAATTCTATGCAGCTGGCTGTGAACATAGAGAAGAGGGAGTTAGGAGCTAAGAAATGTAGGCATCCTCTAGAAGCCAAAATGGAAAAGAGAAAAGTTCCCTCCCAGAGCCTCCAAAAGCAACACAACCCTCCGGACCCATTTTAGACTTTTCACCTCCAGGACTGTAAAAGAATAAATGCATGTTGTTTTGAGCTAAATTTGTGATAATCACAGCAATAGGAAAGTAATACAATTTATAACAAAATGATAAAATTAGTTTAGAAGGTTCAGAAATTAAAGGACTTACGGACTTCCATAATCTGAAAGATTCAAAGTGACTAAGTATCTCTCTTTGATATGTGAAAAGGTTAATAACTTTTGTCTTTGTATAGTTAATAACATGTTTTTTTCTTAGAGTAAAAGCATCTCATTTATGGGTTGGCCTAGCCCATACTGGGGATGTGTGCTATTTCCTCACCAATTTAAGGCCTACAGCCCTTCGCCAAGGACAGGTTTTTAAAAATATTTTAAGCAATAATGAAATCAAGAGATGATCTGGATCTGGATAAGAAGAACATTAAAGATTTTGCCAGAAGCCTGGACCAAACTTGTGGGGACTGTCATTTTGTATTTGTGTGGAGACTTCTCTGCTCTACGAATTTCCTTCTACAGGGAAGAATGTCTAGACCCACGGGCACATCTAGTCAAAACTCTGTTACCTGATTGAGCACATGGAGGAACATGAATCCTTCTTGACTTATGGCAACAGCAAATGCAACAACAAAATTCAAAATTAGAGCTCTAACCGGAGAAGGCCATTTAATAGAAAGTTTACAGATATTGCATAAGTAGATACACATCTTATTTAGGTAAGAGCTTGATGATGTTGTGCTTCGCTTAATAGACCCTTGCAGACGGTAGTCTCTAAATCCCATCTGGTTCTCATGATAAAGAAAATTAAACTGTAGGTGGGAGTCAAGGAAGAGAGCCTCAGAATTTTTCTTTAACAACTTGATTTTCCTCTACAACAATTTGAGAAAATATGTGAATTAATTCTTCCTTGGATCGACATCTTGAAAGTTCCCTATCAGAGCTGAAACCTTCCTTCCTGTGACTCAGAACCTAGGCTTACCATATTAAGGACACATGCCTTTGGCAGCATGACCATAATAATTCACAAATATAAGAATCCTTGTGTTTATGGTATCAGCATATAGGTGCCCTTAATGCCTCTCTCACTCCAATTTTGAATTAATAGTTTTCTTCTGTGTACCATAATAAAAGTGGAGCTCAAATAAAACTCAGTTATATGTTGCCTTTTCCATTGTTTGTGGGGGGAATCTCAGAATAAAATAAATGGATTAAGTGATAGACTGCTATTTCAATTATAAATAAATTTTATGAAGACATGACTTCATGTCCAGGATAATTAAAAAATTGCTTATGTTTCTCCAAGTCACTGTGAAAAATTGCTTCACTGGGAGTAATTATTTTCCACTAAAGTGTGTTTTGAACAATTTATATGTAAACTTTGATTAAGACCATGTTTTACCTTTCAAAAGAAAGAAAAATCATGATCTATAAATATTAAGAAAAATAGGTTTGTTGTACATATGCTTATAAAGAAAATAGCAAGTTTGGTGTCTCAAGGCAACAACTTCTGAGATATTTTAGTTGTTGACTCAAATGTGGAAGGAGTAGGTAGCATTATTCTCTGATCCTAGTTCTGTTACTACAGTCATTCAGTGAAACTAGTCAAATGCAATAATGTAGGCAGCCCACTCATTCCACCTCCTTGATGAAATAGAATTGGAAGAGGTTGCCTCTGAGTGTATTTCAACATCAGAGACTTCTCACTCTTTTCTAAGAAGAAGACCATCTCTGTCTCAATCCTGACATTGTTTGTACCTTTGTTTTTTTTTTTTTCCTGCATCTGGAACACACACGAATTTAGCTGGCATTTCTCATCTGTGTAGTTTTAGTATTTTGTAACTATTCCTAACTTTTGCCATACCCTACACCTCACTTCCTCTGCAAGACAAGCAAAAAAAAAAAAAAAAAAAAAAAAAACCTGAAATTTAGTAAAGTCAGGGAAAACAACACACTTCTAGTCTCATTTTGAGAACTTTATCGCTTCTAGTTATAGGAAAAGATTAAATATATACTAATACTTTGGGTGTCATTAAGTAAATAAAATTGGATGTTGAATTCTACCAAGATTGTTCTCAATGGCCAACAGGCCTCTCTTCTGAGCTGTATTCAAACAATCTATTTTATGCATCCTAACTTTGGTGCTCCTAGATCCATTCACTCCAAGGAGGGTATGTTTATTTTGTGAATTGCTTGACTACCCTTTCGGCAGAGATCTTTCATTATCAATTCTGGTGAGCAAACTTATCTGATACAGTATCAGTTTAGCTCAGTGGAAAACCAAAATGTCATTCTAATTTTAATATTTTCATCTTAAAAACAACTTATATATATAATTTATATATATTATATAATTTATATATAAATTTTATAATTATAAATTATATATATATTATATATAAATTATATATAAATTTTATAATTATAAATTATATATAAATATATATAAATTATATATATAAAAGTTTTGTTTTGTTTTGTTTTGTTTTGAGATGGAGTCTCGCTCTGTAGCCCAGACTTGAGTGCAGTGGCGCGATCTCTGCTCACTGCAACATCCGCCTCTCGGGTCCTAGTTCAAGCAGTTCTCCTGCCTCAGCCTCTGGAGTAGCTGGGATTACAGGCACGTGCCACCATGCCCAGCTGATTTTTGTGTTTTTAGTAGAGACAGGGTTTCTCCACGTTGGGCAGGCTGTTCTTGAACTCCTGACCTCGTGATCCGCCCGCTTCAGCCTCCCAGAGTGCTGGGATTACAGGCGTGAACCACCGCGCCTGGCCATTAAAAATGTGTATTTTTATATACTGTTTTAAACTATAAATTATATATAATTTGTATATATAAATTATACTGTTTTAAAAATATATTATTAAAGGGAAACATGCTAGACAAATCTCTATATATGGCTAGTCTGCTTACTAGCTGGTATGTTTGCTTCCAAAAATAACTTACATACAATAAAGTACAGTGGACAATTATCAGAAAAGCTAATTGATACAGCATTTGAGGCTGAAAGAATCTAAAATCTCACTAATGTTTATTTTGTTTCTGAAGTAGCAAAGTACTCTTGATGTTAAGATTTTTGTGTTTTGATGGTAAGCAAAGATAACAAAGATGGTGAATAAATGTATAAATTTATTGTGAAAATGGCAGTTAATTAATGAAATACCAAAATTAAAATTATACTTCGTCATAATCTTTGGTTCATAATTCACTTTCATAACTGGCCCACAAATGGTTCATTTTTTTGTCTCTCTGTCTCTCCCTTTCTCTCTTTCTCTCTCACATACACACACACACACACACACACACACACATCCATACCCACACGCATACCCATACTCACACACACCTGTGAGCCTACCATCAAAAATGAGAGCTAGAATAGTCACAATAGATTATATCAACCTGTCTCTCATCTCATATCTATCTCTGCTTTTCCAAGTGATGTATCTTTTTATTGTTTTCATAATTCCTGTGATTTTACTTAATATAGCTTTGGCATAAACATTTTGCCAATATATATACATATATTATTTAGTTTTAGGTGTTTTTAACTTTATCATTAAAGGTAAGATGCTGTAAATAATCTTTGGGACCATATTACTGTCACTTTACACCAAACTGTTACAATTCATCCATATTATGACATATAGTTGTATCCATTAATTTCTTTTCTAGATATTTCATTCTTTTAACACAGAGTTTCTCAACCTTGATAGAATAATTGAGATTTGGGGCTGATAATTCTTTGCTGAGTGTCCTTGTTCATTATAGGATATTTAGCAGTACTTCTGGCCTCTACCCACAAGATGCCAGCAGCATCCCTCCAGTTGTGACAACCAAAAAATGTCCCTAAACATTTCCAAATGTCCTCTTGGGAGCAAAAGTCACCAGAGGTTGGGTACTACTGGTTTGAAATATCACAGTTTGTTTATTCATTGCATTGGCAATGTGTTCCTGTGGGGTGCTTTTTTTTCCCATATTTTGTATAATTCTGGTGAACTTTCTGAAATATTCTCCTGATATGCACCTTGCAAAACTTTTTCTGAGTGGAATTGCTAGCTTGTAAGGCATGTAATCATAGATCTTTGCTTAAAAAATGTCAAATACTTTTCCAAAATGCCTGTATTGAATTGCCCTTCTACCTGCTTTGTGAAAAGGGCCTTTGATTCACAATTTCTCCAACTCTCATCTTGTCAAATTTAATATTTGCCAAGGCTAGTTGAACAATTATAAAAGAGTATCATACTGTGGTCCTAATTTACATTTCCCTGATTACTAAGATTGAACATTTCCTCATAAAGACTGAACATCTTACAGTTTTATAGTCCTATTTGCCACTTGTGTCTTGTATTCTGTGAAATAGTGCCTTTGCCTGTTTTTTTTTCCTCTTTCTCTATCTCATCTAAATTTTTCTTTTAACACTTGTGTTAGTTATATATGTTACAAATATTTTCTCTCAGTTTATAACTGTATTAGTCCATTTTCATAGTGCTATAAAGAACCTCCTGAGACTAGGTAATTTATAAAGGAAAGGGGTTTAATTGACTCACAGTTCTACATGGCTGGGGAAGCTTCAGGAAACTTACAATCATGGCAGAAAGGGAAGAAAACATGTCCTTCTTCACATTGCAGCAAAAGAGAGAAGAAGGAGAGCAGAGAAAAACGGGAAGCCCCTTATATAACCATCAGATCTTCTGAGAACTTACTCTCTATCATGAGAATATCCTGGGGAAAACTACACCCATGGTTCAATTATCTTCACCTGATCCTGCCCTTGACACATGGAGATTATTACAATTCAAGGTGAGATTGGGGTGGGGACACAGAGCCATATAATTTCAATCCTGGCCCCTCCCAAATCATATGTTCTTACATTTCAAAATATAATTATGCCCTTCTAAGAGTTCCCCAAAGTTTTAACCTATTCCAGCCTTAACCCAAAAGTCCAAGTCCAAAGTCTCATCTGAGGCAACACAAGTCCCTTCCACCTATGAGCCTGAAAAATCAAAAGCAAGTTAGTTAGTTACTTCCTAGATACAATGGGGGTACAGGCATTGGGTAAATATACCCATTCCTAATGGGAGAACCTGGCCAAAACGAAGGGGCTACAGGGCCCATGCAAGTCCAGAATCCAGCAGGGCAGTCAAATCTTAAAGCTTCAAAATAATCTCCTTTGACTCCATGTCTCACATCCAGGTCACGTTGAGGCCAGAGCTCCCATGGCTTTGGGCTCCCATGGCTTTGGGCTGCTCTGCCCCTATGGCTTGGCAGGGTATAATTCCCCCATGTCCAGGCTGCTTTCATGGCTGATGTTTAGTGTCTGTGGTTTTTCCAGGCACATGGTGCAAGCTGTTGATGGATCTACCATTCTGGAGTCTGCAGAACAAATGGCTCTCTGAACTCCACTAGACAGTGCCCCAGTGGGGACTCTGGGTGGATGCTGTGACCTCACATTTCCCTTTGTCACTGCTCTAGCAGAAGTCCTCTATGAGGGCTTCACCTCTGCACCACACCTCTGCTTGGACATCCAGGCATTTTCGAACATCTTCTGAAATTTAGGCAGAGGTTCTTAAACCTCAGTTCTTGACTTCTGTGCACCTGCAGGCCAAACCCACATTAAGCCACCAAGGTCTGGGGCTTGCACCCTCTGAAGCAATGGCCTGAGCTGTACTTCATCCCCTTTTTAGCCACAGCTGGAGCTGAAGCAGCTGGAATACACGGCACCATGTCTTGAGGCTGCATGGACCGGGGGGCCCTGGGCCTGGCCCAGAAAACCATTTTTCCCTCCTATGCCTCGGGGCCTGTGATGAGTGGGGATGCCTTGAAGATCTCTGACATACCCTGGAGACATTTTTCCCATGGCCTTTGTGATTAACATTTGGCTCCTCATTACTTATGCAAATTTCTGCAGGTGGCTTGCATTTCTCTCCAGAAAATGAGTTTTTCTTTTTTATTGCATCATCAAGCTACAAATGGTCCAAACTTTCATGCTCTGCTTCTCTTTTAAACATAGGTTCCAATTTCAGATCGTTTCTCTCAAGTTCAAAATTCCACAGATCTCTAGGACAGGGGAAAAATGCCACCAGTCTCCTTGTCAGAGCATAGCAAGAGTGACCTTTGCTCTAGTTCCCAAGAAGTTACCCTTCTCCATTTGAGATCACCTCAGCCTGGACTTCATTGTCCATATCACTATCAGCATTTTGGTCAAAGTCATTCAACAATTCTCCAGGAAGTTGCAAACTTTTCCACATCTTCCTGTCTTCTGAGCCCTCCACATTGTTCCAAACCTGCCTGTTATCCATTTCTAAAGTAGTTTCCACATTTTCAGGTATCCTTATAGCAGCATCCCACTCTACTAGTACCAATTTACTGCATTAGTCTGTTTTCATTCTGTTATAAAGAATTTCCAAGACTGGGTAATTTATAAAGGAAAGAGGTTTAATTGACTTATAGTTCCACATGGCTGGGGAGGCCTCAGGAACTTATAATCATTGTAGAAGGGGAAGAAAACACAACCTTCTTCAAATGGCAGCAAGAGACAGAAGAAGGAGAGCTAAGCTAAGGCGGAAGCCCCTTATAAAACGACCAGATCTTGTGAGAACTTACTCACTATCATGAGAATAGCATGGAGGAACCCATCCCCATGATTCAATTATCCTACCTGGTCCCACCCTTGATACATGGGGATTTTTACAATTCAAAGTGAGATTTGGATGAGGACATAGCCAAACCATATCAATGACCTATATTTTTAGTTATCTGAGGTGCCTTTTTATGAACACAAGTATTATGCTTTAATATAGATAAATTTATCTTTTCTTTATCATTTATTAATTTTTTGTTAACATAGCTTTTCCTACCCAAAAGCTAAAAAGATATTTGGATTTACCCGTATTTTCCTAAGTACTTAAAAATTTTGCTTTATACAATTATATTGCAGTATAATTGGAATTGATATATTTTGTAAGATAAAAATCTTATTTCTTTGTTTGCATTCTCATGTGAGTAGATATTTTGTTCTGCTTCAATTTTAGAATAGATTTTCCATTCTCCACTGATACAACATGGCTCTTCCTTGATAAAGCAATATTTTACATATATATTACATATATATATTACATATATATATAATATATATATTATATGTAAAATTATATATATATAATATATATATAGTATATATATTTGTTTCTGGGTTCATAATTCTATGCCATTCATCAATTTGTGCATCTATGTGCCAGTCATTGCTTAATAATAAATATTGCTATATACGGGACAAATATCCTACCATAATCTTTTTAAAGAAAACTTCCTCCAGATGTATCTGGATTATAATTGGCCATTGGGTAATTCATGTAAATTGTAAATTCACCTCAGAAAAGTTCTATAATTTTAAGATTTTTATCAAAATTACACTAAAATTTAAGATAAATTTGAAGAAACTTGATATATTTATTAAATGTAATCTTTACTAAATTAATTCTATTAAGTCTTCCCATATATAAACATTGTGCATCTCTTCCTTTGTCTTCTTTAATTTCTCTCAATAAAGATTTATCATTTATCCCTTGTAAATCTTGGATATTCTGGTTATGTTTACAACTATTTTACCTTAAGATAATTTTTGTTGATACCATATATTATATTTTTTAAATGATGCTCTCTTGTTATTTGTTGCCATATTATATAATCGAAATAAAGTGTTGAATATTAAACTCAGATCCAGTCACTTATTTATAATAATTTGTCTGTGATTTTTTGGTAGTGAGTAGACAGTAATATTATTTACAAAAAGTTAAAGTTTTATATGTCTTCTTCTTTCTCCTAGGCTGTACAATGGTCGCACAAAAAATACCCACATTCTAATCTCTGCAGTCTGTGAGTAATATCTTATATGGCAAAAGAAGTCTTTGCAAATGTGGTTAAGGATCTTGAAACAGGGGTATTATCCTGGATTATCAAAGTGGGTCTTACATGAAATCACAATTGTGCTTATAAGATAGAGAGGCAGAGGGGGATTTTACACAGATACAAGAGGAAAATGTGATGTGATCATAGAGGCAAAGATTAAAGTAAGGTGTTAAGATCAATAATTCAAGTAATTTAAGTAACAAGCCAAGGAATGCTGACAGCTATCAGAGGAGGCAAATAATGACTCTTCCCTGAATAGTTAGAGGGAATGTGGCTTACTGACATCCTGATTTTGACCAACTGCAAACAATTTCAGAATTCTGACCTCCAGAACTGAAACAGAACAAATGTGTGTTGTGTTAAGCCACCACATTTGTGGTCATTTTTACAGCAGCCACAGAAAAATTGTTCACTAATGTTATGGCATTTATTTCTCATTATTTTATTTGGCTTGCTAAGAAATCCCAGGTAGTGATTAATAAAAGTAGAGATAACAAGTATCTTGATGTTAGAAGAATATTCTAACATGTATATATTTTTCCACTTAGGTTGTTGTTTGTTGTATATTTGTAGATATACCCATTAGATAAAAGAATTTTTATCTATTTCTAATTTACTAGAATTTATTAAATCAAGAATTTTATCTATTTAAAGTAGGACACGATATCTGCAGGCTTATCATACTAAATTATATTTATATTTTCAGAAGAAAGCCACTGATCATTGAGTATAATCTTTAAATATATTGTTGGATGTTTGCTAATACTTCTTTGGGATTTTTGCATCTATTTTTGTAAGTGTAAGGGATCTGTGATTTTTCTTTTTTTTCTGAAATTTTGTGATTTGGGTGTCAATGTTATATTTGTTTCACAGAATAAAATAAATAGTAATTCTTCCTTTTGCATAATCTGGATGAGTTTTTATAAGGTATGAATTAGTTTTTGAACATTGCCAAAACTCAACTGTAAAACCTCTGGACTGTGAGTTCTCTTTGAGGGAAGATGTTAAAGTACAGCTTTAATTTCTTAAGCATAGTACTATCGATAGATCCTGTCTCTTTTTCTGTCACTTTTGGTAAATTACATTTTTCTAAGATTTTATTTTTATTTTATCATATGTAAATTTTAAAAAGTTGGGGGATAAATTTACATATAGAATACCTGTTATATTTTAACTTTTGCTGTCTGTAATTATGACCTCGTTACATTTTTGCCTCATCTGTAATTATATTCTTGAGAATGTTTTTTATTGTATCCTCATATTGGATAACAATTTAACTGAATACAAACTTCTATTATCAATCTGTAATCATGTCTCAATTTTTGTTTGCAATAATTTTTATCTGCATTTTCTTTAGTTTTATTTCTATGACCCTTTTTGGAGGTTGTCTATTTTGTTACTCTTTTCAAATAGCCGTATTTCAAATTTATTTTTTGCTACTAAGTTCTAATTTAATTCTGTTGAAATCAGAATTATAAAGTAGTTGATGGGAATTATAAATAGTTCTTTGAGAACTATTTTAATGTTTAATGCACAATACATAATTTAATTTAAATATTTAGTGCATACTTGAGAACATATAATTTCTAATTTACTGAATGCACCGCTTTTTACATAACACTCTCTCCTTTTCCACACCCTCTCTGAAGTTAAGTTGAATAAGTCTATTGTTCACAACTTTCATATTCAACCTATAATAATTAGGCGGCATAGTAAAATCTCCTACTCTGACACTGGGTTTGTATGTCTCTGTCATTATGTGAAATTTTGCTTTATATAGTTGAAGACTGTTTTATGAGGTGCATGCATGTTATTAATTTTATGTATTCTTACAAATTAAGCCTAATGGCATAGTATAATAAAACATTAATATTTGCTGATGATTTTTGTTTTTAAAACAATTTTGCCTGCTAGTGTCATGAACTGTCTTACCTAATAGTCATGAACTGTCTTGCCTAATAGTATCCTGAATTTTTTTTTTTTTTTGTCTTTCATTTTGCTTTGTATAACTTTATCCTCTATGTTTAGGCATATCTTCTTAACGTCTTATAATTGGATCTTCTCATTTTCTACTTTCAAAAATCTAATCCAAATCTAGTTTTTAGCAACCGCATTTTGTCCTTTTATGTTGATTGTTATGTTAATACAATTGAGCAGCATTTTTTCTCCCATTTTACTTTTTAATTTCAATTTGCCAAATTTTCCTTCCCTTATAATCCAATCTTACTTTAAAAAAATTATTTTTATAGTTTCACTTCGGTCCAGTCAACATGTTTTGTTCTTCTCACAATAATTTCCATCATATGTACAGGGTCTAGTTAGAATTTTAATTCTTAGTAACTGTAAGTAGAATTTATATATTTCCTTTATTTGGTCTTAGCAGTTGTTTAGAATATAACTACCTTGAGGATGCTATGAGATTATCCTAGGTTCTTATTTGTCCTGCGGCATCTGTTCTTGCATTGTCTTGCAGAATTTTTTAAATTTTGACTACAAACTTGTTTTTATAACATACACTTAGGAGAAGACATTCTAAGGCCTTACGTGCCTGAGACAGTTTTTCAGAAATTATACCCATAGTTTTGAATAAATTTTTGCTAAATAGGTTCTAAGCTCAGAGTCATATTTTCTTTTTCACTTACAAAATATTATTCTATCACCTTCTTTAATCCATGGTTGCTATTGAAGAGCAAGCTAGTTATTTTTTTTCCCTTTTAGACTGCTCGTTATTATTCTTTAAAAGCTTTTGGAAATTGTTTTGAATTTGTATAGGTTTCATTTATTATTTTTGTTGCTATTATCTGTTTGGTTTAGCATTTTTTACTCCATTTCAACTTAATGTTTTTGTCTTTAATTCTGAGAAATGTATCTTCATTATATCTCCAAATATTTTATTGCCTCTATTTTTATTTTTCTGTCCTTTAGGGTTCTCTGTTATCTGTATGTTGACTGTTCCTATTCTATCTTTTACAATTTAGCTTTCATTTTATAAATTTTTATATTCTCTTCCACTTCATTCTGGGAGAGTTCCTAAATGTGATTTTCCAATCAATTATGTATTCTCCAGCTTTTTTCTATATACCATTTATCTCATCTTTTGTGTTCTTTAAGTTTTTGTTTTCATACTTAATTATTTAATGATTTGCTATACATTTTTATTTTATGTTACCAATATATTTCTGTATTTTTACTGTGCTTTTAATCTATATCTCAAAATTTTTAATACTTTTGCTTTGATGATATCCAGTTTTTTAAATCTGTAAAGTCCTCCTGAGCTCATATTTCCCTGGGAACTCTCAGTGTTTTTGTTTGATAATGCATCTAATAAAAGCTGTATTCTGGTCTTTGTCAACCCACGTGGTCTCAAAGAATGAGAAGGGGTGTCCCCATGTTGTAGATGCCCAGGCGACTAAACACTTCTTTTTTATCTCTTTTTGTTCAGGTGTGTTTTTTAACCTCTTGCCTGTAGGGAAAGTGTTATAAGGCTTTGCAGTATATCAGCATCAAGAGTTTAATAATGGAAGAATGGGTGATTTAAATCTAGAGGCTAGTCATAGACAGGTATTTCTTCATCTCTTCATAAGTTCAAGCCTTTATGTTGTGCACAAATTACCCCTGCAGAAAACTACACCAGTGTTTGAGACATTGGCCTTGGTTTTTTGCAGTGAGGAGACAGGTATTTATTTTCCTAAACTAAGTAGAGCATAAAGGAAAGGGAAAAACTCAGACCACTCCAAAATGGCCCCCATGCCACTCTTCCAATTACAGCAACCACAGACAACATTTCAAAGCAACCTTTCTTTTTTCCAGTTATTTGTTTATTTTTTCCCGAATCTTATTTTCCCTCCCTAGTTTCCTAGATGTTGATCTTTTAGGAGGGAAACATTAGTCTGGGCTACATTAAAACACACTGTTTAAAAGGTCTGCAAAATACATATTAATTGAAACCTATTTTATTGCTTTACTTTATTAATAAGAACAATAAGATTCAGAGAAGTTAAATAATTTACTTTACATCACAGGACTACTAATGGAGGCTCTACCCTTAAAACTAGCAAGCTTCCTGAGTTGTAAGAGCCTGTTTTTCTTTCTTAGTAGTACATAATAGAAGGAATCTTAGATACAATAAAATATAGTTATTATAAGTGTACTTTTTAATGAATACCTAGCCTATATATTTATTATAATTAAACATAAAAGAATGGACATATAAAAAAGAGGAAATTTGGTGAGCTTTCTGCTTCCAAACATTCCACTTTGTTTATCAGAAAGTTACATTGCATGATCTATAATTTATAAACCTATCCAAATATTTAAAAATTGGTAAAGTGATAATATTCCAGTAATTTTTTCCAATATGCTATTTCCTCCTTTTTCTTCACACGTGTCAATTAATTATCTTTATATTATTTTCAAGCATTTTAGAATTGTCACAATAAGGCAGAATATTGGTTATGTAGTACTTATAGACTTTTATTCATATACTGAAAATGAATACAATTTTTATTTGCACAAAGATGCATGTTCTTAAAGGTATCCAGAAGTATAATTTTTGTAGGCAAATTTATTAAGGAGAGCACATACTATATTTTAAATGAGATAAAATGTTGCTTTTAAATATCCTTTTCCCTTATTGTGCGAATTGACTTAACTTTTATCTCCTCTGCTGGAGTATTAACTCTTGCATCTGAATAGCCACATTTTAATTTTCTTTTTAAACCTCAACCTTAACATAGTTACTGCCACTTGGTTAGTGTTCTGTAATTGCCTTATGATTGAATTAATCAATATAAAAATATAATTTTTGAAATTATATTTTATATGAATGCTCTATTCAAAATTTAAAATCTTTCAGAGAAGCAAACATACAGTATTCAATTCTGAGAGCCCAGTACAGTGCCTTTTACATATCAAAAAATATGAAATATAGCAATGATACATTTAAAAAGAAATATTTGATTATGATGTGAATACTGTAGACAATTCAATGGCTTTTCTTCTACATGAACTTATAATTTTAAGTGTATATTATATATATACATAATTTTAAGTATATATTATACATAATTTTAGGATATACATAAGTTCATGTATTTTAGTATATACATATAGTATGTACATGCATAATTTTAAGTATATATTATACATATTTTTATTATACATATAATTTTATGTATTTTAATATATACATAGTATATACATAATACTATGTACATAATAGTATATACATATACATAATTTAGTTTATACATAATTTTATGTATATATATTATATATATACACATAATTTCATCCATATCTATTTATATAATTTTAAGAAGTACCATATATATATATATGGATGAAAAATTATACATAGTAGTAGAAAATGTTACCTTTATCAAGTAGCATGATTCACACTGAGGTGGCAGATTCCAATTTGGATGGCCTCATATCTTCATCTATAGGTCAGTGTACATATGTTGTACCCTACTTGTATGTCAAAATGGTGCATATTTCACATGGCAATTTTGTATCTAGGTTTAAAGAAAGAGCAAGACGGAAGATCACAGTGATTTTAGTGCACCTGCTATCACATACCAATTCAAATGGCTAAAATTAGAAAACAGACAAATAAACAAACTGACAGTAGCAATGCTGGTGAATATTCAGAGCAACAGGAACTCCCATTTATTGCTGCTGGGAATGCAAAAAGGGAGAGTAGCATTGGAAGCCAGTTGGGCAATTTCCTACAAAGCTAAACATAGTCCTGCCATGCAATGCAGCAAGTTGCACTCAGATTGATTTGAAAGCTTATGTCCACACAAAAACTTACACATAAATGTTTATAGCAGCTTTATTCATAATTGTCAAAAACTGGAAATAACCAAGGTGTCCTTAAAAAGATAAGCTGTGGTGCATCCATACAATGAAATATTATTCAGCAATTTTTAAAATACACCAATTCATATCTTAAAAAGACATGAATAAATATTAAAGTGCTATCTCTAAGTGAAAAAAAGCAATCTGAAAAGACTACAGATTGTATGATTCAAATAATATGACATTCTGGAAAGAGCAAACAAACAGAGACTTTAAAAAGACCAGTGGTTGCTAGGGATCCTAGGAAAAGGGGGAAGGGTTAAATAAATGAGACATACGGACTTTTTCAGAATGAAGGAGTATTGGGTGTGATATGGTAATGGCAAATGCATGAATTTATGCGTTTGTCAAAATCTGCAGAATTTTACAGCACAAAGAAACAATGCAGGAAAAAACTATTCAGGAGGTTGTGGGCTCTCAGGATTGAATGCAGACTGTGAGAAAATGTTCTAATTGCATTACAAATAATTAAAACAACTTCACTGAAGGGGTCCAGGGAAAAGATGCTGACCTAAATAACTTTGGAAATTAGTGGAGTCAGTATGAGTGAAGGCAAAAGGAACTGTACATAATCACTCTACTCAAGTTGGTATATTTGCTTCCATTTGGGGTGGGTTTACAATTCTGATACTGCTATACAGGTATACTAAAAGTGAGCAATTAAGCACATGCATGGTACATGGAGCCATATTTCTCACTGTCGGAGAGTGAGATAGAGATACAGATAGAGTTGGGATAGGTAGGGAGAAGTCTCGAATGATAAATGTAATGGATTACAGCTGAAGACATCAGTATGAACTAATATTTGGTTAAACGTAGCTACAGAGGGCAACACCCCAAAATACTGGGAAATATATATGTACACAGGATTTTTATGCACACATATATTTTCATCCTCTATCAGCTACGTTTATATGAAAGCAGTGAAATCAATATCAGGGAACATGCCCAACACCCAGATCTTGATTACTAATACCATTCTGCAATAAAAGGAAGAAAAACGGCTGACAAGCAGGATAAAGGTAGACAATATACAACAGGAGCCTGGTAAAGTAGCACTCAAAATACACACACACTCTTACATTGGTGGGGCTATATCAAAGGGAGAAGCCAACTGAAAGAGCTCCTATTGGTCAAAGCTAGAAAAATTTGAGCTATAACATAAATAAAGAGATATTTAATTATAACCCAACATATAAAATAAATATCCACTGAAGTCTACTTTAACTTAAATGTGGCTGAATACATAAATAAATGGAAGAGAAGAGACAAATCTCCTATGTAGGAATCCAAATAATTTATGTAAAAAACTCTGCTCTTAAGGAGGTGAAACAAAACTCTTCACTCTTTAAGTGTGAGATGGATATACTGATTGCCTCTAAAGATACAACGTGGAAATGGGAATAAGACAGAAACTCCACAGTAGAGAAACCTGACAAAACCCTTCAGCCAAAGAACAAGATCAGCATCAACAGCCATAAATCATGTTTGTCGTATGTACCTGCTATGGTTTGAACGTGTCTTCTCCAAAATCCAGGTGTTGCCAATGCGATAATATTAAGAGGTGTGGCCTTAAAGAGCTGATTGGACCCTGAGGGATCTCTCCCATGCATGAGTTTAAGGACTTTAACAAAGGAGGCTTCATTCAGTGTTGGGCTAGCTTGCCCTTCTGCCTTCTGCCATGTGAGGACACAGCAAGAAGACCCTCACCAGACCAAATGCCAACACCTGGATCTTGGACTTTCCAGCTTCCAGTGCTGTGGGAGATGAATTTCTGTTCTTTATAAATTCCCAGCCTGGGATAGTCTCTTAATGCAGCACAGACTATGAAAGTGCCCTTGGTGTGATGTAATGGAAATGGCACTTCTTTATGCTCTGCTTGCCAGAAACCCCTAACCTCATTCTAACCATGGAAAACACAAAATAAACAACAACAAAAAAAAAAGCATCAGAATAATTCCAAGAGAGAGACATTCTACAAAATATTCAACCAGTACCCCTCAAAGCTGTTAAGTTTATCAAATGCAATGAAGAAACTGTCACAGCCAAGAAGAGCATAAGGAGACATGGCAAATAAATGTATTACAGTAACCTGGATAGAATCCTGGAAGAAAAAAAGAGCATTAAGTGAAATTTAAAAATCCGGTTGAAACTGTAAACTTTAGTTAATGGTGATATATCCATACTGTTTTTTGAATTGTAATAAATGAGCCATACTAATATAAGATGTTAAGAATGGTGGAAACTCAGTGTGGGGTACATCGGACTCTGTGGACAATCTTCTTAATTTTTCTCTGTATCTAAAAATGTTCTAAAAATTAAAGCTCCATTTTTAAAAAGTAAGCAAAATAGTCCTGCCCACATACAAGATAAATTTTGCACTTAGTATCCTTATTATACCTGTGAACAAGAAAAAAAATGCAAATTCTTTAAAGCAGTAAGAACATTTAAAATGTCTTTTATTGGTTTACATTATATTTATATTTACATATAATTTTATCTTATTATTCCACAAATTAATGATCAAAAGCCCCTTGTAATCAACATATTTTACTGCAAAAAATTACAAATTAATTTTTTGAATATTTTGTGAAATAATGGTGCTACTTTTAAAAGGCCTTTAAGTATAATATTACTAGTTCACAATTGATTTTAAAACATATAATGCAAATATGAACAAATTATGATTAAATCTAAAAAAGATATTTTTCAAATGCATTTCAATGGGGTTGGGCTGTTCTGTGTATATGTGTGTGTGTTCTTGACTTCATTAATCAATGTGTCCACTGGTTGTGAAATATATTTTTCGATAAGATTATTTTTGATTTTTATAGATGTAAGAAAACACTGATGTAATTTAAATAAACTTTATTATAACAATGACAATGAAGTTTTTGAATTTTTCTGTTAAAAGCTGAAATTATGAATAATTTATCATCAAAAATCCTTTGTGATGATCTATCAACAAGTAATGAGTTTCTCCTTTAATAGTGTTGAAAGAAAAGAAATGTTAACCATATTATTTTCAAAATGATTTGTTATCAAGTCCTTAGTAGCATTTATTTCCTCAGAGTCTGGAAATTTTACCAAAAATGCTTAACAAGATTTACCAAATGACTATTTAATTATATATGTGACACTTTTATTTTGAGGCACCTCATTTAATCTAATAAACTCAGCATTTAAAATCTAAATATTAATTTTAATAAATTTTTATTATCATGATATGTTTTAACAAAATACTTTTATCACAGATGTTAAATTCATTTTTGCCAATACTTTTAAGTTTGAGATTTAGGTCACTACATATATGGGAATAATTATTACATTACCAACATGTTTAAACAAATCTTTATGGTCAAGCTGATCAGACAAATCAGGCTTACTTTTTCTCTTAAAGAACAATTGATTCCATATTTCAATTGAAATAAACACATGAATAGGCATTTTTTTAAATATACACAACACATTTTATAATATAGATTACTAAAAGTATTCAACTTAAGTTAGAGAATGAGCTTTAGATTTCATAATAAATTACTGAACCTATATTTATTTTTATTTGATTTATAGTAAGTCAATGAAAGTGTAGCTATAATTGTGAGTTATTAAACAGGTGAAAAGTATGACGTAAAACATATTTTTTCGGTAAATGTGTATTATGCATGTGCTGGGCATTTGGGGATTAATTACCATACATGTGTACATGTATACATATTTATGCACATACAAACACATATACATGCATATGTGTGTAGTGTGTATGCATATGAATTTATGCAGACACGAGTGTATTTTTACCTATCTACATATGCATGCATGTGCATATGTGTACCTGTATATATATGGGTGTATATACATATATATGCCATTTTTATTATGAAGTCTCATAATCAAATTTTCATTCTATTTGATGAAAGAGAAAATCATATACTGCTAAAAATTATTGGTCTGGAAGAGAGTAGATGTAGTCTATAATGGTATTTTTTTTTTTTTTTTGTAAAGAGATGGTCAAAAGTGTAAAACATTTTATAAATTGAAATAGATGAAGACAATAATTGGAATAAATATTTAATAACCTCTTTAGGAAAAAATAAGATTTAACAACCTTATTTAGTCTCACAGATAAATGTACAAGAGATAAAATAATTTTTTGCTCATGGGTCTTATATAATAAATCTTAAAATATTTCATGGTCCAAAAAGTAAAGTGTGTTTTGACGTAACTTCATGATCACATTCTGTGTCTTCTGGAAGCACTGTTCTATTCATGATAGACTACTATGGACTATTTGTGTCTCCAATATTCATATGTTGTAATCCTAAACCTCAATTTGACGGTATGATATACTTATTAGGCTCTTTGGAGCTACTTAGGTCATGAGAGTGGCATCATCCTACATGGAAGTAGTGCCCTTATGAAAACACACAAGAGAGCTTGCTTCCTCTCTCTCTGCTGTCTGCCATGTGGGGACAAAACATGAAGACAATCATCTGCAAACCACAAAGAATGAACTCACCAGACACTAAAACCACCAGCACCTTGATTTTGAATTTCTCAGCCTCTGAAACGTGTGAAATACATTTGTATAGCTTAAACTACTCAGCCCAGAGTATTCTGTTAATAACAGTCTGCACTAAGAAATCAATCCAGTGATAAGTATCTTGGAAAGCATTTTAAATATATTTGGGGAAAAAAGTCTGTATTTGTTCTTGGTAGGTTAATTTGATATTTCTGTATTTAAGCTGAGTAAACGATTAGTTTATGTCTCTATAAGGTGCCAATATCTGTACCTTATAGAACTATTTCTGTCAAACTAGGAAAGTTCTCATTACAAAGTAGGCTAAAATTTTAACAATCTACTATGTATAACATATTGTGTTTAAGATTAACATATATTGGTTGGGTCAAGGTTTTTGGATTAAATCTGGGTGCTCGTGCTCTTCTAATGTCAATGTAAGTTAACTGTTTCAATATAGACAAAACTAGACTGCCAAGAATAAGACTAAGCAAAGTGAGTGGTTCATATACAAGGGTTTCGTTTTTCCTGAATATCCTCAAACAAATGAATTAACTTTGCATCATTCTGGGGTAGTGAGTAAAATCCATATGCATACTGTATGTTTCTTTCATTTTCAGTTCATATTGGCAATAATAACTTTCACACAGCACTTTTCAGGGAAATTAATGACTGGTTGGAGTTAATGGACTAAGGAGCAAGCCCTTCCAGGCAGTCATTAATCTCTAGAAATATTGCTTAAATAAAAGCTTGCAAGAGAATTTGAAGAGAAATGCTAGACCTGTACATGTCACTACAAAACAAATGGCAGTTTCGATCCCAAATAAATCTCTAAATGAACAAATAATTTGTGTTTCCATTGTTCTGTTTCCCAAAATGCTGTGCAGCATTTACTACTTTTCAAAGTGCCAATGCAGATTGTGTTTCTTCAGGATTCAATGCTGGATGGAATTATCCTAAAGTGGATTTTCACCTTAAGTAGTGGAATGTAAATAGCACTTTAAAGAACTAATTTGCAATATTAGTTTTTTATACTTATAAATAACTTCAGAAGGCCCTTGGGGCCAAAGAGCTGTAACTTAAGAAAAACTGGCAGTAATCGAGTGTACGTAAAATGTCTTTATTGATAGAACAGTGGGTTCTGCATTAATTGTCTTACCTATATCTCAGTCATAACAAACAATTTTGATATTTTCTCTCTCTTAAAACACTATTATCCACTGGTATCATTGTGTGTAGATATCCTCTTCTCTCCAAATGCCCCTTCTTATTCTTTGCTATATGGTATGAATATTTGTGTCTTTGGAAAATTCATAGGTTGAATATTAACCCCCAATGTGATGGTATTAGGAGATGAAGCTTTTGAGAGGTAACTAGGTTATAATGGTAGAACCCTCAGGAATGGGGTTAGTGCAGTATAAAAGACCCTAGAATGAGAGGGGAAAAGTCTGCACTTGGAAAAGGGTCCTCACCATAACTCGACCATGCTGGTGCCCTGATGGCACATTTCCAGCCTCCAGAACTTGTTTTATGTTACCAAATATTTGGTAATTTGTTATGCATCAATAAAACAAATACACTGTACCACTTGCTTAAGAGTTCAAAATAAAATCCTATGAGTACATATGTATCTGTTAATGAGAAATAAAATTCTATTGTTTATAAACCACCTAAGTTATTTGCTACCGCATCCCTAACTGACAGTCCCTCTTCTGACTTGGTTTCTTTATCTTATCTAAATGCTAGTGTTGCTCTGAGAACATGCTCAACCATTTCTTATTTTAGGGTTATAAGCCTTCAGTTATTTTCTATAGGTTAAAGTCTTACCCCAATCTGAAGTAACCTACTTTTCACGCAGTCTGCTTCTCTTTCAGTGATTTCAGTCTCAGCAAACAAGTATCATCAACATCCACACCAGAGAGGTCATTTTCAAAATTCTCTTTTCTTCACTAAGCCCCGTCAATTATATTTTCAGAACAGCATTTCAAATTTATCCATTGCTTGTCAGTTATATAACCACTTCCTAATCTGATGTGACATTGCCTTTCACATGGATTGATGGGCAGCCTAATTGATTTTTTTTATTGCCATTCTTGTTCCACTTAAATTTCTGTTTCCAGAGAGTAATCAATGATCTTCCTAAAATGCATGACTATGTTACCTTACTACTAAGATCTTCAATGATGTGACATTCTCTCTTTAATACTGGTCATACTATTTCATATAGTTTACAAGATTATCAAAAACCTGGCCTTCATGGATCAATAAAAAAGATAAATATTGTGAATAATTTCTCATTGTTCAGAAGTCCCCCCTTTACTCATTGTGATGGTCAAATCCTAGCCTCCTAGCATTCTTGTGTCATCTTCTCCCCTTGAGTGTAGACAGAATGTGTGACTTGCTTCTTATCAATAGATATGGCAAATGTGAGTGGATATTTATGATAAGATAAAAGTGATTATGTTACATAAAGATTGTAACACCTGTCATCATACTAGGAAGCTCTCTTTTTTGCTGATTTTAAAGAAGAAAGCTGCCATGTTGGGAGCTGCCCTATTAATAAAGCCACATGGCAAGGGGCTGAGGGTGGCTTCTGGCCCGAAACTAGTAAAAAACCGAAGCTCTCAGTCCACACACCTGCAAGGAACAGAATTCTGCCAACAACCACATGAATGAACTTGGAAGCAGAGTGTTCCCATGTGACCTAGGAAAGCCTCAGATGAGAATCCAGTCTTGGCAGACACCTTGATTGCAGCAGTGCAGGGGATCTTGCTAAGCTATGCCTTGATTTCTGACCCACTGAGACTGAGAAAATAAGTATGTGTTGTTTTATGCTACCAAATCTTTGTTAATTTGTTATGCATCAAAGAAAATGAATTTACTCTGCCACTGCCTTAAGAGTTCAAAGATTTTTGAGTACATATGTATAGCTAGGTGTCAATAATATAAAGCAGAAGATTATTTTTTATAGTCAAACACAGACATAGACCAGTACACTTATAGAGAGCAAGAATATAACTTTTCTTTTCTTTCTTTCTTTCTTTCTTTTTTTTTTTTTGAGATGGCATCTCGCTCTGTTGCCCAGGCTGGAGTGCAATGGCACAATGTTGGCTCACTGCGACCTCCACCTCCCAGGTTCAAGCAATTCTCCTGCCTCAGCCTCCTGAGTAGCTGGGATTACAGGAATGCACCACCACACCCAGCTAATTTTTGTAGTTTTAATAGAGATGGGGGTTTCAACATGTTGGTGAGGCTGGTCTCGAACTCCTGACCTTGTGGTCCACCCGTCTCGGTCTCCCAAAGTGCTGGAATTACAGGTGTGAGCCACCGCGCCCGGCCTATAACTTTTCTCTTTAAATCTACTTTAGATAATAACAGGAAAGTGTCAGCTCAAACAGTTATGCATAGGTGAGCTAAGATAGTACTCTGAGGGGAAAAATGGTAATTAGAATAAAAAGAAAAAAAAAATGTGACAAGCATACAATGTGGAGAGAAGATAAATGGGGAGCCCCAAGAGACATTTGAAGAAAAAGGAGCACTCACCCCTAGAAAGGGCGAAATAACTGAGACTGATACTTCAAAGCCCTGGCTATTTATTTATACGTCAAACTAGTCACAGCTGAGGGCATAGAAAACCTTCCCTCTTGCATCCTGGGAATTTAGAGCTGAAAATCAAATATTGAACTGTGTTACTTAAATTTTACAGATAAAAAAAAAAAAACTAAGTCCCAAAAAGCCTAAGTTAACTTTCTCAAAATCATACAGCTTATAGTTGGCAGGGCCCGAAATAAAAATTAAGATTTCACTTCCTTCAAACCATATATGTCTTTCACCCTAATTTGTTTTGAATTGTAGTGTAACCGATTATATGGTTTGATTGATAAATCAAAACAACTACTCATTACAGTCAAGATGCTTCTGTATTAGTAAAACAGTTTCTGCTTTGAAAAGAAAATGCAAATATTTGTATTTTAATGACCTTTGTTCAGTGTTTTGAATCTTTCTGCCCTTTCAAATAAATATCTAAATGTTTACAAACTATTAAACATCAAAGTGATAGAATATTAATTTTCAGCCTCCCTATATATTTATTAAGGCTCTGTCTAGAAGTCAGCAGCTTTTTAACTTAGACATCAAGTTAACATATAACTTGGGGTGGAAGGTAATTTTGTCAGCATCTGATGAAACCCCTGAAGGGTTGTTAGATCCTGTTTCCTGTAAGAATAAAGGGTGAACAGATGCTAGAGCTGTAATTATGAAGGATAAGATGAAATGGAAGGCAAAAAGTCCTTTAAGGGTGGCTTTGTCAACTGAGAATCCACCTCAGATTCACTGGACAAGGTCAGTTCCAATATATGGGATGGCTGATAGTAGATTTGTAATTATTGTAGCGCCTCAGAATGATATCTGGCCTCATGGGAGCATGTATCCTGTGAATGCTTTTGCTATAGTTGTGAGCAGGTAGATAATGCCAATATTTCAGGTTTCTGGAAAATGTAAATCATTCATAGTATAAACCTCGGCCAACATGTAAGAAGAGGCAGATGAAAAATATTGAAGTGCCATTAGCATGAAAATAGCGAACCATTCAGCTGTAGTTTACATCTTGGCTGATATGAGTGACTGAAGAGAAGGCAGTGGAGGTGTCTGATGTGTAGTGTGTGGCCAAAAATAATCCTGTAATGATCTGGAGGATTAGGCAGGCACCAAGAAGTGAGCTGAAGTTTCATCATATAGAAATATTCGATGGTGTGGGAAGATCAATGAACGAGTAATTAATAATTTTTATTAGGGGGTGTGTTTTGCGAGTATTGGCCATTATGGTTCTTATAGTTGAAATACAATGATGATTTTTCGTGTCATTAGTCATGGTTATAGTCCATGTGGGAATAATGGCATATGTTATATTTTTATTAAGTGTTCTTTTGGGTATAGCGTTTGTAGGTTTGTTTTCAAAACTTTCTCCTATTTATGGGGGTCCAGGGCTAATTATTAGTGGTTCTGTGGGTTGTGGCATTGTGTTGAATTTTGGTAGGGCTTTTGTGGGGTTAGTAGCCTTTTGATTTATTTGGGCAGTGGTTGTTTTTGGTTATACTGCGGCGATGGTTATTGAGAAATAGCCTGAAACTTGAGGGTCAAGTATTGACATCTGAGGGGCTTTATTATTAGGATTATTAATAGAGTTGGTGCTGGTTCGGTGAATAGTGGAGCATGATGGGATAGTGGTCACGATTGATTTTTTTTTTTTTTTTTGAGACAGAGTCTCGCTCTGTCGCCCAGGCTGGAGTGCAGTGGCACGATCTCAGTTCACTGCAAGCTCCGGTTCCCAGGTTCATGCCATTCTCCTACCTCAGCCTCCCAAGTAGCTGGGATGACAGGTGCCCACCACCACGCCTGGCTAATTTTTTGCATTTTTTAGTAGAGACGGGGTTTCACCATGTTGGCCAGGATGGTCTTAATCTCCTGACCTCGTGATCCGCCCGCCTCAGCCTCCCAAAGTGCTGGGATTACAGGCGTGAGCCACTGCGCCTGGCCACGATTGATTTTAATAGCATAGAGGGTTGGACGATTTTTGAAGGTGAGAGGGCTGGGTTGTTGCGTGAGGATTCTGTGGGTGTGGCTGCCCTGTATAGTTATGGGTGTTGATTAGTGGTAGTTGCTGGTTGATCATTATTTGTTAGTATTTATGTTGTGATTGAAATTACTCGGGGTAATAGATTAGATAATTAAGAGTAGGGTTAGAAGACATGGGATAAAAAAAGAAAGAAATTAGAGTATAATTAGACCTTTCTGAGTAGATACAGTAATAGAGGGTGAAATTTGGGTTTGTGAAACGGTCTTTGGTATAGACTTTTCTAGTCAAATTAGCTCTGTTAGAAGTGAGGCCAGGTTTTGGCTTGTGAATAGGCTTGAGTGGAAGGTTGTACGGTGAATTGTGGTTGAATAAAATCCTAGTATATTGGAGAAGTTGAATGTCTGTAATGGATATTTTAGTTTAAGGTTATTAGTTATGAGATCAATTTCTATTGCTGGCAAGAAGCCTAAGGAGGTCACACCTAGGGCTGTGAGCTTCAGGTGGAGTGGTATTGTTATTTGGGGTGATAAAACAGGAATAATACTGTTGGTGATAAGGAATCCGGCGAAGATGCTGCCAATTGTTAGGCCCTTAATTGAGTTAATTAGGAGAGGATTATTTTTGTTAACAATAATCAGAGTCATGAAGCGAGGTTGTCTTATTAGAGCCAAGAAGATAATATAGTAATGTAGACAGCTGTCAAGGAGGTGGCGATAGGAGTAATAGAAAGGGCTCAGGCATTAGTGTATGACGTGTTTGCAGTTTCGATAAGATGTTTAGAGTACAAGCCTGTAAGGAAAGGCATACCTGTAAGTGCAAGGCTGCCAATAATACGGAAGGAGGAAGTGAGGGTTAAAATCTTGAATAGCCCTCCTATTTTTCAGATGTTGTTCATCATTGAGGCTATGGATGATGGACTCTGAACATATAAATAACATAGCTTTAAAAAAGGCATGAATACAGATGTGAAGGAATGCTAGGTGTGGCTGATTAATGCCAATTGTGACTATTATAAGGCCCAGCTGGCTTGAGGCGGAGAATGCTACAATTTTTTTGAGATCATTTTGTGTTAGAGCACAGATCGCTGTGAATAAAGTAGTATAGCTCCCAGACACAATGTAAAGGTTTGCATTGATAGGTTATTTTCTATTAAAGGGTGGAAGCGGATGAGCAGGAATACTCCTGCTACAACTATAGTGCTGGAGTGGAGTAGGGCTGAGGTTGGGGTTTGACCTTCTATGGCGCATGGAAGTCAGGGATGGAGGCCGAATTGAGCTGACTTTCCCACTACTGCTAATAGAAGGCTAATTAATGGAAGGGAGTTGGGAGTAGGGTCTAGAATAAATATTTGTTGAAATCCTCATGTATTAGAGGACAGGAAGAATCATGCAATAGCTAAAATAAAGCCAGTATCACTGATGCAGTTGTACAGAACTGTTGGAGGGCTGCTGTATTAGCAACTGCTTGGCGGTACCATCAGATTATTAGTAAGAAAGACATGATTCCTATGCCTTCTCATCAGATAAAGAGTTAAAAGGGGTTGTTGGCAGTAACCAGAACTAATATTGTGATGGGGAAAATAAATAAGTATTTGAAAAATTGGATAATGTCGGGGTCTGAATGTATATACCATATTAAGAATTCTACAATAGATCAGGTAACAAATAGTGCTACTGGGATAAATATTGTGGAGAAGTAGTCTGGTTTGAAGCTTAGTGAGAGTTTGAGAGTTTGTGTTGTTACTCAATGTCAGTTTGAGATAATGACTTCTTGGTCTGTGCATATAAACATGGTTGTAGGGATGAGGCTAATGATGAAGGTGCATGTGATAGATGTTTTTACATAATTTGGGTATGAACATTTTATTTGGAGCACCAATGTTTTTGGTTCCTAAGACCAATGGATAACTCTAATCCTTTAAAAGTTGAGAGAACCATGTTGTTAGGCATGGGGGCATGAGTTAGCAGTTCTTACATACTTTCTTGGCATATAAGAAGTTGCAGGCTTCTATTATTAGATCCAAAATCTAATATTTTGTTAAACTATAGCTACAGCATGCAAACCTCATAATAATTTCAGGGTTTGCAGATAATAGGAAGATAGGTGCAAGATGTATAAATATTAATGTATTTTCTTGTGTAAAGGAAGGTTTAATACTGTAAATGTAATATGCAAGTGTCCCTTGTTGTGTCATGATTAGCATATACAGGGAGTCAAGGGCTGTAATCAGTATACTAAGTCCTGTAAGCATAATGGTAATATTTGATCAGAAGAATGAGGCCATAATCACAAAGAGTTCTACTAGATTAATGGTAGGGAGTAAGGCAAGGTTAGTGAGATTTGCTGGAAGTCATCAAGAAGCTATTAGCGGAAGCAGTGTTTGAAGGCCTCAGGTAAGTAACATGGTTCAGCTATGGACTCACTCGTAGTTTGAATTTTCTATGCAGAATAGTAAGGATGAAGTGAGTCCATGAGCAATTATAAGGGTGTCTGCATCTGTAAAGCTTCAAGGGGTCTGAATAAGGTTAGCTGTAGTCACAAGTGCTATGTGGCTTATGGAGGAGTAGGCAGTAAGTGATTTTAGATGGGTTTGTTGTAGAAAAATAGAGCTTGTCAACTATTCCTCATAGGGACAATAGGAGGAAAGGGTAGGCTATATGTTCTGTTAGGGGGTTGACGATAAGAGTAAGCCATATTATATCATAGCCACCTAGCTTTAGGAGTACTGCTGCAAGTACTATTGAGCTGGCAATAAGGGCTTCTACGTAGGCTTTGGGGAGTCATAGGAGAAGTCTGTATAGAGGTATTTTTACAATAAGTATGGGCATATTGTTAAGAGCAGAAGTTGAACCTCTGATTATAAAGTTTTAAGTTTTACGCAATTGCCAGGCTCTGTCATCTTAACAAACCCTGTTATTGAATAAGGTATGTGATAATTTGTTAGATTGAGATAGCATCATCTATGGAGTGAGGGCACTTTATGAAGTGGGCCCTATTTCTCTTGTCCTTTCTTACTAGGAGAAACATTAAATAGATAGAAACTGACCTGGATTACTCCGGTCTGAACTCAGATCATGTAGGACTTTGATCATTGAACAAACGAACCCTTATTAGCGGCTACACCATTAGGACGTCCTGATCCAACATTGAGGTTGTAAACCTTATTGTCGATATGGACCTAGAATAGGATTGTGTTGTTATCCCTAGGGTAACTTATTCTATTGATCAAATTATTGAGTCAACGTGTATTAACTCGCTTAGACTAGTGAGGTCTTAGTTTAGGTTGTTCGGAGGTTGAATTATGCTCCAAGTTCACCCCAACCAAAATTTTTAATGCAGGGCTAGGAGGCTAGGGCGTGTAGGCTTGTATGAGTTTTTATTTGCATTAATGAATTAAAGCTCCATAGGATCTTCTCATCTTATTTGTTTATATCCGCCTCTTCATGGATAGGTCAATTTCACTGATTAAAAGTAAGAGACAGCTCAACCCTTGTGTGGCTATTCATACAAGTCCCTATTTAGGGAACAAGTGATTATGCTACCTTGCACGGTCAGGATACCACCACCGTTGAACATATGTCACTGGGCAGGCAGTGCCTCTAATACTGGTAATGCTAGAGGTGATGTTTTTGGTAAACAGGCAGGATGAGATTTGGTAAACAGGCAAGGTAAGATTTTTACTTTTTGTAATCTTTCCTTAGGGCATACCTGTGTTTGGTTAACATTGTAAATAATAGGGTGCTTATTATATCGTTTAATATTAGGCTGTTAACTGTCAGCGTGTTATTCCAGTCTGATGTAAGCTTATGCAATGGAGAACAGCTTCATGTTACTTATATTAACATTATTGCTTCTATTAAATAATAGATTAGTCCAATGTGATGTTAGGAGTTCAGTAGAGTGATTAGAGTCTAAGACAGTTAGATGTTGAGCTTAAATGCTTTATTAATTGGTGGCTGTTTTGGGGCCAACTATGGTGGTAACATTTTTTACTCTCCGTAGGAAGGTTGTTTCCTAGGGTCTAAAGAGTTGTCCCTCTTTAGACTAACAGTTAAACTTACAGGAAGATTTAGTAATTCTGTGGGTAAGTTTAAATTTGAATTAAGATTCCATCTTGGACAACCAGCTATCACCAGGCTCTCGGTAGCCTTGTCACCGCTACTCATGAATCTTCTCACTATTTTGCCACACAGGTGAGTGTGCTCTTTTAGCTATTCTTGGGTAGCCTGTCTGGTTTCGGGGGACTTGGCTATAGCTCTCTGTGTAAAGTTATTTCTCTTTAATACATTACGCAGAAGGTATAAGGGTTTGTCTTTGTTTTTGAATGGTTGATACAGTTCTTTTATCTCCTTATTTGAAGAATGAGAAGGTTATCATAAGAATTGATGGGAAAAGTCAACTAAAATAATACATCTTGTGAAAGGAAACAACTGGAGAAGATATTCCACACTTTCTAGGGATTGAGACAATCCAAAGACTAATTTAGATCGCCATCTAAACTATTTAAGACCTGAGTGTCAGCAGAGAGTTAAGTAGCTCATTTCAGTGGCATTGGAAGATCCAAGATATAAACAGCAGCAGAAAAAAAAGTGAAATTGGGAAAATGAAAAAAATACACTAGCTTTCTATAGTATCTATTGATTATTAATCAACTTCAGTGATTAATGTTTTATCACTAAAGTAATATTCCAACTAAGGATACTTAGACTATTCATATAGGAGTATCATAAGTTAATTGATTTGTTTATGGTTGAATATATAGTTTATAATTAGAATCCACCTCTGTTTTCATCTACATTACCTTGTGGTTACGGGAAAAAAGAAAGAAGCATATTGAATAAAATGAGAGGAGAAGAGAAAAATAAAAAGATGTTTACCAGGAGGGCTGATTCTAGACACATTCTACTATGGCCTGAGATCTCTGCTGAATTATTTAAGTGTAACCCAAACATGACTGGGAGCTATGTGATACAAGCAACCTATTATCAGAAATCAGAGGTGTTGATTACTACTTCTAATATGGTTTGGCTGTGTCCCTACCCAAATCTCACCTTGAATTGTAATAATCCCCACATGTCAAGGATGGGGCAAGGTGGAGATAATTGAATTATGGAGGCAGTTTCCTTTACATTGTTCTTGTGGTAGTGAATAAGTCTCATGAGATCTGATGGTTTTATAAATGGGAGTTCCCCTCATAAGCTCTCTTGCCTGCTGCCATGTAAGATGTGCCTTTTTCTTCCTTTTCCTTCCACCATGATTGTAAGGCATCCCCCAGCCATGTGGAACCATGAATCCATTAAACCTCTTTTCTTTATGAATTACCCAGTCTTTGGTATATCTTTGTTAGCAGCATGAGAACAGATTAATACAATTTCTTACATTGGTACTCAATAACTGCCATTTAATGATCATTTTAACTTCTGCATCCATTTTCACTTCTTAAAATTTTTACTTCAAGGAAAATAAACAGAATTAACTGAGATAATGAATATGGCAATGCCCAATATATCAACATTTGTCAGCAAATGATTTTGGAATGTTATCTAACCTGATCCTCACTCCGATTTATGGAGAAGATTTGATTGTGTCATTCTTAATATAAATTCCTAGAGGTCATAAAAGAACACTTCTAATTGTTTTTGCATACCTCTCATTTTCTTCAGAATTCATTAATAAGAACTTACACCCCTTAAATGAAGAATTTTTGTACTCAAGAAGAAACATAGATATAATATGTATTATGTTCTAGGCCTTTTACGAGCTTATGATCAAACTGAGAAGAGAACAATTGAGATTTCAGGGTATGGTTCTAAGTGTTATAAATCTTCAGAGAAAGGAGATTAATGTCCACAAGAATACTCAGAGTAAACTCCATGGGACTGGCAGGATTTGGTTGAAATTTATTAGATAAGGAAAGAGGAGAAAGAAAGGCATTTGAAGGTCTCTGAAATAATTACAGCAATAGTATTAAGGCAGAAATTGGGTATGTCAGGGAGGATATTAACATTCATTGTGGGCCTGATATGCACAAAACCAACTGTCTACATGAAGTACACAAATTAATTTCCAAGTTAAATCTTCAAAACTGTAAGTGACATACATATTTTATTACTCAAAATAACTTTTGTGATAGATATTGCCTTCAGTATATTATATATAATCCCAAAGTGGGCTGACACCTCTCTGATCCTTTGGAGAGCAACAGGATTGCCTCACTGCTTGGATTCCACAATGACCTTAATAAGCACTAAGCTTCTTCCCAACCTTCATGAGAACTCTCCAAGTCCCTCTGCTCTTCTATTCCTGAGCTCTCACATGCTCTCCCTGTCCAATACTAACACCCAACACACCGGTGAACTGTTCTTTCTAACAGATTTCACTAAATATCCAGTCACACCAAGGTTTTGCCATTTTAGTTGCTTTATTGAAGCTGACACTTCAGATGAGTTGGTGAACGGTTCGTACTGAGCCTGACAAACTTCCCCACTTACCTGTTCCTCTTCTTCCTACCTCACGCACTCTAGTTCAGAAACCACAGAAAACTCCTACCTTTGATTCATGCAAAGTAGCCTCACTCCCTTCTCTAGGACCTTAACACAGTCTGACATCCCATATCCCACAAAGACTCAACTACCAACAAACTGCTAATCAAGTTTCAACTTTTCCAAAATCTGTTGTTCAAGTATAAGGCCATGTTGTAAAAGATTTTAAAATGAGCAAAAAAACCAGCTGAATGCCCTATTCTGTCAAGCTTACTTTTATGGCAGATCTTCATCTCTCATTGTCCTTGAGTTATTTATAACTCTGAGTTGTAGAGATCTCATAATAATGCAAATAATTCCAGTCCATAGAAATGCAAATAAGTTCTGTCTGATGGATTGTAGTTGATTATTGCCTTATAGATGTTGACTAATTGCACATCTAGTCATAAATTCATTGTCATCATTCCTGATTGTCTGTTTGTGTGTTTTTTACATCCCCCTCCAAAACAGCTGTACCATCTTACTGTTTCTCTCATTAATTAGTGAGTTAATAAAATCTTTTGTTTATTTTATTTTTTTACCAAAGTCATGATATTAGCTTTCTAAAAATCTGTCCAATAAAATCCTCAATTTCCTACAAAATATTTTATACTCATCTACAAGGAGTCTTCAATGATTGTCGTTAACTTCTGGGGAAATATCTGAGAAGGCCCAAATTCAAGTTTAGAAATTTTAAAAGAATTTCTTTTCTATCAGGTACATTCAGAAAAACCCTTACTGCCTTCAATAATCCATAGAATATCAACGTAGTAGATTTCTTAAATGCACTGTACAGGTTGCCACCTAGAAATAACACTGGGTAAGGGAAGGACATGTTACTTAAATTTTGGTATCATAAACTAACATATATGCTCCTGGATTAAATCATTTTATGTTCATCCTGAACTAATAGAATGTAAGCCTTCAGATTTTATGCCCCACATTTTTATGTTTGAAATAATATTTATTCATTGGAATCATAATCATAGGCCTTTTGAAAGGATCATAGTGCTTTTTTCAAGAAGCTGGACATGACATGACATTAAGCTTCTGGAAATTTGTCTGTACAGGGTTGCAAAGCAGGCAAACATAAAATGCCACTCTATTATAAATGATCAACATGTACACTAGCTGATTCACCCTACTTTTTACCTGGAAAAATTTCAGGTAAGTTTGTATGGGCTTTATAAATGTTAATTATACGTGATTAGACGTATGTTACTCATATGTTTTGCGGAAGAATAAGGTGCAGTGTTGGATAGCTTCTCCCCTCGGACGGTTGTATTTCACAGGATGTATTCTTTTAGTTGAATTTTTCTATCATTTGTTATGATAACCTTCACATTCTTCACAATAAAGAAGTAATTGCCTGTTAACCTAGTGTCTAAGGTAAAAAGCCACTAACCTCTAGGCGGAAAGTTTGTTATAGGATCTATAAGAGAACTGGATAATAAATGGTATTAATTTGAGTTTTTATACTTTGTGACTCTCCTCAAATTTGCTGTGAAAAGACTTAGGCTTTAAAAAAGGAACTTATCTACTCAATCATTCAACCACCATTCATTCAATCACTCGAGTTATTAAATAATTACCGTGTTTCATGGGCTGCATTTACAGCTGGGCATAAACGAATAAATAAAATATAGTACCAGTTTGGGCAGAGCTCTAAGTGGGTGGAGAAATACAGATAGCTAGTAGGGGGTTTAAATTCTGTCTTTGCACATTATAAATTGTAAGATTTTGGCTGCTTTAAGTAATTTAGCACTCACCCTTTAATCTCTAAAATAAGGAACTTTATATCAATTATTTAGGGCTTTTGTGAAGACTAAATGTCACCATGTTAAGCAAGTGCCTGACACATAGCAGGCGCCTAACATATGGTAGCTATTCCTAATAAGATAAGACCGTTTGGAGAACAAAATGTTGTCAGGGAAACTGAGTAGAGAGTGATTTAGTAGCAGGTAGAATCGCAGATTGAGGTCATGACACTTGATGTAGTTTTTAAAGCCAGATCCAGAAATAAGCCAGACACAGAAAAAAATCTATTAGATAATTTTACTTATATGTAGAATCTTTAAAAAAGTCAAATATACAGAGCTAGAGAATAAAATAGTGATTACCAGAAACGGAGTGATACGTATTGAAATGTGTAAATATAGGAAAAAGGATAGAAAGAAGCAGATATGTAGCATCAACAAGTCTAGAGATCTAATGTACAAGATGAGGACTGTACTTAATAAAATGATATTGTATTAAGATCTTTGTTAAAGAAATAGATTTTAGCTGCTTTTATCACTCAAAAGGTAACTATGCATGATGATAGATATGTTAATTGCTTCACTATAGTAACCACTTTAGTACCTCTATATATCCCAGAATGTCATATTGTAAACCTCACACATACACAGTAAAATTTGTTAGTCAAACAAACACAATTTTTGAGACATACATACAGAAGAAGAAGGTGGTGGCATTTTCAGGTAACAGGACTGCATGTGTGAAAACAGGTTTGAGATTTTAACCGTTCATGTAAAATAATCTATTCAGTTTTTAGAAACAAAAGCGGGAAAAAAAAAACCTGAACTCTCAATTTGGGGTAATGAAAACATTAAGATTCAGGAAAGTTCAAAACCTAGTATTGGATTTATTAGATTTAGAATAAATTATGACTATTATTTACAGACCTTTTTGCATTTCTTAGTATATAATTTTTCCCAGAAAAAATATGGTAAAATATATTTGTTATTTTTTTAAATTATTTTTGGCTACATCTACTCACATCTTTAAAACAACAGCTATATGATTTATAAATGTTAGAAAAGAACTTTTTACTTTCTTTTACAGGAAAAATATAGGTGGAAAATTTACTCAAGAAAATTTTTAAAAAGGTTAAAAATGCATAAAAATATACTCCCAAAGAATAGATGGGACTAATTCTCCAGGCTTTCTAAATTAACCTCACATTTGCTATTCCCACAAAGTTTAGGGCTGCGAATTCTATCGGAAGTGGAGGGGGTGGAGAGACAGTTGGAATAGTAGCATGAAGCATTGTGTTTAGTCAAACATCAAGCTAGACATTACCGTGAAGCCATTTGTGGATGTGATTAACATTTACAATCGACTTTATTATTTTATTTATTATTAGTAGTAGTAGTTTTTGAGACAGAGTCTCTCTGTATCACCCAGGCAGGAGTGCAGTGGCATGATTTTGACTCACTGCAACCTCCACCTCTCAAGTTCAAGCGATTCTAGTGCCCCAGCCACCTGAGTAGCTGGTACTACAGGCATGCACCACCACGGTGGGCTAATTTTTGTGTTTTCAGTTGAGATGTGGTTTCACCGTGTTGGCCATGCTGGTATCAAACTAGTGGCCTTAAGTGATCTGTGTGCCACGGCCTCCCAAAGTACTGAGATTACAGTTGTGAGCCACCGTGCTCAGCCAACAATCAATTAACTTTAAATAAAACAGATTTCCCTCCACAATGTGTGTATACCTCATACAATCAGTTGAAGGTCTTAGGATAAAAACATGGGTTTCCAGAGAAAGAAGAAATTCTGTCTTAAGTCTGAAACACAGAAACTGCCAGTATTTTCAGGCTGCTAGCTTGTGCTGAAGAATTTAGATTCAAGATTGCAACATCAATTCTCACCTCCATTTATCAATATGAATTTCCAGACTGCTTGTCTGCCTTATGGGTTTCAATCCTGTTAGCTACCAAAACCCCATTAACCAATTCTATAAAAAAAAGTCTCTCCATATAGAAAGATGATAGATTGGATGGATGGATGGATGGATGGATGTAGAGCCAGATACCTATATATTTTGGTTCTGTTTTTTTGAGAATCAGAACTCTAATACCCACTATAATGTATACAAAAAATAGATCATTTTTTCAATATCTAGAGTTTAAATAAGGCTAGACTTGACAAGCATATTTCAGAACAACTGAAGTCCTTAAGAAGTATATTAAGAGAAAATGCACCATGCAGGGAATCACAATTCAGCCCTTCTGTATGATCTGTATCACTCACCAGCTCTGTGACTGTCACCTTCCACTACCTAAATACATTTAGCTGTAAAATAACAAATTAAATTTGCTGATCTCCACAGGCTTTTCCTGCTGTAACATTTCATAACATCTATGATCCATCATTGGTAATTATCATCTCTAGAAGGACCACAATATGCAAAGACTCCCAGTAACACAGGGCTGGAATAGGTAGGAATATGATTGAGGAGAGAAATTTTCTAAACATAAGGTAAGATATAAACTTGTAAGGAATTTGAAGTCCCTATGTATGAGGCATGCATAGGTATCTGAAACAAATTTAACTGGTTTATTAAAGTGAAACATAGTATAGAAACCCTGGTACCCATCTGGCCCAGATGAAGGCCTTCGTTGTTGTTTTTCATTTGTTTGCTTGTTTGATGTGTCAGCTTTAGCTTGTTCAATGATTCTATTGCTGTCTGGGATGTAAGGATTTATGTCTCTGCGTTTCTGTTATGTATTCATATCAGGTCCTGGTCTTTTTGACCATTTGTATGTGTAGTTACAGAATAACTTTGGCCAAGAATCTGGGGTTTCTCCAGAAATGTGGTTTTAAGAACTATTAGAAAAGTTTGCTGTGCCTGATACTGAGGCTATTTCTATCATCTTCAAGGTTAGGGAATGCCTCTAACATGACCCAGTAACGCTGGGATTTAGAAATTTAGTAAAAAAGATTCATAATACTGAGTTTACCTGCCTAGAACCTAGTAACAATAATTTTACCTCAGTTGTACCGCATAATGATGGAGACATAATAATAGTAGTGGTAATAATAAATAATAACAAAGTGGAAGGATATCATATATTCATACCACCAATGCCAATAACATTTAGACAGAAGTTAGAAATTGACTACCATCACAGAATACATTCTCATGTGTTGGATTGGTTCAAGGGAAAGTTACAAAATCTGATGTCCCTGATGAAATCACATTCTTAGAGTAAATCAAATGAGACTTTAGGTCCTGAATTCTCTGCTCATGCATTTCTGGACTATATGCCTCAATGTCACTCTTGCATTAGTGTTAATAGATCTGTAGTACAAAGTGTGATCCCTGGCCCAGCAGCAGCGGCATCACGTGGGCACTTGTCAGAAAGATAGATTGTTGGGTCCCAACAATTTATCATCTCAGACCTACTGAATCAGAAAATGGGGATAAGGTCCAGGAATCTGTGTTTATAACAAACCCTTCAGATGATCCTGACTAAAATTTGAGAACCAGCTCACCAATTTACACCTAAATCTACTTTACCGATACATATTCTTCTGTTTAACATCTCCAGAGAAACATACCTTCCTATTCTTGTATCCATTAAAGATGGAAGGTTACAGAGAAAAGCCAAACAAGCAGATAAACAAATAAAACAAACAAAAATAAGCCAGTGAAGGAACTCCAAAATGTGCATTTGGAAGCAATGTTTCTTTTACTTCTATTGACTGGAAATTGTGTTTGCAGTAAGAGACATGGGGCTAAATGAGGCTCCTTCCTCTGTGATCTCAGAATCTGAAATAAGTTTAATACTTATTCATCTTAGACTTCCACAGGCAGCTAGTGTGAAATCAAAGCACTGTAGACATCTTCAGACACTGCAGACCTAATATAGGTAATTCTAATGTTCCTTTTCCCTTATCTTTATACATCTTCATTACTAATCCACTAGTTCAAATGCTAGCAGTAGAGGTTAAGAAGAAGGCATTTATTAAAATCCAAATTCAAACAAATCTTAGGTAGTTAGAATCAGTGCTGAAAAAAAATAGAGATAAAAGGCCATTCAGCATCTTGATTAAAATTAACTAGAAATAATAGAATGTCTAGAGGAAGGAATAATAAAAACACATAGCCTTAATTTCCTATATCCAAATTATTCAGCAATTTGACTCCACTTCTCACTGATTTTCTGTTATAGGGACAGGAGACAATTTTGGAAGGATCAGAACTATTACCACATACCAAAGATAATGCTTCAAGCCCTTGATTCAAAATCTTTCATGTTTCCAAACAATCTATAATTAAAAGTCCACCTACCTTCAATTCTAGAAATCATTTCATAATGCAAATTTAATTGGCTGTTATTAGCAGGACCAGATTAAGTAGCTTGTTGTGGTCATGATGAGTTTATCTGTTATGCTTATAATTAGGACTCCCACAGCCAATAAGCCCAGAGGGCCTCAAAGCCCACAGTCAACCCCTGTTGCCAAGAGCCACTTACACATTCTTAAATCATCAAGTGTCTATTCCTGCCGCCACCGAGAGTCACCACCCCCTGCTTTCCTCTTTATATTTTTAATCTAGCATGTGGATTAATTTCCTTTCTGGCAACCTCAAGGGGCTAAAGGCTTCATGCATGGGCCTATTTGCTTTTCTCATAAGAATGCCAATTGCTATGAGAAGCTGGAGCTAGAAACTGGGGGCTGGGGACTGGGATTACTGCACTAATACCCCCAGACATTGAGAAGCCAGGCAGCCTGCTGAAATGTTAGTTCTTGAGGAGAGAGCATATCTTCTCATTTTAATTTTACTGTTATCATTGCTGTGATTTTAAGCAACTTTATTCATACCTTCATATATTTTGCAACTTTCCCCTTTCTTCTTTTGACCCTCCTCTGAGAACTGATAAAGCCTGCTCTTCTTGTTCTGTATTCCAAAGAGAAGCTGAGTTATATGTCTGTTAAAAGTAATGCCTTTTTAGGAATAGCTCATACGTACTCTAGAAAAGCTGCCGGGTCAATTTGAATGTTATTCAGACACCTTCAAAGACTACTGTAAACAACTGCATTAAGGCTTATCACTGGTTTAGTATACACAATAAACTATCTTCATCTAGAGACAATGTTAACTTTTTTTTTTTCAGCAATTAGGAAGCTTTAAAAATCCTGATGCCTGGTCCACATTCTAGATCAACTGAATAATAAACTCCAGTGGAGGAGTCAAGCATCAGTATTTCTTAAAGCTTCCCAGAAGTTTCTAAAGGCAACCAAGGTTGAAAAGCACTGGAAAGTGATTGCATGTGAATCCCTTAAGAATAAACAGCACAATATCAGGTTGGATGTGGTTAGAGCCTATAATCTATTTCATTTCCAAAAAAATTCTTGGATTGTGATTAAAAAAACTAATTATTAATAATCAGGATTAGAACTAACCAATAGAAAGACTAGAAAGAAGCTTGTCAGCTTAGTTCAGAAGGCTTCTGTAGAATGTACCACTCGCTCCATGTTTTAAGGAACAATTTACGTTACCCATTAACTACTTTACAGAGGGTTTTTCTCACCTAGAAAAATATCTTATAGAAGTTCTGCCACTTATTATTTATGTGATTTTAGGCAAGTTTTCTAATCATTAAAAGGAGCTAATATTACTACCTTCTTGATAATGTTGGTGGGTATAAGAAGATAACTCTTGTTATGCGATTTAGCACCGATAAAAGCTAGCATAAAATAAGAACCCTATAAACATTAACTATTATTATCAGCATGAACCCAAGCCAGGTGTTTTGGGTATGGAGACAAATATAAAATGTGTTTTTATGTTTTGATTGTAGCCACTGAGTAACTATTATTCTTAATTTAACATGTCAGAGAAATGAGCTAAGATATTTTATGATTCATTTATGGAGTATAAAGAAACATAATCATTTGCTTTGTCTTGCAGATAGTAATCTTTCAATAGGGTCTTTTTTGGTTAATGTTTCCCCCCATACTCTTAGGGCAAAATAATCTTACAAAGAATCGTTTTGAGGCTGTCTAAACAGAATAACCTGTGGGGTACAAGATGGAGACTTTTGACTTGTCTTTTGTTCATCTTACCTTAATAGGATTTGAGTAAGGAAAGCTGATGTCTCTATCTACACCCTTTGAACAGTAGACAGGATAGTACAACAGTGCCTCATCTTAAGGCAATTCTAAAAATTCCACATCCTAGATTTAATTATTTATCAGGCTACTTCCTTTCCTAAACATGAAATAAAATGTCCCAGTCTCACCACATTAAATATGATAATACAGGAAAAAAAGAGCAAAGTGATTTTTAAAAAGAAAGAAACATTATAAAGGAGCTCATCAGGAAGCATTTCAGCAGCTAATTAAACTGGAATATGAAAGTGTCTAGAGTAAAAAGGTCTATCCTTCAGATTTTTAATTTCATCAAATGCCATTTTTATTACTTGAGAAGATACACATTTGACATATCTTCAAAAACTTTATGAATTATTTGATTCATTTTGGTACTTATACTATGGCTGCCAAATAAAATACAAGATGCTTCAGTCTGTCCCCACAAATATTGTGTCTGCCCCCACAAATATTGCATGGCACAAACTTATACTAAAAAACATTTTTTGAAATTTAAATTTAACTGTGTGCTTCTTTAAATATTTTATCCCAATTTAACCCATAAGATTTTGTGTTTTTAATAGAAACTTTGTAATGATTTTTATCAGTTGAAAGGTATTGCTTTTCATTTAACTTGAACAAGTAAAATAGGGTGAACTCTTCAGAGACCATAAAATACAATCATTTGAGATGATCAGATTCATTCTGTTGGCTAAAATCATGTTCTTAATGAAGAATCAAGAAAAAAGAAGTCTACATTGACGTATTCTGAATTATGTTTTATTTCCTTTGATTTTTTTTGCCAGAATTACCTGAGTTGATGAATGTACATGCTGATGTTTTGTTTTGTGTTTTAATTTACAGAGTATAATCTTTTTTAATTTTAAATTTTCTGTGAGCAATCCAATTACATACATAAGAAAAAAAATCTACAATTGATTCCTAACATCTGCGTTAGAATTATTGTATAATAGTATAAGTGTCCATTTCATAAAAGCTACTATGTAAAATAAAAACTGAAATAATTAAAAGCAGCAACTTTTACATTGAACTTCAATTTGATATCATAAGCATATCAACGTATGACAAGTATGCATTTTTGAGACCCAGGCTTTCCTTCCGCAGCATTGTGACCTCAGGTAATTTATTTAATCAATCCTTGACTCTATTTCTTCATCAATAATAAAGATATCATACTAATACCTAAATCATAGGCTGTTTGCCAGAATTAAATAATAATAATTCATAGGAAGCGAGGGCCTTGGCATAAAGTATGCTTCAGAAAATATTAGGTGCTGTTTTGTTTATTAACATTAATTATCAAAGAATACTCTGAGAGAGTATTTCCAATATATTTCCCTTCATCAGTGAGCCCAATTCTTGATATTCTGTATTTCTATATGGGGTATTGCAGGTGTACAGAGAAAAGAACAATCTAATTATAGTCAACAGTTGAAACCTCCAGGAGTTGCAGACTATGTAGCAGGAAAGAGTAGAAAATGAGCGTGGTAAGGTGGTATTACCTGAAAATTGTTTCTAGTAGATTCTATCCACTGATCTTCTCAGTGGACTCTCCTGTAATTGTCAGACAAGGTTGACTCTATCAAAGTAAACATCTATAAAGTTACTTAGAATTTTAATTAATACAGAATGACCCACATAACTGAAAATTAATAAAGAATAGCTGAATCCACATGAAAAAATGATTGCCATAGACTTATTATGTAATTTTTATACATTATCATAACCATGATTTTATATTAAATTCAGACATGTCATATTGTACTAATTACAAATTTATTTCTTATTAAATTATTACTTTTTAAAAACTACTGGTATTAGTTCAATTTTTCTCCTCTGTTCAATTTTGGATATTGTTTTTGCCTCGCTTTGCCTCATACCTTTTTATTAAACAATTTCACTTCTCTGTATCAGGGTCCTGATTACTTTTCTTCAGAAAAACATTTGTATTTGTTTAACTGCTTAATTAAAAATTTGGCAGAGCAAAATTTCGTCTTCAAATAAAAAAAAGTTTCCTTTAAGCACAAGTTTTTATCAATAATGTTGTTAAAAAGGCTTTGCTTTTCTCCTATGTACTTTGAAAACACCATTTCAATTTTAGACAAGCAATTTTTTTTCATTTTTATCTCCCTCTCCTTCCCACCTCCCCGCCTGCCATACTTCCCCTCTCCCTTACTACCTCCCCACTACTTTCCTTCATTTTTGTTTGTTTGTTTGTTTGTTTTTTCTTACTGATTGCCCAATTCATAAGCTCTAGCTTTCACGTGATCCTGGGTGCCTCTTAGCTGTGGCTTTGTAATATGCATTTTCTCTTCATTCTGAACACTCTATGTCTCTGATTGTTACTTCTTTGTTTTGATTCCTTCTTCTTTTAGTAAAAACATGATAACCTTTTTACTCTTTTTGAGTAGATGTGGAAAATTTGATTACTGGGGGAAAAAAAACTTGATGACTGTTTAAAGTCACAGGTTTAGCATTGCCAGAGTTTTAACTCCTTAAATATTTAGTCTTTACTGACATGTGAGCAACAAGGTCTGGCCTGTTGTCTCCTTCCCTTAAGTTTTTTCCCTCTTATCTCTGGTCAGCAATTGAAACACTAGGTAAAAGAGAAGCAGGTAGTATTTTTCATCTCTCTTAGACAAATGCGTTATTCAAAGGTTATATGGTAACATAAAGCCTTAAATAGTGACAAAATAAAAATGGATTTATAATTGAGTGAGCTATATCCAGTGTATCAACGTCTGTACATTCGTTAGCATATTAATCTACAAAACAAGTTGATGGAATGGAGACTTTCTTATTTTTTAGTCTCCATTTCATATGACTGAGGTTATAGCATCCACCTTGTAAGTAGTAAAGTCAAGATTTGAACACAAGTAGCATGACACCAGGGCCAGAGTTTTTTACAGTGACAATGTGTTATCTTCCCATTGAGAACATTTAAACTGTTTTCACACCTGTATTACTCCTCAAAGTCTCCTTTGTCTTAAACAATCCACTGGGAAAATAAAACCGTTAACCTTGAAGAATTGAGATAAAGTCTTATTTCTCTGTGTTGCTTTTGTATTTGACAAAACCTAATTGTACATATTGTTATCCACTCATTCATTCATTCGTGTATTCAGTAAAGACTTATTTTGGGCTTACTATGAGAATAATGCTTCATTACTTCTGCCACGCTGAGGATTTCAGATTCTATTATTTCTTTTTTTACTAAAATGAAACTCTGCAACTGCTGATTAAGTGAACAGTTTCTATAAGAATGATTCATAAAAAGTGCTCAGAAGCATGACTGTGGGTCTTCCACTTGGTACCAGGTGTGCTGACTGTATTTGCTCATCATCAGACCTTCTTTCCTGAATCGTCCAATTCCTTTGCCTTATGGAAGACATCATTTTTTTCTTTTGCTTCTGGCTTGTTTTTCTGGTTGACTCCCTCCCCTCTCTATTGCTTTTTTATACTGCCTTAGGTGTAGTAAAATTTATATTATAAGTGCCAAAGGAAGTTCTTGTTGAATTAAGTTTTCCTTGTGCAAAAAGAGAGAGTGAGTATTGTTATAGCAGTAGGATCTATTCCTCACAAGGGCCTATGTAGAAGCTGGAGAACAGGCAGCATAGTGTGCCCATAGTGTGATATTAGTGTCATGAAGAAAAGTGGTCTTTCATGCATTTGGGGATCAGAAAACTGCATCAGATTCATGGCAGAAGCACTAGCCTCCAGAGTGCCACTTAAGGATAAGTTCACTGTGAGAATGTCAGCACTAATTGTTTGACAAGATTTTTGTAGGACAGTTTTCCACTCTTGCTGGTTCTTCTGGAGTCAGAATGTACACTACACTGTAGTAACACAACTGCTTTCACAAAAGAAAGAGAAAGAGTATTGCGAAGTTGACAACAACTGTGATCCATTTTGTTTAGATTTGTTCAAAATGTATTGCACCACAGCAAGAAATGTATTACAAACTTTGTCTAACTTTTGCTTCTATACATAGAGAAAAACCCCTCCCCCAGTATAGCTTTTGTTGTTCCTTGTGGCCTATGTATTTGTGTCTTCTGCTTATTTCCAACTGACAACAAATGTCTTAAAGCAGTGCTTCTCAACTTGAATATTTGTAAGAATTTCCTGGAGAACTTGTAAAAAGAGACTAATTGATCCTACCCACAGAGATTCTCATTTCATAGGTCTGAAGTGAGGTCTAAGAATTTGCATTTTGGCTGGGCGTGGTGGCTCACGCCTGGAATCCCAGCACTTTGGGAGGCCGAGGTGGGCGGATCATGAGGTTAGAAGATGGAGGCCAGCCTGGCCAACATGGTGAAACCCTGTTTCTACTAAAAATACAAAAATTAGCTTGGTGTGGTGGTGTGCTCCTCTAGTACTAGCTACTCAGGAGGCTGAGGCAGGAGACTTGCTTGAGCCCAAGAGGCTGAGGTTGCAGTGAGCTGAGATTGCACCACTGCACTCCAGCCTGGTGACAGAGCGAGACTCTGTCTCAAAAAAAAAAATAAATAAATAAATAAATAAATAATAAAATAAAAATTGCATTTCTTACCAGCTCCCAGATGATATTGATGCTGCTGGTCTTGGAATCACATATCAAATAGCATTGCCTTGGAGTCACTGAAAATTTAGAATTGAATGAATCCTATAGATCATAGACCAGAGATATGAAGTGATTTGTCAAAGATCACACATCTACGCTATTTACATATTGTAGTGTTTTCCATTGTGCAACTCAGATGTTTTTATAAATTTACCATCATCACTCCAGAATCAACAGAAGAGTTGCTCTCAGCATGGTTTCTTTGGCACATGTAAGTCATTTACAAGATAAAGTCAAGATAAAGTAGACTTTTATCCAATTCACACTTGTAGATGTGATTTTTGCCTCTTACTGATTGTACAGACAGGTTTAAAACAGTCCGTACAATCAGTAAGAAGATATAGATTGAGGGATTCATGGGTTTTTCTTTCTCTTAACACTGTCTTCGATGTACATGGTGGTTATAGCTTCATCCAGAGCTTTAAGTAAAAGCCTATTACACGTGACTATCTTGTTTCTTTTCTTCATCTTGCATAAAATGTTTAAAGCTAGTTCCAGCTGCATAATTATACTCCTCTTTGGTGGAACAAGAAAGGCTTCCAACAGGAAAGTTTTCTGTATACCTTAGACCAGTTGAAAAACTGGCAACATGTTCAATTTGCACAAAACAATCATGGCTGAATAAAAATCACCTACAGTTCCTATGTAGTAAATAATTCTGCACTAGAGTAGGAAGAATGATCTGTCCTTGGCAATCGGTCCTTGTGATGTATTTTATCATGTCTTACCTGGAAAAGTCTCTAAGCTGTGGCAGACACATATTTTTTGCCTCTCTCTTTTGACACTGAGTCTTCTTTTTTTTTTTCTTTGCCTGAGTGATGCAAGTATTCAAAACAATTTGTACTTTTTTTTTTCCTCCTGCGGTGATAAATGCAAGTTTTTGACTATTGAACATTTTTTAAGGAAGACTACAGAGGGAAAAAGCCTCGCATAATAGTGAGAGATGCCAGAGGAAGGCCATGCCTTCTACAGATCCATGTATACTGCACTAATAATGAATAAAGAAACCCAAGAAAGCTAATAAGAAGGGATGGAAAAAGAAGGAGGGGCTAATTTGTAAGCCTCCATGAGAAATAATCTAAAATATTTTTCTAACTTAAGAAAAATCTAATTAAAGGAATGATAGGGGTATGATGATAGATGAAAGGAATTTTAAAGCAGGGAACTGACATTTCAAGAGACAATTTACTGTCAAGAAGAATAATTTTGCCCGGCAGGTAATACTAAAACAGAGCAAAACACTGTGATATAATATCATTTTAGAGAAAGCATGTCAACACAAATATGGTAAGTCACAAAACTCTTGAGAGAGAGATAATCTGCTTGCCACTGGGAATGCAAGTTTGCCTGTCCATTAATATCAATAGATAGGAATGTTATGGTCACACTTTCTGGATAAGCATACATTAGTGTATCCATAGTTAGTACAATCTGCATTTATACTTCTTAAGAAACTGTACTGAAAAGAAGGAATTTAATTATAACTCATGCATGTGCCACAAAGACAAATTCTGTGTTTAGTGAAACAAAACCCATGATTTGATGCATGGTTTAAGAACTCTAAATGGAATATAAAAGGGAGGTAATTAATGAAGACACATTTAAGAGAAGACACAAAAGTTTGATTATAAATTTAAATGTCTTATTTTTGGACACACAAGGAAAATTTTACCCACCTGGGTGTATCAACACAGTATGACTTGCAGTATGACTTGGGTGTATCAAGGCAATATGGTTTTTCTTGATTCTGGAAAAGTCAAATGCATTAAAGTTTTAGAAGAATCTGTGAAAACGACAAACTGAGAAAGCACTACTACCCATCCCTCCAGATAGCTGCATAGATGAATATTTTCAAACCCTTCAGGAATGAGTATAATGGGTATTTTCAATTCTATTTTTCTATTTCAGCACACAGTGAAATAATTGTTTTCCAATTATTTTAATGAGTTCATGGTAATATTAATAAGGTTCTTTAAAATATAACACACAAAAAAATTAAAATCTTATGATAAAATATACAGCTATGAGTCCATAGTGATATAACTGAATGATTAAATAAATGGAAGAGAAGAAATAAATCATTCTTACAGAAGAATTCCAATTAATATACATAAATAATCTCCCCTCAAAGAGGTGAGCTTAATCCCACTGTCTTAGTTCTCATGCTGCTAATAAAGACATACCTGAGACTGGGTAATTTATAAAGAATAAGAGGTTTAATGGACTCACAGTTCCACATGGCTGGGGAGGACTCACAATCATGGTGGAAGGTGAAAGAGGAGAATGGCACATCTTACATGGCAACAGGAAAGAGAGCGTGTGCAGGGGACCTCCCCTTTATAAAACCATCAGATCTCACAAGACTTATTCACTGTCACCAGAACATCACAGGAAAGACCCGCACCAATGATTCAACCACCTCCCACCAGGTCCTTCCCACAGCACGTGGGAATCATGGGAGCCACAACTCAAGATGAAATCTCTGGGTGGGGACACGGACCAACCACAACACCCACTTTTCTTGAGTATGGGCTAGGCACACTGACTTGCTTCCAAAGGAAAATAATAATTTTACATTGGAGAGGAGCTTGGCAAAAATCCTATTGCCCAAGTGATCAAGGTTAGTGTCACCATGATGTCATGTAGATATTATGTTACCCCTGTTATCATGCTGTGAAAAGGCACTTTACTTTCTGTGATAGTCTTACCAAGAGCTCTAACCCCCATCTAATCATGAAAAAGAATTGTATAAACCTAAAGTGAGGGATAGTCTACAAAATACCAGACCAGTAATTTTCAAACTGTTGAAATCATGAAAAATAAGACAAGACTGAGAAAGCTGGAAGGAGAGCACACGAAGGAGACATAATGATTAAATGTTATGCCAATAAAAGGTTTTAGTTGATGGGAAAAACAAGTTCTATCTCTCTCTGAGCTCTCCTTTTAGATACAAGCACATATTTCCCACGCTCCAACACAAATACAATCAATAACACACCTACAATTTAATAATAGCCTATTAGAATAATACAAATAATTTATATAAGAAAAAATTAAATATAACAAAAATTTGTAGTATCTGTTACATGTATTGAAAGGTATAAAAGGCACAGAATGAATGTTTTTCTTGTGCATAAAAGTATGTTATTCCTATCCAAATAAATGAGAAATGCAATGCAATAGTAGTGAAAATATTATAGTTTTAAAAATGTTGGCAATCTGATTTTTAACAATGTATACGGCAAAATAAAGAAGTAGATAAAGGAAGAAAAATAAGACTATTAAAGAAATTTCAAAGATAACACATTTCCTTCCAGATGTCCAGACTTAAGAAATATACATTGTTTAAAAGGAAAAGACAAATTTACAAATACTAGTTGAATAAGATTGAGAAATGGCCCCATGCTTAGAGAGAGTTGGGATACTTAGCAATTGCTATCATGAAAAAAATGAGAATGATAGAATCTATTTTTTTAAATAAATAATTTTGAGGCAATTGATGTTCGTATGGAAAAGATAAAATCTGATTATCTCACATGACATAAAAATAAATTTTAGCTGTGCTAATGACATAAATGAACATAGTGAATCTTTAAATGTGTTAGAAGAAAACAAAATAATATCTTTATAATATAAGTAAAGGAACAAAATACTTAGGAAATAGAAATGCAAAATAATAGGACTAAAATGTTTAAGTAAAGAATAATAAATTTTCTGCATTATATGTTTAAAACATGCATCTCCATATATGCAGAGCTACTAAAATAAGTGACGTAGGAAACAGGTATCAGGTGCCAAAGTCCGGGCTACAGCGCCTGGGCTTGGCTTCAACTTTGTTCCGAAATCAGAGAGGGTTCCAGGAGCTGCGAGAAGCCAGGGAGCGGGAGCAGGCACTTCTGAGCCTGTGGGGGAAGTGGGACTTCCTGGACCCTGAGAACGCAAGGATGCCTGGTCCAGAGCCCCGACTGGCGACAGTAGCTGCGCTGAGGAGCACTGGACTCCCGCTCCCGCCAACTTGGTAGGGGACTGGGCTCCAGCCTGCTCCTGGCCCCTGGTAGCTCCCCACAGCCTCAGCCACGCCTGCCCTGGTGCAGCCGGCTTCCTCACAGTGGCCACTCCAGATGGGCCCCTGCTGCCATCATAAACGTATATTTGCACATATGTTTTTTCAAAACCACCTTGTTGCTCATGAATGTAAAAGTTTCTTCACTGCCATGAATTATAAATTGATTGCTTAGTGTTGTTTTCAACATTATTTACAACAGGAAGCCTACTGTTCTAGTTCACCCTTCACTCCTAGGAACTAGCTGTTCCTTCATGTACCCGGCTCTCCCTACCTCCTTGTCACTGCTCTTAGATCCTCATGAAACAATGTTGGCTTCCACATTCTTTTGTGCCAATCAAATCCTGTTTGTCATTTAAATTATCTCTTGAGGGTCCATTGATGTTTTAAGATGTTTTCTCCATATCTGAGTCTTTAAAAACTCCTTCTCTCATGTTTTGCTGCCTTTTGTAGTCTGTACTGTACAATGTTGTGTTTATTATTTTTCTGTTATTTGTTAGTTTATTTTATTTGTTACCTCTTCAGAGTTTGTAAAGTCTTGGTGATAGGGAGCAGGCTTATACTTGTTTATAGACTTCATTGTACCTGACACAGTAGCTCTTAATAGATATGTTTTTAAAATGCTTGCCGGTTCTCCAGTAAAACAGAGACGTCTGTAATTGTGGAGGTTCTATTACGCTCCTGAGTTATGATAATACCAGTTATCAGATGCTTCAGAAGAAAGAATTAAGGGAGTCTTTGCTTTGGATTTGTTTCCAGTTAGGTAAGTGAATTTAGTTTAATGATAAAATGAATAAATCCCAAACTGAAACTGCACTAACTGTTATTCCCAGGGAAACCAAGTATCTTTATCACCATTTGGTATTTAGCAGGGTAAACAATATCTTTGATGAAGTCTTGCAACAAAGAGCCTCAGCAGATAGAGGAATAGATAACACACAAGGAAAATAAAACTAAGTATGGGTGAAATAGCAATATAAGAAATTTTAAGGTTACATTAGATATGATAATATTACTTTTGATCTTATGTAAATGGTAACTATTTCAAAATATTTTTCTTCAGTGGTAAAAGCATCATAATCTATATTTAGAGCTCAGTGACATTAATGAAGATATTATAATAACATATCTAAATAAAAACATGAAAAATTTAATATGCATAAAATTGAGTCAGATAAATATGTTATAAAACAGACATTTTTAAAGACTACTAAGTTTGTATTTCATGTTTTCATTTATATAATTAATTTTGCCTTACAATAAATTTATTACAATAAATTTACACAAATGTTTTTGTAATGTGTGTCAAGGACACAAATAGACACACACAAACACAAATACAAATAAGAAATGAATTAGAATAGATTTCTGGATGTAGCTAAAAGAAACATACATTCGAAAGAATACCATTAAAATGCATTTGAAAGAATACCATTAAAATGTATCTTGAAAAGATTTTAACAAATATTAATGATGTAGCAGTATTGTTAATGTCCATGTTATATAATCCCCTCTAAAATCTGAGTTCCACTTACACACACACACACACACACAAACACACACACACTCATCCTTGCTATTTAACAACTGTATTCTTTTCCAATTCTGCATGTCTTTCTTCACATTTGCCTGTTTATGTGGAATACCTCCCCTCCTCTCCCTTTTTTTTTTCTTTTTTTTTGAGACGGAGTCTCTCTCTGTCGCCCAGGCAGGAGTGCAGTGGCAGGATCTCGGCTCACTGCAAGCTCCGCCTCCCGCGTTCACGCCATTGTCCTGCCTCAGCCTCCCGAGTAGCTGGGACTACAGGCGCCCGCCACCACGCCCGGCTAATTTTTTATATTTTTAGTAGACACGGGGTTTCACCGTGTTAGCCAGGATGGTCTCCATCTCCTGACCTCGTGATCCGCCAGCCTCGGTGGCCTCCCAAAGTGCTGGCTCACAGGCGTGAGCCACCGAGCCCGGCTCCCCTCCGTTTTTTTTTTTTTTTTTTTTTTTTTTTTTTAACAATTCTTCAGTGAACTAAAAGTGCTACTCACGCTTTATAGCGTATTTTACATACCCTCTTCTCAACGAAGCTTTGCACATTCTCCTCATCTCTAAGTCAAATTTAGATTCCTTCCGAGATCTTCACAGAGGACCCGTCCATAACTTCAGCAGGAGCTGATTGTTTTATTACTTTACTATCTCATCCACTAAACTAAACGTCTTGACTTAGTCTTATATCTCTGTCCTCTTGCTGTTCAGCTTGGTCCTAGGGAAGAGGGTTTCATTCGATCAGTAAATCTTTGTTAATTTCAGATTTAATTGAAGACTTCATGTATTTATTCACCCTTCTCGTAAGCAAAATGACTTTTAAATGGTTTTTAATTAATCTGTGTAATTTAGGTATACAATGAACTGATCTGAACAAACTCACATTTAACCATTATTTTTTGTGTTAATCTCCATGAATATAATTAACTTTCTTTGCTATCACCAGCTACCCTTTGAAAAAAAAGTGAGAAGAAAAATGGTGCATTGTTGAAAACTAGGTGCTATGAATATTTTATCCCAAAGCATACCTGCAATAATTCTCTGAATTAGGTTTCATTGTAATCTGCCAGACAATTTGTGTATCACCTAAACTTCTCTGCTCATACACTATCTCCTCTACAAAGTCTTCCTTGAATGACTTGAACCAATTCATGGGTCATCTCTGAATTGTACAGCCTATACAATTTTCACCTTAACATATCATTTCATACTATCTATTCACTATAAATATATGAATATTATCTCCTTATATGACTGTAATTTCCCTGAGGACAGAGATAATGTACCAATACATCGCCAATACTTCTTGTCATTACAAATTGGTATGCATGTGCTAATTTCAGTGCTTTCTAAAGCTTTATTGAAAGAACAACAGTCTTTGCTTCACACCTATTCTTTGCTAAGATATCTGTTCGGTATAAAAACAAACATGTAATCAAGCTTTAAAATGTATTAAGTGATAGATGCAGGTTATCTTAATAGATGAATATTATTCAAAACATGAAATCTTTCTTCACAGCATTTTAGAGTCATTGTCCTACCCACACACAAGCACACACTCATTTTGATTATCCGTCATTCCTAGAATAGTCTTGAACAAATAAACTCGTTACATGGTTTAACAATCCATATTAGTTTGCAAATGATCTCCACAGTCATTTTAAGTCACGCTTTGTTAATGGACTAAAATGTTGAATTCGATTAGAAAAGGGGACCAATAATGATTCTTAGTTAATAATCAAATCCTGATCCTTTGACCTTTTATTCGTATTTCTGAATTTTTTCCTTAGACACATTGACAGCTTCGAATGTGTCTCAGCACTCTACCGTGAATGATTGTGCATGTCACCAATCTCAGGCATTCCTAGTTTTTCTGTTAAACTATATAGACTCATTAAGCTCTAGACCTCACATTTTTCTACCAATATCAGCTATTTGGATGTCAATTGTGCCTGGCCTTTCACTGGTTGTGGAAAAGGTAAGGTTCAGGTAGTTTATAAATCTCCTCTTAAAATTTGTTTTTGAGCTCTTTGAATCCTGATGCAGGCTTGTCGCCTATGTTAATGACCATTAATTTTTCATCAACCTGTCCAATTTTACCTTAATGTTTCTTCAAGAAATAAGATACTTCAGACTTACATATTATTTTATATTATTTTCTAATATTTCTTAAAAAATAAAAGTCACATTTTGATATTGAGGAATTCAACATTATATAGATTAGTAATTTACTTATTTTTGATAATTATGTCACTTTGTTTTATCTTAGAGGCTAGTACAAATGAGAACATTGAATCTAATAAATGTAACCATGTACATTTGCTATATGAATATAGATTTGAGATGTATGGTTATGAAAATTTCTCATAAAGCATTTTGCAAATATAAGGACAAATACTAACTAGTAATTATGCATGGACTCACAATTAGTAATATTTTGCAAAGAGAAAACAAGTGTACAATATCTAAAACTCAAATTTTACCTATGTTTACTGGAAAGAATTATATCTGATTAATATTTATGTATCTCTGAAATATAAAAGAGGATCTAGATTGTGATACCTTACGAAACAACTAAATATATATTCTGCAGCGTTCTGATATTTGATGTGTTAAATTTCGAATTACATGTATAGAATGTATATTTAATTTATTACTACATATACATGATATTTTAGGAAATGACATATATGAATAAAATGAATAAATTTCAGATGCATTAGATCTAAAGGCTAGACTTTGAACCATTTAAAGTACGAGTGAAACATAAAGATGTTCTCTGCATTTGTTTTCTATGTCCCAGTTTAATGTAAGTCATGGTAAAGAAATGAGTCAGGTGAGAAAGTATCCATAGCATTTAGAAATACGGATTCTAAGAATGCCCCCTTCTTTTCCTCCACCATAGCTTCTGTATGCAGAAATAAAAATAATACTAAGGAAATAGAAAGAAGCTATACTCAAAGGGCTATGGCAACAAAATTTCTACTGGAGCTTCCTTGTTTTCCTGTTACTTCCTCTAGTCCATGTCAATTTCACTAACAATCTTTCCAAGAAAGACCACGTTTCTATTCCAATAAAGAGCACCTAATTTTTTTTCAAGAGCTGAGGCTTCTGTACTATCTTTGCAATGTAGTCATTTATTATTTGTGTGACTCTAAGTCACTTGCATATTGAACTTCATTTTTACCACCTATAAAACAGGATAATAATACTGTTTTGACACATCTCACCATGTGCCTTGATCTCACTGCATCCTGTGCAGATCTCTATCATTATATTTAGCATATTATAGTAGATCAAAATAATCTGCCTCTGTATCTATCTCTCACACTATATGGTCTTTAAGGGCAGACACAATAATTTACTCTTTTTAAAAAATCTATAATATTTAGCTTAGCACAATGTATGTAACATCATGATCATTCAATAGATATTGGTTTAACTGAATGAATCTATTGTTAAAAATAAACAATGCATGTAAAAATCATTTTGCACAGCAAGTTTAGATTATCTCTCTTCTTATCTCATTCATTTTTTTAAATTAGAACTACTTGAACAAAAATATTTTAAGGACATGAAGATTTATCATGAGATAAACTATGTATGTGAGAAATTGCAGCAATTAAAAAAATGTTTAATCTAATTAAGCAGCATTTAAAACATATCTTAGAGATTCCTCAGCTACGGGATCTGTTTGACAAAGAATCTTCACGTGGCATTTGTTCAATTAATGTCTTGAACGAATAAATTAATTAAGAAATTAAGGAATACTCCTGCTTAATCCATCTCACTATCCCTTTACCGCAATCACAAAAGGTCTATTTTTCTTTTATATTGTCTCTTGCTTTAGCCCATAATTCAGCCTTGTTTTTTTTTTTTCTCATCCACTTTATGAGACAGGAGCCTCCTTTTGCCTATTTTACCTATTGCTATCCACAGTTTGAGTAGAATAATTTCCACTCATGTTACAATTTAAAAATCTAGCTATAGGTTTCCTTTTTATAAAGAAGATGTCAGATTGTCTTCCCGTATCTAACTTCAAACTGAGTTTTTCTCATCAGTTATTTAACTTGGGTCATAAACACACTCTACTTCCAAGGTTAAGAATATCTTACTCATTCTTCAAATACCCCCAGGATCCCATTCGCTGATTAGTGTCTTCCACCTCACTTACTCCTGTATGGCAGATGCACCTCACAGCAATAACTTAAGCTTACTCTGCAAGACCCTGGGGTCTAAGAAGGATGTGTGTTTGAAGTCCCAAGTTATAGAATCCAGCAGTGGCCAACCCAGAGATTCACTCCTTATCTATGAAGAACATCTGAACCCCTGGCCCATTGCTTGAAACATGGGTCATGCAGGAGATAGAGGCTCATTGTTTGGGTTAGATAGTGGTTGCTAGGTGGAGGGAGCTAAGTGAAAATTCTATATAAACTGCATGCTTTTCACAAACAGTAGTGGTTCTTCTGTCCAGCCAGCTGCCACTGGACTGTCCCTATATGTAAGTACCCCTAAAACACGATATGTCTTGTTGGCTATCTCCAAGTCTCTTCTTTGGCCTCTCAGACACGGTGCCATCCCTATTAGAGTCAATAGGAGTCTGACATGACAAGTCCTAATTAGGCACACCGTAGAAATTACAAGTCATCAAGAAATGTAGATTCCCAACAGCTTCTCAAGAACTCAAACACCCAGGGATAATTTATAATTAACAGAAAATATATGCATCTGATTTACATTAATTTTGTAGGTTGCTTGTAAAGGATCAGAATACTATAGATTGTCACAATAGTCCAGTCTTAGGAAGTTTCCATAACCAAGAAATTTGAAAAGAGAACAAAAATCAAAGAAAGACTGGAATTTTTCAGTATTTTTGTGTTTCTTAGGCTTTTATGGAAACCACATTTCTTTGTCTTGTAGTTAAAATGTAGATGATTGGAAGCATACAGACAACCTGACTTGGAATCAGAAAACGGAGCTGTGTGCTTAAGTTTTACCACCACCAACGGTGCTAAGACTGAGACTCCACTCAGCCCTCCTCTAAATGCACCTGCATCTGGGGTGGGGAGTTTGTAGATATCCAAGAACTTCTTATTTGTAACTGCTTGTGCCTTTCTGTCTCTGCCTCAGCACTCTGGTGCCTCAAGAGCTTGCTGAACACATGAGAAAGGTAGCCCAATGGAAGCTGGGATTTAACACTCTCAGAGCAACTGTCATCTACTAAGGAATGGGAAATGGTGTTAAGGTTAATATATCACCTTTTCTGTCCTTGTTACTCAGTTGGACAATGCTGAGGTGCACGCCTCCAATTCTGCAGGCAGTCTCCAGGGAGTCTGAGCCCTACTGCAGTAGATCATACATTCATGAACACTTTATAGCATATTTTTACTTTGCTGATTCATGCATCATGCTCCTAACTTGTGCTTCTTGAAACAACTACCAAATATATTACCAACACCCACATTCTTATTTTAGGGCATAAAGGATACTGACCAAGTATTTTGAAAGGATACTGACCAAGAAGTTATCCTTGAATGAAGTGTTTTAGCATATTCTAAACTACAGTTTGAACACTTGAAATATTTACTTAATGGGATATTAAATGGAACTGTTCCTGCCTTACTGTCTCAAGATAGGAACCAATGGTAGTGACAAGCATAGCTAATACACATAATTTAAAGGAAGCTGGCAACATTCAGGAGCATGTTTATATTCCTATGACTTAATATCAACAAACACCAAACCTCCCACCACCAACCTATACACGCCTACCTGGGTCTATATGAGAAGTTCCCCGGCATAGGGAAGAGAAGGAAATAATTATCTTATACTTGGTTCTATGGGGAGTACAAGATTGCGATCAGAGACATTTCTCCTTATTCCACATAGGGAAGGGGAGGGGGAAGTTTGCACTTGCATACCAAGCCAAATGTGGCTAAAAAAATTATTTGCTGAAAAGGTCTTAACTAAAAGAATGAGAATATAATAGTCTATTCCTCAACTGGATATGTTTTTAAAAGAGTGGACTTCTTGGTCTTACCCTGTGCTTACCAAGCAGCCAAAAAGAGAATCAAATAGAGAATGGAAGCAGGGCAATATGCAAACTCATCATAAGAGCAGCCATAAAAAAGAATGAGTTCATTTCCTTTGTAGGGACATGGATGGGACATGCAGGGACACTGGGGCCTGTCAGGGGTGGGGAGCAAGGGGAGGGAGAGCATTATGACAAATACCTAATGCATGCGGGGCTTAAAACCTAGATGATGGGTTGATAGGTGCAGCAAACCACCATGGCACATGTATACCTATGTAACAAACCTGCACGTTCTGCATATGTATCCCAGAACTTAAAGTAAAATTAAAAAAAAAAATGTGCTTTTGTGTGAATTTCTCCTATGTGTGATTTTTCCTGTGGATACTGTGCCACATGGTTGTGTTTGAAACAGTCTGCGAGAACTGAACTAGGTATTTGCCTTACAGGTAACTGGGAGAAAAGAGATAAAAATAATGAAAAACAACACAGACCTTAGTCAAAAAGTTAGGAAAATATAGAATTCAGCTGAGAGCATTATTTTTTATGACTGTTGAGGAGGAAAAAAATGCACGGGGAATCCAAGTTAACTGTTGAGCTTTGCAGCCTATAGCCATAGAGTGCCTGGAAGACACACACTAGCATTCACACGCATTCCCCCATAGACAAGTGACTCATTGGAAAATGGACAGAGGAATTTAAGAAATTTCCTAGAGAAAACATGGGAATCAACATTGGTAAAGATGCCCAGACTCAGTAATAATCAGGTAAATATAAATTAATTCAACATTCTGTTGCTATTTTTTGCCTGTCAGGTAAGAAAATATTTAGAAGTGTGATACTATCTCTTGTTCTTTCAGTAAGTGGAGAAATCTCTCATACACTTTTTTTTTTGTTTGGTTATTAGTTTGTATCTTTGCATATTTATTTGCATTTATAGCATAAAACAGTGTAAAGATGTTTGCTTATAAAGGTTTTTTCTCTGGGTATTTTGATACTGTTTAAAAAGTCAATTAATATTTAAAATTTAATAACAAAACAGTAAAGCTTGTTCATCTCATCATCAACACCAACTTGCATGCCCAGAGGTTTCCACTTTTATCTCTGTTTATGTTTCTTATTTACCTTTGAATCGCTATTGTTAGGATTATATTATTTTATATTGATTTGTTAGTTTTATATATTACCTACTGTCTTTCTGTCAATAGACAAAATATGGGGATTAGCTTTCTTATTCCATCTGCATTAAAATTCTTCTAGCTGGGCATGACGGCTCAAGCCTGTAATCCCAGCACTTTAGGAGGCCAAGGCGGGCACATCACTTGAGTTCAGGAGTTCGAGACCAGCCTGGCCATGTGGTAAAACCCTGCCTCTACTAAAAATACATTAGCTGGGCATGGTGGTGGGCCCCTGTAATCCCAGATACTTGGGAGACTGAGGCAGGAGAATTGCTTGAACCCAGGAGGCAGAGGTTGCAGTGAGCCGAGATTGCACCATTACACTCCAGCCTGGGAAATAAGAGCGAAACTCTGTCTCAAAAAAAAAAAATTCTTGTCTCTCCCATAATTATTTATATCACAATTTGTTATTGAATCAGTAGCCCTATTCACAACCTAATAGTATATAAATCTTGCTTTCTATGTTCTTATAACCTACCATTAGTTATACTCAAACATCCTAATAAATCAATCATCAATCCATCAGTACTCTTCCCAAAACCTCAAATGTTTCAGGTTACCTACTAGAGCTTTCTTTCTTTTCTTTTCTCTTCTTATATATCTTACTTTTCATACCCTCCATTTCCTGGCTTAATTTGAATTGATGATTCTCTGATGTCGAGTTTTGGTGTTAAGACTACTCTTCGGTATTATCTTGGTTGGGTTTCCCTTTGCCTGCATCTCATACATACTTTTTTAATGTCAGTCATGTTTGAGAAGTAAATATTTTAAGCCTTTATGCCTAAAGCAGGTTTTTGTTTGATAGTTTATTTTAACCCTCACATTTGTTGATAGTTTAAGTTATATGAAATTCCAGGATAAAAATGTTTTGCCTTAAAATTTTGAAGCCATTGCCTCATTGCCTTTTAGGTTCTGGAGCTGCCTTTAATAAATGTGCTACTATTCTGAGTCCTAACCAGTCCCAACACTCTTCTAAATGTCCTGTGCCTGTTTACCTGTTTTAACTCAGTGCCTTAAAACAATTTATTGTTATTCTTCATGATCATGTGTGTTGGCTGAACTTACCTGTGGTCCTTCATGATAATGCAAAAAAAAGTGGTTGGATGTAGGTCATCCAAAAGTGTGACTGGGTGGCATGTCCAAGATGGCTCATTCTCATGGGTTGCAGTTGATGCTGGCTATTATCAGTTGAGGTACTAGATAGGGCTGTCCCTGAGTGCCTACATGTATTGTGGCCTTTCCTTGTGCCATGACGTTTCACTGCATGGAAACTAATGGTGGAAGAAGTGTCCTAAGGCAGAAACTAGAGAGCTTCTTATGACCCAACCATGCAAATTTCTCTGCATCACTGTTGCCACATTCTATTTCTTATAGGACTAGTCCAAATTAAAGCGGGGATAGTGATTAGACAAGGAAGAAAGTACTTGGAAGTATGGTTTATTGGAGGGCCATCTTTAGAAATTGACCACTTCTTCTTTTATTCCAAAATTCGTCAGTGATCTACATTACTGGGTGTTTGTGTGTGTGCATGTGTTGGTTTTTATAATATAGAAAATCATGCCCTTATTTCTAGGAAACATTTACATTAAAAACATTTTTCTTTCACTTCATTTTTTATGAATTTTTTTAAAGTTTGTATTAGTTGAATAATAGGACTGTTAGATTATTCCTTATTCATCTTTTCTATTTCCTCCTACCCTTTTGTTGCTCTCCTCTGCTTGCCTGGAGATTCTCTAAATTATCTTTTAATACTTCTGGTAAACTTTTATTTCTTTTTGCTATCACACACACAAACTTCACATCCTGATTTTTTTTCTTTGGTCTTATTACATAGTATTCTTTAATTTTTTTTTAAATAATATATTCTTGCTAGTCTTTGAAATATTAATTACAATTGATTTGGTTTTTGTATTATTTTCTGTGTTTTGTTTCTTCTAAATTCCCTCTCTCTATTAATTTTATCTTTCTTTTCATCATGAAGGCTTCCTTTAAATGTTGTGATACTGTATTTAGTATTCATTCATACTTAAGAAAAAAGTACTTGCAATAGTTTGCTGAGAATAATGGTTTCCAGCTTCATCCATGTCCCTACAAACACCTCATGTTCTCACTCATAGGTGGGAATTGAACAATGAGAACACATGGACACAGGAAGGGGAACATCACACACCGGGGCCTGTTGTGGGGTGGGGGGAGTGGGGAGGGATAGCATTAGGAGATATACCTAATGTTAAATGATGATTTAATGGGTGCAGCACACCAACATGGCACATGTATACATATGTAACTAACCTGCACGTTGTGCACATGTACCCTAAAACTTAAAGTATGATTAAAAAAAAAGAGAAAAAGAAAAACGTAGTGGCATGCTCCTGTAGTCCCACCTACTTGGGAGGCTGAGACAGGAGGATCACTTGAGCTGGGAGGTGGAGGTTGTAGTGAGCAGAGATCGCACCATTGCAGTCCAGCCTGGGTGATGAGAGTAAAACCATGTCAAAAGAAAAGAAAAGAAAAAAAGGGAAGAGGAGAGAAGAGAAAAGGAGAGGAGAGAAGAGGAGAGGGAAAAGAAAAGAAGAGAAGAGAAGAGAAAAGAAAAGAAAAAAAGAAAAAAGAAAAAAGTTAGTAAAAATGGTTTGGAAACTCAGTGGACATAGGCAAAGTTGTCTCCTGTATTTCAGTGGTGTGCTGGCTGTGAATATTGTATTCCATTGGTAGCAACACAAAATTGTAGTATCTATAGATGGGTTTTTTCTCTGGGATATTTTTAGGTTCTCAAATAAATAATCTGTATTGTTCTGGGGTGCCTGTTCCAAATGCAGAATGAGACAGGGGCTGCTGTTTCCACCTTTCAGATTGGTCATTTTCACTAAATTCAACATTTTTGGCTCCATCTTTTCTCCCTGCCTTAGCTGTGCCAGCATTCTGAGCACTAATTGTTGTCCATCCATAACTGTATCTCTATTCATCTATTTTTGTTTATGAATAAAAAGAAGTATTTGATTCCTCAGGTCAAATGCAATAATTATTCCCACTAGAAAAGGATGAAGAAATCATTTTCACTTTTACATTTATACCTGAAAAACTTTCCTCACAAAATGCATTATTTTAACAATTTTTTGAATATTTGGCAGAAATCATAGCTATGCTGGATGTAGAAATTATTCGGAATTAGGAAAACAACTTGGTCCTCCAGGAGGTACAGAGAGAAGCCCCTGGGAATGAAAATAAAATTTTATCTGCACTGCACACCCGTAATTTTCTAACTGCATGGTTTTTGCCTTGGAATTCCTCAGACTCCGGTTGATGAGCTGCTGGCTGCCTAGAACCTTACAGATGGCTTATTTCAGGGAGAGTGAATGCATAGAACTGTATTCTCATAGGCCTGTTGGTAAGAGGGCATATTAGACCCTAAAGCTTTTGGATAAAGAGAAATAAAGATTTGCTTAATAATAAATCAAGAATGTCTCCTCTTAGAGGTAAGAACCTAATTTTTTTTTCTCAATAAAGCTGACGATATAAACAAGTTGTTTCTCATTGTCAAGGCTAAAGACATCACTGGTAAGAATTTTGTTAAGAGCCCAGGAAAACGTGTTTTAAATTTTGAGCCACATCCTCAAATCCCATGAAAGACACGAGTGTTCAGCAAAGTAAGGCAGAGGTGAGGGATAAGAAACATTATTTTATGTTTTTAAAATTTCAGTAATTACAAATTTTGTTCTTTGAATGAAATAAAATTTAAAACAAAGTGATATGTATGTGTGTGTAATGGTCAAGGGTATAATCTGAAGAATGCCTTTATCCAATATAAGAAAGTGTTTGTATTTAATAACATGTTTAAAGAAACGCTCAGATAGTGAGTCTTCTTCCTACAAAGTAGAAGAAAACTCTAAGAAAATAATACAAAATTATTCATGACAATATCCCCCTAAGAAAAAAAAATACCTAGTTTAGCATTAAGCAAGAGTAAGTTAGAAGAAACAAATTTTTGAAACATTATCAAATGGATATGAATGAGAGAAATGATTTTAAAGAATACTTTCAATTATAAAGGTATTTGTTAATTGTTATATATTCAAAAAACTTTTCAGTATGGTAATTTAAAATAACTTCTCAAAAACATGCTGTATATAATATTTTAATTTCTAAGCTAATAAAATAGTTACTTAGCACATAATACCACTATAAAGTAATCTAACATCAACATGCCTTCCATGTTCTGAGAGAGGATGTGTGCATTTATGTTGTGTATATACAAAAATGGTCTGTTTACATTATATATACTAATGTGCAAACAGTTTTTTCATCCTGTAGTAATAAAAGTACCGGGGTTGTAAAACAATTCAAATAATTCAAATAGACTTGTAGTCTAATAGTTAACCTTTATCCCTTGCCCTTTAATCCTTCCCCAAATATACAAATTTCACCAGTGCTAAACAATATCCATCATTTGTATTTACATTTAACAATCGTACTCTTTCTGTGTGTTAATGTATGCATATGTGTATGCATACAAATATGATTTTTTTCAAATAAGAATCAAATATGAAATGTCCTAAAAATCTGCTTTTAAAAATATAATCTTATAGATAATACTTTATATTAATCTAAAGATTCATTTTATTATTTATAGCAGCTGTACTATGTCCCATATTGTGAATTTTACAGATAAAATAAAATAATTTATCTGTTAATAAACTTTAAGTTGTTCTCAATTGTTGTAATAGTCGCTGTAGTAGACTTTATATCACACATCTCTTTGTGCACATCTATAATTATTTCTGTAGACCACATTTCTGAAAAGAAAATTGCTGGGACAAAGACTAGACATGTTTTAAATTTTGATAGAATCTGCCAAATTGCTTTGCAAAACTATACTTATTTATGATCCTATCAAAATTCATAGAAGTGCCTTTTTATTTATTTATTTTTATTTCTTGCCAAATGTGGAAGTTGCTTTAATTTGCATTTCCCTCATTAATAGTGAAGATAAAGAAAATGTTGCATATCTAGTCACATTTATATTCACTCTTCTGGCTTGACTATTCATTTCCAATGTCAATCTGCTTTTTGAGTTTAACATTTTTCTTATGGGTGTGTATTTTCGCTTTCTTTATCATTTTTCATTGGTCTCTTTTGCTTCATTGTCTGATTATTTATAGATTATTTATTCTTCTTTCTTCTCTTGTCATTCCTCTGTTAAACTGGAACTTTAAACAGTTTAATATACTTATTATATATTCTCTACATAAAGCCAGACACACATTTCTCAGTTGACAAAAAAATAGTCTACGTATGTCCCACTATACTATCTTCTAGCCGTAGTTGAAAATCATCTGACATTTTTCCAGATTGTTAATAATACTTCTATATTATGTTTCTTCTGGTTTTATAATTTTATTTAACCTTTAGGTTATATTTTGCCAATATTATCAATAATTTAGAATTAACTATTGTTTTTATTAATTCCTTTATTACCATTATCTTTTACCTTTATATGTCTTCTTGTTCTTGTATCAATTTTTGATTTGCTGGAATATCTCCTTATGATTTATTTTATGAGTTGTGACCTATATGAAATTTCTCAAAGTTCTTTCATGATTGAAGGTGTCTTTATTTGACTCTCATATTTTAATATGCCATTATAACTGAAAATAAATCTAGAGTCAGAATCCTTTACCATCAATATTTTGTCAAAAATCATTTTTTTGAAATCTGATTTATGTTCTATGAAAGAATTCACTGTATCAGACTATTTAAACAGGAAAGCAAGACTTTATTCAAGACTATTGCAATATGGGAGAGAGAGCAAACTCAACTTGAGATTAAACTCAACATGAGATTGAACTTTGCAGAAACAAAAACCCCAAGAATTTCAAGTTCTGTAGTGAGCTATTGGAAAAGTACTGGAAGACATGAGTGGAATTGAAGTTAGTCTCCTACCCTCTCACAGAGACTGAAATATAAAACCACTGTCTTTTTTGATGATTACATTTTAAATAAATGACCCCCAGATCTTTTAGAAAGACATTCATTTATAGGTTATAGAAGATTTATATCTCAAATCAGCAGAGAAAGAATTTACAGTTGCAAGTTTTCCAAGAAAAATGCTTTAATAAAAGGGAAGTCAATGATCTATATTTAGGAATAAACCTGTCTAAAGTTTACTTAAGCTGAGGGAACATTAAAACAGTCTTGGTTAATTTCTTTAAGATTTTTTTTTTGTTTGTAAGCAGATAAAGTAATACCTATTCCTGGAAATTATGAGTTTCACCCATATGTGTAAAATTAGAAGTGATTTTGTATTATAGTATTGTATTGAGTATTATTATATTCAGTATCATGGATCTCTATCATTTGTTTTGTCCTTTCTACAGTTCATTCTGACTAAAATTCTTTCAGGCACTATTACAAACAGATCTGGTATCTCCTTTGTCTATTATTTTTAAATAGTAATGTTCATGTGTTTGTCATTCTGGACCATGTTTTGTGACAATAATTTAAGTGTCATTTCTGATCAGTAACTTTGTTTGTGGCCATTTTTTTTAGTTATTCAGGCTTTCTATTGACTTTTTAAGACAAAATTATTCTTTAGAAACATTTTTAGATATACAGAAAAGTTTTGAATATAGTAAAGAGAATTCCCATATCCCTGAGCTTAGTTTCCCCTATTATTCACATCTTGTATTAGTATGGTACATTTGTTATGATCAAACCAACCAATATTGATTGATACTTTATTATTAACTAAAGTCTATACTTGCATTCAGACTTTTTTGCTTTTACCCAGTGTATAGATTTTTCTGCTTCTGGATGCCACATTACATTTAGTTGCCATGTCTCTTATGATCCTCTTGACTATAGCAGTTCCTTAGGCTTACCTTGTTTTTTGATGGCCTTATAAGTTCTAAGGAGTACTGGTCAGATACTTTGTATGATGTCCTTCTATTGCAATTGGTTTGATTTTTTTCTCATTCTAGTCCTGGGTTATAAGATATTTAGAGGAAGACAAGACAGGTCGTGTGCCCTTTGTCACATTCTAGCAAGAGTATGTGCTATTTACATGATGTATGACTGTTTTTGTTTACCTTGATCCTCTGGAAGAGGTAGTACTTTTCAGATTTCTCTACTGTAAAGAAAGTATCTCTTGTCTTTCTATACTCTACTGTATGGAAGGGATTCATTAAATACAGCCTATACCTAAAGCACAAGGAGTCAAAGACTCCACTCTTACTATTAATACTTAATTTACTAATTGGTTTGGATCCTAAGGCCAAAAACCTCATCTCTGAATTACAATGAATGGAAGAGCATCTCTGCAAATTTAAATTAAATTTCTCCTCCTACTGTTTCTTGGTGCACTTTTATTCCAGCTCCTGATAATTCCTTTAGTTCTGTTTTGCTGAAAAACCTAACTTTTTATTTTAGTCACCCTGTGTGTCATGGTATTTTTGATGAGTTCTCCGTTCTTTCAAAGTGCCAGAAGCCTGATCTTTTCATGTTAGACCTGGAGGAAAATCAAGAGCAACCAATTCTTTTTCTTCACTGACATTTTCCAACAAAGCTGGTATCTAAAGAAGCGTGCCTTTTATTCTAATTTTCTAAACTGCATTTGCCATCTCCTAGTATCAATTATAATCTCTGGTTCTTATGCAGATGTATTGGTGACTACCAACCACACTTCCTTTGGTATCCAAGAGTCCCTCTGCTCTGCGAACAGTACAAGAATTAGGGATTGGTAGTTTGGCTTCTTAAAACTTGAAAAGTTTGTGAAAGGCTTTAAGCCAAAGATGCCTCAAGGACAATAGGATAATGCTAAATCACACAACTCAGAATAATCTCTTGAGTTTACTCTCCGCTTACTTACCATCTGGAGCACTTCTGTCCCAACCACTACTTCTCCCATTGCATAAGCACTCTCTCTCTCTCTCTCTCACTCTCTCACACACACACACACACACACACAAACATACACACATACATTCTGATCTTATCTCTCCCTTCACAGAGTTTTCTATCAAATAACTCTCTCAAAATGTCACATGCTATGTTACATCTCTTTGCAATCTGGGTAGAGATAGCCCTCAGTGCATATTGTACTATTCCACTCCTTATTAGGGAAAACGGGGACACCAGTTACTAGATCCATCTAGCCCTGATCTCAATTTTCTATTATCCTCCATAATCGTAATTCACAATCTGGTATTCAGGTCTTATACTTTTAAGTAGAACGTTGTGTTTAGTAGTTTGTTGTGTTGTCTAGATTTTACCATTTATGCCAATTATTATATCTTACCAGGAACAGTTATTTTTTTCATGCCTCTGTTAGTATACTTAATGTGAAAAATAATATTGCCACTTTTCTGGTTTATAAGAACAATGCAAATACTAAAACCAGAGAAAGATACTTTAAAGTGAAACTCTTTTATCCAACTGTTAGGCCTACTTTCATATATAATGGATCTAAACATAATATTTACTCCAAACACTATTCTACTTTGAGATAAAAATTATATGCATATGAAAACATGATTATATGCATAAAATTGAGATGATTTGCATAAATATCACACATAATTTTGTTATAAGTTCTTAATCTTTAATGAGAGTATAAAAATGAAGTTATTTACTATGAAGACATTTAGGAAATTAGGTAATATTTAGGTAAAATATTTTCAGACATACATAGCAGAAGAATTGCTAAGTAACACCTTGACATCAGTTTTGTCTCCACAATTTAAAAAAAATTCTATTAAATAAGTGTATATTTATATCAGGGAAGTAGTTCATGCTTGCTTCTTATGAATCACTAAAAACAACCTGTTGAGAATAATGAAAATAAACACTTTGAAGTCTTTAATTAAGTTTGTGAGTAAGGGTTATTGGATTTATGAGAAGAATTAATGGAGAAAGTGTGAAAGGAAAATAAATCTTAGGGCCCCAAAATCACTAAGCTAAAGGGAAAAGTCAAGCTGGGAACTGCTCAGGGCAAACCTGCCTCCCATTCTATTCAGTCACCCCTCTGCTCACTGAGATAAATGTGTAGCTTATTGTCTCATTTGGAGAGGCTAATCAGAAATTGAAAAAAATGCAACCATTTGTCTCTTATCTACCTATGACCTGGAAGCCCCCTGCTCACTTTGAGTTGTTCCACCTTCGCCTCGAGTTGTCCCACCTTCGCCTCGAGTTGTCCCACCATTCTGGACTGAACCAACATTCATTTTACATATGTTGATTGATGTCTCATATCTCCCTAAAATGTATAAAACCAAACTGTGCTCTGACCACCTTGGGCACATGTCGTCAGGACCTCTTGAGGTTGTGTCACAGGTGCACGTCCTCAACCTTGGCAAAATAAACTTTCTAAATTAACTGAGACCTGTCTCAGATTTTCGGAGTTCACAGAAGTTATGTGGAAAGATTATTTTACCAAATGAATTGGTAGAATTAAAGGTGTATTCTAACTCTATATATAACTAACCAAAAGATCTACTGATGGGAATATAATTCTCATAAGTCCAAAAAAAAAGGGAAGGGGGAAATTGCACATGTATCATAAAGCTATAATGGTTGTCATTAATTTACTTCTTATGTTTTTCTTCATGTGATATATCAAGAAGAGTCCAAAAGTTGTAAACTAGTAAAGAGATAAAAGACACCTTCTTCATTCACTAAATGGAGAGCCTAAGAGTCAATGTGACTATTTCACTTCAATCTCTGAACTCCTGAACGGAAGTAACCTAGCACCCAATGTCCTTTTAGCTGACTATAATCAAAAGATGTTGTTGTATAAAAATGTCTGCCCAGTAGGAACTAAATTGGAACAATTATTTTTCTTTCTAATCATATTATCAATTATGTATGGAATAATAATTGTTCATTATTCTTATAATTCTAAGAAAACTATTACCAGATCATTAATGCTAACTGTATTAGTCTGTTTTCACACTGCTGATAAAGACATGCCCGAGACTGGGTAATTTACAAAAGAAAGAGGTTTAATGGACTTACAGTTCCATATGGCTGGGGAGGCCTCACAATCATGGTGGAAGGCAAGGAGAAGCAAGTCACATCTTACTTGGATGGCAGCAGGCAAAGAGAGAGAGCTTGTAAAGGGGATCTCCTCTTTTTAAAACCATCAGATCTTGTAAGACTCATTCATTATCATGAGAACAGCACAGAAAAGACCCACCCTCATAATTCAATCACCTCCCATGGGGTTCTTCCTATGACATGTGGGAATTTTGGGAGTTACAATTCAAGATGAAATTTGGGTGGGGACACAGCCAAACCATATTACTAAACAATCAATCTTGATAAATTAGAAACAAAAAACTCAAGTACAGGAACATTAAAAAAAAAGCATTTTCAAGCCAAGTTTATTTGTTTGTTTACTTTATTCAATTAAAAGAAAACTTCAACTTTGGGACGCTGAGGCAGGCAGATCACTTGAGGTCAGGAGTTCAAGATCAGCCTAGGCAATATGGTGAAATCTCATCTTTACAAAAAATACGAAAATTAGCCAGTTGTGGTGGCACATGCCTATAATCTCAACTACTCAGGAGGCTGAGGTAGGAGAATTACTTGAACCCAGGAGGCAGAGGTTGCAGTAAGCCAAGATTGTGCCACTGCACTTTAGCCTGGGCAACAGAGCAAGGTTCCATCAAAAAAAAGAAAAAAAGAAAAAGAAAAAAAGAAAACTTCAGAGTAAGATGTTGAAAATACACATTCTTTAGTACTCTCTGTTTTGATGTTAAAATATGGCCAATAGGCAGGGTGTGATGGCTCACGCCTATAAGCCCAGGACTTTGGTAGGTTGAGGCCAGTAGATCGCTTGTGCCCAGGAGTTAGAGATCAGCCTGAGCAACAGGGCAAAACCCTGTCTCTACCAAAAATACAAAAATTAGCCAGTCTCATAACCTGGTCTAAAAATAAATAAATAAATAGATAAAAATTTAAAAATAAAATTAAAAATATGGTCTATAAAAGGTAACAGTACAAATAAATTATACATTAACTTGGAAATATCATTATAGCATTTAATTTCTTTCCTTCCTTATATTCATATTAAGTTTAATTGATATTAACTGTTAGAATAATCATTCAAAGTAAAACATTGCTCAATAACTCTTGCCCCCATAAAAGCATCTGAAATGTTAAGTGATCTTTGTGTTATTATTGATTCTTATACAATTAATCTGTGACTTGATTTTTCAGTAATATTAGGAAAACTGTGAGCTTGATCTTTCCCCTTGGCTAGTTGTTTTTCCCCATTTATAAATAGAAAATCCATCCTTAAAATTTTCTAGCAACATAGAAAAAAATTACTTTTGTGCAAAGTTCAAAGAATTAAAGCTCTAGAACAATTACCTACACTCTTGGTGAATCTCCTTGGCACAGATAATATTGTGCTTCACCTTCAACTCTTCCGGTACTTCAAGCTTCAACTCTAGTAACACTTTCAGAAGAAGAAAGAGAAGACAAATTAAAAAGCAAAAAAAGGGAAGAAGATGTGCTAATATTTGTTAAACACTTAGCATGACAAGAAATGTGCCAAATGCTTAAATTAAACCATTCCATATTGAGAAAGTTGTTATGATTATCCTCAATTTTGAAATGAGTTTGCTGAGAATTAGATATGCTAAGTAGCTTGTCCTTAGCTATTCAGATCTTAAGTGCAGCTTGAAAGTGACTAATTCTTGAGTGTGTGCTTATGACATTTTTGCTCTGCAACACCAATTTATTTGTTTTTCATGTAATCACTATGTTCTTTCACAAACCTTTCCCTTCATCCTCTTTCTCCAGTGTTACCTTCATGTCCTGCCCAATTGTCAGAGCTATTTCAGCCTACCAGGTTCAGGTAACATGCCATTTTGACTCTAATAACTGATTTCTTCAAGCAGAATAAAGCATATTCTCTCATTCCATCTCCTTCACACTGCATAAAATGCTGTACATTGCAACTTCTTGGTATGTATTACTAACTCTTGTCAGCTTGCTTTACAAACCCCAAAGCACAGCAATGTAGTGTTCATCTTGGTGTTCAGAGAACCTGTAGCAAACATGAGATACTTGATGCATGTTGTTAATTGTTAAATAAAAAATGAACAAAAGCGAATGAGCAAAGATCCATCAAAATGAAAGGCTGAGAAAATAGTAAACGATTCAATCATCCTCCAACCAACAATCATTTGTTAACATCTGCCTGGACTTTTGAACATTTTGATCACAGTGGTACCTCAGTAGGAAACACTGGAGCTTGATTCCTAATGAGTAAGTTGTATTTTAGACTTTTTTTCTATACTGTCTTAACATTCAACAAAACTTCTACATCACTGTCGCTATTTATTAAAGGCCTACAAAGCAAAGGAAGCTACATTGTTTGGTTTTATAACACTTTTTAAAAGAGTTTACCATTTTGTTTTAATTTTTTTTTTTTTTTTTTTTTTTTTTTTTTTTTTTTTTTTTTTTTTTTGAGACGGAGTCTCGCTCTGTTGCCCAGGCCAGAGTGCAGTGGTGCTATCTCGGCTCACTGCAAGCTCCACCTCCCGGGTTCACGCCATTCTCCTGCCTCAGCCTCCCAAGTAGCTGGGACTACAGGCACCGCCACAATGCCCAGTTACTTTTTGTATTTTTATTAGAGACGGGGTTTCACCGTGTTACCCATAAAGGTCTCGATTTCCTGACCTCGTCATCCGCCCGCCTCAGCCTCCCAAAGCGCTGGGATTACAGGCGTGAGCCACCGGGCCCAGCCTGTTTTATTTTTTTATTTAATTTAAATACATTTAATTGATGTACAAATGTCACTATTATAGCATTGTTGTTATAAGCATTAAACTACATAAGAGGTGTTAAATAACTAGACCCACAGTAGCAAGCTTGGGCAACCAAGTTTCTTTCTAAAACAGGATGGAGTCAAATGCCAATCACCGGGGTGGTGTATTACTGTACAGTATTTAAAAACAGAAGGCACTGGCTAACTTACGAGACATAATAGGTGGGATTTGAAAAGACACATAAGGGAAGGGGAAAAATAGATGAAACTTTTAATATTTGGAGACACATTTAGAGGAAAATAAAGATGGTAATAATTAAATTGCATTGTTTGTTTATAAGGTAAATCTTATTCCTCTCCCCTTCAGGAAATTTTCAGTAAAATCTATATTACTAATACTTGCTTTTAGAGGCAATTTTTTTTTCTGGGATACATGACTACGTGTTCATTTTGCATCAAGTTGGGTGCCAATTGAGACTAGAGACAGCCCACAGGAATATAGTGGCCTCTGGACTCAGTTATAATTGTTAATATTCATCCTTCTTTATGTAAGGATGATGCTGTCAGGAACAGTATTAACAAATCTGCCATGTCCAACTTTAAGAACCTTGCCTACTACCTGTATCATTTTCTACTGTCATCTAAATGGTCTCCAAGAGGTCTGGGTGTTCCACATTTTAGGCCTCTAAGAGAACTATTTTCTGCTTAGATGCCCTTCCTTTTAATAAGCTAATGCAGTTCATGAATTCTGCTTCACTCTATTGCTGGGAATTTTTATTTAATTCGGTTTTTTTCTAAATTCCATTTAGTCAGATTTAACAGGTGGAATAGAGTGTCTTCTGCCTCATGCATAATACAGTGAAGGGTATTTTGAGTTACAAGTCCTCAGAAATTTCTTCCAACTTTAGCTGTCTATGAGTCAGATCAAATGGAAACAAACAATCTATCCTAGTGGCAGACACAGATCTCAAAATGTAGATTAGTTTTCATCAGTTCAAAGCATTCCAAAACATCAGTTTATTTGTGATATCAAAAAGTACAAGAAAATAATAATTTGTTTTTTAATTTTTAGGCATTTTGATTAAACTGTTACTTTAAGGATTACATAGTTTATACTCAAGAATTAGGCAACTTCTGTAATAAAAGTATAGATCACAATTCTGATTCTATTTATTTAAGTAGGAAAATAAATTTTATAATTTTGTCTTAAACATGAATTTTGTGTAATCCTGATTTTCTAAGTATTTAAATGGAGATGCTTATTTTCTTTTATTTCATAGTCACACATTTAGCTTTGAAATTTTTCAATGGGAATCAGCAAAATATTACTTTTTTCCATATCATATTATAGCTTTGTATTAAAAAAATCAATAGCTATTTTAATTAACAACAGGTAAAGAAAAGTTTAAGACACACAAAAAATAACCTTGGGAACAAAAGTGTCAACACATTTATGACATTACATTTTCTAGTACAAACCAGTACAAACTGGTTTATAGAAATGAGGAAAGTCTGAAAATAAACAAATCCTTCAGCTGAGCTGTGTGAACACCGATAAATCTAAATGTTAGCTGACTGGATGTATAAGCTCATAGTAAGTGGGTGAGTGTGCATTGTGATGTACATGGTCTTTTCTTATATACAAAAGCCATATTCTTGCAGGTGTGCATAGTGGCAATAAAGGTTGAAAATTACTACAAGCTTTAAAAAGGTTTGGTCTCAAAGTGGAAGTGGCGTTATTTTTTTCATCTTACAGCGCACTACCTTTTCTTTTGATTCTATAGTTCCTTCTCCCTGCAGCCCTCCCTGTCACTCACTTCCTCTTTTCTTTACCACTGCACACTATAATGAGGCACGGCTAGAGATTCCTTTCAGAGAGGAAAAAAGGAAGTCTCTAAGTGTTGGAAATGGGCTGAAAGTGTGTTCCTTCTACTCAAGAATGGCTCTTGCAGTGCATACTGAGCAAAATCTCATCTTCTGTCTGAATTTGGGACACACACAAATGCGCACACACACAGCGTTTTTTCTTCTGGTTTGTAGGCATCAAAGCCAGAGATGGTGAATGCTATGGCTCTTTGAGGGTGTTTTAGACTAGAATAGAGAAAGTTTCCACTTTTATTGCTAACAAATGGAATTTCTGCCTTCATACAGCACACTTGGTTTTTTAGTTAAAAAAATAAGTAACAAACATATAAAGAAGTGTACAAAAAAACGAGAAGAAAGTACAAGATTTTCCTTTCAAATACAAATTTCATTTGAGAATATATTCATTTTCCTTTATTAATTTTCACCCCGAAAGCTCTCAGTATGTAAAAAATAAAATAATAGGCATCATTTTTCCTTAAATATGTTATCTTTTCACTGATTATAGAAAAAAAGCCTTTCCTAAAACGAGGGACTACAAGTTACAAGAGTAGGGAAACCAAATAAATACATGTAGAAATAAATATAGCCTTCTTTTTTTTTTAAGGACTTCATTATCCTGTCTCAGAAATGAGTGTGCACATTTACAGTAACTTCTGCAAACACAGAAAGCCATGATGCTTCTAGTGTTAACATCAAATTAAGTAATGTTGGTTTTTTTGTTTTCTCTGATAGTGAAAAGTCAAGTCAGGTTTATAAATTCTGTCCCATCTTCTAAATTTCTGGAAGTGAGTATGTTTATAGTATTGAGTGAATATTGGCTGGGCCTCAAAAGGAAGAGGCAAAATTCCTGACGTAGCAGCTTATCTTTAACAAATATTAATACATCCACACACACCCCCATTATTTTTCTTCTCATTTCTGATAACAGAAGATAACACAGCCCGGGTGTGTTTCTTTTCGTACTTAGGAAACAGTAGAGAAAGCATAACCTCACAGACTCCAAACTGAGTAATTCTTGAGTCATGCTTTAGCTATGGTCCCTTAGCACAGTTTGATAACTGGAAATCACAGGTAATTCATCAGATATTATCAGTTCCAAATTTGACATCAGAAAAAAAATGATAATATTAGTGAAAGCCATAAAATCAGAGTGGCATATTAGAGTTGGCTCTGTTGAAGAAGCATCTATAAAAATCCTAAGAAGTAGGTATGAAAATATCTGGACCAGGCAACATAAAATTTTAATGTACATCCAACGCTGCACGCTGTCAATCGTGGCAAAACATATTTGTAAATTCTGTTTGAGTTTACTGATAAAGGGGGGAGGATTTGACAGCATATTTGATTCTGCTAAATTTGCTTAGAATGAATCACGAGTAGCATGAACCAGGCAACAAAAACTTACCTCAGGTAATAAATTCAATTTTTCTAAAAGATAAAAGTCATAATAGATAAATGAGTATTTTGAGTGACAATGACTATGACATGAGAATATGGTGATAAAGAAATGAGCAAGCCATCATTGTGAAATAATCTCTAGACAAGGTTCTTCCTAGCGGATCACAGTTACGTGTATGTAGCTAACATGAGCAATTAGAAGACTTAGCAGGAGGTTGGAAAATTTAGCTTAGACAGTGAGTTCCTAGAGAATCTTTCCACCTACTTGTGTTTTTATTCCTGATGCCCAGAACAGCATCTGACACTCAATAAAAGCTCAGCAAGCATTTTATAGTTAAAAAAAATCATAATTCCAAAAATATGCCTAAAAACATTTATTTGATAAAAATTAAGGCAGGCCATTAATTTTAAGGATGCTAAATAATTAAAATTAGCTTATGCATATCTAAACAAGTGCAATATGTTAGGCAAGTTCACACTGAATCACTGTTCAACTATTGCAAGTTGCTTCTGAACACAACATAAATGATAAGTATTTAATAATTAGAACTGTCCAAAAATTGAAGACAACAGAGACAGGCCTATTTAGGTACTGAGTTCTTCATCACTCAAGGTTTTAAGCTGAAATGATGTAATCATCCTGGAGGCTGGAGTCAAGTCCACAAGCTATGGATAGTAGTAATTAGTCAGTTGGCTGCTAAACACTTTTCAACACATGTATTTTATAATTTATTGTTTTTTCGTTTCTTCCCATATCCAAAAAATAAGAGATGCTTTAGGTAGGATGTTAATTACAGACCTTTTCTTCCTTTGCAATTCTGAAAGCATTTAAAAATAACTAGTGGTAGCCTAGAGTAGGATTAGCCCACTACCTGTACCTGTTTTTGTAAATAAAGTTTTATTAGAACTCAGGTGCTCATTGTTTGTGTATTGTCAATGTTTTTCACTACAGTGACAGAGATGAATAGTTGCAACAGCCTCTATGGCCTTCAAAGCCAAAAGTATTTATTGTCTGGCCCTTTAATGAAAAAGGTTGCCAACTTCTGGTCTAGAAACCTACTTAAATTATCAACATGATTTTCAATAAACTATCGAAACATTATTCCCGAAACATAATAATTATTTTATGTACTTAAAGTATGAGATTGGGCATTGTAGGACAAATATAATTGATTTGTATTATTTGCCTATGAATAGCCAGGTTTTATACCAGTATGCCCAGGCTGAAATTGTTTTTAAGGTATACAAGCATATAGTCAACCAACCTGCTTATCTAAGTACAGATACTTTCATTAACATTAAACAAATTATATTCCCTAGTGGTTGACTTTTTACTCTCACAATAAAACATTGTCTTTGATCTGTGTGTCAACACCCTCATCTGTGTTTCAGTCAGGATGGTTCTAAGAATGCATAATCTAAAACTCTTTTCTCTAAAAGCATTTCTAATTTAGAATGTTCTAATAAAAGAACAAATCTTAAGAAATTACTCTGACAGTCTATTTTCCAAAAAAATGGTACCCTATAACTTTTTCATTTTAAATGTTTTTATTTTGATTTTTTGTAACAGAGATAGTAAACTTTATATTTCAATCTGCGTTTCAATAAAATAAAAAATCTACATGAAGTCATTCAGCTGAATGAAAGTTTTCTAAATTATATGTGCCCTCTTTCCTACTCTTATGCAGGGTTCGGATATTCATAAATATTTAAAAAGTCAGGTTTTCAAATCCAATATGACTGCAATCCATTTTAACAGTGAGGACTGCAATCCATTTTAACAGTGAGAACTGAATTGTTTTTGCCCCCGTAGGTGAATAAGATAGACAAGCTAATTGCCTTTTAAACTTACAGATTTTCAGCGCGAGATCTCATTATCATTTGCTTTCAGGAATAAATTTCTCTCAAATTTTGATGGAGAGTATAGCTTCTTTTATCATAAAATCGTGAACCCTTTACCTTCTCTGTCTTTCTCTAAATTCCTATGCAGAGTACTTGATAGAAGCCTGATTTTGCTCATCACTGTTTCAAGTGATTCTTAGAATAACTTGAGAGAACAAGGAGCATACCACATTAGCATAACAGAATACTTGAAAAATCAATGACTGTGTCTAAGTAGAAATGATTGTACCCCATAACCAATATTCTAGACATTTAGAAAGGTTATATAGAATTCATTTAAAACTCTATTCATAAGAATAATTATAAATGAAAAGCTTCTATTCGTCATATATAGATCCTTTCTGTCATTTACGTATTTTTCAACTGGTATAACAAAAACAATCCCTCTGGGAAGGTAGCCTGGCTGAAAAAACATAGCAGTTTGACTCTGCAGTTAATTAACACAAATTCACACACACTGAGATGCATTCAGACACACATACAAGCTTGGGGGCCCGCACACCAATTTTATATGTTTTGGGGTAGGTGGTCTGGATTTCAGGCTAGGGCAGATTGAGATAAACAGATTTTAGGAGGAGAAACATTCAAGGCACAAAAGGAATAGAGAAAAAGCATTGTAAAGATGTGTTCAAGGGATGAGCATTTACCAAAAAATGATAAGGATAAAGAAAGAGAGTTAAGGGCTATATAATTATGATTTGGATTCAGCCTGAGTATATTTTAATTTTGAGTTGGGGGGTGTGTGTTAATTGTTTTTACACTATTGTCTGAATTTTAAAACTATTTCTGAAGCAGTCTTCAATCATTTTCTAGATATGTATAAGTGTGTTTTGTTTCAACTACGATTACTATACTTATGACATGCAGTTTGTTAGAATCCTTTTTGAGTTTTATAAGTACATCGTGTATGTAAGAGACAGAAGTTATGTGTGCTCAAGCAGGTAATTGACAAACTTGAGCTTATTCATTTACTTTCAATATAAAAAAAAAACTAAAATGTGTAGCACATTGAGGTTATTTATCTGGATTAAAGAAGGTTATGTGTGTACACATGCACAGTAAATGCTCTTATTTTATTTTTTTATTAGATGGCTACTGAGTGTGTTAGTTACAATTACTTTTTTTTCAGAAACAGAATTTGTAGTCTCATGAGCATGTATTTTGGAGGAAACAGATAAGAACACTGGGGGCCAGATTATTATTAGGTCTGGCTATCTCCAGAAATATATATTTGAAAAATACGATTTCAGATACTAAAAGTGAAAATAGGAAGGTCAGCCTAGCCTTGTTATGGTGGTGCTATTGTAGAGTGGTTGCAGTGATGAATGGAGTTGGAGAGATTTGAGATTTATTTTGAAGATAGAAAAAGAGCTTGAAAAAACCAGCATCTTACATAACTTCACTTTATTTTTTTGTATTTGATAACCTAGTAAATGTCATTTAATGTGACATAGGAGAATTTGAGAGGGCCAGATAATTATTTTAATGATTGTTTCAAGTGTTTGGTGTGTGTATGTGTATAATGTCAATTCTGACATGTTAATTTTAAGATATCCACAAGACAGACAAGTGTAGATGTCGAATAGCTTGAAATAAATGACTGTGAATCTCAGATGTAGCATCAGGGCTGCAGACACTTTGGAACATGTCTCATGGTAAGGAGAGTCATGAGAATTTGTAAGATTACCTAGATTAGTGTCGAGAAGAAGGATGAGAGGGCTGAGAATTAAGTCCAGAAATTCTCCCAAATTTAGTAGCGGGGTACAAAAATAAACAAGTAACAAAAGAGAAGAAGTTAATGAAGTTAACAAAAACCCAGGGACAATTGGTGTTTCGTGACCCCAAAGCAAAGACTGTGTCAAGAGCTGGGAGTGGGCTACGGCAGTGGGAGAAGGATGGTCATTATTGCTAAATGCTTCAAAGAGTTAGAACCACATGAAGTCAAAAAAATTTTCATTGAATTTGGAAGAGTAAAATTCTTGTGACCTGATCTACAGCAGTTTCAGCTGAATCAGTGTTAAGAGATGTTAAGAAGATAGAGTAGAAATTGAGATGGTGGATATAGACGTTGCTCTGAAGAAGTGCTACTGCCAAATGATGTAGAGCATAGGGAGGTTGTAGGAGAAACATACACACATACGTATGCATATAAGGATTATCATATATAAATTTATATAACAATTTTTATGCATGAGTGTGAATAAATATATGCATATATATGTCTGTATATGTAAACATAATGCATATAGTAATTTACATATATCTGTGTGTATATATGTGTGTGGCACAGTCACACACACACACACAAATATGTATACAGATGCTTCCTGGCTTACAATAGGATTTCATCCTGATAAATTCATCGTAAATCAAAAGTATTGCAAGTTGAAAATGCATTTCATACCCCAGTAAGTCCATCATTTGGTCAAAAGTATTGTAAGTCAGAATACATTTGACACCTGGATAAGTCCATTATAAAGTCAAAACATTTTAAGTCTAATCATTGTAATTTGGGTACCGTCTATGTAGATACGTAAATCATACATTAAGGGTGACTAGGTGCCAGGTTGAATGTTATGAAAATGAATTTCAAGTCTCACAGGCACATTCACCCATTACAAATATGTACCACATTCACCTATTACAAATATGTACACATGTATGTGTTCATGTTCATACTACAATGGCAGAGTTGCATAATTGTGACAGAAATCAAATGGCTTACAATAACTAAGGCATTTCTACATAGCCTTTTAAAGTAAAAAGTTTATTCATTGTTGGTCTACATAACGTGGAGGAATTTGTAGCGGACAGGCTATTACAGTCAGTGAATTGAAAGGAAGGGAGAAGTTGGGGGAGACTAGTAGCTTTTTGAAGGTATTATTTTAGAGATTTATGAAGTTTTGGAGAACAAGGGATGAGGAAAAAGTATTGAAGAATTTGGGAGAGCAGGATATCAATTAGTTTCTGACTTTATTGGGAATGCAGATCAGAGAAAGGCTGGGATAGAAAACTGAAATAATAATTATAGCCTTCGGTGAATATCAGCAGGACTGATGGGACTATAGGGAGGGTAGACTAGGTGATAGAGCCCATTGTGGCAGTTTCAGTAGGACATCATTGGTGTATACGTATATGTTATTTGTGATTTTGTTTATCTTTTTTTAATAAGCAAAAGGAAAAGTGTCCCGATATGTTTTGGCTTTGTGACCCCATCCGAATCTCACCTTGAATTGTAACAAAGTTTTACCATGTTAAACAGGCTAGTCTCGAGTTCGTGACCTCAAGTGATCTGCCCACTTTGGCCTCCCAAAGTGCTGGGATTATAGGCATGAGCTACCACACCCGGCCCTTTTTACAGAAATTTCACAAACATCTTCTAAAATTATAAATCACTCTAAAATATGTAATTCTTATTCACAGATCTTTTGTTACCTAATATACTTAAAATCTTTAGAATGAAGGCAATTTATTCCTGAATTTTTTTATAAAGTGATTGAAGTCCAGAGAATCCAAAAGAAAATAGCTAGTCAGTAGTTAAGATTAATGTAGATACATTCTTGTAAATTTAAGTCTACTGGTGCTTCTGCACATGAATGCATTTGCAGACATAGAGTAGAAAAATTACCTAAATTTGATAACATATAGGAGAGAAAAGAAATAAACCAAATAACTTCAAATTACCCACTAATATTTAGAGGCAAACATAAGAAAAACTTCAATCTTCTCATCTGTAAAATGGGAATAATAGCCGGGTGGGGTGGCTCAGGCCTGTAATCCTAGCACTTTGGGAGGCCGAAGTGGGCAGATTGCCTGAGCTCAGGAGTTCAAGACCAACCTGGGCAACGTGGTGAAACCCCATCTCTATTAAAATGCAAAAAATTTACCAGGCATAATGGTGCGCATCTGTAGTCTCAGCTACTCAGGATGCTGAGGCACAAGAATTGCTTTAACCCGGGAGGCAGATGTTTCAGTGAGCTCCTGGGCAAGAGAGAGACTCTGTCTCAAAAAATAAAATAAAATAAAATAAAATAAAATAAAATAAAAATTACCTAACAGTTGTATGTCATCAATGAAATAATGTGTTTGAAATGGCTTTGCAATTATGATGTATCATTAAGATATTAAGTGATTGTATCTGTAGCTCTCATACTGTACTCTATTGGGAAATATCCTGTAACTGGCAAGCTTTGCTCCATTTCTACTACAAAACTCACAAGTCCAAATTCTCTACTGTTAAGTTACTATTGTTTCTGGACCAAATACTTTCAAAGTTTCTACAATTTAGTCCTCACTTTTTTCTTGACTTTGATGCACGCTGTGGTTCACTGATTACAAACAGTAGCAAAGTGTGCATGTATTTACTGCTCAGGAATCTAGCTTAAAAGACATACATTCATGACAGATGTTTACCTTCTTGAGGAATCACTGTCCATGTTTATAAATTTATTCACTGAGAATTTAACTTAAATAGCCCTATTTAGATTTTCAATAAGCCAACACTGCATTATTTCTGTCATCATCTTCAATCTTAACCATTACCCTTGCCATCATGATTATCCTTGCCATTCATTGAGCTGCTGGTTCCCAGCTAGTCTCTATGCATGGTGCTGTATAGAGACAGATTTCTTGTGCTATAGCAAAAGGGATTAATGAGAGTTCTTAGATTATTTCAATCTTATTATGTACGAAATCTCCAGATCATTGAGGAAAAACTGGGAAATAATTTTTCCGTTGTGATTTTTAAGGTAATGTATCCAATATTCATTATTGTATCCACATGCAAATGCCATGCTTAGACACAGATTCATTGATTTGCTCTTACTAAACCAGCCCCCTCCACCTTGTGGGCTTCAGGGGAAAAATAGAGAAAAAAAAAGTCCTAAAAATAAAATTTTATACTCCAAAATCATAGCACTGTGAAACTAAAACACCTTAAGGACTTAGAAATTCTCTCTTTTACTCTATTCTCAATAGGCAAATTTTCCTAGGAATGATGTTTTTTCTAGTAGACAGATTCTCTCAGCCGACTGTAAGGTAGGGGAACAAGGTAGCAGAGTGAATTAACATACAGAATAATGAATCCATCAAGTGAATCTGGGGCATCAAAAATCACTTTTGATTTTGAAATTTCCTTCTCCGATATCTGCTTTTGCCCCAAACCTCTCTACATTGAAATTATGACTCTCTAATCTTAAAATATTTCCATGAACATGTCAAATAGCAGAGACATGGTGAGTTAATAAACTTTCATTTGATTTATAATAAACAGATTTTGGTGTTGATTAGAATCCTGTAACTTAACTGCAATACCGTTTGTTGGGCAGATGTCATTGCCTCCCTTTCTTAAATGAACTTAATTATCATTACAGAAAACATTAAATTTGACTGCTTTATTGAGAGATCAATATGGGTGACAGTGAAATAAATATTATGCATCATTTTAAACTGTTGTACAACACACAGGCTGCCAAATTAGAAATGGCCCTGATTATCAGACATTAATGGAGCACTGGATGTTGCTTTTTAGGCCTCTGCCTCTGTGTCTTTGTAAGATGCCTGTTCTTAGGATTGAAAGACAATGAAGCATGTAGGTACTCAGGATCAACTACAGAAATCCATCAGGGCTGTTTATTGTGAACAAAAATGAGTTTTTTTTTTCCATGGCACAGGAATTCTTTAGGAACATGTAAAAGCATTATTTGGCTTATAAGGGTGAATGAGGGTTGCTTTAACTAGCTGTGGTTTTATCTGGGCCAATTTAATTTCACTTGAAATTCATGAGTTCAGAGACTCAAACTACATCTCAAAAATTCGAGTGGTTTCTACTCATATTCTTATTGTTCAAAAGTACTTAAATGAGACATAAAAAGTTTCATAAGTCTTTCTGGACATGGCGTGGTTGTTTCAAAGACACTGTTTTGATGATTTAGACAGACTGTTGGAAAATAATGCAGAAGATGGTGGTAACAATGTATCTGCTACAGCTAGAATATTGTATATAAAATAAAAAAGTGCTCTGTGAAAAGCATATTTCTGCTTTCATTACTTAAGAAGCATCTAAGCAATTTTCAAGTTACTGAAATATAGGCACCATATGTTAATCTTGACATTATACTTCCTACTGAATCAGATTCACTCGAATTTACAACTATTGAACTTACAAAATTTTATATCAGCAAAGGAGAAATTTAATTTTGTTGCCCTATAATAAAGATTCAGAAAATTTTATTACTGAGATATTAGCATACTTCCAAACATGTAATTATTCCCATATTTAAAGAGAATGTTGGTAAACCTATAACCACACATACAATGGCAGCAGAGTACAATGAGAATTTCTAGATAGCAACTAAGCTATTTCTGATATACTAATATAAAGAAAGGAAGAATCAATGGGATGTATGTGAACTTGGATTCCCAACAGCATTCTTTATGTGTCAGAAGCTGAATTCCAAATTAGTCACATTTCTTTAAAATAAATCTTCACATATACAGTAAATTTGAGGTTCCACCACTGATATTTAAATGCATTACAAAGGGTCTGCTCTGTTCTCATTTTATTTTGATGGGCTTCCCTAATTTTGTAACTTACTTCCCATAAACTCTTTGCTACATGACAATTACATGAATTTCAGGGTGCATTTCAAAGGGTGTGAATTAACAACATAATTAAAAGAAATGATACAACATAGCAAAATAACAAATAAATGGTATTCATTTATTCAGACATTTAATAAATGTGGTTATGTACCAAGGGACAGGCATCGTGACAGAGAATGGGGATAAAACAACCTGTAAAACTGATCTCATCCGTCCCTGCTTTTAGAGAGAGGCAAGGTATAAATGGATGGTAATTCTATTGCCACGGGTAGATACCGTCACATCTTTTTATTTTGGAAGAGGTCATCCCTCAGCAAGTCTATATGCTACCATGTGAACATTTCTCTTTCGCTATTTTGTTTGTATATCTGTTCATTTGCTGTATTGCCTAGCTCCCCATAGGAATGTAAGCTGTTTGCAAGTAGGAATTTTGTAAAATTGCCTCGATCACCTTTGTACCCTAAGGGCTGAGTAGATACATTTCCTAACAAACATTTGTTAAATGAATTAATAAAGGAAAATAGTCATCAACTATTTTGGTCAGAAAAGGCTGGATTGAAAATTGTGGGTTTTTATTCTTTAATTTTTGTAATGGCATTTTTAGTATTTGATTTTTCATTAAAAAGGAAGCATCACTTTAGAGCAATCTTATTATTTGGATGCTTCCATTTTTATTTTTCTGGGTAAATTATTTTTAATTTATCTAGACATATTATTTTAAGACACATGGAATGTCAAAGAAGAAAAAATATATAAAATAATGAAAATAGCTAACATTTTTTTCTGTGTGTGAGGCACTGTACTATATTGTCTACACATATTGTCTTATTTAATACTCAAAAATCTTGTTGATGTTATTCCCATTTTAAAGATAAGGAAACTGAAGCTTAGATGATTAAATATCATGACTGTGATCACTCAATTAGTAGATGTTGAAGTAGGAACTCAACTTAGCTCTGTTTGATGGCAATGTCTTAACATAAATATATACATAAATGGGAAACGCCAGAGTTTTCAGTGAAAAAAAAATACAACTTTTTATGATGAAGCATGTCAACATAAGTTATTAATAAAATAAACATATATTTCCCAATCATTCTGAAAGAGTAAGCTGTCAAAACAGCAATACTTACACAGATGTTTAATGGGAGGCCTATAGTCAAAGATCTAAATTCTAAAAGAACTAGAGAAGCAAGAGCAAACACATTCAAAAGCTAGCAGAAGGCAAGAAATAACTAAGATCAGAGCAGAACTGAAGGAGATAGAGACACAAAAAACCCTTCAAAAAATCAATTAATCCAGGAGCTGGTTTTTTGAAAGGATCAACAAAATTGATAGACCACTAGCAAGACTAATAAAGAAGAAAAGAGAGAAGAATCAAATAGACGCAATAAAAAACGATAAAGGGGATATCACCACCGATCCCACAGAAATACAAACTACCATCAGAGAATACTACAAACACCTCTATGCAAATAAACTAGAAAATCTAGAAGAAATGGATAAACTCCTCGACACACATACCCTCCCAAGACTAAACCAGGAAGAAGTTGAATCCCTGAATAGATGGATAACAGGCTCTGAAATTGAGGCAATAATTAATAGCCTACCAACCAAAAAAAGTCCAGGACCAGATGGATTCACAGCCGAATTCTACCAGAGGTACAAGGAGGAGCTGGTACCATTCCTTCTGAAACTATTCCAATCAATAGAAAAAGAGGGAATCCTCCCTAACTCGTTTTATGAGGCCAGCATCATCCTGATACCAAAGCCTGGCAGAGACACAACAACAAAAAAAAAGAGAATTTTAGACCAATATCCCTGATGAACATCAATGCAAAAATCCTCAATAAAATACTGGCAAACCAAATCCAGCAGCACATCAAAAAGCTTATCCACCATGATCAAGTGGGCTTCATCCCTAGGATGCAAGGCTGGTTCAACATACGCAAATCAATAAACGTAATCCAGCAAATAAACAGAACTGAAGACAAAAACCACATGATTATCTCAACAGATACAGAAAAGGCCTTTGACAAAATTCAACAGCCCTTCATGCTAAAAACTCTCAATAAATTAGGTATTGATGGGACATATCTCAAAATAATGAGAGCCTATTTATGACAAACCCACAGCCAATATCATATTGAATGGGCAAAAACTGGAAGCATTCCCTTTGAAAACTGGCACAAGACAGGGATGCCCTCTCTTGCCACTCCTATTCAACATAGGGTTGGAAGTTCTGGCCAGGGCAATCAGGCAAGAGAAAGAAATAAAGGGTACTCAGTTAGGAAAAGAGGAAGTCAGATGGTCCCTGTTTGCAGACGACATGATTGTATATTAACAAAACCCCATTGTCTCAGCCCAAAATCTCCTGAAGCTGATAAGCAAGTTCAGCAAAGTCTCAGGATACAAAATCAATGTGCAAAAATCACAAGCATTCTTATACACCAATAACAGACAAACACAGGGCCAAATCATGAGTAAACTTCCATTCACGATTGCTTCAAAGAGAATAAAATACCTAGGAATCCAACTTACAAGGGATGTGAAGGACCTCTTCAAGGAGAACTACAAACCACTGCTCAACGAAATAAAAGAGGACACAAACAAATGGAAGAACATTCCATGCTCATGGATAGGAAGAATCAATATCATGAAATTGGCCATACCGCCCAAGGTAATTTATAGATTCAATGCCATTCCCATCAAGCTACCAATGACTTTCTTCACAGAATTGGAAAAAACTACTTTAAAGTTCATATGGAACCAAAAAAGAGCCCACATTGTCAAGACAATCCTAAGCCAAAAGAACAAAGCTGGAGGCATCACACTACCTGACTTCAAACTATACCACAAGGCTACAGTAACCAAAACAGCATTGTACTGGTACCAAAACAGAGATATAGACCAATGGAACAGAACAGAGCCCTCAGAAATAATACCACACATCTACAACTACCTGATCTTTGACAAACCTGACAAAAACAAGAAATGGGGAAAGGATTCCCTATTTAATAAACGGTGCTGGGAAAACTGGCTAGCCATATGTAAAAAGCTGAAACTAGATCCCTTCCTTACACCTTATACAAAAGTTAATTCAAGGTGGATTAAAGACCTAAATGTTAGACCTAAAACCATAAAAACCCTAGAAGAAAACTTAGGCAATACCATTCAGGACATAGGCATGGGCAAGGACTTCATGTCTAAAACACCAAAAGCAATGGCAACAAAAGCCAAAATTGACAAATGGGATCTAATTAAACTGAAGAGCTTCTGCACAGCAAAAGAAACTACCATCAGAGTGAACAGGCAACCTACAGAATGGGAGGAAATTTTTGCAATCTACTCATCCGACAAAGGGCTAATATCCAGAATCTACAATGAACTCAAAGAAATTTACAAGAAAAAAGCAAACAACCCCATCAACAAGTGGGTGAAGTATATGAACAGACACTTCTCAAGAGAAGACATTTATGCAGCCAACAGACACATGAAAAAATGCTCATCATCACTAGCCATCAGAGAAATGCAAATCAAAACCACAATGAGATACCATCTCACACCAGTTAGAACGGCAATCATTAAAAAGTCAGGAAACAATAGGTGCTGGAGAGGATGTGGAGAAATAGGAACACTTTTACACTGTTGGTGGGACTGTAAACTAGTTCAACCATTGTGGGAGTCAGTGTGGCGATTCCTCAAGGATCTAGAACTAGAAATACCATTTGACCCAGCCATCCCATTACTGGGTATACACCCAAAGGATTATAAATCATGCTGCTATAAAGACACATGCACACATATGTTTATTGTGGCACTATTCACAATAGCAAAGACTGGGAACCAACCCAAATGTCCATCAATGATAGACTGGATTAAGAAAATGTGGCACATATACACCATGGAATACTATGCAGCCATAAAAAATGATGAGCTCATGTCCTTTGTAGGGACATGGATGAAGCTAGAAACCATCATTCTCAGCAAACTATCGCAAGGACAAAAAATCAAACACCGCATGTTCTCCCTATAGGTGGGAATTGAACAATGAGAACACTTGGACACAGGAAGGGGAACATCACACACCAGGGCGTGTTTTGAGGTGGGGGAAGCGGGGAGGGATAGCATTAGGAAACGACGAGTTAACGGGTGCAGTACGTCAACATGGCACATGTATACATATGTAACAAACTTGCACGTTGTGCACATGTACCCTAGAACTTAAAGCATAATAATAATAAAAAAAAGTCTGTAGTCCTTTGGGAAAATTATGGAGACATAAAAAGTGATCCTCTTTATCTCTAGTAAAACTTGCTTGTCTTAAAACCTATTTTGTCAGATATCAATACAGTCATGCACTGCATAATGTTTCGTGGTCTATAATGCATCACATATACAATGGTGATGCCATAAGATTATAATGGAGCTGAAAAATTCCTATGACCTGGTGATGTCCCTACTGACTTAATGTAATAGTGCAATTACTTTATTTTTCTATGTTCAGCACAGCTTAAGTATACAGTGTTTATAAAGTCTACAGTGGTGTACAGTAATGTTCTAGGCCTTCACGTTCACTCACCACACACTTAAAGACTTACGCAGAGCTTCTAATTCTACAAGCTTCATTCATGGTAAGTACCCTATACAGGTGTACCATATATCTTTGGTCATTTGTATGTTTTCATTAAAGAAATTTCTATTCAGTTCCTTTTAAAAACTGAATTGTTTTCTTACCATTGAGTTGTTTGAATTTCTTGTATATTTTGGATATTAAACCCTTACCTGATATATGTTTTGAAAATACATGCTCCAATTTCATAGGTTTTCTCTTCACTCTATTTTTTCCTTGGCTGTGCAGAAGCTTGTTGGTTTTACAATCTCATTTGTCTATTTTTCTTTTGTTGCCTCTGTTTTGAAAGTCTAATCCCAAAAATAATTGCCTAGACTAAACAGTGGTATAAAAAATAATTTAATAAATTCATTATCTTAAATTATAGAGTTCTGAATTTTAAAAAGCTTCATCTGAGGCTAAAATCAAAGGTTTTATTTCTTCTGGAGGCTCTGAGAATTTTCCCTTAGACTTTCTCAGCTTCTAGAGGCTGTCTGTGTTCCTTGGCTCATGGCTGCATCAAGTTGATGTGGGGTTTTGTTGTGACCGTTTCATTTCTGTTTCAGCCTTTCCTGCCTCTTATAAGAGCCTTTGTGGACATGTTATACCTACCTACATAATTCAGGATAATCTCCTCATCTCAATATCCCTAATCTAATCACATTTACAAATTCCCTTTTGTCTTGTTTAAATAATATATTCACAGGTTTCATAGATTAGAATTTGGAAATTTTTTGAGGGGGGCAACAATTTTTTTTTTCTGCACACCATACTGTGTAAAATATAACTCAATCTAAAATAAATAAGCAAACATTTAAAAAAAGGGAGAACCGCCCGGGCGCGGTGGCTCACACCTGTAATCCCAGCACTTTGGGAGGCTGAGGCGGGCGGATCACGAGGTCAGGAGATCAAGACCATCCTGGCTAACATGGTGAAACCCCGTCTCTACTAAAAATACAAAAAATTAGCTGGGCGTGGTGGCGGGCCCTCTCGTCCCAGCTACTTGGGAGGCTGAGGCAGGAAAATGGTGTGAACCTGGGAGGCGGAGCTTGCAGTGAGCGGAGATCGCGCCACTGCACTCCAGCCCAGGCAACAGAGCGAGACGCAGTCTCCAAAAAAAAAAAAAAAAAAAAAAAAGGAGAACCGTGTTGTCTGAGTCTGTTTTGTGCTGCTATAACAAAACATCTGAGACTCGGTTATTGATAAAGAACAAAAATTGATTTCTCACAGTTTTGCAGCGTAGGAAGTACAAGTCTAGTTGCCAGCAGGTTTGATAGCTTGATGAGGGTCTGCTCTCTGGTTTCAAGGTGGCACCTTAATGCTGCGTCCTCCACGGTGGAGGAAATCTGTGTTCTCACGTGACAGAAGGGATGGAAGGGTGAAAAGTAGACAAATGCTTTGTCCTCACATGACGGAAAAGCAGAAGACAGAAAAAGCTCTTCTGCAAGCCCTTTTGATAATGGCTTTAATTCATTCATGAAGGCTCTGCCCACCTCCCAGGAAACCCCATCTCCAAACGCCACCCGTCTGGGGATTAAGTTTCTAATACATAAATTTTTGGGGATACATCAGAACATAGCACACACAGACACATAGCTGAAGATATTTTTTAAGACTCAAACTATATTCCTAAGTAGGAAATAACTGAATTTAGGAATCCTCAGTGTATATAGCACAAATAAAAGAAAGCTAGGAGAAATATTTTTGTGAACATTTACCAATGCTAATAAGTTTTATTTAAAGAAAAGAAAATTCTACCTCCTACCACAGAACCCAGCAATCTTTGAAATTATATAAACACAATGCCTACACATTACTTCTATTCTTCCTGATAACAAAGGTGGTTCTAAAAATTATGACTCATTCGATAGGAAGGAAATGATGGATCTTAAGAAGTTGCAAGTCGCCAAGTTCCAAGTTTTATTTGACATTAACTCATCAAGTGCATTGTATTCTTATGTTGCGAAAGTTTAAAAAGTGGTAAAGTATATTTCCCATGTCTATTTATAGTCGTTCTTGGGTGAGCTTCTTCAAGGCAATTTAATTAAAGTTTTTCAAATTGGATTTGAAAAAGTAAACACATTTAGAACCATTGAAATGTTAAGTAATATACAGTAAGTGATCTAACGAAGTAAACTTCTTAGTCCTTGGGGCAGGAGGGACATAGAAGTTTCTTTTGCCAATCACAGTCTTGCTGTGACATCTTGTCCTTCAGTGAAACTTTTAACATGTTTTATGAGGAAAAGCTATTTTCCTCCATGTTATCAGTTAAAATATATTTTCGTTCGTTCCAAAGGACAACTACCAAGACTAGTGCTATAAACTTTAGGACTGAAGTTTTGTTTTGTCTGCTCTGGGAACGTCAGTACCTTATTTTATTCTTAGTGTGAGGAAAATTATATGATGCATCCATTTTATTTATCTTCCATTAGACCAATGCACATATACCCTAACTCTCAACACAACAGCGCTTGCAAGTGTAACAAGTTTAGTTCTGTGTGTCTGTGTCTCAGTGATAGAGTCCTGGGAAGTTTTATATTATGTTTTCAAATTTTTACAGCTTTATGGCTAGAACTCTATGAATTTTCCATAAATATCGGAGAAAGAAAGCAATAACCTTGATATTTGAGAGAACTAGTACATAAAACAAAAGTAGACGGGAACATTTTTTCAGGAGATCTTTTTTCTTTTTTTTCTTTCTTTCATATATATATATATATATACACACACACATATATATGTATATATATATATAAACACACACACAAAACTAAAAAGAAAGATAAAAGATCTCCTGAACAAAGGTATACATATGTTATATATATATTATGTGTTACATATATATATAACATATATATTTATATATATAACTATATGTAACTTTGGACTGTATTGGACAAGAATTCTAGTATTTCTGACAATCTAATCTCTTTCTTTGATAACAGACATTACTCATGCCATTTCACTTTGCTTGGGAGAACCATTACCAAGAGAATGATTCTTTTAGTCCTTCTGTTTTCATTGCTCTTCCAGTGTGTGTGTGTGTGTGTGTGTGTGTGTTTGTGTGTGTGTGTGTTTGCATGCTTTGATATATACTAGCCAAGTTGGAAAGGTATATTTATTAAATCAAAGAAAGATCAGCTTAGGAGACATATTTGTTTATATTTATTTCTGGATGGATCTTCTTTCTCCTGTATTTTTAGAAACTGTTGTAATACAAAAAATAATCAATTTATGATGAGTTTATGTTCAGAAAAGACAAGATTATACTGTAGTTACTGACAACCCTAAAATTCTGGTGGCCTAAAATGACCATGATGTGTTTTCTTTTCTCCCACTTATCAGTTTCTGATTGGCTGCTGCTCCTCTTCCTATTATCATTATTCTGGGACACAGGCTAATGGAGAAACCACATCCAAAATGCTGATGGTTAATATGAAAGAAAAAAAAAAGAAAGAGAGAGAGAGAGAAACATGGCAAATCAAACCATTTCTTAAAGACCATATTAAAAGTTCTTAAATAAACATGGCATACCACTTCTGCTTAATTTCATTGGCCAAATTAAATTACAGCTGTGCCTACCTCTGAAAATATCGAAAGGCCAGTATTACCATATGCTTAGGAAAGAGAACTCAAAATTAAGACTGGATAATTTCATGCCTGCTAGTAACTTTAAAAATCTTATGTTGCTTACTAATTGACACAATTCAAATTGCTTCACTCTTTATATATGCGTGTGTTTCTATATGAATTAGTCTTTCTCATCTTTTCCAAGGCTGCTAGTGGCAGGTTATGTATAAAATACCCATATTTTCCACTTTATATCTTGATCATAGGTATTAGTCACACATAGTGCTGCTTCCTACAATTGGTTTATTTGGTTGACTTTATCTGATAATGAATAGATTTTAATTCATAAGGCACTGCATTATTATATTTTTTACCATGTAATGCTACTGTTATTTTTTGTTTTGGAAATTTTATAGATGATTCCTTTATGGAGTTTTTCTATTGTCAATGTCTCCAGTAACAGTGGCTCATCTGTGTTGGAAAAGAGATAAATGTAGGAGTGATGGCCAACATTCAGATATATCGAAGTTCTACAGATGCCGCTTCTTTCATTTTCCTCCCTGTCGAATCAATGCCTTCTGCTTTTGATTCTATCAAGATATTGAGTGATCTCAGGAAACACATTCATTTCCTGTCACCTCTACACTGACAGTGATCTGAAAAATGTGAGACCTAATTTATGTGTTTTTCTTCTCAACTCTACCATCAATATCTTGCAAAGAAGTCAGTAGAAATAGCACAAGGGTTAATGCTTCATGTCAGTTGCAGTTAAAATATACTTGGCTTTCAAACTTTTGAGGTCCTCAATCATTCTCCTCTCTCTAGTGCATGTTTGGGGAATTCACTATTTCTGACAGGACCTATGGCATTTCTTAACATACCTAAAGGCCTTCCCTTACTTTGAAGAACTGAAAACACCCTGGAATGAGCTGACAACCTTGAATATGACTTGGCCACCTAACTCAGACGTTCTTTGGTCCCGACTTGCACATTGCAGTTGATTCTCAATAACATTTCTGAGTTGAACTGCATTCTTGATCTCCGTTCTTGTTTATTGTGCCCAGCCCCTTTGCTTTCTTTCCTAGAGTCTGATTTCCATTTATATAACGATAATCCAGCAATCTTACTTTCACCTCTGTGTCTCCATTGCTTAATAATTTTGCTTATAGAGTGGACTTGATCGGAATGTTGAGTTTTGCTGTGCTCTTAGGCCTGCTGTTACCTCTCTAACCTCATGCCTCACTCTTCTTCTTTTTTCTTGCTCCGCTCTGGCAACACTGGGCTTCTCCTTACTCTGTGAGTGGTCAAGGCACCATACCACCTGAAAGCCATTGCATTTGCTGCTCCCTCTGTCTGAAATAGTCTTTCCCAGATATTCTCATGGGAAACGCTTGCTTTATTTGTTTTTCCAAAAATCACCTTTATGGTGAAGTCTGGCCTGGCCACCCTGTCTGAAACTGCACAATGCTACTGTTATGCAGAATGCATAAGGAGAATAGGAATTAAATGAACACATAAAGAGGAAAGTTAATCACATTATCGCAGGGTAAACTCTCATATTAAGGGTCAGCCTGGGAGGCTGTGTGAATTCTTGGCTTCACAAGAAGGAATTCAAGAGCGAGCTCATAGAGTAAAGCAAAAGCAAGTTTATTAAAAAGAAAAGGAATAAAATGGTGGCTACTCCACAGTAACCTCCATAGTACTACCTGTGCATAGTATACTATGTATAGTAGCCACCCTAAACAAGGGGTGGGTTATTCATGAGTTTTCTGGGAAATGGGTGGGGAATTCCCAAAACTGAGGGTTTCTCTCCCTTTCAGACTATGTAGGGGTAAATTCTGGACTTTGCCATTGCATTTGTAAATGTCATGGCACTGATGAGAGTTTCCTTACCACATCCTGTTTCATCAGCAAGGTCTTTGTGACCTGTATCTTATGAAACCAGTTCTACCAAGCTCCTATCTCAAAATGCCAACTTTAAACAACTAAGCTCCATAATTCATTATTTTTGTGAGCTTGATTAAAATATTACAATTATTGGTCACAATTGTAGGATGACAAAAGAATGAGGGTCATGATCAACTCAGTATACCACTGGAAGCTATATGAGTAAGCAGCAAACTGTTTCTCGTAAATACAGAATGTTGGCAAACTGACAAACTGTGTCCGCAGCCCAGAAGGACTGCTGAGGGCAGTCATGACCCAAGCACAAGTGTTTCTTATGTTTAGGCATAATTGAAGCCTGTTAGCAATAATGTGAACCTGTGATCAATCAAGCAGCTGACCAATCGTTACCCCCTCCTCCCTACTCTTGTTACTCAATAAATATAAAGGGCTCTGGTAACTCAGTGGGGTTGCCTTTGCTCACTAGAAGCAGGGAGCTCTTTTATTCTTCCCCAGTTCCCCTTTCCTTAAAATAGTTACTTTTGTTTTCTGTTATCATTTTCTATGTTCATCCCTTCATTCAGTCTGGTAATGACGATCTCAAGTAGTAACAGTAATAACTGCTGTAATGGTAGTCTCAAGTAGTAGTTGTGTCAGTCAGCTACACACAATAGCATTGGTTGTTTATAACAAGAAATTTTAATTAAAAAAAAAGAGTAGATATTGTCTGGTGCAAATGAACATTACAGATGTATCTTTAGCTTGAGGTGAACTTAATACAGTGTGTAACTGACTTTCTTCACTGTTTTTTGATTCTGCTTCCTGAATCTTCCCTTCCCTACTCAGGACTGCGTCCTTCTTCATTCATATTCAGCAGAAAAATAAAGATGTCTCCTTCAGTAGCTCAAAGAAAAGCCCTAGAATTAAGTTTAATTTATCCTCATTACTCTTCCATGGCTGGAAAATTTAGAGTACTGTTTGAAAAGGAAGGGAAAAAGCAAAAGGGAGAGAATTAAACAGTTTCTTGTGCACTTCCTTCTCTCTTGGGATGATAATAGTTATTGAGTAACTTGAAATTAACACATTAATTTATTTAAAGTGTCATATTAATCTCTTACAAGCTACATTCCAGCATATTCATTTATCACATGCTGTGTGAATGCTTTTTTTCATTTGCAAATTTTTTGCTGATAAGGGCTATTTGATAACACAGTCACATGCAATAATTTATTTTCAAGTTAATGCATTTGGGGTCTAGTTTTAATGTGCTCTTAAAGCAAGCAGTCATGTCCCCCTCATGTTTTTCAGTATTTGTGTCTGCTTAATTTAGAGCTTTTATAAAAATTATACTGTCATATCTTGTGTTTTTCAACTGCAGCAGTGTTTAGTTACTATAAACAAACATGTACACTAATTCTTTGGGGAAAAAAAGTGCTCAAAATGCATCTAGGTTCTGAACAATTGGAAAATGGCAAATGTCATTTCAAGTGGTTCAAATTTCCACTTCCTTCAGCAATTTTTATATATTTTTTAAAGCAAGAATGGAATTTATAGTTATTTATAGTAAATCGTTATAAACCTATCTCATGAACATTGCCAACTTGAATTTAAACTTACCTTTCCATTTATTAATAGAAATATTCAGAAATAGTCACTAAATATATTTGTTGGAATGGTCATCTATGTAACTTTTTGCCTTCAAGCAAAAGCATCTGAGCCCATTACATTGATATAAGGTAGGAAGAATAAAAATTAATTCTGGTTTGTTGAATTTGGAGGTCCTAAATGATTATTTTGATTGAATTTATCAGTCAAAATTCAGTCAGTCAGGTGAATCTGCTTCCTAGACCTGTTCTTATATCATAATTAGCTTTTGTTGATTGGTAGTATCTGCCCTCTAAAGATTCCACAAACAATTTGAGAGAGAATAAATTGTGTACCTGAGTCTGTTTGATGGAGGACGGTTTAGTTTTCTGCTTTTCATAAGTTGCTTAGGTTTGTACTTGTAACTTGTTACAAAAAGCCAGGGTTGTGTTAATAGATACCATTTTCTAATTATTTTCCAGGAAAAATAGACTTTTTTTTTTTTTTTTTAAAGGGAGTCTCGCTATGTCACCCACCTGGAGTGCAGTGGCGCAATCTTGGCTCACTGCAACCTCCCCCTCCTGGGTTCAAGTGATTTTCCTACCTCAGCCTCCTGAGTAGCTGGGACTATAGGTGCCTGCCACCACCCCTGGCTAATTTTTGTATTTTTAGTAGAAATGGGGTTTCACCATGTTGGCCAGGATGGTCTCGATTTCCTAACTTTGTGATCCACCTGCTTCGGCCTCCCAAAGCACTGGGATTACAGGCATGAGCCACCGTGCCCAGCCTCCATTTATTTTTATCTCTCTAAGTTTTCAATTTAAAATTCTCCATGAAGGTTGGGTATGGCAGTGTACACCTGTAATCCCAGCAATTTGGGGTGCCCAGGTGGGAGGATTACTTGAGGTCAGGAGTTCAAGACCAGCCTGGCCAACATGATGAAACCCCCGTCTCTACTAAAAATACAAAAATTAGCCAAACATGGTGGCACACATCTGTAATCCCAGCTACATGGGAGGCTATGGCATGAGAATCACTTGAACCTGGGAGACGGAGGTTGCAGTGGAGCAAAGATCCTACCACTGCACTCCAGCATGGGCAACAGGGCAATACCCTGTCTCAAAAAGATAAAAATAAATAAATAATTAAAAATAAAATTCTCCATGAGGTCCAAATATCTTCATCTTGTCTATTAGATGTCAATGATTCGTATTTATTTCTCACATAATCCTGACATATCTCTTCTTAACTTTATTATTATTTTTCTTTTTGTGTGGGTCCTGATCACTTTTGAACCATGCTCTTCCAAATTTGTTGGATAGATGACCTAAAAAAACCTTTCTTCACATCACATGAGAAAATGGTGTAAGGAATAAATATATTTCTGTTACATGTGTTTAAAGTAATTTATTTATGGCCTCCCTGAATTATGGAATTAAAGCCTGAATATAACCAAAGTGTAGTGAAGTCTGTAATTTACTCTCCTTTTATAAAATTCAGCTACCTTAAAATTCTTAAATGCGGAATAATAGAATCACAGCACTTTGGCGGAAGGACTTTTTAGTATCAAGTCTTTTGGTTTCAATGAATGTTTTATATTGCTTTGGATTGGTTCTGTAAACCAAAATGTATCTGAAACAGGTATTATTTTAGTTTATTTTGTCAAAGTTATAAGGACATGCCTGTGACATAGCCTCAGGAGGTCCTGAGAATTGTTTGTCCAAGGTAGTCAAGTTGCAGCTCAGTTTTATACATTTTAGGGTGACATAAAACCTCAGTCAATGCATGTAAGATGTACCTTGGTTTGTTCCAGACAAACTGGGGACAACTCTAATGTGATTTGGCTCTGTGTCCCCAACTAAATCTCATCTTGAATGGTAATCTGCTGTGTTGAAGGAAGGACCTGATTGGAGGTGACTGAATCATGGGGGCAGACTTCCTCCTTGCTGTTCTCATGATAGAGTTCTCATGAGAACTCTCGTTGCTTGCAAGTGTGTTAGAACCTCCCCCTTCTGTCTTTCTCTTTCCTGCCAGCTATGTGATGATGTGCCCACTTTCACTTAGTCTTCTGCCATGATTGTAAGTTTCCTGAGGCCTCCTTAGAAGCAGAAGCCTGTACAACCCGCAGAAACATGGGCCAATTAAACCTCTTTTCTTTATTAATTACTCAGTCTCAGGTAGGTTTTCACAGCAGAATGAGAATGAATTAATACAAACCTGAAGGTGGTTGGAGGGGGGGTCTTCCAGGTCATAGGTGGATTCAAAGATTTTCTGACCAGCAATTGGTTGAAAGGATTTATTGAAAGACCTAGATCTAATAGAAGGGAGTGTCTGGATTAAGATAAAGGATTTTGGAGACCAAGGTTTTTATTATGTAGATGAAGCCTCCAGGTAGCAGGCTTTAGAGAGAATAGATTGTAAATATTTCCTATCAGACTTAAAAAATTGCCAGACTTAATTCTTTTCTAGAACAAGAAATGGATCAGGAAAGGGAAAGGAATTCTCTATAAAATGTAGATTTTCCCAAGACATTTGCTTGCTCATGCAAGCTCTGTAGAGCCATTTCAAAATATGTCAAATAAATATATTTGGGGATAAAATATGTTGATTTATTTGAGGGCCTACTATCTGTCATTTTGGTATCTTTATTGCTACAGAGTTTACTTTGCCAGTTTTAAGGTCTCTGTTTTAATGTTAAATGCTGGGCAACTGTGCCTAAATTCTAAAGGGAGGTGTATTGGTCCATTCTCACACAGCTAAAAGGAAATATCTGAAAAAAAAAAAAAAGAAATATCTGAAACTGAGTAATTTATTTTAAAAAAGAGTTTTAATTGGCTTATGGTTCTGCAGGCTGTACAGGTTGTGGGGAGGCCTCAGGAAACTTACAATCATGGCTGAAGGCAAAGGGGAAGTAAGCAATGTCTTGCATGACCAGAGCAGAAAAAAGGGAGCGAGGTGCTGGTGTTGGGGTGGGAGGGAACCACACATTTTTAAACAACCAGATCTCATGAAAACCCTATAATGAGACAGCAGTAGGGGATGATACTAAACTATTAGAAACAGCCCTCAAGATCCAGTCACCTCCCACCAGGCCCACCTCCAACAGTGGGGTTACAATCCAATATATGATTTGGGTGGGGACACAGAGCCTAACCATATCATTCTGGCCCTGGTCCCTCCAAAATCTCACATTCCTCTCATATTTCAAAATACAATCATCCCTTCTCAACAGTCCCCCAAAGTCTTAACTCATTCCAGCATTAACTCAAAAGTCCAAATTTCAAAGTTTTATCTGAAACAAGACTAGTTATTTCTGCCTATGAGCCTGTAAAATCAAAAACGAGTTAGTTACTTCCCATATACATTGGGAGTATAGGAATTGGCTAAGTACTCCCTTATCAAAAGGGAGATATCAGCCTAAGGAAAGAGGCTACAGGCTCCATGCCAGCCTGAAATATGGCAGGGCAGTCATTAACCCTTAAAGATGTCAAAATAATCTATTTTCACTCCATATTTCACATCCAGGGCACACTTTTGCAAAGGGTGGGCTCCCAAGGTCTTGGGCAGCTCCACACCTGAGGCTTTTCAGGGTACCACCCCCTTGGCTGGCATTGAATGCCTGCTTTTTGAGGAACACAGTGTAAGCTGTCAGTGGGTCTACCATCCTGGGGTCTGGAGGATTGTGGCCCTCTTCTCATAGCTCCATTAGGTAGTGCCCCAGTAGGGACTCTGTGTGGGGTCTCCAACCCCACATTTTTCCTCTGTACTGCCCAAGCAGAGGTTCTCCACGAGGGCTCCACTCCTGTACCCGACTTCTGCCTTGGCATCCAGCCATTTTCATACATCCTCTGAAATTTAGGTGGAGGCCCCTGATATGGTTTGGCTGTGTTCCCACTCAAATATCATCTTAAATTGTAGTTTAATCCCCACATGTTGTGGGAGAGACCCAGTGGGAGGTACTTTAATCATGGGGGCAGTTACCCTCATGCTGTTCAGGCTGTTGTCATGATACTAAGTGAATTCTCATGAGTTCTGATGATTTTATAAGGGGATTCCCCATTTGCTCAGCTCTCATACTTGTCTTTCCTGCTGCCCTGTGAAGCAGGATGTGTTTGCTTCTCCTTCCACCATGATTGTAAGGTTCCCGAGGCCTCCCCAGCCATGCTGAACTGTGAGTTAATTAAACATTTTTTCTTTATAAATTACCCAGTCTTAGATATGTATTAGCAGCATGAGAACAGACTAATACAGCTCCCAAGCTTCAGTTCTTACACTCTGTGCACCTACAGGCTTGAGACTACATGGAAGCCACAAAGGCTTATGGTTTATGCCTTCTGAAGCAATGGTCCAAGCTGTACCTTGGCCTCTTCTAGCTACAACTGGAGCTGGAGTGGCCATGTTGCAGGGTGCTATGTCCTGAGGCTGTACAGAGCAGCAGGGTCCTGGCCCTGGTCCACAAAATCATTCTTTCCTTCTAGGTCTTCTGGACTATTAAAGGAGGGGCTTCTGTGGAGGTCTTTGAACTGCCTCTGGGGCCTTTTCCCCATTGTCTTGGCTATCAACATTTGGCTCCTCTTTACTTATGCCAGTTTCTGCAACTGGCTTGAATTCCTCCACAGCAAATAGGTTTTTCTTTTCTAACACATGACCAGGCTACAAATTTTCCAAACTTTTTTGGTCTGCTTTCCTTGTAAATATAAGTTCCAGTTTTACCTCATTTCTTTGCTCATGAATATGAGCACAGGATGCTAGGAGCAGCCAGGCCATATCTCGAATGCTTTGCTGCTTAGAAATTTCTTCCACCAGGTAAGCTAAATCATCACTCTCAAGTTCAAAGTTCCACAGATTCCAAGGGCAGGGGCACAATCCAACCAGGTTTTTTATCAAGCATAGCAAAAATGACCTTTGCTCCAATTCACAAGAAATTTCTCATCTCCATCTGAAACCTCCTCAGCTTAGACTTCATTGTTCATGTCACCATCAGCATTTGGGTCACAACAATGTAAAAAGTCTCTAGGAATTTCTAAACTTTCCCTCATTGTCCTGTCTTCTGAGCCATCCACACTGTTCCAATCTCTTCTCGTTACCCAGTGCCAAAGCTGCTTCCACATTTTCAGGTCTTTTTTTAGCAATGCCCCACTTTCTGGTACCAATTTTCTGTACAAGTTCATTCTTGCACTGTTATGAAAAAATGCCTGAGACTGGGTAATTTATAAAGAAAAGGTATTTAATTGGCTCAAGGATCAGTAGACTATACAAGAAACATGCCTGGTGAGGCCTCAGGAAACAGAATTATGGTGGAAAGTGAAGGGGAAATGGCAACATCTTACATGCCCGGAGCAGAAGGAAGAGAGACAGAGAGGTGATACACCCTTTTAAACAACCAGATCTCTCAATAACTCACTATCAAGAGAACACTACCAAAGGGGCAACATGCCCCCATGATTCAATGGCTTCCCACCAGGACCCACCTCCAACATTGGGAATTATAACTTGACACGAGACTTGGGGAGTGGCAAAGACCTAAACCGTATCAGGAGGAGTGTATAATGGGCATGCCTGACCCCATGGAAACATCATGGCCTGAACTAGTTTTTCAGGTTAACTTAGGAGTGCCCTTGGCCAAAAGCAAGGGTCCATTCAATTGGTCAAGGGGCTTAGAAATTTATTTTTAGTTTAAATCCTGTTAGTCAATTGACAATCTATATCTTTTATAAAGTATGTACCATATGTTTCATAAGTAATGATGATTATCAGACACACCTTTCCTCCCCAACCCCAACCATCAGAAGGCAAGTTAAGAATAAATGAAGCGCAAACAGGGACAATTTGACTTCCTCTTTTCCTAATTGAATACCCTTTATTTCTTTCTCCTGCCTGATTGCCCTGGCCAGAACTTCCAACACTATGTTGAATAGGAGTGGTGAGAGAGGGCATCCCTGTCTTGTGCCAGTTTTCAAAGGGAATGCTTCCACTTTTTGCCCATTCATTATGATATTGGCTGTGAGTTTGTCATAAATAGCTCTTATTATTTTGAGATACATCCCATCAATACCTAATTTATTGAGAGTTTTTAGCATGAAGGGCTGTTGAATTTTGTCAAAGGCCTTTTCTGCATCTATTGAGATAATCACGTGGTTTTTGTCTTTGGTTCTGTTTATATGCTGGATTATGTTTATTGATTTGCATATATTGAACCAGTCTTGCATCCCAGGGATGAAGCCCACTTGATCATGGTGGATAAGCTTTTTGATGTGCTGCTGGATTTGGTTTGCCAGTATTTTATTGAGGATTTTTGCATCGATGTTCATCAGGGATATTGGTTGAAAGAAATAAAGGGTATTCAATTAGGAAAAGAGGAAGTCAAATTGTCCCTGTTTGCAGATGACATGATTGTATAATTTAGAAAACGCCATCATCTCAGCCCAAAATCTCTTGAAGCTAATAAGCAATTTCAGCAAAGTCTCAGGATACAAAATCAATGTGCAAAAATCACAAGCATTTTTATATACCAATAACAGACAAATGGAGAGCCAAATCATGAGTGAACTCCCATTCATGATTGCTTCAAAGAGAATAAAATACCTAGGAATCCAACTTACAAGGGATGTGAAGGACCTCTTCAAGGAGAACTACAAACCACTGCTCAACGAAATAAAAGAGGACACAAACAAATGGAAGAACATTCCATGCTCATGGATAGGAAGAATCAATATCGTGAAATTGGCCATACCGCCCAAGGTAATTTATAGATTCAATGCCATCCCCATCAAGCTACCAATGACTTTCTTCACAGAATTGGAAAAAACTACTTTAAAGTTCATATGGAACCAAAAAAGAGCCCACATTGTCAAGACAATCCTAAGCCAAAAGAACAAAGCTGGAGGCATCATGCTCCCTGACTCCAAACTATACCACAAAACTACAGTAATCAAAACAGCATGGTACTGGTACCAAAACAGAGATATAGACCAATGGGACAGAACAGAGCCCTCAGAAATAATACCACACATCTACAACCATCTGATCTTTGACAAACCTGACAAAAACAAGAAATGGGGAAAGGATTCCATATTTAATAAATGGTGCTGGGAAAACTGGCTAGCCATATGTAAAAAGCTGAAACTGGATCCCTTCTTTACACCTTATACAAAAATTAATTGAAAATGGATTAAAGACTTAAATATTAGACCTAAAACCATAAAAACCCTAGAAGAAAATCTAGGCATTACCATTCAGGACATAGGCATGGGCAAGGACTTCATGTCTAAAACACCAAAAGCAATGGCAACAAAAGCCAAAATTGACAAATGGGATCTAATTAAACTAAAGAGCTTCTGCACAGCAAAAGAAACTACCATCATACTGAACAGGCAACCTACAGAATGGGAGAAAATTTTCGCAATCTACTTATCTGACAAAGGGCTAATATCCAGCTCCTAACCGCGAGTGATCTGCCAGCCTCGGCCTCCCGAGGTGCCAGGATTGCAGATGGAGTCTTGTTCACTCAGTGTTCAATGTTGCCCAGGCTGGAGTGCAGTGGCGTGATCTCGGCTAGCTACAACCTCCACCTCCCAGCCGCTTGCCTTGGCCTCCCAAAGTGCCGAGATTGCAGCCTCTGCCTGGCCGCCACCCCGTCTGGGAAGTGAGGAGCTTCTCTGCCTGGCCGCCCATCGTCTGGGATGTGAGGAGCCCCTCTGCCCGGCTGCCCAGCCTGGGAAGTGAGGAGCGCCTCTTCCTGGCCGCCATCACATCTAGGAAGTGAGGATCATCTCTGCTTGGCCGCCCATTGTCTGAGATGTGGGGAGCGCCTCTGCCCCGCTGCCCCGTCTGGGATGTGAGGAGTGCCTCTGCCCGGCCGTGACCCCATCTGGGAGGTGAGGAGCGTCTCTGCCCGGCCGCCCCGTCTGAGAAGTGAGGAGCCCCTCCGCCCGGCAGCCACCCCGTCTGAGAAGTGAGGAGCCCCTCTGCCCGGCAGCCGCCCCGTCTGGGAAGTGAGGAGCGTCTCTGCCCGGCAGCCACCCCGTCCGGGAGGGAGGGGGGGCAGCCCCCACCCGGCCAGCCGCCCCGTCCGGGAGGGAGGTGGGGGCCAGCCCCCGCCCGGCCAGCCGCCCCGTCCGGGAGGGAGGTGGGGGCCAGCCCCCGCCCGGCCAGCCGCCCCGTCTGGGAGGGAGGTGGGGGGAACCTCTGCCCGGCCACCCCTTCTGGGAAGTGAGGAGCCCCTCTGCCCGGCCGCCACCCCGTCTGGGAGGTGTACCCAACAGCTCATTGAGAACGGGCCATGATGACGATGGTGGTTTTGTCCAATAGAAAAGGGGGAAATGTGGGGAAAAGATAGAGAAATCAGATTGTTGCTGTGTCTGTGTAGGAAGAAGTAGACATGGGAGATGCCATTTTGTTCTGTACTAAGAAAAATTCTTCTGCCTTGGGATGTTGTTGATCTTTGACCTTACCCCCAACCCTGTGCTCTCTGAAACATGTGCTGTGTACACTCAGGGTTAAATGGATTGAGGGCAGTGCAAGATGTGCTTTGTTAAAAACAGATGCTTGAAGGCAGCATGCTCGTTAAGAGTCATCACCACTCCCTAATCTCAAGTACCCAGGGACACAAACACTGCGGAAGGCCGCAGGGTCCTATGCCTAGGAAAACCAGAGACCTTTGTTCACTTGTTTATCTGCTGACCTTCCCTCCACTATTGTCCTATGACCCTGCCAAATCCCCCTCTGTGAGAAATACCCAAGTATGATCAATTTAAAAAGAAAAAAAAAAAGAAAAAAAAAAAAAACAATATTTAAACAACAACAAAAAAAGAAAACTGTGGAGGTGCTTGATGTGACTATTACTTTGATTGTAATGAAGCTATAAGTGTTTGAATTTGCCCAAACTCATGAATCATATACATTAAATATGTGGAGTTCTTTGTATATCAATTATACCTTAAAGAAACTGTTTTAATAAAATAAAATATTGAAATTATGAAAATATGTAGTTATTATGAGATAATTTGTTTGAGAACCAAGACTACGTACAGTTTCATTACTTATCAGACCAAAAACAGGCTGCTTTATAGCAACATAACTTTATGATTCATTCCCATTTTTTTCCAGAAAGATAAAACTGGGATCCACTTCTCAACTTCATTGGTTGCTTAAGAAATTAATGAAAATGAATATAGTGTTCAACTAGCTTTCTACTCAGGACAACATATTGTTCATTTGAGTAAATAGTCCCTTCCAAACATAAAAGATGACTCAACTGGGCAAACACGTATGTATAAATTCTTTCTTCGAGACTCTCATCTTGCATCTTGCTGTATCCATCGGTTCTAAACTCTTACATCAAAGACATTAGCCAATCCTTATCATATCTCTGCATTGAAAAGGCTGCCTAAGACCACTACAGCATGAACCCCACAAGACTATAGATATCCATTCCTGACCTCCCGCCTTCTGAGACAGTACTAAGACTCTCGAGGTGGTGCTTTTCCTTCAGTAAGTGATTAATTCATCTTTGATTCATCAGTAAGTTACTCTGGTAGTCTTTGTGGAGCATTGGCAGTGGACATAGGTCAATCAGTTGTGATTTTGCTATACAAATTAAAGAAACTCTGCTTGAGACCTGGATTTCTCTACTGAGGTAGATTCAACATTTTTTTTTTTTTTTTTTTTTTGAGACAGAGTCTTGCTCTGTCGCCCAGGCTGGAGTGCAGTGGCGTGATCTTGGCTCACTGCAAGCTCCCCCTTCCAGGTTCATGCCATTCTCCTGCCTCATCCTTCTGAGTAGCTGGGACTACAGGCGCCCGCCACTACGCCAGGCTAATGTTTTGTATTTTTAGTACAGACGGGGTTTCACCATGTTAGCCAGGATGGTTTCGATCTCCTGACCTCATGATCTTCTCCCCTTGGCCTCAGGAAGTGCTGGGATTACAGGCGTGAGCCACTGCACCCGGCTGATAGATTGGACTTTATCTGTTCTTTTTGCCTATCTTCTAATGGGTGGTATTGTTTTGTATACTGAGTTGATGGATGGAGATAATTTCAGTCTTTACAGTTGCTAAGTGCTTACAATATTAGATATTTTCTAATGGATCTTAAAATTTTCACAGAAAGGAATGGAAAAGTTTAAAGCTGAGATGGAAATTGTAAATGGAAAAAGGTTAAGAACACTTCTGCCATTTGTTGGGCATGTTGTTCCATGAATGAAAGTAATGTGGTCCCTTCCTCACCCCAAGAAAAACTGTGGTTTGGAAATTTCCCCTTTAACCCTTTATGCTTCTAGGCAAAGTACTGTTGGTTTCATTAAGTGGTCCTTTTGAAGATAACTTTTTAAAAATAGATTATTTTCCTTGCTATCTTGAAGCATTTTTTGTAGTTTTATATAGGAGAAGGAGGTAGTTTCTCACTCTGGTTCACCATGAATTTGGCAGGATGACTGTAACAGATATTGATATGGCTTGGCTCTGCCTTCCCACCCGAATCTCATCTCTAATTGTAATCACCAAATGTCAGGGGAGGGACCAGGTGGGAGGTGATTGGATAATGGGGGCTGTTTCCTGCATGCTGTTCTCATTACAGGGAGTGAGTTCTCACAAGAGCTGATGGTTTTAAAGTGTGGCACTTCCTTGTTTTTGCACATACTCCCTCATGCCACCTTGTGAAGAAGGTGACTGCCTCCCCTTCACTTTCCACCATGATTGTAAGTTTCCTGAGGCCTCCTAGCCACGCTTCCTGCTTCCTGTTATGCCTGCAGAGGTGTGAATCAATTGAACCTTTCCTTTATAATCATCCAGTCTCAGGTAGTATTCTTTATAGTGATGTGAGAAGCAGCTATGTATACTGGTATCATTTCATCATATAATGTGATAACATTATAATTTTTAAATATAGACCAATTGAGTAGTTATGCAATTCAGTAAAAATTCCCAAGTTAAAGCGCGCTTATTTTCTTTCAACAGCTACTTTGTCCTTTTAAATGTGTTGTGTCAATGAAGGCAACAGTTTTCAAAAGTATTTAGTTATTTTTCTTACTTTCATCTCTTTTTTTAGGTTGGCTAATGTAGAATTTATGTGATGTCAGATATTGCAAAGCACATTTGCTATTCAATTTTTGAGAAGGATGTGATGTAATATGTAAAATCAAAGCTTCTGAAACCAAACCGATTTACATTTGAATTATAATTCTACCATTCTCTTGCTGAGAAACTATGGGATAGTTCCCTAAACTCTCTAAATGTAAATTTTCCCCTCTAAAAAATGGGAAGAATAGTATCAAACTCATAGGACTGTTTGGTGGATTCAAATTAAATATAAGATTGCTATTCTACATTTACCCAGTGGCTGGCACAGGGCAAGTAACCAATAAATGTCAATTATCATTATTATTATCTCTTCTCTACCCATATAAAAGGTTTTCTATGTCTATAAATGTTGTTGGCTGTTTCAAGACAAATATTAAACTACAAATGAGGATAAACTATCAGACTTTTCCACATTTCTAGATAAAATAGATGAGTATAGAAAGCCAGAATTGAGATATATGTCCCTTTCATGACCCTGACATGTATGAGAAAATGTGATAAAGATAGCAAAGCATTCCTGGGAAGAGTGTGACTGGGGTCACATTTTATAGTGAGGGGAGTTGGAAGTCCCAGAGCTTGGAATAGAGCCTTCACTCAGGAACAGAGATAGTGTTTATCCACCTAAAGTGAGGAAGCCTGATCTCAACTGAAGGAAAAATGCCAAATATAAGAATTGGCCTAAATATTTTTCCAAGTGGTTTATGGTTGCAAAGTCCCTAATTAGAAACTGTTCTTCTCTGGAGAAGAAAAATCTGATATGCTGCTACTTTGTCTTCAATGAGAGATATAAATCTGAAAGTTTTGGAATTTCACCAGGGTGGAAGGAATGCAAGCCAAATCTTAGTGAAGTCTGAGTTTTCAGGAAATCGAGTAAGAGATGTCTGGCTTTCCTGCTTAAAGTATTCTTTTAGGCCCAGACAATATTCAGATCTGGATGATTTATATCAACAGTGAAGATGTCCCGCAGATTGAAACACCTTCTACAATGGTTTAATGAAATTTGAATTTTTTAAGGATGCTCCCTGAAAGAAAGTCTGTGAGATTAAAAGATGATTCCTGATTTTGTGTTATTATGCTGTGAGAATAAAATCCAAGCTATATTCTTGTTATGAAGTTGGCTAAATTTGACTTACTTTCCTCATATCCTTAATCTCTTTCTAGAGAGACAGAGGATAAGCGGGTACTTTGGAATTTGCTTGACAGGTTTTTAAAATGAAAGTTATTTTGGAGAAAAGAAATCTCCAATTATTGTTCAGGAGAGAGTATATCTAAGTTTTTGGCTCTTAGAAAAATGTTTAATCCCTTTATGTATAATATATTCCAATCCCAGGCCAGGGCATTCCTATCTACCCTATTGCAAAAGCAGTGTGAAAGATCAGCACTTGAACTCTGAAAACTCAGTAAAAATACAAGTGGAAGAATTAAAGAATTATACAAAGTACATAACACACTTTAATTAAAGAGTCAGGGGACTAGACCTCAGTTTGCTACTTTATGCTTGTTAATTTTAATGTAATCAGAGAATATTTGTGTTTACGTCATTTTGACCAAATGACCAAAATGTACACAGGTGCTTACACACACAGACCAACACACATGAAAAAGAAATAAAGATGATATAAAAAGGAAGGAAAAAAGAGAGAAAAAAGAAAAAGAAAGACATAATGAGAAAGAATAAGAAATAAAGAAGGAAGTAGATCATGCCTGTATTCCCAGCACTTTGGGAGGCCGAGGCAGGTGGATCACGAGGTCAGGAGATTGAGATAATCATGGCTAACATGGTGAAACCTTGTCGCTATTAAAAATACAAAAAGTTACCAGGTATGGTGGCATGCACCTGTAGTCCCAGATACTCAGGAGGCTGAGGCAGGAGAATCACTTGTACCTGGGAAGTGGAGATTGCAGTAAGCTGAGATCATGCCACTGCACTCCAGCCTGGGTGACAGAGCAAGACTCCATCTCAAAAAAAAAGAAGGAAGAAAGAAAGGAAAGAAAGAAGTGTGGGAGAAAGAATGAGAGGGAGAAAAGGAAAGAGATTAAAAAAAGAAGGAAGAAAAGAAAAAAGAATTTGAACTGCAGTTATATAATACCAAATATTCTGATATTATGTAATTAAAAATAGAATCCAATTTGTTGACATATTAGAGATAAAGAGATGAGAATGTCTATGATCATGATCACTTCTCAATCACAAGTTATAAAAAATCCTAATTATCATTTGCTCATTCGTTTGAAGGATAAAAGTGGTCAGTTCATTCCAGGAAAACAGACATTACTAAAAATTTTGCTCTTCATTTTTGAGGAGCTACCTATAGAGGTGGGGATATGGGGTGGAAACCAATGACTGAATGAGAGTGGGCCTAGGAAGAACTTTCCTTTTCGTGTTAGAGTTGCAGTAAAGGTGTTAACTCAGTGAAGAAAGCAACTTCGTTGGCTTTAAGTCTTAGTATTCTGCTAGAAAAAGATGAAAAAGTGAACTTCTATTTTGGTTAAAAAATGCACATAGGCTGGGGGCGGTGGCTCATGCCTGTAATCCCAGCTCTTTGGGAGGCCGAAGCAGGTAGATCACAAGGTCAGTAGTTTGAGACCAGCCTGGCCAACATGGTGAAACCCTGTCTCTACTAAAAATACAAAAATTAGCTGGGCATGTTGGTGCACACCTGTAGTCCCAGCTACTTGGGAGGCTGAAGCAGGAGGATCACTTGAAACCAGAAGGCAGAGGTTGCAGATCTCACCACTGCACTGCAGCCTGGGCAAAAGAGCAAAACTCCATCTCAAAAAATAAAAATAAAAATAAAAATAAAGAAATAGAAAAAAATGCACATAATGGACTAGATTAGATTATCTTTGAGAATGTATAACAAGATTCTCATTTCAAATGCAAATAAAATCCAGAACTGGAAGTTTTACCAGTAGCAAGCCTTGATAGATCAATCAATTGTCAAGTGCTTTGTCACAAAATTAGAAATAAATGTCAAGATGGAAGAAAGTCAGACTTGCTTAATTGACCCATAAAAGGTGTCTATTAAAATTCTTTCTATTTATGGAGATAATTTGATTATTTTTCCTATGCATACAGAATCTTGGAAAGCAAATTTTCTGAAGATTTTGAAGATAAGAATAATAAAAAACAAAAAATTGAATGGAGGAAGAATATGATAGAGATAATAGAGATATTTAGATCAGCTCTAACTCGTGGATTAATGATCTAGAACAAGAGCTAGAAAGAGGACTAACACATGTAAAAATATTAAATAGCTAAAAAGTTAAGGGTCTCAAAATTAGGCAAAAAACAGAGAAGCCATGATAAAGTTAAGAAATAAGCATATAAATAATTACAATAGTAAGAATAATTAACAAAAAATTAAAATACATGGATACAAAAACACAAAACATCTTAATTTCTTCATTGATTTTTTTTTCCTTCAAAAGAAGAAAGGAAAAACAAAGTTTATGGTGCAGCAGTAGTTTTCAAATTATTTTATTTAATTTTATTTCTGCACTAGGAAATAAGTCACTATTTTCATTTACTTTAGTGGAAATGAAAGCATAAAATGATGATCTGGGCTGTCTGTGGTCACTCAGTCACACAGCACCCTGAATTAAATGAGCATGGCCTGGAAATTGTGCTAACATCAGATGTACATTCTGAAAAACATTTGGTTATTTCCCCTCTTGTTTATAAAATAAATCAAATTGGAAATGTTTAAATGGGAAGAATTAGATGGGCTGATAATGCTAATGCAGGGAATAATGACGAGTGTCTTAGTCCTTTCAACCTGCTATAGCAAAATGCCACAGGCTGGGAAATTTTTAATAAACAGAAATTTATTGCTTACAGTTCTGGAGGCCTGGAGGTCTAAAATCAAGGCATTGGCAGGTCCAGTTTTTGGTGGGGGTACTGTTCCTCATGGATGGCGCATTTTAGCTGCATGCTTACCTTGCATAAAGGGCAAACAAGCCCCCTCAGGCCTCTTTCATAAAGCACTACTCCCATTATCGAGAGCTCTACTTTCATGACAGAATCACCTCCCAAAGGCACTGTCTCTTAATACCAACTCATTGAGGATTAGATTTCAGCATATAAATTTTGAAGTAACAGAAACATTCATACCATAGTAATGAGAAATGTAATAGAATTTTTATTCTGCTCTTACAGGATCCTTGAAGTGTTGCTTCACCAGCCAGAAACCTCTGGGTCTGGTGGCACCTTTGTCCAAGTTTTGCACAGGCCCGCTGGGCACGTTCTGCCCACTAGGGCTGCAGGCTGCACTCAGCTCCTACTACTAGCCTGGATCCCATGCCTGCCAAGAGTGAGCCAGGGGTGTAGCAGCTAGGGGTGTGTGCATGAATGTGGGCTCTAGCCACCGCACATAGGCAGGCATACTGGCTGCCACAGGGTGAGTAGCTCCAGGTGCCAGCATGGGCACTGGATCCCTGCAAGGCTGTGGCTGGACCAGGTGTACCATAAGCAGGTTCCATGGCTGACACTAAGGAATGTGGTATGGTGCCCAGAAGCTTGGTGATGCCAGGAACCACAGAGCCCTAAAGAGGATGTCACAGCCCTGGCTCAGGGAGTTCCTAGGTCTGGGCTCCCCAAAAAGCTGCAGCTCTTCTCCCCTTCTCTCTTCTCTCCTTGTTGCCTGCAATGTGGGATGCAAAAGTGTTTAAGGCCTGTTTGTGTTACAGCTCTTTTAGTGTTGCCATTTGGTGGGTTCTGAGTGCTTGTCCTGCATCCAGGAAGAATGAGGCAAACAGACAAGTGGAGGGTAAGCAAAATGAAGCGGAGGTTTACTGAGCAACAGAACAGCTCAGACGAGACCCACAGTGGGAAGCTCCTCTCTGTAGCCAGGGGGTCTCGATGAGTGTTCAGCTCTCACCAGAGAGGGCAGTTTCCCTTGGCTAGGCAGGTCATTCTGATGAGTGTTCAGCTCTCAGCAGAGAGGGTAGCTCCTTTCTGCTAGGTAGGTCATCTAGACGAGTGTCCAGCTCTCAGCAGAGAGGGGAGCTCCTCTCTGCAGCTTGCAATCTCATTGTCTCCTCAGCTCTCTGCAGAGAGGAGACCTTGGGGTGGGCAGCTCCTCTCTGCAGCTGGTCATCCCAATGTCTCTTTGAGTCTGCCTGAGTCTTGGGCTTTAATGGGTCTCAGAGGGGAAGAAGTGTGTACCAATTGGTCCATGGGCAGCCATAGACAAGCCTGGAAAAAACACCACAAATTCCCACTCCTGTTTGTGGGACTGGCAGCTTCAGACCTTCCTAGCTTGAAGGTGGGGCCTCACCCCCTTTCACCCAGGAGCCTGTCTGCCTCCTGCCACCATTCATGGCACCCAGGCTGTTTGTGCCAAGAGGTGCCTGTAATCCAGCACTGAGCTGCCCTCAGCACCCCCTCAGCCTCCCTCCCGTGCTTGTTGGGACCCAAAGTCAGGAGGGGGTCAAGGCGGGAGGGGCATGGTCTGTAAATGCTTCTCTGAGCATATGAAAAATTGGCAGGGCTGCAACAATGCTCAGGCTTGGCCCTGACTTTGCTCTGAGATCACAGCAGGCTGAGACAGCAGGGAGAAGCCAAGCCGAAGGAGCGGACAACCTCAAGCCTGCCGGGGCAAGAGGTGGCCTTCCCAGGCCCCCTGAGAGTTCAGAAATGTCTGGGTTCACAGTCGCAACTTAGGCAGCTGCAGCCATGCCTGGGAGCTCCTGTCTGTTCCCAGCTCTTCCTGGCTCTGTGGAGCAAAGCACTGCCCCAGGCCCAGCTCCATCTCAGGGTCCCTTCTTGCCCACTCCTCCATGCCCAAACACACTGCTCCCCTGCAGGCAGGCAACTCAGCCTGGCCTTATCACAGCAGTTCCCAGGGTGTCAGGCAAGGTGGAAGTGGTACGGTGACCCCAGCCTACCCTGCAAAAACAAATCCGACACTCCTGGGGCCAGCTTCGTGAGTCCCGGCTGCACCTTTGGCTAGGTGCTTGTGGGTCCCCAGGATGTGGCAAGGGGTGAGGCTGAGACTGTGGTGGAAGATCCGGGCCTGGGAGTGGGTCCTGCCCAGCTATGCAAGGGTAGGGGTGTCACAGTCCACTGCCTGAGAAAAGTTGGGCACAGGGGATCGACCACTGCCACTGCTGCTCCCACAGCCACTCCTGCCACCACAGCTAGTGACCCCCTGCTGCAGCCGGCTGATGGCAGTGGCTGCTCCGGGTGGCCTACTCCTGCCGTCGCTACTGATGACAAAACTGAAGCCTTGAAAATGTATATGATCCATTCAAGACTTCATTAGATATCAGCACTGCAGCCACAAAAAGAAATTATTTTTCCTAAATTTATTTGTTTTAAAACAGTAATAGAAATTTTGTAAAATTATCAAAAGCAGTTATATTGCTTAAGTTACAAAAATAATATCTATTATATTTATTGTATGTCGATTGTAGTCCCACTATGGGAGCTAGGGTGCAGTGAGACATGTAGACAGAATTTACTAAAGGGCCCTTCACTTAAAGGCAATCATTACTTAAACGAAATGACAAAAACACTACACAACAACCTTTGGCATAAAATAGATGTTTAGATTATTTATTGTAAACTACATGTGCTCTTAGAAAATGGAAAATTTAATGGTTAAAGTAATCTGGACTTTGGATTTGAATTAATAGCTGAAGAGGTAGATAGAGGATCAAGGTGTGGTATAGTTATGTTTTGGTTATGTAACCCTGAGAATTCTACCCTATTACCATATACACTTTTGAAATAACACTGAAATGACAATTCTTCATTTAATCTTTTCTAAAGCAGGAAGAATCTATTCTGAGCCCTGTGTCTGCCTAATACTCTAGTATCAGAGGAGTTGCCTCCTGTCTTGGGAAGGGCAAGGCCCTAGTGTCAGATAAGCTGAATTCAGGTTATTTTCTTCTCATGAACTTTGCAGTCAGCACGGTAACTCAGTTTTGTTATATTCCCATTTGTAAAACTGTAAAATTGCCTTGCTAGTAAAATACATGATTATAATACATGCCACATAGTAGAGCTCAAAAATGGACAATTTTAATGCCACATGACCAACAGAATTATCATGTGCAGTGTACTCTGAAATTTAGGAAAGTTATTGAATATATGTAATAGACCTAGATTTTATAGTAAACGTAACATTTAGTCTTAAGTCTAGTACTTCTTTCCATGTCCTAATTTCACAACTTTACCATACCCCAAAGCTCATATGGCAAGCTGAAGCACACCATGTCCTCCGTGAAGAGAAGGAACTTAGAAATCTGCAATAAAATTCAAAGTTGGTGGTGGTTAGACTTCGATGGGAAGTTTTAAACAATGCGGATTTTCTCTGGAGCAAATTATTCAAGTGGGAACTCTGCTAGAATTTATCAGCAATCTTCAGATATTTGACTCATGAATGAAAGACAGTGGGAGAAAATGATTGAGATGTGATCACAAGAAGAAATGGCCTTGGGCTTCCCTTGTCCTGCTCTTTTACCTTTGAGGTGTGGCTTGCTGATTATTTCTGCCCAAGCTGTTCTGTCATAAGGAGCCTAGTGCTCAAAGAAATTGAAGTAGGATCATAAGTACAAACCTAAGCTTTTGCTGGAAACACAACAAAAGGATGTAACCTCTTTAGAAATGTAGAGATCTATGAGTCTGGCTCATTCTAGACATTTTTATCTTGTAGAAAGTAGTGATGGTGGGCAAAGTCTCAGTTTACACCAAATAGGCCTAAGAAGACAGGTGAATATTTTACATGTTAAGAAGATTCCCACACTTGACTGTTCATGTAGTCCAGATGGTGACTACACAGCCCAAGAGACCAGTTAAAAAGCAAGGGGATCACCAACTATAACTCCGTATTCATAATTTTGTATCTCTGTTTACCAAACTATTTTAAAAACTGTAATATCAACATTAAAATCAATAAAATAACCACTTTAAAAAAGTTTAACTATGTATAATTACTAACTTGTTTAAATATTTCAAAAGGTTGTTGCTTTTTGCACCCCTTCTCATACAGAGGTAATGTGGGGTCCATGGCATTCTGAAATACATACATAGATGTATCCTTGCAATCTGTACTGATGTAATGCACACACACACACACACACACACACACATGCGCGCGCGCGCACACACACACACACACACACTCTCTCTCTCTCTCATGGCATCAGCAAGTTATCATTATCAGGCCATTTAGGCCAATATCTGAAATGGAAATAATGTTACATCATTTCCTGATTCTGAATCTCTTCAGAGGTACTATTAGACCTTCCAGTAAATGTGCATGCCAGACCAAAATAGAGACATGCAAAGCCAGTTCATGACTTATTTCCAGTAAGCAGAAATCTTACCTTTTAATTTCTCCAAATCACCGAGGGCAGTGCTCAGTGATACTGTACTGAAGATTTAGAGGAGTTGTCCAACAAGCAGCTACCCACACATGTTTTGAATTTCACAGATAAATAATTCAAAGTTTATCTGCGTACTTTCAAAGTTAACTTACAACCTCTGCCATATTCATGTTTTCATAACACTGCGGGAGTTTCCCAGGGAAGAACATATTTCTTCTCTGTTCCTATCATGAGGCTAGCATAAGTCAAATGAAAAACAAAACATTCAGAACTAAATTTGCGTAACTCGAACATTTATGTCATTCTTTAAGATATACAGTAGGATTATGTGGATTTAACATTATTGAGAATAAACATATATATTAAAATAATATTTAAGATCTTTTCTTCAACTGACTACTCTGCCTTCTTAAAATATGATCCATTTGGTCATGCTTCACACCGTAGAGAGAAAGATACCTCACAGGTCACGTTGTAGGATGTTAACAATTATTTAAATATTATTTTTGATGATACAAAAAAAAAAAGAGCCAAAGAGCCAAGTTTTCAAACTGTTCTCTGAATGTTAAGAATCCTGATTCCAATACCACCCTACTAACGGCTCACTCGTTGATTCTGCCCAAGATAAACGATCATTTTTTTATTCACCAACAAACAAAATATTTACACTATGAAAAACTTCCCTACTTCTGGCATTACTGTTTGTATCAGCTTATATGTGCTTAACTCTCAAACAGCTACATTTAGTTGACCTGCTAACCTAATATAGAGCTTGGCTTTGGAGAGAAATATCTAGAGGGCAGTTAGCTTAAGTTTTCACTTTTTACTACTGTTTGTGCTTTCTGTGGATGCTGTGTAGTATAGCAGGAAGAACACTGTTTTTGACATTAGTGAGAGCTAAGTTTGAATTCTTATACTGTTTAGCACTGACAAACAATTTTTGACTCAGTCTCTTCATCCATAAGATGGGGACAATAGCATCTATCTCCTTATTGAGACTATGAAATGTGATTAAATATGTGGGAGAACATACAGGCAACAGAGTGCTCAGAGACTCAATAATTGATACCTATCATTCTTGTTAAAAACTTTCTCACTGCCTGAAAAGTATATATGCTAACAAAATACATTAAACATTTTATTATTTAGCATTCAATCCTTTAATCTGCGGATTACTGAGTATGAATCGTACTCTTCTCTTATGAAGAACCGAGGTTTGTGTGAGCCAGTAGAATGGAGAACTTGATCTTGTGTGTCTCACTATTTCATCTCATCTATTTTATAGTTCTTCACTTTTGTCTTTCTACAAATGGCTGACAAAGCACAAATTGAGTCTGTTGACAATATCATTGATGTGATGTTTCCCCAGCTATGATAACCTATAACCAGAGAAATTATATCATCCTGAAAATTTCATTTCATTTAATTGGCAGGTGGAACACTTAAGTCATTTGCCACCAACCTTTTTAGAATTTGATAGACATTCGAGGGCACTGAGGTTATCTAACAGAAAAAAGAAACGTCATTCATTTGAATTTTTTTAAACTTAGTCACAGAAAGCCTTGGTTAACAATTATTCTTTTAATATTGTTGACATTTATTATCAACAGCAAATCATTTCTTGAAATTAAATTGGTTTGAATAGAAAAAATAATTTACAAGTTTTACTTTGTAGATATGATTTCTGGCATAACTCTCTAAATCTATTTATAATGTTTTCTCTCTAAAAGCACTTATATTTTTAGTTTTCCCATTCTTTTTTATTATCGTAGAAGATATTGTGGCAATTTCTCAAAGACCTAAAGACAGAAATACTATTCAACATAGTAATCCCATTACTGGGTTATATACCCAAAGGAATATAAGTCATTGTGTTATAAAGACATGTGTATGTATATGTTCATTGCAGCACTATTCACGATAACAAAGACATGGATTCAACCCAAATGCCCATCAATGATGGACTGGATAAAGAAAAGGTGGTACATACATACCATGGAATACTATGCAGCCATAAAAAAGAACAAGATCATGTTCTTTTCAGAGACATAGATGGACCTGCAGACCATTATTCTTAGCAAACTAATGCAGGAACAGAAAACCAAATACTGCATGTTTTCCCTTACAAGTGGGGGCTAAATGATGAGAGAACATGGACACATAGAAGAGAATGGCACACACTAGGGCCTTTTGGACAGTGGAGGGTGCGAGGAGAAAAAGATCAGGAAAAATAACTAATGGATTCTAGGCTTAATATCCAGGCAATGAAATAATCTGCATGGCAAATCCCCATGACACACATTTACCTATACAACAAACCTGCACATCCTGCTCATGTACGCATGAACTTAAAATAAATGTTAAAAAATAAAAAAAGATTATATTGCATAAAAACCATTATCTGAAATAGATAAATAAATCAACAATATTTGAGCTGGTCCTAGGGATTTAAAACCATGAGTCTGGATGAAGAAAGCAAAAACTGTTCTAAATACCCAGGCCTCTGTGCCAGTTTAGCAGCTTAAAAGGAAATCCAGAAATATTTGTAAAGAGCATGTAGCTGGAAGGACATGCTGATCTTGTTTTTTTTTTTGCAAACAAGCCAAGCCCACAGAAAAGTGCTAACATGTTCATATTTCTCAGTTTGGAAGATAAACTATTATGATAACTTTTTCTCACATATTTAGATTTATAAAAAGTTAACTTTTTCTTTAGTAACTGAATCTGGACAGTAAATTAAAAACAAATAAAAAAGAAAAATATAAAATTAAACTCTATACATTTTAAATAGTTTAGATTTTTTTTAAGTTGACTAATTGTAGTCACCCATTCATGTCTTTGCTTTTTATTATATTTATCTATCTCTGTTTTATACATATAATGCATAGATGAATACATGTTAACATGCAGTGTGTGTATATATACACTACATACATTATGTATGTTTGGGTGTGTATATATATGAATATATATATTATGGTTTGTCTATGTCCCCACCCAAATCTCATTTAGAATTGTAATCCCCATGATCTCCATGTGTCCAGGGAGAGACCTAGTGGGAGGTAATTGGATCATGGGAGCAGTTTCCCACATGCTATTGTCATGATAGTGAGTTCTCACAAGATCTGATGCTTTCATAAGGCAGTTTTCCCCGGTCTTGCTAGCTCTCTCTTTCCTCCCACCATGTGAAGAAGGTCTTTGCTTTCCCTTTACCTTCCACCGTGATTGTAAGTTTCCTGAGGCCTCCCCAGAGCCATGTGGAACTGTGAGTCAATTAAACCTCTTTTTTTTTTTTAATAAATTACCCAGTCTCAGACAGTTCTTTATAGCAGTGTGTAAACAGACTAATACAGTAAATTGGTACCAAGGTATAAAGAGACCCAAAAGTGTGAAAGTGACTTTGAAACTGGGTAACGGGCAGAAGTTGGAACAGTTTGAAGGACTCAGAAGACAGAAAAATGTGGGAAAGTTTGGAACTTCCTAGAGACTTGTTGAATGGTTTTGACCAAAATGCTGATGGTGATATAGACAATGAAATCTGGGCTGAAGTGGTGGGAACTGGAGCAAAGATCACTATTGCTATGCTTTAGCAACATGACTGGTGTCATTTTGCCCCAGCCCTAGAGATCTGTGGAAGCTTAAACTTGATGGAGATTATCTGAAATTGGAACTTAGTTTAAAAGGAAGTAGAGCATAAAAGTTTGTAAAATTTGCAGCCTGACAATGAGATAGAAAAGAAAAACTCATTTTCTGGGGATAAATCTAAGCCTGCTGCAGAGGTTTGCATAAGTAAAGAGAAGCCAAATGTTAATCACCATGACAATGGGGAAAATGGCTTTAGGGCATGCCAGAAGTCTTCATGGCAGCCCCTCCCATCACTGTTCCAGAAACCTAGGAGGAAAAAAAATGATTTCATGGACTGGGCCCAGGGTCTTGCTGCTTTGTGCAGTCTCAGGACTTGGTGCCCTGGGTCTCAGCCATGGCTAAAAAGGGCCAAGGTACAGCTCAGGCCATTGATTCAGAGGGTGCAAGCCCCAAGCATTGGCAGCTTCCACATGGTATTGGGCCTGTGAGTGCACAAAAGTCAAGGACTGAGGTTTGGGAGCCTCCACCTAGATTTTAGAAGACATATGGAAACACCTGGATGTCCAGGCAGAAGTCTGCTGCAGGGGCGATACCCTCATGGAGAACCTCTGCTAGGCAGCGCAAAGGGGAAAAGTGGGTTTGGAGCCACCATACAGAGTCCACAATGGAGCACTGCCTAGTGGAGCTGTGGGAAGAGGGCCACCATCCTCCAGACCCCAGAATGGCAGATCCACCGACAGCTTGCACTATGAGCCTGGGAAAGCCACACTCAACAGGTGCAGATCTTCCTAAGGCCATGGGAGCCCAGCCTTTGCATCAGCATGCCCTGGATGTGAGACATAGATTCAAAGGAGATTATATTGGAGCTTTAAGATTTAATGACTGGCCCTCTAGACTTTGGACATGCATGGGGCCTATAGCCCCTTTGTTTTGGCCAATTTCTCCCATTTGGAATGAGAGCATTTATCTAATGCTTGTCCTCACATTGTATCTTGGAAGTAACTGACTTGATTTTGATTTTACAGGCTCCTAGGTGGAAGGGAGTTGCCTTGTCTCGATGAGACTTTTTACCTGGACTTTTAATTTAATGCTGGAGTGAGTTAAGGCTTTAGGGGATTGTTGGGAAGGCATGATTGTGTTTTGAAATGTGAGCACATGAGATATGGGACGGGCCAAGGGTGGAATGATATGCTCTGGCTCTGTGTCCCCACTCGAATCTCATCTTGAATTGTAATCTCCATAATCCCCACGTGTTGAGGGAGGGACCTGGTAGGAGGTTATTGGAACATGGGGGTGGTTTTCTCCATCCTGTTCTCATAATAGTGTGTGAATTCTCATAAGAACTGATGGTTTTATAAGGCCGTTTTCCCTGCTGTTGGTAGCTCTCTCTTTCCTGCTGTCATTTGAAGAAGGTCTTTGCTTCCCCTTCACCTTCCACCATGATTATAAGTTTCCTGAGGCCTCCCCAGCCATGCAGAACAGTGAGTCAATTAAACCCCTTTTCTTTATAAATTGCCCAGTCTCTGGCAGTTCCTTATAGCAGTGTGAAAATGGACTAATGCAATATACATATACTCATATGTATATAAATGTCTGTGTATATATACATACATACATATATGTGTGTGTGTATATATATATACACACATGCATGCACATATAGTATTTGGCCAGCCTACCTCTGTATTAAATTGGCAGAAACTAAGGCTTAAAATAATATATTAAATTCTTCAGTATGCAGAAGCTTCCAATTTCTATCTGAGATATGAAGTCACTAGTAGTCAGGACACTAGATTTCTTTTCTCTGCCAAGAACTTTCAAAAAAATAGTTCTCCCTACACTCATCATAAAAGATTAACATACCTATCATATTAGAAATCTTACTTATAAGTTCTATCATTTTATCTAGATAGTTTAACATGTCTTTGCCAGTTCTAGCTAATTCTATATTTACCTTTGGAGGAGCTAAACTTGGGAAAGAATAAAGATCAGTTTTTGCTTATGTGTGTGAGCACACACACACACATTATCTCAAAAGAAAAGCAAAAACTTTCAATTTTTATACAAAAGGAAATTTTATGAAATTAATTCTGATTCTACCATTGCTTTTTCAAAACTTCTAACCCAACAAAGACCAAAAATCAACCTTTCATTCTTCTCAATATAGTTGGAATAAACTAAATTTAAAATAGATTGGTACATGCTGACTTTCTTCTGACAGTTGAAGAGGCTGAGTTTAAAGTGCACCTGAGTCTACATTGAGAGACTCCTTGAAAATCTTTCCTTCAAAGGCTTCCATGGACTCTTCAGAATGAATTTTGACTATATCTCCTCCTATTTTACTGCACAAACCATGCACTACCTAGCCCTCGCTGAGACATTGTTGACTTGAGTCCAAATTCATGTACTCTAGTCTTTCCAATTTTAACTCTTACTGCTATACACTTCCTTTCACTTATTGAGTCAATTCTTTCTGGGTATCTCATTCAGTTCCCAGGGAAGCATTTATTGGTTACTGTAGCGTGCTATGATCCTTTCATTTTTCTGAACTTTAATAGTACTTGCTGTTAAAGCCATTCTTATCATTTTAATGACAGTCTTCCCACATTGTTTGAAATGTGAAATACTTTGATCTGCTGAGTAACTCTTTCCTCCTAATGTAGCTCTTGATGCATAGTCGACCCCTACTAAGTATTTGTTGAAGGAATAAGGCCTTCGTGACTAAGCTTGCATATTCAATCACCACTGATTCCCCCAGGCAGTCAGTTGCTTATATTTCTCCTTATATAACATTTTAACAGTCAGACACTTATCAAATATTTTTAAAATTTTTTTATATACTAGACACAGGTAAAGCATCGAGGAACAAAAAGTAACACGATAAACCTGCTCTTGCACAATTTAAATTATTTATAGTACAAAAATATAGATAACTTTTTAAAAGCAAGTTCAAAAAGTAAGTTAGTTTTACTCAATGATAATTCTATGAAGATAATAAAATGGGTTATGAGATAGAGTTTTACTGCAAATCATTAGGGGATTACCTTAGCTGAGTTTTTATGAAGGTCTTTCTGAGCAGGTAATATATGAGTGGAATCAGGGATGATAAGTAAGAGCCAGCCATGTGTAAACCTATGAAAAGATAGTGTAGGGAAAGCAAAAAACAGGTGGATTTTCCCTGAGGCAAGAAAATGTTTAACAGATTTGACGCACAGATTGTGAGCAACTGTGGCTAGGCCATAGACCTGGCATAAAGAGGGAGAAAAAAGAGACATCGTGATAGACTCTGTGACATCTTTTGTCCAAGATAAGAATCAAGACCTTATACTGATGACAATGAAAAGCCAATGGAATGTGTTAAGCAAGGGAGTTGCATGGTGTGTTTTATTTTCTGCAGTATCACTACACTCTTATTTGTAGAGTGAGCTGTAGTGGAAGCAAGATTGAGCCCAAGAAATCAATTTAGTGGCTGTCATAGTAATCCTAGCAGAATAATAATGGTGACTCAGAATGAGGTGGTCTTAAGGGGAAGTTGAGTAGTGGTCATATTTATGACACGATTCAGAGCTAAAGTCAGCAGAGTGTGCTGATGGATTGGAATTGAAGGTAGAAAGAGAGAAATCAATATGGGCTCTTTTCACACCTAGTGCCTAATGGTGGCATTAACTGAGATGAAGGAGATTGGGAAGGTACAGAGTTAGGGGGTGAATGAAGGAACTTTTTACATTGCTTTGAAACCACATGACATTGGAATCATTCCACACAATAGGATAAGCTCCTAATGGGCAAGGATTATGCTTAATTCCACCTGGATAAAGGTAGAATGCCACGTGTTTTGAAGACTAAGCTTTGAACTTGTCTTTCAAGTTCTGACACAGATATCAGGTCTTTTGTTATGAAATGTGGATAATATTGGCTACAAAAAAAATTGTCCTTAGAAATTTAGACAACAAGTGTTTGGGAAGCAACAAAGACAGTGCCTGTCCTTTGCAGGTACTTAAAAAATGACTTTTATCTTTCTTTGTTATTTCAGTAACTAGCCTAATATCTTTTATATAACAGGAACTTTTCCATGATATAATTACAGAAATATAGATGCTGACACAAACATTTAATTATAGATAAAGAGTACAGTAGGATGGCATTCACTTTTTTTCTCCTTGTAAGTTTAACACTCAGTACTTTTCTGTGCAAGCGTTGTGCCCAGCACTGGAAAGATGCCACAATGTGTTGGTTTGGAAAAATTAGATGCCTAGAGTAACCCTTATATGTGGTCCAGGAGCCTATTTTCTCAGCCTCACAAATGCCTAATTCTCTTATACCTGTGGATTCACTTTCATTATTCTCCCACTAATAAGTCCCCAGATCAGGAGCAAGAAAAGGAGGATATGATGAAAACTGTGCCCAGATGAACTTGCTGGTGTGCTTTCTGTTTGGAGAGTCCATGCAAGGAAGTAGGATGATGGGATCATTCACCTGATGATTTCAGGAACAACATATATCTTTCTGATCATCTTCCCAAATGCTGTATAGGAACAGAACAAATATCAGTTACACTAGAGCTAAAGGTGATTGGGATTGATTATGAGGACTTAGGAGTCACTAAGCTGAACTGAGAGAGTTGAGTGTTAGCAACAGGGTTGCAGAGATTACTTGAAGCATAAAGGCCAGTGGCCACAACAAAACCAACACCAGCAGCAGCAGTGAAACCACGTCACACCGCATCTTGGATAGAATTGTATCTCAGAAAAGATATTTTCAAATCCTAACTAGGAGTACCTGTGAATGTTACCTTATTTGGAAATAAGGTCTTTGCTGATGTAATCAAGTTAAGAAGAGGTCAGTCCGGGCGCAGTGGCTCACGCCTGTAATCCCCGCACTTTGGGAGGCCGAGGCGGGCAGATCATGAGGTCAAGAGATCGAGACCATCCTGGCCAACATGGTGAAACCCCCGTCTCTACTGAAAATACAAAAATTAGCTGGGCATGGTGGTGCGTGCCTGTAGTCCCAGCTACTCAGGAGGCTGAGGCAGGAGAATCCCTTGCACCTGGAAGGGAGAGGTTGCGGTGAACCGAGATAGCGCCACTGCACCCCAGCCTGGCGGCAGAGTAAGATTCCATCTCAAAAAAAAAAAAAAAAAAAAAAAAGAAGTCATACTGTTCTAGGGTGGCCCAAGTTCAATGACTGATGTCCTTATTAGAAGAGGAAAATTTGGAGATAGAGATAAGAGATATAAAGAAAAGGAAGCCTAGTGAAGACAGAGGCCAAGATTGGAGTGATTAATCTACAATCCAAGACACACCAAGGATTATGGTAACCATCAGAAACTAGGAAGAGACAAGGAAGGATTCAACCCTAGAGATTTCAAAGCATGTGTGGCCTGGCCAAGACCTTGATTTTAGACCCTTAGCCTCCAGAACTGTAAGATAATACTTTTCTGTGTGCTAAGCTACTCAGTCTGTAGTACTTTAACAGCCCTAGGAAACTAATACATATAGGGCTGAAGAAGTGTCACACAGGATAAATCAGGCATTGTCAACATACTTACAATCTATTCATGAACGCATTTAAACAACAGGTGGATAAATGGGTGGATAGACAGATGCATGATATAGATAATACATATAAAATACATTTTAAGGCATTATGGCACCAGTCTATGTTATATATTGTTTTATTGTTCAGGTTAAGTGTACAAGAATGTTACTATGAGAAATTCCTGGGACAAAATAGAGAGGCAGAAACACTGAGAAAGCCATCAGATCACAATGCAGGTCTGACCCCAAGTAAAGAAGAAAAAAAGGGAAGAAAAGAAAGTACCTTAGATAGAACCTTTTTAAATTGTTTTGCAATCTAAAAAAAGTCGAGAAATGTCAATGGGAGTCCTCAAGCCAAAGTCACCTGGAATAATTTGCCATCTTTCAGGAATGCTTCTGTGTTAGTATCTTTCCACATTCAGCATTGGCTGGGAGTAGTCCACGGGAAGGATGACCTCAGCGCAAATGCAGTGATAAATTTCAGACCATAGCACTGAGGACTGTCAGTCAATTACTTTATGGTACTTGGAAAACTGAGGGCTGTGTCCTCATGGTTACTTTAGGTGGAATAATAATATACTGGGAGAAAAAAGCTCTAACATTAACTTTGTAGACCTGTCAGCAATTTTGTTCCCACCATTTGCATGGAATGATTTTTTAGATGTTGTTACCATCCTTAACTTGTCCAAACAGAAGGGGTTGGGATAGTGAAAAGGGGGTCAGGGAGAAAGTGGAAGGTTCAGGTTGTTAGCCAGAGTCTCTTTATGACTTTTTCTTATTTATATCTTTCTTATATAAGATGTATAAAGTACTTTTCATGGAGGGAATTAAGATATTATTGTTGGAAGAAAAAAACATTTTTTAATCTATTTTTTTCAGTGTTGTAGCAGCATTGACACTATTTCAGTGTAACACTCTCTCTCTTGTCCTGTCTAATTCTGGGGAACTCCAATGTGAGTGTTGAAAATGGATTTTCCAGGCCCAATAATGCCATTCTTTCCGCTTTTATTTCTCACAAATTTTGCGTTTCTCTCAGTAGGCATTTACATTATTCTAACATCAGCGTTAATATTGTTTTCTGTGACATCCCTTAGGTGGTCTTATTTCAGGTCAGCAAACATTTCCCAGGGACCTGATATGCACTGGACACTGACCTAGCATGTAATGATTTCCCAGAGAAAATATGTAGCCTCTGGTCTTAAGAAGTTTGCAGATAAGTGGTAGACATTGAAAAGAGCAATTTCAGTGTACTGTGATAGCTCCAGGTTAAAAGTAGTTCCAGGTGTGTTTGAACACAAAGATGAATAGTCAAATAAGCCTGGGCTGGGGAGTGGAGGGCTGGTTACCATGCTAAACTCCCTGATGGCAAAGAGGTTTGCATATCATCTAATTTCCTCAGTCATGGACTTAACCTGATGTGCTGCTTCAGTTTACCCCTCCTCCTTTCTGCCTCCAGCAAGTGGTTTAGGTGTCTGAATTATCATTGATGATTCAGTGCTACAAACTGTTAAAATAAAAAATCATACTTGTTGCTTCATATATGTCTGAAGTAGGCCAGAACATCTAAAAGTTAAGAAATATCCATATGCAAGCAATGTATAAAGTGATTCAAGTCGTAAAACTACTTAATTGTGGAGAAAGCACACAATTAAACCATGGATTAAGCTCCAAAGCTTACTCTTTATATAAATTGTTTGGAATGCACAATACAATTTTACCCATAGAAAGCAAAGCTATATATTACCAGGCTAGTCCATGAAAGTCTAATTAGCTTATAATGTAGCTGGTATATTATATATTTCTCAGGAAAATCATTAAAAATCATATTATTCACCAAAAATTGGAAAGATTGAATATCCAATAATGGTGGCTTAATAAAATAAATTTTGTTTTAGCTAATTAGCTGTATAATAGAATGCTGTAAAGCCACTGATGATTACCCTGCAGAAGAATATTTGAAAACCTTATGAGTTTTCTGATTTAAAATATTAGGCAATACAAAGATATAAAAAGCACAATACAAAAGTTTTTTCTCATTATCCCACCTTCAAGAATCATCCAGTATTAATAGTTTAGCATGCATTCCAGACTTTTAAAATAAAATATTAATATAAATGAAAAAATTGTTAATGACATAGAATTAATAGACACGTAGGTATATTTATTTGTATTTTTTAAACCCATGACATTAATATCAAAAATATTTAGTCCTAGTTTGAAAATGGGTAATTTATATTTTATTTTACATTTTTTCTTTTCTGAATTTATTTTATATGTTTATTTGTGACTTTCTAAAGTTTCAGAATTTTCAAACTCTTTTCCTTCAAGAGTTGGCTTCAGTGTTACTCTCCAGAGTAACTTCACCTGAACAATATTTATGAAAATAACTATTCCTCTCTTTCCATCATTTTTGCCATGGAGATATCCCTCTTAATATGCTTTATCTCATAGCACATATCAACACTTAGCATATTATATACCTGTTTATTTAATGTTGTCTCTCTTGTACTGGAATGTGCATTCTATGCAAGCAGGATTGTATCTATTTTGATTATTGCCTTATTTCCAGCAACCTAGACAAGTGCTTGGAATGTAGAAGGCACATAATAAATATTTCTGAAAGAATTATCGGTTGCAAATGAATGACTATATAATTAGAAAAATGCTATGTTTTCAAACTGTGTGTATATAATAAGCATGCTATTTTAACTCTAGCTATTCAAACAGCAACAAAAAAAATCACAAATGGGATAAAAATATAGTCTTATTGATATTAAACACGGGTCATTAAGGAAAAGAGTATTTAATTAGGAAAACAGAACAATATAGAAAGCTCCCTTTAGATTCTGATGTGGTCTTTTAAAATACTTAAATATTTTCTGGATGGTGGGTACCAACTCTGTTTACTGACTTTTTCAAAGGTATGCCCCCCACTAGGTCATCAGTCTGTTATTAGCACAATTCATATGCATTGTGTTATAGTTATAATTTTATATATTTGGCTCAAAAAATAGAAGGTAAGGTAAGAGTAATTGAAGAGGAGGCAAAAGGAGCAGGGTGTGCTGAGAGACTTTTGAGAAGTTCTTGGACGATATTTGAACGATCTGATGTAACCAAATGAATCATTCAGGATAAACTACACTAAGCTGTGATGATAATACTAATATATTATTGGATTAAATCAACAAAACTTTATTTTTCACTCAAGCTGTGTGCGTCAAAGATTGGAAAGGGCTCTCCTCCACGTTGTCTTTGTCCATTAAAGAGGACCTAAGCCCAAGACTCCCTTCTTTCTCTGGCATAGAAAAAAAAAAGGCCTTTGCCAATGAAAAAGTATGCACTCATTCTTTAAAGTTCTTTTTAGTACGTGACACCTGTCACTTCTATTTATATTCTATTTGCCAATGCCAGGCACATGATCAAGAGTAAATTTCATGAGGTGGGAAAGGCCAATCTACCCTATCCCCAAAACGAGAGCAGTAATCAAATATTTGTGGACAGCCCTAATGACTGCACAGCAGAAGAATGAGAAAGATTTTGTATGTGAGAAATTGCATGCTTTAAAGGAAAAGAAAGAGCTCATTTAGTATCATCACTATTCCTCCATCTGGGTTGGAACTAATAAAACACTTGAATATGCTTCCTCAAATCAAGCAATGATGGAGCTTCCTTATTTACAATACAGCATGAGCTATGGGTCTGAGGAAGAATAGTCAATACATTTGTCATGGTGACATTTAACTTTATATTTGCATATTTTATTTTTACGTGTTTCAGATACATCCTATTCTCAGCTACATACAACAGTATGATGAATAAGTAAATATAATTATAGCTTTAATAGTAATACTATCGGTATCTCTAGCCACAAATTAGAAGCATAATGAGAGCAATATGTCCTATTGATTTCAAGCACTTTACATCTTTAATAACAAGAAATGACAGGGTATCAAAACTTATAATGTGCTATACTTACTGGTAAGTAACTTGAGCTTAAAAGGATTCTGTAGATGAATTTGCTTTCAAACTTCAGTTATTACTATCTTCAAGTAATTTGCCTATTATTAGCTAAATCCAACAATCATTAGTCTAGAAACCGAGGTATAACAGACACTTCTCTGATTTCTGTGATTCTTAGTTGCCAACATTAGCCACTTTATTTCCATCTTTCCCTCTATTATAATGTGCTAATACATTAGTTTGCTCCCTCTGGATGTAAATACAATGCAGCTTTTAACTCTGTTTACGGGATACAGGAACACACATCCTGCCAAAAGATTTCACATTGAGCTACAAATTACTAATCACCAAGTCACTTTTTCCATTTCATTCTTCTCCTTGTGTGGATAGAATTAGTGTGAAGATCCCATTAGCAATGGTGCCATTACAGGCAGAATATTTTTTTAAATAAGAAATCAAACCAAACAATTTCTATAGTGTCCAGGAATAAATGTATATTTAAAAAATCTGTATAGGTTATTTTTATCATGGAAAGTAAATAACATTTAGAAACTTAGTGGGGTTTTTGTGTGGGTGTTTTTCTTCACTTCCATAGCTAAAGAAATATATTAGACATAAAAATACAGAATGGAATCAAAAGTAGATAGTGAATTTATGAGGAGTACAGAAAGAATTTCAAAGAAATGTTCTATTTGCCTCTTTGGTAAATTTAAAGATCACTTCTCCTTTCTATTTTAGGACAAAGAAATTATTTTTAGTTGCATGCCCATTATTATTTTAACTATTTTAAATGTTTAATTGTTTAATTATTTTTGGCTTTTGAGAAAATAAAAAGCATCAAGCAACATAGATTTGCAATGCTTATTTCTCTTTATTTGAAATACGTTTGAAGCAGTGCATTAAGCTTTGTTGACCTGAGGTTTTAAAAGGCTGCAGTACATATTCTTTGTCCAAAAAAAAACAAAACAAAAAAAAAACTTTCCTTAAGAGGTCAACTTGTTTAGCTAGGCATATCTAATTTATCTGTAGAGTGTACAAGTTGGTACAGAGCATGTAACATATCCCCAGTACTTCCCTAGGCACAGCACAAACTGAAATCTCTGCCCTCGTGAAGCTGACATGCAGGCTTGGCAGACAATGTGCGAAATAAACAGTATGAGAGTCAGCTGATAGGAAAAGAAGATGTGCGATCCGTGGCAAGTACAGGGTATTCAGTGGCAATTTTAAAGTAAGGACATCATGGTACAGGGCAATGGAATCATGAGCTGAAAGTGAGGAGGATCTGAGCCATGGGCAAACCAGGGAACAGGCCAGGCAGGACAGAGGAATGGCTAATACGAGACACTGAAGCCCCAGCATAAAGTGTGGGTTCTATTTTCATCGAGAGGGCCTAGTGTGGTTGGGGCAGAGGTGAGAGAAAGACTAGTAAGAGATGAGTGGGATTCTTCCATGTGGACCTGTTTCTTCTAGCATCCCAATAAGCTCTTTTGAAAACTGTGCAGAAAACAAACAAACATGAAATGAATGCCGCATCTTATACCATGAATCCTAATTCCAGAGGTGAACAGTGTGGCACCGTTTACCAGAACTTCGAGGCAGAGCCTTAGTTGCACACACGACTTCCAGGTAATACCTAGGAGTGTTTAAGTATATACAGGTGTCGAGAAGAAGAGAGAATGAGAAGGATAATGATACTTATGGTACACCACGTTTATTCCTTTTATCCATAAAGTAAACTTTTTAAAAGTCATTTTACAAATGAGAACAAAGAAAATTGGAGATTCAGGAACTTTCCTATTTGTGTGCTGGGAACTCTTGAGCTGGGACAGTCACCCTTGTCTTTCTGCCTCTCCACTTTGCCTGATACTTTCCAGCGTATGGTAAAGGCCGTTACCTGTCAGTTTCACATAAGAGACAGTCTGGTATAATGGATGAATTAATTCAAAAGTGAGGAAGGTAAGAAAATACTCTGTCTAGGGTCATCGGCAGTATCAGAATGATGGAATAAATAAAAAATAAAACAGAAAGGAATAGTTAGCAACAAAGAATATATGAAGCTTGAGCTGCTTATTGGAAGAATGGGCAGAGACAAAAAGATAATTATTGCTATAATGCAGTGGCTGAAAATGAGTTGTTATGGGTTTTGAGGAGCACTAGGAAGGGGCAAATAATGTTAGCATTTGTTTGCAAGAGAAATAAAGGTGGTGTGATAGAGATCACAGACGAATGAATTGAAGTTTTCTAGCAAAGAAGAAACTGAGGTCTGGCCTTGAACCTTTGTTACTAACTCAGCCTCACAATGTAAGCACTTAACCTGAACAGGATTGTATGCATTGGCTTCAAATTAATGAAATAATTGTGGTCATTAAGGTATGCAACAGTTAATGTCTTTATAGACTTAAGGTGGTATAAAATGTACACAAAGTGCTAAACAATAGTAGATTTAATTACTTTCCAGATAGACAATTTTAAAAATCTAAAGCAATGTTGGGTTTTTATGGTGCAGTTGCCTTTCCATTCAAGGTTTTGTTTTGTTTTCATTATCCTTGGAGTTTATGAGAATCCCATTAATGGAAAAGAGCTGTTAAAAGCTAGGATGATTTTTTTTTCCAATGCAGTGAAGATCAATTAGCACCTTCTAATTTTGTACAAACAAGGAACAAACAACAGATAGAGCATCACAATTTTATGTTTATTGTATCTGGATTAGCTTTCTAACCAAAACTCTTGTTTTCCATCCAAGTCTCCATTGATGTGCCCAGGGCGATTTTGTCTTCAAGAAAATGGAATCATCCTGTGGTGATCAGCCATGATTATTGGACAAATGTACTTAAAAGGTTTTTTGGGGTTAACTTTTCCAGGTGAGAAGGAAGGGAAAAAGAAAGATTCTAGGGGAATGCATTCTGATGTATTGCTAATTGTCTTCCAATTTATTGGGAGAAAGGAAAATATCAAGGCAATTTAAGAACTATTATTACTATTATTGTTTTACAAAAAGGAAAATGGATAACTCAGTGGAACCTAGGGAACTAGGAACTGGAATTTAATGTACATTTTCAGTAGATGGCTTACTCGAAGACTGTAATCATCTTCAATTTACTAACTTTTCCATGATGCCTTTGATGGATACTATATTGTCTGAGAATGGTCCTCTATGATCCCTCTTTATCGCGACTGATGGACTAAATAAAAATTATATAATTACTGGTCATGGAAATAGAACAATATTATTTTCTTCCTGCCAGGTGAAAAGAAAGTTAATGCACTATTAAACATATCTGTTCAAAGTTATGCTCCTATGAAGAAAATAATTATTTTATCAGCGTATATATTACTTTCATGCAGTATTTTCAGTATCTGCATGGATATTCTGCTACTATAAATTAATTAGGAATGGTGATCCCTTCTTAATGTAAATGCTAATGGCCAACATGATGCTATCTCTCCTAGTTACTTCTTCAAGGAATGAACAGTAAGAACTATAAATATTATTTTTTAAAAAACAAGATAGAAGTATTTTCATATGATGGTGTGATTCCTTTGTCAAGCGTGCCTCCATTTTGTTACATATTTTATATAATTTGTTAGATCACATTTCTGCAATGACGCCAACAAGACTATCATAGTAAGGAAGATATTTGGTACCATGTTTCCAAATTTATTCAGCTATAGTTTATCATTTATTTATATACATGTATTATCTTCAAGTATTTTCTACTACTTCCCTTAAGCTCAGTCACAGGACAAAATATCTGGGAGGAAAATATGTTTCACTCTAAATTGAAGTTAATTGCATTTCTCATACTTTATACCTGCAAAAACCCACAAAGCAACTGGACTCTTACCCTACTGATTATCATAACTATGGGGATTATCAGTGGTTATAAATGACTGAAAAGGTTTGCCAAATTTTACTTAAGCTGAAATTCAAGACACATATTAAATCCTACCCATAAGGACTCATAGCCTCGAGAATGATTTTAATGTGGCCAGCTAAAGCCTTATTTATTTTTTCCTTAAAGGTGATTAGCTGTTAATAAGCCAAGAAATCTCTGCAAACATGTACTACCTCACTCTGTGGATTGGTGCTTTACATTTATTTTGGTTTGTGTGAGTTTGTCCTTGCATTTATAATTTAAAAATTAATATGAATGAAAAGAAACAACAAATGAGAACTATGCTTTGGTAATTAAAAGCATCATCAAAAACAGCCAGGCACTGTAGCTCATGCCTGCAATCCCAGCACTTTGGGAGGCTGAGCCAGGTGGATCACTTGAGGCCAGGAGTCTGAGACCAGCCTGGCCAACATGGTGAAATCCTGTCTCTACTAAAAATACAAAAATTAGCCAGACGTGGTCGTGTGCACCTGTAATTTCAGCTACTCGGGAGGCTGAGGCATTAGAATACTTTATAATTCCAGAACCCGGAAGGTGGAGGTTGCAGTGAGCCAAGATCGTGCCACTGCATTTCAGCCTGGGTGACTGAGTGAGACTCTGTCTCTCAAAAAAATGTTAAAAAAAAAAGGCCATATTAATTCAAAAATAAGACATTTTTACAGCCAGGCGCAGTGGCTCACACTTGTAATCCCAGCACTTTGGGAGGCCGAGGCAGGTGGATCTCGAGGTCAGGAGATTGAGACCATCCTGGTTAATATGGTGAAACCCCATCTCCACTAAAAATACAAAAAATTAGTCAGGCATGGTGGCGGGTGCCTGTAATCCCAGCTTCCTGTGAGTTTGAGGCAGAAGAATCGCTTGAACCTGGGATTGTGCCATTGCACTCCAGCCTGGGTGACAGAGCGAGACTCTGTGTCAAATAAATAAATAAATAAATAAATACGTTTTCCAACTCTTTTCTAGGTTGAAAGATTTGCCTAAATCTTTAAATGTTGCCCTTTTTGGTGATTGGAGAGTTAAGATAGACAGCTAAATGACTTTAGTCCCATTAGGTTATAAAATCACCTCCATTACTCAGAAACTCATTTCTTGCTGCAAGAGACTTATGTTGTTTAATAATAGTAATTACAATAATTATCGTAGCACTTACATTTGCAATTATACAGTGGTGACCATCCCAGTAAATCCTGGAACTCTAGAAAAGGAAATACAACGCATAGTTGGGAATCAGTTTGCCACTGAAATGCAGACGTCAGTACAGTGCAAAAGATGGTAGCTCTCTTTGCTTTCAGGCCTTCCCAGCAATTATTAGTTAGAAGAACGAACTTAATTGAAAGTCAAAATATGAAATATAATTTGTGAGAATTAAATGGAAACTGAAAAAGCCTCAAATGTCTAGTTTTTAAGAAAAAAAATAGATAATATCCAAGAAAACCTATATATTTTTAGCCTTTTACCCAAAGGAAATACTCTTCTATTGTTCATGTTCTGCAGAAAATGTTTTTGATATATACATACAAAGACAATTCATTGACTGGCCATTGTTTGTAGGCATAGGGTAAAGGTACCCGATAGCAATAAATTAAGCACACCCTTAGGATGATCCCGTATGGTAGGTGCTTTTGAATGTATGTTCCAAGCTAGATAATCCAGGAGTAGCCAAGCCAGAGATTTGTTCCTTGTCTATGAGGAACATTTGAGCCCCTAGCCAGTCCTGGGAAACATGGGCTGTAGAGGGAATAGAGAGGCTCTGAGTTTGAGGTTGCATGAAAGTTGCCAGGTGGAGGTCATTAAAGGAAGCTGCTAAGTGAAAATGCTATAGAAACTGCATGTTGTTTGCAAGTGGTTGTGGTTCTCCTGTCCAGCCCACTACCTCTGGAGTCTCTCTCCTGTGTGTAAGCCCCTAATAAAAGCACGTCTTGTTTGCTGACTCTGGGTCTCCTCTTCAGCCTCTTGAATCTGATGTTTCCCCTTTTGAAGTTAACAGGGTTTGGCACAAGATTCAGCTATAGCATCTTTAATCGCAAGATATTAAATCAAATGGGTATGTACATCCCCATAAGCTTTTGGAGTATTTCCTAGGAATCAGGGCAATATTATTTAGAATAAAGAAAGAAAATCCTTTAATTTTATTCTTATAGCCCCTTTTGCTCCAGTAATTTCTAAGACCACGTCATGTTTTCAAGGTTTACTTTGGCTACATTGTGAATATAGGTGGATTGTACATCGAGAGCTTTGCAATTTCAATGAGCCTATAAATGAAATAAAAATAGCTTTATTGTATCACTCAATTCTTCTGTACATGATCTTGTCTGGAATTAGTAGTTTGGAATTTTCTGAAATTATAAATATATAATATTCTAAAATTATATATATCTATATATATATATGGATATATACACACGCTCCAAAACTTCTGACAAAGTTCCTCATTGTTACAAGTTCTCCTTAACAATAGCTTCAAATTATACTTCAAGATAAAAATAATTTAGATGTCTTGGTTTTCTTCTCCCTCCTGTCTGCATTTCCATACCCAAATCTTTCTTATAATGCTACCTCCTCCACACAGAATGAAATGATAATCTTTCCTTTCTGAATCCCATAACACAGGAGCTAGCTATTTCTTTCTTAGAGCATTTAACCAGTGTATGCTCTGTGAAAGCAGAGTTGTTTTTGATTGGCACCATGAGCATTCATCATCCTTGTTACATAGTAGGTGCTCAATAAAATTACTTTGACTTGCACTCAGGTCTTCCTTGTACAAAAACTATTGCACAATCAGGCGTATGTCTTATCTTTAAAACCCGCAATGCCAAATGCTTAGTAAATATTCAGCAAATAATAATGATTATTGTTACCTATACTAAAGATCTATAAACTCATAGAGAATAAAGTTCTATCTTATTCATCATCTTATCTTCTACAGTGCTTTGTGCATACTATAGACAATATTTATTTAGTAAATGAATTCAGCCTGAGAGTTCTGTTCACAGTGCGCTTCTTAAATCCAAGTCTAGAGGTTTATATCCGGTATAGAATACTTGTATTCTATACAATTTATATTTAATTAGGAGTCATATTTCCAGAAGCACTTTGGAAACAAGTGGCAACTATTCCAACAGGCCTATCCAAACACAATAAATTTGAAATACATTTGAAGAGAAAGGAAATAACTCCTTCTCCCCCCCAAAAGAAAAGCTTGTCTATACTGAAGGACTTAATGTTCCTACCAGATAACCAAAAAATGTGCTGAATTCAAGGAAAGAAATTTATGTGTGGCCATCTGAACTTCAAGAAATAATTGCTCTGCTAAGATTTATCTTCGTTACTACTGAGTTAATGGAAGGCTACATTTTCGTGTGCAAAGAATCTTTTTTAAAAATAAAAGCAATTAAAACCTCTTAGGCACACCACCCTTATTTGACAAGAAAGTTGTCCTCGCATATAACCTGTCATAGCCAAGTCTGCAAAGTGCACTCCTGATAAGTTTTTAAATATAATCTTGAAGATTGACAATATTGGCCATATTCTCCCCGTTATGTGTTGTTGAAAGAACAAATGACTTCCCAGGAAGAAAAAAAATTTGAAAAAATTGCTAAAAATATATAGTAGTCATTTTTCACTATAACAGAAGACAACTCAGAAACATGGAGTACAAAAAAAAAAAAAAAGTCAATTTATAGAGATGCTTGCCCATTTACTTCTCTTAAGAATGTCTTCCAGGAACAGAAAGCATGTCCTTGGTGGGTCGAATGAGTTTCATTTAGGTTTTAGATTAGCTGCTGCCCTAAAATCTATCTTGAAGGGCTTGTGTTAAATGACAAGGTTGTGAAATGAAATACAAATTAGGCTTAACTAGGATAGATTGCATTAAAAAAATGTACTCGACTCAACAAGGAAGTTCAACCAAAGTTCAGTGAGTTCATGCTGGTGTGAAGTGGGGTGAGCGGCTGGGCACAGCATCATGTCTGCTGTGGGCGGGACCTCACTAAGACATCTTCTTGCTTCCAAACACAGGTGATGTAACGAGAACATACACAAACATGGGTTTTCCAGCGGTGACCGACAGCTTGTCGGATGCCGTTAATTAGAGCCACAGAGGATAAATCTCACACTCAGTTTTATGACCAGCATGCCCTCTATTGGTTTGCACTAAATACATGTTGACCAATATTTCAAACACAGCGTATATCTGCATCATGAATAGATGTTTCTGATTTAAAAGTCATCATTCATATGCTTGTGAGCAAAAAGATGAATCGAATGGCATCAAAATAGATATTATCTTTTTCAACTATAATACACATTTGAACAATTCATTTACATAATTTAAAAATAAGTTTGAATTCATATCACATATCCTAAGAAAATTATTTTATTTATTTACATTAAGATATTTACAAATTTGAAACACTTTTTAAGTTCCAGATCTATCTGAGAACACAACTGTTTTCTCATGATATAGTCTAGGATCTAAAACAATTTGCTTTGATAAAACATGGTTAACATATATGCTAACTGTTCGAATACTTTGTCTTTTTAATTTAATTCTCTCAAAATGCTATGATGGAGATACCACTATTACCTGTATCTCTGTTCGACAGATGAGAAGGCTGAGGCACAAAAAGAGTTAGTAATTTGCTAGAGAGGCCAGGCTTGTATGGAAGGGAATCAGGATTTAAACACAGGCAATTTGGCTGCAGAGATGAGATCTTAAACCACCATATTGTGACATCCTGCCATCTTATGCTCAACGAAAGAAGAAGGAATTACAAGGGACACACAGTCAGAACACTAGGATGGTCCAAGTTGAGAGATCAAAAGTGGGGATGTACAAAACCGGTTTAAATAACGTTACTGGTTAAAACTGCTAATGGGTACAGGGATTTATTTGGGGATTAATGAAAATGTTCAAAAATTGATTGTGGTGATGGTTGCACAACTCTGTGAATACATTAAAAACCACTGAATATGTGTGTGAGTGTGTGTGTGTGTGTGCATTTAATACATGTAATTTGACTATTTTGATTAATCTCTCAAATTGTTACTGAAAGGCTGTTATCAGACCAGGAAAGACTAATGGATACTGTATAACTTTGTTTAATTGTATTTAAAGATAGTCTAAAATCGCAGTATAGCATTGCGTGAACTGACATGTTCTTCTATACCATAGTTCCCCCACCCCCCTCGTTTGGTAACTTGATTGTCACATGCACTTCATTGTGACTTGGTTATGACTTGTAATGTGATTGCGACATACACACGGTGTATCTTATGTATTTAGAAATCTTCTCTTCTAATTACTCAGAAAGTAATTCTACTGTCTCTTTCTCCTTTTTAAAACATTCTGATTAAAACTGAAAATACATTCAGATATCATTATTTTTGTTTTTTCTTCTTTATCTTCAGACTTGTTCTTTAAACTTCTTTTTTTTTTTTTAATTTGAACTATGGGACAGTCGAGAAGTTAATTTGGGATGGGTCACTTTCTGAAGACCTTTTAAAATAAATTGGATTTCACCTGCTTTTTTTCTTACCTGGAAGTCGACAGAAATGCTACCTTTATCAAAACAAAGCATTCTGTCTTCTATTTGTATTATGAGTATTCACAGTCTAATTTTCCTAAAATTACATCTTCATATGTTAAACAAAATTTTTGTTGCCCTAGGGAAAGATGTATAGGGTAATTTCATCCCACAATGTATTAGACACTTTATAAAGTATTCATTTTTGTTTTATTTTGTTTTACTTAAAACCATATTTTGTGGTATGAATTGTGAGAGAGGGTAAACCAAATGTACTATCTTTCATTTGTATTTACAGTGTGTTATATTCTTTTACACACATAATGAAAGGGTCTTACTGACCCTTATGTTGTAAGCTACATGAAAAATATGCATTAAGATTTTAATTATAAACAGATTTAGTCACCACTGTTTATGTTCTTTTAGTCTGCATTAGCACGGTCATTTAAATAAAACATTTGTTTGTAAATGTGTGTGTTTCACTTGATATAGCTAATTACAAACCTGGCTGGGATTTTTACGATACCTCTTTTAAAGCATAGTTTTTATGTAAATTTGAACATTTCATCTTAAAAATGCCTCGTGTTTGATTTAATATGCTTGAATTAAATATATTCTATCTACTTGAATCTCTCTCTATTTAAAGGAATTTTTCTGAAAAACAGGCATGGCAGTTAACTTCCTGTCTGTGGCTTTCCAAGAATGAATTAAAATGTGCAAAATGATTTGAGATTCACGGTGAAAGGATGCTTTAGAGTGTTAATCCCCCATGAATTCTGCCTCCAGGATTCTGCCTAAATGAGCAGGAAACTTCTGGAATTGAACAAGCATCGTGGGTGGCCATGCTATGGTTAACAGGAAGAGAAGGGAGATTTCAATTAAAGATGTGAGTTAACTCATATAAATACTATTATTTGTGGGTGCTTGTCCATGTGTGTGAGTATAGGCCTGCACGCTGATAGAACAGAGAGACCAAAAGGACTGAAATATAAATTCTCCCATCTGTCAGGAGAAATGCTCTTGGGAGAGGATAGATATTTTCAGGAATTTATTTTGTATCTCTTAACATACTTCAGTGATTTAAAATACCATTGAATTTGGCTATGATCAGGATTTTGGAGACTTGTAGATAAATTAAAGGGCAGCACTCTGTTTTGCTTTACTGTTGAAATTTTATAGCCTAAATTGTTTTTCCATTTCTATTTCCATGTTCTGGGTTTGGGAAGGAATGTAACATGCATTACTTCCTGTGTATTACAATGGGAAAAATTTCCCACATTTTACACACACACAGTTCAAATAGTATTGCTTTAAAGAACAGAATTAGAAATCCTGTCTCTGATGATTACTGCAGAAATTAATCTCTGAATTATTTTCTAGATTTCTTCATTATTCATTTACAATTACAATATTTCTGTGTTGAGGTATACTAGCAAAGTAGCTTTTTAATGTTTTCTTTAGCCATGAATCATGCATACATACACACACACACACACACACACACACACACACACATAAATACATACATCTACAATTAAATGTATAATATTGGATTGCTATTTATAAAATTGTTTAAAAGTAAGTAAATTCCTTCAATTTCTAAAAGCCAGATATTTAAACATTTCCACATATAATTTAAAACTAACAAATATAATCATTCCGCTAGTCTAATTTCATGTGAAATATTATGTATGAAGTGGGGCAAGGTTGTGGAGGGTTGGGGTAGGTAGAAAACACTTTGTAAGGATATTAAAAATTAAGAGCCAAATGACTTTATCATTTGTTTTTTCATATAACTATCATTTGCATGAGGGACTTTAGTTTTGTTTCTTTTAAAATTTTTTGAGATTTGGTGCCCTGGTGTCTTTTCAAATTCTCATAGAACAATTGGAATTAGGCACCTAATTTTTCAACTTCTTAAGGAAAATGATAATGGATTAAGCAGCAGAAAATGCCTGAAGGTTTCACTGATGTAATCTTCCTTGTCTTTTAGAGCACACCTCATTTTTTGTGCTTTATTACTTTTTTCACCATTTTTCATGAATAATGGGGCTGGGCACTGCTGCTGCTTTAGGAATGGGGTTGTATCCCAATCACCATATTAGAGAATTGCCTGGTCCCATAGCAGGTATCCCTACTGATGAAATTCATGAAGATGCCACTCAATGGAATCCCCCAGAGGGAGTTTGTTTAAAAATGACAAGGACAGTATATCTAATGATAGTTTCTTTCTCTTCAGAATGCCACTAACTCTTGAGATGTGTTTGGCATACTGTATACTCTTTCTACCCTTTAACAGCAAACACAATCATGTTTTATTGTTATTTTTATTTTTTAGCATGTACAATATACCAAGAATTCCCTTTGAAGAGACATTGACTTGTAAGGTTTTCTTCCACGTCCTGGGAAAGGCCCCACCGATGAATGCACGTGGCCATGCCTTTACCAAATTTGAGGGCAAGATAGTTTCCCTATGATTGGTCAAGCCCTCACCCACTACCACTCCAGCTCCCCCTCAGTCACACTTCCCCTTAGCCAGGCACCACTGGAGTGGTCACAGGCAATATTAGGATTTGGCAAAAAGGAACTGAGTTGAATATGTGTTTAGTGTGTGTGCATTGGGACGATATTGATTTGGTTCACAGTAACTTCCATGTCTAGTTATTTGGGTCATGTCTATGCTGACTCTCGCTTGTCAGGGCACAAAGGAGTCTGTCCTGTACTGCCTAACACTGCAAGTATGTCCCTAATGGGATAGATGAGTGTTAGAAATATGTGGTATGAGAAGTTGGCTTTTGAAAATTTTTTCATTTATGTGATGTATACAATTTTAGTGGGGAATTTGGTTTTCAACAATGACAAATTAAAACAGAAAATCTTTTCTTTCAAGGATGTATGAAAATTTTCAGCATGTATAAGTGTACAATACATTTTGTTTTTCTTTATTAAGGGAAATGGTACATTTGCGAAAATGCGGTATACCTTTTAAAGAGGAAAGATGTTTTGCAACATTTCAACTAAACAGGAAAGAAATGATAGACCATTTATTTGGACTTGTGTGTTTTATGCCTTCTTTCATCACTTTAAGGTTATTAAAAATTAGGAAATTTTTCTAATAAACTGAATGGAACCTGAAACTTAAGTCATAATTATGTGAGTGGTAAAATTAGTAGACATTTCATTCTAATATTGAGAAGGAAATTAAAAACAAAACTTTTACACTGTACCAAAAGTAGAAATTTGTTATGAATTAGAGATGTATTTCAAATACAAGAAAAAGGCGGATTTTTTATTGTTAATAATCTACTTAATGTAGGAGATATTGTTACACGAATACATAACAGAAAGATTTATTTTTCTGATTTTAACAAAAATATTAGAATTAAAAAAAAACAAGATGAAACTCATAATATGCCAGCACAATAAGAGCAAGCTCTGACAAAAAGCTGGTAATTGTGGATCAGAAAAATCAAAGAAAACTTAGGTTTTGTCAACACACACACTTTAAATTCTTCGAAATCAATGAAACCCTGAAACTGACAACAACATTAACATTTATTATTAGCATGAAGTGTGAAGTTGAAACTTGTCTAAATGATTAATAATAATAATACAATTTTAACAATGCCACCTGAAAAACTGAATTATCTCTCTATTCTCAACATAAACAAAATAGTGAAATTGTCATAAGATGAAGCCACTAAATAAGTATACAATCAAAATGTACACTTAAAAATATCAAGGAAGTATGTCAGATAAAATTAACAAGAAAAGTTGAGTTATTTCAATTTCTGATTCTTCTGGTATTGATCAAATTTTTAAAATTTGTAAGTATTATTTTCTCAAGATAGATAAGCTATATATATACAGATTCTTTTTCAATCAATGTATCTATATAGAGACAAAGTAAAAAATATACATATATATATAGAGTGTGTGTTTTGTACACATATGTATATATAGAGAGAGACAGTTCATATTCACATATATAGACAATTTGTGCCTAATTTTGTTTTAATAGCTTATATTCTTTTTCTTAAAATGAGACTCCAAAATTATACAAACTTCAGGCTCCTCAAAACCTGGTTCGGTCCATGCCAAGGAATCAAATATATTTTTTTAAGTACATGCAACAGAAACTTGGTGGGTTTAATTTAAGAAAAGTCACATTTCTTATTACAGAATCAAAGGAAAAACTGAGCGACTTAGATTGAGGAAGTGGAAGTGCAGATTGTGGACAGAGTCTGGGTTCTAAGAGCATTATCTGAGAAACAGTTCTAGAGGATATCGCCATTGGTTGGCAGGTCCTCTAATCCTCATGCCTGCATCCTTAGTTGAAATTCAGAAGATGAGGAGGAAGATTCTAAGCTAAATAGAATCACATGGATGGAATAACTTGAGTGACAGTTTTGAGAGTGAATTGAAAGCCAGGCAGTTTCACTAGGCAAGCAGATATGCAAGGCAGACAGAAATAAGAGTTGGCTACAATTAGATATTGTACTTAATGTTGGGATGCACGGGGATAGAGAGAGGAAGACAGCTCTGTGCCTTCCAAGAATTTGTACTTTAGTGTAACAGATAGAAGTGTAAGTAGATAATTTGCAAAGTATGTTAGGTGCTAACAGAGCGCTATATCCAGGGAAATTTGGAAGCATAGGATAGAGAAACAAAGCCCGAGATAAGCTTTCTTGGACTTGAAAATGGCTGAGCTAAGTCTTGATTCTGGGTCTAGCTTTATTTTCTTGAGAAAAATAAATGAAAATAAAATTTTAGAATATGAATTTTAAAAAAATTGAAATCAAATACCTCCAACAGTACCCTCTTTAGATACAACTCCTAGAGCAAGTCCCAGAAAAATGAAATAATTGACAGAAAAACATACAGATACTTGTGGCAAAATTTTACTGGAACCCGCTCCTCTTAATATTAGTCCATACTCTGTTCATCGTTTTATACAACAGAGAAAAGGAATTCAAAGAACTTGCCAAATATCAAAGTGAATCAAACAGGAATTTACAGTAGGTCTCATGGAAAGTAAGTAAAATGATCTGGTATTTATAATTTTAATTCAGGAAACATGACTAAGGACATGCATATAGAAAGTTTTAAATCAAAACATAGTAAGTGCAGGTTAAAAAGAGCATGCTATTGGGGAAAACGTAGGCATTTGATAATAAGGAGCCATAAGGTGGAGCCAATGGAATTTTTAAGCTAATTGTCAGTATGTTCAACCATGAGAGCAATGACATATGTCAAATATCATTTAACAGTCTTTAAATCTGCACTTAATAACAAAAGCATAACCCGTTTAGACCTAGATTTCCACCTTTGATTTTTTAAGAATATATAGACAAATATACTTTCTAATGTATATTAACATTCATAATTTACAACATACACATGGATAATATTACTTAAAACTCAAGGCAGTGGATAATAGAAATCCCAGATTTGTATTACAAGAGTAATACTGAGCATGAGGGAAAAGATCAAGGCAAAGAGAAAGTAAGAAGTATGTGGAACAGGCCCTGCACTAAAATGTATTCCCAACGCATTCAATAAATTGTTTATAAACTGATTTATTTCTCCTCCTCCTGCTGCTCCTCCTTCTTCTTCTTCTTCTTATGGCATGCTGACATTTCCCTTTGTAATCCTGGTAAATTTTCCTCATTGTCACTTTTGTGAATATCTTCTTTCACTGCTATGTTACACAATTGAAACATCTTCCTCATTTCATTCCCTGAATTTATTACATTTTTGTAGGATTCCACTCAGATTTTAGGTGTGAATATGTGATTAATGAGGAATGAAACATGGTGATAAGAATATGAGCTTTTGTGCCAGACACAACTGAATTTGAATCTTTCATCACTTGGTAACATGATCACTTTGGGCAAATAAATGAGAAAATGAAACCTCCGATCTTCTTTTGTAATACAGAGGTAATAATAACACCATATCAGTGTGTTATTGAGAGTAGTAAACCAAATAATTAAAGAGCAGAGCTTGCAATAAATCTTATCATCATCATCATTATCATAAACATCACTGATGAAAGCAAAATTTGGACGAATGTCTGTCTTTTATGAAGCAAGTATACATGGTCTATACCACCTCTATACTTTTTCCCAATGATTCATTTGACTTGGCCCATGTTAATTTTCAGAGAATCTTCTACAGTAATTTTCTTTATGTGTGAACCTTTTTTTGTTTTTAATATAAAGCAAAAACAGAGAGAAGCAGAAATAGATAACAGAATAGTTGTGCAAAAATAGAAGATGTATATATTAGCAATTAGCTTAATATATTAACAATTGAGTTTGAGCTTAACTAATCTTATTTTTATTTATTCAGGGTATCTCTTTGTCTCCTTCAAGTACTGTCTACAGAGGGCTAGCAAATTCAAGCCTGCCATTCTTAATGCGAATACAGTAAACAACAATGTCATCTGATGAGAAGGAGGAAGGCGAGGGTGAATTCAGGGGCTGGAGTAAATTGAGTATGTTTTGAAATAGCTTCTCTAGGGAATTAAATAGGAATTCAACCATTAGGGAATAAAAGGATTACAAAGAAAAACTGAGTAGAGAAAGAAGGCATTTTCAATGGATCCAGATAGCCAGCTTACATGACTTTCTCTAACAGCTCAGCAATTCCTGGTTAGACATAAAGAGATAATTTGAGCTTAAAAGGATGCTAACAGATGGAGATTTGAGAGAACCTAGAGTAAAGTTTATCTTATTTGTGCTGTTTGGAGGCTGGGCAGGTCATTGGGCTATTTCTTTTTCATTATATATAACATTTTTTTGTGTGTTTCATGCAGTGTAAAGAGGTTACTGTTTTGCACATGTAATATTTTTTTCTTATACTGAAAACAATATTTAGTTGTTAGGTGTTTAAACATAAATGTAAAAAAATATATTGCCTTCAATTTAATTTACCCAAAATAAAAAGTTAGCAATTGGAGCTTTTTATAGCCATACATTTTATAAATGCATGAAGGAAGAGAAGGAGACTGAGAGAAGTCACTTTATGTATATAAGATAATACAATATGGAGGGATTTATAATCTGATACTTAAAAATTTAATAAATTATAACATGAAAACATTTTCTATACTTTTAATTATCTTTCATAATTTGGAATTTCTATACGGAAGCTACTTTAATTATTGGAATGTAGTTTATTTAATCCTAAAAGGTTAATATGCAGGTTTTATTCTATGTTTTTACCAATAGATTCAAAATTGCAGTGAACATGAATGGATAAGTATACTTATCCATTCATGATAATTTGTTGAGTACATACCCCTAGAAGCAAACTTACTTGATTGAATATATGCCATTTTGCATAGCAGTTTTATATATTGTCAAACTGTCCTCTAGAATAACTATTTTAAACATATATTTTGAATGTGTAAGGCAGTAATTCCAGAAACTTAACAGTAAAAAGTTATGTTTTACTTCCATATATTAAAATTTTAAACAAATAGCAAATATCTATAGCTGTGCCTCTTTTGTCAAGAATTTTTAAACTTTAAAATATTTTAATCATGCAATATCTTAAACATTTATAAGAAATCAAGGAAAATAATAAAACAAACACCAAAGTACCCATCACTGCAATTATATGGATAAAACATTCCCACATTTTTGAAAATAAATTAAACTTTACAAATACATATTACTTTTATATTTACTTTTCTGAATACATTTGAAAATGAGCAGAATTGTCTTTGATTCCAACAATTTCTTCTTTTACCATGACTCACATTTCATTTCTATTTTGTTTCCTTCTTCTTTTGTGATTTCATGAGTTGAAAACATAATTCTTTTAAAATTTTTTTACGTTATTTAAAAAATCCTATTGGCAATAGATTCTATTGGCCAAAATTCTATTGGCAATAGATTCCTTTTATTTTATTAATACACTTTATATTTATACAAGAAATATTACTCTGTCTTCCAATCTAGGACTTCCATATTTAGGTAAGCAATCTTCTATCATTATACATTTCACAAATTTGTAAAATACATATCTATATAAGATTTCTCTTTTCTTCTCTCTGCTTCTCTCTCTTTTCATTTTTTCTTTTGTTCTCAGCCAGAGAATTCATCCTGTCAAAAATTACACACTAAAACTTGCTTTGCAAAATATATGAAAATCTTTACACATTAATAACTACAGGTATAACTTATTTTATTCTTGCCAAGTAATATCACTAAATCTGAATGTACTGTAACTAAGTCCAATATTAGAGGACAATCAGATTTTTTACAATATTTTTGCTATTTAAATTCTGCAATGCATATTTCTGCTCACAGATCATGTATTAGAACAATTTATGTAGCATATATTTTGCAAAATGAAGTTCTATGGCAAAAATACACTCATATTTTAAAAAGTAGACATCATCAGCACCTACACTTATAATATAGCAATTTATATTATAATCAACAATATATGAAAGTGGACATTTGCACACACTCTCATCTGCATTGGATGCTATCATTTATTTTCATAAAAGTTGATGTTTGATTGTTGTTGCTTCATTAAATTAATTCTAAGGCTATTAACTTATTTCTGAATATAACCTTGGCAAGCCTGTAGACGTTTTCTTATACCTATACATATATGTATTTATATGCATATATATGTATGTGTATATATATTTATATATGTAGCAATTATTTTATTTTCATTCCTATCTAAATAGATTTTTTTTTAAATTTCACCTCACCTGGTTTTCTATGTTCTATATTACCCTGGCTCAAACCCTTCATATATTATGATTTATATGCTCTATTACTATTAAGTCTTTACATGAAATTTCTTAGTTTTTAATATAATTTTATGTAAAAATAAATTTAGACTTATAGAAATATTGTAAAAGTAGAAAAGAGGATTCTTATGTAGCCCATAGCCCACATTTATGGTTCTCCTATTAACATTTTACATTAGTACAGTACATTTATCACAATTAATGAACCAATGTTAACACATTATTAACTAAACTCCTTGCCTTATTCAGATTGCCGTAATTTTCAACTAATGTTCTTTTTTCTGTTCCAAGATCCCATCTAGAATACCCCATTATGTTTAGTCATGAGGCCTCCTTAGACTTCTCTCGGCTGTGACAGTTACTTGGACTTTCCTTGCTTTTGATGATCTGGACAGTTTTGAGACATACTGGTTAGGTATTTTGTAGATTGTCTCACAGCTGGTATTTGTGTAATGTTTTCTTCTCATTATAAGATTAGGGTTATAGGTTTGGGGGAGAAAAACTACAAAGGTAAAGTGCCATTCTCATGACAACATAGCAATGGTCTATCAAAGTTATGCATTATCAACATGGCTTATCACTGCTGATGCTAACTATAGTTATCTGGCTGAGGCAGTATTTGTCAGGTTTCCCCACAGTAAGTGACTCTATTTCCCCCTTTCCATACTTAACTCTTTGGATGGAAGGCAATATGCACAATCCACATTTAGGGAGCCGAGAGTTATACTCCAATTCTTTGAGGGAGGAATATCTATGTAAATTATTTAAATTTTTACATTAAGTTTTCTTTTATTTCCTTATTTTATGTATTTATTCAAATGTGTATTCATATCGGCTTTGACCATTGGAAACATTGTCAGCTGGAGCCTGTCCCCATTATTGTGTTTTTTACCACATACTCCTTTTCTGACTCTGTAAGATTCTTCATGGTTATCTTGTATATATCCTGTCAAGGTCCTAAAATAAGCCATTTCTGCAAGAAGCCCTGATTTTTGTTTGTTTGTTTGTTTGCTTATTTTTATAGTGTTAGAAACAAAGTTCTGGGTGCTAGGTATGCACTATGGTTTGAACATATGTGTTTCTCCAAAATTCACATGTTGGAACTTAAACCACAGTATGACAGTGTTAAGAGGTGGAGCCTTTAGGAGGTGTTTTAAATCACAAGATTGTAGCAATTATGTATGGGATTAGTGACCTTTTAAAAGAAGTGTGAGGGAGCTGTTCACTCCTTTTGACTTTCCATCCCTTCTGCCGTGGGAGGGCACAGCAACCAGGCACCATCTTGGAAGCAGAGACCAGGCCCTCACCAGACACCAAACCTGCCAGCATCTTGATCTTGGACCTCTCAGCCTCCAAAGCTGTGAGTGTGATGTTGTGAAATATATTTGGTCTTCATTACCCTTTCCTGGCATGTAACTCCTAAAATCCTTAGAAGCTTCAGAGTCTCAAGTGTCTTTTGTATGCTAATGAGTTGGTGATGGTTGGATGCCCCTACATAGCTTCAGGATGGGGGCTGGTCACCTGAAAGATCAAGGTGTGATTAAAGGGTTGGACTTTCAGCTTCACCACCCACCTCCAGGAACAGGAAAGGGGCTAAAGGTTAAATTGATCACTGATGGCCAATGATGTAATTGATCATGCCTACTTAACAAAGCCTCCATAAAACTCAAAAGAACGAAATTCCGATTCCGGATGGCTGAACATGTGGAGATTCCTAAAGGGTGTCCTGCCTGGGAGAGCATGTTGTCCTGCTTGAGAGAGAAAAGGACACAGATGAAGAGTCACATAGGGTGAAGTATAGAGTGGTTGAGCGCCCCGTCTCTACACTTCACCTTTTGTATCTCTTCATATGTATCCTTTGTAATATACTTTATAATAAACCAATAATCGCAAGTGAGTTTTCCTGGATTCTTTGAACTGCTTTAGCAAATTAATAGAACTAAAGAGGGGTTTGTGGGAACCCCAACTTTAAGATGGTTGTGTTAAAAGTTCCAGAGGATGGGACTTATAGGTGTTGTCTGAAGTCAGGGGGAGTTATGTGGTACTGAGCCCCCAGTGTGTGGAATCTGAGGTTATCTCCAGGTAGATAGCACCCGAATGTAACTGAATTAGAGGGCCCCCACACATTTGGTCACAGAAGTCTTTTTTATTTATTGTTGTGGTGGTGTGAGAGCCAAGAAAAAATAGTTTGAGTTTTTTCCCCATATGGTAAAAAATAAATTTTTACTCTTTATAAATTACCAAGTTTCAGGTATTTTGTTAAGCAGCAAAATTAACTAAGACAGTGTATGGTTGCTACTTGGGTGACATTGCTCCTAGGTCCCCTCAGCTGAAGGATCAAGGGAATATATGTGTGTATACTAATATATGTATACACATATACATATCCATATGTGCCATCATCTATATCTATATCTATATCCAAATCTATATCTATTGCTGTCTATATTAAGCTAAACATGAGTCCATAATGATGAGAGCCAATTGTAATCCCTTACCACATGGATTATTCTACCTTCTTGCCTTGCTTTTCTCTGAAGTCCCACTTCAGCAGTGACAAACCTGGCTTTCACCAATGCTATTCATTTACTTAATTGTTCAGTTCTAGTATGCATGTGTGTTTCAGAATTGTTTACTCTTATTCCTATGGGAAAAATCTTTGTTAACTAGAGTAGTATTAGGCTCAGTTAGATAGTTCTTTTTGCCTTTAGTCTTATAGACTCTGTTCATTTCCAAAGTTACTAAGGTTATGACCTTTTTTCTCCATGGCCTTCAGTGATGTTGTTTTGTACCTTTGTATACAATTTTATTCTTTTGCCACAGATTGCATGTCCTGTGATACTCTAATCTTTTAAATGGTGTGTTTACATTTATACACATTAAGATTTACTCTTTATTCTGTTTGCTTAGCATGTTCTTGTGTTCCCTTTTATTGCTGATAATCTTGTTCTGAAGTCAGCTTTGTCTGAAATTAATATAGCTACATCAACTTTCTTTTTATTTGTGTTGCACTGTATTTCTTTCTGATCCCATTTACTTGTAACCTATCACTTTATATTTAAGGTAGATTTTTTTCAAGACAACATATAGTTGTTTTTCTTTTAATCCTCTCTGTCAATCTCCACTTTTAAATTCATATGTTTGGATCATTCACATTTAAAATGATTAGACATATAGTTTATTAATATCTATAATATTTATAACTATTTTCTATTCATGGCAATTGTTCTTTGTTTCTTTGTCTCTTTTGTTTCTGTGATCTCTTGTTTTATTTTTAATGGAACATTTTGTATGATTTTATGTCCTCTCTTAGTGTATCAGTTGTATCCATTCTAAAAATATTTTTGTTGGTTGTCCTAGAGTTTATAATGTACATTTTATTTTATATTTTATTTATTTATTTTTATTATTTTTTAGATGGAGCCCCACTCTGTTGCCCAGACTGGAGTGCAGTGGCGTGATCTCGGCTCACCGCAACTTCCGCCTCCCGGGTTCAAGTGATTCTCCTGCCTCAGCCTTCCAACTAGCTGGGATTGCAGGTGCCTGCCACCTCTCCCTGCTAATTTTTGTATTTTTAGTAGAGACAAGATTTCACCATGTTGGCCAGGCTGGTCTTGAATTCTTGACCTTGGGTGATCCACCCGTCTCAGCCTCTCAAAGTGTTGGAGTTACAGGCATGAGCCACTGTGCTTGGCTAAAATATACATTTTAGATGATTTATGTTTACCTTCTAATACGACTGTATCCTTTATGTTTAGTACAGATACCTTAGAATATTCTCATCACTTCTCCGCATTTTGGCTAAGATTAAGTGTAACAGAATATTCTCCATTTTCCTCTCCTTGTGACATTGCTAACATTCGTTTCATTTATCAATATGCTACTATTACCCAATACATTGTTACTATTATTGCTTTAAACAAATAATTATACTTTAAAATAAATTAAACATAGTAAAACATATGCTTTATACTTACATCTTTCTTCTTTGATACTCTACCTTTCTTTATGCAGATCCATGTTGATGATCTATACTATTTTTCTTCATCCGGACAAACTTATTTTAACCTTTCATGCAGGATAGGACTGCTGATAATGAATTTCTTCTCTTTATCTGATAAAGTTTTTACTTCCTCATTTTTAAGGAATAATTTTATTGCATAAAAAATTCTAGATTTTTTTCTGTCAACCCTTGAAATATTTCACTCCACTCTCTGCTTCCTTGCAGTTGCTGTAGTTTCTGATGAGAAAGCTACTGTAATCCATATCCTTGTTCCTCTAAAAGTACATTGTTTCTCACTGATGTTTTCAAAGATAATTTTTGTCTGTGGTTTACTGTACTTTGTATACTATATGCTGTGTTATGCTCATTGTTGGTATTTATCTTGTTTGATTTTTCTGAACTTCCTGTATCTGTGATTTGGTGTCTTTCATTCATATGGAAAAGTTTTGGCCATTATTACATGAAATATTCATTCAGGTTTGTTCTCTCTTCTTTTGGTGTTCCGATTATGTATATGTCACACCTTTTGAAATTGCCTCGCTGTTCTTCAGTGCTTTGCTCTGTTTTTGTTTTGTTTTGTGTTTTGTGTGTGTGCGTGTGTGTGTGTGTTTCTCTCTCTCTCTTTGCATTTGTGCTTTGGAAGTCTCTATTGCATTACCTTCAAGCTACTATAGATGTGTTCAGTCTAACAATGATACTGTATAAGGCTTTTTTATTATTTCTGCTACAGCGCTTTTTATTTTTAGAATTTCAATCCTTTCTTAGAGTTTTTGTCTAGATAGATGTTTACATTACCCTTTTCCTAGGTCTGGCAATGTCTTTTCTCTGGAGAGTAGACTTTTGTTATAGAGCAGATTCTAGGTATATTTCACAATAGTTACTCTAACAATCTCCATCTCCCCCAGCCAGAACCAGGGGGATATTTTTCTTGTTTTGTTCATCAGGAGAACCTGGGGGGTTTCTAATGTAAAACCCACCAAAATGTGCCACCCTGTTTGAAGACTGCAGTTCCTAAGAATTTCTCACTCTCACACAAGTTCGTTTTCTGCCTCCAGCACCTCATCAAAACTATAATTTAATTGTTCCTACTAGGTTGTGGCTCCAGTGGCTTCTGCTCCAGCTGAGCAAATCCTCCCTGTGTCTCCCTCTGGATATACTTGTCTTTCCAGATTTCAGGGCAATGATTTTTCCTGTCACCTCAGTTCTCCAGTGAGTCCATGAATAGTTATGGTTATTTTCAGTTTGTCCACATGTTTCTTCTTGTAAAAACAGGCATCATAATTCCCAAGCTCTTTAAAATTCAGAGCGGAAGCAGAAGTCATACTTAAGTTTTAGCACACTTTAGAATACCTTTCTGTCACTTCCTACAGTTAAATAGAATGTATATTTTTTCCCAAAATGAAAATAATCTTAGCATTTTTTTCTAGTTTTAAAATTATTTCTTCTCAGTTCAAATCCATCTTTCTTAACACAGATTCGTGATACTGAAGCTGGACCCTGTAAACATTTCTTCTTTGCTAGCTGGCAAAATTTTAGGCTGCTCGGTAGAGGACACTGAAGGAGTTTATCTTACTGTTTTGAGTGTGCTTCTTCTGGCTTCTATGCCATGAAGGCCAATGGGTGCTTCTTGACCAATGGTGGACATGAAACCCAGTGACCCACACCATCCAACAAATATCACAAACACTCAGCAGGCATCTTTCTACCAAGTATCACCAGCCAGTCTTGCCAGCCTCCAAGAGATTATTTATTCAATGATTTGTGGCAATACCCCAGCATATGGTTTCATAGTCAGTAGTTTCTTTCTGTTGCACCTCAGCAAACTTCATTCCCTGAGCACAGCTGCACCCTTGCCTAGTTGGTAGAACATTCAGCCTTAGGAAATGCTTCTTCAAAGATTGTCTTTCCTTTCAGTAATTCCCCTTGGCCCTAGAAATGGTGGCTATTGCCTACATCTGCTATTCCTATACTCTATAGATTTTTTTAAATTGCACTTGAGGCTTAATCTCTTTTTAATACTTAACATTTCTTTAATGAAAGTACCACTACTCCAATTACTGGTATAGTTTTTATCTCCTGACCCAGTACTTAGTGATTCAGCGTCATTTCACCACGGCATAATTAACATATTGAAATCATATGAAGTTTTAGGTAGTGATCATGATCTTATCCTATATCAACAGCTATAAAAATTTATAAGTTTTTTGAATAAATGTTGTTCTTTAAGTAAGTTTCATTATAATTTCCACAAGTCCCCTTCCTACTATTTTTTTTTCTTGATTTCGAGAATTCTTTGTGGATTTCTTGAAGAAAAACTAGGATTTCTCATGTTGATTTCTCTGGGGAATGTTTTGAGTTGTGGGTATAAATTTTTCATTTATTTGTGTATGCAATTACAGTTCTTTTCAGAAAACTATCAAAATTGCTATGCATATTTTCTAATACATTCTTTTCTACCGTATTATTAGAATTTGGAGATGTAGGAAAGATTCACTTGTGAGCTTATGCCTAAGTTCCTGCTGTAGTTATAAAGCTCTAGTACTTTTTTTAACACTGTATCACACAGATTTTTGCAAATACAACCAGTGAATAGAATCTGCTCTGCCTCCATACACATGATAACACACTACTTATTCTCCTTTTGAAACTCGGGAGGTGGAAGAATTCTTCGAAGAGGAATTCTGTTAAAAAGATGGTGATTAATACATTAAAAAACCCTTTAAAATATTAATTTATTCTGTGTATGTCACAAATTCAGATACATTTAATGCCTACATTGAAGCATGTAATATATGTTAGCTACATTTGTATAGAAGCAGGCACGGCAGAAACTGCTGGTGATCATCCAATATCCATTCTTCCCCTTTTCTCTTTGGTAATAAAATGCCCACATTTTTACTAAGTCTATGGTCACTCAAACAAAACTATTTTCATTCTTTCCTTTCAGGTAATGAGCTATGTGACTAATTTCTGGCCAATGGAATGTGAAGAGAAGGAATGTTTACAAATATTGAATAATGTTCTTAATGGGAAAAGAAGTGATTTTCATTTCTTATCCCCTCCCAACTGTATGGAATACAGATTTGATGGCAGAACCTGGATTTGTACTATTAATAGAGGACATCTGCTAAGTATGGCAAAAAGACAAGCTAGAATCTGGGACCTAGCTTCAGGTCTGGAGGCTTAAGCCTCCTGTTTACAGGGAGATGACTGAAAAAAAAATAGTCTCTCTACTTTAGCCCACTGTTATTTTTGCCATTATTTTAGCAATTGAACCTGTATCTGAAATAATAGAGAAAGCACATTTAAATATAATTTTTATTGTATTTTATTTTTTTGAAACGGAGTTTTACTCTTGTTGCCCAGGCTGGAGCGCAATGGCACCATCACAGCTCACCACAAACTCCACCTCCTGGGTTCAAGCAATTCTCCTGCCTCAGCCTCCTGAGTAGCTGGGATTACAGGCATGTGCCACCATGCCCGGCTAATTTTGTATTTTTAGTAGAGACAGGGTTTCTCCATGTTGGTCAGGCTGGTCTCAAACTCCCGACCTCAAGTGATCCACCTGCCTCAGCCTCCCAAAGTGCTGGGATTACCAGCGTGAGCCACCGCGCTTGGCTTAAATATTATTTAATACATGTTAAAATATATGAGCATTTTAAGAAAGCCATAATTTTCAGCAAACTAACACAGGAACAGAAAAGTGAACACTGCATGTTCTCACTCATAAGTGGGAGCTGAACAATAAGAACACATGGACACAGGGAGCATCACAAACTGGGGCCTGTTGATGTGTGGAGGCAAGGGGAGGGAGAGCATTAGGACAAATACCTAATGCATTCGGGGCTTAAAACCTAGGTGATGGGTTGATAGGTGCAGCAAACCACCATGGCACAAGTATGCCTATGTAACAAACCTGCACATTCTGCACATGTATCCCAGCACTTAAAGCAAAATAAAAATTAAACAATTTTAAAAAAATATATGGACATTTAAATAATTTAAATATGCTATGCAAAAGTGCTTAATATGTTAAATTGGCATAATTTATTAGCATAATAAAAATTATTTTTCACATTTTAAGTATATTTATACTAGATGCAGTGATATATATAATACGCTGTTTCTTTACTTTCCTAAAGTGTCATGATGGCCCCAATGTGACTGCAACTTCTAGGTGTTATGAAACAAAAGGGACAACAACAACAGCAGCAAAGTTTCCTTAATCTGAATAAAACATATTTATATTTAATATGCAATGCTCTATATTTAAGTTTATTTCTGTCTGCTTAGATTATAAGTTTAGTCCTGCGGGTTTTCTCATAGCTCCACTATCAGATGGTAATAGACGTGTGGGGACAGTGCCTTGCATGACCTTCTGGCTTTGGCTGGAGGGAAGAGGACACATGTGATCATCCTTATCTCAACATGTGTGCTGGATGATTTTTGTGCCGATAGAAATGGTCACTTCCTGTCATTGGGCATCCTTATGTTTTCTGTTGTTGATATCTCTGATTCATTAATTTTTAATATTTCTTAGCTCTGTCAGAATCTAGTGGCCTTTTCCTGCTAGTTGGGCTTCCATCAGTCCTCCCTGGTGTTACCAACTCTTCTGATTAACATACATATCCTTCATTCTTGTTCCCGTCCACTCATTCTACAGTATAACAGTGGTAACAGTGTAAAGGCAATGCACTCCTGCGTAGAAGCCTCCATGTTTGGCCTCTCCCCACTTCATACAAAAAATGATTAAAGCTTGGAAGTGAAAATTAGATTTTTCTCTACCTATGTTGTTTTGTTTTCTTTACTCCTCTATTGCCTTTTATTTGACCTCAGGGAAATCCAATATTAGTTTTTCCCAAAATATAACCAAAATTAAAAAAAAAATTTCTGGTCCTCAGAGATTTCCTCAACCTTAATAACCTCCTCCATGATTTGAGAAGTTAAACCACCAGTTTGAAGATAAGTTTTGACTATCTGTATCTTCTAACTCACCTGTTTTCTTTCCTCTGTTTTCTTCTTTCATTCCCTTTCTTTTCCCCACCATTTCTCAGGTTTGAAAATGTGGAGTTTTGTTTTGCTTTGTTTTGTTTTGTTTTTTTCCAATTTCAGTCTTCTAACTAGCAAAGTAGTTGCCGTATTTTTTCAAAGGACAACCTTTGCTTTGAAGTGTTTAATATAAGTTAAAAACACGTGGTTAATCCTTTTTATTTCTTTGATAATGCCTAGATTTTGAGTCCATTGTCTTATTTCTATTTTTCTTAAGCCAAATGGATTAGCGTTGTTCTTTTTCATCTTATTTCTAACATTCCTAATTACTATCTCTCTGAAGGAATATTGCTATTTCAATGCTATAGTCCCATTACATTTTATATGAAGGTAATCTCTATACATATACTAGAGGCCAGAGTTCAATATTTCAGCTGGCTACTAAGCACCATAAGTTATTTTGTCAAAATAAAAAAGGATTTAATAACAGAGTAGAAACATTAAACATCATAGATGGAAAATTTTTAGTTAGGATATATCTAAACCTTCCCATTATCGTGAATTCTTTTTCTTTTTTTTTGATTTGGAGTTTCACTCCGTCACCCAGGCTGGAGTGCAGTGGCACGATCTCGGCTCGTGGCAAGCTCCACCTCCCGGGTTCACGCCACTCTCCTGCCTCAGCCTCCCCAGTATCTGGGACTACAGGCACCCGCCACCACACCTGGCTAATTTTTTGTATTTTTAGTAGAGATAGGGTTTCACCGTGTTAGCCAGGATGGTCTCAATCTCCTGACCTTGTGATCCACCCGCCTCGGCCTCCCAAAGTGCTGAGATTACAGGCGTGAGCCACCGTGCCCAGCCTCATGAGTTCTTTTATTCCTAGACTGGCTCTTCCAGTATTTAATAATGTGCACTTACAAAAGGTCAAAAAAATTATTTTCTTGAGATTTCAGATTGCAGTAATGTTGATAGCTATTAAATGAATAGGTAAACTAATCATTAATCTCTGGAGACTTCCTTGTTAGAGAATAAACTATGAGTGCTGATGATTTTATTTCTTCTATGTATTGAACTTATGTAACTTGGTTAAATGTCTTTTTCTTCCATTAGTTACCAGGATGGGTCCCCACTGCCCTGTAAAATATAACCTTAGATTTGAGATTGTCTCTATATGAAAATCAAATGATTTATACACATCATTAATGTACTGCAACTGAAGAATTACCTTAAAACTTAATAGTTACATATAAAAATATGACATAAGATGATTTCAGCAAACTAATTTAAAAAATTATTTAGTGAAATTTTTAAGTTAAGGTTTTTCTAATATACAATATTTGTTTCTTGCCACACAATGAAAAGGAAAAGATATGGAATAATTTTCTGAGTAATTGTAACTATAAGATTACATTTTTTGTTAGAGGTAATTATGACAATGGGAGCCTCAGATCATAAAATTGCTTTAAAGAAAACATATTGTTTCTACAAATTTTATCTAAAACATATTTGGAGCTTAGAACATTAGCTTTCCACAATAGGCATTGATAATTTTACAGATATAGACCTCTAAGTTAAGAAAATTCAGGAAAGAATAAAAATAAGCTCGAAAAGGAGAAAGTTGAAGATTAAAATTTCATAGTAGTTTCAATAGTAAGAAACCATTTATGATGATTTTTCCAAGCTGGAACTGGTCTGCACTGAACATTGCAGTGATCCACCAAGCATCGGAAATTATGAAGTAGGCGTATATCTTCTCTGAAATTTTACTTATTCAAAGACTTGGGAAGGAGAATTTTTTATTTAATTTTAAACATGTATGAATATGCTATGATGTAAAATGAAAAGTTAATATGCATTAAATCTTTAAAGGAAGATTTCAAGCACACTAGGGCTGTATGATCCTGTCTATATCTCATAAATGCTTCTGTGCTATAAATTTCATTTTTTCTCTCTGCTAGTAATTCTTTATTGGAAAAGATTCAAAAGCAAGGCTTCAAGATTGGAATTAAAATCATAATTATATGAAATAGGAAAAAAAGCATTCCGTTCATTTTAGCAAGAGAAAGATAAAGGCTCTTAGCCTAATTTCGGAACTAACGTTGCTATAGGTATGTTAGATCAACAGTCAAGCAAGACCTGGGTGAGGGTGAATTGGGATCCACAATAAAAACTGGAACCCATAAATAAAAACAGGAACCTGTGTCTGTCTTGCTACATTCAAACTTGATGTGGACAACATTCAAGAAAGCATGACGCTTCCTATCACAGAGTGGTACAAGTTTATGTCAGCATTCTTTTCCCAGAGAAAGATTTGACAGAAACTAGGAAGGGTTTAATTTTGGAGAAAAGCATTTTATTCAGAAGATTCTCAAGTGAAGAAATGACAGGCTTATAGTTAGGATAGGAATGTATTCACTTTGCCTGGGATCCAGGATGGGAGTTTCATCACTGAAAGAAAGTAGGTTACAAAAACCGCAGGTGGGTTTGAGCGGATTCTGGAAAAATGACAATTGCTTGGTCTAGCTCATTTGAACTATAGGCACTCCCTTATGATTAAAGACTAAATTGAAATTTTTGCTTTAGGAAGGATTTCATAAGTAGGTGGTTACTGGAGGTACTCAAATGTAGTTGTTTCAGGGAATAAAGAGCTGGGGGAAGGGAGGGAAAAACTAACAATTCCTGAAAACCAAATAGAAAATAACCAAGGAATGAGGGAAAGAAAGGAGGGAAGATAAGGAAAAAGGAAGGGAAAAATTTCTATCAAAACTTCATCATACAAACACCCTTTCTAAGTTATTTCATCCTTTCAACAAATGTATGAAACAGTGTTTATTACTTATTATTTTACAAATGAATAACTAGAAATGCAGAGAATTAAGTAATTGACTTCCTAAGAGATAGCAAATGTGAGAGCAGAAACTCAAATTCAGATTTATCTCATTTTATTATTAATGTTCACCCTACGATCCTTTCACATGAATCCAAGCAGGTCATTACAAGATGACCCCTCTTGAAAGCTTTTGACTGTGGCAGTTTTTCTAAAACTACTGTGGTTGGCTTCAAAATTCTCTTTAGGTTTAAAGTTGCAGATGGAGAAAAGCTAAGGGTTATCTTTGAACTTGTATTATTGTAAGATTACTGATTTGTAAAATAATAGAAAATATGAATTTTCATACTTATGTTTAAACTACTGCATACCAAAAGTATCTGAGACAGGTCTCAATCAATTTAGAAAGTTTATTTTGCCAATGTTAAGAATGCACTCATTGGCCAGGCGCAGTGGCTCACGCCTGTAATCCCAGCACTTTGGGAGGCCGAGGTGGGCGGATCATGAGGTCAGGAGATCAAGACCATCCTGGCTAACACGGTGAAACCCCGTATCTACTAAAATACAAAAAAATTAGCCAGGCGTGGTGGTGGGCACATGTAGTCCCAGCTATTCGGGAAGCTGAGGCAGGAGAATGGCGTGAACCTGGCAGGTGGAGCTTGCAGTGAGCCGAGATCACGCCACTGCACTCCAGCCTGGGTGACAGAGCGAGACTGTGTCTTTAAAAAAAAAAAAAAAAGAAAAGAAAAGAAACAAATGCACTCATGACAGCCTCAGGAGATCCTGATGACATGTGCCCAAGGTGGTTGGGGCACAGCTTGGTTTCAGACAGTTTAGGGAGACATGAGAGAGACATCAATCAATGCATGTAGATTGGTGAAGTCTAGAAAGGTAGGACAACTCAAAGTGGGGGCTTCCAGGTCATAGGTAGATTTAAAGATTTTCTGATTGGAAATTGGTTGAAAGAGTTATTGTCAGTAGAAAGAAATGTCTGGGTTAGGATGGGGGTTGTGGCGACCAAAGTTGTATCATGCAGATGAAGCCTCCATGTAGCAGGTTTCAGAGAGAACAGATTGTACATGTTTCTTTTCGGACCTAAAGAGCCTGTTCTATCCGTAATTTCAAGAGGGAGGAGGGTATAAAGAGGCATGCCCATCCCCTCCTTCACATCATGGCCTGAATTAATTTTTCATGTTAACTTTAGAATACAATTGCCAAGAGGAGGTGTCCATTCAGATGGTTGGGGGGCTTAAAATTTTGTTTTTGGTTTATACTACATAATTTCTTTTTACTATGGCCTATTAGTGGAACTAGTCTAGTGATTTGTTCTTCCCTTTCTGGTTTCAAATAATTTGCTGTGTTTGTTTTTCTGGTAATTGATAGCATTTCAGGGAGATCCCACTTTTGCCACTTGTGAATATTAGAATTGTATTAATTTGTAGTCATACAACATTCATTTAATCTACACCTCTACATCACGTTCAATTAAAAGTCTTAGTGTTTCACTCATTTAAGTCTCACCTTGTCTTATCTCAGCATCTCAGAGGCCCACAGTGGGGATATGTGTGAGGGATTGAGTCTCAGAGTCTCTTTTTCCCTCTTGTTGCTCCAGCCACCACTGTCTGCTCCTCCCCCACCCCCTTAACCCCAGCAGGCTGTGTTTGCTTTTGCCAAAATTGTGAGAAAAGTTAAAAAGGCTAAATAAATAAATAAATAAATAAATGAAAAGGACCTTCAGTAGGTACTGCAACTTATTGATTACATGTAATGTTTCATGGCAGATGTGAAAATAATGGGTATTTTCCTACAGGAGTCAGGGACATTTTCAATATTCCTCACGTTCCAGGGGGCACTTGCAACTTTGCATGTCAACCTTGGTCAAGCACACAGCTGAAGAGAGCATTTCTGGTTGGCCCTTCTGGCAAGCAGCCACTCTCTATTCAACCAGTTTTATCAAAACTCTCACTTGGTTTGGGAAGGGAGGGAAAAGCTATCCACTCCCTGTCTTATCAACACTCACTCAACACTCTTCCAAATGAGCTTCATTTGCTCTGATAAATCTCTAACCTGAAAATGCAGATGGCAAGTGGGTGTTAAACAAATGATGTCAGAAATGGTTTTGCTCTTTTTCAGTGGGTCCCACAGATGGGTCTAGGTACTCTTTTAAAATGTGCTGGTACCTTAAAGCAACTGGTTTCAGCTCTGGACATTAGCCAAAATACTAAGACAACAGAAAACCCCATTTAACATCCTGATACCTAAGTACTTACCTTTGAGAATATTCAGAGACAATATGCCATAAGAATATACTGCGTTAGAAAGACATGATTTTCCCTGTTGGATAATCACATGTAGATAAGGTAGTTCACCTGACGTAAAACAGACTCGCTTTTTTTGTTTTTCAAAGTAAACAAGTAAGCAGCATGGTAGTCAGTTATTCTGGTAAGCAGGAATTAGGCCAAAACTATAGTGTGCGTGCGCGTATTGTTATACCTCAAAAACGATTTCTAGTACTACTTTCTAAATTGTTTGCAAAGCATTTCCAGGTTGTTTTTGGAAATCTACAGTTGTTATAAAAATACTGGCAGAATTTTAATTATAATAGTGCTACTGGGCACCATTAACCTCTTGCAGATTCATTCATGCTAAAAAAGAAAAAATAAAAAGGTAACTGCCAGGCATCAGTTTTTTAAATAAAGACAGGTGCTGCCAAGTCTCTGCTGGTTTGCCATCAACAAAAGAATCATTCTTTTGAAGCAGCCAGAAAGAAAGGGAAAGAAGTGGAAGATCAGCCAGGTCAATTGCTGAATGTTGTTCAAAAACAAAGGTGGCTTGTCCCAGGCTGCAAGCAGAAAGGCACCATTGACAGCCCAGGGTGGTAGCAGCACTTACTGTTGGTCCCTAACAAGGAGTTTTGCATGTGATTTTTATACTTTTGGCTAAGAAAGGAGGGGGTCTGGTTTTGAGAAGTATGCATACTTATATACACATACATATACTTTCTCCCCTCTCCTTCCTTCTCCAAAGGTGTTGGGTAAAAGTATTTTGCTGAATTTAAGATGCCATCAGGAACTAGAGTTTAAAATATCGGACCTGGCCGCAAGTTAAAGTGAATTGAGATTTTCATTTCTTCCCTTTTGGAAACCCTAATTTTAAGTATCAGTGAAATAATGTCTGTTCTGCTTTCTAGATGCAGTACATATCCAGATTTAAAAATCATTAGGCATCAGATTAGCCCTAAATTTGAAATCACCTTTGCAAAACATATGTAACATTGAGAAAATGACAAAGGTGAAAAGAGATCTGACCAAACCTACTCCATCTTGCTTCTAACCTCTAAGCTGCCCTTGTTCAAACTAACTTTGGAAGGAATTTATAGTTTAACTTTGAAACAAAGGTGATAACAGCTATTTCCCAAAACTAACCTCCTTTTTGCTTGGGGACCAGACTACTGCCTCTGTAAGACTAACAAAGTAGCCAAAAGATTAGAAATTATGGTTTAGGAGTCATGCAACCACAGGCCACAAGATTCCAAACCTCCCCAGTTGCTTTACTATTGTAAAACCTAAGATTTGTGCTCAAGATATTTTTCAGACCCTGCATTCTGATTCACCAGGCGATGCCACCGAGATAGGTAATCTGGCTCAACCAATTCTGTGATCCATCTAGGAACAGAAGACAGCAAGAAGAATCCAGTTTGACTCTTTGTGATTTCCTTTCTGACCCCACTCCCTGGCCCTGTGCCCACCAAATTATCCTTAAAAATCCCCAGTGTCCAAAGTTTTGGGGAGACAGATTTGAATAATGATACTCCAGTCTCTCGTATAGCTGGCTCTGTGTAAATTATACTCTTTCTCTATAGCAATTCCCCTGTCTTGATAAATCAGCTCTATTGGGGCAGCAGGCAAAATTAACCCATTACAAATTTACCTACGACCCAAATGCTTGTCATATTTCTGATTTGATAACCATTTACATGGGAGGAATAAAACATTTACAAAGACAAGAAATTTGCACAAAATGAAAATGTGGCTGCCAATTATTTGGCCTTTTTTAAGTCACTCCCATGAGAGTAAATTGTGGCACCCCAAAGAGGAGGGTAAGGCTAAGTGGTAAATGATGCTACAGGTTATTTTTTTTCTATGAATCCCTTTTATGAAGCCTTTCTTGAACTCTAACCACTACCCTAATGAGATTACCAGGCATGACAGTTCTAGCCACTAGAGAGAGAGAGATGCCACACACACACACACACACACACACACACACACACACACACACACACACAGAGTACTCTGCAAAATACGTGACATGCTTATTCTCTTTTACTTTCCCTCAAATGTCCCCTTCTCTGGGAATCAGGTTGTGCAAATCGGGCTCTTTGTGTAAGCATTCCACCAAGCATGATGTGGCCATGAGTGAAATCTTAGGATGTCTCTTGAAGAGGGACATAGCCTCTGCCTGTTGTAAACATTTCCTGATTATTTACTTCTTGATCAAGTGGAAGAAAAAAGGTAAGAAGTAAGAAGTGTTTTGTACAAAATAAACAATATTGAATCCTAGATATTTAATATGTTGTGCTTTAACATGCTAACTTTAGCAAAAGTTTTGTTTTACAATTTGTAGCTAATCATACCAAACTGTGTTCCTAAATTTATACAGTAAGGAAAAATGTACGAGATGAACTTAATCTGGGATACATTCTTAAATTCAGGACCATCAGATAGTGGAAATGCTTGCCAAATCAAAGTGCTCAAAAGGAAAAATTGCTGATAAAGGTCCAGACAGCCAAATCCACCCTGTCCTTGATGCGAGAAGTCAGCCTAGATTAAATATAATACTTCTAAGCTGATCCTCCCTGGTTGCACCACTAACAACCAGCCTTTCTCTGTGCTTAGCTTTTAAGACTAGAGTCTGGTGCCTGGGGTGTATGTGTATGTGTTGGGGGTGGGGTATTTATGGAAGAAACTGTCTGTAGATCAGAAAGTTCCTCCTGCTTCAAATACTTGCCTTTCGAATCCATTCAAACTATCACCTGTTTGGTGTTGGTTTGGTGCATCTCTCAGACATTTTCTTTCCAATATACCAAGAGGCTCACAGACCACAAACATGAGGCTCCAGACCTGAGTCATTAGACCTCTTTTGATTAGCAGCTTATGGATCCAATCACTGTTCTGAATTAATGTCTCTGTGTTACTATAAATCGCAAATGAACGACTGGATGGCATAAGATTTTCTTTTGTACCATTAGTTGGACTAAGAATAGAGAAGACATTACTATTTATACCTTAAAATAGTCTTAATTATATCTAGGAACATACTCAAGCCTATTTTTTCATTCTGCTATATTCATTTAAAAGATTAGGTAGGATTTGGTTAAATATTAAGTATGTCTTTTTCTAAAATGATGATAAAATAACAATCCCTTAATTTTACATCCTGCTGAATACACTCCTGGAAATTTGTGTGTATGCATCTATATCTGCTAACATTCCCCACAGTCTCCTGAATATTGAATATAACTTCTGCAAAATCTCTTTCCTTCTATCTTCTTCCTATTAACTTGCCATGTACTATATGGAAGCAGAAAAATAGTATCCCTTTTTGCCATCTCAAGGAAGTTCACTGCTAGACCTCTTATCTTCTGACTAGAACTATGAAATTACTAGGAAATAAATCAACTAAAAAATGGTGGAAAACAACTGGGCGTGGTGGCTCACGCCTGTAATCCCAGCACTTTGGGAGGCCGAGAAGGGCAGATCATCTGAGGTCAGGAGTCCAAGAACAGCCTGGCCAACTGAAACCCATCTATACTAAAAACACAAAAATTAGCTGGACATGGTGGCACATACCTGTAATTCCAGCTACTTGGGAGGCTGAGGCAGGAGAATCACTGGAACCCTGAGGTGGAAGTTACAGTGAGCTGAGGTCATACCACTGCACTCCAGCCTGGGCGACAGAGCAAGACTCCATCAAAAATAAATAAATAAATAAATATATATATAAATAAATAAAAGTGGAAAACAAAAGAAGAAAGAAAAATAAAGAAATACAAAAGAATAATAAAACTTTGTTTTGGTAAAACATCGTATTGATCACTCTTTTTTAAAACCTATTTTCAATATAAAATAACTTTTAAATATATAATTCACATGTATAACACATTTGTCAAGAACAGAGAGCTCAGTGGGGGAGGGGAAGGGATGGAATCCTCATTTATTAGTGTCTGGCAAGGTGCTAATTTTTTCATGTACTTCCTTTCCTTGCTATAAACTGGCATATTGTGAGCACATGCGCTTCCGTGAGCCTACATGTTACTATCAGGAGTAACAATTGCCAAGAGACTGTATTGTTAATTGACTTTTCCAGTTAAGTTAGAAATAATCAAAAAACACTTGCTACCAAACATATTGTCTAAATGTATAAGGTGTTTCTTGTACTGTGACAGTCCATTCTAGTGAGCATAGCAATCTGTCTCTATTATGACCATGTCTCTGGAAGTGCCAGTTTCATTCTAAAGATCATTCTTACATGCCCTGCCTGTGCCACAGGTGTAATAGGTGTAGATACTTCATCTGAGTGTACTTGACTCAAGAATTTTAGGACATTTATCTAAGGCCACACAGACAGTAAGAGACATTTTCAAAAGAACCAAGCTCTTCACGGCTCCAGCCCAGGTAGTAAGTCTTTGTCTTGAAAAGGATGATCAGCTCTGCTAAATTTTCTAGAAATAATTTCCAGAAGGAAAAAATATAAATATATCTGAAAATCCCCAGAATCTTTGCACACTTGAGAGGAGATCGTCTTTTCCCTTCTATCTTCTTCCTATTAGTTTGCGATGTGCTATGTGAAGGCTATATTTAACGTATTCCCCTCATACTGTGGGGATCCTCTGTGTTTCTAAGAGCCTCAGTACAATGCCACTGCGGATGGTGCCCAAGTTATCATGATTTGACAACAATTTTTCAACTTTTTGATGGTGCAAAAGTGATACGCATTAAGTAGAAACTATATTTTGGGTACCCATACAACAATTCTGTTTTCCAATTTCAGTACAATATTCAATAAATTGCATGTGCTACTCAACACTTCATTATAAAATAGGCTTTGTATTTCATGATTTTGCCCGATGAGGCTAAGCTATGCTGTTCAGTATGTTAGGCATATTAAATACATTTGGCTTACTCTATTTTCAACTTATGATGGGTTTATTAGAATGTAACCCCATTGTCAGTCTAGGAGCATCTGTATAAAGCAGAGCTGTGTCTGGATATTCATCTGGGTATGCATTTCAAATGCTACGCTGAGCTAAAAAGGATGAGGTCAAAGCTTCTGGAAAATTGTACAGAATGCTCTCAGCATCTCTGGCATTGCCCTGGAATATAACAATTCCAGAAGCTTGAGTGCGCGTGGTTTTGTCTCCTGTCCACCTATTATTGCATACTTGTTGTAAGTGGCAGATTAGCCTACGTATTATGCTGAGAAAATGTACCTCTTCACATCTTACCATTGAGAAAGCCCTCTTCCAGGAGAGTTATATATTTGACATGAAATTATTTTCTTGCCATGTATAGTTGTTGTTGTGCTATCAATGTCATAGAATGCAGAGAATAACTGGAATATCTGCATTTTAAATAAACAGCATTGAACTTAATACTGGAGCGACTGAGCTCTGGGAAGCAAGAGGGGTCAAATTAATGCCATACTTAGCAACATGCTCTTTTATCATGAATATTCCAATAGTGTAAAAATGCACCTGCTTTATCAGTGGTGGAATTTGTACTCATGCTTCAATAGGTAACGGGTCCCCGATTATCATCAACAGGAAACTTCCAAAATGGTCTCCATTTGTGATTTACCCTCCAAGAGATGGAATTCTTTTGAAAGAGACTGGAAAGGGAGGGCGTGTGTATTTTCTCTTTTATCTAACTCCTTTCCTTTGTTTCAGTTTCACATGGCAGGCTGTAGAGATCTTGCCCAGTTCTCATGCCCTGAGGTCATACAGTAAAATGGCACTAGAAACAGGCAGTTCTGTTTCATCACAAGTGACAAAACCACATCCTCTAAGTTTGAAATTAGTGCAGCTGAAAATATGGTGAGAAATGAATCACATCCAGATGACATTTTTCAAGTTCTCCTCAGTCTGGTACAATCTTGTGGTTCTCTCCTTTCTGTTTCCTCTTGAGCATGCTATGGTTTATGAACTTGAGTGGAATCTGCCAGCAGTTCCCCAGGCTAAGGACATAGTGCAAAATTTCCATAGGGTGTGGAGATTTGCTGATTACAGTTTTTCATCACTATGTCAATCAATTCACCATATTTCTTGTTTCTACGATCATATTACAGTTAATCAGCCAGGGACCCTTTTTTTTAAAGATGCAGATGCTAAATAGTATAATGTTCTTAAATGTTTTAAAGTAGCTTTTTACTACTCAACACACCCATACACACAGATACAAGACATCACCTTTTATATATCTTTATAATTACAACATTTATTTTAGAACATTATACCAAGTAGCAACAGTCGATAATGATTCTGATATGTAAAAGCCCAAATAGATTTTGGTAAGTACTGACCTCACATAGAATGTAACTTACATGGTACCTTCTTCACCATCAATAGCTTTGTTTTCAGAATGGCTTGTGGAACAACAAAAACTACAATTCATTTTGCATTTTTCTTAAATGAGTGCCCATGAGCAAATGAGAGATAAAATGCTACCCTTTAAAAATATTCTCTCTTTCCCTTTTTTTTGCCCTCCGTAGAGACGGAGTCTTGCTCTGTCGCCCAGGCTGGAGTGCAGTGGTGCCATCTCGGCTCACTGCAACCTCCTCCTCCCAAGTTCAAGCAATTCTCCTGCCTCAGCCTCCCGAGTAGCTGGGACTACAGGAGCACACAGCCACGCCAGGCTAATTCCCTTTGTATTTTGGTAGAGGCGGGGTTTCCCCATGTTGCCCAGGCTGGTCTCGAACTCCTGAGCTCAGGCAATCTGTCCGCCTCTGCCTCCCAAAGTGCTCGGATTACAGGCGTGAGCCATCGCACCCAGCCAAAAAATATTCTCTCTTTCTTAAATCACATTGTTGTATTTATATCTACGTTTTGAAACTTCTGCATTGGTATAACGATCGTAACTAAAGTCTTAAGTCCCAGAACAAAATAAACACTTTGGTATGATTGCATGATGAGCTTCTATAAATAGTTTCATTCACATTAATTGGGACTTGGAAACTACTGTACATCTGTCTGTTACTATATCACATCAGGCTATAATCTCTGGATTATTATTATTATATTATTATTACAGTAATAATTATTGTTAATTTATAGCTGGAAGTCAAAGTGGGTGCCTACCTCACCAGGGTTACTGTTTAAGCCCAGTGTCTGCAGTTATGGCTAATTCACTGTTTACCTTCCACTGTACAATTCTCTTCATTGGTCTACTCATTTCTGCACTTGCACTCTTATAACCAAAAAAAGAAAAGAAAAAGCTGATTTTCCTCTTTATTCTTTAATGCCTCAAATATTAAAGTTTAGTAACTTTAATGTAATGTGTATATAATGTAAATCTAGATTATCTGGCCTGAGAATTTACTATTCTGTTGATAGCAGCAGGACATTAAATAGTATAAGGTCTAGAGATAGAGATTATTAGAAAAAAATTTTGGTTACCAGGTCAGTTTGCAACTAAATGTAGCTCTCAAAATAAAGTGATAATATTAATTTCAGTTATATGAAAAGATAGGATTTTGATAGTATTAGAGCTGTAAATTCTAAGTATATTTTTGTAATTTTTTTAAGGCCTCTAGAAAAAATGGTTTAGTCAGACTGTCTCTAGAGTTTGAGAGACAAAGTAGTAAATTATTATTAGTAATAAAACAATGTGTTGATAACTAACATCAAAGATTATTTTACTTAGCTCCAATTTAAGGGCCTTTTTAATTCCAGTGATCAGAGTAGTAGTCAGAAAATCTTAAGCAAGAAAAGATCATCTACGGAAACATTATTCTTATAGAAGTATGAAATAAGTTCTAATATATGTATTTCTTTACACATAACGTATCCTCATTAATTCTTACCTCAGCATAGTCTAAAGTAGAGCTACTCAAAACACAATTTGGAGATCTGTTTATTTGTGGAATGTTTGTTACATGTTTCCTCTGAGACAAATGTAGACATTCAGAGTGTTTCAAAAAATGTAGACAAATTCGACATTGCCATGGTATTTAAGTGTATAAAAAGGGAGCTTCCATTTTTATGTCCTTTTTTTTTTTTTTTTACATTTTGCATAGTTGCACAGACTTACTCTAGGGGCTGTGTATATTTCTAGTTGCCATGAATTTTCTATTCTTTTTTTCTTCTCTCTCTCTTTTTTTTTTAATTGAGACAAAGGTCCCAATCTCTTGGCCAGGCTGGTCTTTTAACTCCTGGGCTCAAGCGAACATCCCAACTTCCAAATAGCTGGGACTACAGGCATATCCCACCTTGCTCAGCTCCTTCTTTCTCCCTGTCTTTTTTATTATACACATTTATTTATTTAGTATTTATTCTGAACTCAAAGAACCCAAGATCATACACACTTTAAAGATCTCCAGAGCAACTTAATGTAGTATGTACGTACCATTGTACAAAGTGAAATTTTATACAAGTACATACAGACAAAAGACCCTTCAGCTATTTTCTTACTTTGGAGTGTATTTAAAATTTGAAGGAACACCACTGTTACAATCCTTAGAGAGGAAAGTCACTCCATACTCTCAAGGTATTACACTTTCGGATCCCAGCCTCCAACTATTGATGAGATAGTTGTCTGTTCTGGACCACGCTTTGGGAATACTTGCTGCTCAACACACTCTTAATAGCTAAAATAATGCAACTCAAAATGTCTGATTTCAGAAAGCCAGCCATTCTCCCTAGAAATTAAAAGGCTTCAGAAAAGGTCCTTCCTTGCATTTAGGCAAAGCAAAGTGCTGAGATTACACCTTGTAGAGTCCTATAGAATGAGTAGGCCATGGATCATTTGTCTCAGCAGAAAGAAATGGCAGTGTTTCCTAGTTTTTTTTTCTGATACTCCAAGAGATACACCTCCTTATTCCAGCCAATCAATTAGGATAAACTACTACACGAAAGAGGCTGATATTTTCTCAGCAGGCTTTTAGTAAATATTAGATGTCTAGCGTGTTAGATATCAGGGCTTCAATTGTAGAGATGTATTAGATGATATTTTTGAGTGCACACATAATTGTAAGACACACCTGACAAATCTGAATTTGCTTGTTTTTACGTAAGACTTTGGAATGGTCTTCAGAATTTGCAGTGGAGGTGTTTGCCTAGTTTTGCCCTTGTCTTTCCAAGGAAAAAATAAAATTTAATGGCAACATCATTGTATCCGTTTCAGAAATTTGTTTTTCTCTACAATTGTCTGTATACACTGTTTTAGGACTTCTGTATCCCTACAGGCTCTCAAAAATGGTAGGCAGTTGGTGTACATTTTTACTAGTGTGATGGTCATTGATGCATTTGCTATTATTTGGGTAGTTGTAAATTTTAAACCATGACTAATGATTTGGTACAGGACTGCTGCTCTAGATTTATACAGATATCTTAGAATTTCTTTTTCTCTTTGTCATTTTGGGTTCTGGAGTTGGGCCACTTTCTTCAGCCTATGTGCTGGATGAAGGAGAAAGGTTGCAAAAATCTTGGGCAGTAACAATTTTTTCATCTGTTGCACTAAATCCCTGAACACCATAAATTACTGAGTCCAAGCTTTTGGTTTAATTTTGATATTTTTTTCCTTAGAGACAGGGCCTTGCTCCATCACCCAGGGTGACTCAGCCTCCCAAGTAGTTGGGACAGTAGAGGAGCCTACTACCCTGCCAGGAAAATATTTTATTTTTTGTGGAGACAGGGTCTCACGATGTTGCCCAGGCTGGTTTGGAACTCCTTGCTTCAAGCAATCATCCTGCCGTGGCCTCCCAATGTGCAGGGATCACAGATGATTTTGTTCTAAACATTTCAAATGCACTTGAATAACGGCTGTGAACACACACAAATTATATTTATGGTAAAGTGTTTTTTTAAAAAAAGGCTCAAAGCAGTTATTAATTCTATGATAGTTCTCTTATCTAAGTCCCAGTATCAGTAAAATATACTAAGTTGAATTTAAAAGGCATATTTGACACATCACATAATTAATTTTTATTTTTCCATTTCTATACTTCTCAGTGTAAAGTATTTCACAATGAATGCAATTATGAAGTTTAAATTCTCATAAATTAAAAAAGCAAAGAAAGAAATTTACTACTTTCCATGGTGTTCACACGGTTCATTCATTCATTTGAACTTTCATTCAACAAGTGTTTATTGAAAATATATCAATTGCCAGGTAGTGTTCTAGGCAGTGAGGAAAATGGGGACTAAATTTAATAAAAATATCAGCTTTCATGGAGCTTATTATTTAGTGATTAAAAAGAAGAATTCACTGATAGATTTTTATAATACACTTGCCCTAAGTTTAATACCTCTGATCTTTTTCCCCCCACTTTTAGGTCTGTGGTTAATCACTAGGCTTCACCTCCTAAAGTATTATGCTGTCAGTAAATTTTAATCATTAATTTCTGCAATGTGGTGAAAGAGCTAACAAAACAGGTTCAGGATTTAAGTATAAATAAAATATTTAGCCATCAACGTGGAGCTAAGTCTCAACAATTGATTTATCTATTCAGTCTTCATTACCACTAAAATTGCTTTATATTTAAAAATACCTCTTCCAATAAATGATAAATATTTGAGATGATGGTTATGCTAATTACACTGATCTGACCACACTATACATGTATCCAAACATCACTATGTACCCCATAAATATGTACAATTATTCTGTGTCAATTTAAAATTTTAATTAAAAAATTAAAGGTAAATCTACAAAAATTAAATTTTTTTAATACTGGTGAACACTGAACTTCATTTCCAGGGACAGGCAATTTCTTTATACATAACTTTAAGGTTTTAAAGTTTATGTGTTGCTGTTTTACATATGAAGTCAGGAAGGCAACAAACCTACTAATGATGCCACAAATGGTCACCTACATTATTAATAGTTGGATTGCTTTTAAAGAAGTAAAAACAATAAACATGCACATTTATAAAGTGCAAACCATAGAGAAGGTAACAAAAAATTTTGTAAAAGAATATTTTGTTTTCTCTTACTCAAAGCTAACAATTATTAGTAGGTTATTTTAACTCATTCCACCCCAGAATACAGTAATAAATACATATACCATCACATAAATATTCAGGTATCTACTTATCATGCTTTAAGTTTATTGACACAAGGACATCATATTATACAGATTCTTCTGTGCTTCCCTTTATGTAATTAATACTATGTTTTATCTTCACATCACTATGTGGAACTACTTAATCCCTTATGTTTATTGTTTTCCATCAGGCAAATGTGGCTTTGTTTACTTCTGCTGTCTCCTATTGAGGACACTTTTATTGTTTCTATATGTAAATATTTCTTAATGCAGCAGATAGTTAATTAACGATTTACAGGAACTCAAAGTAACATCTCAAGCTTTTTTTTTTCTTCTTCTTTTTAAGAGACAAGTTCTCACCCTCACTCAGGCTGGAGTGCAGTGCAGTGGTGCAGGCATAGCTTACTACAGTCCTGACCTCATGGGCTTGAACAATCCTCCTGCCCCAGCCTCCAGAGCAGCTGAGACTACAGGTGCATACTACCACATACAGCTAATTTTTCTAATTTTTTTTTTTGTAGAGGCGGTGATATGGTTTGGCTTTGTCCCACACAAATCTCATCTTGAATTGTAGTTCCCATAATCCCCACGTGTTGTGGAAGGAGCCAGGTGGAGATAATTGAATCACAGAGGCAGTTCCTGCCATGCTGTTCTTGTGATAGTGAGTGAGTTCTCATGAGATCTGATGGTTTTATAAGGGGCTTCACCCTTCTCTCAGCACTCACATCTCTTTCTGCCACCATGCGAAGAAAGACATGCTTGCTTCCCCTTCTGCTATGATTTTAAGTTTCCTGATGCCTCTCCAGCCATGCTGAACTGTGAGCCAATTAAACCTCTTTTCTTTATAAATCACCCAGTCTCAGGTATGTCTTTATTAGCAGTGTGAGAAGGGACTAGTAGAGATGCGGGTCTTTTTATGTTGCCCAGGCTGCTTTCACGCTCTTAGCCTCAAATGATTCTCCTGCCTTGGCCTCCCAAAGCACTGGGCCCGACTGTTTTTGATTCAGGTTCAACCACAGCTTGTCAATATGTGCTTTTTCTACAAGACACTTTAGAACATGTCTATTCTATTCTGGAAAATATCCCAGCCTAGCTGCAGAAGAAGGCTGCATCCAAGGGCTGTAAGAACTCATTGACTCTGCCTGTGAGTGTTCAGGTTGGCTTTACAAGGAAAAAAAACATTAAAAACTGTTAATCTGGTAGAACTAATCCTTCCTGCGACCTAGCCTAGCAGTAATACGTAAAGAATCAACTCTCAGTTACCTGTGACAATGAATGATGTACTGTGGAGGACAAAGACTTGGAAAGGAAAAAAAGTATATCTATATCTCTATATCTATATATCTACATCTATGTATCTATGTACATACATATATAAAAATTAAGTTCTAATTATGTATCAAAGAGTGACTTTTGTTTCACTTATATTTGTCCCTCTAAGTGCTAATGATGAGGTTCAAGATAAAAACTGCAAAGTTAAAAAAAAAAAGGGTACTAGAAAGGAATGAGATAAGACACTAAATGAATAATTTACTCTTATCAATGGAAGTAGTTATTTTTAAAAAACCCAAAAGCGGGGTCATTTCTTTGTGATTTATCACCACACATTGTTCTTATACATGGACACTCACAATATAACATATAGGAAAACAGTAAGACTATATTGGAGACTGCAGCTTTTCTCTAAGGATATCCTGACAACTGCAGAGAACTTTTGTTATTTAAGGAAAAGGAAGGACACACTATCAATATTAAGAACCGTGATGCCATTGTAGACGCTGAGATAGAATAGATTGGTTTTGGAGGAAATTTTTGATAAGGGATTTGATTGGAAGGGATTGCATTTGGCTTCTCTGTGTTGATGACAACTGCTTCTGGAAGTCGTGGTTAGCTCTCTTCCCACGACCTCAGTTACCACCACTGCTGAGCTGACAAGAATGGCCATTCCCACTGGAAACTCTTACAGTCACTGGCTGCCAGATATTGCTCCGAAACTACCAGGTGTTCACTGTACAGAGGTCAGGATTAAATACTTGCTTTTTGGTACTCACTGCTGAAGACTAAAGTATTAATATTTCTTCTCTCACTGAAGAATAGTTAGAAATGCAGAGGTTAGCAACACGTAACTACGTAAAGCTTGTTTCAATAATACAATATAGAAGCAATTACCTAGCTTTAAGAATTTTATTTTTATTTATTTTTTAGATTGACCCCCATCTTATTCCAACTACATGGGAAGCCAGTTAATCCTTACTTTTTACTTATATGTTAATGCAGAAAAACAACAATTTCAAATGTGAAAGCTTTATTAGAGGAAATGAAATTATGAATAACACAGCTGTCCCAGTGCTATGTTATGCAACTATTATCTGTTATAAATTGAATCTATGTATAATAGGGGTAATAAAATACAGGAAAGGCAGCTAGGTCAACAAGGGTGCCCTTTAAAAAACCTTGTTTGTCTTACAAAAATGAAAACAGGAAAAGAACAGTAGCTTAATATGCTAATAGAGATCTACTTGTGAATTAAGATTAGAGGTAACTAATTTAAAGAAAATAAGCCAGTTTTTAACTATGAGATAGATTTATAACATAATGACTTTTCATGTTCTGTGAGTGACTTATTTATTGCTTTTTATTCAGAATGAAAGATAGGTTCCAGTTTCTTACACCAATATTACTGAATAATAAACCCTTATATGCTTATTTAGTTGGAAACTCATAGGCATTCTATGAGTTGTGTTTCTTCAGGAATATTCTTAGGGGGTGATCTATCGAGTTTTTTACAAATCATCTCACCTTCTAGTGGTTTAACCAATGAAATAATAATTACTATCGGAGTATAGAATTTTCACCCTGCTGTTGAGTGAGACTATGGAGGCAAGATTTCAGCCCATTGACAAGTACGTGAAAAATAGATTTTTTGTAGATGCATACTATTTGGTTAACCTGATGGCATTCCATGCACTCATTTAGTCCATGTGTGCACACACACACCTGTGTGTGTATGTGTGTGTAGTGAATGGAGAAACTAGAAGGCACATTTTAATCATATTCTAAAGACACTACACAATTGTAATAGGCATTTCCCCTTTGTATCAATAGGAAAGACTAAGAAGAAACAACAATACTAATCCCTTTTTCATAGAATTAATAGTGGAGCAGATACTATGATTAGAAGAGATATTGGTGAAGCAATTGCAATAAATGTTCATATATGCTATAACAGGGAACTTATATATCAGGGGAGTATGTAGGAAGTACCCCTAAACTAGCCTAAGAGTGACCAAAAAATGCTTTCTGAAGAAAGTGATATATGAGTTATTAGACTGTATAATGAAAGTTAATCCCCGAACGTTTCCTCCTCCTTTGAATCCAACCCTTTGTCTTCTCCATGCTTGCAAATATAATTATGCATTAATTTCCTGGGGCTGTTATAACAAAGTACCACAAACTGAGGGGCTCAAGACAACCGAAATTAATTATGTCACAGTTCTGAAAGCTAGAAGTCTGAAGTCAGTGTGGGCAGGACCATGCTTTCCCTGAGGCTTCCAAAGGAGGATCCTCTCTGCCTCTTCTGGCTTCTGGCAGCCCCAGGGGTTTCTCGGCTTGTGGCAGCATAGCTCCAGTTCTCCATATTCACATGCTGTCTTGTCTTCCTTCTGTGTTTATGTATCTCTGTGTCTTCTCATGGTGTTCTATCTGTGTGTCTATGTCCAAATTTCACTATTCTTATTTTATCTTTATGAGGATATCGGTCACACAGGACTAGGGCTCATCCTAATAACCTCAAGTTAACTTTTTTGAATCTCTCAAGACCCTATTTCCAAACAAGATTATGAACACAAGTATTGACAATTAGGACTTCAACATATTTTTACTGGGGATAGAGAACACACAATTCAACCCAAAACATTTATTAACACCTCTTGGCTCCCAAAGCACAAGTCAAACATTGCTCCGATGTTTTATCCCTGGACAGTATGTTACAATTTACTGTATAGAAGTGGCTACATACACAACTTCTAGTGGGGAATTTTCTTATGTACTTTACTTTTTTATCTGCCTCCTTACTTTTTTACCTACTCCAGCACAATGCTTACTTGTTAAATACTGAGCATACAGATTAATAAAGAAGCAAAAGGTATTTTATTTTCTAGAATGATTTTTCAATTGATTTCAAACTTATTAAGAAAAAGAAAAGAGAAAAATTCCCTGCAGTTTATGCACTGTCTCACATTAACTTCTAATTTGTCAGAAAAATACCAAAAGAATAGCAAAACTCCCAAGGAGATAATATGAAATAGCCTAATATATTATCCTGACAACATCCCTACAGGCTGCCAAGAAATATGAAATTCAACAAGAAAAGATGCTCTGCTGCAAAAACTTCACTGTAAGAGCAGGAATGATCACCTTCAGAAACTATACTCAAGACCACTGCAACTGCAGAGGAATTGTATGCAGAAAGACATTATCTCTCAGGCTCAGAGCACAGTGCTTGGTAAAGCTAATTATATTCCATTGGAAGCATTTGAAAAATTTTTAACAATAATGAAAAATCGATATGCTTCTGTAGTCTCTGTTTAATAAGAAAGAAAAGAAATTGTAAAGATTGGCCTGGAGGGTGAAGAATTAAACCTCTAGATGTGTGTTTTCTATATCACTTCAAATTTATGGAATGAAATACATTTCTTCTTATCTTCAAACTGTACTTTTCTTATTTCATTCCTATAGTGTTAACATTAAGAAAAGAGGTCAGTAATGCGATAAGTAACTATAGTGTGATCAAATCACGGTGAACCAGAATCTGCTCTTAAATTTACAAAATACAACCCTCTATTCTAATATTTCAGATTTCATCAGACTGTCAGTGACCAATTCATGCTAATTATCATACAAAAGGTGCTTCTAGGAATCAGAATGTCAATTTATTAACTTTTAAATCACATTACAATAGCAGTATAATTTGCTCAAATTCAAAAGTAACAAAAATTCAACTGAATGAAAGAAGAAAATATCCTATCAATCTGAAAATACTAAAAAAAGAGCCATAACAAGATTTCTTAAAATAATATGAGGGAATAGACTTTCAAGTATGTCAAGTGTGATTTAAAATAGGATCATTTTTCTGAAGGCCAATTTGACAATATGCACCAGGAATTTTTTTAAAAGCATACACCTTTAGGTTCTGCAATAAAACTTCTAAGAAATTATCTTAAGTAAGTAGTCAGATAAATGTGCAAAAATTTATGCTTAAAATTATAGTAACACTTATAATAACAGAAAAATATAAAGTATTAAAATATCATTAGTATTAATATAGGTAAAAATTTTATACAGTGAAATACTATGCAACTGAGTCTGAACCTGATCAGTTCTCTACATTGAATTCTAATTTGTAAGAAATACAAGGGCAGAAGAACATATTGAATGATATCATGGAAATGTAATCAGCAAAGTTCAGTCTTGACAAGCTCTACAGAATAAAAGATTCCATCTTAAAACAAATTGCAAGGAAAAAAAAGAAGTGAAGGAGTAAGAACCAATCATTTAAAAATAACTTAGAAATACATTATCCAACATAGGATTTATTTGGATCATAAAGCTCATAAAGAATAATAAAAAATATTGATGCCAAGCAGAGAGATTTAAGCATTGAATGACATTTGATTATATTAAGGAATTGTAATAACTTGTTAGATAAGATATTGGTATTGTTATGTTTTTAAAAAGACATCCATATTTGCAAAACAGATTCATTGTATATTGGTTTCCAACATGTCTGAGTCTGGTGAGACAGAACACAGTCATATGCAACAAGTTACATGAAATGGATGTTTTTTCTTCCAGATAGGCAGCAAGGGACAGCAGAAGCCTAGAATTCATTGTGAGCTAGTCCCTCAAAGCTCAGAAAACCTGCCAGGGTGGATGGAATCTCATCTGCACATGCCCCACTTGCAGTTGAGGGACCTAGTATAGCGTGGCTGTGTCCCCAACCAAAACCTCTTCTTGAAATGTAATCCTCACGATCCCCGTGTGTCAAGGGCGGGACCAAGTGGAGGTAATTGGATCATGGGAGTGGCTTCCCCCATGCTGTTCTTGTGATAGTGAGTGAATCTCAGGAGATCTGATGGTTTTGTAAGCATCTGGCATTTCCCCTGATTGTGCTCACCCTGTTCTGCCACCGTATGAAGAAGGTGCTTTGTTTCCCCTTCACCTTCGCCCATGACTGTAAGTTTCCTGAGGCTTCCCTAGTCATTGCTGAACTGTGAGTCAATTAAACCTCTTTCCTTCATAAATTACCTCGTCTCTGGCAATCCTTCATAGCAGTGTGAAAATGGACTAATACAGAACCCTAGAAAGTAGTCCGCCCAGGGCATTCTGCCACAGAGCCACATGACCCTTTAGGTCAGATAAAGGATATCCCAATTCTAGGGGAGATTGGAACAGAGCCTGGGCTTTTCTGGCCAGTCCTTATCTCAAGATGTTGTGTCCAAACTCTTTCAACCATTATTCTTGAGAACTACAAGCAAGAAAAAAACTGAGAACTGGGCCAATTCAAAGCCACCCAGAGAACTTTCCTGCAATTTTTCTCAGATATGTGTATAGACTAATTGATATAATATCTGGGGTTTGTTTACAATAATTCAGAACTGGGGGTGGTGGTAAATGTGTGAGGTCTGGACAAAAATGATTCTGTTAATAATTTTGAAGCTTAATAATCAGAACATGGGAGGTCATTACATTTTCTCTATTTTTATAACATTTTAGAAAAAAATAAAAATTTTAAAAATGTGTGGAACTAAATGAAAAAGCATAACATATAACTTTTCTTTTTGTGTAAAATATATGACAGTAAGCACACATACATTGTAGAAAAAGCTGGAAAGATAAACCAAATGTTAACAGTAATTATCTCTGGATGGTGTCATACAAAGATCATTAATTTCAGTATACTTTTCAGTAACTTGTGACTTATTTTGCAATACTAAGTGTAGAAGAAGAAAAATGGAATTTTGTCACCTTAAATATTATATTTTTTATTTACTATATATTTCCTGTGAACTAAATATTTACATCTTTATCCAAACAACTGTATTATTTGTGTCAAAAAATATTTAAGTGCATTAGAGAGGCTTAAATAACAGTTCATATAGTCACCAGCATACTAAATGTTTCAGAGCTTGGAATTATCTGTCTTGGAAGGTGTTGACAAAAGCTGCCAAGTCCTCCCTCTTCGGTTTAATTTTTTTTAAACTATGCACAGACCACCCCTTTTGTTGATACATTCTCTTTTCAGAAATACTTGCCAATTAACTCAGCCAGAGTTTACTTTCCTTTTCATTTCATGGCTTTGGTTTGGGAAATACCCAGCCCGCTAAGGATTTCTACATATATTCAAGAGAAGCCAATTTACATTTTTTACGATTTTACATTTTTACGAGTTCAACTCTTTGGGCCTGCTTGTGCTTCTATACTTGGGGATCCCATTCTACAGACCCCTGATTTTGCTGTTCTTCTGGATGGCTTAGAATGTCAAGTTCAGGTTTGAATGTGCATACCATTTCTGGTTCTAACCAGTGGGTCACTTCACTCACTGTAATATATATTGTACTGACCTCTACGCGTATTTCCCATATCACATTTTAAGCTTTTTTTTCCTTTCATGCATTCTGTTCCTTGATACCTTTCTATTCAATGCCACGTTGAATTTAACTTTCTTTATCTTGCACATCTCTCTTTTACATAAGTTGCAAAGTCTATTTTTTCCTTCCTTCCTTCCTTCCTTCCTTCCTTCCTTCCTTCCTTCCTTCCTTCCTTCCTTCCTCCCTCCCTCCCTCCCTCCCTTCCTTCGTTGCCTCCCTCTTTTCTCCATCTGCTTTATCTCTCTGCTTGTTTCCGTCAAGATCTATCCATCTTCAAAATTTCCATTAATTTGAATTGTTGAAAATGACAACACAAGTGTTTTAGATTAGTTAGAAATTATTGATTAGGTGTTTGGGGCTGACTAGAGGATGACTTGATAATGTTACTCTAAATGATGTATACTCTAAGCAACCTCCACAATCTCAAGTATACATAACATATGACTCATTGAAGTTCCTTCAGATTTCCCAATGACAGGAAAATTAATATGCTTCTATCATTTCAGTGACCTATTCTATGTTTTTTGACAAAATTTGGCGCATAGTAATTTGTGTAGCATGAGATCATAAATTGTGATCCAAAACATACTATCCTTTTGCAAACATACATGTGATTGCTTAAAGGAGATTATAAAGAAGACGTGAGTGAGCTTTGTGGCACTAGATAAAACCCAGTAGCTCAGTCTGTGGAGCAGTTCATAAAGTAGGAAGCAGGAAAGCACACTCTTGAATAAACATGACTAAATTAAAAATTTTGAAGATGGAAGATAGGAGGCAGGACTAGCATGCAGCTCCCACTCGGATGGACAGAACAGTGTGTGGAGACTCACATCATAAACTTTTGCTCCAAGAACTACTACAGCAACACACCAGGAAAGTTGAGAGAATCCACAGACCCTTTGAAGGAACTACATCACTGCTGCAGGCTCTCTGAGATGCTGAAACGCTGTGAGTCTGCTTGCTTTCTCAATGGGGAGGCTCATGGTATGGGGCAAGTTCTCAGCCCTGGTCACCAGCTGTCTGGAAATAGACTCAGTGCTGTTGACGGGGCATGGTAAGAGTGAGACCGGCCTTTAAGACTGTGGGCTACATAGAAGGGGGATGAGAGCTGTGACTGCCGGCTTTCCCCCACTTCCCTGGTGACCTATATCTCTCAGTAGAGGCAGACATAATCCCCCTGGGAACATAAATTCATTAGCCTGGGAACCACACCCCCACCCCCAGAGCAGCTCAGCAAACCCCACCTAAGGAGAGGCTGAGCTCAGATATGTCTGCCTGCACCCACCTGGTGGTCTTTCTCGACCTGCTCTGGCAGCCAAAGACAAAGATCATAATCTCTTGGGAGCTCTGTGGCCCTGCCTACCCTGAAAAACCTGAATACTTAACCAAGTGTCCCTAGGGCAAACTTGAATCCTCCCTATAGGAACATGCCACCTCCTGGCTAAAGGCCAACCAACACAAAACCAGCACACTAAACAAAAACACAATCAAGGACCCTCACAGAGTCTACTTTATCCTCCTGCTACCTCCCCTGGAGCAGGTACTGGTGTCAACGACTGCAAGACCTCAAGATGGATCATATCACAGGACTCTTTGCAGACATTCCCCAGTACCAGCCCAGAGCCTGGTAGCTCTGCTGGGTGGTTTGACTCAGAAGAGCAAAAACAATCACCACAGGAAACCCCATTCCTGGGGGAAGCTCTCAGGAAACTCCATTCTTAGGGGAAGCCAGAGAACACCACATCAAGGGAGTACCTCCTGGGACAAAAGAATCTGAACAGCAGCCCTTGAATCCTAGATCTTCCCTCTGACATAGTCTACCCAAATGAAAAGGAACCAGAAAAACGATTCTGGTAATATGACAAAACCAGGTTGTTTAACACCCCTAAAAGATCATAACAGCTCACCAGCAATTAATTTAAAGCAAGATAAAATCTCTTTATTGGTTTTGAATTGCCAGAAAAAGAATTCAGAAGGTTGATTATTAAGCTAATCAAGGAGACACTAGAGAAAGGTAAAGTCCGACTTAAAGAAATCAAAAACATGATACAGGATATGAAAGAAAATTCTTCAGTAAAATAGATAGCATTAAAAAAAAATCACAACTTCTGGAAATCAAGGATACACTTGGAGAAATGCAAACTGCACTGGAAAATCTCATCAATGGCATTGAACAAGCAGAAGAAAGAATTTCAGAGCTCAAGGACAAGGCTTTCAAATTAATCCAATCTGTCAAAGACAAAGAAAAAAGAATTTTAACAAATAAGCAAAGCCTGCAAGAAGTTTGGGACTATGTTAAACATTCAAATCTAGGAAAAATTGATGTTCCTGAGGAAGAAGAGAAAACTAAAAGTTTGAGAAACATATTTGAGGGAATAATAGAGGAACACTTCCCCAGTCTTGCTAGAGATTGAGACATCCAAATACAAGAAGCTCTAAGAACACCTGGGAAATTCATTGCAAAAAGATCATCACATAGGCACATAGTCATCAGTTTATCTAAAGTCAACCTGAAGAAAAGAATCTCAAGAGCTGTGAGGCAAAAGCATCAGGTGACCTGTAAGGGAAAACCTATCAGATTGACAGCAGATTTCTCAGCAGAAACTCCACAAGCTAGAAGGAATTGGGGCTCTATTTTTAGCCTCCTTAAACAAAACAATTATCAGCCAAGAATTCTTTATCCAATGAAACCAAGCTTCATAAATGAAGGAAAGATACAGTCTTTTCCAGACAAAGAAACACTGAGAGAATTCACCACAATCAAGCCAGCACTACAAGAACTGCTAAATGGAGCTTTAAAGCTTGAAAGAAATCCTCAAAATACACCAAAGTAGAACCTCCTTAAAGCATAAATCTCACAGGACCCATATAACAAAAACACAATTAAAAAAGATATTCAGGCAACAAATAGCACAATGAATAAAATACTACCTGACATCTCAATATTAATATTAAACGTAAATGACCTAAATGTTCCAGTTGAAAGAAACAGAATGGAAGAATGGATAAGAATTCACCAACTAAGTTTCTGCTGTTTTCCGGAGATGCATCTAACACACAAGGGCTCAAATAAACTTAAGGTAAAGGGGTGGATAAAGATATTCCCTGCAATTGGACACCAAAAGTGAGCAGGAGTAGCTATTCTTATATCAGGCAAAAAAAACTTTAACACAACAGCAGTTAAAAAACACAAAGAGAGACATTGTATAATGATACAAGGACTAGTCCAACAAGAAAATATCACAATTTTAAATATATATGCACCTACCACTGGAACAGCCAAATTTATAACACAATTACTACTAGTTTCGTTCTTCTACATGAGGATATCTAGTTTTTCTAGCACCATTCATTGCAAAGAATGTGCCTTCTTTATCATGTGTTCTTGGCACCTTCGTGGAAGATTGGCTGGCTGTAAGTATGTGGTTTTATTTCAATGTTCTCTATTCCGTTTCATTAATCTATCCGTCTATTTTTATGCCAGGACCATGTTGCTTTGATCACTATAGCTTTATTGGATATTTTGAAGTTGGTTTATGTGATGCCTCCAGCTTTGTTCTTTTCGCTCAAAATTTCCTTGGCTAGTCAAGGGCTTTTGTGGTTCTACATGAATTTTTAGATTGTGTTTTTCCATTTTTGTGAAGAAAGTCATGGAATTTTGATAAGGATTGAATTGAATCTGTAGGTTTATTTGAGTAATATGGCTATCACAATAATATTAATTCTTACAAAGTGTATACATGAAATATCTTTTCATTTATTTATGTCTTCAATTTTGTCATGAATTTATCATAGTTTTCAGCATAGAGATGTTTTACACCCTTGGTTAAATTTATTAATAGGTACTTCATTTTTTTTAAAGCTATTGTAAGTGGGATTGTTTTCTTGATTTTTTTTTCAAATAGTTTGCTATTAATATGTACAATTGCTACTGATTTTTGTATGTTGATTTTCATCCTGCAACTTTACTGAATTTATTTATTAGCTCTAACAGGTTTTTAATGGAGTCTTCAGGGGTTTCCTCATGTAAGAACATATCATCTGAAGAAAGAGACAATTTAACTTGTTCCTTTTCATAGTGGGTGCCTTTGTATTTATTTATCTTACGTAATTACTCTGGCTAGGGCGTCCAGTGCTATATTGAATAGAAGTGATGAAAATGGGCCTCCTTTTCTTTTTCATATCTTAGAGGAAAAGATTCCTTCAGTATGATACTAGCTGTGGATTTGTTATATACAGCCTTTATTATATCGAGGTACATTCCTTCTATACCTAATTTGTTGAGAGTTTTATCATGAAAGAACATTTAATTTTCTCAAATAACATTTTTACATCTATTGAAAAAAGTCATATAGTTTTTTTGTCCTTCATCCTATTAATGTGATACATCACATCTATTGATTAGCCTATTCTGAACAATACTTGCATCCCTGTGATGAATTACACTTGATCATGGTGAATGATCTTAATGTGCTGCTGAATTCAGTTTGTTGATATTCTGTTGAGTATTTTTGTATCTATGTTCATCAGGGATATTGGCCTGTAGTCTGTTCTTGTTGTGTCCTTGAGAGTAACTACTCTTAACATTTAGGCATATTAGTTTAAAGCTGTCACTACTAGTGTTAGTGTAATAAATGAAACACCAGAGATAAAGTGAATGTTCTCTTTGTCTGCAACCCTTAGACACTCTCTCCTCTCCCACTTGTTGACTTAAACCAATCTCATGGGTTTGGCATGTTTATTTTCAGTGAACTTTCTACTTTTTATATAAGCAAAATAAATACATTTGCATAAGAAATTTATAGCCTTTGTTTGAGTGGTTTTAATGTAAAAATATTTTTCCAGGCTCAGGACAGGACTTGGTCAAAGCACCTGGACAGGTACCTTTGGCATGGATATTCTTGAGCAGGGAGTGGACCAAGCAGATTCAGGAAATGAGGAAGAATAGACTGGATGCCGAAGTTGGTTTTCAGTTGATGGGCTAGTTTGTGGGAGCAAGTGAGGAACATCCAAAAAGAATTGCAAGACACTTCAAAAAAATTTAATTTCTAACAATTTTCAAGGCGTAGCCTTAAGGACAAAAATGAGGTCACTCAGAAAATTCAGAGACACCATTATTTTGTAACCACAGATTAATAAAGCCTGCTTCATGTGGATTACTCAATGTTCATTCCCTTGGCCCTTTTAAGTTTTTCACAGACATCAAAAGTAACTTATTATTAAATATCATGCACACATCTCTTAAAGATCAGCACAATGGTTAGCAAAGACTAATTTACACCTCACTTAGGATTCAAAGCCATGTGAGAACAGGAACACTTCTGTAAAACTTGGGGGTCAGGTGGCTGGCAGAGTGGGCTGTGAGAGATCTTATGGATGTTGGGAGATCAAAACAGGGAAATTGGGCATTGATTCTCAAATAGCCTCTTCATAATTTCCTTACAACCCAATATCTGATGATACTTTAAATGAACAGAGAAAATACATTATTTTTACATATTACATATGCGTTACTAAATGTTTTCTAAAGGGAAATGCGGATATTTCTTAGAAGGTTTTGTGTCACAGAAGTCAATTCTTCTAATGTTTGGACGAGCCCTATGCTGTTATGTTTCTGGCATCTCCTCAGCCACCTGTGCAACTTGCTTAAATTTTCATTTCACAAAACCCAGGCAGTCTTTTTATATGCTTAATAAAGTCAGACAAGGCAAACTTCAGGCTTTAGGGATAGAAGAATAGGGGAAAATTAGAGAGGAAAATGCATATGGAAAAAATAACACTGGGCTGTTATTCTAGTACATGGTCACATTTGTTTTCAATATGGTTTTGAATTTGGTGTGCAAGACTGAATTTTGACTTTTCTTCGAAGTCAGCTTCAACCCAACAAAGAATGGAAGAAGTTATTGAAGAATGCAAAGAATATCCGGAACAAAGAAATACTCAGATATGAATAATTTCCCAGACATTACTTAGGTTAATTTGGTTACTTTTTCCTCAAGGGTAAAATAAACCTGCTAATAATTGTCATGGCTGGGCATAGAATATTTCAATAATTTTTTAATTTTATTTCTAGCATACAGGTAATCACACTGTTATTTTAGTTAAAGTTAGCTTAAGCCAGAGGTTGTGTGATCAGTAATGCTAGAAAATGAAGAGAAAAGGCAATATCTTTGACTCAAGAGGAACAGTAACTCTGCAATGAGAGGCTCCAGATAAATTTCTCCCTAGTGATGTTTGCCCCTTTGTTACTCTTTTATGTGCATTTATTTTTGGTCATGACAGAACAACAGTCAGCCACACCGGATGAAAACGTCCCTTTGACATAGGGAATTCCAAAGGAAAAATCATTTTTGGTTTGTATTTTATCACTTTAACGACCACTTTATGAATATGTTTCAACAGAAAACCTGTCTAGCCTGTAAATACTTCGGGCGCGTTTCGTGATTCCCTCCCCGGACCAGGATTGAAAGCCAAGTTTTGCTTAGGGTTGGCTGAATGTCTTGGCATAAGAACCTTGGCATTTGGCAGTTGAATTTCCAGACCTTTAGCTGACTGGCATTTTCCTCTACAGTTTACTATGGTAGTTCGGGGAAAGTGTATGTTAAGAAATAAACTGCCAACTTGAGTGTGCCTAATTGTGCAATTAGGTGAACCATTGCAAACTTTATAGCATTATTGGATGAAAGCTATTACTTGCTGCCATACAAGTGCTGTGAGGGGGAACCAAAAAAATGTTCCCACAGCCAACACAGGAGGAGCCAATCTTGCAGTCTGAGATATGTACAAATGCAGCATCCATTAGAAGACATTGAATGTCAGAGAAGTGAGCTGATGGAAGAAAAGAGCTTTTGAGTGTGATATCAAAATGAAGGACACAATATGTTAGCTTAGGACAACCGTATAACCATTACACATTTTACATTAACTATAGGCTCTGAAGGACATCTCTAGGATACTTGGAAAGCTTTTAGGTGGAAACACTACCCATACAATAAAATAATAAAAAAAAAAACAATGGAGCCCAAGTTTCTAAGTCTTCCTATGTATTTAGCAATACCAGAAGAATAAAAAGAAAGTTTAAAGTCAACCTTAACTTTTAGAATTCTGTTGACTCCACCAAGTTTTAGCTCTTTTATGGAAAAGTACAGCTTTTTAACACAAATATATAATATCATCACACACACACACAGACGAACAAACATTTTTGTACAGACAGAAATTCTACTCTGAATATTGGTAAAAGTAGTAAAATTAAATAATGTAGAACAAAGAAAACCCCAACTTGTATCACAAGACCTGGTTTAAATCTTGATATCTTGATTTAGCTACCGGCGGTATAGCTGTGTGTATGTTAGATGTGTGTATCTAAGGTTTTCTCATTGAGCAACAAGAGCCAATAACCCAGATCTTTTGTGGAAATTTTATCAATATACATCTGCATTTCTTCTCCACCTTCTCAGATGCTAACACCTTTACTCCACACTGATCTTTTACTGTGATGACTATTGATATTATGTATTATTTATATAATATGTAATTATAAAATATACAATAAATTATGAGTTATATAATTTATTTATATAATTAGGTATACCATTACAATTATATTTTATCCTATGTATCCACATATTTGATATACAGAAGAGCACTGCATAGAAGGGTAGTGGCACCAGGGCCCAGACTGCTTTGTGCTCAATACTAATCACTCCTCCTGCTTTGGATCATGTGCTGCTTTCATTGAACAACACCGGGAGACTTTGGAGTGTGGCCTGGAAACCAGAGTCATAAGCAGTTATCACTTAGGAATAAGATGGAAAATTCTGTGTAAAATATCAGAAAAATTCAAACATAGGAGTTTATTAAATAATATACTCTGGTAAACAGAGAGTTTAAGATTGAGAAAATATTTTGATATTTGAAAACGTCTTAGTAAACATTATGTTTTGTAAAATTAAAAAGAGGAAAACTGAATTATCATATCAGCCACCAAAAAAATTTATTGAATTTATTTTTCAGAATGATATAGATGTTTATATGAATATTTCTGAATATTTTAAAGCTTTTACCAATGTAGACTGCAATGTACCATTCATAATAATGTTTTCTGGCTATATTAAAGATTTCCATGTAAAGCTAAATTAATAAATATAATCTAATTAAATATTTAAAAATATTTTTATATAATTGAGATGAAGTAACCTTTGCTAGAATGGTACTTAGGCCAGAAATCTTGCAATTCTTATTATAATGTTTATTTGATTGAAGTTTGAATATTTTTAAAAGTTATTTAGTCATTATGTTAAGAGTACATTTTACAGAATCTTTACATCATTTTAGAGGCAGGTAAAATTTAGGAAAAATATTTACAACACATGTAATAAACACACACAAAATATTCTTTAATTATTATGAATAATTACTATACATCATTTTAAAACACCAATATACTAATGATCAATAGGCACAGAATATGAATAGTTAGTTCATATAAATACAAATACCTTGTAATCTAAAAACATAAATATTAATGACCAAAGTATTAAAAAAATTGATATTTTTCTCTATCAAAGTGACAAATGCTAAAATAGTACCCATGGGTAGCAAAGTGGGAAACAGACCAACATAGAATAAGAATTAATAGTTTCATTCTTTCTGATTGACAAATTGGCAGTATATACCTACAATTAAACTGGTATACACTTAGATTCAAAAAGTCTACTTCTGGGAATTTATCTTAATAGCAATGCAGTAAACATAATTGAACAAAAATGGGTTTCGCTTCTCTACCAAAATATTTAAAATAGCAAAGTTTTGTAAATAATTTAAATTGCAATTAGTTTGAGATGATTATACACATACAGTGAATGCACATAACAAAATACTATTCATAAATACGGTCTTAGAAAAAATCAACTAGAAATTTTGAAGGGAAACTGTAGATGAAAGAGGTGATCATGTACTGCCTTATTTGTTTCATTTTATTTTATTTTGCTTTTTATTATTATTCTTTGAGACAGAGTCTTGCTCCATCACCAGGCTGGAGTACAGTGGCACGATCTCTGCTCACTGCAACCTCTGCCTCCCGGGTTCAAGTGATACTACTGCCTCAGCCTCTTGAGTAGCTGGGACCACAGGCATGCGCCACCATGCCCAGCTAATTTTTTTTTTTTTTTTTTTTTTTTTTTTTGTATTTTTAGTAGAGACAGAGTTTCACCATGTTGGCCAGGATGGTCTCGATCTCTTGACCTCGTGATCCGCCCACCTTGGCCTCCCATAGTGCTGGGATTACAGGCATGAGCCACTGTGCTCAGCTTGTTTTATTTATTAGACTAGATGATGAGTTACCTGTTTGGGGGAAGGATAAAACCATTATGTGTTATGCCTCATGGACATACATGCGTATGTGAAGGGCTGAAGCTGTGAACCCTTTATGGACCAATGTCAAAAGTATGTAAGTAGTTTGAAGAGAGAGAGGGAATGAGTGAAAGAAATAGAGATAGAGAGAAAGAGAAGACAAATTAATGATATGAAGGGATGCATTGCTTATTGTTTTGAGGGCATGCAAAGAATAAAAGGAGTGGACAGAGAAGGCAGCGCTACTTATCTTTGTATTTTCTATCTTTTTCTTTGATGAAAACGCTTCCTATAATGAAAAAGGTAAATCAAATACTTAGTTAATCACAGGATTAGAAAAATGTTTGTAAGACAGCAACAGGTACTTTAATGAGTTCAAGTTTCAAGGGCCAATTATATATTAAGTAATTTGTGGCTAGGATTACTAATACATTGTCAATATTTCAAGACATTATCAAATGTCAGAGGTAAGCAAATATACCAAATTTTAATAATGTAGTAAGAGATTAATTGTGGGCCTTATAAACCTGTAATCTCATTATCAGTATTTTAAGGATTCTTGAAAGACTCATTAAGTAGATGTTCAGGGAGCTGTTGGCAAAGCAAATAGAGATGTGGATAGAATAAAAGAGATTCAGTCTTCAGTTCAGACAACAATTATAAAATATTTGTTTAAAGGCATGCTTCTAGAAACACTGGGAGTGAAAGAGACATAAAGATGAAAATGATAAGATTGTTTCCTCAATCATTATATAATCAAGTTGAGATAATGAAGATAGATAGATAGATGATAGATAAAAAGTAGATAAAATATACATTGATAACTGTAATGCAATACAAGTTATATTGCTTGCAAAAAGGGTTGTAATAAGTATTGCTTCTTCTTTGAAGGCTTCCCCAATATCCTTGGCCAAAATTAATTTTCCCATAATCCAAGTTCCATGAATCATCAACCAGAATTTGCATTGAAACTGAAAGACCAGGATGATTTTACCACATAAACAATGAAAAGTATCTTTAGGTAAAACAAACTATCATAAAAAATAAACTGAGGTATAAAATATAAATGTTTTGTAAACATCCAATATGATGAAGTTATTGTGTCTGTAAGTGGAGTTTTATTAAATGGAACAGAAAAGAGATGTGTATGCAGATTGAATAACTTCTTACTGTAGACTATGAATATATGTAAATATTCATGGTCTATGAATGAAATATGTAAACAACTATATTTGAAGAAGGGAAAGTGTCTTAGAGAGAGAGAGAGTGCTTTGGAATGGAAAATACCAGACATAGCAAACCCAGGTCATTACCAACATTGGAGATGATTACAATATGAAGTAGCATGATGGGAGAGGCAATGATACACAAGGGAAATCATCGATATTTTGCAGAAGAAAGGACAGAACATGCTAAATAATTAGAAATATTCAGATAAGAACATATTTTAGTAGATATTTTTTGGATATGGTCATTTTTAATGACTATCCTCATAGAAATCTCTAACACATTGTTGGAAACAAAGGTCATAAACTATACTGAGAGGTATTTGCATTAAGATAAGCCAGTTTATGCCGACAAAAGAAATAACCCTTAAGCTTCAGTGATTTTACATAATAAATGTTTATTTCTTACTCACTTTTCATTTCTAACATATCCAACAAAGGTCACTAAAGTAATCTTCTCTGTCCAGAGGTTCAAGGACTTGAACTGATGACAAATCCAGTATCATATAGCTTGACTATTAAAACACAAATTGTCTAATATTCTTGCGTCAAGGAATGAGACAATATTGAGTGCCCATGTTTTTGGTTGTGCTTTGTTTCATGGATGAAATATGTAACTTCAACTTACAGCCCAATGGCCAGAAGTAGTAACATGGTCTTGCCTAGCTGAAAGAAGGCTGACAAATGTCAGATAAGCACATGGATTCTCCGTGTACAAAATATATTTCTGACACAAGAAACCAGCGTTAAAAAAACGAACCTATGAATAACTAAAGATTGTTAATGCATCATGAAAATAAATCAGATAACTTGTGATGAGAGTAATAGCCAATACAAGAAGAGAGTTGAATGTAGCACTGTATTTGCTACAGGAAGAAAAACAAATACAGAAAATTGAAACAGACAAGGATGAAAGTAGTGAGCTGAGACTACTGCCATGGAAATCAAAAAAAGAAAGTTTTAAACAGTGGAGGGGTTCAGCAATGTCAAGTGGAGCAAAGAAATTGCAAAAAGAGAGAAGGTCTTTGGATCTCTCACATGCAAGTTAGGGAAACTATTTCAAAAGAAAAAGTATAGAATAATCTTGATGATGACTTTCAGATTGCAGATAATGGATGGCTAAATGGGTTGAGAAGTGAAGACAGTGAATATAAATTTAATTTTCTCTTATAAACCCAACAAATCCCAACAACATGAATCCTTAGGTAAATATCTTCATTTCTCTTAAATTCTGTTTGTTGTTCTATAAAATTAAGGCCTCTAAAAAGCTTAATTCCAAGGTTGCCTCCAGCTCTAAACATAATACCAATAATACTAACAGCAACAATAATAATTATCAACTATTAATTGTTAACAATGTGCTAGGTATTGTGCTCAATATTATCTATGCACTATCTCATATATAATTACCTCCACATTTCAAAAAAGAAATTAATGAGATTTAGATTAAGTGGTCTGTCCAAAGTCACACACTTATTATGTGGATAAATTTGAATTAGATCCCAAAGTCATATGTTCCCTTACCAACAATTGTTGAATGATCTATTAATTTTATAATCAATACTAAAAATGTATAAATAAGGATAGCATAATTTTAATATATGTTCAAGATCAATAGAGGATTTATCTATAGCATACATCTAATCTGTCATCAACTGTTTATAAAGCACATTAATTAGCACACCAATGATAGATTAGAGGGAAGCTCTAGCATTTGACTCTAAAATTTCATGAACGATTTTGATGAGCATGGGTAAGCATTGGTGTTTATTAAATCTAGTCTCCATCTTGGTGAAGGGAGGAATCTTGTGGAGTTTAGAACTTACTGAAGTTGCAGAAGTAGAGAGCAGAGGTGACTGTCTTAATATTTCTGCTGAAAAAGACCCAGAAATTTAGCTGGCTGAAAGTTCCATGAAGCTAACACAGTCAAGCACTGATAATTGCACTGATATGATCAATTAATGCATGGGTAGGGCCTAGGTAAAGGGCACCAATGATCCCTTTGAATGTTGCATTAACTGAATAGAAGACATCTGGACTTAAGACATAGTCACTACATTTTAAGAGTAACATTATAACCTGGGGTCTGTTCAAAAGAGAATTACCAAAATGGTCTTGGCACTGGAAGCCACCTCAAATGGAAAAAGATTGGAAATACTGAGAATATTTAGTTTGGCAAAGATAAAAATTGAGGAGTTATAAACACTTGAAGGGCTAACATAAGAAGATACTGCAAAAATTAGAAAATATATTTCTTTATTGAGTTACACATGGCACTGTATAAATTTCAATTTTAGTTTTCAGTTTTATCCTCTGTATTAAGAATAAATCTGATACATATAGTTATAGCTGTCCAAGGGAAATGAGCTGCCATTAAAATAACCAAAGTTTTTAGAGTGCTGCATTAAGTAGGGACACAGCATTTTTCATTTTTCAAAGTGGGTCACTTTAGCTAGTAAAGAGTGCTAATAATAATTATCCTCAGAAAATAGGTATAAACTTTAATTGTCTCAGGTAAACTGGGGTTTTTCTGTCTTACTGAATTCTCTCAGCTACTATATAGGGTCCATATAATCACTGACTCTTTTTTTACAGATAAAAAATCTGAGATCTTATCATATGCCTAAAATCAAACTGATAGTATGTGGCAATCAGAATTCAAATCTGACTCGAATTTCCAGGCTTTATTTCACTGCTCCATTCTTGGGAAGACACTTATTCTGGGAAATTATTTTCATAAAGACTGGACAAGCACCCCTTTTTTAAGAAAAGAAAAACACTCATATTCTACAGGAGATAATGGTCAATATTTTTTCTGCCTTCGAATCCAAAGACATTGCTGAGTCTACAAATTAGGCAGGTGTGGAAAGAAGAGAAAAAAGGCAGGGAGGAAATGGTCTGTAAGTTTCCTTCCAACTTTAAGATCCTGTAATATCATAGAAAACATGGCCTTGAAACCTTACATAAGGCTTTATGAAGATGACCATGAAGCAGGGCCCAGGTATATTTTGTTCACCATTGTCTGCCTTGCCGATAATATGTGCTCAATGAACATGGTTAAGTGAGTAAAAAAGAATCACGTGAAAAAAAAAATCATTCCTTGCACACTTGATGCCATGTATAAGCCTCCTTTCCAGACAAACAACCATTGTTATTTTTATATTAACTTATCATTATTCGCTTTTAATATCTTCATCACTTGTCTATAAATATATCCACGGCCACCGTCTCTGAGTAAATTACACAGACTAAAAAGTCTGTCATCCTGAATTTAAGCCCATTCTCTGCATTTTAAAGGCTGACTTGCTGTGGTCAATTTAATTTAGTCTGCCTGTGCCTCATTTTACTCATTTATAAAGAGAACAATGTAATAGTAACTACCTTTTAGAGTTGTTGTGATAAATAAATTGCTTAGCATAACATTTGGCACAAAGTTAGCATTCAATAAACATTAACTATTCTTATTTCTGTATGTATACACACCTTCATGCTAAATTTTGTCCACTTACTTTCTTGCTGAATTAAAGGAGTTTCTCATCTCTAGAGAGCCTGAGACATAACTCACCAGGAAGATACAGAGATCATCATAACCTTCATTTTATTTTTAAGATTTAAAAGAGCAATGCTACATCTAGACATAAGAGCTGAGCAGGTTGAAAGGTGTTGATTTGCTGATCTGTTCCAAGCTACCATTGAACTGATCTTAAAAATAGAGTCAGGCTCTGATCCAATGCCCTCTGTGTTCGATGGTGCTGGTTTTCAAGAATTATGTCAGGGCTGAAGAAAATATTCGCAGACTGAAAAGGGAATAAAGAAAATGCCACATTCTGAGAAATCTAAGTTGCACATTTTCCATAGAAGTCATTGAGTATTTTCTGACTTACAGTAGCAGACTATTTCTGAGTACTATTACTAAAGCCTTCTTTCCACTTTTTCAATAGTATTTATTATTAATATTTTTGTTTTTGCAGTGGGAAATCTGAAAACGTGGAAACCCAATCCCATGAGTCATCTCTGAAAGGATCACATGTAAGGTCTGGGAAGATGGGTCTCTACTGACAGTGTGACAGGAAAGGTTGTCCCTTCCTTCAGGGTTTGTAAAAGAAGTAATAAGTCAACCAAGAGTGACCTGCTGTTGGAGCAAAACAGGGACACACTGTAAGTGTCTGCAATGAGCCCTGCCCTTAGTAGTTTACATTTCTGACATACAATACAGAGACATCTCTATCTACACTGATCACTTAAATAAAGATTGCAATGTCTGGAAATCAAAAAGGTTCATAAGCAGGTATAATTAGGGAAAGTATGTTGGAGGAAGCAGGAGTAGAGGCAAGCCTTACAGGTGGATAGAATTTGGATGGACAGAGAGGAGATGCTGACACATTCCAGTTTCTTTAACACAGAGAGAGGCTTGATCAATGGCAATCATAAAGAGCCAGTGATGTCTCATTCCTCCTCCTCTCCCAATGTGCAATCAGATCTGTTCTTAGTTCTACCATCAGCCTCCAAAATGCAACTGCTTTTGACCTAGAAAAGCGTCTAGCTAGCCACATTTTATTTTAATATGTGTTTTAATTTTACTCTATTATAAATATAAACCTGAATATAGAAACTGAGTTTTAAACTTGTTATTTCAACAATGACTGAGATAAAATGGCAATGACCTATTTTCCATTTTCTTGGTTTTCAGTCTAATTTTATTAATACTTAAACCCTATAGTTACTCATCATTTTGGGACCAGATTTGGGGACGAGAACTTTCTCTTTCAGCATGAGCCAACTGCTAATCTAGGAAGTATTTGTCTGGTTTGTAATATTTTATGTAGTTGTTAACAGATATGACTTGAACATTTATTTTATAGAATTAACTGTTAATATTTTTCATTTCTCTCCAACAGTTTGAAAATCTGTACTTTTGCAATTGTATATTATATTACCCTAATTAAATATAAGCAAATTGTTTTTAGTTAAATAATCAGAACAAAGAAAGGTTTACTTTTTTGGAGAGCCTGAGTAGTATTCTTATCTGTGCCCATAAGATCCATATATTATTATAATTAAACTGAACTGGGATATGATAGATTTTGATATTTTTCTTTGACTTTTTCTGAGAGTTCTTCAGAAACTCCTAGAATCTATAAATAATATTTTTTTCAGTAGGAAAGCAAGTCATGTTCTTCATTATATATTTTTAAAAATATAATTCAGCTGTTCTCATTAAGTTGCTTCTACTCAATTAATATTTTCACTTTATTCTCCTTTAAGAGAAATCGTAACAGAAATTAATCCCTGATGACAGATTCTTAAGACTCAGCTGATGATTTATAATGATGAGAATTGTTCCAGAGACCTTAAATTGCCCATTCCACAAGGGTCTAAAATGAACTCGTCTCAGCTGTCTGGATCATAATTCCATTCACAGATAGTTTGACAAACTACAGCCCATAGGCCAAATCCCAGTTGCCACCTATTTTGTTAAGGCAAGTGATTGAAGAATGTTTTTCCCCATTAAGTGGTTGAAAAATGAAAGATTAGTATTTCATGATACATGAAAATTATAAAACATTAAGAGTTCAGTGTCCAAAAATAGAGTTTTCTTAGAACACAGCAATGCTTGCTCATGTAAATATTGACTGTTACTGTTTTTATGCTCCAGTAGCAAAGTTGAGCAGTTGTGATAGAGAACACACGACTAGAAGAGCCTAAAAATATTTACTACCTGGCCCTTTACAGACACAGCTTGAAGATTCTGTTACATAAGGCACTAAATTGGAATTAAATTCAGGAGATCTTAGACTTAGTCCTTGATCTGCCATGTGCTAGACACGTAACTTTGGGGAAAGTTTCTAACCATAGTGAGACTCAGAATTCTCATTGATAAGATGAGATAAACAGTAAATCTGAACTGTAGGGAGACAAATGGTGAAAGGGCCTGTTAGACCACAAAACAATGTAAAATGAAAGAAGATAACATTAAATTAGATGCACATATTCATTTGTACCAGGCAATTAAAACAAGTATAATGTGATCAAAGCTTTCCACAAGGTATGCATTCAATTTTAGAAAAGCAATTTTGGTTCAAGTACAAGAGAAAGAAAAAAAAATCTTACAGATTATCAAGTTCAACTCAATAATTCATCTAGTATAAGCAAAATTGCTACTTTCTTGATCTTTCCAAGGACCTTGCAGACAACTTGTGTAGTGAAATGACTATAAAGGTCAGATTCACCTTTTCACTTTAGACATGATGACAAAATATATGTGCGCATATAGACAGTGGGTATGGGCATTTTTTAATATATGCACATAAATGTACATGAGGAAGAGTACCGAAGGGACCCACTTAGACTTGATGCCTCTAACATTCTTCAATTAATTAAAGTGTCATTTCAGAAGCAACCAAGTTGGAAATCAATCACAGGAAGATTCACTTTCAGCAGGGGGCTGAGGGCAAATTTGTGTGTCTTTAAGTGGGTACTGAACTCTGTGTGTGTGAAGACAATTGAAGGAAGCTTCAGGAAGCCTGGATGCTGGACCCTTAGGCAGCCTGCTAGTAAGAGGCAGACAGACAGCCCAGGCTTTCCTTGTGCAATCACAGTTTTTCCGGTGACATTCCACTTTACAGAATGATGCCACTCTTGTCAATGAGCCAAATTCCCAGTTCGAGAGCGCCAATCTACTCTGAACAAAGAGAAGCACCTGGGGCATGCCTGTTTTGATAGCCTGCCTGGCTCCTGGAGTGGCTTGTGTCCAGAGAGGATGTGGATAACAATGCCTTTGACTTGGGTCCTTGGGGGTTCATGAAGGTGGAAAATTATAGGATCAGAAGGAAAACTGACTCCTGGGTTGGCTATAAACCCCAAGGCAAAATTACAGGATTAAGGACTCATCAGTAGGTCAGAAGTGACCCCTAGTGGGGTCTACAGCTTTAATCTCTTCAGTGAAAATTATCTCTGCCATAATACCTGTTTATGATACAGTAAGGAGGGACCACACTTACATTAGGCACCACTTGATGAAGGGAATAAAAAGAAAAAGAAAATGAGAAATAAATTAGAAATCAAAGTAAGGGGGAAAAAATTAAAAAGAGAAAGAGAAAGAGAAAGAAAACAAGACAGAAAAAACTCAAGTACCAGAAAAAAAAAAAAGGTAAGAATATCTACATTGTCTTCCTGATAATTTATTTCCCTTAGTGAAGCAGCAATTGATGACAAGCATTAAAGTAATATGACCATATCACTCTTCAATTCAAAATCCCCTCAGCACCTGATATTGATTTTAAAAGTAGAAACGATTCTCCTTTGCAAAGACTGCAGGATCTTACCTGCAGCTTCTATCTTGCTAACCCATCTTAACTTGTGTCTTTCTTGCTTATGAGCAACACTGCTTGTTTTTAGGTTCCTCAAACTCCTCTTCCCACCGAAGTACGTGGGCACTCACTGCTTCCTCATCCTGCAGTCATCCCACGGCTGGTTCCACCTTGTCATTTCATTTCAGCTTCAGGTCTACTCAGAGAGACTTTCTTCATCCAATCAAATTGAAGAAGTTATCCTCCCTCATCACCATCACTGCATCCTATTTGTTTCCTATAATTTATCTATCTAATAATCTCATGTAACCTAATTTGTTGTTAATATGTATGTTTGTCATTTCACTGAAATGCAAATTTGCTGAGAGCAGGGTCCTAGAAACATGCTAATCATGTAGCAGGTTCTCAGTATCATTTGTGGAATGGATGAATGAATAAATACTTGAAAAGAGTTGGTTATGTAGATATTTTTAAAAGTTTGATTTGAAAGTGACTTGGAAGCCTTTCCATCCAACCCTTTCTATTTTTATGTTACGACTGATAAAACTAAGACCCTTAGAATTTAAGTGAATTATACAAGGTCATATCATTATTTGTGTCAAAGATGGGAAGAACCACAATATTTCACTATATTTATTTTGAAATTTGTATATAAGTTTCTCATTCCAGAAGTGAAGCTGGATGAGTGATTCCATCCAGGAATGCTACAGTATGATAAACCTCAAGAAAGCTATTACACCACCTTGTGTCCTCTTTCTGTAGATAGAATATGGAAGAAGAGGGACGATGTCTAGCCAAATAAGGAACTGAAGGTAACATTTTGTTGTTATTGTTATTCTAGACAGGATTTGGTGAATATTAGTGGTAGAAAATGTTTGGTGGCATGATTCCGCTATTAGTGGGTTCCCAGAAGACTGAGTTCTTTCTTGTACAGTAAGGAGGGACCACACTTACATTAGCAGATCTAGGTAGATGGAAACTCAATATCTTCTCCCAAAAGTTGTTGTCTTAGTAGGTTAAACCTTAGATATAACCAACAGATTCTTTATGTATCAAGTAGGTGAAATCCTGGCTTATGTTAAAGGATAAGGATCGTTATGTTAAGGCAATGACTAGGCTTCACATTGAGGTTGCCTGGGTAAAATTAACTGATTTGTTCTCTAAGATGTATGGAGAAAGGTCAATTGCGTAATTGTATTTTAAACACGGAACCTGCATCAGCATGTGCATTCATTTTCTAGGACTGCCATAACAAAGTACCACAAACCAAGTGGCTTCAAACAACAGAAATATATTGTCTCACAGTTCTGAAATCAAAGCATCAGCAGAGTTGGTTCCTTCCAAAAACCATGAGGAAGAAACCTGTCCCGTGCCTCTCCCTTAGCTTCTGGTCGTCTGCTGGCAGTCTTTGGCATTCCTGTTTGTAGGCTCATCATCCTGATCTCTGTCTTCAGATTCACATGACATTTTCCCTGTATTATGGGCTCATCTCCAAATTTCACCAGTCATACTGGATTAGGGCTCACCTTAATGAGCTCATCTTAACTAATTATATCATGAACAAACCAATTTCCAAATAAGGTCACATTCTAAGCTGTGGGTTTCAGATCTCAGCGTATGAATTTTGGGGAGACACAGTTCTATTCACAACATCAAGTTTAGCTTCAGTGATTCTAAGGGACTGATTACCAAAGAAAGACAATCTCATTATAAAATAGTATTTGCTGGGATGGAGGTTAAGTCAGGGACCACCTTAAAAAAAAAAAACTATTGACTTAAATTCCAACAATTTTCCCATTACACAAAATGGCCTTTATATTCTAATAATTTATATAGCCATCTGAGTTCATTGATCATCTAGCTTTGTCCAGGCACTGTGCTTTTAGGCACTGGAATCCAGCCAATGACCAAAAATAATTTCTAACTTAGCAGGTGGCAGCATACTGCCCAACTTTGTGCCTCCAACAGAATGTATAAATTCAATCAATATTATTTGGAACTATGATAACAATATGAACTATGGGGCTTTCAAAGTAGAAATGAGTGTCGGAAAAGATTCTGAGCGGAAGTAATGTGCAAGCTGAATAGTAATAAATCAAACTATGATGTTGCTTTCGCAACTGTTCTGATCCATTGAGACATGATTTTTAGTTATCACCAAAAGTAAAATCTACCAAGTATGAAGTCTTAAGTGATCTTTAGGGTTTTATCCACGTATAGTAACTTTGGGAATGACTTTGTATTGGAAAACCACATATTACGTTTGTATAGTTCTCTAAATCTGAAGCATTCTGTGCGCACCTTTCCGAAGCTGGTGCTGGCAGGATTTTCTTATATTGCTATGCCATTTCTGCTCCTGTTCACTAAAAGCCTTTTCAACTCTTCTTGTGCATTTATATCTAAAATCTCCTCTTTCCCTCTAGTGGAAACAGGGGAATGTAATCCTGCAGGGAGACTTTGTTAAGGTTTAACCTGTAACACAAACATGTTTTATCTGGTCTAGCACAAGCTGTAGAGCCTGAGAAGCTTGGAGCCATTTGTCTCCATAGGGTCCTCAGGGTATTGAAGTAATAAGCCATCACGGGGTCACAAAACAACAAAGAACATACCTCCTAAGGATTTGTAGATGTGTTTCAAAACTCTCAATGTGCAGGCAAGTGCAGCCTACTTATATGAGATAACTTGAGAAGGCCTATGGAATGTTTTATAACTAAAGAGAATGTCAGAATTGAGTATGCATGAAAAATGGCTCACACTGAGCTCTTTGAATTGTACAGAAGTAGAGGTTTGAATGAGGAAGAGCACTGGCCTGAGGGAGGAAGTCCTGGTCCTCTCATTCATTGTTCTGCCATGAGTTGTCATTTAATGACTCCAGACACAACTGTTCTCATATGAATAGAGTCTGAACTAGATCTGTTTTCCAAAAGTTCCTGCTACCAACAGCCACATATATTATTCCTGCATCCTACAGGTTTCACAAGTGGAAATGTATTTTTATGAAGTTTTAAATATTCATTTGTTTATTTATTGAGTTATAATTTCCATACATTTCAGTTTTTATTTAATTTTTAAAACTGTATAGCTACTAGTCAGAAACTGCTGAGCACAAAATTATAAGGAATATTACCATACGGAGTTCTAACATTTTCAGGCAAAAACTAAGGCATTTTTTTAGCTTATATCACTGTCACAATTTTTGAAATGCTGCAAATTTTATAGGCCACTGTGATTTCCAGGAGTCAGATAAAGATCACTGGGAGTAGATGATCTCTATGATTCTTTCCCTAGAACCTAAAGATTCAGGAGTTAATTTGCATTCTCCCAGTTACGGAAGTGAAAGGAAAAATAAATGTTAATTATTGCCTAGAGTAATGGATCACTTATAGGGTCCACCTTGAGTCTCCAACTAATGATATCATTTGGAGTTCTTTACTGCTCAGAACTACCTTTAGATTAGGGCAATGGAAGGCCACCTTTATAGTACAACTGGAAAACTTATATCAAACCACTGCACACTTAACACCCTGGGCATAGTATGGAAACCTAGAGGCCCCCTTTTACAGAGACCAATGCTTTAGAAAGAAGCCATTAGCATATCTCCCCCCCACCCTTGTATTCTTCTTCTTTTTTTTTTTTTTTTGAGACAAGAGTCTCTCTCTGTTACCCAGGCTGGAGTGCAGTGACGCAATCTTGACTCTCTGCTGCCCCCACCTCCCCTCCCAGGTTCCAGCAATTCTCCTGCCTCAGCTTCCTGAGTAGCTGGGACTACAGGCATGCACCGCCATGCCTGGCTAAGTTTTGTAATTTTAGTAGAGACGGAGTTTCACCATGTTGGCCAGGATGGTCTCGAACTCCTGACTCTGTGATCCACCTGCTTCGACCTCCCAAAGTGCTGGGATTACAGCTGTCAGCCATCGCGCCCAGCCACATTATTCTTTAAAGAAGAAATATCTTAATTTCCATGGCACATAAATTATTCATCAAGCTAAAAATCAATTATTAAGTACCTATTGGTGGCCAGATGCTGTACTGACCCCAGGATCATGGGAGTCCTAATCTCTGCCTTCAGGGAGTTTACAAGCTAAAGAGATTTGTAGATCAGCCAAGCAGTAAGGCACTGAGAAATGAAAACAAAGAGAATGAGGAAGAGAAGACTGGAGTTCTTGATGAGGAATAGCTGCGATGGGGAGGAGACTAAGAATGGGGTGAAGGCAAAGGAGCAGGGAAGCATGCGGTAAATATAAGGAAATAAAAGAGTGGAAGGAGGAGGTGACAGAGGACAAGAGTTGGAAGCAAAGATTACATTGTTTTAGTAGAACCAGATGACACTGCTACCTCTGCACAATTTGCCATGATCAGCTCCACTCTATATTACTTCTGAAAGCATTTACACATGAGCTTACTCCGCTGTGCTGGGTTGTGACTGTCCTCTGAGTAGTAGCACAGTATAAGTGCCGTCGATCCACTGGTTGTTTGGAGCACACACTGCCAAGACAGTGCTTCAATTAAGAAAATAAATTCAGGTGTTTTTGAAATAAACATTCTTTCACTGTACTTTGTTGAATGCGCATTCATCATGGAGCTGTGTCTCTTGGAATTTTTCTCAACCTTACAAATTCAACCACTGCAGCTAGATGTTTACTTTATAAGTCTGGTAAAGGCAAGCGACAAATGGCCTCATTTTCTCCTCTACTGGATGTATTTGCAATTAACAGGGACTCCAGAAAATGAAGAGGCAGCATAGTTAATGAGGGGAGAAAGAGAGTTTTGGACAAAAGTGAAAATTTCTCTGCCCTTGTCCTGCCTCTGCCAGCAGGTTATTTCCAAAAGGTTTGTTTATTTATTTAATTTAAAGCATTTTTTTCTCTGCTAAAAAGCGAGAGGGCTGAGGTCTTATTTCTAAGGACATACCCAGCTCTATTATTCTATGACTTGGGTCTAAAATTATAGTACTGGGTTGAGAAATATTCCCAATATTTTATCAATAACCTCTCTGCTCTTGGAAGCATGCAAGATATTATATCAAAACAGTCAGAATTTCTTTTATCCCTGCCCTCCTGCATTCTAGGGGTTCCTCCATGTTGACAGTGTCAATCAATGCATGAACGCCACAAGGGAAGACAGCTATCAAGTGCACACTGATTTAAATCAGCCTACTATGAGCCATTATAATGAGTGTGATGCATATTCAAAGATGTGTGAGATAGAAAAATAGAAATGTTCCCTGAAATGATACGTTGGGACAAAACGGCAATTGAGAAAGTAATGCTCTCTTGTCCAGTCATTCTGAGAGAAGTGGCATTAAAGAGATGCACATTCAAGAGTTTCCTTCATGAAGACAAAGGCTTGCCAGAAAGAGAGGAAGTTTAGCCAGGGGAGTGTATGGCCCTTGGAAGCAAACACAGAACAATCAAGTAAAGTTACATCTCCCCAACAGGAATGGATAAGCCTGGCATGAAGCAAAACAGGGTGATAGCAATGGTCAACCCCAGCTTTAATATTGCATTGGTAACTGGAATTAAGGAGAGAGGGCTATTGGTTTCAGATGACACCCAAATGGTTCTTATTGTCGGATTCCACGTGACTTGGATAAATTATGAAAGAAGCCACTTACCAAAGAAATGTTTAAACATGGCCGGGCGCGGTGGCTCACGCCTGTGATCCCAGCACTTTGGGAGGCCGAGACGAGCGGATCATGAGGTCAGGAGATTGAGACCATCCTGGCTAACACGGTGAAACCCCATCTCTACTAAAAATACAAAAAATTAGCCGGGCGTCCTTTCGGGAGCCTGTAGTCCCAGCTACTCAGGAGGCTGAGGCAGGAGAATGGCCTGAACCCGGGAGGCGGAGCTCGCAGTGAGCCGAGATGGCGCCACTGCACTCCAGCCTGGGCGACAGAGCGAGACTCCGTCTCAAAAACAAAACAAAACAAAACAAAACGAAACAAAACAAAACAAAAAAAGAGAAATGTTTAAACACTATACCTGATCTATATTATAAAACATGAATCAGCAAACTGATTACTTTAGATAAAGCAACATAGAATAGTACAAAGAAGAAAGAAAAAAAGTGCAACATTTTGGGCAGATTCTCTAACTCCATGACTTTTGTTGATTCTAACAAAAATCTCCCGCGCCATGTGGAAGTTATTGCTAATATTCCATTGAATGCTCTTCTCCTAGCTCTTAGGTCACCATTTGTTTGATCCACAGCCTTTTCTGTCTCAGCCTCTCCAGTTTCAGGGCAGGTGGTGAAGGATTAGGAAAAGTGCCTTCTCTTTAGTTGATGCTACGGTCGTTTTCTCTTGGCTGGTAACACCTTCTGTCTAAAGAGTCTTCTCATGGGGCACATGTGTGAGTTGTGTTGAGGCCTCCACACAGTACAATTATTTGATGTGTGAGAATCTTCTACTTTTCCTCTGTCCACAGGTCTGGTACCTCTCAGTCGAGGTACCAGCAAATTTGCTCCAACCTATTTCCTTTCCAGACAGGAAGATCACATATCACTTGAGGAATAGATTACCACAGTCCTTCCTTTCCTCCATTCCACCACAGGTTGCTCCAGTCAGCCTCTGTCCTATTCTGGTGCCAAGGAGAAGCCGCTGCTTCGGTTCATATACCCAACTCCTGGAGCACGTGTCAGATTCTCCTAAGAACTCTGTTTCTGAGCTTAGGGACGGCAGGCACTAGGTAGGTCTCCAAGTTTCTCAACTCAGCAAACATACAGCTGCAGAGAGATGCCAGTTCCACAATTATAATTCTCCTGCCACTAATCAAGTTCCATGGGTATGTGTGTGGCCACTCTCAACTTTGGGGTTTCTGCAGTGAAATCTGTGAAAATGAAAGAAGCCTATCTGCAGAGGGAGAAATTTAAGCCAAATCCCAGGGAAAAGCAGCATGAGAGAAAGAGTGATATCCTGGTTGTGTTCATGTCTTTGGTTCTGATTGTATTTATTTAGGACCAGCGCTGCCTCAGACTTGCCATGGTGTAATTACATGCGGCAGTTTTTCCTTCTGCTTAAGTAGGTTCGAGTTTAAACATCAGAATCTCTCTCTCTCTCATATATATACATATATATGTGTATATACATATATGTATATATACATATATGTATATACACATATGTATATATACATATGTGTATATATACATATGTATATACATATACATATATGTGTATATATATACACATATGTATATACATATACATATATGTGTATATATATACACACACATATGTATATATGTATATATATGTGTATATATACAGATATATATGTGTGTGTATATATGTATATGTGTATATATACAGATATATATGTGCATATATATACACATATATTTATATATGTATATACACATATATATATCTTATATATATACACATATATATTTATATATGTGTATATATATAGAGAGAGCTGAGGAGTGTTATATGTTGCAGTCACTTCTTTGCAGAAGTTGGAGAGAGAGAGAGAGAGACAATATTCCAGGTGTAAATTGAGATTTTGACACAATGATGGAGAACTAGGGTTTGTTATCTCTTAAAAGCCCCACATTTTTTTCTGAAGTGGATAAATACTCAAAGATGTTTCAGCCTAGCAAATTTATGTTTGCCAGCTACTGGGTTGACAGTATTTTATTCATTTTAAAGGTAAAAATTTATAAATCTTTCATAAAAATAGTTGAAGTTTTTATACACACACACAGATATATATGTATATATGTGTATATATACAGATATATGTGTGTGTATATATGTATATGTGTACATATACAGATATATATGTGCATATATATACACATATATTTATATATGTATATACACATATATACACATTATATATATAAATATATATTTTATATATATACACACACATATATATGTGTATATATATAGAGAGAGCTGAGGAGTGTTATATGTTGCAGTCACTTCTTTGCAGAAGTTGGAGAGAGAGACAATATTCCAGGTGTATATTGAGATTTTGACACAATGATGGAGAACTAGGGTTTGTTATCTCTTAAAAGCCCCACATTTTTTTCTGAAGTGGATAAATACTCAAAGATGTTTCAGCCTAGCAAATTTATGTTTGCCAGCTACTGGGTTGACAGTATTACATTCATTTTAAAGGTAAAAATTTATAAATCTTTCATAAAAATAGTTGAGTTTCATTAGTTTTGAAACACACACACAGGCACATACACAGAAATCAAATGTATCCAATTAGAGGTCACAAAGGATGTTCTGGGTCATCAAAGCCATCATTTGATAAAATATACTTCAATGTTCTTAAAGCATTTATGGTAGTTAATTATCTAGTCTGGCCTTGGGAGTCTCCAGAGATCATGTTCCCGCTGCCTTTTGTTCCATTAAATCTATCAGTTTGCATTCACATTGGCAGTAGAGGAGTTGAAGCAAGAAAAAAGAAGAAAATACATTTTTCCTCTTATACTATAAAGCATCACTTCATTCTAATACATACAGATATTTTTTTGAAAACCTGACCCCATTACATTTTGCTTAGTTTCACATATTTCCCAAATTCCAAGCTACATTGTAGGACACCCAACAGAACTGCCTGCGAAGCTTCTGAATGCTAACGTCATATCAAATCCTCCAGCACTCACATGGGGAAGGCGTTGAAGTCATTTTGTCCCAGAAATACTTTTGTCCCTGAAATATTTATTCAAATTTAAATCTAGTGAATAGTCTGAAAACCAACGTTTTAATAACAAAACAAAACAGCTTATGGTTCAAAGTGAATGTGATGCCTGGTCTGATGCCTGAAGCTCTTTATCTGAGTATATGCTGACATCTAACATCAGTTTCTAAGCTCCCTCTGATGGTGGGCGGCCATCGCATTACTTCCCCATTGGATCATTCCCGCACTTGACTCCATAAATGAGCTTGTTCAGTTCTGAGTGGTAAATTCTCTGTTCTTTCCTTTATGTCTCTTCGTGTTTTTCCACATACACAGACAACAGCTTATCAGTTTGAAAATCCCAAACTAATTAGTAAGCAATAAATATGTGCAAAAGAACTATATTTCTTACTACCAAAATCTGTATCACAAATATCTTTCCTCTTAAAAAGTTTGATTTACCTTTCCTTCTGATACCCATTATGTTGATAAAGAATTATGCATCTTTGAGGTTATACATAAAAATAATTGAGGATCTCTTCACTACAAATAATGTGACTACATTTGCAATTTTGCTGAATTTGATGTGTGATTAAAAATGAAACTCAAAATTTAAAGCAATCCCGAGACTTAAAAAAAAAAAAATCTTTCCTTATTTCCTTACATTAAAACATTAAATCTAACCACATAAAAGTGTTCTTATAGGTGATGGAAAAGTTTGAATACAGAGGGCATGTCTGGTTCCATGAAAGATGGGAAGTTAAAGTAAATAATAAGTGTGGAAATTTAGTGCTTAAAAGCTTTCTCATGAAAATGTGAGGTGGCCTGCGCTCTGGGTTACAATGCTTTCTTTAATGGAGCTTTTAGTTAGTAAGACAAGGAATGCATTGTTACTGGACTATATACCTATTTGAAAAAAAAAAAAAAAAGTCTAGTAGAGGAAAATAAATTGCTTTTTATTTGATCCTCAAATCAAAGAATATTAGTGATGGAAAAGGTCTTTGAGATCACCGAGCCTAACACCTTCCCTCTACAAATAATAAAGGTAAATCACAGAGAGGAGAGCTAACTCTACAAGGCCACAGAACTAGGTGAGTCTATTTAGGTAGTGATATCATGATTCCTTTAAGTGCAGCATCTTAACCATAAATTCCAATATTCTAGAAAGAACAGTGAAGGAATTTTGAAACTTAAGCTCACTGAAATTAATTTACTTTTTCAACTGCTTGATTACTTTTCTCCAAATTTCTAAGTAAACCTGGATGTTGTGACTATATTATTGATTTACTTATTGATGGAAATCATACATTTAAAAAAGTGTGAACCAAATGTATTTTCTTGATTTCAATAAGATGTTAATTGTAAAAGAAGCAATTAAAATGGCTTAAAGTAATCATTTAGACTTTCTATTTCTTCTTATTCCTCTTTATCTTCTCTTTCTTTCCTTTATCTTCACCTTTTGAATAATTCCTATCCAACAGTCATGAGGTCTGCCTGGGCAAGGAAGACTGGGTGGAATGCAGTGGCACTGTGGGGCCTAAAGTTGTATATTAAAGCCCAGTGAGGGTGAGAATGGCCTTCATTTGGGCATGGTGGCCGCCCAGCACCCAGTGTTGGATCCAACTGTGGTGATGAGGTTAGCCCCATGGATAGACAACCCAATATTGGTAGTCAGAATCCAAGAAGGGTGAGCAGGGTGTCTGTGCATGTGAAATGTAGTAGTAGCAGTGGCCTGACCTGAGGTGTTAGACAGAGTGGGCTAAGGAGCATGAATTCACAGAAGGGTGTTCTGAGGGTATTTTGTTGCCAGCTGGATGAGAAAAGTGTCCCCACAGGAGAGTGGTCTAGCATGTGGGGGGCAGGGGGCGGGGGGACAAAATGCCACCTTAGCTGATTTTGTTGCATTGGACTGAAATTAAAGATGTGATTGTGAACATGTGGTTTTAGTATACACGGGGACACACAGAAATAAATATTGGTATAAAGCTGCATCTCTCTCTATTTTTAAATATCTGTATCTATATCTATATATATATCCTATATACATCTTTAAATACATTAAATATATTAAATATATATGTCATATATTTCTGTCATACTCTGCTTGAGTAGTTACAACAAACTACCCCAGATTGGCTGACTTAAACAGGAAGAAATTATTTCTCACAGTTCTGGTGGCTGGGAAGTCCAAGATCAAGGCACCAGCAGATCCAGTGTCTGGTGAGGGGCTGCTTCCTTGTTTCCATATGATGCTCTTCTTACTGTGACCTCACATGACAGAGAGCAGAGAGAACACAATTGACCCTAGAACAACAAGGCGGAAAGGGGTGCTGATCCCCTGCACAGCACCCCTTCATATGCAGTTATATGAAAATCTGCATATAATTTTGACTGCCCAAGATCTTCAATACTAATAGCCTACTGTTGACCAGGAGCCTTACAGATAACATAAATAGCTGATTCCTGTGTATTTTGAATGTTATATGCATTATGTGTTATATTTTTACCATAAAGCAAGCTAGAAAAAAAGGTTGTTAAGAAAAGCATAGAGCCAGGTGCAGTGGCTCATGCCTGTAATCTCAGCACCTTGGGAGGCTGAGACAGGCAGATCACTTGAGGTCAGAAGTTTGAGATCAGCCTGGACAACATGGCAAAACCCCATCTCTGCTAAAAATACAAAAATTAGCCAGGCATGGTGGTACACACCTGTAATCCCAGCTACTCCAGAGGCTGAGGCAGGAGAACTGCTTGAACCTGGGAGGTGAAGGCTGTGAGCAGAGATTGTGCCACTGCACTTCAGCCTGGGTGACAGTGCAAGACTCAATCTGAAAAAAAAAAAAAAAAAAAGGAAGAAAATCATAAAGGGAAATGTACTTACTATTCATTAAGTGGAAGTAAATCATCATAAAGATGTAGACCTTCAACATCTGCATGGTAAGTAGGTTGAGAAAGAATAGGAAGAGGAGTGTGTTTGTCTTTCTGTCTCTGAAGTGGCAGAAACGAAGGAAAATTTGCATATAAGTAGACCTTGGCCAGTTCAAATCCGTGCTGTTCAAGTGCCAACTGTATATAAATGGTTTCTGAAATCGTTTCTATTTCATAGTTCTAAGGCCGAATTCCCTGTTCTCCCAGTAAATCTTAGTTTTGCTGTTAAGGCCTTTCAACTAATTAGACGAGACCCACTCACATTATCCAGGCTAATCTCCTATATGTAAAATCAACTAATAGTAAATATTAGTCATATCTTTAAAATATCTTCATAACAACATCTGGATTACTGTTGAACAAAACAACTGGACATCATAGCTTAGCCTCGATGACACATAAAATTAACCATTGCATATACTGACATTGGTCTGTTGGTTTTGATAGAAATGGTGTGATTATATAGACAGATGTCTTGGTTTGGAAATATGTACACATCAAAGTGTTTGGGAGTGTTTGGACATGATGTCAGCATCTTACTCACATGTGATCTGAGGGGGCAAAATGACTGTGCTGTACTCGCATATATCCTGTAAGTTTGCTATTGCTTCATATTTAAAAATTGAAAAAAATAAGACAAATGAAATAATCATTTGAGAGAGAGAGTGTGTGTGTGTGTGTGTGTGGCCTATTGCAAGTGTAAGTCCCATCCTGAGAAATATATAGTTATTCAAGCCTATATTCTGCAGTGGATTTGTTTATCATTTTATCCACTCTGAGCACTAAGATTGTGAGATCTGTTAAGAGTTGGGGGCCATACAGCCAGGACATTTAGCTCTACTATTTAATATAAAGATAACAAAAAATTACTTGAACAGAATTAAATTTATATTAGAGCAGGGGCATTCACTAGCACTGTATATTGAGAGAAGAAACTTCTAGAAAGCATCAAGAAGCCATGCTAACTTTTTCTGTGGTGCTAGTGCTTTCTCTGGCAGAGAGTGAGCTCACAGGCAAGCCCATAGTTTATTTGTTCATTCTTAGAGTATGAATATTTTCCACTTATATTAAGTCACGAACAGCCTCACCTCTGGAGTCAATATGTATAGCTCAGAGTTATACAAAACATTCTGAATTTCATTCGGAATTAATACTTGTTCCTATGATTTTGCCCCTCTCCTGGTCTATCCCTCCTGGAGCTCAGGTTGGTGCAGATGGGAAGCCCTGCAGCAGAAAAGGTGGACATGGCCAGCTTGCCTTCTTTGCTTTTCACACTGTTAGTTCCCCATCCACATGCACACACATCTCACCCTAAGTAACTGTGTTCTGACCTCTCCATGGCAGGAGCGAGGGGGTGTGCAGAACAATTGCAAAGGAGAGGAAAATAGGTTATTTTTGACATTTCTATAAACCTGGTGCTGCCCAGGCTGGTCAGAGTTTAAAGCTGACCCTTTTTGGTGTGGTGCTTTCTTGTTTCAGAAGAACCCCGTTGCTGAGAACTTTTACCCTGTGGAGGAGACATACAATCTGTCTGGCTTCTTAGGGTCCCTCTTGGTGATGTTGGTTCTCAGACCATTTCCACGCACTCTTGCTCTCAAGAAGTTTCATTGCATCTCCAGGAGGGTCTCTTGTGCAAACCACTTAAAGATGGCTCTAGAATGACTCATCTGCTTCTGCATCTCCCTTGCTCTCTCTCTATTCCACAAGAAACATCTGTCTATCACATAAGTGAAGCAAGTGTCATCTACTCTGGTGAAGCAAGCTGCTTCAGTTAGCTGCTCACTTGTGTGATTACTCCACTGTGACGCAGGCTTCAGTTCATTGGGTCCCGAAATTCCAGAGGACATAGACCAAGCTTTGCAATTAGTCCCATATATTTGAAGTGAGGACAGTCAGCATCTCTTTTCTTTTTCCATAAGAGAGGGGTAAGGAAAATCCAAAGATATTCCAACAGCTTTTTCTAAAGATATTCTCTCACCAAATGCAAATTCCCTGGCCATTATTCTTGGGCACTTTGAGTGGGTAACGAGTCAAGTATTTTAAAAGAACTTTTAAACTCCCTTGGTAGTGGTAGTAATTACTGACGTTTGCACAAAAATCTAGTTCTCCACCTCTCCCATAAAGTTCCTTCCCTCCATATCTTTCCACGCACATGGTAAAATTGCCCTCCCAGCTCTCTTACTGATTAGTGGAGTAACTAGGTGTAACTAGGTGTACCTAGTTCTAGCCAATGAGTTGTAAATAGAACTGACAAAAGTCACATATAGGCAGGAGCATGCAATACAGATGCAAAACCTACCAGGGCCCACTTTCTCTTTGGCATGACAACTGGCAATGTTCTAGACAAAGGACTTGCCTTCAGTTGAGATCTCAGAGTAGAGATGATGAAGAGAAAACCCCACCTAACTGGAAATACCAGACAACTTGAACAAGAAGGAATCCATTGCAGATGCACTACTGGAAGGCTGGGTCACTTTTTACTGCAGCATAACTTAATGAGCCCTAACTGATTTAGAATTTCTACAAATTCATCAAAGTGCCTCCCTTTGGGATGAGGGAGCCCTTATGTTGGTTTGTTTGCTTTCTCTCATTTTTGAGGTCTCTGCTAAAACTGAGGCAGAGTTCCATTTAGCATTCTTCAAGCACTTAAAATTGTGGTTGACAGCACTGCACAGATTCTGAAGACACAGTGCCTGGCTTCCAATCCTAACGAGATTGTGTAGTGGCTTTATGTCCTTGGACAAGATGTTTGACCACTCTGTGCTTCAGTTTTCTCATCTGCAAAACATGGATAATAGTAGTTCCTATCTCACGGGTTGTTATGAAGATGATTATACTTAACATTTTTAGTGGGTTTGGATTAGTGCCTGCCACATAGCAATCTTCTACATGCATGCTTACTAATAAGTGTGATATAGTTTTTAACGTCCATCTCTTTATCACTAGCAAGGTACAGCTGAAATGTCTCCAGCTTGCTGCTCTTTCTTCTCTTCAATGCTCATTGCTTCACTGAGGTGCTAAAGTCTGTCTCTGCCTGTCTGTGCTGAAAGGCCAGATCTTTGAGTCAGGGATTTATTATCCTTTGCTGTAGATTCTTAATTTCTCTATCATTTTTTTGCTTACAGTTCTAACATCAAATATTCCTTAGTTCTCTGATATGGTTTGGATATGTGTCCCCTCCAAATTTCATGTTGAAATGTAATCCCCCATGTTGGAGATGGGGACTGCTGGGGGGTATCTGAGTTGTTAGAGTGGATCCCCCATGAATGGCTTGGTGCCCTCCTCATGGTAGTAAGTGAATTCTTGCTCTGAGTTCATACAGTGGCTAGTGTTTAAAGGAGTCTAGTTCTTCTTCCTCTTCCTCTTGCTCTCTCTATCGCTGTATGATACATGGACTCCTGCCTCACCTTCTGCCATGATTTTAAGCTTCCTGAGACCTCATTAGAAGCCAAGTAGATGCTGGGGCCATGCTTGTACAGCCTTCAGAACCACGAGCCAAAATAAACCTCTTCTCTTTATAAATTATCCAGTCTCAGGTATCTCTTTACAGTGATGCAAATGAACTAACACAGTTCTCATCAAATCAATTTCTACAATTCTTGTTACTACAATTGCTACTTAGTTAGATCTACATAATGCAAAGCTATGGGAAGCTTCCTTGCTGTAGGCTCCACAAAACACCAGCGGCAGCTACTTTATTATGGGAATTGGACACATTTTTAAATTTGTGTTATTGTGTCTATGATCCACCATCACTTTGATTATAGGAGGGGTTAAATTGGTCTAGAATTCAGGGTGACAGGGGCACATGGAGCAACTTTCTGAATTCTGACAATTTGAATATAGCTTTCTTATTTTACTTTATTGAAATTACTACTATTGTTGAAATAGCAACTCTCTGCACAATGCTATGACACATGTTCTCTTGCTATATCTAACTTGTGTTTTTACCATTTAACTGTTTCATGGTTATCGTTAAGTAGGCAAGGTAGGCCTGGCTCTAGTATTCTGGAATTGGGTGATTAGATCATAGGAGATGACAGTATGTGAACTAGTGAGAAAATATACACCTCTTCTTATGTATGGTTCTTCTGTTTTAGATAAAGTATGTTATTTGTTGTTTTTATGTATTTTACAATTCTATTTTTACTATAATAATTCCCAAGCTGGGTGCAGAGGCTCACGCCTGTAATCTCAGCACTTTGGGAGGCCAAGGCAGGAGGGTTGCTTGAAGGCAGGAGTTCAAAACCAGCCTGGACAACATGGTAAGACCCCGTCTCTACAAAACAATACAAAAAAAAATTAGCTGGGCATGGTGGCATGCACCTGTGGTCCCAGCTACTTGGGAGGTTGAGGTGGGAGTATCACTTGAGCCCTGGAAGTAGAGGCTGCAGTGAGTTAAGATCATGCCACTGCACTCCAGCCTGGGTGACAGAGTGAGATCCTGTCTCAGAAAAAATAAATAAATAAGTAACTCATAGAATCTTATAATTATAATATTGTACTGGATAATAAATTATAAGCAATTTTACAGTGATGCAGGAGAAATATAATTTTTATGTGAATTATTAAAATATCTTTCTCTTTCATAGAAACTTAATAGAAATGTTTCTGTGAAATCTAAGATAACCTTGGAATGAGTCTATTCTCTTAGAGTATATGTTCTCCTTGGACATTTATTAGGGACTCTAACATTTTATTCTGCTGTAAATTTTAGTTGCTATCCTATTCTTTACAACCAACTTTTCAAAGTTTAATGTCAGTTCCTAATTTGACTTTAAACTTGGCAAGTTTCTGAGTCTATGTGATATAATACGAGTTTCAACTTCCCTCATTAATCTTTTCTGCTTTTGTTGAATTCCTTTGGGAAGCAACAAAGACAACAGGGATAAGCTGGCATAAATCGTAATTGTTATTTGTAGGAAGAAGATGTGCTGAGATTCTTGCTGAAAATGTGCTCTCTATAATCCTCAAGTGAAGAACAGTGTAGAAAAATACATGTGGAGGAGACAAATTTCTCCTTGAAATAGTTTGTTAAAGTCATTGGTTTATATTAATATGTCTTTTGAATATAACAATTATTCTATCTAATATTATTTAATGCATATAATCAAAGAAAAATAAGCAATAGAGCTGTGTTTCATTCAAATTTTTCAGCATGGAGTTTGAATTTTCCAAGCTAAAAACTTGGGATTTTGAAAGAAGTAAGATCCCAGTTTGGGTTGTGTACCCTGAAACTCACAATAGATCAGAATCACATGAACTTATACCTGGGATTTTTTTTAAGAAATAATTTTATATTTTATAAGAAATAAGAATGAAGACCTTAGATTGAGAATAGATATTGTCAGAAATGTTACATTTTGTCTACAAAATGTTATATACATAGCGTATACATCATGTGAAATTGATTTATTAAAACAAAGTACATCAGTATTCAACAGGAACCTTATTCTAAGATTGCATTATGTTTTATGATACAAAAGTTTTATTCTATTTTTAAATAAACCTTGCCCTTATTTTAATGCAGTAAATTAGGAGAATTTTTTAACCAAGATCGAAGAATTCAGAAAAGTTTCCTTCAGTAGACTTTCTTAAATATCTTTGGGGAAAGTTGAGTAGACTTAAGAGCATTCCAAACCTTTAGGAAGAATATGGTCTGATTTGATTTCTTCCTTGAGTTACTATAAATGTATCTTTAGAAACCACTGCCTGTCTTTCCAGAGACCATCAATTTCATCCCTCTGGTATGCTCTCAACTTCATATCCTGCCCTCAATATTAGATGTTAATTACATCCCAGATAATGTACTAGGTATTTGGTTGCTGTTCCAAAGACTCTGAAGTAGGTACTATCATTATCTTTCATTTTTTTTAAACTGATGAAGACAGTTGAGAGGCTACATAATTTCACCAAAGTGTCAAAGTTAATAGTGAATCAAATATTCAAGTTCAGATACGATTGTTGTCAAAATCTAGGCCCTTTTAACTGCTTTACAATTCTCTCATCTAAAAGTTCAGTCTCATTTTAATGCACTGTTTGCATAAAATCAGAACTGTCCAAATAACACAACTTGGACACCTTAACATGCCTTCAAGTCTATTTCATGTTTTTTAAATTAAGGAAATCATCATTGTCCTTTATCTTTCACTGTTTTAATTTACGTAATCTTCTCTCCTTGCACCATTCGGCTCTTCAAAAAACTTACAAGATTGCACCATACACCCTATGAACTAATTTCCTTTTGTTATCCACAGGTTCTGATGAAACCACTTGTAACTTTCAGCCTGGTTGCCTAGCTTTGCTACAGAAAGTTGAGGTCCAGTCACTTTGGGTACAGGGTACAGATGAAGAAGGAGCACCCCCAGGAGGCTACAGTGTGAAGGCAGTTCATTGCTAATGCTATGAATCTTGAAGCAGTAGGTACGAATTTTAGAGGGAAGCTCCTCCTTGTGAGATTCATTGCTTCCAGGGGGAGGTTCTGCATACCCACCTGAGCAATGATTATTATTTCAAGCCCCATTTTCACATAAAGAAATTCAGGCTTATTTAGGGTCATTTAACTGGTATATGGCAATACTGAAATTCGATATCAGAATATCAGTTGTTTCTAAATTGGAATAAATTGCAAATAGCTTCTCATGACATAGAAGACATGTAAAAACAAGGAATAATTCAAGATCCAGAGGACATGAGACAGTGGCTGAGGCAGTAGTCTTGCTCTCCCAGTATAGATCATCAAAACTATGACAATGGATAAATGACAAAAAGTAAACTCCCACCTGTGACTTGCTCATGTATTTACCTTAGTACTGTCACTTGTATGATTATTACTCATAAATAGCTTCATGATGGTGGAATTGTTGTAGAGAACTGAAAGAATAATAAATATATTATTATTTATTTTTCTAGGAATCAAAAACATGTTTAATTGGATTACATGTATGGAAACAAACAGCTTTTCAAAAAGAGATGAAACTGTCTTTTTCAAACTTTAAGTTCAAGCAATTACCTTTGCAATTACATGTACACGTTTTTATTTGTTTATATATATAAAATAGCTATTCATGTGAAATCTACATCCTGTGGAGTGACTGCAGGTGCTTAATTGTTGCCCATAAGCAAACCATTACTGCACTATAACTCTGTTATAGTACACAGAGAAAATACTATGAGTAGAAATGGCTTTTAAATAAAGTTTTACACCCTATTTTGCAAACAATTCCCCCTCCATCTTAAATAAATGTATTTCACTGAATGCTGCTGTTTTTATTTAATGGACCAAACAGATATTGGAAAGTGCAGCTGTTGTACTTCACTTGCCATATCTGGTTAAAAGTCATGAAGCGTATCGGAATTTGCTACCCCCAAATATGCCTCTTTAGCATACGGATTATTTTGAGTTAAAAACCAGAGAGAACCAGCAGATGAAGGAAAAGCCTTAAAATTAGGGCACAAGTTTTCCTTTTGTAAAAGAAATTTTCGTTTGTAGAGATACAAGTTTTCCTTTTGTAAAGGACATTTTTATTTGTAGAGATACTTCTCTCTCATGCCAGGAAGAGAAGAATTTTTAACAACTCATCAATAGATAAGGCACAGACTTAAATCTGCAAAACAAACCATATGCAGATTTCCACTTTTCCTGGTCACCTTCTCATAACTTGCCTCTCCCTTCCAGAAATCCCAAACTCCTTTTCCTTTGTTTTAGCCTAAGATGATATGTAAACCCAGGTTCTAACCACCCCACTGGTTTTCGCTTCACTGGGTGCCCCCGTGTGTATATGTGCAATGCACATGTTAGTAAACATGTTTTTTCTCTCATTAACCTGTCTTTGGCCCGTCTAATTTATTGAGACCCATCTAGAGAGTCTAAGATAAGTAATTTTTTTTTTTCCTCTCCTATACTCAACAAAACAGGAAGAATCCACATTCTACTTCCCCGTTTTCATATGCAGGAGTACAGAATGAACTATTAATACACAAATGGATTGATTGTGAGTATGAATCATACATATGCTAATTATTTATTAGGTAATGCTTGGGATGGTAATATAGTATTTCTTGAAATACCTACAATCCTTTTGGTGGCATAACTCATCATATTCTCTCTGTTCAAAACAGTTAAGCTACTATTATGTCCTTAAGCTCACTTGTAAGTATACGAGAGGAAAAAAATCTCTTTCTCTAACTACCCTGGGTTTATGGCTAAGCTCACTATAGCAAAAAATCAATTAATAAAGAAAAACATACAAATTTATTTAATAAATTTGATGTGACATGAACACCTTCATAAAGAAATGAAGACCTGAGGAAACGGCTAAACCTCTGTATTTCCATGTCAGGTTTGATGAAGAGTGGACAGGACAGTCATGGAGAAATGTGAAAGAACAAAGCGGGTTTAAGTTGATGGTCATTACTGAGGGAAACTTAGCAAGGCCTGTTAGTCCAGAATCTTCGCTGTGACCTTTTGTCTTCAGAGATAAAGATATTCCCTTCCTCTAGGTATCGTGTGCGGTATATGTGACCGTCTCATATGAGGGTCTTATATGAGGGTCTCATGACCTGTCTCCAGGGGAAGATTAGAAAATCCTTCCTAGGTTTTATGACCTACTTCAGGGAAGAAGGGCAGGGGAAGATTATGGAGACTGTCTGGCTTCTGCTGATTTTCAATATACTGAGGTGGCATATTTTGGGGTTGTGTTCCCTGAATCCCATCATTAGATATTTAGGCTTTAATCTCTCTCTCTCCTTCCACCCCAACATCTAGGCAGAGGTAATGTTACCGGGTGGTCCTTGCTCCCAGAGCTCCCAAGATGGTGGCGGGCCACTTCCAAAAATGGTGGTGGGCCGCTTCCAAGATGGTGGCAAGCCTCCTGTTCTCTGACCTGGGCCTCTTGGCCTCACAGATTCCAAGGAATGGAATCTTGGGCCACACGGTGAGTGTTATAGCTCTATTAGAAGCCGTGGGTCACAGAAGAGAACCGTGGAACCCAGTGACTAGTGTTCAGCTCCGTAAGGATGAATCCGGGCACTTAGCCATGCAGGAACAATGGCAAGCCTTTAGCCTGATCGGGAGTGGCACTGGGCGCCTCACTGGATCAGGAGCACAGCAGACACCCTGCCGGATCCAGAGGGATGGAAGTCAGCGGTGGGTCTGCCACTGCGCAAACAGCAGTGGTGGATGGCGAGCAAAAGCTCAGCTGGAACCATAACAAACACGGACCAAAAGAGAGCACAGTTGCAAGATTTAATAGAGTGAAGACAGAGCTCCCATACAAAGGGAGGGGACCCAAAGAGGGTAGCCCTTGCCTATTCGGATGCCTGGGTTTATATCCTGATCATTGTCCCTCCTGCTGTGCTCTCAGGCAATAGATGATTGGCTATTTCTTTACCTCCTGTTTTTCCCTAATTAGCATTTTAGTGAGCTCTCTTTCCTACCTGATTGGTCGGGTGTGAGTTAAGTTGCGAGTCCCGTGTTTAAAGGTGGATGTGGTCACCTTCCCTGCTAGGCTTAGGGATTCTTAGTTGGCCTAGGAAATCCAGCTAGTCCTTTCTCTCAGTAACAGGGGTCAGCCATTTACTGATAATCATCTGAAATAGATTTTGTATGTACAAAATATACAAAAATAGATTTTGTATATTTTCTATTATCTTTGGGTATTTTAATTGACAGTAATATAGAGACAGGGAAGAAAGAGTAAGAAAGACTAGGAAGAAGTTAATATCTAAAACTTGCTGTTTTACTAAAGATGTCACTACTGTACCTTCCCACCAAAAGAATTATAAAATCCTTCATTTATTTGTTTTTCCTTTTTGAAGCTAAGGTGATTGTTAATATTTTTAGGCCAAAATGAGTGTCCAACTGCAAAACATTTAGATTTTTTGCTTTCTTTGCTCTCAATCTTCTTTTTTTAATTTTAATTTTTTTAATTTTATTTTTCCCTAAGTTATTGGGGTACAGGTGATATTTGGTTACACGAGTAAGTTCTTCATTGGTGAATTGTGAGATCCTGGTGCACCCATCACCTGAGCAATATACGCTGCACCATATTTGTTGTCTTTTAACCCTCTCACCCCTTCCACTCTTCCTGCTAAGTCCCCAAAGTCCATTGTATCATTCTTATGCTTTTGCGTCCTCATAGTTTAGCTCCCATGTATCGGTGAGAACATACAATGTTTGGTTTTCCATTCCTGAGTTACTTAACTTAGAATAACAGTCTCCAATCTCATTCAGGCCATTGCAAATGTTGTTAATTTATTCCTTTGTATGGCTGAGTAGTATTCTAATATATATATATATCATATATGATATATATCATATCGTATATCATATATCATATATGATATATATGTCATATATATGATATCATATATATCATATAGATATATATATATATCACAGTTTCTTTATCCACTCGTTGATTGATGGCATTTGGGTTGGTTCCATGATTTTGCAATTGTGAATTGTGCTGCTATAAATATGCGTGTGCAAGTATCTTTTTCGAATAATGACTTCTTTTCCTCTGGGTAGATACCCAGTAGTGAGACTGCTGGATCAAGTGGTAGTTCTACTTCTAGTTCTTCAAGGAATCTCCACACTGTTTTCCATAGCGGCTATACTAGTTTACATCCCCACCAGCAGTGTAGAAGTGTTCCCTGATTGCTGCATCCATGCCAACATCTACTATTTTTGATTCTTTGATTATGGCCATTCTTGCAGGAGTAAGGTGTAAGGAGTAAGGAGTAAGGTGGTATCGCGTTGTGGTTTTGATTTGCATTTCCCAGATCATTAGTGATGTTGAGGATTTTTTTTTAATGTTTCTTGGCCATTTCTAAATCTTCTTTTGAGAATTGTCTATTTATGTCCTTAGCCCACTTTTTGATGGGGTTGTTTGTTTCTTTTCTTACTGATTTGAGTTTTTATTATTTCTCTACCCCTTTCGAAAACCTGTATACTATATACAGGTACTGTATAAATTAAATTTAAAAAATAAAAAAAGGTGTAAATGGATAACAGACATTGAAAAATTCAATAAAAAATAAGTAGCACATAAATTTTGGAAAAGGTTTGGCCTCCATAGTAATGTAAGAAATAAAAGAAATATACACTTATAAAAATAAATAATATTTTACAGCTATTTTTTACACCAGATTTTAGTTCAATAAGAAACAATTCTGATGATTTAATGATGTATGGATGTGCTCTAACCATGATGATGGCAGTAAAAATTGGAGTAATCTTTGATAGGCCAATCTTTAGATCATCCAATATAGAAACCTCAGTTCCCCAAAAAATCATGCAAAGCAAAAAAATGCTAACATTTATTGTATCATTATCTGTAATAAAATGATTAAAAGAGCAGAAGGAAAAGAAACTACAAGGAAAGTGTCTGCATGAATTTTGAGGCATCAACTTAATTAGATATTATGTACTTTACAACATGGAAAGGAAAGATTTTTGAAGTTGCAGATTCAAAGATGAATTTAAGTACCTATTTGATAAGCATATGCTAAATCCATTCACAATTATGTTCTCATGAAATTATTAAAACAATAGTATAAAGTAAAAATTGTAAACACTGAATATATGCTATGTACACTGTGACAAACATTACATATTTGTTCACAAAAGTGATTTAAAGGTAATATAAGTAAATACAGATTTGTTCTATGACACTAGGATTTTCTTTTCTTTCAAAATAAACTTTTCTACTCTTATAATATTATTTTTACAATATAAAAAACCATAGGGATAGCAAAGTATAAACATGGCAAAAATATTGTTTTTACAGGGTCTGAAATGGTAATCAGGTAAATGTCGATGACAGCAGACACGAATAGACAGAATGTCCTAGACAGTAAATAATAAAAAATAGAATAAATCTTCTGCTTTAGAGAAAATAACATGGCTTAGTTAGATAATCATCTTACATAATACAGACAAATATAAATGGCCATTTAGTTTTTCTTTTTGCAACTTTGTTGATTCTGAGAGCTCAATTTTGTTTTTTCATTAGTTGAAACCATCAGTTTAATAAACTAAACTAAAATAAAATAAATATTTGGAAATATTACAAGGGATTTTTTAGAGGTAGTCATTTAATTGGCTTGAAAAAAAAAGTTGGAAACAATTCACTTGTCATAAACATATCCCCAGTTCAAGTTATTTTATTTCAGTTTTTCTAGTAAGGTATTTTCTGGATTTAAGTTCTAGGCTAAGTTGCTGAATTGAGTGGGAACAGAAACACTTATCCATTGGAACTTAAGAGAATGTTCTATTCAACATAGATAGAACTTTGGCTTTTGAAGTCAGAATCTTGCTTCTCATTTGTATTGGGGGAACCTGCCCCCAATATTTCAACGTAGGTTCTTTCTATTTTCTGTAAGTGTCAGCCAGCTGAGAAATAAAGAGAGACAGTACAAAGAGAGGAATTTTACAGCTGGGCCTCCAGGGGTAACACCACATATCAGTAGGACCATGTTGCCCACCTGAGTCTCAGACCAGCAAGTTTTTATTCATGGTTTCAAAAGGGGAGGGGGTGTAAGAACAGAGAGTAGGTACAAAGATCACATGCTTCAAAGAGCAAAAAGCAGAACCACTGATAAAGGTCTAACAAGATCATATGCTTCTGAGGGAACAGGGCAAAGGGCAAAAGCAGAACCACTGATAAGAGCCCAACAAAGATCACAGGGCAAAGGGTAAAAGCAGAACTACTGGTTAATGGTTTATGTTCAGTGGTACACGTATTGTCTTGATAAACATCTTAAACAACAGAAAACAGGGTTCAAGAGCAGAGAACTGGTCTGACCACAAATTTACCAGGGTTGAGTTTTCCCAACCCTAGTAAGCCTGAGGGTTCTGCAGGAGACCAAGGCTTATCTTAGTCCTTATCTCAACTGCACAAGACAGACATTCCCAGAGCAGCCATTCATAAACCCTCCTCCAGGAATGCATTCTTTTCCCAGGATATTAATATTAATATTCCTTGCTAGGAAAAGAATTTAGCGATATGTTTCCTACTTGCACATCTGTTTATAGGGTCTCTGCAAGAAGAAAAATATGGCTCTTTTTGCCTGACCCCGCAGGCAGTCAGACCTTATGGTTGTCTTCCCTTGTTCCCTAAAAATCACTATTATTCTGTTCTTTTTCAAGGTACACTGATGTCATATTGTTCAAACACACATGTTTTACAATCAATTTGTACAGTTAACACAATTATCACAGTGGTCCTGAGGTGACATACATCCTCAGCTTACGGAGATAACAGGATTAAGAGATTAAAGTAAAGACAGGCATAAAAAATTATAAAAGTATTATTTGAGAACTAATAAATGTCCATATTAAGATGAAATCTTCACAATTTATATTCCTCTGCCACGGCTCCAGCCAGTCCCTCCATTTGGGGTCCCTGACTTCCTGTAACAATTTGGACTCTAAAGACCAAACTTCACATTATATGTCAAAACCTGGTCCTGCCAACTGTCTAAGTAGAAATAAACTATGAAAATAATTTTAGGAGAATGCCAGCTATTAGAAAATAAAAACTACTCTCTAATTGTTTTAAAAAAATAAAAATGAAAGACAGTTTTTACAGGTTGCTCAATTATAGTTGAAATCTTTAGAAAAAGCAAATATTATTTGTTTGTTGATATTAAAATATTTATTTATCTTATTCCAGATCGTTCACTTAAAAACATAATCATTTTTCTTTAGGAAAAAAAGAAGAAGAAGAAGAAAAGAAACAGACTTGGTATCTGCAACAAGTAGAATCAGAAAGGACTAGAATTTAAAAAGGTTAAAAAGATGATTGAATGGAGAATATTGCTCAGAGGGAAGTTTGTATTTTTAGAAGAGGAGAGGTAACAGCGTTGGTAGAAATGGGTAAGAAGCCAGTAAATATAGCAGCCTATGAAGAGGTCATATAGACCTTCTGGAGAGACAGACAAAATAAGGAGGCAGAAGCTAAAGAATGTTTACATTCTTAGAACCATACATGTAAGAGCAGTTAAAAGCAGAGCTGAATTTTCACATAATAGAACAGAGGCTTCGACAAACATAAAAACTGCAAACTCTACAACCAGTTGCTTTGGGAATGACGTTGCTTCCAATGTGGTGATGAATTTACAGTGAGAAAAGCTGCGTTGAAATGAAATAAACAGTAACTGAAAGCACAGCCACATGAGTTTCACAAAGACCGTTTTTGAAAGAAATTCTAAGGGAAGTTTAGAGAGATTTATTCTATAAGAGTGTTAGATTGGCCGGGCACAGTGGCTCATGCCTGTAATCCTAGCTCTTTGGGAGGCCAGTGGGCGTGGACCTTCTAAGGTCAGGAGTTTTAGACCAACCCGGACAACATGGTGAAACCTGGTCTCCAAAAAAAAAAAAAAACAAAAATTAGCCAGGCATGGTGGCAGGCGCCTGTAATCCCAGCTACTCAGGAGGCTGAGGCAGGAGAATTGCTTGAAACTGGGAGGCTGAGGCTGCAGTGAGCCAAGATCGCGCCACTGCACTCCAGCCTGGGCAGAAAGAGTGAAACTCCATCTCAACAACAGCAACAAAAATAAATTAAAAAAAAAAAAAAAGAAAAGAAAAGAAAAAAAGAGGGTTAGATTGTGGATAAACGTTTAATTGTGATTTCAAGAGTGTCCAGGTTTTGTCATTTCTCCCTCTGACTCCACCTAAGCTCATATAATTAATCAATCCTGAAGGTTAGACATGCCCATATTGTCTCACTTAATCTTTTTATGGCTATTACCATCTGGAAGCAATGGTAGACTGTATAAAATGTGATGCACCTGGTAGATTTATCAAAAGAAAACATACAAACAGAAAGCAGGCAAATCAGTTACATTTAAATTTCAGATAAACAATGAATAATTTTTAGTATAAATATGTTGATCCAATATTTTGATAAATGATGAATGATGAATATATTATTTAATTCTTTAACATATACATGTCCTAAGTGTAGCATGTAACATACTTATACTATGAAATTATTTTCTATCTGAAATTCAAATTTAGTTGGGCATCTTCTACTTTCTCTGCCAATCCTAAAATGTAGATATATAAAAAGGGACTTGAAGCCTAGGTAATTCAAACACCAGGTTTACCTTGCAATAGCTGGTGGTTCAGGGATTTTGGTGTTTACCCACCTGGAGCAAAGCAAAAGTGAAGCAAAATCAACAGAGGCCATCTAATAGATAACACTCCAATTTCAATGGAACTTGAAAAATCCCCAAGGTTCCTTCTATGAAAGGCATCTCTCACGGAGTCTAACTTGGTGAGTCTTGGAAAGGTCTTGATATCTATATTTTAACAAGCACTTCAAATAGATCTATTATACATCATCTTCAGGTTTCATATTGAGAAATATATCTAACTTAACCCTCCTTTCTAAAACATAAGAAGTCTAAGGAAATAAAAGCTTCTCTAATCCACCAATACTTGCTACATTAAACATTAAAATGAAAAAACAAATAAAAATGTAAACATTTTGTAAACAGTTTATTTAAAAATAATAAGACTGATGTTTTAAGAATAAAATCTCATGCATGATTTATAAAAAATTATGTTTTCCAATACAAAAAATAATTTAGTGAGAATTGCTTTATAGTTTTTCATTAAATTTTTACAAATTTCTTTAATGTATGTTTTAATAAAGACAGCTGGGTTCTCAAATCTTCTGCACTTAACCTGTTTTTATATGTTGCTTAGGTTGAAATGCATAAAGAAAATGTAGTCTCATACAAATATGTAGTTAAAAAAGAGAGATGTATTTTAAGGGACTTTTCAATTAATAGTGGATATTCTTTTTTCAAATACTAAATGAGCAGCAATCTTCATATTAGCTCTACAATGACTCTGTCTCATAATATTTTCCAGGCAATCAAGCTTTTAATATAAAATGTGGAAAAATATTAAACAAGGCAATAGTGTTTTATAAGCCTATGCCTGGAACTTAAAAAGAATCATATGTGTAAATCTTTAATAGGAATATTTTAACAACAAAACATCCTTGGATTTTACTAGACAAATATAAGTTACCTGTGAATGAGTTATGAATATATATGTGTGTGTATATGTATGTACATCATGTTTCTATTTTATATAAGTATGCATATATGTGTGTATGTTTTATATATACTCATTGTATATTTATGTGTATGCATATATAATATGAAATAATAGATTTTTCTCTTTTGTTCCAACAACCAAAGAACTAGAGTCTCCTTCCTAAAGTTGGGCTATTTCTAAAGGCAATAAACTTGATAAATTTCTGAGTAACTTTAAAATCGTTTTTCATATCATAATTCTTAATGTGCCTTAAATATGCTCTACACAGGGTGTCTCCATTCCAACTATAATTTTTCAAAAAAAAAAAAAAAAAGAATGATAAAAGAAGTGTTGAAAATCCAGAGAAAATAATACCTGTTCAAGAGTTGATTCTTCAGATCTATTTTTTGCTATTGTCCCAAAAGCTATGCTGGGAAATACTGCTGAACCAACATGCATGCCTCCTTTCTTCCCTGGAAGAAATATGGCTGAGCTAAAGGGAAAAAAAAGAAGACTCCTAAAAAGCACTCAGAATTAATTCTAGTGGATAATTATGGTCTCTTTTTTGCCTGCAATCTATCACTCACTTAAGTAGGTGAGCAAAGACAGGTAAGGGCAAATTCATTTCAAAGAAATATCTGGAAGAACCATGCAGTGCACAATGGCCCCTCCCTCACTTATCCCTTCTACCTGTGTGCTACCCTGGCTCCTTACTTCAGCCCTCTTTTATTTTCTTCCAGTGTCCTTCTGTTTCATTTTTTAAATTTCATGTATTTATTTATTTATTTATTTTCTTGAACTCTCCTCTGCCTTTTTTCTGATACTGCTACGGTGTTCAGTTGTAATGAGGGTTTCCATCCATCTTAGCTAGAGCAGGCATATACGTGTCAGTAAGGATTATACACAGAAAGTGAGTCACACATCACTCGCAGTCATCAACACACTGACATGTTTTTAGCACAACCTGCACGCTACATATGTCAGCAAGTACTCAAAATAATAAACATGCGCATTGTTTTATTGTACCAATTAAAATGTGTATATGTTTAAACAATCACCATGATTACATCATGACATAATCAGAAAGACTAGAAAGTGTTGTAACTATCAAAACTCATTTTGGGGATCAAAAGGAACATGAATGGATAGGTAAGTATGTGACTATGCATACGTGTGCATTATACTGTCATCCCCTATATCAGTACTGAATGAGAAATAACAACTCTTCTCACAAACTTGGTTGACACTTGCATAGAAAGAAGATGATAGGGAAAAAAAGTGTATTTAAAGAGTTCAAGGAGAATATGGGATAGGACCTTGATTCATAACCATGAAAATTGCTATTAAGGTAACCATGTAGGAGTTAATTTGTACAAACTTTATAGAAAGCAGTTGGACAATACGTATTAAGAATCCTAAAGGTGTTGATTTTCTTTGACCCAATTAAATCAACTTCTTATAATTTACCCTAAAGCAGTATTCAGAGATAAAAAGAACAATTTTTATATGAGAATATTCATTGTAGCATTGTTTGTAATAACAATAAAGGGTAATTGTGAGCAGCATAAATAACTGACAAAAAAGGATATTTTCAATAAATCATGAAATATCCGAGTGGTTTAATAAAATGCTGTTATCAAACATCCGGTTTCCAAAGATAACTACAATTATAAAATAGATAGAAATAGACAGACATAGATAGCTGTGTGTGTGTGTGTGTGCATGTGTAGGTGTGTGCCTATATATGTAATGTGCGTATGTGTGTGTATATATATTTGTTTAGTTAAAATACAAGTTACTTAAAAATGTAATTTCTCACACAAGATTTTTGTGAACATGAATACAATTTTGCATAGAAAAAAGACTGATAGGAAATATACTAAAATGTTAGTAATGGATGGTAAGATTTGGGGTAAATAAAAGCTTCATATATTTTCACTTTCTTAAATTACTTACAGTGATCCCACATTATCAGTAATGAAGTAGTAAAATTACATCCAAAAAATTCTCATACATACAGTATTTATATCTCCGAAATTCATTGCTAGCTTTGCTCAGTGATTTCTGTTCTTGATGCAGTTTGTAACTAAGCAGGAATGCTACAGACACTTTCAAAGTCACCCTTTCAGCTGCATTCCTAGGGACTTATTAAGGTGATAAACACCTTTGGCCAAAGCCTATGGTCAGCAACATTCTCAGCAAAATCAAATGTTCCTGTTACTTTTGTTTCTTATGTGTTTGAAACAAGGGCTACCCAAGCAGTTCATTGTGGCACCCCAGGCTGTGACCAGATTGTTCATCCTCGCACTGAGTTTGGGTCTCTAAATGAACCCAGGTATGTTTTAATAACCTTGGAACTGGGAACTCTTTTTGCACCATTTCCATACACAGCCAGCTGCTGTATATTTTGGCAGTGGCAAGCTTATTTCTAAGGAAAGAGAAATATTTCCATTCTTTAATAAGTCATTCTAAGTTTCCTGTGATGTTATAAATAATCGGGCAAACAGCCGGCTTTATTCTGCTTAATTTGATATGGCAGATTTGAAATGTCGAAAAGTTCACTCTCAACATAAGCCATGCAACTGGACTCTGACCAATATTCTCATTCCTGATGGGATAAACTTTATCATCAAGCTCACTCAGGAAGGCAGCTGGGACCCTGCTTGCCCTTCCCAGGCGCTGACTGATAGAGTAGTCTGAGTTGGCCCCGCATGCTGTGAGCATGAGGTCAGCTCTTCCTGGGTTTTCTCTTGGGGGACAGGCAACTAGCCTGACAAACTTAGCTAATATACCTGTCACTCAAGGGCAGAGAGAAGGAGGCCAGAGAAACAAAGTTGAAATTAACATGTGAGTAATTGGAAGAAGAAGCATTAAATATCATTTCAGGGTAAACATTTCAATAAAAGAGTCATATTTTAGTCTCTCTATAACACTCTGTGTCAAATTTCCTTTCACGATCAAGTTCAAGGGCTGATTTACACTTTGGAAGTCCACAGAGAACTGAATCCTGGGCATAGCGATGAAGGTCACCTGACTATAGTGATGAAAGATAAAACTACCATAAATTCAGATGCTTGGCTGAGATTTTTAAATCTGTTGAAAGAGCTAAAAGGTCATTTTGCCAATTAGTTTGATGTTTAATAGGATATTTTGTTGTTTTTAGTCCTTTGCCTTGTATTTACAAATCAAACAGGCTCTGATGAAACAGCTCAAATGTGGTTTGCATTGATTCAGAAAGGAGTTATTTAAAGAGGAAAAAAAAGTTGTTGAACTTGATTTAATGAGTTTGAATATTAAGCAATTTCCTTTAATAATACATTTGTTTAAAGTAAACTGTTCATAGTTCATCTGGTCTTATTTTTAATTTTGTATTTTATCCAAACCTGATCTGCTTTTCTTTCCAGTTTCTTATTATTCATAAGGCTGTTCATGTTCCAATTAAGATCATTTTAGAATGTGTTTTCTGGAAATAAATACAGCAAGTTGATTAGGAATAGCCAAGATCAAATGTGAAAGGAGAGATCAGGTTTTGAATGCAGACAATGTTTAAAATGTATGGGTTTCAAATTTCCTTAAAGCCAAAAAAAAAGAACACATTGTTTGTAAAAGTATAAAAAATCTTGTGCTTCTGAGATCTCACTTGAATATTTACTTTACTTAATAAATACTCCTTTTGCTTTGAAGAATAGACGTAAACACTGTGTAAACATTGTGTGAGAATCTTGCACATGGTGAGGCAAACACACAGGGGTTTTCACATAACTATTGAGAAGTAAATAAATCCCATAGGCTTAAGGGCTCCCCAATTCCTTGCTACAGAGCCCTGTTGTCCACGGTTTATTTTTTTCCACAGGACGATTCTTAATACTTTACCAGATGGAAACACCACCACCACCATCTTTGCCATTTCAGCTCTTATGCATTAGGCAGCCACGATATCTTCAGGGCCTTCTTTCTCATTCACGCCATCTCAAGGTGGGTGCATTAGATGAATAAGTAGTGCATTTATTTCCTAGGGCTGTTGTAATGAAGCATCATAAACTGAGTGGCTCAAAACAACAGAAATTATTGTCTCTCAGCTCTGGAGGCTAGAAGTTGGAACCCAGCAGTGTTGGTAGGGCCATACTTTATCTGAAACCTGTGTTACCCCTTACCTCTTCCTAGCTTCTGGTAGTTTGCTGGCAGTGTGTGGAACCCCTTGGCTTGCAGCTGCATAACTACAATACTGCTTCTGTCCTCACATGACATTCTCCCTGTGTGTTTCTGCCTTTATACAGTGATCTTCTCAGAAGGACAGCGATAGAATTAGGGGCCCACCCTATTCCAGTATGATCTCATCTTAACAAATTACATCTTCAATAATCTTGCAATTACATTCTAAGGTACTAGGGGTTAGAAATTCAACTTTTTGTTTGGGTTGGGGGACACGATTTAACATCTAACAGGTGTGAACAGGCAATATGGATAACTGTGTGTATAATGTTGCTTTACAAAAAATTGGTCAGTAACTATGGCTGTTGTTCATTTTTAAAAATTTTAAGCAACAATTATTTGTTAGAACTCCATGGGGACCTTCATAGCAATATTGAACTCAAAGTAAAGATGTAAGCTTGAGGTTTCTTTCTATGCAAGCATTGTCTAACTTTCAAACTTCTCAAACCATAGGGAGACAGGAAAGAAATCACCTCATATAATGCTCGCAGGTTTGGAATCAGTTGAAACAGCCTAGTTTAAAAAGGTCAGTATAGAGTTTAATTGGGTATATTTAACTGAAGTATTAAATAGAGACATTGCTGGCCTGAAAAAGATCTCATGCCAGATAAAGGCAAATATAATAAAGATGTCAGGGTGCTTCTCTGGAGCAAGTGAGATCATTATGCAATTATGTTACTTAGAAAGGCAAAGGGCAGAATACAATTTACACTGTGAAATGTTACATTTCCCAGTTTCCGGAATCCTTTTCTTCTCATTTCTTTGCAGGTAATCCACTGGGCTAGCGATAGGTTATAATTAAGTGTTGTCATGATTTCCAGTTAGTTTAATATGAGAGAATTTACTTAAAATCATCAAGTCTTCAGACAAACTATGATGTTCTAAACAAATTTTGACAATTAAAAAAATAGAATTAAATATTTGCTTTGATATAGAGCTGAATAGCCATACCAAAGAAGTTCTAGAAATTTTTGACTATCTTAATTTATAAATTTAACCACAATTTGTTAACTATTTACTATATTCAAGACATTATTTGATACTGGGCTTGTAAAGTAAAATTGAGTGAAACATTTTAATTTTCATAAATTGTGATTTCATAGATACATGTGTAGAGGTGACTTTTTAAGTAGCCTATAATAAGTGCCATACCCTAAATACAAATGTAGTGATGCTACCAAGAGCAAAGAGAGCTTCTTTGTTACAAGGAACAAAGGCAAAGAGAGCATCAAATGTAACTAAACAGATGAGAGAATCATAAGGTACACTAGTTAGAGTAGGTTAGGGTAGGCCACCAAGCCATTCCAAAATTTCGGTAGCTTAACACACATGCAAGTGCATACACACAGGCGTATGTTTTTGTGTTTATTTCTTTTGCAATTCATAATATGTGTTCAATATGGTTCACCTGGAGGTGGGAACCTTGCTTCAGTGCTTCCCTGATCACCAAGACACATAAAAAGAAAAATGGCAAATCACTCAATGGCTCTTCAAGCTTCCATCCAGAAGGCTCCATAGTACTCTTATCACTTCTGGCCAAATCAACTCATAATAACATTAAAAAAAAAAAAAGCAAAACTTGTGAAGGAGAGAGGGTCCATATGTAAGAGATACAATCATAAAGTGTGCCCAGAATTTGAAGAGTGCTGGCATATTTGCATGCACCCAAATGGATATCACTGTGGGCATCTGTGAAATGACGAATGATATTTCAGTGAGTGGAAATTGTGCCAGGGTCTAAAAATATTCAATAGAGTGGAAAAGAAAATTGGGAAACAGTTGACAGCACTTTTGTTCGTTAAGTGGCAAATATTTGTGCATGACCAACGGTGGAAAACAAATATGACAAAAGTATATTGTTATTGGACTACCAAGAATCTTGTATTAGTTTGAGTTCTCTCAGAGCTGACCTTGAGACTACAAATGAGCTCAAGTAGTTTGGGAACTTGCAATGGCTTTCCTGAGGTGTCTACTTGGCTAGACTACTGTCTTCAATTATTCTAAGACTAATTAATCACCAAACACTAACCTAGGTGTTGCTGTAAAGAGATTTTGCAGATATAATTAAAACTTCTAATCGGTAGACTTTGTGTAGGGAACACTGTCCTGGATAATTTGTGTGGAGCTGACTGAATCAGTTGCAAAACCTCAAAAGCAGGGCTGAGGTTTCCCAGAGAGAATAAATCTCACCTGTAGACAACAGCGCTAGCCTGTCCCCAGAGACTCCAGCCTGCCTATGATATCCCTTTTCTGAATGCCCACCCCATGATATCAACTTTTTAGCCAGCTCATGCATTTGTAAATTCGATTTCTTATAATAAATATCTTCCTATATTGTACTGCTACTGGTTCTGTTTCTTTGGTTGAATCCTAACTGATATAAAAGGGATCATAGGAAGTACAATCGGGCAATAGAAAAATGAGACAGAAAATAATGCAGCTCAATAAAGTGTGTTTTTATGAACAGATTACTCCTGTGGGTATCTGGGCTCAATCCCAGTGGAAACCTTCTAAATGACTGTAGACAAGAAACCTCCAAATGACTGCATGAACGGTGGAGAAAACCAGGGTATTTCTCCTTGAACTCTAGCTACTTATTGCTTAAGAGCACCTGTCCCCTCCACTTGTCCATTTCCCTCCTTTCCTGTGACAAAAGAACCCTTGCAGGAAGACAGTGGAAAAATGCCATAGGTGGCTTGAAAGGATACGGGCTTGGAATGCACAGAATCTGATACAAGTCTACTTCAAAGACAATGGCTTTTATTCTTCAGTGACTGGGGACACAAGAACATGTTTTCAAAAGGGGTGTAAAATTTGTGATTTAATCAACACATACTGAGTATCTAAAATGTGCCAGGCACTGTGAAAGAAACTGAATAAATATGAGTGAAGTACAGTCTCAGTCCTCTAGAAATTTCAGATTCATTAAAAGTACAGTTGACCTTTGAACAATACAGATTAGAACTGTCTAGTCCACTTATACATGGATTTTCTTCTGCCTCTGTCACCCGAGACACAGCAAGACCAACCCCTCCCCTTCCTCCTTCTTTTCAACCTACTTAACCTGAAATCGATGATGAAGACATTTGTGATGATCCACATCCACTTAATGAAAGGTAAATATATTTTCTCTTCCTTATAATTTTCCTAATAACCTTTTTCCCCCAGCTTACTTTATTGTAAGAATACAACAAATTATACAAATAACATATAAACTATGCATTAATGGATTGTTTATGTTATTGATAAGGCTTCTGGTAAACTGTAGGCTATTAATAATTAAGTTTTTGGGAAGTCAAAATTTATACACGGTTTTTTTGACTGTGTAAGAGATCAGCACAGCTACCCTCCACGTTATTTAAGGGTCAACTGTATTTGCAACGAAATTTCACAAGATTTGCAAAAGACATGCATTCCTGTCGAGAAATAGAAGGGTTAATACTAACCGGAAACATATAGAGGCTATCGAAAAGTAGAGTATTCAGCAAGCAATCATGGGAGAGAAGACCATTTCAGACCATTCCTTGAGTGCCACATTCAATTCTGGGTGCTATCTTTCAGTGAAAACAAGAACAAAGTAGAAAACAATGTAAGAGAGATAAACAGCATTGCAAAGTCAGAGTTGTACAGGAAATTTCAATTCTTTAATTTGCTAGGAGAAAGAAGACTGGTGAGGTGGGGAAGGATTGGGCATTGGAGTGAATTTTTGAAAATATTTTTGGCCGGGCGCGCTGGCTCACGCCTGTAATCCTAGCACTTTGGGAGGCCGAGGCAGGCGGATCACAAGGTCAGGAGATCGAGACCATCCTGGCTAACACGGTGAAACCCCATCTCTACTAAAAATACGAAAAATTAGCCGGGCTTGGTGGCGGGCGCCTGTAGTCCCAGCTACTCGGGAGGCTGAGGCAGGAGAATGGCGTGAACCCGGGAGGAGGAGCTTGCAGTAAGCCCAGATCGCGCCACTGCACTCCAGCCTGGGCGACAGAGCGAGACTCTGTCTCATTTCCCCAATTGTCCACATGTAGACGCTCCTCTAGAGAAATGAGAAATCTTCATATCTGTCCCTGTTTCTCTATTTGGCTGAGGGCTGAGTCTCACCTCAATATACATGTTTTTTTAATGCCATGTCCTCTGTTTTTCATTTCAGTTTGATATTTGGGGGGAAGCAAAGAGTTCGCCACTGTATCTGAGCTCCCTCATTCTTGTGATCCAGCTTCACATGCTGCCGGTGGCCAAATCAGTTTGAGGCCAATAAGCACTTACCTAGAACCAGCAGGAGGGAGGAAGCAGAGCCCACCTGTCTTCTTGCATCCAAAGGTGCAACATTCCTGTTCAAAATCCAGGCACGTGGCAGCCACATGCTGGAGGAGGCACCTGATTCGTGCCCAATTCCGTAAAATATTAAGAATTATACAATTTTAAATTACAATGTTTCATTTTCTCTGCAGCCTGACCTAATTGTTCCCAGCAGGGAGAGTTGGCCAATGGCATTGATTTTGGGTTTTTTTCTCCTTGGCCTGTAAGGAAAAGGCATTCGTCTCTCATTTGTTTTCTTTATTTTTCTTTGAACACTGCCGAAGTATTCCATGCCAGCTCCTCCTCATACCTTCTTTCCCACTTTATAAGCACTGATTCACCTGTAAAACACATTTTTATAAAAGCCAGAGAAAGAACAGTGGCCATAAAAAGCTCCCACGCCTTTGCATGATCCTTGTTGTTAGCAATCCAGAAAAGGTCCCCTGCTCACAGCAGACGTTGCCTGGCAGCTGCTGCCTTGACTTTTTTCTTCTCCAACCATTGTGCTCACAAGCCTGGCAGGGTCAGAAGAGAAGAATGCATTTTTTTTCATCATCACTTGACAGTGTTTTCTTCAGATCTCCAAGTTTTACAAACAAGGTGATAGCCATAAGAGATTTATCCTGACAACTCAAAGATTGGCGCATGTTTTGTCTGAAGGGGTCAGAGAAAGCAGGAAAAATAAAGAGAGATCATGCAAATAAACCTAGACATATCCACACACATCCAGATGCCCTTTAAATTTGCATAGGCCACATTGATTTTTTTTTTCTTTTTCCTTTGGCTATTTATGTGATGCACAGGAAAATATTCACTTGCAAAAATGGACAACATGTATTGCCTTTCCAGTTTTTGCTAGAAAAGTCTTAAGGAAACATGTCATTACCATTTATCTCTACAGATAAAATGTCAGACCCTTCAGAAAACTTAGGGTAAGGTTGGCTGATGGCAAGGATCATCTTTGTATACTGCTAGTAATCCCAAAGGCTTGTAATGGTCATATTATTTGCTGTTTATATCATCCTTATATAAAATACTTGGCCATTCATGAGTAGATTGGTATCGTTGACATTCCAGGGAATGTTGTGCAAATAAGTCAGAGTCTTAAATTCTGTTTTCTGGAAAATCAATATTATGAGATATTGTCAGGTCTTCTGTGATAAGAGGTTCCATAGTAAATAATTTGGCCAATACTGTGTTAACAAAGTTAACAAGTTTTTTTTCTGCAAGATTTCTTGTACTTTATGATAGAATGCATAGTAAGGTCTCAAGGAGCTAGAGACCTACTAGGTCAAACCTAGGCCAAACAACTGGCCCCATATGATTACACACTTAACGTAAGTCCATTAGAATTTTCAGCTTCTATTTCTTTTTTAAGAAAAATAAATTAAATGTATAAGTTTATTAATTTTCTTCTAAGCCAAATGTTCCATTGTGTCTACTAAACTCTGGTTTTTCAAACTTGGTTTTTAAAGAAGATGAAAGAGACCAACACATACTTTCCTGACTTCAGAGATTTATTATATTATTCAAAATATAACTAGCAACTATGTACCAGGCACTTTGTTACGCACTGAAGGTAAATGGTGAACACGTCCCATCTGTTAAGAGATGTCTAATAAGCAGTGGGTAATACACTTCTGGACTTTTGTTCAGGAGTTAGACCTGGAGTTAGAAAAGTAAAAAGCTAAGAAGTATTCTTTACTTTCCAAATGTTTTCCAAACTGTGTTTTGGAGAACTCTAGCTCCTTAAGACCTTAGTATGCATTCTATCATAAAGTACAAGAAATCTTGCAGAAAATAAACTTGTTAACTTTTCTCACTCCAAGCTGGAGTGCAGTGGCGTGATCTCGGCTCACTGCAAGCTCCGCCTCCCGGGTTCCAGCAAGGTAGTGTATTTCTTAATTCAAACAGAATGAAAGAGATAAGGAAATATCTGAGGGATCAAATGACTTTGGAATAATTTTTTTGTTTGTTTTTGTTTTTCTTCCAGAGGACATAAATAGTACTAGTGAATGAAAAGTTCAAGAATGTGGATCTCAAGTCAGAATAAGAAGATTAGAGAAACTAAAGCTACTCTAAAATGAAAAAAAAATTAATGAAAAAAAATTAATGCAATAAAATAGTATTTTTCTTTTTTTAAAAAATAATTCCAACTTTTATCTTAGATTCAGGGAATACATGTTCAGATTTTTTACATGAGTATATTGCATGATATTGAGGGTTGGGATATGGATGGTTCCAACACCCAGGTAGTAAGTATAGTACCCAATAGGTAGTTTTCAGCCTTTGCCCTCCTCTTTCTCTCCCCCGTCCACTAATCCCCAGTGTTTATTTTTCCATGCTTATCTCCATGTGTACCTAATGTTGAATTTCTGCTTGTAAGTAAGAACATACAGTATTTGGTTTTCTATTTCTGCTTTAATTTATTAAGATAATGACCTCCAGCTGCATCCATGTTACTGGAAAGGAAATTATTTTGTTCTTTTTAATGGCTGCATAACATTCCATGGTGTATATGTACTACATTTTCTTTATCCAATCTACCATTGATGAGTACCTAGATTGATTCCGTGACTTTGCTACTGTGAATCATGTTGCAATAAACATACAAATGCATGTGTCTTTTTAAAAATTAGCAAGTCGGACCTAATTAAACTAAAGAGCTTCTGCAGAGCAAAAGGAACTATTAACAAATATCTTACAGAATGAGAGAAAATATTCACAAACTATGTATCAAACAGACAGCTATTATCCAAAATCTGTAAGGAACTTAAACAATTCAACAAGCAAAATGCAAATAACCCCATTAAAATGTGGGCAAAGGACATGAACAGACATTTCTCAAAAGAAGATATACAAGCAGAAAATAGTAATTTAATAAAGCAGTAAGGTCCTTATTGTTAAATATTTTGAAGAAGTTGGCTATTCATCTGAGATTTTTGCATTGAATGAGATAATGGAGAAGGTGATGCCTAAGATATTTATATAGGCTCTCCTAGCTACAGATGCTTGTGATACTTAGAATAGTCTAGTTTATTCCAGTAGTGTGACTTAGTATTGCTTTTAATTCTTACAGCAGCCAACACAATGGTCAGTTCAGAAAGTATTTAGTATTCTTATTCACTGTGTATAAATATCAGGCTTAATAAAGACATTTCAAATAAAAAATAGGCAAGAAGAAAGAGAAGAAGGAAGGGAGGGAGGAAGGAAAGAAGGGGAAAGGGAGGGAGGAAAAGAAAGAAAAAAAGAAAGAAGGAAGGAAGGAGAGAGAGAGAGAAAGAAAGAAAAGAAAGAAAGAGAAAGGAAGGAAGGAAGGAGGAAGAGGGGAGAGGGAAAAGAAAGAAAGGGGAAAAAGGAAAGGAAGAAATAATGAGAAGGAAGAATCCTAAACACCTGAGGCATAAAAGGGGATGAAAATGGTATTATAAATAAATCACTGTACAATCATTAATGATGCTTAAAATGCTTATAATATTTCAGGTTGTATGTGTTGTGGGGACATATCACCTCTCAGGACATATTTTCCACTTCTTTTCCATCTGGGCTTCCACCATACTAGCTACCTTGCCATTATTTGGATATTCTGTCACTCTTTATCCCTGGGGCCTTTATTTTATGGACAATGAAGAAGGAGGAGCTTCTCATTTGGCTAAATTCTAAACAATATACTTAGTTGTATGCACTGTGGAGAAATGTAGAAGTGACTTGAGGTATGGATATACACAGAATCACAATCAGTGGTAAAATGATTGGCTTTATTTAGAGGTCTGGAAGAAACAAATTTCACGGATCAGAGGTAAGTAAGGAAGCTTTGGGAAGGGGAACGTAGAGGGGCATATGGGGGTTGGAAGAATGTGTAAATCTTTGGTCTTTGTATTAATAACATTCAAGACGTATCTAGAACAGAGGTACACTCAAAAGTCAACCAGACAGGATGGTTCTTTCAGAGGAGGTCAGCCAGTGTTTCTCCTTGGTACTGTACAGCCTAGTCCATAAGGCCAGAAATTAAATAGCTATGATGAGAAGGATAGATATTTATCAGCCCAAAGCATGGATTCCCTGTCATTAAGGTTGGCTAAGCTACTACCTCTGGTGAATCCCTGGTCTGTCAGCAACAAAATCCAAAGCTGTTCACTGATAAGGCAGCATTGCTAAAATAATCTGACTGTCCACTTAATGGCAGGTTGATTATACTGGACACCATCTATCCAGAAGACAGTAACTTGTCCTTCCCAGAATGAATACCCATATGTACATGTGCCAGTACCACACCCTAACAACTTACAACATTTCTGATTTGCTACAACTGGATTACACACATAATTTTCTCAGATCGTGTGACCCTTTTATAGCAAAAGAGATATAACAAACTTCACTTTACCCTGAGACCCACTGATACTATTATATACTGTATCATCCAGAAGCATGAAGCCTAATTAAATGATACAAAGAAGAAGAGATCATTTGCAGCTCCAGGACAATTCCCTGAATAGTTAGGAAGTAGGATTGGACATTCTTATCAACACTCTTAGTGTTTCATTACCAGAATATATGCTATTGATGCCCATGACTTTTGAATCAACTGGATTATTGATCCTGGTTCCTTACAGAAAACATTTCCAAGAAGTAACACAGCAAGGATTCCACTGAAATTGTAGGTAGATCACCATGTGGTGATTTGGGTCTCCTCATGCCAGTACAATGACAGGGAGACAGAAAAGGGTGAAGACTCCTGTTACTGCAAGAATTTATAGTAGCTGAAAGGACTTCATTGGAAGTCATGAGATTTAGTATGTATCTATGGTTGCTTCACTGCCCAGTAATAACTAAGTAATCAATTACAGTAGCCACAGCCTGACAACAGCAAAGCAACTGAAGGCTTGTAATACCTGATGATGAAATTCTGAGATGACCCCAGTGGTTAAGTGGTGGCCAATGGAGGAGTGAGAGTATGGATATCAATTGTGGCTTCAAGCCAGTTATAGCTGGAGTACAAGCTTCTTCCATTAACCCTACTGTCTTCATTCTTTTCCTGGTGGAAAAAGCCAGTCATCAACTGGAAGGCTCTGTGAAAGACTGGGCTTAAGAGAGATCACAAATGGTTTCAAATGGTACAAGGTTAGACACATCTTCTGCCCTGCTCAAATCCTCTCAGTCCATCTCTTTTTTTTTTTAATCCTATAGTCCACTGCTGCAACCAAGTGCACAAAGGCTTATATATTTAACATTAGATTCTTGAAGTAATCTCACTTATTTGCTAAATATTCATTCATTTTTATCAAAGAAAACAGCAACACATTGTTATATATAAAGTTTCGGTGCTGCAAAAGAAATAGCACTCGAATAAATTTTTTTTTTTTTTTTTTTTAATTCTCAGCAAGGCAAGGTACTTCTACGGAAGGGTGCGACCTCACGGATGGAGCAATGGTGAGCACACACCTGGACAAGGGAGGGAAAGGGGTTCTTATCCCTGACGCACGTGTCCCCTGCAGCTGTGTCGTTCCCCTATTGGCCAGGGTTAGACCGCACAGGCTAAACTAATCCTGGTTGGCTAATTTAAAGAGAGTGCCGGGGTGAGTGCTTTGGCGGGAAAAAAATGGTTATGCAGGGTGGAGAATGAGTCAGGGCAGAGCAGTTAATCAGAATGAGTTAGAGTGAAGCAAGTGATCGGAATGAATTAGGGTGGAGCAGGTGATTGGAATGAGTCAGGGTGGAGTAGGTAATCGAAAAGGGTTGCTTTACGAGGAAGTTAAGTTTAAAACTAGAAGACAAAGAATTGAACATACTGACATATTAATTCTTTGAAGAGAAGTTTAGAATTCACATTTAACACAATGAATTGAGAGGGAATAAAATAAAATATCCTGTAAATCATCTCACCCACATAATCTTTGTTAAGCATTTTACCCCTTTTTCTAATTGTATTCAAAGTTTTTTTGATGAGTACATAGTAAATTAAAATTTTAAAACATCAAAATTGAAGTTTAAAAAGCCATTTCCACAAACATTTTTGTTACTCATCATTATCTAATAGTAAAAGTAAAATGTCTTTGTCAATTTTTATCACCATCATCATCCCCTGTTCTTTACTTTCTTAAATGCAAGTTGTCTTGTTCAACGTGTCTTAGAAACAGGAAATAATAATACGTAATTCATACCTTCAGAGGACTTGCAAGTTATTTGGGACAACAAACCTAATCCCCATAACAATTGCTAAATTGTAAATCTATTAGAATGTGAAAGGTAGATAAGTATAGAAAATTTAAGATATAACACAGATTAATGATGGTAATTCAGATTACCACAGATAAGAACAACTAAATGAGTACAGCAGGTAGATAGAAATAGAAAGAAAACTAAAGGATACGACATAGTCTTGAGGGTATAGAAAATTAGATCAGAGGCTATAAATTGGAATGTTTGTGTCCCCCTAAAATTCATATGTTGAAACATAATCCCCAATTGCTATGATCTGAATGTTTGTGTCCTTCACCCAAAATTCATATTGAAAACGAATCTTCAATGCGATAGTATTAAGAGTTGGGGCTTTGGGGGAAGTGATTAAATTGTGTAGACAGAGTGCTTATGAAAGAGATTTGATCCCATATAAAAGAGGCCTGAGGGAGCCTGTTTATTTCTTCCCATTATGTGATAACACAGCTAGGAGGCATCATCACCAAATCAGCTGACATCTTGAGCTTGACCTTTCCAGCTACCAGAACTGTGACCCATGAATTTCTGGTGTTTATAGGTCACTCAGTCTGAGGTATTTTGTTATGGTAGCCTGAACAGACCAAGACACCAATAAGACGGTATTTGGAGGTGGGGCCTTTTGTAGGTAAGTCTCCCTCATGACTGGAATAAATGTCCTTACAAAAGTGACCCCAGAGACCTCATTTATCCCTTCTACCATGTGAGGACATTGGGTGCAGGCTCTCTGAACCAGAAGTCAGTACATACCAGATACTGAATGTGACAGCTTGTTCCTCATAGCTTTCAGCACTAATAAATCTACTTGTAAGAAATACATTTCTTTGTTTATAAGCCACCCAGTCTATGATATCCTGTTATTGCAACCCAAACTCACTAAGACATTAAGTAAAATATCATAATAACATCTGTGTTATGATGCATGGGACATAAAACCAGAGTACTTCAGAATCGACGCACTAGGAAATTGGTGTCTGTCAGAGATTTTTTGAGTAGTCAAATAACATGGAGAATGTGGTGTTCAGTAATACTAGTCTGACAGTTTTAGGGAGAAAGAATCTAAATCATGTTGCCCAGAAAGAAATCTGTGGAGATAACCCCAGTTTAAACAAATAAAGAAAACCAAATTTAAATCCATTTCTTATCCAAGTTGTGGCAATTGGCTTAAGAGTCTTCAAAGATAGCAGATAGATTCTTACAGACACTGTGGTAGTAGTTATTAAGAAATTATTTTAGGCAGATAGAGAGGAAAAAAAGGGGTCCTTGGAAGATTTTTTTTTTTTGCAGCTCTTGTCTAGCACGAAAGTTCTGGCTCTTAGACCCTGCTGGCCACCTTTGATATGCAAATGCCAGCCATAAGAAACTGGTCCACCCAACATGGTGATTCCCACCATTGTCCTCTCGCCCTTGCCCCCACATGTGCCTGGCAGCATGGCCACCCCCACATATCCCTACGTGTGTGGAACATCATGGCGCCCTGCATTTGAGTATTAAAAGGCTAGGGTGGAAGGGCCAGTTTTTTCGGGGGCTACGTGAATAACATCCCTAGTCAAACCAATCCCCTGAGCCCTATGCAAATCAGACACCGCCTCCTCCAGCCATCAAATATAGCTGGCTGATATTACCTGAAAGTGGGGTTCCCTCTTTCTGCTTTGGAGGCCCCTCCCTCTGTCTGTGCACAGGGGAGCTTCTTCTTTCCCCCTTCTTTCTTGCCTATTAAACTCTCTGCTCCACATGTGTCCGTGTCATTTTCTCCAATTCAACTCGAGACGAAGAACCCGGTGTTTTTCCACTTATCGGAGCCTTATCAATACTTTACTAGCTATCTTGTTAAACTATCTGTTGTTGATACTCTAGTCTACATATCTGGTGAATTTTTTTTCTGAGAAATATAGATTTGGTACTAGAAATTTTTTCCGTGCATGCCTAAAGTCGGAAGTTCCTATTTGGAATTTGTTGTCCAATATAGTTTAGAAATATAAGATAAGACTTTGTGCGCGTCCGTGTGAAGAGACCACCAAACAGCCAAACAGACTTTGTGTGAGCAACAAGGCTGTTTATTTCACCTGGGTGCAGGCGGGCTGAGGCCGAAAAGAGAGTCAGTGAAGGGAGATGGGGTGGGGCCGTTTTATAGGATTTGGGTAGGTAAAGGAAAATTACAGTCAAAGGGGGTTGTTCTCTGGCAGGCAGTGGTGGGGGTCAAAAGGTGCTCAGTTGGGGAGCTTTTGAGCCAGGATGAGCCAGGAAAAGGGATTTCACAAGGTAATGTCATCAGTTAAGGCAGGAACAGGCCATTTTCACTTCTTTTGTGGTGGAATGTCATCAGTTAAGGCAGGAACCGGCCATGTGGATGTGTACGTGCAGGTCACAGGGGATATGATGGCTTAGCTTTGTCTCAGAGGCCTGACAAAGACACATTTATCCTTTTTGTCCTTCTTGTTAAAAAAATTATAAACACTAAGAAGATTGTATTTTATAGCCATAAGCATAACACTTACTGAATTAAGAATACTTCATAGTGCAGAAGATTCCTAGATAGATATTGACAATATTGTGTGCTGCAGAAAGACCTTCATGTCCTGCAGAGCATGTATTCTGATGTTCTTGCTGTTCTCCTCATGCTGGTTCTTGGCACACAGAATTGTTTACAGTGAATGCCAAGTACAAGTTGACATATACATTTGAAAGGAGACTACCTTGTTCCTTTGGCTTTTGAGCATAGGTAGCAAGTCTCAAAGAAGTTTCTCAAGTACTTTTTAGTTTTGTCTTTGGTGTTTCAAAGGAAAGACTCAGTAGGGAAGCAGGATTAAGTGGATTAAGTTGTTTATTTCAAACAACAGACTCAGAATTTTGATGCAGTGATCCCTGCACTAAGCATATGAGTAGAGATGATTCTTGCCCATGCTCTGTAGCTAGACCCAAGGAGTGCAGCCAATGTCAATTCCTGCCATGCCTGCCAGGGATACTTTGATGTCTAGGGCAGTCGAATGGTGTCACATTCCAAGAATCAAAGAGGCAAAAAGCCTACAGTCAGCTGTTGAGGACTTACTCTACTCATTGAAATGCAAAGGATGCCTTTGGAATTTGCCGTACTGTGAAATAATAAACAAAATGCCCCAAGCAAAACAAATAACAATTTAAATATTTCCACACAAACAATAAACTAAAACTAAAATATTTTACCTGGTTGCTTTAAAGTTGATGTTTACTCCCAAATTAAACATTTCAGCAAAGTGAGAGGTTGGAAACCGTATTTTACCAATCATGATGTATTTAACTAACAAAGAGATACCTTCAAAAGAAGTAAAATGTGTGACAGGACCCTGGTGTATTAGTTTTATTTGCCTTTGGTATGTGAAACAAAAGGAAACATTTTAATTACAGAGCACATTTCTTAAACAACAGTGCTATGTACCTTACACTAAAAAAAATGAAATCCAGATGTACTAGAGTCGAATGAAAAAATAAATCATTCAACCATAAGAAAATATGGGAACATATGTATTAGTTCATAAGATAGGGACAGGTTTCTTATATATAAAGTAAAGTAAAATTTACAGAAGAGTTTTTCTCTGAATCAAACAATGAACTAAATCAATTAAAAAGCAAAAATGAGTTAAAAAGCAAGAAAAGTGAAAAAAATAGTTAAAAACAGATGGAATGCAGGTTAATTATATACCCACACACGGACACATATATGAATAAATATTGAACATTGTTTCTAAAGAAAATGGAAGGTTAGGTTCCTGTAAGCCTCTGATCATATTTTCATCAAGCAATCAATACATAACTTTGTTTTATGTGTGTTTATTTGTATTGGCACCTTATTCAATACATATGGTTGATTTATTATCATTGAACTCATCAATAACACTGTAACTTGTGCTTGAACTGTTAAAGAAAGATTATTCAATGATAATTGTTAAATCATGGTAAGAAAAACTTTGTTCAGGACTATTGTGAGAGGTATAGGAACTACTGCAATGGGGTCTTGCAATGAGGGAGAGAGACTGAGTTCAACTCTGAATACAGCATGGGCAAGTAGAAATTTATAGTCAGGGATATATATATATGGATATATATGTATATGTGTATATATATCCTTGAGCATGTGTGTGTGTGTGTATATACATATAAACATATATCTATGTGTGGTGTGTGTATATACATATATATATATAAATATATATATACAAAATAAAAGAGAGGAGAGAGAGAAGAAGAAGGAGACAAAAAGCAACAGTAAACTTTTTTGAAGAGCTAATTCACAAAAGTTTGGCACTGAATAAAAATGGATACTCAATATTAGGAAGATACCCTTCTAATGGAAATGAAAATTGAAATAAACCCTCAAAATTAACCTAATAATATATGTGAAAATCTTACAACAGCCATAAACATTTGTTACAGGAAAGGGGTCCCTTCCATTTTGGGGAAAGTTGATCTGCTGGGGATCCTTCCTTCCAAGTTTTTAATAAGACCCAGTCTCCCAGCTGGGTTATAACAAGATTGTCTTTCTTAGTGGGGGAAGGGAGTCTTTGATTTCCATATTGAAGGAATACATTTTGCTTTTGTCCTAAGTTGATCACATAATTCTGTAGCTTGAAAGTATCTATGTCTATTACGAGATCTGTAGTTAAGAAAGGTCTTTCATACATTATTGTAAAAGGGTTGAGCTGCAGATTTCCATTAGGGGCCACTCAAACCCATAATAAGGCTACAGGTAATAGACAGCCAGGTTTCTGATGTCTCTTGCCATAGTTTAACAATAGTCCTTTTTAGAGTTTGATTAGCTCTTTCTACTTTCCCTGAAGACTGTGGCCCCCATAGCGAGTGAAGGTGGTACTGAATTCCTAGGGCTGAAGATATGTTTTGGGTAATTGTCACTGTGAAAGATGGTCCATGATCCTTCTGTAAGCTCTTAGGCAGCCCAAATCTAGGAATTATTTCCTTTAGTAGGAGTTTAGAAACCTCAGTTGCCTTTTCAGACCAGATAGGAAAAGCTTTGATTCAACCGATAAAGATGTCAACAAATACTAATAAATATTTAAACCCTTTTTATTTGCCAATCTTCATCAGGGTGTGTTTCCCTATGCTGAACAGGCATTACTAGAGGAGGAGGTAAAGACTGGTTATTTGAGTTATTCGGGGCACATAGCTCACAGGCCCAAGTTACCTGCTTTACGGCTTTAAGTAAGCCTTTTCCTATAAAAAGCCATGACATTAATTGAAACAGGGAATCTTTTCCCAAATAAGTAGAGTCATGCGAATGCTTAAATATTTTCCACTGATTAGCCCCTGATATTAACAGCTTGTTGTTATTGATAAGTCAGCCAGAAGGATCTTGAATTAAATCCTGACCTTTAGCCCATTTTTGCTTCTCTGTAGTATACCTAGGTTCTGTCATGACAGTGCCTGAGGGCACTAACATACTCACAAGTCCAACTGGTTCCTTTAACCTACTTCCTTAGCAACTGCATCTGCAAAAAAGTTTTCCTTAGCCACACTAGAGTCTCCTTTTTGATGTCCTCTGCAATGGATTACAACTACTTCCATGGGCAGCAAAACAGCATCTAATAGATTTAGAATTTCTTTCTTTTCTTTTTCTTCTTCTTCTTTTTTTTTTTTTTTTTTTTTTGAGATGGGGTCTCGATCTGTTTCCCAGTCTTGAGTGCAGTGGCTTGATCTCGACTCACTGCAATCTCTGCCTCACAGGTTCAACCGATTCTCCGGCCTCAGCCTCCCAAATAGCTAGGACTACAGGCATGTACCACAATGACCAACTAATTTTTGTTGTTGTTGCTTTTCTGTATTTTTAGTAGAAACGGGGTTTCACCATGTTGGCCAGGCTGGTCTCAAACTCCTGACCTCAAGTGATCTGCCCACCTTGGCCTCCCAAAGTGTTGGGATTACAGGCGGGAGCCAATGTGCCCAGCAAGATTTAGAATTTCTAAGTGATGTTTTGTAGGGGAGCCCTTAGCAGTTAGGAGTTCCCGTTCCTTCCACATAGCAGCATAAGCATGAAGTACCAGAAAGGCATACTTAGAATCAATGTAAATGTTAATTTTTAAGTCCTTTCCCAATTGCAGGGCTTTAATAAGAGCTATTAATTCTGTCTTTTCAGCTGAGGTAGAAGGTGGTAAGGCCTAAGATTTTATTACCTTGTGTTGACTGGCAACAGCATACCCAGCTTTCCTGTTTCCCTGGTGTACAAAGCTCCTTCCATCTGCAAAACATTCTCCCTCGAGATTATCTAGAGGCTCATCCTTTAAATCTGGATGGCTGGAGTAAACTTGCTCCATAACTTGTATATAAGTATGATCTAGAGTGGCTGTGGGTTCAGGCAAATAGGTAGCTGGATTCAAAATTTGGCATACTTTAAGTTTAGCAAAAATGCCTGCTATTTATTTACAGGAAAGAAAGAGCAATTTTTGTGTGCCTTGTGATTTCCAAAAGATATTACTGTTCGCAGTTGAGTTAACAAATCCCTTCCCAACAATGGGTGGGGCATTCAGGAGAAAACTAAAACCCCTGAAGAGCAGCTTAAAGGAAAGGTAAAATGGCATCTATAGGCTTGTCCATTTGTCCTTGTGACTATACAGTTTTGGGGTGACCCATTATAATGGGTCAAAACAGAGTAAGCAGTCCAGAAGGATGTTAATATTCTTACCTGGCACGTCGTGATTACCCAAGTCTTCTCTAGAGATATGGCTAGTTGTCTGAGAGCTGTGGCGGAAGCTCTCAGGCTCCATCACTTTTGGGATTGCCTGGCTATTTCTGCCATCATTGGTTCGGCTGCCGATGGCTCCCTTCGGTATGCTGGGCAATCCCTCTTCAAATGGCCAGTTTTCTTACAGTGTGCACATTGATTCATGCCCAAGGCATGGTGACTCGGACACCCAGCTTTGGGCTTCCCACCTTTCAGCTTCCCTTGTTCAGGCCAAGAGCCAGGAGAGCAGCCCCATTTGGGAGGTGCACTTAAGGATGCAGCCAACAGCTGCACCTTGTGGGAGGTCCTTCTTGCTCTTTCTGCTTCCTCTGCTTTGTCCTTGTTAGTAAAAACTAAAAATGCCATATCCAAAAGCTGTTCCTTAGGAGCTTGGGGACACATAGCTGCTGTTTGTAGTTTCCTATGTATTTCAGGAGCAGATCGGGTTATAAAATGTAGTCCCAAAAGGGTTTGTCCTTCCCTTGAGGTAGGATCAGTGTTAGTATATTTCCTAATTGACTCAACTAAATGCCCTCAAAACAAAGTTGGATTCTCATCTTCACTCTGAGAAACTTCCTTAACCTTTTAATAGTTAACAGACTTCTTCATACATTTCTTCATCCCTTCCATCTAACAGGTGACCATATGATCTCTCCTCCCCAAGTCCTCACTGCCCTTTGATAGTTCCACTATGGGTCTTGAGCTGGAACTGCTATATCTCCTGCCTGATATATATTATGGTTCGGACTGTGAGCCAATATCTCATCTGCATGGGCCATAGCTGTCCCCAAAATGCATTGTTTCTCTTCCACTGTACAACACAAAGACAACCAAACATGCAGAGCCTGCCAAGTTAAACTATAGGTCAGAGTTAATTTCTCAAACTTATGATGAATCTTCCTGTATCTTCAGAGAAATTACATAGAGCCAAATCAGGCCAAGAAAAGGGAACATGTATTCTCACAGTGCCTTCTTCTCTGTTTGCCACCTTTCTAAGGGGACAAAGATTTTCCTTTGGAGGTGGATAGGAGGCTCCACTACGAGTAGTATTCATTGGGCTAAGTTCCTCAGGGAGCGATGGGTATACAGTGGGACTAGAAATGTATGGGGGAGGGTATGAAGGGTTCTCAATAGAACTTTCAGTTGAGCTAGAGGGAGAAAGAACTGACACATCTGAATTTTCAGAGCTGACAGAAGGAGGTTTTGCTCCACCCCAAACTGTCCGCTGAACCAGGGCGGCTTACATTAAAGGATTGTCTAGTATGTTTAGCTCTTTTCTTCCTTTCCTCTAGTCAAACATGATTCACATTATCCAAATAACTTAAATAACATAACATAAAAGCCATGAATCTTAGATAAACGACAACATGGACTTCAATAAAAATGTCGAATAAGGCAAAGGAAATGAAGAGGATTTAGATGGGAATGACCAGAGCAAGCAGGTTCTGGGCAATAGTAGCAGTGTGGATTGTACAAGCAAAGCTGGTTTGCCTGAATCCAAGAAAAGAAAGAAGTTTTTTTAGTGTCCAATATGAAACAAAACAGCAAGGAGAAGAGTCCCCTAATTTCCATCCTAGTGCTTCTCGATCACAGCTAGTCAGCATAGCAGCAACAAAATATAACCATATCTATCTAATCTTATTGCTCATAGCTGTTAAATACCAAATCTCAATCAACAATCTTAGAGACAGAGCCTTCATTGCTTTTTGTTCCCAATGTTTCACAAGCAGACAGATGGATATCGGGAGGCACATAGGAAGAGAGGAAGTTAAAATCCCTAAGACCAGTTAATAAAGTCTCCTGAAAATGACAGTGAAACAGAGACCAACAAATTGACTTGTGCAACAAGGAGGACAAGGCAGATTAATACAAAGAGCATAGCCTGTGGTGCCAAATCCATTTTTAGCTGAGAAGGACTTTACTGAGAAGGCCTCTAACCCCCTAAATCTTAGAAGAGACTCTAACCCTCCTAAGTCAGGTCTCTAACCTGAGGTTAGTCAAGCATGCTTGCCTTTTATTAAGAGGGGCCTCTACCCATTCTGTCTTAGGAAAGATTCTAACTCCCCTAAGTTGAGCCTCTAACCCAATCTTATTCTTTACCTGGGTACCTACCACTTACCCAGTCATCCAATCAGTGCTGCAGTCTATTTTGAGGGTTGGAGGGGGTGGGGTCCTTCAATATTGTCCCTTCCATAGTTGACCAGAAATATGTTACAGTACCACAACACTTACCCAAATGTAGCCATTGGGTCAGGATTTCTGCACTATAATCCCATCTGGGTCACCAGAAATATGTTACAGGACAGGGGTCTGGATCCAGACCCCAAGAGAAGGTTCTTGGATCTTGTGCAAGAAAGAATTCAGGGCGAGTCCACAGTGCAAAGTAAAAGCAGGATTATTAAGAAAATAAAGTGATGAAAGTATAGCTACTCCATAGACAGAGTAGGGAGTTCCTGAAAGTAAGAGGATGAAGGAATCCATCCTAGGTACAATGCTTGTATATATGGGCAGATGTGTTCTGCTACAAGGGTTTGTGATAAAGGATTAATTTTCTTAATGACTGTATTTTCCAAGAATCAACATTATTATCTTTAAAGAAAAATTAGGAATGCCTTTGTTCTCCAGATATTAGGATATCTGGACACTCCCAAGTCGGAGTCTGTTTTAGTAAACATTATTAATTTATTCCCCTAACCATAAACATCTAGAGGCTAGGAATGCCTAACTTTCTGAGAATGCATCCCAGCAAGTCTCAGCCTCATTTTCCTAGCCCTCACTCAAAATGGAGTCACTCTGGTTCGAATGCCTCTGACACATTCAGCATTATATAATTACCTTTTAGAACAGGGACAATTTATTATTATATTTCTTATACTTATCTTAATAATAATATGTGTTATTACATAGTTTTACTCGATGTTGTTATGATTATTTAGAAATGATCATTAGGTAAGAGAGGTGCATTATATATATACTAAATATATACTATATTTAGAAGAATCAAAATTTAGAATAAATCTTAATATAAAAAAATAAATTATAGCACAGTGTCTTAGTCCATTTGGGCTGCTACAACAAAATGTTAAAAAATGAGTAGCAATATTGTAAACAGCTGAAATGTGTTTCTACAGTTCTAGAGGCTGCAAGTCTAAAATCAAGATACTAGCATATCTGGTGTCTGGTGAGGGTCTGTTTCTCATAGACAATGTCTTTTAACTATTTCCTCACAAGATGGAAGGGGCAAAACAGCTCTAGGACCTCTTTTGTAAGGGCACTAATCCCATTTTGGGGGGCTCCACCCTCATAACCTAATCATTTCCTTTTGTTCTAACTCCACAACCTTGAGGGTAAGGAATTTCAACATGTGAATTATGGGGGAAGTGCACACAAACGTTCAGAACACAGCACTTGGTATAAAGTAGAAAACTATGCTGCCATTAAAAATCACAATGTGAGAGAATATTTAATAAAATGTTTAAATGTTTAGTACTAATTAAAGAGTCATAATAAAACATTCTCTAGAAATATGTGTAAGTTTCAACATCATATATATATATATATATATATATATATATATATATATATATATATATACACACACACACATATAATCTCTTTAAGGGTAAATAACCACTGTCCATATTTTACTGTATCCTTGGGTGTTTGGTTTGTTAATAATGTTTGTTTTATTTATTCTTTTCTGCAGCTCTACAAATGTTCTGTATGAACAATTTTCTGTAATTTACAAATGTTTTATAGTAACCTAGTGTTATGATTATATAAAAACACATTAAATTATTTTAAAGCTAATACATTGTTTTAAAATAATATATAAATTTAAAAGGATTAGTAATACCCACTTGTTATGATCTGAATGTTTATGTTTTCACAACACTCGTTATGTTGAAATCCTAATTCTCATGGTGATGATATTCAAAACTGGGGCCTTTGGAAGAAGATAAGGTGGGCATAGTCTTCATAATTAGGATTAATGTCCTTATAAAAAGACCTGAGAAAGCTAGCTAGCACCATGTGAGGACAGCAAAAAGTTGATATCTATGAACCAGGGAAACATGCCCACACCAGACATCAAATCTGTTTGTACCTTATTTTGCACTTCCCAGCCTCCAGAAGTGTGAGAAATAAATTTCTCTTTTTTATAAGCCACCTAGTTTATGATATTTTGCTATAACAGCCTGACACCATTGGTGGCCATAATTTAAGAAAACAGGAACTCCCATGTATTATCAATGATGTTACAATTTATACATACCATTTATTTTTATTTTTTCCCTCCTTCCTTCCTTCCTTCCTTCCTTCCCTCCCTCCCTCTTTCCTTCCTTCCTTTGCAGATTTTCAGTGTTAGCCATACTTGGCCTACTTACCTATTCTTCTCTCCCTGGGATAAGAAAAACAGGATTTTTAAACTTTCATTTTATTTTTAATAAATATCAACAAGGCCAAGATAAAACAGATTTTCAGTAAGCAAGATGTTTGCTAGGAGATTCAGTGTTATACTTCAAACCATCTCCTTAGGCTTGTATCCTTTTTCCACTTAACAACACCCCATAAGTTCCTTTATGGTGGAGCTGGCTACTACCACTTCTAATTATTGTTTGCTTCCTTTGTATTTCACTTGTTTTATGGCCCAGATTATAGGCAATAATCTGGACTGAGGACTGGCCCACCCAGCCCACCACAGCCGCTACTAACACAAATGCTTTCCACCTGGGGACCTGAGAGTTGTCCCGCTACTACTGTGACCATGCATGCCATCAAAGGCAATGAGGACCCACCCGTCCCCACACCTAGCCCACTGCTGCCACTTTTGGCACTAGAAAAACTCTCTGGAGGCCCAAGAATTGGTGTGCTTAGACCCACTCACACCAATTAATGCTCATGTATATTACCTGGAGGCCCAATAACAAGCATCCTTAGCTTATTGATTCCACTACTGGGGCCTGAGATCTGGCCCACCTGGCATCCCTCAGGTGGATGGAAACCTCACTACAGCCTCTACTATCAACTGTAGCCTAAGCCAGCAAAGAAGTCAGACACCACTGATTGTATTTACAGCTGAAAAAATCATATTAAAAACTACCACTACATTTACCCAGAATCAAGGTCAAAATGCCTTATTCAACCAACACTATAAATATATATTTAGGAAAAAATATTTCCCTATGAAAGGCAAAAAAGTTAGAAGAAGTGACTGTTACATCAGATGGATGGATATAAATATAAGGACATGAGAAATATAAAAAAGCAAGGAAATATGACACCTACAAAAATGCAATAATTCCTCAGCAAAATATTTTAATTAATATTTCAATCAAAAATCACTTTATAAAATCCCAGAAAAATAATTCAAAGTAATAATAATAAAGCACAAGGTGTGATACAAGAGAAGAAAAATAAACAATAAAAGGAAAATCAGAAAAAATTCAAGATATAAATGAGGAATTTATTAAAGAAATAAATAACACAAAAAAAAGCAAATGAAAATCCTGTTGCTGAATATTTTAATGGATGAAGTACAAAAAATCTCATTTGAGAGCTTCAACAATAATCTGGATCAAGCAGAAAAAAGAATTTCAGAATTTGAAGATATATCTTTTGGAATAACCCAGTCAGACAAAAAAGAAAAGAATGAACAAAGATTATGTAACACATGGAATGCCAAAAGCCACCAAATGTTCAAATTTTGAGTTTTTAAGAAGTTTAAGAAAAGCCTAAAGCCATAGAAAACCTATTTAACAAGGTAATAGCTGAAAAATGTCCAAGTGTAGCAAGAGCTTTAGACATCCGGATGTAGGAAGCTTATAGGTCCCAAATGGATACAACTCAAAAAAGTCTTCTCCATGGCACATTATTGTCAAAGTATCAAAAGTCAAAGACAAAGAAAGATTTCTAAAAACAGCAAGAGAAAAGCACCTAGCATATATAGGAGAACTCTCACAATGTTAACAATGCATTTCTCAGGAGAAACTTTACAGGCCAGAAGAAAATGGGATGATTTATTTAAGTGCTGAAAGGAAGCAACTATCAGGCAAGAATACTATACCCAGCAAAGCTATACTTCATAAATAAGAAAAAAAAAATAAAATCTTTCCTAGACAAGCAAAAACTGAGAGAATTCATCACCACTAGACAGGCCATACAAGAAATGCTTAATGGAGTCTTACATGTGGGGACAAAAGCATGATGTCTACCATCTAGGATAACACATAAAATTATAAAACTCACTGACAGAGCAAACACACAAATGAGTGACATAAAAAACTCAAAGAGTACCACTACACAAAACCACCAAGTTACAATAATAAGCAAAAAGAGAGAAAGGAAAAGAAATGATATACAAAATGACCAGAAAACAATTAACAAATTGACAAGAATAAGTCTTCACATATCAATAATAACCTTGAATGTAAACAGATTAAATTTCCAACTTAAAATGTACAGACTAGCTAAATGGTTCTTAAAAAGTGAAAAACTATATGCTGCCTACAAAAAAACTCACTTCGCCTATGAATATACATATAGACTGAAACGAAGAGATGGTAAAATATATTCTATGCAAATGGAAATCAAATCTGAGCAGAATTAGTTACACTGATATCAGATAAAATATACTTTAAAGTCAAAAACAGTAAAATAAAACAAAGAAGGTCATTATATAATGACAAAGGGATCAATTCAGCAAGAGAATAATAACAATTCTCGATAAATATATATATATATATATATCCAACACCAGAGCAATCAGATGTATAAAGCATTATTAGATATAAAAGGAAGAAATAGACTTCAATACAATAATATTTGAGAACTTCAAAAGTCAACTCTTAGCATAAGGCAGATCTACAAAATAGAAACTTAAGAAAGAAACATTAGATTTAAACTTCACTTTAGACCAAATTGACTTAATAGTCATCAACAGAACATTTTATCCAACAGCTGCAGAATATACATTCTTCTCATCAGCACATGAAACATTCTCCAGAATAGACCATATGTCAGACCACAAAAGAAGTCTAAACAAATTTTTAAAAATTATGTACCAATTCAGACCACAATGAAATAAAACTAGAAATTAATAACAATAGGAGGTTTGGAAAGTGTACAGATACATGGAAATTAAGCAAAATGCTCCTGAACAACCATTGAGTCAGTGAAGAAATTAAGAGAAAAAAAATTTTAAACAAATGAAAATGGAAATACAATATATGAAATAACCTATAAGATAAAGCAAAAGCAGTACCTAGAGGGAAATTTATAGCAATAAATACTTACATCAAAAAGGTAAAAAGACTTCAAATAAACATCTGTTCACCTCAAATAACTAGAAAATCAAGAAGAAACAAAAACCAAAATTAGAAGAAAAGAAATTTAAAAAATTACAGCATAAATAAATAAATAAATCAGAGAATTTAAAAGATACAAAGAGTCAACAAAATAAAAAGTAGTTTTTTAAAAAAGAGACACAAAATAGATAAACCATTAGCTAGAGCAATCAAGAAAAACAGAGAGAAGACCCAAATAAACAGAATCAGAAACAAAAAAGGAGATATTACATGTGACTATATAGAAATACAAAAGATCTTTGGAGACTATTATGAACAACGATATGCTAACAAACTGGAAAGCCTAGTGGAAATTATTAAGTCCCTGGACACCTACAACCTACCATGGCAGAATCAGGAAGAAATAGAAAACCTGAACAGGCCAGTGATGAGTAACAAGATTGAATCAGGTGTCTCTCAACAAAGAAAAGCCCAAAAACAGATGGCTTCACTGCCAAATTCTACCAAACTTATAAAGAAGAACTAACACCAATTCTCCTTAAACCATTCCAAAAATTTAAGAGGAGAATATTCTTTCTAACATTCCACAAGGCTGGCATTAATCTGATACCAAAAAGGATAAAAAAGAAAACTACAGGCCAATATTCCTTATGGACATAGATGCGAAAATCAACAAAATACTAGCAAACTTAATCCAACAGTATATTAAAAGATAATATATCATAATCAGTGGTATTTATCCTACAAAATGCAAGAATAGTCTAGTATACCTTAATAAAAATGTGCAATACACATACATGGTATGAAATAAAATATTATCTTCATTCTTTGGAATCTCTTAGGATTAAGACATGCAGAAAAAGCATTTCATAAAATTCAACATCTTTTCATTATAAGACCTTTCAAAAACTAGGCATGAAATTAACACGTACCTCAAAACAGTAAAAGCCATATATAATAAACTCATAGCTAACATCATACTTAGTGGAGCAAAGCTGAAAGATTTTCCTCTAAGAACTGAAACAAGACAGGAATACACACTTTTACCACTCCTATTCAGTACAATACTGAAAATTCTATGCAGAGCAATCAGGCAAGAGAAAGAAATAAGAGGCATATAGATTGGAATAAAGAAAGTCAAATTATCCCTCTTTGCAGATGACATGCCCTTATATTTAGAAAAATGTAAATGCTTCACTAAAAACCTTCTTATATCTGATAAGAGAATTCAGCAAAGCTGTAGGATATTAAATTACATACAAAAGTCAGTGGCAGTTCTTTTCACCAATAATAAAATATACAAAAAAAAAGAAGTCAATCTCATTTACAATGGCAACAAAAAATACCTAGGAATAAATTGAACCAAGGAAGTGAAAGGTCTCTAGAAGGAAAACTACAAACACTAATGAAAAAATTAAGAATGGTACAAACAAATAAAAAAACATTTCATGCTATGCATCACATGAAATAATATGGTAAAATTGACCACACTACCTAAAGTAATCTATAGATTCAATGCAATCTCTATCAAAATACCAATATATTGGTATTTGGTGGCTCTTTAGTGTCCAATATGTCACAGAGACTTTGTTAATTATTTTTTTCTTCTCTTTTTCTCTGACTAGGTTATTCCAAAAGACTCATCTACAAATTCTGAATTATTTCTTCTGCTTGATCCAGTTTATTGTTGAAAAAAATTCTAAAATTTGTATGGAAGCAAAGGAAAAAAAAAAAAAGCACAGATAGCCAAAGCAAAGCAATACTGAGCAAAACAAACAAAGCTGGAGGAATCATTATCTGACTTCAGAATACACTGTGTTTATAGTAAACAAAACAGCATGGTACTGACATAAAAACAGACACATACACAAATGAAACAATAGATCACCCAGAAATAAATCCATGTGTTCCCAGCCAACTGATTTTACAAAAGTACCAAAGGCATACGTTGGAGAAAAGACACTCTTTCATAAATGGTGCTGGGAAAACTGGGTCTCCATATGAAGAAGAATGAAACTAGATACCTATCTCTCACCGTATACAAAAATCAATGAGTTAAATAACAAAACATAAGATGCCAAACTATAAAACTACTAGAAGAAAACATGGGGACAACACTTTAGGATATTTAGAAGACTTTATCACTAAGACTTCAAAAGCACAGGCAACAAAACTAAAAACTGACGAAAAGGACTATATTAAAGTAAAGACCTTCTGTACCACAAAGGGAACAATCAATAGAGCGAAGAGACAGTCTGTTGAGTGGAATAATATATTTGCAAGTTAAAGAACTCAAACAACTCAACAGGAAAAAAAATACCATTTTAAAAAAATGGGCAAAGGACATCAATAGACATTTCTCAAAAGAAGACATACAAATGGCTAACGCGTATATGAAAAAAATGCTTGACATCAATAATCATCATGGAAATGCAAATTAAAACCACAAAGAGATAGCATCTTACCCCAGTTAGAATGGCTATTATTAAAAAGACAAAAAATACCACATGCAGGTGATATTTACTGTTGCTGGAAACATAACTTTGTACAGCCATTATGGAAAACAGATTGAAGATTTCTTCGAAACTAAAAATTGAACTACAATATGACCCAGCAATTCCACTACTGGGTATTCATCCAAAGGAAAGGAAATCAGTATATCAAAAAGATACCTGCATCCTCATGTTTACTGCAAATGCTATTCACAATAGCCAAAATAGGGAATCAATCTATGTGTTTATCAGTGGAGGAATGGATAAAGAAGTTGTGGTATATATACATAATGGAATACTATTCAGCCATTAAAAAAGAATTAAATCATCTCATTTGCAGCAACATGAGTTGAAGTGAAGGTTATTGTATTAAGTGGAATTAGGTAAGCACATAAAGACAAATATATTTCTCACTTACCTGTGAGAACTAAAAAAAGTGGATCTCAAGTAACTAGAGATTAGAATGATAGCAGAGGTTAGTGTGTGGAGAGTGAAAAGAGATTGGTTAATGGGTACAAATTTAGAGTTAGATAGAAAAATAAGTTCTAATGTTTGATAGTAGAGTAGGGTGACTATAGATAACAACAATGTATTTTATATTTCAAAATGGTTAGATAAGAGGACTTAAAATATTCCTAACACATGTAAATGACAAACACACAATGTGATAGATATATCCTGTATATGTATTAAGTAAATATCCTGACTTAATCAATTCACATTCTATACACATAACAAAAATCACATATATCCCTAATATCCAAATATTATGCAGTATCAATTAAAAAATAAAAATAAATTTATCTACATCTGTTCTTCACATTTTATTGAAGACATTGTATTATTTATTTACACTAGGTTCTCAGAGTAACAGAACAATGAGAGAAACATATAAAGATATTTACTCACAAAAGTATGGAGGAAGAGCAGTCTCATTAACTGCCATCTACAACCTGAAGACCCAGGAAAGCAACAGATTTCAGTCTAGGTTTGAAGGCCTGTGAACAAGGAGTGCCAAGGGAAGAAGACTGATGTTCCAGCTCAGTTATTCTGATAGTGAATTCAACATTACCATGCATTTTTGCTTTGGAATGGCCCTTAATGTATTGAATGATGCCTAGTCACGTTGGCGAAGGTTGTAGGCTTTACTCAGTTCACCTATTAAAATGGTAATCTCTTCTGTGAGACACATCTCATAGAAACACCTAGGAATAATGTTCAACCAGCTATCTAGGCATCCTATGGCATAGTCAATTTGACACAACCATTATAGTCATTATCTAGATTTCTTAAAATGTTTATTTTGATAATTTTAGACTTAAAAAATGTACAAAGATAGTAAACAGAGTTTTTTAATACTCATTACCCAGTTTTACTCATTTTTAATCCTTTGGATTACTATGGTATATTTACCAAAACAAACAAATTGACACTGTTACATTGCTACATGTAGCATGCTTTTGCTGAGAAGGATTAAGTCCCACCTTTTATGTAGGGGAAGTATCTACACATATTATTTGGAATTACTTTGTAAAAATATTTGTCTTTTCTCCTTATTTATTCATAAATTTATTTATATTAGTAAGGACACATATTTATTTTATACTTTGGTTGCTAATTGACTAATATGTGAATTATATATATATATATATATTCTCAAATTGTTCAGATTTTTGTCATTGGGTGTTCACTTTTAGGTTGGCTTTGTGTCCCTTTGACATGCCTTCATATGTTTGTTTACTAAGCATTGTTTCCTGGTCAAAAAAGTGTTCCAAACTCATCTGATATTTCCACTGTCCCAGTCTCAGAATAAGGCATTTCTCCAAGTAGTCCTGTATTTTGTCACTGGAGAATAGTATTTTAAAACAAGAATCTGGATAATAGGTGAGTTCATTGCTACTGATCACTCTCAAAATACACAGATATATAACATCATTATGTTTACTGATATGGTTTGGCTGTCTCCCCACCCAAATCTCATCTTAAATTCCCATGTGTTGTGGGAAGGACCCAGCTGAAGGTAATTGAATCATAGGGGCAGTTCTTTCCTGTGCTTTTCTTGTGACAGTGAATAAGTCTCACAAGATCTGACAGCTTTATAAGGTGTTATTTCCCTGAATAAGCTCTCCCTTTGCCTGCTGCCATCCATGTAAGATGTGACTGGCTCCTCCTTGACTTCCACCGTGATTGTGAGTCTTCCCCAGCCATGTGGAACTGTAAGTCCATTAAACCATTTTTTTTTTGTATAAATTACCCAGTGTTGGTATGTCTTTATCAGCAACATGAAAACGGACTAATTCAGGTAGGTGGTACCAGGAATGGGGTGCTGCTGAAGAGATACCCAAAAATGTGGAAGATACTTTGGAAACTGGGTAACAGGCAGAGGTTGGAACAGTTTGGAGGACTCAGAAGAAGATAGGAAAATGTGGGAAAGTTTGGAACTCCATAAAGACTTATTGAATGGCTTTGATCAAAATGCTGATAACGATGTGGACAATGAAATCCAGGCTGAGGTGATCTCAGAAGAAGATGTGGAACTTGTAGGGAACTGGAGCAAAAGCAACTCTTGTTAGGTTTTAGTAGAGACTGGTGGCATTTTGCCCCTGCCCCAGAGATGTGTGGAACTTTGAACTTGAGGGAGATAATGTAGGGTATCTGGCAGAAGAAATTTTTAAGCCCCAAAGCATTTAAGAGGTGACTTGGGTGCTGTTAAAGGCATTTAGTTTTATAAGGGAAACAGAACATAAAAGTTCAAAAAATTTGCACTTTTATGTGATAAAATGTGATAGAAAATAAAATCCCGTTTTCTGAGGAGAAATACTAACCTGCTGCAGAAATTTGCATAAGTAACAACTAGCTGAATGTTAATCCCCAAGAAACGGAACAATGTCTCCAGGGCATGTCAGAGGTCTTCTTCATGGCATCCCCTCCCACCACAGGCCCAGAGGCCTAGGAGGAAAAAGTGGTCTCGAGGGCCAGGCCCAGGGTCCCTGTGCTGTGTGCAGCCTAGGGACTTCGTACCCTGCCTCCCAGCCTCTCCAGCCATGGCTGAAAGGGGCCAATATAGTGATCAGGCTGTGGCTTCAGAGGGTGCAAGTCTCAAGCCTTGGCAGCTTCCACGTGGCATTGAGTCTTCCAGTGCACAGAAGTCAAGAATTGGGGTTTGAGAAACTCCACCTAGGTTTCAGAACATGTATGGAAATGCCTGGATGTCCAGGCAGAAGTTTGCTGCAGGGGCAGGGCTCTCATGGACAATCTCTGCTAAGGGAGTGCCAAGGGGACTGTAGGGGTTGGAGCCCCAACACAGAGTCCCTACTGGGGCATTGCCTAGTGGAGGTATGAGAAGAGGGCCACTGTCCTCCAGACCCCAGAATGGTAGATCCACTGACAGCTTGCATTGTGTATCAGGAAAAGCTGCAGACATTCAACACCAGCCCATGAAACCACCCAGGAGTGCAGCTGTACCCTGCAGAGCCATAGGGACAGAGCTGCCCAAGTCCATGGGAACCCACCTCTTGCATTGGTGAGACATGGAGTCAAAGCAGATCATTTTGGAGCTTTAAGATTTGACTGCCCTGCTGGAATTTGGACTTGCATGGGTTCAGTAACCCGTTTGTTTTGGCCAATTTCTCCCATTTTGAATGGGTGTATTTCCCCAGTGCTTGTACCCCCATTGTATCTAGGAAGTAACTAATTTGCTTTTGATTTCACAGGCTCATAGGTGGAAGGGATTTGCTTGGTCTCTGATGAGACTTTGGACTGTGGAATTTTGAGTCAATGCTAAAATGAGTTAAGAATTTGGGGGACTGTTGGGAAGGAATGATTGGCTTTGAAATGTGAGGACATGAGATTTGCGGGGACCAGGGGTGGAATGAAATAGTTTGGCTGTGTCTTCTCTACTCAAATCTCATCTTAAATTTCTACATGTTTTGGGAGGGAAATTGTTGGAGGTAATTAAATCATGGGGGCATGTCTTTCCTGTGCTGTTCTTGTGATAGTGAATAAGTCTCATGAAATCTAATGGCTTGTAAGGTGGTGTTTCCCTGCATAAGCTCTCTCTTTGCCTGTTGCCATCCATGTAAGACATGACTTGCCCCTTCTTGCCTTCCATCATGATTGCGAGTATTCCCCAGCCACATGGAAATATAAGTCCATTAAACCCTTATCCTGTATAAATTGCCTATTCTCAGGTATGTATTTATCAGCAATGCGAAAACAGACTAATACATTTACTAATCCAAGTACACTCACATATTTGTAATTGTTTCTGCACATACTTGTGTATATTTGTATATACACAAGGCTAAACATCTAATCTTTTATAGTGAAATCTGTGACTTTTAAAATTGTATGAATTGACATTAAATTATTTTCATTTTTTCTTATAAAAATCTTGCTGACTTGAGCTTCTCTAGCTATTTCTATATATACATATTATAGACACACATCCCCCATGACTTTCATCTATTTAACATCTATCTATTTATTCAAAAGTAGATAGAAAAATAGATGTAATACAATCATCTAATCTACAAACTTAACAAAAATAAGCAATGGGGAAATAACTCTCTATTTAATAAATCATGCTGGAATAACTGGCTATCCGTATACAGAAGAATGAAACTGGACTGCTACTGCTTGCTACATAGAAAAATTAACTCAAGAATTGAAGACATAAATGTAAGACATCAAACTATAAAAATACTAGACAAAAAACTAAGAAATACCCCTCTTGACATCAGCCTTGACAAATAATTTATGGCTAAGTCCTCAAAAGCAATTGCAACCAAAATAATAATTGTTAAGTGGGACCTAATTAAACCAAAGAGCTTCTACACAGCAAGAGAAACTACCCAGGGAGTAAAAAGACAACTTACAGAACAGGAGAAAATATTTGCATATTATATATCAAACAAAGGTCTAATATCCAGAAACTGTGAAGAACATAAAAAAATCAACAATCAAAAAATAAATAACCCCATTAAAAAGTGGTCAAAGGACCTGATAGACACTTCTCAAAAGAAGGCATAACCATGGGCAACAAACTTGAAAAAATACTTATCATCACTAATCATCAGAGAAATTCAAATCAGAACCATAATGAGATACAGTCTCACATCAGTTAGAATTACTTTTGTTAAAAAGCTAGAAAAATAGGATGTTGGCATGGCTGGAGAAAAGGGGACATTGATGTATTGTTGGTGGTGATGTAAATTATTTCAGCCACTATGGAGAGCAGTCTGGAAATCTCCTAAATAACTAATAGCTGGTCTACCATTCAACCCAGAAATCCCACTACTGGGCATATACCCAAAGGATAATTAGTCATTTTACCAAAGGACACATGTACCCATATGCTGATCACAGTGCTATTCACAATAGCAAAAACACTGAATCAACTTAAGCGCCCATTAACAGTGGATTGGATAAATAAAATGTGGTACATATACACCATGGAATACTATGCAGCCATAAAAAACAATAAAATAATGTCTTTGCAACAATATGGGTGCAGCTGGAAACCATTATTCTAAGTGAACTAATGGAGAAACAGAAAACCAAATATTGCATGTTCTTACTCATAAGTAAGAGTTAAACATTAGGTCCACATGGACAAAAAGATGGGAAGAGTGGACACTGGGGACTACTAGATGTGGAAGAGAGAGAGGGAAGTGCTGAAAAACTATCCATTGGGTACTGTGCTCACTACCTGGGTAACAGGTTCAATCACACCCCAAACCTCAGTATTATGCAATATACTTTTGTAACAAACATGTAAATATATCTGCTATGTCTAAAATAAAAGTTGAGAAAAAAATCAAACCAATAAGCATTTTTTTTTAAAGATTGCATCAGCTATCCTTCCACTCAATTACAGTGGTCATAAATGCAACATGTTGATATAGTTTGTTTGGAATATTGAAATTATAATTATATATTCATATATATTTTTAGCACACTAGTGAGATTATATGATTTTCAATTTTACCTAAGTTGTTTCAAGCATAAGATTGGTGATATAATTCTTAGTGCATTGGTGTGGTTTTACTATTTTTTAAATTTTATATTAGTAATGTTTTCAAATTCATAAGCTATGAAAAAGAAAATAACTACTGAAAGTATATTCTTGTTAACTTATTCTGCAAAATATACTATATTTTAAAAATTATTTATTTCCTTTAATTATTCAGTAAGTTGTTGATAAGGACTTATTTTATACTTATTAAGTGTAAAGAGCAATAAGAGAGTTTTAATAACATTGTATATCAAATATTTATATTTAAATTTTTTAGTCACTAATATTCTTTGTCACCAAAGGGTAGATTTTTCTTTGCCAGAGCTTTATACAAATAGAACCATACAGAATACACACACACACACACACACACACACACACACACACACACAGACACACAGTGTTCTGAATTTTTAAATTCAAATGTTTAATTTTTTTCTCTCAAGTGCATCTGGCTTTATCTTCAACAGTAATCTTCCTCTAAAATCATCCAGACCCCAGACCATACTGATCGTCAAAACCTGAAATGTTTTTGATACACGATAATCAATTTTAAAGGTAATTTACATTATAGGTTAGTGAGCATGCAAGAAAAAAATAAAAGGTAAAAATTATCAGGTGTAATGCAAGTATAATATTAATTTTATCAATGAGAAATGGTCCATTGAGATTGTGAGAAATTAACAAATGTCTTTTTGTCTATCACCTTTGTTAAGAACAAAAAATCTTTACTTCCAAGGGAAGTCACACATAGTAAATATAAAGTGAGTTAACAGGCAACTAAAGGATATATACATTATATATATATGTATATATAATGTATATATTATGTATATATATATTTTTCTAAATCAAATATCGTCTTTATCAAGGCTCATCTCAGGCATTTTGGCCCTTTCCTATATAACAATTAATATGGACAAAACTGCACCCCAGGACATTATACAGCAAAGAGAGAAAGGGGCTGTGCTTATTCTAAGCTGATCAGCTCCCTCACTGGCATTGCCTCTCCTGCCACCCAGTGTTGTTGTTAGAGTTGCTCTTTTTGCATGATGCCTTTTCCAAATCTCAGCGCAAGCTGTGCCATTACAGTTAGGTAAGGTTTATTACATGTCATTTACAAGAAAAAAAAAAAGTTAAGACCAAAATAATATTGGCAATCTTTGCTTACTTCACATCCATGCCTTATCAATCCTGTTTAGACTGGCACTGTTTCTATTTCATTAGGGTTAATATGGGTGTTCATGGAACTTGTAACTTACCACTCTTATCCAACTTTCTTCAAGGCATTTCTTAGCATAGTACTATAATTCATCAATCACTTTAAGAATATAAGTGAAACTAAATTATCATACATTTATGTAGTAATAAATATTATAATCAATTGATTTTTAGTTCATAATAAATAACACCATTACTCTCATGAGACTTTATTTTGGAAGAAAGTGGTAAATTTATTTGTTGAGTTCTGCAGAAAAATAGTTTCTCCATGTCGCTAATAATACTTTTTTTCTCAAAATGTTGTGTTTTGGGTCAGTGGCAAGATCAGTCCAAAGACAGTGTTTCCTGTGTTTCAATCAAATTACAGTGTAGACAGGTTAAACTGAACATTCTAACCTAATATTACCATGCGAATATTTACTTGAACTACCACTCTATATTGAAAAATGTAAAAATATTCAAATAAATGAGCAATAAAGTTTTAAGAAATCAAGTTTGTCATCAACTTTCCTTTACATTTGCTTTCTGGTGGTGTTACTTTCACAATAAAAGATGACTTAGCTTAGGAGGCAGGCTCCCCAGATCTCAGTAATCCCATGGTAAGAAGCAATGGAAGTCGCACAGTGACAAAAACCTAAAACTGCCTGCTTACAAGACAACATTGATGCTATGACTTTAGATAGAACACATACTTTTCCATTTCTATTAGAGAACTGGAAGTGGGGACAAAGAGAAATAATGTAATCAAGATTTTAGATACATCGGGTCTTCAGACAAGGAAGGAACACAGGTCCAAAATCAGCCTCTTGTGGGAAGATTTGTCCCAGTTAATTTAAAAATCAGTCACCATTGGATTCCACATAATCAACAGAGATTGATATGCATCCTGGTAAGGCAAAAATCAAGATTTTTGTCCATGTGTCTTCTCTTGAACTGAGCATATGAACAAGGAGCTGTCCTTCCTCTCTGCCACTCCATGTTCTGTCTCTCCTTGGCAAGCCCTCACCTAGGTCCTTTTCCGATCCAGTATGACTTTGATTAGATTGTAACATGCTAATTTGCTTAGATAACTTATTTGCCTCTTGCGTTAAATGTCTTCCTATTTAGCCTTTTTTTGGTAATAAAGGGCATATTTTGCTTCCCCATTTACTCCTCCCTTCTCAATTAATTCAGAAATTGGGCATGATCTTTTTAAGTATCTCAGTATCTCTGACAAAGGCATATCTCTGAGGCATACATAACTCATTATGGCAAAAGGGGCATATCTGAGAGATAAGCCTCAAGATTAAGAGAAGAGATTCCTCTTAGAATAGAAGAAGCTTTCACAAATTTGCAGAAAAAGGACACAGGAGAGGTTATAAAACATATCTTTATGGTTAGGACCAAACCAGGCTGCATGCTAACAGCAATGTTTAAGACAGTCTAGATCAGAAAAGTAAAAGGGATTCATGTCTTCCTTTTTTTCTAGAATTAGAGTTTCAGGGAGATAACAAGATTGTAGAAATAAATCATTGCCTGATACAACCAGAACGAAGGGACTATCCATGGCCTTGCAAAAAGATTTATGTCCCAGCCTTGCACAATGCATTAGAGCACACCTGACTCTTCAAGAATATTAAGGATGCAGTAGAAAGGGCTATCAGATCTCAGATGTCCAAATAGCTAGAAAAGAACCACCCCTCAGTGGTGGTTCATCGTGCTTTCAACCAATGCCAGGTGGAACAATAGAAGTTCCAGGGGCTACATGGGTAGTCAGGTCTCTCAAGAATCATGCTGCAAACCCCTCCACTTCCTACAGTACCATAAAACCGGGAAAGTTCCCAGAACTTAAGCAAAATGTTCCACAAATGTGGGGTTTATGTTGGTTTGCTGAATTGAATGAAAACAGATTTCAACTACTCTCTTACTATGGAAATCATATTGAATTAAGAAAAAGTTGTTTTTTCTACACACCCAACTTTGTAGAATCAAAACTCATAGCACTGGGAAAATATAAAATGAGCATACTTTTATCACTCTGGCTGTACAAAACTATTTACTATTACAAAAACTTTTAGAAAACTATTTACTGTTTACAAAACTATTTGCACGTGATATTACAAAAACAGCTGTTAGGACCTTCTCCCTTTCTTCCCTACTAGTCTTAGACAAATGATTTTATTTACCTCAACTCTTTCTTATGAGACATGGTTTTACTATGTCTCGTCATTGCCATTTTCCTTAAGTATTTGTTGCTATTCCTTTTAAAGAGTAGGACCCTAAATTGCTCTTAATAATCCACGTTGTTCTGACAAATTAAGGGCAAAATGTGAACAGCATTTCTCTTGGTTTAAGTACTATACTCTTAGAGCATAAATATAATCTAAAATTAATTATCATGGTTACTACACTCCACTGTGAATTCCCATTGATTTCATCATCAGCTAATGCCCTTAGGTCTTCTCCTAAATGGCTTTTTAATAAATAATGTCTCAGTCATCCTATAGCCATGAAGATTTTTAAAAAATAACTTTTAGGATTACATATTTAACACTATTAACCTTCATTCCGCTAGACATTAATCTATATATAATACCTTAGTATTGGCTAAGTTATTAATTTTGTAGTAATATGTTACATCAGTGCCTCATTAAGTTCATAACCATTTATTCGGAAAGACAGCTAGTTGGAAAGAACTCGGAGAAGGAGGATGGGATTGAACATGGAATTACTTAAATAATTGACTTGTTGTTGCTCTTGCCGCACCTGCCATTGCATTTAGTTTTGTTTTTAGTGGAAATTAGGGACAAGTGGAATGGATGATTTACAGGACGTTTTGTTTCACTGGAGGGCTGCATGGATCAAGTAAAGACACATAATGGTAATCTATAAAAGCCTCTACAGAAGTAGAACATTTGAGAGCCACATGTTTTGATAAAACAGAAGGAACTGGCAGAAGGGAATGGAACCCTAGACCTGTTAAAGCATTTGCCCAAGGGCATATAACTATTTAGTAAAAGATATAACTCTTGAAAACTTTTAAATCTTAATAAAGTGTTCTTTCAATAACTTTGTTAATCTTTATGGTTCTATAAAGACTAAATCAAATGTCTTTTCTCCCCATAGCATCTAAAGACAATTTTAATGTTCACAATTATCCTTCTCTTCTCCATGGTAAATATTTGTTATTCCTTAAATTTTCTTCTGAGATCATTTCCAGATCATTCACTCTTCTGATTGCCTTTTTCTGGATGTTCTCCAGTTGCTCATTACCCAACTCCAAAATATGGAGAACTGAATTACACAATATATGTGAAAGCAGAATATTAGGTGTTCAACATACAACTTTTTGAAAAATAAAAGCAGGCTAGTCTGACACATATTAGTAGCAAATTTAATTTCTATTGTGTAAAATGCAGACTTCTATGTAAATTTTCTTCTGCACATTGCCCTAATTAATGTTTCAAATCACAGAGTTATGCATTCAATTCAATATTCTACCACTAAAGATGGAAGAGAGATCTTGACAGAAACACACTAAAGCAAAACTAAAGACTCAAGACAGATTGCTTTGCTGAGAAATAGATGCCCAATTATTGCCATATTTTGTGGCTATACGTTTAACCTTATTTGATATTGTCAGCTCTATAAAAGGGCATGATCATAGATGGTATCAACTGGATGTATTGAGGAGTTTTCTAATGAAAGTTAAGCACATTTTATAACGGTGATTAAATCTCTCTACGACAAATTTCAGTTATTTAAGATTCTGGTAGAACTTTCTCCATAGTACTGTCATATAGAAAAGTATCATCCCTTTCTTTCTCCTTCCTTCCTTCTTTCCTTCCTTCCTTCCTTCTTTCCTTCCTTCCTTCTTCCCTCCCTCCCTCTCTCCCTCCTTTCTCTCTCTCTTTTCTTTCTTTCTTTCTTTCTTTCTTTCTTTCTTCTTTCTTCTTTTTCTTTCTTTCTTTCTTTCTTTCTTTCTTTCTTTCTTTCTTTCTTCTTTCTTTCTTTCCTTCTTTCTTTCTTTCCTTCTTTCTTTCTTTCCTTTCTTTCCTTCTTTCTTTCTTTCCTTCTTTCTTTCTTTCTTTCTTTCTTTCTTTCTTTCTTTCTTTCTTTCTTTCTTTCTCTTTCTTTCTTTCTTTCTTCCTTTCTTTCTCTGTCTCTCTCTCTCTTTCTTTCTTTCTCTCTTTCTCTTTTTAGAGAATGGGTCTTGCTCTGTCACCCAGGCTGGAATGCAGTGGCATGATCATAGCTCCCTGTGGCCTTGAACCCCTGGGATCAAGTGATCTCTCCTCATCCTCTCAAGTAACTGAGACTATAGGCATGTGCCACCATGCTCGGCTAATTTTTAAATGATGTTTTTAGAGATGGGGCTTCACTATGTCTCCCAGGCTGGTCCCAGACTCCTGGTCTTAAGCAATCCTCCCACCTCAACTTTCTAAAGTGTTGAGATTACAGACATGAGCCACCGGACCTGGACCATTTTCTTTATTTCTAATGAAAAAAAAAATACCTTTTGAAAAACAGTATGTGATCAGAGATATGTAAGTGTGCTAAGGTTGTAAAAGCACAGAGTCACACTTTTATTAAAGAAAAGGATAACACTTTTTTTTTTGCAGAAGCATGGAATCAATATGGGAAACATGCAAGTTTTAAAACATAAAAATATTTAGAACTTAAATAACACAATTATGTGTTGACCACAATGTTATCTCTGCTCCTTTATCCTTCCAACCCAGGACTAATTACTTATTCTATGTTCAAGATTCATTCTTAAACTTTTCCCCAAGACACTTCATCCATGACTTTCTCATCTATCCGCAAACAGCTCCTCCTTTCTGGTTCCTTTTCCACAATTTAGAAATGTTTCCATCTTCAATACAAAACAAATAAAATCTAAATAATAATAGTAATAAAAAAACCTCCACTCTTAAGGAGAATAAATTGCTTCAACTTTTTGGAGGGTAATCTGAATATATCTGTTAAAGTTTAAACTTAATATTACTTTTTGTCCCCAAATTCTATTTTTACAGTTATATTCACATAACATAAATATATATTTATATAATTATTTATATAATATATAATATATATATTTAATAGCCCTGAAATGGTAGTGTAAGGAGATCCACAGACCCCTCCCCCAGTGAAACAGCCACAAGTAAAAATTATTTTAAAAATAACGATTAAAATCTCCAGCTCAACAAACAAAGAAACATTTATTCAAGAAAATGTACTAAATATCAGTAGAAAACACCAACAATCTGTAGCACTTGAGCCACAGTCTGTTCTCTCCCCACCACCCAGATAAGACTGACAGAATCTCCAATCTGGTTGAGTGTTGGTGAGAAGACTAGACACCCTTTGCTCTCATCTTCCACCTATGGATATGAATTCTCACTTGGAGGGGCAGGTGAGCAGCATTTCTCATTCACGTAAACTCCAAGTTGCAGAAGATACATTTTTAATGAGTGCAACTAAGAAGTCAGGTCTCTTTTTCTTTATGCAGCCACCATTCATAGGTTAGAGGCTATGCCCCAGGCAGGAGAGGATGGGAATCTTAGAGCCCAATCACCATCACTCCAGCATGATCATAGGGTAATATTCCATGCAAAGAGAAATAAGCCAAGGAGAGGAGAGGCAACAAACTCTTCTCAAGTTCTCTCATCTTTGACCCAGAGATTTTGATGAGAGAGAGAGAGAGAGAGAGAGAGAGAGAGAGAGAGAGACAGAGAGAAATTTCATAAGAACAGAGAGCTCCAAAACTCTTTTCCCCCAAAATTGACTTATATGTAGAATATATAAAGAACTCTTACAATGTAATAATAAAATGACACATATTCTAATTAAAAATGGTCAAAGGACCACAATAGACATTTTTCCAAATAAGATATTTCAATAGCTAATAAGAACATGAAAAGATGCTTGACCTCATTAGCCATCAGGTAAATGTAAACCAAAACCACATGATATATCACTTCACCCTCAATGTGATGGCAAAAATTAAAAAGTTAATTAAAAAAAGCATTAGTAAAGATGGGGAGAAATTTGAAGCCTCATAAACTGCGATTAAGAATGTAAAATGGTGTAGCCGCTTTGAAAAGCAGTCTATCAGTTTCCCAAGAGCTTAAACAAGGACTTATCATGTGATCTAGTATTTCCACTCCTCAAGAAAAATGAAAAGAAAATGCCTATGCAAAAAAATAGAAGCTTGAATGTTCATAGCAACATTATTCATAATAACCACAAAGTAGACACAACCCAGATGTCCATTACATGATGAATGTATAAATAAAATGTAATATGTCCATTCAATGAAATATTGTTTGGCAATAAAAATAAACTACTACTGATACACGCTACCAAATAGATGAATCTTATAAACATTGTACTAAATGAAAGAAGTCAATCACAAAAGACCACATAATATATTATTCAATTTACATAAAACATCTAGTACAAGCAATTTTATAGAGACAGAAGATAGATTGGTATTGGCCGAGGCCTAGAGAAGTTGGGAGCAAATGGGGAGTGACTGCTGATGGATACGGAATTACTTTTTGGGGCAATGAAAATGTTCTAAAATTGATTGCGGTGATGCTTGAACAACTTCACATTCTAAGCATACTTTAAAAGGGTATATTTTATGGTATCTGAATTATATCTCAACAAAACTGTTATAAAATTATACGCAAACACATTGAACACACACACAAAGGTGTGTATTTGGAATCCTTGCTTGCCATAGTAAATGAACACCTGAATACCTAGATTGATTAAATTATAAAATTTTAATATAAGAGACTAGGCATCTACCTTGAAAAGTAATATATCTGAACGTATTGACCTGACTAGATATCCAAAATATCTTTCTCTGGATCTTTTAAAAATTAAATATGTTTCAAACAATTGTGTTGTAATATTTCTCTTTAAAAATTATGTATACAATTTTCCATGGCATATTAGTATTTAAACTAAAAAATATCTAGAAAAATATACCTCAAAATATTAACAGTGATACCAGAAGTGAAACACAGGAAAATGTCTACATATTTATAGACTTACTAGGAAAGTAGCTGATCTGTAGTGCTTTTGAGTGAATAAATAATCACACTCTGAGAGGCGATAATATATTGGTGTTATTAGACCTTACACATGTGAGTGGATGGAATTTGGGTGCTGGAAGTACAGGGAAAAGCTAATGGCTTTTAATTCCCTTCTGCTATGTGTCAGATACTGTGCTAAGCACTTTCATTAAATAACTAGTTGAATTAGTTCTGGTGTAGCTATTAATACTTTGAAAAGCAGTCCGTCAGTTTCTCGAGCATTTAAACAAGGATTTATCATATAATCTAGTATTTCTATGCTCCTCAAGAGAAATGAAAAAAAAGTCTACATAAAAATGGAAGCATTAATGTTCATAGTAACATTATTCATAATAGCCACAAAGTAGACAAAACACAAATGTCCATTAGCTGATAAATATATAAATAGAATGTGATATATCCATTTAATGAAAAAATATTTGGCAATAAAAATATCAATAATTCTTCAAAATGGTATTTATATCACCTGATTGAGTTAATTGAATTAGATGATAAACTTGATTATCTTAGCAAATTATTTGGAAAAGCAAAATGAAATATAATAAGAATTATTAAAACTCTTACTATGAGCCAATATTCTGAGCACTTTACATGAATTAAGTAACTTTTAATCCTCAAAACAATGTAAGAGAGAATTTGTAATCATTATCTTCATTTTACAGATGAGATCATTGAGGTCCAGTGAGCTTAATGAACTTACTAGGAGCTATACAAATTTTTTTTTTTTTTTTGAGATGGAGTCTTGCTCTGTCACCCAGGCTGGAGTGCAGTGGCATGATCTCAGCTCACTGCAAGCTCTGCCTCCTGGGTTCACGCCATTTTCCTGCCTCAGCCTCCCAAGTAGCTGGGACTACAGGCGCCTGCCACCATGCCCGGCTAATTTTTATTTTTTGTATTTTTAGTAGAGACAGGGTTTCACTGTGTTAGCCAGGATGGTCTCGATCTCCTGACCTTGTGATCCGATGGCCTCAGCCTCCCAAAGTGCTGGAATTACAGGCGTGAGTCAACGTGCCTGGCCAGGGCTGTACAAATTTTATCCAGGCTTCCTGATTCTATCTCATGACTTCTAACTACTAGAATGTCTGTAATAATTCATAATTGCTATTGGGATAATGACAGTAATGATGGAGTTTATAGTAACAACAGATAAACTGGAAGCAAAAGGCAAAATACAAAACATATCTTGAAGTGAAAAGTAGCAAGCTTGTTTTAAAATTGAAACTGGTAAATACTAAAAGTCAATTACAAGTTTTCATTGAGAAACTGAGAAATGATTGGTAATCTGGTAATCTGGGCAGAAATAGAAATTGTACTGAGGAGTAAAATAATCTCATATATTTAGAAATATCTTTGGTAATGGTAATGTACTTTGTGAATGAAGAGAACTACTATACAAATAATACCAGTTATATAAACTGCACAACATCATCATTTATTAAAGGTGAGTTAATAGTTAAAATTATAAAAGTAACAGTAAAATAAGGAGTCAAGGGAAGTTATGGGACTGGTATATTATGAGGATATGGAAGGGTGAGTGAATTCAGCAAGGACAAAGGACTCAAAAACTATTTCCTCAAAATTTTTCATAAGCCTGTTGACAGTCAGTGTTTAGATATCTTTGTTTTCTTAATTTATACAAATTTATGGGAATACATAAGAAATTTTGTATATGCATATCCTAGGTAGTGATTAAGTCAGGGTATTTATGATGTCAATCACCCAAGTACAGTACATTTTGTTAGCTATAGTCCACTTACTCTGCTAACAGACATTGAATGTATTCCTTCTATTTTATTATATGGTTGCAAACTTTAATGCAGTTCTCTTCATTCTCCCCTTTTTCCCCCATTCACCCTTCCTGATCTCTATTATTTATCTCTCTACTCTCTAACTCCATGTGATCAAATTTTTTAGCTCTCACATATGAGGGAGAATGTACAATATTTGTGTTTTTGTGTCTGGCTTATTTCATTTAAAATAATGACTTCCAGTTGCATCCATGTTCCTGCTAATGACAGGATATTATTCTTTTTTATGGCTGAATAGTATTCCACTGTGTATGTATACCACATTTTCTTGATGCATTCATCTGTTGATAAACACTTAGGTTGATTCCGTATCTCTGGTATGGTGAATAATGCTGCAGTAAACATGTGAGTGCAGGTATCTCGTTGATCTATTGATTTATTTTCCTTTGGAATTCCAATTCTAGTAGTGGAATTGATGGATTGAATGGTAATTATATATATTAGTCTGTTTTCATGATGCTGATAAAGACATACCTGAGACTGGGAAGAAAAAGAGGTTTAATTGGACTTACAGTTCCACATGGCTGGGGAGGCCTCAGAATCACGGTGAGAGGTGAAAGGCACTTCTTGCATGGTGGTGGCGAGAGAAAATAAGGAGGAAACAAAAGTGGGAACCCCTGATAAACCCATCAGATCTTGTGCGACTTATTCACTATCATGAGAATAGCAAGGGAAAGACCAGACCCCATGATTCAATTACCTCCCACCAGGTCCCTCCCACAACATGTGGGAATTCTGGGAGATACAATTCAAGTTGAGATTTGGGTGGAGACACAGCCAAATCATATCATTCTGCCCCTGTCCCCTTCAAATCTCATGTTCTCACATTTAAAAACCAATTATGCTTTCCGAGCAGTTCCCCAAAGTCTTAGCTCATTTCACCATTAACCCAAAAGTCCACAGACCAAACTCTCATCTGAGACAAGGCAAGTCCCTTTTGCCTATGAACTTGTAAAATCAAACGCAAACTATTTACTTTTTAGACAGAATGGGCATACAGTTATTGGGTAAATGCAGCCATTCTAAATGGGAGGAATTGGCCAAAACAAAGGGGTTACTGGGCCCATGGAAGTCTAAAATCCAGCAGGGCCATCAAATCTTAAAGCTACAAAATGATCTCCTTTGACTCCAGATCTCACATCCAGGTCACACTGATGCAAGAGGTGGGTTGCCATGGTCTTGGGCAGCTCCACTGTTGTGGCTTTGCAGGGTACAGCCTCCCTCCTGGCTGCTTTCTCAGGCTGGCATTGAGTGTCTGCAGCTTTTCCAGGCACACAGTACGAGCTGTTGGTGGATCTACCATTCTAGGGTCTGGAGGACTGTGGTGCTCTTCTCACAGCTCCACTAGCTAGTGTTCCAGTAGGTACTCTGTGTTGGGGTTCCAACCCCACATTTCTCTTTGGTACTGTCCTAGCAGAGGTTCTCCATGAGGGACTCGCCCCTGCAGCAAACTTCTGCCTGGGCATCCAGGCATTTCCACACATCTTCTGAAATCTAGGCAGAGGTTCCCAAACCTCAATTCTTGATTTCTGTGCACCCACAGGCTCAACACCACATGGAAGCTACCAAGGTTTGGGGCTTCCACCTTCTGAGGCCACAGCCCAAGCAGTACCTTGGCCCTTTTCAGCTATGGCTGGAGTGGCTGGAACACAGGGCACCAAGTCCCTAGGCTGCACATGGCACAGGGAACCTGGGCCTGGCCCACAAAACCACTTTTTCCTCCTAGGTCTCCAGGCTTGTGATGGGAGGGGCTGCCCTGAAGGTCTCTGATATGGCCTGGAGATATTTTTTCCCATTGTTTTGGGGATTAATGTTAGCCTCCTTACTACTTACACACATTTTTGCAGCTGGGCTGAATTTCTCCCCAGAAAATGGGTTTTTCTTTTCTATCCCTTAGTCAGGCTGCAAATTTTCCAAACTTTTATGCTCTGCTTTCCTTATAAAACTGAATGCCTTTAACAGTACCCAAGTCATTTCTTGAATGCTTTGCTGCTTAGAAATTTATTCTGCCAGATACCCTAAATTATCATTCTCAAGTTCAAAGTTACACAAATTTCTATGGAAGGGGCACAATGCTGCCAGTTTCTTTGCTAAAACATAACAAGAGTCACCTTTACTCCAGTTTCCAACAAGTTCCTCATCTCCGTCTGAGACCACTTCAGCCTGGACCTTATTGTCCATATCATTATCAGCATTTTGGGCAAAGCCATGAAACAAGTCTCTAAGAAGTTTCAGTTTCCCACATTTTCCTCTCTTCTTCTGAGCCCTCCAAACTGTTCCAACCTCTTCCTTTTACCCAATTCCAAAGTCACTTCCACGTTTTTGGGTATCTTTTCAGCAATGCCCCACTCTCAGTACCAATTTACTGTATTAGTCTGTTTTCATGATGCTGATAAAGACATACCCAAGACCTGGAAGAAAAAGAGGTTTAATTGGACTTACAGTTCCACATGGCTGGGGAGGCCTCAGAATCATGGTGAGAGGCAAAAGGCACTTCTTACACGGCGACAGCAAGAGAAAATGAGGATGAAGCAGAAGCAGAAACCCCTGATAAACCCATCAGATCTCAAGAAACGTATTTAGTATCATGTGAATAGCACGGGAAAAACTGGCCCCCATGATTTAATTACCTCTCCCTGGGTCCTTCCCACAACATGTGGGAATTCTGGGAGATAAAATTCAAGTTGAGATTTGAGTGGGGACACAGCCAAACCATCTCATTATATTTTTAGTTTATTGGGAAATTTCCATAATGTTTTCCATAGTGACTGTATTAGTTTACATTCCTACCAACAGGGTATACTAGTTCTCTTTTCTCTGTATTCTTGTCAACATCTATTAAAGGTTTTGCCTTCTTAATAATAGCCATTAGCAATTTTTATTTTAAAAATTTTAGTTTTATTAATTTGTAAAGGCATTATTAATAATTGTTTTTTAAATAATAGTCACTGACTAGTGTAAGATAATATCTCATGATGGCTTTGATTTGCATTTCTCTAAGGATAGTGATGTTGAGCCCTTTTCCATATACTTGTTCACCTTTTTTTGTCTTTTTTTTGAAAAACGTTCATTCATGTCCTTGCTTACTTTTTAATTAGATTTTTTTTCCGTTGAAATGAGTCCCTTGTATATTCTAGATATTAGTAACCTGTCAGATGAATAGTTTGCAAATATTTTCTCCCCATTTAACAGGTTGTATTCACTATGTTGCTTGTTCCCTTTGCAGTGCCAAAGATTTTCAATTTAATATAGTCCCGTTTGGTCTATTTTTGTTTCTATTGCCTATAATTCTGAGGTCTTAGTCATAATTTTTTTTTGCCTTGATCATTGTCTGGGACAGTTTTCTCCAGGCTTTTGCTAGTACTTTTATAGTTTTGAGTCTTATGTTTAAGTCTTTAGTTCATTTGTTTGATTTTTTTATATGGTGAGAGATAGAGCTCTAGCTATGTTCTGTATATGTGGGTATCCAATTTTCCCAATACCATTTATTGAAAAGGATGTCCTTTCCCCAGTGTAAGATATTGCTGGCTTTATCAAAAATCAATTGACTGTAAATATGTAGGTTTATTTCTAGGCTCTCTATCCTGTTCCATTGGTGTATGTGTCTTTTTATACCAACACCATATTGTTTTGGTTACTACAACCTTGTAATATAATTTGAAGTTAGGGAATGTGATGCCTCCAACTCTTGTTTTTTTTTTTTCTTTGCTCAATATTATGTTGGCTATTTACACTCATTCTTGGTTCCATATGACTATTAGTATCTCTAATTCTGTGAAAAAAAATGATGTTGGTATCATGACAGGGAATATGTTGAATCTGTAGATTGCTTTAGGCAGTATGGTAATTTTTACCATTTCGATTCTTTCAATTCATCAGCATGGGATGTTTTTCCATTTGTTTGTGTCATCTTCAATTATTTTCATCAATGTTTTGTAGTTTTCCTTGTAGAGATCTTTCACTTCCTTAGTGAAATTTATTCCAGGGTATTTTTGGTAGCTATTGTAAATATAATTTTTTTTATTTCTTTCTCAGCTAGATCATTACTTTTCTATGGTAATGCTACAGATTTTTGTATGTTGCTTTTATGCTCTGCAACTTTATAGGATTCTTTCATCAATCTAAGAGTTTTTTGGTGAAGTCTTAAAGATTTTCTAGATATAAGATGTTATCATCAGCAAAGGGGAACAATTTGACTTCCTGTTTTCCAATTTGGATGCCTTTTGTTTATTTCTCTTGCTTATTTTCTCTATCTAGAGCTTCCAGTACTATGTTGAATAGGAGCAGTAAAAGTGGGCATGCTTGTTTTGTTCCAGTTCTTAGAGAAAAGACTTTCAATTTTTAGCTGATGTTAGCTGTGGATTTGTCATAAATGACCTTTATTATGCTGAGGCATGTTTTTTTTATGCCCAGTTTGTTGAGAGACTTTGTCATGAAAGGATATTAAATTTTATCATAGGCTTTATCAAACACTCTACAGGGTGGGAAAACGTATTTGTAAACTATGCATTCAACAAAGGTCTAATATTCAGAATCTATAAGGAATTTAAACAAAACAAGCAAAACAAACAAACTACAACAAAAAACAAGTAACTCGCTAAAAAGTATGCAAAAGACATGAGGAGACATTTCTCAAAAGAAGACATACACAAGGCCAACAAGCATATAAAAAAATGCTCGATATCACTAATTATTAGAGAAATGCAACAAAACCACAATGAGATACCATCTCATACTAGTCAGACTCTTTTTAATTCATTAAAAAGGAGTTGCTCTTTTTCTTTAGTTGTAGACAGTTTGACTATAGTGTGCCATGGAGAAGCCCTTTCTGCATTGTATCCACCTGAGAATCACTGAGCTTCCTGTATCTGAATGTCTGAATCTTTTGCTAGACTTAAGAGCTTTTTCACCTATTACTTAATTAAATAGGCTTTCTAATTCTTTTTTTTTTTTTTTTTGTCTCATTGCCCTTGGGGATACTGATAATTTGAATGTCCAATTGCTTTACACTGTCCCAAATGTCAGGAAGCCCTTGCTCATTTTTTAAAAAAATTCTTTTTTAAAACTTTTTGTCTGATTATATTATTTCAAAAGACATCTTCTTCAAGTTCTGAGATTATTTCTTCTGCCTGGATTAGACTATTGTTGAAGCCTCCAAATATATTTTGTATTTCTTCAAGCAAATTCTGTAGTCCCCAAATTTTTATTTTGTTCTTTTAAAAAATATCTATCTTTTTGGTAATTTTAAAATTTATATCATGAATTGTTTTCTGATATCTTTGTATTGATTTTTAGAATTCTCTTATATCTCACTAAGCTTCTTTAAAATCAAATCTTGGCCAGGCACAGTGGCTTACACTTGTAATTCCAACACTTTTGGAGGTCAAATCAAGAGAATCATTTGAGGCCAGGAGTTGGAGACCACCTTGGACAACATAGTGAGATGCCAAGACGCCATCTGTACAAAGTAGAAAAACTTCGGCATGATACTGCGTGCGTGTAGTTCTAGATACTCATGAGGCTAAGGTGCAAGGCTCACTTGAGCCCAGGAGTTTGAGGCTGCAGTGAGCTAAAATCCTGCCACTACACTCCAGCCTGAGCAGCAGGATGAGGTCCTGTCTGTAAAATAAATAAATATAGTAAAGTAAAACAAAATCAACTTTTAAATTACATATCTTAGAATTCAGAACTTTCTTTTTGATTAAGGTCTAGTGTAAGATCTAGTGCTAGAGAGTCATTTTGTTCCTTTGCAGCTTCATATTCCCCCTTTTTTTGGTTCATGTTTCCTGTTTCCCTATGTTGATATCTACACATCTAGTGTGATAATCTAACATTGCTATCAAGACCTAACTGAGACTGGGTAATTTACAAATAAAAGAGGTTTAATTGGCTCACAGTTCTGCAGGCTGTACAGGAAGCATGGCTGGGGAGGCATCAGGAAACTTTCAATCATGGCAAAAGGTGAAGGGGAAGCTGGCACATGCTGGAGAAGGAGGAAGAGAGTAAAAGGAGAGACGCTACATACTTTTAAACAACTAGATCTCGTGAGAACTCACTCATTATCACAAAAACAGCAAGGGGGATGTCCGCCCTCCTGATCAAATCACCTCCCACTAGGCTCCTCCTCTAACACTGGGGATTGCAATTCAACATGAGATTTGGGTGGGGACACAAATCCAAACCATATCAATTACTTCTTCCTAATTTTTAATTTATTTTCAAAGGGGAATAAGTTTCTCTGAAGACGTATTTATGGTGTTGGTTGAGTAGGTTACTTTGGCTTTAAAGCTAGGTAATGTAGTCTCTGTGCGTGGTAACATAGTCTCTATATGATTTCTTTGGGTGTAAATAGCAACAGTGGCATATATGATTCTCTCAGAGGGTTATTAGTGGAGGTTGAAGTTGTGCTGGAAGCTGTGATACCAAATGGGCCAATCTTTAGTCCCCCATGGTGGCAGTAGTGGGCTGAGCATACTTATCTTAGTGCTCCAAGGTGGTATACATTGGCACTTGTTTTGGCAATTACCAGTGGGCTTATTCTTGAACCTCCAAGTGGCTTGCTTGGATGCCTTTAATAGCAGTGATAAACTTGGTGGATGATCAGGTTCCTAGGCCCCTGAGCAGCTCGTATAGCACTGGGTGATGGCAGTAGGAGTGATGGGACAATTCTCTGGGTCCTGACTGGTGCACATTTATGCCGGTGGTGGCTGCAGTGGGCTAGCTGGGCCATACTCCAGTCCCACAGTTGGTGCTCAAAGGTAGGCGTCAGCAGAAATGATAGCAGCTGGAAGGTTAGGCCCAGCCTCAGGCCCCCAGGAGGAGTGCCCAGGTGCCTCAGGCTTCCCAGTGGTGACAGCAGGAAGCAGCCATGGTGGGCATGGGTGGGGCAATCCTCAGGCTTCAGGTGGAGCACTCAAGTGAGGCATAGTGGCAGCCATGGTGATGATGAGGCCATGCCACTGGAGAAGGTAAGACCATCCTCAGTGGCCACAACTTGGGCTGGTAGGTGAGGTATGTGTCGTCTGTCTTACACCCATTCAAGGCAGGGCTCTCCATCAAGCCTTAACAGCTTTAGCCTGCACCAAGTCACATCCCCATTCCAGCTGTGGGAACTCAAACCCAGTGGCCCCCCCTCACCCCACTTGTGTCCCAATCATCATCTCACCATCACTCTCTTCCTGGAACCAATAGCTGCAGCCCATGTCTTGCTTGATTCTTAGTCCTGGTGGTGGGAATGCTCCCAGCTCACTTTTCTGTTATAACAGTGACACCCTTGTTTCCATAACACCTCACTCCCTGAGCAACTGTGCCCCAGGGCAGTATGCAATTTGCCAAAGAATTGAAAGTGGATCCTCGCTGTAGCTCCTTAGTTCTCAGGAAGTTTGTTGGGCCTAAAACAAGCAGTCTCGCTGGAGCAGTTTTGTTCCACATTCTTCTGGCAGCTTGCTGTGTTAGTTTCAGTGATTGGGAGGTTCTTCCATGGCCAGCATTGCACGATTCCACGGTAGGAACGTGGGCCACGGGAAGTCTTTCATTCACCCTTTCCTTGCATTTAGACATCACTGCCAGCTCCCAGGAGATCCCAACCAGGCAGGCTGCCTCTCTCCTTCCTGCAAGCTTTTGGTGTTTCTTGTCACTTCTCTGTTGAATTCCACCATCCTTTCTTGGATAATACATTCAAAGAGTGACTGTCTATACACTATTTTGGTTCTTCTTAGTGGAGAAGGTGAGCATAAAATGCTTCTATTCAGACATCTTGAAGCCTGTCCTCTCTATTCTTTTATTATTAATGTTGTTATTACTTTATCTGTATGTGCTCCCTTCTTTTATTCAAAGAGCATTATATTACTTTAATAATAAATTTTTGTCAGGGAAAAAATAGTATGTTTCTTTTTCTCTTTTTAATTTTTTTTTTTTTTGAGAAGGGGTCTCACATGGTCTTTCAGGTTGGAGTGCAGTGGCGTCCCACGCTCACTGCAGCCTCCACCTCCCAAGCTAAGGTAATCCTTCAGCTTCTTGAATAGCTGGAGCTACAGGAACGCAGCACCATGTCCAACTAATTTTTGTACTTTTTGTAGAGGCAGGGTCTCACCATGTTGCCCAGTCTGGTCTCAAACTTCTGGGCTCAAGTGATCCTCCTACCCTCAGCCTCCCAAAATGCTGGAATTACAAGCATGAGCCATCACGCCCAGCCAAAAGTAGCATGTTTCTAAAGGGATAGCCTAAATATTAGTGACTTTTTTTTTATGATTTTTGCTACTCCATAATGTCTTTAATAGGAGTCCATTTATACTTCCAAAAATTGGCTTAGCATGTGTGTATTATGTTAGACATTTTTACTCTCATTATTATTATTTTCCTTTTTTTGACACACTGCAAACTCACAAATTACTCCATTGTTCAAGCTGACAATTTTTAGATTGCACAATGTACATTTGTACCTAAGGAGTATTTTTGAGAAATAATAATAAACTGTTATTTATTTAAAATTCAGCATTCAATATGTGTGTACATTTGACTCTTATTAAATTGAAATAACCTAAGGGTTTTAAGATGAACAGTTATTTCTCTCATGGATCATAATAATTACTTTAGATCAACTTTTTAATTCCTTTTAGGCCTGTTTTAAAAAATACACCTGGGATCTCCAAAGATTGCATTATGTTCAGTTAGGTAAATAATGCATTTTAAAATAATTATTTAAATATGTTTAAAAACATTTATGCTTCTTTGTAATCAATTGTAAAATACTTGAGAATTGTTTGTTGTATGTTGGTTGATCAGATTTTGCCTATTCCAATGGTTATTACACAATAAGAAATCTCAGGTATCAAAGTAATAAATTATTATAATCTATAGTTTATTCATTTTTAGGGAGGGAAAGAGGGCTGTCTTCTCCGATAATAAAGGCAAGAAATCATTTAGTGCAATTATTTTAAGGAAAATTTTTTCTAGATCAATGGGTAGGGACACAGAATGAGGGATACCTCATTCCTTAAGAAATGTATCTTGAGCTCATAAATTACTTCAAATGGCTCACAGAGCCTTGAAGCTGAATAGCATTCAAAAGAAAAATTAATAGGAGGGATTATAATTGTTTAAAAGCAAAGTTATGATCTTCTGTTTAGATAACGTGCATGTATATTCATTAAGCTTCTCGAAGTCTCACAAATTTTTATACCACTATAACTGTATTAAAGGGTATCAGATAAAATTCTAAGGAAGATATCTTTTTAATAATATGCCCAAAACATTACACATATTCTAGTGTAAAGTTGAAAACTTGAAAAAGGAAAAAAATTTAACTCCAGACTTCTGATGATGAAATCATATTTCTTCCATGAGTTTATACCAGAATTCTATTTTGGCGAACATAAGTACTCCAATTTTAGATTTCTCTTGATGGTTGCTTTATTTTCACACATAAGGTAATGCCACAGGCCACAACATGACATTGTATTAACGTGTAACATGTGAAAAGTTCATAAGGGAAGGGAAATGCTTTTTATTCATGTTTTACTCCAAAGTACAAATGTACAAATGTAGTTACGTACATATTAGACCGTTACCAAAACATTGCCTTTGTACTATACTATATGAGGGGTATGTGTGTGTCTGTGCGTGTGTGTGTATTTGTGTGAGTTTATATGTATGCATATTACAAATAATATGTATTGAATTTCCATTAAAATTGAAATTAATTGAAAATATAAATCAGATAAATTTTAGTGGTAGCTGATCAAGGATTAGTTTTAATTACATATTATCATTTGATGTTGACTCTCTTCGAGGGCTCTTGAGAGATACTGATGCTATGGACAGATGAAATGACTTGGCTATTGAAATTATATTTTTATTTTATTTTACCAATCTGACATCTGTCTGAAACTTTTTCTCCTTAGACTACCACCTCCCCATTTCCCCACCCCTCACACTTCCCAGCCTCTGGTAACATCCATTCTAATCTCTGCCCCTGTGAATTTAACTTTTTTAGATTCCCAATGTAAGTGAGACAATATAGAATTTGTCTTTCTGTGTCTAGCTTCTTTCACCGAGCGTGATGGCCTCCAAGTTCATGCATGTTTTTGCACATGACAAGGTTTCCTTCTATTTTTAGGACTGAGTAGTACCTTATGGTATACCATATTTTCTTTATTCATTTATCTGTTTATGAACATGTAGGTTGATTCCATATCTTGGGTATTGTGAATAATGCTTCAATAAACATGGAAGTGTAAATAGCTCACTGACATACTGATTAGATTTCGTTTGGACATATGTCCAGAAGTGGAATTGCTGAATCATATGGTAATTTATTTTTAATTTTTGGAGGAACTTTCATATTGTTTTTCATAATGGCTGTATTAATGTACATTTCCACCCACAGTTTACAAGGGTTTCCTTTTCTCCATATCCTCACCAACACTTGTCATCTCTTGTCTTTTTGACAGTAGCCATTCTAACAGGTATGAGGTAATACCTCACTGTGGTTTTAATTTGAATTTCCCTGATAATTCATGATGTTGACCATTTTTTCATACATCTACTAGCCATTTGCATGTCTTCTTTTGAAAAATGTCTGTTCAGGTCCTTTACCCATTTTTAAATCAGGTTATTTGTTTTTTTGCGATTGAGTTGTTACAGTTCCTTATATAGATTGGATCTTAGTTATTAACTCCTTATGAGATGTATAGTTTACAAATAGTTGATCTCATTCTGTAGACTGTACATTCTATTGCTTTGTGTGCTGTGCAGAAGCTTTTCAGTTTTAATTTGCTACAATCCCATTCATCTAATTTTGCTTTTGTTGCCTGTGCTTTATGAGTCATATCTAAAAATTATTTGCCATTTGCCAAGACCAATGTTGTAAAACCTTTCTTCAGTGTTTTCTTCTAGTAAATTTACAGTTATAGTTCTTATGTTTAATTAATTAATTCATTCATTTTAAATTCATTTTTAATTATGGGGTAAGTGAGATGTTCGATTTTATTCTTCTGCATGTGGATATCCAGTTTTTCCAAAACCATTTATTGAAGAGATTATAATTTCCCCATTATGGGCCTTTGGCACCTGTGTTGAAGAAATCAATTGACTATAAATTGGTGGATTTATTTATGAGCTCTCTACATTGTTCCACTGGTCTTTATGTCTGTTTTCCTGCTACCATGATATTTGAATGACTATATCTTTCGAATACATTTTGAAAGCTGGTAGCATTTCTCTGGCTTTTATCTTTTTGTTCAAGATTGCTTAGGCTATTCAGGATCTTTTTTATTTCTATAGTAACTTTAGGATTTTTTGAAATATTTCTGTGAAAAAAAAGTCATTGGAAGTGTGATATGAATTGCATTGAATCTGTAGATCTCTTTGGGTACTGTGGACATTTTTTTTTTTTGAGACGGTCTCGCTCCGTCGCCCAGGCTGGAGTGCAGTAGCGCAATCTTGGCTCACTGCAAGCTCCACCTGCCGGGTTCCCACCATTTTCCCGCCGCAGCCTCCCTAGTAGCTGGGACTGCAAGCACGTGCCACCATACCCAGCTAATTTTGTTTTTGTATTTTTAGTAGAGACGGGGTTTCAGCGTGTTAGCCAGGATGGTCTCGATCTCCTGACCTTGTGATCCGCCTGCCTTGGCCTCCCAAAGTGCTGGAATTACAACTATGAACATTTTGACAATATTAATTCTTCCAGTCCATGAACACAGAATATGTTTTCATTTATTTGTGTTTTCTTCAATATCTTTTGTCAGTGTTTTATAGTTTTCAATATAAAGATTTTTTGTTTCCTTGGTTTAATTTATTCCTATGAATTGTATTATTCTTAATACTATTATAAATGGAATTTTTTTCTTGATTTCTTTTTAGGATATTTGCTGTCAATGTTAGTTTACAGAAACAACATTGATGTTTGCATGTTTATTTTGTATCCACCAACTTATTGAATTCATTTATTTCTTACAGTTTTTGGGTGAAGTATTCAGTGTTTTCTTTATAAGATGTCATCTGCAAACAAAGACAACTTTGCTTCTTTCTTTTCTGATTTACATGCCTTTTGTGTATTTTTTTCTTGTCTATAGGATTTCATTGCTTTGACTAGGATTTCCAGTACTACGATGAATAGAAGTGGCAGGAGTAGGTATCCTTTACTTGTTCCTGAAAAATTCTAATTTAATTTTTTCCACAAAAAATGTTTCCAGCAATGAATTTTCATGAGATTTACTTTAGTTTTCTTAAGACATTGAACTCCTTCTTGTTAAATATCAGCAATATTGAAGTGTCACCCAGAAGACATATTCACACATTTGCTAAATATCTCTAAGATGCTCAGGGACTGGATCTCTTATAAGTCATCCAGTCGGTAATTTTATATAGAATTGCTTGATATTTGAACCAAGATGTGAAGCTTCACACATGGGCTGATAGTTCCCTAGAAATCCACTTACTACTTACTGAAGGTTTTCAACCAAATCATAAGATGAACTTGTATCTAAGCCAGAAGGATAAACCAAAAATATTTTAGAAGCTTCTTGCCCATAAGCATGAGAACTAGAATTCACGCTCAATGTTTGGCATCAACTCTATGGTACCCAGCTGACAGTTGGTCTGAAGAACAAATTTCAGTGTCAAAAAAATTAAAAAGTTGGCAAGAATTAGAAAAATTTTCGGTGATCCAGCCAAGCAATCTGGGATTCTGAGTAGGAATCCTAATCCTGGGAATCCAAAGCAGCTGACCAGTCAGACAGATTAAATTGGCATATAGACTTTCACACAGAGGAAACTTAATATAATAAAAAGGACATTTTGGAATTGGAGGGGGACTAAGATCATTAACATTTACAATGCTGCTGATGTAAAAATATATGATTTTTTTCTTTTTCTTTTTTTTTGAAATGGAGTCTTACTCTGTCACCCAGGCTGGAGTGCAGTGGCATGATCTTGGGTCACTGCAACCTCCACCTCCTGGGTTCAAGTGATTCTCCATGCCTCAGCCTCCCGAGTAGGTGGGTTTACAGGTGCATGCCACCACGCCCAGCTAATTTTTTGTATTTTTAGTAGAGACGGGGTTTCACTATGTTGGCCAGGCTGGTCTCGAACTCCTGACCTCATGATCCACCCACATAGGAATCCCAAAGTGCTGGGATTACAGGCTTGAGCCACCACACCAGGCTGAAGGTATATAATTTATTTTACCTCACTGGGGAATACTTTACTAAATTATGTTTTCTTAAAAAACCCAAAGCGTTTTGTATTGTGGTATTTACTAATTGCCTTGGCTATCACAATTGTAATTGATCATCGTGTCATATTTGCTTTATATCTGTGTTGTAGCTAGTCTTGAGAGATGGCCCCCAATAAACTACGCTTCCTGGATTTTGTACTCACTACAACATTGATTTTCCTTTCTTTTCTGATTTTTTAACTTGTTCTATCAAATACTGAGAAAGATTAAAATTTCAAATATAATTCTGGATATATCCATTTCTCCCTGCAGTTCTGCTGTTTTTGCTTTTTGTATTTGAGGCTCTGTTATTGGTACATATAAGTTTAAGACTGTTACATTTTCCCACTGAATTGGCCATTTGTCATTATGAAATGTTCTTCTCTATCTCCAGTAAGACTCCTTATCTTGAACTCTACTATGGTGTATGTTAATATAGTCATTCTACTTTTCTTAAGCTGTTTGTACTTTATGTCTAATTTTTTTCTTTTTACTTTAACTAGTTGATAAACTAGTTGATGATCTGGTTGATAAATCTAGTTTATATACTTCAAAATAATTAAATAATAAACATTATGTGTTTTTTACCATAAGAACTAGATTAGGAAAATAAAATTAAAAAACGGGTATCTGGATCATCCTCAAAATATTTGAAAATTATGCTTCTAAATAACCCATACACCACATCAAAGAATAAATAATAAGAGAAATTAAAACACATTTTAAACACAATTAATATTAAAATAAAACATACAAAAAATTATCATGTATAAAGCAATCCATCTTGGCTATTCCAGGCTGCTATAACAAAACACCACAGACTGGGTGGCTTATGAACAATAGAAGTTTATTTCTTACAGTTCTGAAGGCTGGAATTATAAGGGGAAGGCACCAGTATTGGCAGGTTCTTGTGAGGACCTTCTGTATTGAAGACTGCTGACTTCTTGTATTCTCGAAAGGCAGAAAGAGAACAAGCTAGCTTTCTGGTCTCTTCTTCTAAGAGCACTAATCTCATTCATGAGGGTGGAGCTCTCAGACTTAATTACCTCTTAAAGTCCCCATTTCTAAATACTGCACATTGGAAATTCAATTTCAACATATGAAGTTTGTGGTTACACTAATATTCAGTCCATAACAAACCTTTGAGGGAAATTTACATTTACTGTACATGCTCATATTGGGAAATAGTTTGTTTAATGTTGACATTATTTCTTCCTTAAAATGTTTAGTAGAACTCTACAGTGCATCTGTCCAGGCCAAGAACTTTCAGTTGTGGGTATTGTAGAATTGAATTTCTTTGACACATAAAGGGATTTTCAGACTTCCTATTTCTTCTTTGTCTGTTCTGGTAATATGAGTATTCCAAGCATTGTCTATTTTATCTCTATAATTGAATTTTAATTGGCATCAAATCATCAATAATTTATATTTTTTCATCCTTTTAATGTCTGTGGTATTTATACTAGGACTTTTAAGTTTTCTAATAACTGCCAGCTCTAGAGTCCAAAGGCTAAGTCACTACAACCTTAGAGTCAAGAAGGATCACCACTGCTCTCTTCCCTCTTCTTTTCGTGTGCTATAACAGGAGCAGGATAAAATTATGATTAGCAAGTTGAGTAAGGATGGCTGATGCAAACAACTTAAGCAACACTTCACCTACTTTAGCCTTACCATCTTATTCTAGTTCTGTGTTGGGTCTGATTGATTTCTAACAAGATTAATCTGACAGAAACTTGCTTCTTGCCTGCAGCGAGGCCCTGACTACCAGCACAAGGGTTTTGTATTAACATAACTTCAGTTCCCTCATTCTCATGGCCACTTTTACTATGGAAAATGCTCAAAAGCAGGGTAGTTAACTCCTTGATTGAAGAATCTTTAGCCAATTGTAAATACCAATACTAGAGGGGAATCTTTATATTCTTCTCTCCATCAACCCCACAAAAGTCCTGAGACTTTTTTTCTAGGAGTTAGCAAAGAACTGATTGATCCATCATACTTGAAGAAACTTGACTGTTGATAACATTCTAGCATGAGCTATCTCTTCATCTATGCCCTTGTACCTTATACCTGCTTCTTGGGATTATTCTTCCTATTAAAATAATATTCCTAAACCTCTGTGCCACAAACGATAGAAAATTGCAGCTAAGACAATTAGCAATAGAGAAAAGAGGAACGCCAGGCCTTCTTCTCATACTGCAAATGGATAGGAGGTGGCATGTTTCCAACCACTTCTTTCAGTTACTTATTTCTCCCACCATAGAGGTGGATCTTTCTTAGGATACTACCACCAAGGTTAACATTGCAATTATGTGATTACATCAAACATTTTCATATGGAATATAAATGGTGGAAGTTTTTTTGTTTGTTTGCCTTTTGTTTTTTTCAGTGTGGTGGAGTGGAAGGTGCAAATAATTTAGGGAGATCGTAAAGTTTTGACTGAGGTGTACATCCCCAAGCAAAGACATGCAGTAGGTAGTTGGATATAAGGATCTGGAGCAAAGGTGAGATGTTTGTCAGAAGTCATTCAAAGTGTCTAAGGGGATTAACATGCATATGAATAGACAACAGAACCTTGTTCAGAACCTAAAGTCAACCACATGAAGTTGGGGAATAGAAATAGAACATCCTGCAAACGTATAAAAGGTAATAGTTATTAACACAAAAGCAAACTCAAAAAAGCCTCCTGTTGAAGATCAAAGAGAATGTTGAGGAGACATAGAATGTCAATTATGCCAAAGAATGTGGAAGTGTCACATGATTCTGTCAGTTTTGGGAGCTTTAAAACCATTTGTGACTGACACATTATTGCTTTCCAGGAAGTGGTAGGGATGACAAAAAAGCATATTCCAACAGGGCTTTGGAGAGGATAAAGTCCAAGAAGTACTGAAACCAAGAGTCACTTAAATTTTTAAGAATCTTCATTTTAAAGATAAGTAGTAGTCCACATAGGAATGCATGGTATTCAATGATGATTTCCTACATTTATTCAAGGGATAGGAACATGCTATTGTGATCAGAAAGAAAAATCAAACAAAAAGAAGAGGCCAAAGGAAAGGATATGGTCAGAAAAAAAAATCAAACAAAAAGAAGAAGGTGATAAAGGAAAACAGACGATAGTGGTTCCTATCAAGATCTTAGAGAAAGAGAACATTAAGGTGATTGCAGATGAGAGTGTAGGTGTAAGGACAGGAAACTGAGGTTATATACACATGATGTCTTCACAACTTCTCACAGATAAATTTCTTATTAATGTACTAGGTTTTAGAGTGAGAGTTCTGAAGACTTTGATAAAAATCTACCTTCTTAGAAGACTGGAAGTGTTGACCAGGACCACGTAAAGATATTGACAGATGACAGTGAAGACACAGATAGAAAAGAAACTTGTTCTGTGATGCCAATCCATACAAAAATATACTTTTTTCTCAACTGGTTTTCTATATGAGAGAGAGAGAAAGTTAAATTTTAGGATCTCTTGAAGATCAGAAATTTTGAGAAAGAGAGAATCAATGAAATTCAGAATTTGGTGGAGTTGGTAAAAGATTCAGATGATTAAATGTTAGACAAGGCTATCTAACAGTAAATTATTGTCCCAGTGAGAAAAAAGGGTGATACCAATCAGAATGTGGTCAAGTAAAGTACCAGAATTATTGATATAAAAAAAATTAATGTGAGTGATGAAGTGGAATATTAGTGATTGTAGTCAAAGAACAAAGTTCAGATTTTAGAGATGGAGAAGCCAATAGCCACTATGGGGAAAGGGTTGGAAAAGATTAGAAGTGGAGGCCATTGGTTGAGACGCCTATGGAACAGATGAGGCTAGGCAGCTGTATGTGTTATCATCAGGGATGGAAAAATCTCAGGATAATGACAGGAGTGGGGCGGAAAGAAATCCTATCAACCTGGAACCTAAGCAATTTGATGACTGAGAGGGGATGACATAGGTATTAGGATATAACCGGGGAGCAGATGTCAAAGTAGATTGGTTAAAGTTGACTCCAAGGAAATAAAAGCTATTTAACAGGAGGGTAGATAAATAGGGCATCAGTTTCCTAGAGTGGTGTTTCAGCTATTATTGTGTTGCTTATTCTCTAGGGAGACAAATTGGAGTGATATCCAACTAATCAGAAGCTGGATGTAGCTGAAGGACTTCTTGTTCTAATTTATCTGGCTGTGTCTTCACTGAGCGGTAAACATAAATTGTATTAAAATTTGATAAGAGATGATATTTGATGAGGGCTTTAAAAAGTGTTCAATAAAGAAGTCCCCTGGATAGATAAAGTTATTTTAAACTCAAAGACAGAGAAATGGCATTGAAAACATTTATAGAACAAATAAACTTGTGTTCAATCCAAAATCAGTGAGCTATAAATGGTGCAGTTAACAAAATACACAGTTTAGTCATCGTTGCAATTGCAAAAGGCATATTTATCAAGTGCCATTAATTTACATGATTGTCAAGTGGATGATTCATAAATTTAGGCTCATTTTACAAAGCAGACATATCTCCCAGTAGGGGTCAAGGAGCTGAGTAGGAAGAACTAGATTAAATTCAGCCTAATGTTTCAAAGAAGTTTTAGCTTTGTATCAACAATTTAGCTTGCAATTATGGTCAATGATATATGGATCCTCTAGATATTCATCCAGACTAAAGTGACAACAGAATAATCCACCTGCATTCTTGGAGAAGTGTTGCATCCTTAGGAATTTATGATATGTCATTTAAAAATTATCATGTCATTAAAATAGGAAGCTTGATTGAGTGAAAGGAGAGAAGAAACATGAATAAGAACACAAATAATATGAGGGGATCGCTGAATAAAATGGAAGATTTTCAAAATCTCTTTTACATCTCATCTTCTTGCAGAGGGCACACATTCTTATTAATCCAGGATGTAATAATATAATAGATACTCATTGAATGTTGTATTTTGCAGCATTCATCTGTTGAAAGACTTGGGCACTTTTCATTACTTTATTGTTCATACCATTTTCCAGGTTTGGGTTGATAGAGTTGAATACATGGGTTATATACAGCCAGGACCTTATGGGAATAAAATGGAGGGGGTTATTTTAAATATTTGAACTCATACTTTTGAATTCAAGGAAATACTTTGAGGTTGTGATATTCTTGCTAAACTACTGCTCAGAACTCAAAGGATACCTGCATTGAAAGTAGCTCTTTCATTGTCATTTTATGTCTTATTAACAGCAATTTTTTTAAAAAAAAGATGTACTGTGGTGCATAAGAAGGTAAAATGTTATTTGCCTCACACCCCACCTTTATTCTCCATCATCTTCTAGTACTATAAGGATAGCTATTGTGGTTTTACTGATGTAAATTGATCAAAACAAGCATTTGATTTCAGCCAAAGCTGTCCATTAATTTTTTGAAGAAAATTCTTCTCCCTTCCCTTTCTCCCACCTTTCCTATTCCTCTCTTTCTTCCTTTCTCCATTTTTTTCTGTCAATTTTCCCTTTTTCCTGTGTAGACACTATACAGAAATGTGAAACAATGGGGAAGGCATGCAGAAAACCTACAAACTGAGATGTGTTGAATTGAGGCTGAGTAAATTGTTTGGATGGAAAAGTTTTCTGAGGACCTGAGCTCATTCTTTATAAAGGCCCTTTTAAGTCTAGACACAGACACGTTTCTGAATCTGTAGAAATGATTTGTATGCTGGCCTAATCCTGGAGTGCTCTGATTATAGAATTTGGAAGTGAGGCATTTCTAAAACAAAAAGGAATGGTGAGGTCTTTGGTGATGAAAACCTCAGCAAAAATAGAATGATTCAGAAAGCAAGAGCATCTGGTTTAACAAATAAGCAACTCAGAAAAGAGGCTTGTCTCATGTCACTGCTGGGCTTTCTGAAAGCCTTTTTGAATGTTTCACCAATGCACTGGTTTCCTAGGGCTGTTATAACTGGTTGGCTTAAAACAAAACAAATGTATCCTCTCACAGTTCTCTGGGATAGCATTTGGAAACCAAGGAGTCTCAGGGCTGTACTCTCTGAAGCCTCAAGGGAAGCATTTCTCCTTCCCTCTTCTTAGCTTCTGGTAGATGCCAAAAATTCTTGCAGACATATCACCCAAATCTCTACCTCTACTGTCGCGTGGTATTTTCTCTATGTTTTTTCTGTGTGTAAATTTCCTTTCTGTTTTTAGAGTTCAAATCATGGAAAAGGTCTTATTCTAATACAATATGAACTCATCTTACCTTGACGGTATCTGAAAAAGCCCTATTTGCAAATAAGATCACATTCACATGTCTCAGGGTTTAGGTCTTTAACATACACAGCTTCTTTTAGGGGAAACATAATTCAACCCACAACACCTGACACATAATGTTCAGGATTTTTTTGAATCAGTTTTATTGTTATTTTTCTTGCCAGTTTGCTTAGGTTTTAGGTTTGTTTTTGTTTGGTTGTTTCTTTGTATTTAAATTGGAAGTGTGTCCTTAACCTTTCAGTTATGTGCAGATAAATGGGATATCATTATAAATGAACATAAAAAGCAACTTTTCTTTCCACAGCAACAAAGAAAAACTTTAAGAGAAAACATTTAAAATCATGAAGCATATCTCTTTGCTTTACATCACATTTAACATTTTTTTCTCCATATCAAGGCTTTTTTACCATTATTAATCTTACCATTTTTTATCTTATTTTTTAATAGACACTTTCTACATTTCAAGAAAGCACCTATTTCCTTCTTTTTCCTTATTCTTCTTCTGATACCAATTCTTATCTCCAAGCATTTTTTTTTTCCAGGGATTGCCTTTAGAGAAAAGCAATGTATTAGTCCATTTTCACACTGCTATAAAGAAATACCCAAGACTGGGTAATTTATGAAGGAAAGAGGTTTGACTCAGTTCCACATGGCTGGGAGGTCTCGGGAAACTTATAATCATGGTGGAAGGTGAAGAGGAAACAATGACCTTCCTCACATGGTGGCAGGAGAGAGAAGAGTGAGGGAAGGAGGAATTTGCCAAGCACGTAAAACAATCAGATCTCCTGAGAACTCACTCACCCGTGAGAACAGCATGGGAGAAACTTCCCCCATGATCCAATCACCTTCTACCAGGTTCCTCCCTCAACACCTGGGAATTACAATTCAAGATGAGATTTGTCCCTTTGGGTAGGGACACAAAGCCTAACCATATCATACAAGATAATATACACCCACAAAGCATTTAAATCAAGAATCTTTTACAAATTAACAATAAACTGCTATACATCAGAGCAATATAAACGTCAGCATATAGACACATATGTATTAGTATACACAATTCCAAAAGTCTTGGTCTGAGCTATTTTCATCAAGTTCCTTAGCATCCTTCTCATTTATCCTACAAAGATTCTGAAGCTAGGATTGTGACTTTTTACCTAGTGTGAGTAATCTATGTCCATTTTAAATAAAAAAGAATAAAATATTTTGGTGGTGGCAACTCAGCTGCCCTAGGAGATACATGTTTTTATTCTTCGCCATAGTTATTTAGCCATTTTCAACTTGCTGTATGTTCCCCAGATCTCCTGTCTAACTAGATCCTCCATCATTCTCAGGGATCCTGTATTTGTCTGTTCTCATGCTGCTAATAAAGACATACCTGAGACTGGGTAACTTATAAGTGAAAAAGATTTAATTGACTCACAGTTCCACATGGCTCGGGGGCCCTCACAGTCACGGTGGAAGGTGAATGAGGAGCAAAGTCACGTCTTATATAGAGGCAGGCAAGGGAGCGTGTGCGGGGGAACTCCCCTTTCTGAAACATTCAGATCTTTGAGACTTATTCACTATCACAAGAACAGCATGGGAAAGGCCCACCCCCATGACTCAATTACATCCCACCGGGACCCTCCCACAACATGTGGAGATTATGGGAGCTACACTTCAACATGAGATTTGGGTGGGGACACAGCCAAACCATATCAGAACCCTTGTTCTAAACCTCAAGTAGAAAGTAGAACTTGCTATACAGGAATTTTCTTCATTTCCAATCAAGCAACCTGCAAATGTTTTCACGTGCATCTGCATGCTCTCTTCTTTTTCTCTCTTCTCCACATTCATATAAGCAAATTGCATCCACTTTTTTATTTTCTACAAGCTTAACCACTGCTATGTGCTTAAACTAAATTTCTAGTTTCCTCATCAACCCCCACCTTCACTCTCACCAAACAAATAAACAAACAATAAACCTATTTGTCCTTGAACATTCTCTTGTACAACAATAGAAATAATAACACCTTGTTTCCCAAGGTAGTGTTTATTAATATCCTCTTCACCTCATTGGTGGAAGAAGAATTCCTGCCCTAGAGTTATGAAGATGGTTGAGTACACTACATACAACACTGGACAGATGAGGTCCATGGCAGCTTATTAGTGACATACACTCACATCTTGGGGGATGATGACTCACCATGCTATGCAGGACCATGAATGGATTGCTGTTGGGAAATAGGTGAATAAGCAGGGGCTATGGGAGTTAGGCTTTATAGTATTAGGAGGGTAGGGTAAAGCTTGGTTCCCACAGGAAGATGTGATTGGCTTGTTTCAATAGTTTTGTGGGTTGGTAAGAAACTGAAATCTTCTACACGGATGTAAGCAACCACTGTTCTTGGTCTCCATGATAAAGAAGGTGGTATGGCTATGATACCTTGTCCATGAGACCACAATGGCGAGATGCACTTGGGCTAGGACATTTGAGTTCATCTTGGTTTTCCCCAGATATTAAAGAACACATATACTGGGTCCTTATTTTAGACTTTATACCGCAATTAAGGCATTCTTGGATGATCCTTTTTTTTTCTATTTTTCCTTTACCACACAATTATTTTGTGTACTCTGCCAATTTGAACAAAATAATAGCTTTTGTAAGTTTTCATCATTCCCCTCATCTCCCCATAATTCTTCTGGCTTCTCTCTGCTTATCCTCTAGAATTTGACTTAGCAGCCACCTGTCCTGGGTCTAGGTCTCCTCTGTCAACTTCCCTGAGGTTGTGACAAGTGCCGCTCTTGTTGCTTTCACAGCATTCTGTGTTTAACCTATCACCAAATACATCATTTTTGGGAATAATTATTTACTCCTTTTTTCCCACATTAGATTCTAAGCTTTAGATGTCAGAAACTATGTTTTGTGTATGTTTTCCCTAGTGTGTGGCACACAGTAGGTGCACAGTAAATATATGTTTAAATTTTTTAAAATGACAGTGAACTGAATATACATCTATCTTAATATGAAAAGAGCAGCATGGTTAAAATACTTAAACCCAAGTATCCAGAACACTTCTGATTTTTTTATTAGCAGTTTTCTTCCCTACCTTTTCTCATCTTGCTACTCATTAAGCTTTGTTTTCAAACAGAATCCTAGCTGGCACCATCAGTGATGTATTGGTTTCCCCAGGTTCCTAGGAAGCACTTTGATCTTCATGGGGCAACATTAATTCTTGCTATTGGTCTGAGAACCCAATAGAATGGTGTAATTTATATCTGCTTTCATCGCTCTGGCAGTCCCCGGCAGCACCTGCCAGGGTATGGCTGCTGTATCAGCAAAACAAATGGGAAGCAAATGAATGTATATTGTGGTCCCCAAAGAGAAACCCGTTACCACTGCAACTAAGCTTGACAGGGTAGGACTCCCATTTGACTCCAAAGAACATGAAATGCTCCACTACTTTTTGAAATCATTTGCTTATATGTGGCTGCAGTTCACACATCCCAATATGTCCTTTTCCTTCATACCCCAAGGGGAAGAGAAATATGAGCCTATTCCATTCAGAGATCACTGAATAATATTTGCTGCTATCAGATTTTATTGGCTTTAGGATTGTTATTTGTTGGAAATATGTGGTGAGTCTCAAAGCCAACAACATTTCCCCAGGGTGCCCATTAGCCAGAAGAGGAACACAGTTGTAAACAATCTGTTTTGTAAAATAGAGGTGTCTAGAAGAAAAGGCATCACCATGGTGTTTGTTGAATATTTCATGGCCTAGAATGTACAGTTTACAGACAGGGAGGGAATTATAGAGGATAGTCATACAAAAATATAATTTCTAGGAAAGAGATATTTTCTCCTTTCTGTCAATAGTTTGGTACAGGAAGCTAGAATATGAGTGAGTAGTGAGGAGAGAAAATAAATGCCATGCATAAAATGTCAGAAGAATTAGGTTTTCAGATTCCTTGGAATGATGTTCCTTTTCACTGATTACCTATGAAATACTTTCATATTTGCGTGCTTTGTCATAGGCTTCAGAGTATTTGTTTCATTTCAGTTAGTAAACAATGCCAATGGACAGAAATAGCAGTAGCACATTTTTTTTTTTTCTAGAGGTAAGAACATGGCCTAAAAGAGGATGTATTCAACTCACAGGCTTTATTCTGCCATACATGGCACCTCTAGATTCCACAATATAGAAAAAAATCTTCAAAATTACACACCAAAGTGTGTGTGTGTGGGTGTACACATATCAAAATCTCTAAAATTACACACCAAAATGTGTTTATACATATGTATATACTTTTATGCAATGAGTGTGCATAGCTTTAATCAGATTCTCATACCCCCTCATTGCTATTTTACCTAAATTTGTGTTACAGTTATATCGAAAGAACTAAAAGGGAGAGAGACAGAGAGAGATGTAGCCAAATGGATAGAAATTCACATGACTTTGTTGATTGCTTTGCTTTTACTTTCAGCCAACATTCTGACTCTCCAGTTATGCCACTTAAATGCCTTAAATATTTGCTTATTTAAAATTATAGAAAAGATATAATTGTTTATTGTTAGTATTTTATTTTCCTTTGATCAGTGACTTGTTTTTACTATATTTCTTTGTATTTTTATGCATTACCTTATTTCAGAAAAATTATAATTTTTCTGGAGACCTAATGCAATTGTTATAAAATAATCATAATGATATTTACAATATTTATTAATTTTTTATGTTTACCATTTCCAGGAAGTATGCTGACTGTTTTACATGTGGTAGCTACAAAAATCTCATAAAATGTAGAGCAGGATGCCTAGAGGAAACTGAGGCTGAGAAAGATGCAATAACTTGCTGAATATCACAGAAACAATACGTGATTCAAAGACTCACATACAGCCCTCTTCATGATTGCAGAATCTCAACTTTCAACTATACTGATTCTCCACAATGATGCATTTCTCGTTGTAATTTAATATAACTCTACAAGGAGAACATGGAATGGGAAAAATCTGACCAACATTGCATAATATGATAAAAATAACTCATGATTACCTTAAAAGAAGTACTGTAATTATGTATGATAGTGAGCAAGTTATTTAATAGCTATTTTCAAAGTCTGGTCATCATCAAAAAGTTTCACCAAAACAAAAATAAAATATTAGAAAACAAACTTCAGCTGCCAGGAATTGTTAGCTGATGTACAAGTAATTTGCAAATACTTTGTCCCTATCTATTCCTTCACTGGGACTTAAAAATAAAATTACTCATCTATATTTTTCTGACAACTAGGAATGTTCTTGCTACATAGTTCTGTCCAATAAGACATAAGGATTTTGTTTAAGATTTTTGGGGATTTTTTTAATAAAGATCCGTATATAGATGGCTTCATTCTCTTCTCTAATATCTTAAGTGATGCATATGTTTGCTTCAACCATATTGAAAGCATTAAGAACAGGCCTAGAGTACCACTGATGGCCTGACTCTGACTTTTGAACCACTGAGCCAATGGCAGCAGCTACGCAAAAACTGTCTACTATGTGAGAAAATAATTCTCTATATCTTTAAGCCACTGTTAGAAGTGGTTTATGGTTCTCATGGCCTGTATCATTCCTAAATGATAAATATGCTCAGCATATGGAAAACATTCAGATAGATGTGGAATCTCAGGGAAGAAACAAAACATATTTTTTACACATGACATGATTTTGCATGTAAAATTTTTTGAAATATCTATTCACAAGGTATTAGAATTAATGCATGGACTTAACAATGTAATTGAGTACAAGGTCAATATATGAAAATCAATTACATTTATTTACAGTAGCAACAAATATTAAAATTTATTATATATCAACAACAACATTTTAGACATCAAATATGCAGAAATGAATCTATAAAAAAATACATGTCTTCTAAACTAAAACATAACTTTATTTAGATAAACTAAAAAAGACAAAATAAAACAGATCACATTCATAGTTTCCCAACCATGGTTCACAACAGTGAACCATAAATCACTATTGTAAAGATGTTAGTTTCCCCCAATTTAATTCATAAATTAAATAAAAATCACATCAGGTTTTCTTTTGGCAGAAATTGCACAGCATATTCTACAATTTACATCCAAAGGGCCAGGAATAGCTACATCAATTTTGAAATAAAAAAAAATAAAACTGAAGGATTTATACTCCCAGATTTATTGTAAAGTTACAATAATTGAGACTATATGAAATATGTGTAACAATAGATAAATATACAGATAAAATTGAAAAGAGATTGAAATGGTAGTTTGAACATATAGGGTCACCTGATTTATAGAAAAGGTATCATTGCAGTCTGGTGAGTAAAAATGCTATTTTCCATAAATGGTGCTAGGTCAATTGGATATCTATGTGGAAATAAATACATTTTTACTGTACATCACATCATATACAAAAAGTAATTTCTGATGGCTTATGAAACAATAAAGATTCCAGAAAAATATGATGAAATATTCTATTCATGACCTTGAGATAGACAAATTTTATAAAACAAGAGTAACTATGTAACACTAACAGTAACTATGAAGGAGAAATGATGAATAGACAAATTCAGATTTAAGGATTTCTACCTATTAAAAGAAGCAATTAAGGGTATAAAAAGTAACTAATAATGTGAAGCATTTGCAATACATATATCTAATGTAGTAACTCATCAAGGACTCATATAGAGCTTATTTATTTTTATTTATTTTTTATTTATTTTTTTGAGATGGAGTCTTTCTCTGTCGCCCAGGCTGGAGTGCAGTGGCATGATCTAGGCTCACTGCAAGCTCTGCCTCCTGGGTTCACGCCATTCTCCTGCCTCAGCCTCCCGAGTAGCTGGGAATACAGGTACCCGCCACCATGCCCGGCTAATTTTTTTTTTTATTTTTATTTTTGCATTTTTAGTAGAGATGAGGTTTCACCGTGCTAGCCAGGATGGTCTCGATCTCCTGACCTCGTGATCTGCCCGTCTGGGCCTCCCAAAGTGCTGAGATTACAGGCGTGAGCCACTGCGCCTGGCCCATATAGAGCTTTTTTTTAAACATCCTACATATCAATAAGAAAAATCATATACTACAACGAAAAATGGTAAAAATACGATGTCACTTTATAAAAGAGAGTATTTTAATTACTCTTTAACATAAAATTGTGGCTTAGTCTTATTAATCATCAGGAAATATGAGTTAAAAATCATGATAAAATATTATCACACCTCTACCAAAAGACAAATAAAAGGTAGAAAATACAAAGTGTTAAGAAGAATGTGGAGCAACTGGAATTATCTCATTACTGCTGGTTCAAATATGAATTGATACAACCTCTTGAGAAAATTGATTAATATATGCCAATGACTCAGGGTTTTCCACTTGCAGGCATATACAAGAGACGTGGACAAAAATCTTCATAGTTGTATTTCTTGCAATAGCCTAGAAGTGGAAACTACCTAAATGCCTAGTAACAGTAAAATGGTAAAATTTTACTGCACACAAGGACATACTATTTTACATTGGCAAATAAATAACATCCTACTAATTAACATGACTGAACACACAATTGTAATGTTGCATACAAAAGGCAAGACACAAATGAGCATATACTGTACCATTTTATTTAGTTAAATTTAAAAAACAGGTACAATTAATTTGTACTTTGAGAAGGCAGTATAGCGATTCAGTGACTGGGAAGGGTCATGAGAGTCTTCTGGGTGCTGGCAATGTTCTGTTTCTGTTTTTTTTTTTTTTTTTTGAGACGGAGTCTCGCTTTGTCACGCAGGCTAGAGTACAGTGGCGTGATCTCGGCTCACTGCAAGCTCCGCCTTCTGGGTTCACGCCATTCTCCTGCCTCAGCCTCCCGAGTAGCTGGGACTATAGGCGCCCACCACCACGCCCGGCTAATTTTTTGTATTTTTAGTAGAGATGGGGTTTCACCGTGTTAGCCAGAATGGTCTCGATCTCCTGACCTCGTGATCTGCCCGCCTTGGCCTCCCAAAGTGCTAGGATTACAGGCGTGAGCCACCGCGCCTGACCTTGTTCTGTTTCTTGAGTGTTGATTACATGGATGAATTCATTTTGGAAAAAATAATTGAGGTGGTATCTTCGATTTTTGCACTATTTATACATGAATGATACACTTCAACAAACAACTTATTTAAAAAGAAACAACTTATTTAAAAAGAAAGCTTTTTGGCTCTACTGTATTCTTTTTCTGTCACCCAGGAAGAAGATATGGTGGTTGAAGTTACAAGGACTCCTTGTTGTAACCAGGAGCCGATCTTGATCAATGGAGCTACATAAAGCATGTTGAAATGCAAAGAAAGATAGAAGGAGCCTGTGGTACTGAAAACATTGAGGATTCTCTGAACCAGCCTTGGCTACCCCACCATTTAACTTGAGAAAAAATATTTCTTTCCTCTTTAAGCTCTTCTTCTACCAAATGTATCAGGAAATAAAAATATATTAAATTAAAACAAATAGATGTTTGAGTTTTCAGTGTTGTCAAATTGGCTACTTTGTAGAAAGAGAACAATGTTCTCTCTCTTCTGGGTCTGTTAGATTATACAGAAATGAGGTTGTTAAGAGGATATTCTCTGACATTGCGATATTAACATTTTAAATTTATCTGAAGCCTTTTTCACCCTGACTGGCCCATTTAGGAGTAGTTACTGTACAGGGTAAAGCTTTTATTACTGTGCAAACTCTATGATACTGGAACTTACTTGTGTACATTACAGTCTTTCCTATGACATTGTGAGCTTTTTCAGAGAGAGGGATCTGTCACTTTTACCATTATATTACAGTTCATGTATTAATATGGCTTTAAAATGCGTTAAATTTAATAGAACAGAGTGAGAATATGCCTCAGCTTCAAAATGATAGAAATCAAGTCCAACAAAATCCATGCAACTTAATGAACATTCACTGATTTGAACTAATTTAAAATAAAATTATTCCACTAAAGGAGGAAGGACAAAGGTAGTGATGTGTGTGGATTGTATAATTTTTTTAAGACACTAATAATATATTTTACGTAATTTTTATTAGACTTTATTTTTCAAACCAGTTTTAGTTCCCCTGCAAAATTGAGCAGAAAGTACTGAAAGTTCTCATAAACTCTCTTCCCCCACACTCTTACAGCATTCCCCACTATTTAAACACCAGTGAGGTATGTCAGTTACAATTGATGAACCTGCATTGACACATCTTTATCACCCAAAGTCCATAGTTTACACTAGGTATCATTCTTGCCGTTCTACATTCTATGGGTTTTGACAAGTGTATAACTGACCTGTATCTACCACTGCAGTATCTGACAGAATAGTTTCACTGTCTTAAAAATTTTCTGTGCTCTGCCTGTTCATCCCTCCTTTTCTCTTAACCCCTAACAACCACTGATCTTTTCACTGTCACTATGGTTTTGCCCTTTCCAGAATGAAAAATAGTGGGAATCTTATAGCATGTAGCTTTTTCAGATTTCCTTCTTTCATTCAGTAATGTGCATTTAAGTATCCTCCATATCTTTTCAATTTTATTTTATTTCATTTTAGCAGTAAGTAATATTCCATTGTCTGGATATACCATGGTTTATTCATTCATTTACCTACGGAAGAACATCTTTATTACTTTAAGGTTTCAGCAATTATGAAAAAGCTGCTATGAACATTCCTGGGTAGGTTTTTGTATGGACATAAGATTTCAACCCATTTTGGTAAATATCAAAGAGCACAATTTCTCTATATTATGGTGATACGGTTTGGCTGTGTCCCCATCCAAATCTCATCTTGAATTGTAGCTTCTATAACCTCCATGTGTTGTGAAAGGAACCCAGTGAGAGATAATTGAATCAGGGGGTGGTTTCCCCAATACTGTTCTCATGGTAGTGAATAAGTCTCATGAGATCTCATGGTTTTATAAGGGGTTTACCCTTTCACTTGGCTTTCATTTCTCTGTTGCCTGCCACCATGTAAGATGTGCCTTTTGCCTTCTGCCATGATTGTGAGGCCTCCCCAGCCACATGAACTGTGAGTCCATTAAACCTCCCTTGCTTTATAAATTACCCAGTCTTGGTATGTCTTCATCAGCAACGTGAAAATGGGCTAATACATATGGCAAGATCATGCTTAGTTTTGTAAGAATCTGCTAAACTGTCTCTCAAAGTGGCTGTACTATTTTATAATTCTCACCATCAATGAATGAGAATTCTTGGTGCTTCACATCCTTGCCAGCACTTAGTGTTATTAGTACTTTGGATTTTGCCCATTTTAATAGGTATGTAGTAGTCTCTCATTTTTATTTTAATTTGCAATTTCCTAATGAGAAACAGTGTCAAATATCTTTGTAAATTTGTATTGCTTATTTGCAATCTATATATCTCTTTGGTGAAGTGTCTGTACAGGTTTTTTAACCCACTTTTAAGATTGGATTGTTTGTTTTTTTATTTTTATTTTTTGAGTTTTAAGAGTGTGTATAGGTTACATAACATTTTATTTTCTCTACATTAACATTTAATCTTCTTATAACTGTTTAAAAATGTATTTTCTTTTCTGATGGTAAAAGTAATACACACTCATTTTAGAAATATTAGATAACATAGAAGAATATGGCAAAAACATAAAAATGTAATATAGTACTAATAGAGATAATCATTTCTAACACACACACACACACACACACACACACACACACACACACACATATTTTAAAATGCAGGCTATGTATTGCCTCCAAAGGCAAAACCAAATTTCTTCCCTTTATTCTTTCCTTCCTACTCTTTTATCTTCTTGATATAAAAGTGTCCAGCTTCTTTTGATTCTGGAGGCAAAGGTATCATGCAACCTGGAAGAATTTGCCTCTGAAAAAAGCTAAGTGGGATGTCTTTGATTTAAGGGAAGTGGGCACCTTAAATGTTCGGGGGGCAAGAGGTTAAGATCAGTGTTTTGCCTTGAAAATGATGTTTCCCCTAATAACTCACATTTGCTTTAAGTATTTTATTTTGTTTTGTATTAATAACACACAGATATTAGCTTTAAAAAACAAATAAACATCAATACCTCTACATCCCCAGCACCCTTTTTTAATATTTCTCCTATTCGTCTCATAGACAGTTATGATTCTGAAGTCAGGGTATATCATTCCCAAGGAGAAGTGTATAATTTTATTACAGATCTCTGTATCAATATATAATAAACTTTTTGTATGGGACCTATTAAAACTAATTTTAATGACTTTCAAGTTTAAGAATAATTTTGCAACTTTTTTCATGCAACATTATGTTTTTGAAATTTATCAATATTGAAACAAGTGTTATAGAGAAGGCATTGCATTTTCCCATGACAGCCATCAAAAATGTATTCCCTATAGGCATACATAGTATGTCTATTTTTACGTATCTGAATCATGCAGCATTTTGATGTTTCAGAGGATTTTTTTTCTTACCAGCATATTGTTGGCATATTTTTCAACCAAGTGCCCAGAATCACCTTAAACTGTAGATTTGGTTTCTATATTACCTTTCCTTAAAGTTATCGTGGCACCGTGTAGCTTTAGCTCAAGCTTCACTTTCTGATTCCATTTTACTTTGACCTGTATGGAGTATTTGATGAGTATGTTTAGGAAAACAAATAATATTCTCAATTTAAGTATTACATATTATGATCTAATTTTATTACTCATCACTTTTTGATATTACATATATCTCATATTTTCCAAGATATTTCAATGTATGTAAGCAGATCAAATTTATTAGCATCTATTGGACACAGCAGGTACATTTAACTGCTCATTTAAGAGTAAATAATCTAAAACATGAAACATAATACATTCAGCTAAATGGCATATTCATAATGTATCAAAACAACTAAGAAAGAAATTTGTATTAATGGATTAAAGTATATCAGGGTTGAATTAACCAGAGAGTAATTTGAATTAATATATCTGGATGCCAGTGAAACTCCCCCATGTCTTTTCCAAATTATACACTGTCGACAGATTACGCCAGAGGCAATGAAGAATCATGGAGTGTTGTTTCCTAAGCTGTAACAATTAAGGTAGAGATTCCCTAGCCTTGCATTTATGAGCCTCCATGATGTAAATGGGATTTGCCTTTTTAAATGCTACCTGATTTGCGTTTATATATACTAGACCCTAGCCAAATTGACTTGTTTGTAATTTCAGCAAATATTCCTTTCCCCACATGTGTGCTTTAGCTCTGGATTTTCCATCTGCCTGGAAGCTTTTTCCCCCACCATATTCTCTTGTCTATTCCCTCGTCTTATGCAAGTTCTGCCTGAATACTAAGTCCTCCTTCATGATTATTTACCTCCTCCTCCTCCCTCTTTTAGAATAAATAATTTAATCTCTTATTAATAAAGCACTTGATTTATGTCAGCTTCCATGCTGGTCTAAGCATATAAAAAACAAAACATGTTGGAGAATGTAGCAGAATAGTTTTTTTTAATGAATCAATAATAATATAAGATGATTAAGTGCAATGACTCAGGTAAACACAGCTTCCATGAGAACATAAACAAGTAGGACAAACTCTGTCCAGGGGCACCTAGGAGACACTTTTCTATCTGCTAATATTTTAATAGTTATTAAACAGGAAAATTACACAAAATCTGCTTGAGTGGAGTTGATTTTTCCATAGTTCCTTCTCTTGCTCTTTCATCCCATATGTCCAAGTGGTGAGCCTAGCACAAAACCTGACATACATAAAGCTGTAAATAAAGGTGTGGTGAATTAACAACTTCATTAAAAAATGAATGACTTGCTAAAGTATCTAACCACAGTGGTAAGATGTTTTAAGAATGCTTTCTCTGTGGAGTACAGATCTAAGCAGAGACGTCAGAATCAATCTTGACAGCTGTTCTCTTGAAATCGAGCCTTTGTAATAGAGCCACATGTATCCACAGGCAATCTCTCTAACTAAACAGCAATATCTTATCATTAGGATGGCTGACTGGTGCATCTTTGTGTCCTTGAGAGCATATAGGACAGTCCACAGTGCACGTATGTTATTCAATAAAGAAAGCTTTGAGAAAGTTTTGGTTGAAATCAGTAACACAGCATGAAGTATGGTAAGGTCTTCCCCATGTGCTGTGATATATTTGCAAATCTTAATTTTTAGAAATCCAGCAGATTCCTAGTTATGTTCTCCGTTCATGATAGATGAAACTCCACTAGCAATTTGTATTGGTAAATTGTCACCTTTATGGCCACTAAAATTTATGGAGTATTTACTAGAACCCAGGCACTTGGATAAGCAATTTGTATTGGTAAATTGTCACCTTTATGGCCACTAAAATTTATGGAGTATTTACTAGAACCCAGGCACTTGGATAAGCATTTTATATTTTTCATCTATTTTAATCCTCACAACCACTTTTGTATGTTAGGAACTACTATTATTTCTATTTATAAATGAAGAAATTGCAGCACAGGAAAGTTATAGAAAGTGTCCATTGTTTCATAGCTAGAGGATAGGCAGGTTGGATATTGGAGCCCAAGACTCTTAGCACTTACACTTTACTTCTAAACTGCAGCATAATTAACATATAAATAAAAGACAGTATTAGAATTTTTCGTTAAAACATACCACCTAGCAATAACTGTATTACTTCATTAGTATTTTAAGATTTCCATAACAAAGTATCACAACTCAGAAGCTTATATAATAATGTATTTTCTCACAGTTCTGAAGCATGGAAGTCCAACCCCAAGGTGTCAGCAGGAGGTTTGGCTCCATTCCTTGAGTCCTGAGGGAAGAATCTGTTCCAGACCTCTCTCCTTGCCTAGAAATAGCTGTCTTCTGCCTATGTCTCTTCACACTATCTTTCTTTCATATGTATCTCTCTGGGTCTTAATATCCCCTTTTTATAAGAACACTAGTTAGATTAAATTAAGGCCTACTCTAAGAACTTCACTTTAACTTGTTTGCCCCTATAAAGGTCAAATAAGATCATATTTTGAGGTGCTGGAAATTAGAACTTCAACTTATAAATTTTGAACTCATAACAATTGCCATGAATTAAAAAAATAAACAGCACAGTCGTGAAATTTAGATAGGAAAATCTGTTTCTTTTCAGGAGAGTAGTTATTATATTTAAGAAACACAAGGAAATATTCATTTTAAGTTTTAGATAAATAATATCTAAAACTTCCTTTTTTTTTTTTTTTTGAGACAGAGTCTCCCTCTGTCACCAGGCTGCAGTGCAGTGACACGATCTTGGCTCACTGCAGCCTCCACCTACCAGGTTCAAGCAGTTCTCTTGCCTCAGCCTCCGGAGTACCTGGGGCTACAGGTGTGCACCACCACACCTGGCTAATTTTTGTACTTTTAGAAGAGATGGAGTTTCACTATGTTGGCCAGGCTGGTCTCAAACTCCTGACCTCAGGTGATCTGCCTGCCTCAGCCTCCCAAAGTGCTGGGATTACAGGCGTGAATCACCACACCTGTCCCTAAAACTTCCATTTTTTAAAGGTAGTTTTAGAATTGTGGCATTAAGTCCCTCAAAAATCATAGTTTGCTGCTAAAAACTACTTTGTAAAGTCTATTTTCAAGTGAAGATGTAACTTTCTACATGTTAAGACTATATACTGAAGGTTGAATGTCTCTTATCCAAAATGCATGGGGACAGAAGTGTTTCAGATTTTTGATTATTTGCATATACATAATGAGATATCTTGGGGATTGGACCTGAGTCTAAACACATTTATTTATGTTTCATGTATACCTTATACAGATAGCCTGAAGGTAATTTTGTATATTTTAAGCGATTTTGTGCAACAAAAAAAGTCGGACTGCATTTTGACTGCAACCCATCACACAAGGTCAAGTATAGAAATTTCCATTTATATTATCATGTCAATACTCAAAAAGTTTTGGATTTTGGAGCATTTCCAATTTCAGATTTCTGGATTAGGGATGTTCAACCTATATCCGTTTGTCTTAAACAGATTTAGGATGAATTTGACTCTTGCTCAAAGAACATATTGCTGTTCATGTAATGCAGTCTAATATAATACTAATTTTATATGAACATATTTTTAGCCTGTTTTGTGAGGTCAAAAAATAACAGACAGTTGTTTTCTGCCTGAAAGTCACTTATCATTAAAATAATAGAAATGAACAGTACCCAGAAAAGGAAAAAGAGAGAAAAATAATCAACAGAGCAAATAATATTCCACTTATGCAAATTACTCTCATTTCTCTCTCCATGCCGAAAAACAAGCATGACTGTGAGGCTGTTCCATAAACAATAGATAACGCAGCTGTTCCTCAGAAGGCCATTTTAAAATTCACTTTTATTAATTAGGAAACTAATTCTAGAAAGAAAGGGAAAACTCTTTAACCTCCATTGATTAACTAAGAACACGCTCCTCTAATTGGTGACGAACTGCTTTAATCATGGTAGAATAATGGATTTCACACTTAAGCATTCCAGTGCCCCTGAGCTTCAAGATTTTTTACAGATTCTCTCTATAGCACTGAGGACTCTCAATTTTCTTCAGAGTTGATTTATTTAAAAAGGACTTTACTGCAAAAGCAACTGGTGTCATTTCTCAAGTGCACATAAGACCAGATATAAAAGGCTTTATGCTTGGTTACCCTTGCATTCAACATTCTGGAAGCTGCTACTCTTCAAGAGAATAACTATTTTCCTGGAACAACCTAAACCACTGCTACACCTTAAAGTAATTATTATAAGGTTTAGCTTTTCTTTCAACTACATTTTACCCTGAAACTGGAAATGTAGGGTTATTCAGAGTAATCTTTGTTTCATAAACAAATGATATTTAATATTGTCAAATGATACAAAATAGTACAAAGACAGAGATGGCAAAATATCATAAAATTCAAGACGGTATTTTGTATTTTGAAAATATGGGTGCCCAATTGTAAGACCCTCAAATAGCATATGTTCATAATGTCCTCAAAACATACTGGAGCCATTACTATAAATGTTTGACATTTAATAAAATAAAATCAACTGACCGCAAGAACTGGTTAAATATAATTAAGAATCCTACCCTTTGTGTTTTTACTCAGAATAACAAATAGTAATGAAAAGAGATGAATGAATAAATTAATATTCCTATTTAAATACATCTACCTCTCTTACACTATTTTAGTAGAAATATCACCAGTTGAAATTTATAAATGAGTGAGTAAAATGAAGAGAGGATAGAGAAAGATTGACCACCGATTTCAATCAAGACAAACATTTTGGAGCAGAAAAAAGAGCAAATGGTTCTAACACTTGAACCAGACAGTTGTTTGTTTGCATTTAACTTTCAAATGTGATTTAATTTACTAAACCATGTTGGTTCAGAAATCAAACATAAATTTCTCTTCTAAACTAACTGTTTGGTGGGCTAAACAGGGGGACTAAGCGAGAGGCATGCATTATTTTCAGAGAGCTTAAATCTATGGGTTATTCATACTCTCACATTAGTAAAACCTTTTTCTTGTTAAAGTGGTACTTAAGTGGTTTTCTTAAACAGGTGATTTGAATTACAGAAAGTCCTGCAATAATTTAATCTTCCTTTAAGGTTGCTAAATTAGATTAGATTTCTTATAGATAGACAAGATTTTTAAAGATAAGCAGAAAATTTCTTATATCTCCTAGAACTATATGCTTACTTTATCTTTCACAATAAATATTGGGCCCCAGAAAATGAAATTTAAAAATAACAAATGAGGTTAAATTCCTAAAAATCTGCAGGCCTGGATAGGGAGAGAGAGAATTCTCATATCATTGCCTCATAAAGTATCAATTAGATACTGCATTTCTTCTTCTCCTCATAAAATACATGTATAGAGAGAGTGATAAAGGGATTTCCTATGTAATTTCCAGTAATACAGGAATTTCTTGATTCACCAAAATGAACAAACAAGCACACATACAAAATGTTTACCATAATTTACACATTGCTCTGCCAGTAACACACAGGTATTCATATTGCACCAACATTCTGGGAGCATCTTGGTAATGACTCTGTCTTGTGATGAGTTATTTATTTAGGAGGAGCCCATGTGTTTCAATACTGCAGCTGTGATTCTTTACTCAGATTGCAAAGCTCTTTTCTCTGGGTTTCATCAGATCCTGACTTGAGGTTCTGCCTCTCTCCAGCCTTTTGTAGCCATTTCTTCTTATCCTCCCAGTCCTTCTTCTCATCCCAGCTCAAGGGATCACTCATAAGAATAAGAATAAACCTTTGTAATGCAGTCCTTTCAGCCTGTGCTAAGTTCAAATGTAGATTGCCAATGAATCTTTTTTCTTTTTATGCAGAGGATGCCAATACATTATAATCTTATATCATTTCCAAGGAAAAAATCTAAGTTAACTTTACCAGTTCAATTTACGCAGGTTACAGACCTAGAAATGTCCAGGTTCTATGAACATTTATTGAACATTTTGCATTGGTATATTAGTGTCGCTCAAGGAAAGCACATGATTTGTATCAAATACTGATTGATTGAGCCTCAAAGCTATTTGTGATAGTAAAATGCCTTCCTTAATTTACAAGCCAAATTCAAAAGTAAAACTTCACTCTTTTGACTCAACAGTATGTGTGATCTTACTGGGTAGTGGTCATAAATGATCAAATAATGTTCTTCTAATCAATCAGCAAATGTTTATTAGATGATTGCTATGTATACCTCAGATTGGTATTCTGGGGACAATAGTGTGAGCCCCAAATATCTGAGGCAGATCTCAGTTAATTTAGAAAGTTTATTTTGCCAAGGTTGAGGACGCCCTCCCATAGCACAGCCTCAGAGGTCCTCATGACATGTGCCCAAGGTGGTTAAAGCACATTTGGTTTTACACATTTTAAGGAGACATGAGACATCAATCAACATATGTAAGATGAACATTGGTTGGGTCTGAAAAGGTGGGACTACTCGAAGCAAAGGAGGGACAACTCAAAGAAGGGAGGGGGCTTCCAGGTCATAGGGAGATAAAAGACAAATAGTTGCATTCTTCTGAGTTTCTGATTAACCTTTCCAAAGGAGGCAATCAGATATGCATTTATCTCAATGAACAGCAGGGTGACCTTGAAGAGAATGGGATGCAGGTTTGCCCAAGCAGTTCCCAGCTTGACTTTTCCCTTTAGCTTATTGATTTTGAGGCACCAAGATTTATTTTCCTTTCACAATAGTAATGAATTCAGGAAGTTCATCCTTTGTGGGATTTATTATCTGGTTAAGAAGATGCATCTCCAATAAGTCATGGTTAATCTAATAAATATAATGTTATGTGGAGTACAGGGGGGTATGAGTAATGTTAATAAGGTACCTAACTTATGTAGAAGGTAGAAGTGGAGTAGAGGGCTCTCCTGAGGAAGAATCATTTCATCTGAAACATGAATGATGAATAATAAGTTGCCAGAAAAAAGATGAAAGAATCATACAAGAAGGAGAAGCAGAAGAGTGTTCCAGGCAGAAAACAGCTTGTCAGAGATCCTGAGGTGGGAATGAGCAAAACCGTGAGCATCTTCTATAGGATTTTTTCCTTCCATCAGACTTCAGCCTACATGAATATCACAATGAAGCAAGCAACATAAGTACATTCTTCTCTGATTTGACATCCTGGAGAGATGCTTGCTGCATGCCATGCCAAAGAATTGAACACTGATAACAGCACAAAAGACTGAACAGTTCATGATCTGAAAGGAAATGGTATATGAAAGCCAGAAATAAAGGTAAGTGCAAGTGAAATATTTTCACCTTCATTATTTAAGTTAATTTTGAGTGACTCCAAATGCTACTGTGTATACTGTGCTGAGCTGATGAACTAGACTATATCATTTGCCAACTCAGTTCTTATTTGATATCACTCAAAATTCATATTCAATAAAATGATAGCATTTTACAAAATGTATGTAAAGGTGAATTTAAAGCTTCAAATGGGAGGAAGAGGGAACATGCACAGCTAGATTAATTTGAGATATTAAAATGATGAAAAGTGTAACTCTATTCAATGAAGATGTTATGTCATTGCTTTCCAGTATAAAGGCAAAAGTAATTCTAAGTCATTTAGCCAATTTGTCCTTAGCATCAGAGTTGTATCTTTGCTAGCAATATTTTTTTATTATTTATTATTTATTGAATTCCAAGTAAGCATCACTATATAAATCATTATATACCTAGTTCCTACCACAAAGGCATACAATCAAAGTCAAATAGAGAAAGCAATTCAGATATAAAATATGTCAAATGAGTTAATGAAACTCCGAAGATTGAGATTCTTACTTATAAATATGCCTTCATAGCTTAGGAAGTAAAAACTATAAATAAGACAAAAGTCCTACTGATAAGAAACTCACATTCTAGGTATATTCTTAACTATGGTTTGCTATTAAGAACTAATGAATATAATTTTAGCTCACAGGACATCTTCCTAGAAAACAAACAAACAATAATATAATATGGGGAGGGTGCTGCCAAGATTACCCTCTACTCTCTGTTAATCTTTCTCCCACTATAGCTTCTTACTTCGTCGAAAAGACAGAATCCTGGTTTACAATAACCTTGATTGTATTCTTGAAAACGTGGTGCTTTTACCTCAATAATTTGTCTAGTTTTCAAAAGGAAAAAAGAGTAGAAGCAAAAAGAGCTCAGGTTTCCAATGAAACCTTTTCACTTTACTTTCAACTTACCCAGTTGTTAATGGTTCTGCACCACAAAGCATCACAGGCATAAAGACAGTATTTGACTACCATTCTTTATACTGTGCTAACCTCCTGTTATATAATGGGAAGGTCATCATATTTGCCCAATGTGAAATGCAAAAAAAAAGATAGATTGATGAACAGATACATATCCCTATCTCTGTCTCTGTCTCTACCTCTATGAATATCTGCCTATCAATATCTATGTATCTATTCTTCTACCCATGTCTTCAATACCTTCAACATTTGGCACATAGTAGTTTCCCAATATATATTTATTTAAATTTGACACTTTTTGTTTTTATTTTTAATATAACTCTCATTTTAAGAAAAAATGAATTCAAATATGTGAAGTTATAGAAATTAAATTAAGCTACGCTATTCAAAGGGTCTAAAAATTCAGAATTGGTGAGCCTTTCTGGAAACATAATACATAACTGAATTTTTAAAACTCAATTTACAAGTGATCTTTTGGGATAAATCAAGTACATTTGAGAACTTACAGAAATCCCAATGTCATTTGATCATTGAGTTCTAAAGCAAATGATGCCAAAACCTGAGAAAATGAATTTATGTTTTGTGTACTTGGCCATTGACATTTTGAAGTATTATATATTTAAGATTTATCTACAGAAGCTGTGTTTATGCTTTTTGGTGTATCCTCTGATGCATTTCATCTGCCAATCCTCTGGTTCTGAAGGCATGTATCCATCAGTGACTTGAGTCTGTTTTGGATTAAGAAAATCTAGGATTGGAAGTTATACAGAGACAATATCATTAATGAAACCATTTACTAGGTGATTTGGGCCCTACTCATTCCAATAAGGATTACTGTTAGATATCTGACTTCCATCTCTATCTGCACAGGAGAGGGGATTTGTCAATGGACACATGAAAAGTGTTATTTCATTCAATGAAGATATGTCTTTGCTTTCCAATATAAAAGCAAAATAATTCTAAGTCATTTAGCTAATTTGTCCTTAGCATGAAAGTTGTATCTTTGTTAGGTAATATTTCTTTATTGTTTATCATTATTGAACTCCAAGTATGCATCACTATATGAATCATTGTATACATAGTCCATATCCCAAGGCATATCATCAAAGTCAAACAGGGAAAGCAATTCAGACATAAAATATGTCAAATGCGTTAATTAAACTCTGAAGATTGAGTTTCTTAATTATAAATATGTCTTCATAGCTTAGAAAGTAAAAACTATAAATAAGACAGAAGGCATAATCATAAGAAACTCACATTCTAGATGTATTCTTAACTATGGTTTGCATTAAGAACTAATGAATATAATACTAGCTCACAGCATATCTTCCTGGAAAAGAAAAAAACAAGAATATAAGGTTTTGGGGAAGGTAATAGGGTCATGCTGATGTGATTTGAAGTTCTATCTTCACCATTTACTTTGAGAAGTTGGGCAATATAAGCCTCCTCAAGCCGGTTCTCTTCTTCCCCCAACTTTTGATAATCATATTAATGCTCACATAAAAGCATTGATCTGAGTATTAAATGTGATAATATGTGTGAAATATTTACATCAAATCCTGAAAAGTTATTACTGTGAAAAAAGGAGAACACTTCTGAGCTCACCTAGATTTTGATCTAGATGACCGACAATCAGTATTAGCTGACTATAAATAAAGTGCCCTAAAAGTCAGAGCAAGCAGAAATGGACATCTTCTCAATATAAAAATTTGAAGTAGAAATGATGAGATTGAATTAGCATGTCTACAATGCTTTGGAAGCAGTTAGATATTACTGCAGGGGTTTTGGGTAGAAACACAAGATTCAATGGGTACTATTCTCTTCCTAAGGATTGATTCCTTTGCTTTTCATCTGGATTGATCCATGAAACGGGTTTGGAGAGATGAAAGAAGAGTGTCCAACTGACTCTTTGATGAGGCCATTACCTAATTTCAGAGACAAAAAATAAAATAAAATAATAAAATAAAAACACTTGGAATTCAAGTGTCTTTTATGATTTACCTGAGGTATCTGTAAAACTTGAATCCTTGCCCTTTTTGGCAAGATTTTTCTCATATTCCAAACAAAGGTAAATCTTTGTCTCTATATTTTCCAAACTAGCTAGGTGCTCTTTGCTAGAATTGTAAAGATTCATAATCAAAGTGTATGGACTACTACCTAGATTTGGAAGGCAATTTATTTCTTCCATAATATTTTATAATAAATATTTATAAGTGCAGTATGTGTAAAGTGGCTAAGCACTTAACATGATAGATGGGATTATTTCTACTTTACGTATGAAGAAACACAAGTCACAGAGCTAAAAAGTAGCAACACCAGGAGGAAAAAAACATACAGGTGGGTATGATTCTGTTACTGGAAATGGGTCCTGATTCAGACCCCAAGACAGGGTTCTTGGACCTTGCACAAAAAAGAATTTGGGGCAAGTCCATAGAGTACAGTGAAAGCAAGTTTATTAAGAAAGTAAAGGAATGAAGAATGGCTACTTCATAGGCAGAGCTGTGGCTTGGTCTGCTCACTGTGATTACACTTACAGTCATTTCTTGATTATATCCTAAGCAAGTGGTGTTTATCATGAGTTTTCCAGGAAAGATGTGGGCAAATCCTGGAACTGAGGGTTTCTCCCATTTTTGGACCCAATAGGGTAACTTTCTGAAGTTGTCATGGCATTTATAAACTATCATGTTGCTGTTGGGAGTGTCTTTTAGCATTCTACTGCATTGTAATTAGCATATGAGCAGTGAGGATGACCAGAGGTCACTTTCATTGTCATCTCGGTTTTGGTGTGTTTTGGCGTGTTTCGGCCAGCTTCTTTACCACAACCTGTTCTATCAGCAAGGTCTTTGTGACCAGTGTCTTGTGCTGACCTCCTATCTCATCTTGTGATAGGAAGATGAGATAGTTCATTATCACACTACTATAAATAACTGCCCAAGAGTGGGCAATTTATAGAGAAAGGAGGGTTTAATTGACTCAGTTCCACATGGCTGGTGAGGCCTCAGGAAACTTACAATCATTGCAGAAGCAGAAGCAGGCATGTCTTACATGGCAGCAGGTGAGAGAAAATGTGTGAAGGAGAAACTGTCAAACAGTTATAAAACTATCAGGTCTCATGAGAACTCACTCACTATCATGAGAACAGAATGGGGAAACTGCCCCCATGATCCAATCGCCTCACACATGGTCCCTCCTCCAACAAGTGGGGATTACGGGGATTACTATTTGAGATGGGATTTGGGTGAAGACCCAGAGCCATACCATATAATTCCACCCCAGCCTCTCCCAGATCTCATGCCCTTTTCACGTTTCAAAACCAATCATGCCTTCCCAACAGTCACCCAAAGTCTTAACTCATTCCAGTATTAACCCAAAAGTCCAAGTCTCAAGTTTCATCTGAGATAAGGCAAGTCTCTTCTGCCTATGAGCCTGTAAAAGAAACAACAAGTTAGTTACTTCCAAGAAACAATGGGGGTACAGGCATTGGATAAATACTCCTGTTCCAAGCAGGGTAAATTGACCAAAACAAAAGGCCTATAGACTCCCTGCAAGTCCAAAGTGGACAGAGCGCTCGTTAAATCTTAAAGCTCCAAAATAATCTCCTTTAACTCCATGTCTCACATCAAGGGCATGCTGATGCAAGGGGTGGGCTCCCAAGGCATTGGGAAGCTCTGTCTCTGTGGCTTTGCAGGGGTCAGACCCCATGGGTCCTCTCATGGGCTGGCATTGAGTGCCTGCAGCTTTTCCAGGTGCACAATGCAAGCTGTCAGTGGATCTACCATTCTGGGGTCTGGAGGGCCCTAAGTCCTTAGAATGCCTAACCTCCTGGGAATGCAGCCCAGTATGTCTCGGCCTTGTTTTACTCAGCCCCTCTCCAAGATGGAGTTGCTCTTGTTCAAACATCTCTGACAATTCTAGAACCAATGAGTATAATCACTAATTAATATTGCTTCAGTTCTACTCCACTGGGTAAAGCTTCACTTATGTTACTGTCTAGAAGTGGAAAAATTGTAAAGGAATGGCAGCATGTTATACAGAAAATATAACATGTAATAAGTTGAATTGTAACCCCCACTCCCCAACAAATTCATACTTTGAAAATTCCAACCACCAGTACCTTGCAATGTGACCTGCTTTTGGAACTAGGGTTATCACAGATGTAACTAATTAAGTACAGATTAGTCATCAGGATAGGCCTTAATTCAATATGACTGGTGAACTTATAAAAAGAATGCATGGGGAAAGAAAGACACATTAAAAGGAAAAATGACATGAAAGCACAGGAAGAAGATGGTCATTTACAAGTCAAAGAAAGAGGCCCGGAACAGATCTTTCCCTCACAGCCTTCAAATGGAACCAACACTACTGACAGCTTGATTTTGAACTTCTGGCCTCCAGAACTGTGAGATATTACATTTATGTTGTTTAAGCCACCCTGTTTGGCACTTTATTAAGGTAGCCCTAGCAAACTAATGCAGATAACCTTACTAAAATACAATTTTCATTATTCTAGCCAGGAGAAAAGAAGGAACAACTCAATTCAGAACGAATTGTTCTACAATGAGGAGCCTAAGCATAGGCTTTGGGACCAGGAAGTTCATAGCAAAGGAAGCCATGTTAGGAAAAAGACAAAAAAGCACTTTCTCTCAATAAATGTATTTTAAATGAATTCAGTCCATGGATGCTTTTGTATATTGTTAGGTAAAAAGACCTTAGATGATTCCAAATTTCTTTCAGTGGCTCGCAGGCTCACTGCAAGAGTCCCTCTAGGGCTCACACACATTCTTCTTTGTTTTCTACTTTTTACTTCTGCCTCCTGTTCCACTCTGTGTGGTTTGTAGCTCTTTCATTGGCTGCTGCTTGTTTGTTTTCTTTGCTGTGCTACATTTTGTTTAAGGCCAGTAGTCTAAGTAAAATTGTTAGCTTGGCTATCAAAAAAAAAAAAAAGTTGAACACATGGACTATGGAAAACTTGTATTAATCCCTTTTTCAATTAATAAATTGGTTAAAATATTCTCAGGTAAATGTCCAGAGATTTTTTTTAAAAAATGGAAAAAGAATGCTCAGCCAAATTTGTACACAACTTTTGATTACTTAGATATTAGAATTTTTAAACCAGGATACCTTTCTTGGTAAGCAAGATTGAGTTTTTATTGAAAGTGTTGGTGTTATGAGCTAATAACTAGTAGCGCTAAGGATAAGTAGAACAAGGAGGAATGAAGCTTTTCTATAATCTCATCTCAGAGAAATTCAGTTTAACTCTCTACTTGATAGTGGGAGCACTCTTCAAGTAGGGGAAAATATATAGATCAGTTAATTAACTATGAACTCTCCTTTCCTTAAATGCCTATGTTACTTTATTTGCCAAACAGTTCCATTTCATGCAGTTGAACTCCATCTTATCTCCAAGGTAGGTAAGGCCAAGCAGAGTGCAAGACAAGATTGTTGTTCCCCTTCACTCAACTGGTGTGTTGCCGAACACTTACAAAGCAGTGAGGAGCAAAACTAAGAGAGCTTACATGTAAATGAGAATCTGCAACACAATGCAGTATCATGAGAGATTATAAACATTTTTCAATGTATTTTCCAAAAGGATTTCTTTCGGTTGAAATTCGGCAGAAAGAGGGCAAATCCTGAGAAAAATATTGGAGGTACTGGTATTCGGCATAAGAAATTGCAAGGTTATTTCATAAGTGCAACCAGATACTTCATAACAGAAATGTAAGCATTTCTATTGGAATGAATAATATTGTGTAAATTGTTGTTCTTTTGCATTTGTTAAAAACCAGGCACAGTTACAAGTTTTGTTAATAAATCATTGAATTGATGAAGACAACGTGAGATATTTCTCTGTTTTCTTTTAGTAAAGTCCCTTGAAATCCTGTCCATGAATCAAAAGCAATCTGCACTGGCTACCAACCCCTTAATAATCCACCTTCTCAGAGAGAAAACACTTAATTGCCGTTCAGTGGCCACACAGAACAAATGCCCTTGAGGTGGGGAGAGAAAAGGAAGAAGTGTCATATGTTTGACGGAAGGACACACACACATATGGACACATGTACACAAAGCAAACTAAAACAAAACAAAAAACAAATAAAACCGATTCCTGCAGATAACCATGTAAAACCCATTTGTAAAACATGTGCTATGGAAATATTATGGGAAGAAAGAGTAAAACTGTCCATGAAAAGAAACACATGTGACACTACTAGTGACTGCAGTCACGCACAGCTGCAGAAGTTTCATGTCAAATAGTTTATTACATTTACAAACCACAGATAGTACTGAACTCTCTCTATATATTATGTATTTTCCCTATTTCACATTGTGTAGGGCAGATAGTATATACAGCATGAATAAACTTAACAGAGGTAATTCATGTCCTGGGTGGAGCAGTGCAAGATTTCAGCACACTACCCAGAATAGCAAACAATTTAAAGCTTATGAATTGTTTATTTCTGGAATTTTTCATTTAATATTTTCTGACTGTGGTTGACTACAGGTAAACAAAACTGCAGATAGAGTCTACTGAGATTCAAAGTATGGCTTCTTTCTCTTGAAAGTGATTAAGAAGACACCCCATCTACTAATGATGGAGGTAGAGAAGATCACTCATTCTGGAAGAAAGAAGCCAAAAAGTTGGTTTTAAAGCTAGACTCACAACCTTATGAATAAATTTACATGTACTTTAATCATGAGAGAAACATAAAAAAATAGGGCTGGGCTCAGTGGCCTGTAATCCCAGCACTTTGGGAGGCCGAGGAGGGCGGATCACGAGGTCAGGAGATCGAGGCCATCCTGGCTAACACGGTGAAACCCCATCTCTACTAAAAATACAAAAAATTAGCCTAGCATGGGGGTGGGCGCCTGTAGTCCCAGCTAGTCGGGAGGCTGAGGCAGGAGAATAGCTAGAACCTGGGAGGTGGAGATTGCAGTGAGCAGAGATCACACCGCTGCACTCCAGCCTGAAGACAAAGCAAGACTCAGCCTCAAAAAGAAAAAAAAAAAAGACTACATTTATTTTAAGTATTTTTATTATCTCTTCTAATATTCTCACATATTCTTCAGCCTCCAGTTCTCATGCTGTTCACTGAAGGTTCAGTGTTCTTGTGAAATGTGTTAGCTAAGCAAGTTAGATTAGGAAGAGACCCACAATTCTTCAGATTCTAAACCTTGAACTTCTCTCCCTTTATCACAATATATCTGTCCTAAATTTTCGTGACATCTTTGCCTGTTTTAATTACTCTGATATATCAAAATTACAAGCTAACAAAATGCGTGTTAATTAGTACTTTTGTCATAGTCTAAATATTATCTTTCTCAACTTGTAGCTGCATTTAATCTGTAGCCCGCCACTCCTTAAATTGTACAATGCTATCAAGTATACAGGAGATTTTGTTTGAAATGGAGTGATCATTTGTCACTCAGCAAATCAAGCCATGAAGAAGAAGTTATTGATCTAACTCCTTGTACTGTTTCCTTATTCTTATTGGCCAACTTTTAAGAAATAGGAGACATTTGAATAAGTACTGAAATATATGTTAGGAAAAAAGTACATTGATTATTTCATAATATTATTTATGTAATTCAAGTCATCTTAATGGTCTTCGAAAACTTTGGTGCATCCTGTAATCCTCTTTCAGAATATTTAGTTTTATTTTGGTTTTAGTTTTAATTGGAGAATTGGAGGGATTTTCTTACAATAACAGTATTAAGTATATGTAACTGATAGAATCCTAAAAAGAGGAGAGTTATTTGTGTGTGTGTGTGGGTATGTATATGTGTATCTATATGTGTATGTGTTTGGGGTGTGTGTATATTTACATACACATACATGTATATGTATGTATATACTAAATATATATACACACATATGTACATATATACAAACACACAAATATATGTATCTTTCTAAATAGAAAAATTAGGTAGTTATTCAACTAAAATTTCTTCTAAATAGAAAATCTGCAGGATTTTTCTAGAAATCCTTCAGAAGACACTGGAGTTGTGCAGATAGGTTAGAATTTGCTCTAATCCCATGTGATTGCATCTATGTTTTGATAAAATATAGTGTATACTTATAATTTGAAGTTAAAATGTAAATGTAGCACTGTTAACCCTTGCTTTCAATAGTTTTTCCAGGGACAATTATAGATTTTTACTTACCTAGATTTTTTTAAAAAGTGGGCTTCATTGCCAGATTCAACATTGTTTTCTCTGCCACCTTCAGGCTTATATCGTTACAAAACCAAGTGTAGTGAAAGTAACTTGATTGTCATCATGTGACTCAAAGAAAGGTTTCATAATCCAGTGCTGTTGACTCTGTCTGCTAAACTGAGGTCAAACATCTGTCCTTGAACTGGTTCCTGTGTTCATGGGAATTAACCACTCATATAACTTAAATCACAAGCTCCAGCCCTGTAAGGGGAAATAGAGGTAGTCTTACTAGAACTAGATTGAGAATGGGGCAGAGGGTTGGGAGTGGAGGCTAGATGGAAATTGATGTACTGCTCAAATAAAAATAGGAAATGTATGTTGGAAAGGCAATTAACAAATGTCCAATACAGCTCGTTACTTGATTATGGCATATGGTATAACGTGATATTCATCTTATTATCACTAAGGCCTAAATAACAGAGCTGCAAAGTAATGAAGCGTGCTAATAATGGAAAGGAACTATGGCTTAACTGTCTCCTCCAGTAAATTGCAGCCATAGGTTTAAAAGGCAAAAACAATAAAACAAAACCAATATAATCCCCATTTTATGCTACTTCCAAATAATGAATTTTCTCCATAAAATATTGAGGTATTAAATCTGTATCTTCTATAACTTTTCCTAATTAAAGAAAACAATTCTATTCAACATTGTAGGTGTAAAGAAAACCAGGCTTGTACTTTAAAAAGTAAGGAAAATATTTTTCCCCTAATTTTTAGATTTTTTTAATTCTGTGACTAAACAATTAAACACATTCATTTATCTCTCTTGACACATTTCCATTTCCCCATTCCAAATGATTTTGTGTCAGAAAACAAACATATTTGTCAGGAAAAAAAAGAAAAAACTTTATTCATAAAGTTACAACAGGTAAAAAACTGAAGACCTTAATAAATATTCTTTTGTAATTTCCAGTAACATTTACAACTGGAAATCCTAAGCTGTTGACTATGAGACAACTTGGAAAGGGAAAATAAAAACGAAAACATTTCAAATCTTCAGTGACATTTTAATAAGAAGTGACAGGAATTCCAAAGGAGAACATATAACTGTAAATATGTCTCTGATGTATTTTTAATGCCTATGTGCTTAGTGTATAACAGTCCCATACAATGACAGAAGGATAATATTGCCAGTGTTCATTGCTTGAAAATAATAAATGGGGCCAGGCACGGTGGCTCATGCCTGTAACCCCAGTACTTTATGAGGACGAGGCAGGCGGATCACCTGAGGTCAGGAATTCAATACCAGCTTGGCCAACATGGCGAAACCTGTCTCTACTAAAAATACAAAAAAAAATCCTAGCTATTCAGGAGGCTGAGACAAGAGAATCGTTTGAACCTAGGAGGCGGAGGTTGCAGTGAGCCGAGATCGCACCACTCTACTCCAGCCTGGGTGACAGGGCGACAGAGCGAGACTCTATCTCAAAAAAAAAAAAAAGAAAGAAACTAATGGACTATCATGGGGAACCCAAAATATAGGCTACATTTTTTTATCTTGGGAATTTTGTGGTCAGAGAAGTTTTTTTTTTTTTTTTAAACAAATGTGAGCAAGAATTAGTTTTATCGACTGCTTTCCCAATAGAAACAGACTCCCCAAGCCAACTGGTAGCCAAGGAGAACATAATATACACAGTCTTTGAGCGACCTCCTGTTTTGTCTGATGCTCAGGGCCTCATAGATGTTCCCCATAACTGGTACATGAGTGTGACACTAAACCAATTACTTTTAGAAAGTCAGGTAAATCTGTAAAATGGCACTAGAATGATAGCTGTGTGTGTGCTGTGGGCAGAGAGATGGGGGATCAGTGAGGTTGGCAGATGGGACTTTGAACTACATTATTCAGCCCCCAGGTCTGGAACAGTAATGCCTCTTTGCAGATGAGTGGTATTTCCCAGCTCATGGTTTTCCGCTTGACTTTCCTGTAAATGTAAATCAGAATTAAGAAGGGAGGGAGATTATAACCTTTGCTGTTTACACTAATTTGTAACACAAGATGCATTTTGAAAGGGAGAAGGGCAAACCTCAAATGATGTGAGGTTTATATGAGTGCACCAAGGAAGCACTATGAAATGGCATCTTCTGCAAACTCAGAACTCATTCAGAAGCAAAGCCACTCTGGAAATCTCACAAGATCAGGTTTTCTTGCCTCCTCCCTGGGAGTTCCCATTTCAGGTCTTGCTTGGAAATGGCCCAAGAACAGATCCTTCTTGCTGTTCCAATACTTCTGTTTCTCTGCTTCCTAACTGTAACCAGAATCAGTGAAAACTAATTTACTAAAAGACGAAAATCAGGCCGGGCGCGGTGGCTCACGCCTGTAATCCCAGCACTTTGGGAGGCCGAGGCGGGTGGATCATGAAGTCAGGAGATCGAGACCATCCTGGGTAACAAGGTGAAACCCCGTCTCTACTAAAAATACAAAAAATTAGCCGGGCGCGGTGGCGGGCGCCTGTAGTCCCAGCTACTCGGGAGGCTGAGGCAGGAGAATGGCGTGAACCCGGGAAGCGGAGCTTGCAGTGAGCGGAGATTGCGCCACTGCAGTCCGCAGTCCGGCCTGGGCGACAGAGCGAGACTCCGTCTCAAAAAAAAAAAAAAAAAAAAAAAGACGAAAATCAAAGTTGTATGATTTAATATGAAAACTTCTGTCATGCTGATATTTCACCCACTGTTTTATCTTTTTAAGAGTTTATACTTGGGTATGTTCACAGCAGCTGTGTGTGTTTAATCCTAGCTGTGATGTTAGTCTGGTTTGTTTGTTTGGTCCTCTCTCTACAGGAGAAACACTTCAAACTCCTGTCCTCTGAAATCAGCAAGGGTGATGGAAACCTCCAACTGCTCTGCATGAAACAATACCACCTTCAGACCTGGCCTGCACAGCCCTTACTGCAGACACTCACAAACTGGTCAGGACTCCTGTAGGCCAGGCTGTGAAAGGGAGGGATTGGAATTCTTTCCAGCACCTGTTTGCCTATGGCTTCGCTATGGAAATTAGGCTAGAAGTTTATTCTCTAAGTCTGGAAACTGAAGTTTAAATGTACTCAATTTTGAAAATGTAGAGAATATGAACGTTTTTCCAATTTCCCTTTCACTAAAAGGTTTTAGTACTTCTGGCTAAAGGTGTTGTTGCCCTCAGGGAAAATGCTCTTATGAACCTCTTTGAGACCTGTCAGAAACCATACTGGAAAAATTTACTGATGGATTACTCAATATGCACTGAAGTATATTTATTCCCATTCATGTGAATATGGTGAGAATGAGGGAATCGGAGGGCGGAAATGTTGGGTAGAGGTCAAGGAGGGGAGCACATCAGAAAGAGGGATGGAAACACTGCACAGTTCTCAATGATAATTTATTTAATAATTCTATGCAATGAGCTTTTGTTTTTGAGACAGGTTCTCACTCTGTTGCCCAGGCTTTAGTGCAGTGGCATGATCATAGCTCACTGCAGCCTCGAATTTCTGGGCCAAGAGGACCTCTCTCCTCAGCCTTCTGAGTAGCTGGAACTGGCACAACAAATTTTCTTGATATTAAATGAAACTCGTGTGTTGTGTGTATATGTGACTGTGTAATGTGTGTATCAAAATGGTATTGCCAAGTTTGGGATCGTTCCAGAAAAGAATATGTGAGACAGATGTTTGCAAGAGGTAGTTTATTGGGGATTCTCTCAAGAGGTATGGCAACCTAGAAGATCATGGCAGCTAGAAGAGTATGGCAACCTAGAAGAATAAGACAAGGATAGAGGCATCCATTCTTGGCAATCCAAAGATACATTACTGAGCTCGTTCACTGCCATGAAAACCCACGGTTAAATCCTACTGAGACACTGCAATATCTAAGTAAAATAAGCACTCAGAATTGTCACTGTAATATAAAGGAGAGGAGAGTATTCACCAACTCCTGTCCTTCATTGGTAAGAGGTCACCTCATGGTTTGTTAACTTTCTTACTTCCAAGTTCATTCATGCATCAGAGTAGTTGGGTAGATTCCTGGAGACATTCCATGTGGAGACGCCCAGAGCCCAGGAGCTAAAACAGGGAAACTCATGGTGCAACTCATGTAAGGTAATGCAAGGATACCCTTAGCATACTCTATTTCCTTGCCTCACTTATGCCTGGTGTAAAAGGGTAAGTTGAGAAGATATAAGACTGAGCACCAGAGCAGTCTCATTAAGGGTCCCTATAGAAAACAAAGCATAGACGGGATATAATAATTGGAAGGTGTTCCGCTTACCAAAATTTGACATATGAAGACCACAGGGATGAAGCAGTAATGAGAGCTTAGTAAATTGAGTGCTTGCCACCTGAAAATGTCAAGAAGAGTGTGTGCAGACAGCAAGAGATGAGTAGTTTCAGCTTCCTCTAGAGGAGTGATGGCCTTCCAATACAGGAGACAGCAGTAGGCTGCTTGACAGAGAGGGAGCTGGAGATTAAGAAACTCTCCTGTGGCCCTCAGTGTCCGACAGAGATTTCTCTATTCGCTGAAATGAAAATCCAAGATTGCACGAAGACTGCTATCTTGATGTGTTCTCACACATCAGCTTTCTAAAGCAGACAGCAGAGTGGTGAAAGTTGGAAAGTAGACCTGGAAGAAGAAACTAAAGGTACCTGGCATACTGATTCACTGGAGGTTTTTTAATTGAATGCCCACTTTTACTTTGATCTTATCTAATCTTGATCAGTTCTACAGATGACAAGCCTGGTTGGACCTCAGCTTGGTTTCAGACCTCTGACTGAGATTTTTTTTTTAACATTAAAGAAAAATAAAAATTTTGTGAGATAAAGATGTTTATATGAAACAAACAAAAAAAAATCACCCTTAGTATTATAGCTCAGAAATAATTACTGTAATTTAAGATTCTGTTTATTTGTATAAGAATGCTTGGTAAGGCCAGGCGCAGTGGCTCACACCTGTAATCCAACAACTTTGGGAGGCCAAGGCAGGCAGATCACGAGGTCAGGAGATCAAGACCATCCTGGCTAACATGGTGAAACCCCGTCTCTACTAAAAATACAAAACATTAGCTGGGCATGGTGGCATGCGCCTGTAATCACATCTACTTGGGAGGCTGAGGCAGGAGAATCACTTGAACCAGGGAGGCGGAGGTTGCAGTGAGCCGAGATTGCACCATTGCACTCCAGCCTGGGTGACAGAGCGAGACTTCGTCTCAAAAAAAAAAAAAAGGAATGCTTGGTAAATTGAATCAACTGCCCTAAATAAGAGCTCATTTAGATTAATTCAGTTAATATTAACTATTTTTCATTACTAAATATTTTTTGCAAATATGATTTGCAATATTCCATTTAATTTAGCTATTTTTGTTGTTGCTCATTTGAGTTAATTCTGATACTTCCCTATTAATTAATTTATCCAGTTATTTAAATAATATTTATTAAATACCTAGAAAAAGAGAGAAAAATACCTGCATTCCTTGATCTTAAACTCTAGTGAGAGAGACAATAAAGAGATAGACTAGAACATATGATATAATGTAAAATTGTGGTCAACACTAGGTGGAATATTAAAGCAGAGGAAGGGGATAGAGCAGGATAGACATGCTCTCCCAAGGGGGGTATTCCTGATCTGAGACATGAACATATAGAGAGAGTAAGATACAAGTATATGTAAGAGATCAGTGTTGCAAACTGAGGGAGGGGCAATAATAATTATCCTGAAGTCATGCTTAAAGATCTGTAAGAAGACCATGAGGGCCACAGTATTATGTGTAAGGAAGAAAGAAATAGGTGGGGTCCACAAGAAAATCAGACTGGATTATGACAGCTTTATTGGTAAGTGTAAGATGAGATTTCCTGTTAATCATGATGTAAAGGCACCAATAGATTGTGATTGTACATACAGGAATCATATGATCTGGTTTGAATTTTTGAAAGATTGTTCGGTTGCTCACTGAAAGTAGTAGAGGAGCCTGAGAGAAACAGGGAACCAGTAAAATGGTTATCACAGATGTCCGGGTGATGGTGCCAGATGGTGGCTTGGACTAGCATGATGTCTTTCAGGGAAAGAGAAGTTGTCATAATGGATAGGAGATACTGGATTTTCTCTAGATTAGATGACATGGATATTTGGAAGAGCTATGCTGACATTTATCAATATAAGAAATAATTTTAAAAGTTGCAAGCATAGAATGGAAATAGAAGGTCTATCTTAGATATTTTATAATTCCTAAAAGACATCCAAGAAAGATGGAGAACAGGTTAATAAATTAACACTCTTGATATGGACTGATGACTCGCAGTTCAAACAATTGAAACCATTTTGTTATCCATCCATAGATAAGTGTAAAGTTCATAAGAACCTGGCATTTTAGTATGAAAATGCTTGTATTTTGTCACTTAATGCTTTTGTCTTTGAGTACTGATGAGCCTGAAACTTTCCTTTTGTTGAGCCGTACTTTTTGTTCTTTGAATTGTCTGACAATTCCCTTTACCTATTAGCTACTAGGAATTTAGCACAGCTTATTCATACTGAAACTGTGTGTTTCATTTGTAATAATGTTGTTTATGTGTTTATTATTTACCTTTAATGACACTTTGAGGAACGGTTACCTTTACATCTGTATACATTAATTGTATAATTGTAATTTGTTTCCATTCTGTAAATATAGAAAGTAGTTTCACTTCCACCCTTTTCTATATTTTTGCAGTTTTATTTACTATACTCATTTTGCCTATTGAATTAAATGTAGTAAACAGTATAAAATATTCATTATTTAATTTATTTACAAATACTTTCTCAGTGATTTTTGATGTCACTGCTATGACATATCAAGTCAGTTTCCCTTCTTAGGTATAAACACTAATGCAAATTTTCAGCTTGAAAACTCTGAGGAAAAATATGTCCAGGCAAGCAAATAAACCAACAAGCTTATGGCCACCAGTCAGCAATTGAAAATGACAGCTCTGAATGCCATAGTATTTGTGCCTTAAACATGGCTATCAGTTCTGTATTATATGTGCCTACACTCATCTTTGGGTACTTATGGACCAGGTTAGCCTTTTGCGTGACTTGCCTTCTGATTCTGTTTTGTGTTCAGCACCACATTGCTCTGCAAGCACAGGTGCAATGTTTTGCAACTCAGTCTATTTGGCTGGGTGAGACTCCGATATGCTACCTGGCTCTACCTAGCATCCTCTTCTTGTGTTGAGAGGCTGCCACATTTTCTTATGTCTCTGGACACTGAGTAAAACCAAGATTGCAAGCAGCTAATACGTGGCTTTTGCATTCGGCCTCTCTTCTCTTTTTATTGTCATAATTCCCATTCCATAAAAAGTTATTTTCTCTATTTTATTCTGTATTGTCACATCCTTGTTCCCCTCATTAATAAATATGCATCAATCAATTCTCCAAAATATGCTAAACTGCTGATTGTACCAGTTGATAAAGAGTGTCACAGTGGTAATCCCCAAAAACATGCGATTCAAGTGTTAACAATGTTTGACAGAGTGCTGGTATTCATGTGCATGCGAGTACATGTGAAGATGTGTATCTGGGTATTAGCCTGTTCTTACATTGCTATAAAGAAATACCGGATACTGGGTAATTTATAAAGGAAAGAGGTTTAATTGAGTCACGGTTCCACAGGCTACACAGGGAGCATGATGCTGCCATCTGTTTGGCTTCTGGGGGGGCGCCTCAGGAAATTTAGAATCATGGTGGAAGGCAAAGAGGGATCAGGCATCTCACATGGCAGAAGCAGAAGCAAGGTGGTGGGGGGGCACTACACACTTTTAAATGACTAGATCTCATGAAAATTAATTCCCTATCATGAGAACAGCACAAAAGGCTGGCGCTAAACCATTCATGAGGAATCCACCTCCCATGAGGAATCCACCTCCCATGAGGAATCCACCTCCCATGAGGTCTGACCTCCAATATTGGAGATTACAATTTGACATGAGATTTGGGATGGGACAGATATCCAAACTATACCAGCCTGTAATAAAAAAGTGTTCTCTAACAGCATACATTCACACTTCAAACAAATCTATTTAAAATAACCGCATATAAAAGTTTGATGTGAGTAGACAAAAAATATTGCAGCTGAGGCCAGCTGAAGGCGATAAGTAGCAGTTTCTTACTTTATGCTGAAGAAAAGCAGGATCTCTGTCCTAGTTTATGCAAAAGCTCAGTGATGGGAGCTGAAAAAGCCTACTGGCTGTTTGTGAGCTAATAACTGTACTTTAAAACATGTCTTAAGTTGAAAAAAAAAGTAATTTGAGGTCAAAAGACACTGAGCTCTGAGAAATGAAACATACATGTTGTCAAATATTAACAATAATAATAATGTTGGGGTTTAGGGTATCACCTAAATTAGGCTATTATAACCCACCCAATTATTGAACTAAATAGAAACACAAAATGAACAGGACAGATAGATAGCAAAGTATCAGCTTTATGCCTTATAAAAAATATTAAATTCCTAAACATAAACCCTGGAAGTAGTCCTCCTAGACAACCAATAAAAGATACACCTTGAGAGCCACAAACCGTCTCTACGATATCTTGAACAGTGCTAGATACACAGGGAGTGTTCAATAAACAGTGAGTGAATGGGGATAAACAGAGTAGAGCACAAACTTTCTGTGGGCCATGAGGACAAGTGTGTTGAGTGCATTATTTCCATATTTACATGCTATCAGTAATAGACAGGAATCATTTCTACCAACTCAACAAAAATTAAAATATTTATAGTACAAAAAGTACAGCATATTTTATTTGTTTAGTAAAATGAACTCTTCTTAGATAGCTGTCTATGTAAATTGCCGAAAACATTCCTGACTAAGAATTCGGGGCAGAATCTGGGGAGCCTGCCCAGGAGTAAAATTGTATTGCCTAAGGCAAGAAAGGATTTTTAATCTGCTATTTCCTAGGTGTAAAAGAGAATATAGCCATGTTTACAGAAACTGGCAAAATTGTCTAAGAAACATAATCCGTTATTAAATTTGTTAAAATACTTTTTTTGAGTAGAATTACATGTGAGGAAGAAAATGAGCTTGGGACCCATCTGACCAAGAATAAATCTGAGAAAGCTCGTAAGAATGAAGCAGCTGAAAAGTGAGGGCCATGAAGGACTAAGTGACCAGGAATGTTCTGGAATTACCCAAGGATTTTCCCATTCTCACAGTTAAAGTAGTTATGAACTTGAACCAAGTATACTTAAATCTCAGAAGAGAAGGGAGTTTCCAGATGACATCTGTGATTGATGCTGATGTTTGCTAACTCATTCAACTCTATTAGTAGCCCTGTCATTTAAGTAGTATTTCATTTTACAAATCAGAAGGCTTAAATCAGTGATAGAGAAACTGACAAGGACATAAAGATGCCAGTCCTGAGAGAAAATTTCAAAATTTTTAAACACATGTAACTGATTTTAAAGCTTGTCCTCTTAACTGCTATTCTTTGTAGCTTCAAATAACTAAATGAATTTTTTTGAAAAAGAAATTGAAATCAAGCACATAACTCAGGAACAACACTTCAGGATATGATCAAGTACTAACTATACGAAGTTAAAAATAAATCCTTCATATTCATGCTATCTTCCTGTAAATCCAAGTGAGATGTAGCCCATGGTCCATTATATGCTTTACACATATCTAGGTAGTGATCTGACACCCTGAGTACATCATGCTATTATGTTACATGTACAGTAGAACCAACATCGATATAATGAAGGCTTATAGCATAGTTTCTTTACTAATCCAGATGATGGAATTGTGTGTGTATTTCTTTCAATTTTACTTTTATTAGATAGTTATGTAAAATATAAGTATGTAAAATTACTTTTATTCATTGATCTTGTAAACAACTATAAAGAAAGGACACCCACACTATTTATCAGCAAACCAAGTTTACAGAATCCAAGTAGCACCTGAATTAAAAGCAAAAAAGCAGTTATGCCCCTGTAACAGTGACATTCTGATTTCCGCTTTTTAAATCATGAAACTGAAGCTCTGCTTTTTATTTCCTTCATAACTCCTTCTCCCGTCTGCTCCTTCTGGAGCACATTTCCACATCTTGAGAAAAACCATTTATCACGTTTTCTAAGAAATCATTTAAAAAAACAGTTCCTAGAACAGCAAGGCACATTCTATTTCAAAAATGGTGACTGTCTAACCAAAACAAAGAGCATTCTTGTTTTTTAGTTCACATCTAACACTCTTGTAGAAGCTTATCATTCAAGAAGGAAACTGTAGCAGAATGTTTCAGAGAACATAAACATGGCCCTTGATTTATGGGTTGTATAAGATATTTGTCTCAATCGTTTGGAATACTGGAGAGTTTTGTTGTGTCTACTTGCAGAAACAAATCTCTACTGTGCTTAAAATACTAACACTTCAGCAAAGTCAACGTATCTCTGTTTCTCTGTACAATTAGGGAATTACCTTTACTCCCCTGCCTGTGGACCCCTGGTTTTACACCATGCATTCCTGCCTACTTGATTTGTAATGCTTTGCAACTCCACATGCTAATATGATGCTCTTCCATACCAAACTCCAGTAACTATTTACATTGTACTGAAAATAGAGACAGTTTAATAGTGAGTATTTTAACACAGAGGCAAATACTCTGCAGTCTAAGTCTCATTTGTTCATGTTCCTTAAAGAAAATAACTAATAATGCTTTTCTTACCGCAAAGAAAATACCAGGAGATAAAAAGAATGCAGTGGTTAAAAAAAAAAAAAAAAAAAAAAGGAAGAAAATGGAAGAAGAGAAAAAGGCAAAGGAAAAGAAGTGTAGAATAGGTCAGGCACGGTGGCTCATGCCTGTAATCCCAGCACTTTGCAAGGCCCAGGCTGGCGGATCACGAGGTCAGGAGATGGAGACCATCCTGGCTAACACAGTGAAACCCTGTCTCTACTAAAAATACAAAAAATAAGCCGGCCATGGTGGAGGGCGCATATAGTCCCAGCTACTCGGGAGGCTGAGACAGGAGAATGGCGTGAACCTGGGAGGTGGGGCTTGCAGTGAGCCGAGATCATGCCACTGCACTCCAGCCTGGGTGACAGAGAGAGACTCTGTCTCAAAAAAAATAAAAATACAAAAAAGAAATGTAGAATAAATTCCTTCCCCATCTCTCATTTAATATAGAAGTAGATTATAAAATAAGCTAAGTGTAGGTCGGGCGTGGTGGCTCACACCTGTAATCCCAGTACTTTGGGAGGCTGAGGCAGGAGGATCACCTGAGGTCAGGAGTTCGTGACCAGCCTGGCCAACATGGTGAAACCCCATCTCTACTAAAAATACCAAAAATTAGCCAAGAGTAGTGGCAGTCTCCTGTAATGCCAGCTACTTGGGAGGCTGAGACAGGAGAATCACTTGAACTGGGGAGGTGGAGTGAGCCAAGATGGCGCCATTGCACTCCAGACTGGGCAAGAAGAGTGAAACTCCCTCTCAAAAAAAAAAAAGAAAGAAAAGAAAAAAGCTATGTGTAGAAACCGATTCTTCAGTTCCGAGTGTTGGTACATCATGATACATGCCATACTGAAGAATCAGTTAGCTTGCTTCAGTTCTTCTGCTGATTGATACTTATGATAGACATGGGGCAAACAATCCAAATTTATAAACCTAAATTTATCAATCTGTAATATGAGTGTAATAATAATATTTTTCTGATTTGGGTGCTATTTATGGCTATATTTCTAGCATGTTTAAAGTATACGATACATTGTAGCCTTGCAATAACTGTCTGTGAAATTAACAAAATAATGCACTGTATCTAAAGTACTGGAACATAGCCAACTGTCACTAATGATAAGCATTTTAACATTGTTTTAATTCTGTGTTTCTGTTGGTTGATGTGTGCTGGAGTTACCCATACTTCATTGTGGGCTTTACTGCGCTTCTTGGTACAATAGTGATTGGCTTATTGAGTATATTAAGGGTAAAGATCCATATCTCCTTACTCCTCATCTCATATTTTTCAATTTGCTGATAACTCAACTTTGCTTGGGCTATAGAAAGGAAGTGATCAAAACTGACTTCTGAAAGGATACACGATTCATCTACTTCAGTCTAGGTATCATGCAAGTGCTCATTGACAAACCCTGAATAAATGTGTCAGATGGAAAAATTTTCTCCAGGCAAAAAATAATATGTCTACGAGGACTGTGAGAACTGAAACAGTGCTATTGGTTCTCCTTTGATCCAGATAGCGGAAGAGCTGAAATCAATGCTGGTTTGAGTGACTGGAGAAACGAGATGAGGAAAGTAGCTGTGAGGAGACATATTCTGAAGGTGACAGCTAGCATATGGAATGAGAGTTGGATTCATTTGTTCTATGTATCCAGAACTGTGGATTCAGTGGGAAAAAGTGTAGCAGTGGTCTGTCAGAAAGTATATTGTTTAGTCTTTGTTTGTCCAGAATGGGGTTGAACAGATGTCTACATCTTAACAAGAAAGCAAGTAGAAGACACTGGACTGCATTAGCAGAGACTTGTGTAGCTGAATCTGTCTGGAGAGCAAACTCATTAGCCTAAATCATGGAATAAATCATGTATACCAAGCACACCAAGAAACAATGTCAGTAATAAAATAATAGCAAAATTCACAGAAATAGGCATAACTCGTATAAACCTTCTTCCTTCCCATTTAAAATATTTATTATCCTGGGATGTAAGTGATGATAGAAATTGCTTCTAGTGGAATTCCACATTATGCTGTAGTGCATGTAGTCTGCCACTAAATTTAGCTCCTTCCTTCCTCTTTCCTTTCTTCCTTTTTTCTTTTCCTTTCTTTATTTCTTAAACCCTTCCTCCTTCTTCTCCCCCTTCCTTCTCTCTCTCTTTCTATTTTTTTCTTCTCCTCCTTTTTTTTTTCACTACAGCAATTTTCTTCTGACATTATGGTTAGTTGGCTTACAAGTTGGAAATGAGATGCTAGACTGTACATATGCTCAAAAGAGATTTTTTTCTCTCTCTCTCAAGTTTCTGAAACCACTCAAGCTTTCCTGGCAAATATTAAGCTTATAACCCTTTAAGAACTATGAAAGTCATAGTGCAGTGTTCCTAACAGGGGAAACCAGAGATTAAATAAAGACAGATTCATATACAGCTCTATTGCATTTTTTTAAGCAGCTTTGCTTTTAAACCTAGAAACAGACAGGATATTGTTGATTTAGATATTATGGGAAGGTCACATGTTAAAAGTCTTTCTCCCACACATTAAAAAACCCACAAGAAATATCTTGTTGAAGTTCAATTCCCAACACCTCAGAAAGTCCTATCTTCTTACTTCTTCAGTCCTTTGGCACATTCTTACTGCCCCATTATCCACCCCAAACCAGCAGCTGCTTAAGATGGAATTCACAGACAGCTGCTGGGAATATTTTTCAAACACGAAGAAACGTAAGTTGAAAAGTTCACAACAAAGTTTTACCCATTCTCAAACAAGGAGGCTGCAACACTTATGATAGTCATATAAAAGGGAGATCACTGAGTAAGGAAAAAATATGTTTGAAGGTGTTAAAATACTATTTTCTACTAGCAAATTAACAAATTTATTAGGATGCAATGCTAGTTGCAGTGAAGCTGTTGGCACTTTTATTTACCTCTATTAGGAATATAAATAAGAACATTTTGTAAGTTTAAGGATGTTGATGTTAGCAGAAAATAGAAAAAATAATGTCCTATAATACTGACTATAATTCTGTATATAGATCAGGTGAAACTCTCTGCCATTGCAAATATAATATTACAAAATAATATCTGAAGACTCTTGAGAATGCTCATAACATATTAAATAAAAAAGGTTATAAAACAATATATGAAACTGTTTTATTTTGTAAACATATATGTATATACAATTGTATTTACCAAAATATAAACAGTAGTTATTTCTGGTTGGTAGAATTTAGAAGTAGATATTCATTTTATTCTCAATTGCTTTTATACAAGTCTGTCCTCCAATCAAATTGCATTATTCTTAAAATATCATGGTAGCATAAAGTACTTTGAAAAGAAAGTAGCAATTCTCTTGTCGTAGGTAAAGCTATATCTGGAACAGGAAACAAAGATCCAACTGGGTTTTTCTTTCTGTTGCGAGATCTTTGGATTCTGGGCTCATTGATAGATGTAGTACGTGATAAATATGCAAGTTAATGGTGTTGGTTTGGGTTGATTTGGGTGCAAGTAATATATTTGAAAGTGAGAGGGAAGAACTGAGACAGGGAAAGAGAAAGGTACGTTAATGAATAGGTCACAGAAAAAGGAACATTAATGAATTGGTCACTGCTGTAGATAACTAAGTCTCAGTCCAACGTGGACACTTTGAGAACCTGTGTTGAATGTGCATAGAAATTATGCCACTAAGTAGTGAAGATGCTGTGAGAGCTGTCCACTAATTTCTTTTTTCTTTTTTTTTTTTTTTTTTTTGTTGTTGTTGTTGTTTTGTTTTGAGATGGAGTTTCACTCTTGTTGCCCAGGCTGGAGTACAATGGCTCACTGCAACTGGAGTACGATCTCAGCTCACTGCAACCTCTGCCTCCCGGGTTCAAGGGATTCACCTGCCTCAGCCGCCCGAGTAGCTGGGATTACAGATATGCGCCACCACGCCCTGCTAATTTTGTATTTTTAGTAGAGATGGGGTTTCTTTATGTTGGTCGGGCTGGTCTCGAACTCCCAACCTCAGGTGATTTACCCACTTCAGCCTCTCAAAGTGCTGGGATTATAGGTGTGAGCCACCGTGCCCAGCCCTATCCACCAATTTCTATCCTTCATTGGTTGAGGGTCACTTCAGTGGGTTAACTTGCATTTTCAATTTGTGTAACATAGAATACCCACAAATGACTGGCAGAGAAAATACTTGGGGCACCAACAGAGTCTTCTACATCAGGGGCCCCCAACGGCTACTGGTCTAGGGCGTGTTAGGAACTGGGCCACACAGCAGGAGGTTAGTGGCAGGCAAGCAAGCATTACTGCCTTAGCTCAACCTCCTGTCAGATCAGTGGCAGCATTTGATTCTCATAGGAGTGTGAACCCTATTGTGAACTGTGCAGGTGAGGGATCTAGGTTGTGAGCTCCTTATGAGAATCTAATGCCTGTTGATCTGAGCTGGAACAGTTTCATCCCAAAACCATCTCCCCACACCCTGTAGTCCGTAGAAAAATTGTTTTTCATGAAACTGCTCTTTGGTGCCAAAAAAAGTTGGGGACTGCTGCTCTACATAGCTTTATATGATGTTTGCATTTACAAGTGAATATGCTGTTACTCAGTGGATGATATATTCCTGGATCAGAGGGTGACTGGTGATTGTAGAAATTTGGGTTTCAGTTCTGGTGTTTGCTAGCTACGCGGGCTTTGATAAGAACAGAATGTCTCTGGGTCTTAATGTCCTAATTTGCAACAACACGGCCAACCATGCTACCTGAAAATGACTCCAAGCATCACTGAGTTTTGGAAAGATTAAAACAAACTAAAATGTGCCTCATGGTTTCACCTCCATTTACCAACTGGGATTGGAAAAGACTGAACAAAAATTAAAAAGTAAAGTTGAAGCTTGTGCACAGGCAAAATCAGGGATAATAGAATGTTCCAAGATTTCTTAGAAATTCCTAATTTTATATCATCTGTCTGTAAGAAGAATATTATCACCTCAGGTCCTACACATTGGTGTTTTGGTCTCAGCAGATTCCCAGACCTAAGGTCTCCGGTGTATCTGGGGCCAAAATAAATAAAATCCTCGCCGATATTTTTCTGGTTAATATAGCTGGATTCTTCTCTTTTAAAAAATTATTTTCCAAGAATGTAATATTTCTATGATGGTTGTACCTAGTCAACATTATTAGTTTCGTTTGCTCCCTGCAGGGGCAGAATTGACCCTCAGGTCTATGGGGATGGATCCAGCTTTCTCCCCTGTGGGGTTCTCTAAGTTGGCAGCCTTTCCTACCTCACCCCCAAGCTCCCTTTTGCACGTGCAGCCACACTCATCACATTGGGGTGCAGCTCATCTTTCATGGCTGGCAGGCTGCCAACACTGCTTTGAACTGTGGAAAATCTGAGAAGTGCTTGATAGCTTTTTATATAGCTTGGTTTGATACCAATAACTCTTGAGTGTGGATGTCAAGGCAACAAAGCTGCAGCTCACAAAGAAAGAAAAATAATAATAAAATAAATCCCCAAAGATTATAAGTGAATAATCTGTGAAATGCTCAGAAGAATTTTCCTATTGTTTCTCCGCATGTTACTCAGAGGGCCTTGTTAATTAAGGTTCAGGACCAAGAAGTGAATCTGTCATCAAGTCGCCATTCCTCCTGCATGCATAACAAATTGCTCACATAAACTGTCCCCAAATCTCATCATCTCTCACTTCCCCCCTCCAGGAACTTTAAAGGATTGCGCTGCTATACTAGCCTGCAGTTCCATTATGTGAGAAGCACAATTTGGCTTTAGCTGCAATTTTCAAATATTTATGAAAGCAAGATTAGGGGCAGAACTAAACAAGATCTGTGCACATGTCTTGTGAATTAATAGTTTCAGTATTTTATGGGGTTGGACTTCCAAGGAGATAGGTGAGAAAAAAGCTGGGTGGAGGGGCGGACCATGACCTCTCACAAGTTTACACACACAAAAAGTTGGTATCCATTCCTATTAGGATAATTTATCAACAGAGTCCCCTAAAACAGAGAAGCTTAATCTCAGGCTTAGCTCACTTCTCTTTTGAAATCACAGAATTCATAACAGGCTCAGCATTTGGTCAGTGTGTATTTTCTTTTCCCATAGGGCCTGCAAAGAGAAAAAGAAAAGCATAGATGAGGTTTAAATAAATGGAGCTATGCCAAAGAATTTAGCATAGTCATTTGTCTTTGGTACCTTAACAGAGCAGAGAAAGAAGTTCTTGGAGTCAACCTCAGGCTGTGCAGAACAATGTCAATTCAAAATAATTGGAATTTATTACCATAAACTAAACAGAGTAGGCAAGGGCTTTCTTACTCCGTCCTAAACTTCACTTTGGTTGTAGTTAATCCCATCAAAGGATAAAAGAAAAGTTGTATATTAATACATTTAGATCCATCTTGGGGTAATTTTGCAAATTGCACGCAATCTATGGTAGGTACTTGATTTTTTTTTATGTTTCCCATGATTACCCACTTTGCTCCATTTTCATATCATTAAGGTCTCTTTTGATTCACCCTGCTAACACTTTTTCATCTTTACCCATCTTTCCTTAGCAGCGTTGTGGCTTGGTATTCAAGGTATTGAGTAGTATATCAAAGGATGTGGGTTTTCATACTGTCATGGGTTGAATTGTGTTTCCCCAAAATTTATATTTGGAAGTCTAATCCCTCCCACCTCAGAATGAGACCTTATTTATGGATAAGATATATATGGAGGTAATAAAGTTAAAGTGAGATCATTAGGACAGATCCAAATCCAATATGATGGTGTCCTCATAAGAAATAAACATTTGGACACAGGCTTCCCTGCAGGAAGCATGCCATTTGAACATGAAGAGAGCCAAGGAGAGAGCCAGCTTGTCAGCCAAGGAGACAGCCATGGAACGGATCCTTCCCTCACACCCCACAGAAGGATATTGTGTCCACAATTGGTTCCTGCCGGTGGGTTCGTGGTCTCGCTGACTTCAAGAATGGAGCCGCAGACCTTTGCGGTGAGTGTTACAGCTCTTAAAGATGGCATGGACCCGAAGAATAAGTGGTAGCAAGGTTTATTGTGAAGAGTGAAAGGACAAAGCTTCCACAGTGTGGAAGGGGACCCGAGCAGGCTGCCACTGCTGGCTGGGGTGGCCAGCTTTTATTCCCTTATTGTCTTCTCCCATGTTGCGTTTCTGTCCTATCAGAGTGCCCTTTTCTTCAATCCTCCCCACGATTGTCTACTTTTAGAATCCTACTGATTGCTGCATTTTACAGAGAACTGATTGGTGGGTTTTACAATCCTCTTGTAAGACAGAAAATTTCTCCAAGTCCCTACTCGACCCAGGAAGTCCAGCTGGCGTCACCTCTCAATATAACCCTGCCAACAATTTGATTGCAAATTTCTGGCCTCCACACTGAGAGACAATAAATTTCTGTTTAAACAACCCAATTTGTGGTTATTACAGCAGGCCCAGAAAATGAATGTATATAACTGTTAGTTATTTCCTAGGTAACCCAGGGCATGCCACTTCTTGCCTCTGGGTCTTTGTTTATTTAAATACAATACAGTGATAATTATTCCTGCTTCAAATATTTTAAAGATAGTGGCAAAACTCAGGTAAGATGACAGCTGTAGAAATAATTAAAAGTGTATATACTACTGTGTATACTATTTGAAACAAGTGTCATAGTAGATGTTTTAAAGATAAAATTGGATGGTGTTCAAAATTATTTTACTATCAAAGTATCTGAAATTTTGTATTATTTGTTTCTATGGTCAAGATACGTTTTCAAATTATGAACAATTTTCAGAATAGCTCTAATAGTTCGGAGACCAGGGCAATAATCTTCATAGAGAAATAGGAACTGAAATAGAATAATGAATTTAGTTATTTCAGAATAGTAGTGACAGACATTGAACAGTTAAAGGAAAAGAAAGCTAATTGTCATGAATGTCACTTGAACAGCCTTATGTTTGTTTTAAGAGCCTGGACTCTTGATTCTAATTTGTACATGCATCTAATTCACATACATTTGCATACAGATTATGGAGTCCTATATTCCAAATGTAAAATTCATAATGAGAATTAAACCAGTAATTTTTATACTCTCTGAAATGTACAAAGCATTTTTAAAGCTCTTATGATTTACCCATCCAATAATTTGAGGTAAGATCAATGGGGAATGCACCATTGCTTCGTTTTTACACAAAGGAGGAGAATTTATGTTTAGTAAGTGCACTGCACATGCCCATTAAAGGAAAAAAAGGGGAGAGATGGGAAGGGGACGGGAAGAGAGGGAAGGGGAAGGGGAGGGAGGGGAGGGGCAGGAATTACTCAAATCCAATCTGAAAATGAATTTCCTGAAGCTCATCCTTCCACTGGAAGGATACTGATTCCTTCCTCAATGCTCAAGCATTATTCAAAGCCCCCCTAAATCAGTATGGCTTCTTCTTAACAGAAAGTTTTAAACAGACAGACTAATATTTTCTTGCCCAGATTGAGAAATGTAAGTGGAACTTCTGAAAATATGTTTATTCTTTGGTGCTTGAAATGTGGTGTAAGTTTTCTAAATAAGCCAATATTTTATTGCCTTAAGCCTTTTTATACAATACATCATTAATGTATTTATGAGATAGTGTTTATGAATTAAAAATAAGAATTATGATTATATGTATTTTCATTAGCATAATAATTTTACTAATCAGCCCAGTACAAGATCCTCTTGCCCCATTTCCTTGGGAAACATTAAGCTGACATAATTGCAGGCCTGTAGGGCAGAACACATGCTAGAGGGTATTCCTAGGGCACACCATTTGAAGAGAGGAAGCTAGGTAGAGAAGAAGCCAAACAATGTAAAATAAAGGTGACCCTCATAGTTTTCATGGAAACTGATAAGACCAGGATTAGAGAGGAGGAGGGGGACTGTTCCTGCATGATGGGTAAAGTACTGAAGCTCATTACTGTCCCTCCCCCACTTTATTTTAATTTATTTCCTTCAGTGATAAATGCTGACTTTGGTTCTAAACCTACTTGCCAATACTGAAACAGCTTGGATGCTCTCAACTGTCATGTTAACTCAGCCGAACTGTCATTTGCAGAAACCTTTGCAAATTTACTTTGTATTGAGCTGGTAACATCTGACTAATTTCCACTAATACTGCATAGCAGCTATAACTACTTTTGCAGAGCACATTAGCCTTGTTTAACCGGCATCATAAATAATAAATTCAAACTGCTGGGAATTGGCTTATATTCCGTATTGCTTTTTGACGTATTTTTGGAGTCAGGTACATTATTTCACGCTAATGATTCTGCTAAACCCAGAGGCTTTTGTCTGTTATTCTTACATCCCAACCAAATAGTTTAAAGAAATAAAGCATCAGGCACTCTTTTCTCATATTCCCAATGTTCCAATCTTGTCTCCAGAAAATAAAAATGTGCAGTTATCCAACAGCTCCTTGACAGCTCATTTGAATGGAGCCCTGGGCTGATTTCTCAAAACCCCTTCAGCCATCTCCACCCTATCTCCTTATTCTTGGGGTAGCATTGCGGATTTAGCATCGAGGTCTAGGGAATTCTCAAAGTTGTATCAGAGAAATAAAAGAATGGCAGCAGTTATGAGATACCAGAAAAGTAAATCATTTCCAACAAATTAGAACCAAATCTAAGCACATCTACTTGCTAAACTGTACAGGGGAAGCAGTCTAACGTTTGCTCTTAGTGATGGTGTGCTGGGAGCAGTATTTACCCTGCACCTGCTCTTTAAAGGGATGAACGATAAATGAGGGCAGTGCCTGTTGAGGAGGAAGCATCATAAGGAGAATGGTTAATACTGTAATGTTGGCTACAGCAACATGAAGGATTGACATCAATAGTGTAGGGGCTTTAAATGACAAGGGAGTGGGTGTGAACACACATCAACATAAAAATAAATTCTCATTACCCATGGGTTATTAGGAACTGGGCCACCTTGATTAATTTACTGTTGATATCAATTCTCCCTAATATATCAACGCATTAATCATGTTTGCTAGTTTCCATATCTCACATTTTCACATCCAGGGACTTGCTGCCTCCAGAATCAATGCTCCTCCTCCCAGTGATAGCTAAATTCTGGAAACAGCAAACAACTCCCTGTGAGAATGTCCTTGATATGCAAAGCAAACAATCTAGAGTTCTTCCCCTTCTCCACCACCTGGTTTATCTGCTTTCTCTGGGCTCTTAGACTTGTGGGACAGTAATCCTTTTGCCCTAATCTCTCCAGGCCTAAGTCTCAAACAACTAGGCCCAGGCTTTACATGCTAGATCCCTATGAAATTATTTAACATAGTCAATACTCTCCTGGTCAGTCCCCTTGCTCTGCCTTGCCCACACCTTCTCTGGAAAACACCACGAAGGCTTTCTGTTTGCTCTTGCTCACTCCCTCTGCCCGTGACCAATCTCCAGACTCTCTTCTGTGACTTTGCTTAGGGTGATGTGCCCCTCTCCTCTTGGACACTGTCAGGAATAAACCATCTCTTGAATGGCAATTGTCTTCAGTTCTGTTGCATGGTGAATACTTGAATAAAACTAAAATCCCAGGTACATTTTTAAGGCAAGGACACCAATGACTTGGCCATTCAAGGATATCAGTTACTAAGTGAAGGAAAATATTCATTTTTAAAACAACTATTAAATATAGGACAAAAGAAAATGGTAGAAAAGCAAATGGCACTGCTCTGTCACCCTCACCTCAAACTGCATGATCCTCCATGTCTGGGGATGAGATGGGATGATTGCTGGCCTTCATGACCTATCTGGCAGCATAAGCTGGCTCCTCTTGGGTCTCTGTTTTTGTTGTTTGGGTTTGTGTTGTAAGAGAAATTTCGGATAGAGTTGACTGTGAAGAATCACAGCAGCCTTATCCATCTTCTGTCTGCAGGTGGGCTAGCCACCTTAGCTTTCAGCCTGCCACACCCTTCCACTCTCAGTAACATCATCTTTTATTTATCTTAAGAGTCTGTCATAACAAATGAGAATTTGGTCTGGATACATAACCTTACTTAGGAAGACAAGATTTAGCAACACGAGTGAAAAATATTTTTGAGTTATTTATGCTTATTTTCACTCTGAGTTTTATAGGGAGTAACCACTATAAAACAAAAAACAAAAAACAAAAATTAAAAAAAATATTTAATATGGCTATGCAAATTCTGAGAAACTAAAATGGAGACTTGGGAGTCTGCAAACTACATTTCCCATTTTTTCTTTGCCAGTCAGCTTCTTGTTCGGTTCTGTCAGCAAGAGGCATGGGGGCAGATTAGAAGGCAGGAGGAGGGAGAAATCTTTCCACTTACTCTTTGTCTTTTCCTTCATTGACAGTGTCTCTGGAAGGATCTGCCTGGCTTCCGCCACTCCAGCATCCACAGCGTGGTCCTTCCTCTCAGACCTCAGTGCAGAAAGTAGTGGCAACCTTTGAAGTGGGAACTTTCTTCTGCTCCCAGGACCTGGTTCCAACACCTCCTTTCTTTAGTTCCTCAGCCTTCCTGGAGTTAATAACCTTCAGTTTACCTCCCATTCCCCTATTTGTCTTTCAGGTGTTGTCCCACCCATGTGACCAGTCTTTGTACTACAGCACTTATATTTGGAATATCCAGTAACCAATTAATCATTGTATTACATCATTTATTTTCTTTTCTTTTTATTACACCATTTCTAATTGAAACATTCAGATTTCTTTTTTCCTGACTAGACTTTGACTAATACAAAGGAGCATATATGGGAGAAAAAAATAGGAGGCTTTCTTGGTAGCTGATTCATGGGGGAAATATGAAAAATGGAAAATATGTGGTAATTAATTTGTATAATGAAAATCCTTCTTTAATTTTGCCTTTCACAACTTTAATAACATTTTTCCTTTCTTGCCAATCATTTTGTTGTAAAATTACCTTCTTTTTTGTTTGCTTTTCTGTTAAAAACATGCAATAAGTAATACATATAAATATATAAAGATATGTATATAAGTAAAATTTATCTCTATACAATAATAATAAACACCATGTCTTTGTTCACCACCCTGATTAAGACACAGAATAATCTATATATCCAGTTCATCACATTTTTCTCCCTCCCTCTAATAGAAAACCACTATTCCAAATTTCATTTATCATCCCCTTGTATGTCTTAATAATGCTACTACATATGTATTTATGCGTATATGACACATTGTATATTTATGTTTTATGTTCTTGGGCATTATATAACTGGTATAATTCTATAAGTACTTTTTTGTGGGTTTCTCAATTTTATTCAAAATTAAGTTCATTTGAATTAGCCACAGTAATTTTTTTTTTTTTTTGCTCTAGGTCTCTTGCTTGGTTCCCAGTGCACAGGTATAAGAATTTCTCAAAAGTATGTGCCTAGGTTTCATATGGCTGAGTCATGATTTGCGTGTATGTGTCCCTCCAAAATTCGTATGGTGGAACTTATGACTCAATGTGATAGTATTAAGAGATGGTGTTTTAGAAGGTGATGACGTCTTGAGGGCAGAGCCCTCACAAATGGGATTAATGTCCTTATAAAGGAGGTTTCAGAGAGCTATCTGACCCTTTTGTCCTTCCATTTCTCTGCCATGGAAAATGCAGTATTCTTCCCTTTTGCCTTTCCTCCTTCTGCCAGGTGAGTTTGCCACCTTCAGCAGAACACTCAACCTGCTGTCACCTTAATCTTGGACTTCCCGCCTTCAGAAATGTGAGAAATAAATTTACATTCTTTATACATTCCCAGTCTAAGTTATTTCGTTATAGTAGTAAAAACAAAGACATGCGTGTATCTTCTATTTTATGAGATAATATCGCATTATTTTCCAAGGTAGTGGTAGAATTTATTTTCCCTCCGTAAGTGCACATATGTTCCTATTTCCCTATTAATCCACATTATCTCCATGACTTGATCTTGTCAGATTATTTTGCCAATCTAATGAGTAAAAATGGTAGTTCATTATTTTAATTTGCAGTACATTGCTTGCTAGTGAAGTGAAATATTTTTCATATGTTTATTGGCTATTAGTCTTTGCTTTGTTAAATACTTGTGTATTTTACCAATTTTTCTATTTTTTTATTATAAAGGCTTTTAAATGTTTCTTGACTGTATTTTGTCCACTAACCCTTTGTTCATTATGTATGTTGTAAATATTTCTTTCTAGTTTGTGTTGGTATTTTCACTTTAAACACACGTTGCTAATTTTAAAACGGATGGATTTATCATTTCCCTTATTATTACCACTTTTGCTTTAATTATTTTTGTTTTCCTTATCATCACCAAGATTTAAAGATGTTTTCCTATTCTTTTCTCTAACAATTTAGAGTTCCACCTTGTACATAATTTTGGTCAATAATTTATTTGAAAATGTGTGTGTGTAAAAACCTATACATATCAAGTAATATTTTCTGCTTTGCAAACAATTCTATTCTGTGCCTTTGACTTATTCATTTATGATCATGACAATCCATCCTGTCTTATTTCTATTACTTCAAATGAATAATATCATCTGGCATAGGAAATCCACCATCACCATGTTTTTGTTCAGTAATATGTTGGCCATATTTTGCCTTTGCTCTTCCATATAAATTTCATAGTCCATATAAGAGTCTGTGAGAAGTGTTTTTGGGATTTTGATTAGAATTGCATTGATCAAATTATGTGAAGCATTTTACAACAATGCTTGGCCAGTAGTTAGCATCCAATAAACAACATCTGTTATTACTAGCTACTAATATACCTGTTCTGCTCATAAGTGAATAAAACCTGGGCACTAAGTTACAAAAAAAAATTACATCAATCAATTTGGAGAGGATTCAAATCCATAGTAGATATGATGGAAAGACTTGCTCAACCCCTATTCTAACCTCTTATATAGGTTTACAGGTTTTGTGTCTACTGCAAATAAAATATATGTCACAAATAATGTACATTTTGTAAAATTTCTTGCAATTATTATCCTGACTACAACTCATCTTTTTCAATACCATGCATGTCTGATCAAATTAAGTTTGGGACCAAGTAAATTGGGAGAAAGAGCAGCGCATATGAAGCACACACTTTGCTGGTGTGGAGTTGCCAGGCGTGTTGTGACTTTAGAGACAATAGATTTGGAAGCTGCTTCTTAACCTTGGGATCAGAAATAAGAAAATATAATCCTGGACCAATATTCATGATACTGGCATCTTCAGCTCTCAGTTTTCTGAATGTGGCTGAAGCAGCATGTCTTGGTAGGACAATTCTGATTACTACTTGGAGAGTAGTTCTGAGAAGCCCATCTGGATATGATCCCTCTAATATTTCTAGTAATCACGTTAACATTAACATCCCAGCTTTAAATCTTTTCTGCTCTGATAAAATCCTGTTCTGAGATAGATCTATGAATGCAAGATCTATTTGAAACAGAGGCTGAATCAAGACAAGAGGGCAAGAGTATGAAGACAGATTCCCTCTGTGGCACACAGGAAGACTGAGGACTCAGAGAGGAGTACAACTACGGAGAATACGCTTGGGATTTAATCCCCCACCCTAAGGAGGAGGCTTTGTTAAATAAATTTGTTTCCTGTGGTGTACTGAGCTAAACATATAGTTATAAAACCTCAAGCCAACTCAACTGACAAGACTGACTCAGTCCACGACACTAGCTGCTTGAGAAGAGACACATTCCCGTTCCCATGCGTGAACCCCATTGACCTCAGCCTCTCCTTCTCTAGGAGATATCTAGAATATGCACAAAAATCCAAACATGCATACATTCACATGCATAATACAATCAAGAAAAATTACCCATTGTCAATAGTCAGAGCAATGAACAGGACCAGATTCAGAGATGATGCAGCTGTTAGAACTATCAGATAGTGAATATCATATAACTTTGATTAGCATGTTAAAAATGCAGTGGAAAAGGTAGACAGCATGTGAAGAGATGGGACACTTCAGAAAAAAAGATGAAAACTGTGAAAGATCATGAAAGTTGAACACTAATTAAAGTGGTAAGAACAGATTTTTTTTTTTTTTTTTTTTTTTTGAGACGGAGTCTCTCTCTGTCACCCAGGCTGGAGTGCAGTGGCATGATCTCGGTTCACTGCAAGCCCCGCCTCCCGGGTTCACGCCATTCTCCTGTCTCAGCCTCCGGAGTAGCTGGGACTACAGGCACCCGCCACCACGCCCGGCTAATTTTTTTGTAATTTTAGTACAGATGGGGTTTCACTGTGTTAGCCAGGATAGTCTTGATCTCCTGACATCGTGATCCACCTGCCTCGGCCTCCCAAAGTGCTGGGATTACAGGCGTGAGCCACCGCACCTAGCAAGAACAGATGTTAATAATTTAGTTGAATAATGGAGCTCCACTTTGATTTGTGAGAGGTGTGCAGAGGTGGGCATTTGAAAGATAGAATGAAGGCTTTGGGGTCAGGCAAAGGGTGCTTCAGTGGAGTCATGAAAGTAAAAAAATTACAAAGGGCTTGTCAGTATAAATGTTTATTAGTCCATTTCTGTTAACTGGCCATTAAAAAGTTAGGATTATATTCTACCACGAAGACTGGGGGACAGATGTCTTATCCTTTTGTATGGTTGTGTTTTAGAGGAATGGATTTTAGTCTTCGAGGAAGACACTCTAGAGTTGTGTGAGATACATAAACATTACAAAGAGACAGAGGAAGGATTCAGAATCATATGCCCTTAGCAAATGCTCTGAGAAAGGGTGGTCTGAGGCCTGTCACCAGGTGTTGGTTACAATAAAAACAACAAATTATTTTGTCAACTTTGGGCTTTCTTAGGCAGGCACTTTAAGCTGGGCTAGGGTCATCCTGATCATTTAGATAGTATGTAAGTGTTTAAGTCTTTTCATGTGCGGGGAGGAGGTGGAAAAATCATTCATGTTGAGAGTTTGAGTTTTCTATGGCTAAGATTGAGGCCTAGTCAAGAACAGGGATCAGAGGAACCTAGCTAAAATTCGGTCAAGGAACGAGTCTTTGTCAAAACCCTAAGAGAGAGTCAAATGGAAGTGGTAAAAATTAAAATACATGGTATCATAAGCTGAGGAAAACTTTGAAGTGCTCATCATTCAATTGGACATTTCCAAAAGTTAATCATTCAATTTGAACATGAGTCAATAGTAAGCACCCCAACCGAAACACAGAGAAATGAGGAGAACAGGGCATCTAAGAGCAGTGGGACAATATTAAGTAGCATAGCATGTGTGTAACTAGAATCTCAGGAGAAGAAAGAAAGGAGCCGAAAAACAAATTGAAGTAATAATGACCAAAAAAAGTTTTTAAAACAATGAAAGGCATCAAACCAGAGATCCAAAAAGCCCAGAGACTCTTAAGCAGAATGGATTTACATATGCAAAAGTAAAACAGCCAATGACAATAGCCCAAAGTAAGGACAGAAGGAATTGATAACATACTGCTGTAAGGTTATGTTACATGAAGGGGAATAATATCATGTGAAAATAGTGATAAGTTAGGATGTATGCTGCTAAACTTATAGCAATCACCAAAGTAAAACAGCAAAGAATGAATAATAATTAAGTAAAAATAAAGACATAATGGAATTATAAAAGTATTAACTAAAACTAATGCATAAGCAGGGAGATAATAGGGACAAAGTGAAAGAAAAAATGACAAATGGAAAAAAATAGGAAACCATCAACAAGATAGCAGATTTAAATTCGATGATAATAGTAACTAGTGTAAATGTAAACAGTCTAAGTATCCCAAATGAAAGACAAATTTTTCACTCTGCATAAAAAGCAAGGGACAATTATATGTTACCCAATAAAACCCACCTATAAGTAAAAACATGCGGGGGAATAATTTACACATTCCTTAAGCCACAGAAAGCTGGAAAGAGCATCATTCCTACCTTACTGATAAGAAAAAATAAACAAATAACCAGGACTACCTTTTCTTGAACTCACTGTAAAGCTGAGGTTGCAAGGCAAACAAATAAACAAAAAAAGCCAAGGATACAAGGAAAGACAAACGTCCACAAAGAAGAATGTCATGAGCTGTGACTAGCTGTGACAGCACAGGAGGAAAAGTTATTCTATGACATAGAAGAGGGTATGAAAATAAAGATGAAAATGTTAATGAATTGCTAATGTTTTATTGTAGGCTAGTCTGATAGAACAGAATCTCTATGATCCTCAAAAATAAAAGAGTTTGTGAACACTCCCAGGCTATTCTCCCTGAATTCCACTGGCTGCTCTCTCTCACTCTCTCTCTCTCTCTCTCTCTCTCTCTGTCACACACACATACACACACACACACACACACACACACATAAATAAGGAATAGGGTGAGAGGGCACAAAGTTTTTTTCGGTAGTGTAGACATCAAAAAGTGAACTGGTCACCACTATAAAAAGCACAAAGTCTCACAGGATCTTTTTATTTTTTCTCTACGGAAAAAAATCCTTAAGCCTCTAATAGAGAGTAGTAAATCCTGTCATCTCCCAGGGACAGGTAAAGAACATTTTGCAGCTGGTAGAAGAGTGACAGGGAAAAAAATTACCCTAGGAAAGGGGCAGGCAAAAACCCTAGGCTTAGGATCCTATACCAATGCTGTTAAACATCTCCTACCACAGGGGATGGTTAGGAAATTGTTTTCTGTACAGAACCTACCAAAGTCAAAAGCCACAATATGGCAGAGCCACTGACAAATCTGTTTCGGATACCTAGGGAAACAGGGTCTGCCCATAGCCAAGTTTCATCATCAGGACAATAGAAGAAAGCTCTGTCCCCAAGCAACAGTCCAGGGGTCACTGAGTAAAAAGCAATAACAGTAAGTTTGGGGAGGTGCAGAAACATGGGAAGAGAACATATTTGTGACTCGGGGGCACCAGTGGACTAAAAGCTTAGAATGGAGTGGGAACATTGAGGACAACTGCAAGCACCCCAGACTCCCCACTAAATACAAGGTAGCAGAATTTGATGCTGAGGATGCAATGAAGGTATCCATAACGGCAACTCAGCACAAACCCAAATATTAGTGGTTTAAATACACCAAATAAATGTAGAGACTGCCCAATTCTATTTTAAAAAATCTACATGCTGTCTACAAGAAACTTACTTTATATATAAAGACATATCTAGGATTAAAAAAAATAAGAAAGAAAATGCCCTGCAACCCTTTTGAAAAGGAAGCTGAAATGGCTATATCAATGTCAGAAAAAATAGACTTCAGAATAAAAAGTATTGCTCACAATAATGAGGGAAATACATAAAAAAAGGAGTCAGTTTTCATAGTAGGTACAAAAATTCTAAATATGAATGCATCTTACAACAAAGCTTTAACATACATGAAACAAAAGCTGTTAGAACATAAAGGAAAATTAGACAACTCCACAATTATAATTGGAGACTTCAACCCCTTTCTCTCTGTAACTGATGAAAAGAAAGCATCCAGGAAAATCAGTAAAAAATATTCAAAGTGTGAATAACACAACCAATTCGAACTCTTTGACACTAATAGATACAAGTATATTCTTAAAGTGTTTTTCGAACATTTATCAAAATGCATCAAAAAAGAGATGTCCATGCATTTAAAAGACTTGAAATCGCACAAAATATTTTTCTTATCACAACAGAATTAAACTAAAAAATAAAAACAGAAAAATATCTGGAAAACTATCCAAATATGTATAAATTGAACAGGACAAAAAGGTAGTCACAAATTAGTAAATATTTTGAGGTGAATACAAATGAAAAGACCACATATAATTTGTGGAATACAGCTGAAGCAAAGCTGAGAGGGAAATATACTGCATTAAATGCATATATTGGGAATAAAAGAGAAATATCTGAAATCATGACCTAACCTTCTAACTGAAGAAATTAAGGAAAATAGAGGAACGTAAATTAAAATTAATCAGAAGGAAGAAAATCATGATAGTAAGGGCAGAAATCAAAATATCTGGAAACAGAAAACAATAGAAAGAATAAATGACCTCTGAACATTATTACCTTACATCAGATTCTCCAGTAGCAGCCCCTGAAGCATGGTGCAGTGATGAATTAAGGAAGTGCAAGAGTTTAAGGAAGGGAAATCCAGGGAGTTAGGAGCAGGACAGGGTGGACCAAGGAGCCAAGCAAAGCTGTAATTTCAAGCAAAATTCTAACCTTATTCTGACCCTGCAGAGAGTTCTGGAGCGTAAATTACACTGAGTTTGTTCAGCCTCAAGGCAAGACAGCAGCACTTTCACATCTAGAGTCAGTCAGAGACTACATGGGGGTGGGTTGCAGAATTGATAAGATGAATCCAAGGAGATATGGGCAGTGTCTGCTACAGTTAGTAAGATTTATTCTCTTTTTCGAGGTAAAAACATAGTTTAAGATTTGAAGGAGACAGTCTCTAATACACTGGTGGACATATGTTTTACTGTTCTTCATTACAAATAAAAACTATAGGCTTCTGAATATGGGCCATATTAACTCCTTCTTTACATTGCCTCTTGGCTTACCAGGTGGCATCTAGTGGTTGCTTTGGCATTGTGTTTCTTTTTATTCCTTGCATTTGCTGCACCTGTCATGGCTTAAAGACAACAACATTGATCTTTTCTTTTCTTTCTTTCTTTTTTTTTGCAGTCTCATTCTTTCTCCCAGGCTGGAGTGTAATGGTGTGATCTCCACTCACTGCAACCTCCGCCTCCCGGGTTCAAGCAATTCTCCTGCCTCAGCCTCCCGAGTAGCTGGGATTACAGGCATGCACCATCATGCCTGGCTAATTTTTGTATTTTTAGTAGAGATGGGGTTTCACCATGTTGGTCAGGCTGGTCTTGAACTCCTGACCTCAGGTGACCCGCCCGCCTTAGCCTCCCAAAGTGCTGGGATTACAGGCGTTAGCCACCATGCCCCTCCGCTATTTATTTCTAATCTTACTGATATACTCCCAAGCATGGCTCTAGTAGCAGTGTTTGCTTTCATTTCATATCCTTTATATGTTTCCTAGAACTATTTATTTTCCAGAGCTTTCTGTCCATGCACGATGTAAGGTGACAAATCATTATCATGCATAGAGCTTCTTTCAAAAAGCTGACAAGTGTTACAAGTTGAGATGACTTTCTCCAGAGTGAATTCTTTCCCCCATAGTCCACATGCCAGGGGAATTCATATTTGAAACTTGGCCTTGCTTGATCTCGAGCCGGGTTTCTTAAGCTTTTGAAACAGAAGTGTCTTTTTGTGTGTGGACAAGGAATTCATTGCAATGCATTCAAGGCAGCACGTTGAAGAGTATTTAGCAGCACCGATGGCCTCTGCCACTCCAATCGTGACAACCAAAAATGTCTCCAGACATTGCCAAATATCTCCTGGAGAGAGATATTGCCCCCAGTTGAGAACTACAGTTATAGAGCAGAGCTTATAAAAAATAACTTCCTGTGATGATGGAAATTATCTGTTTGTGTGGTCCAATATGGCCGTGTTAGCCATATGCGGCGATTAGGCACTTGAAGTGTGGCCCCCATGCCAGAGATGAATTTTTTTTTTTTTAATTGAGACGGAGTCTCACTCTGTCGCCCAGGCTGGAGTGCAGTGGCGCGATCTCGGCTCACTGCAAGCTCCGCCTCCCGGGTTCACTCCATTCTCCTGCCTCAGCCTCCAGGGTAGCTGGGACTACAGGGGCGCGCCACCACGCCCAGCTAATTTTTTTTGTATTTTTAGTAGAGACGGGGTTTCACCGTGTTAGCCAGGATGGTCGCGATCTCCCGACCTCGTGATCTGCCCGCCTCGGTCTCCCAAAGTGCTGGGATTACAGGCGTGAGCCACCGCGCCAGACTGAGATGAATTCTTAATTACATTTAATTTTATTAATTTAAATCTAAGTTTAAATGGCCATATGTAACTCATGACTACTGTTGAAAAGAGCGATGCTTGAGTCTTGGCTCAAGACAGCTGGAAGTTCTACTGTGCCCTATCTCTCTTTTCCCCGGAGCTCCTACAGAGAGCCCAATTTCTTATGGCAGGCAGACAAAGTAAGTCTTCATTCTGGGATCTTGGCTATAATCACTATTCTTAAAACCCTATAATTCATTATAGCTTACAAGTGTTTTCAGAATATTATTAAAAATGAGTTGCCCTATCTTTTGAAGTATACAAATCTCTCTTTTCTAATATACAAATTGGAATCAATGATTTTTCCACCGTTAGAGGTAGTATGTGGCAGAATCTGCCTCAGAAATCATATTCTTCCACTCAGAATCCGTAAACCTCCATATATTTCTTTTTCTTGATAAATATTTCTTTCATAAAAATTTCTCAACTACGTCTATCCCTTTCTGACAGAGCAGTGCTCACTTTAAGTTCCTGTGGCCTTACCTTTATGTGACATCATCACACTCTTATTTATTGTTCTGCCATATTTTGTTACTTCCTATGTGTGTATTCTACCTCTAACTAGATTGAACTTTTGTTACATGAACATAGCTGAGTATGTGAAACTAGAAAACCTTCAAAATCAGATTTGTAAACCTACGAAAAATAAATCCTGGTATTGTATCTCTTTTGAAGAGTGTGCCTGTATCTAGTTAAACAGAGAAATCTTAATGAGGGAAACACAACTCATTTGGTCAAATTTGGTTTGTATTTTTCATTCATTTTTTGTTTAATTTTAAAAACAACCTTAGGTTTCTAAAAGAAATGTTGCAAATATTAACTACAATTTGAAAGCAAGTAAGAGAATGTTAAAGAAATAATTTAGATTCAATATCAATGAATTATGGAATTCAATTATTCTCAGAATAGTTCAAACTCTTTTGCTACTTCTTATTAAGAGAAATACTTGGAATTGTAAACTAGGAAGTTATTGATATCTAGTTCTGCATTCAAAGTATTATCAGAAAATGTTCAAGTAAAATAAAGCTTAGAGTGTTAGACATAGCATGGAATCAAACTGTAATATAGTTTTTTTTTCAGTGCAGCAAAAATGGCACTTTATTTTGACCCAGGGCATGTTTTCCATCTTAAAACTGATTGTTACCAAAAAAATTTAAATTGTCAACAAAAATGGGCACATTAAATAGCAATTGAATCTGAAAGTAGTTTCTTCCAAAATATCACAAGATTTTCTCAGTCACCTTTGACCAATTATGTATTGGTCATCTTAATTGGGTAAAATGTTAATATTAAACCTTATAATGTATCTATTATCATATATTTTCAAACTGCCTGTCTTTTTAAACCTCCTGAAGTCAGTTTAGGTATCCTCTGATATGGTAACTTGAGCTTGTAACCATGTGTTAATTTGCATTAATATATACTGTTTCTTGAATAAATATTTTGTTGACTACCATGAGGTATAATATCCAGATAACTGAATTTTTGTTAAATAGATTTCTTTCAAGATCCTGCAAAGTGCTATGGGCTTTATAGTCACTAAGTAAAATATTATGTAAATAAATGCATTAATAAACAATACATGAAATATTATTATTAAAATTTATGACAAAAACCTTTCTGTGAATGGGAGGTGAGATATCAATTTAGAAATATTTCCTATATTGCCTATGATCAGATTGATGACTTTTTGGGCAAGTGATAATTGTAAGAGCACCTACTGAAACACTAGAGAAAATGACAATATTTTAGAGATTAAAAGTTAGTCTCTTTTTTCCATTTTCCCATGTTTTTGAATTTGACCATGTCTGGAATAGATAGACATTGAACTCATGGTTAAAAAAATACAATCTCCAACTGGTACATTTTATCTTCATTTATACTTAATTCATCAAACATGCTTTCATAGTATCTCTTTGATATTCATAATGGCTTTCTTAGTAAGTCATGGAAAGTTTTTTCTTTGAATGGGGACATGACACTTTGCCAACAGTCCATAGAACATGGTTAACTTTCTCAGAATCCCTAAGAGGATTGCAAATGAAAGAACCTTCTGCTGTCACCCGGATGTGATCAGAGAGTTTTCACCAGTCGTGAGTGCCAGAGTCAGGCTCCACTCAGGGGTGACTACGATTCAGAATGCAGTGTGTAGGCGTTTTTAATTGAGCGGATGGAAATGGTTGACAGAGTAATGGTTGCAATTGTTCACCATTCACATGGAAAAGAATTTGCTCAGTAAATAGGAGGCATTGTTTCCAACCTAATTTAATGGAAACACAGAAGGTATAAGAAGGTAATGTGCCAACTGACACTGGGTGTAAAATAAGGCATTTTAGACACTTTTGTGCAAATGTCCATCAGCTGACATCTGTCAAAGCAGCCTCCTGGGACGGCTTCAGAGCATATCCATTTGCCAGCAGCAAACATTTAGTGAGCTTCATTCTCTGAGGAGCAGAGTGTTGGTTTGTTTTGGAATGTGAGCATTTGAAATAACCCACTTTTCCCCAACACCAAACTACTACATAAACACCATTGAGCCTGGTTATACAGTAAAAGGAATAGGCTATTTTGCATATGGATACCAATCCTTAGGTTGGCTGAGAGGCAATGGGAGTGCATGAGAGAAGACACATGTGATACAACTTGTTATATTGTAGCCTGAATAAAGGCTTTAAGGTCTAAAGAATATTACTTCCATCAAATGAATAAACTTAAATGGGTTCCAAGCTGCCTAACCATGCACTCCACTAAAGCATGTGGTGTACGTTTGTGTGTTTGCTTCTGTGGGCTGGCCTGATTTCCATTTCAATTTCTGTATTATACAGTCTTATAAAGGAAACTGTAAAAATTATCTGTATTCTATAACTTTAAATTGACTCAACAATACTTAGAAGAAAGTAATTCTGGCAGTGTATCCTGAAGGTAAGATGCATCTCTATTTTTCTACATCTTTCTTTACAAAATGAGCCCATCTGTGGCAAATTTAAATTTCCTGGGTTTGGCAGAGCAGACCACTCCTGTTATCTTTACCAACCTGGTCCAATATCATGCCCTGATCTTAGGGTGCGGATTTAGATACAATTGTCCAGGAATCCAGAAAGAGTCAAGGTAGTGAAACCTCAATCACAACTTCACAATGTGGATATAAATGTCTTGATATACATGGTGTTTTAAAATTCAACTTTTAAAAATAAATAAAAAGCTATGTAATTCTTTGAAAAAAATTTTCATTCTGGTTTAGAATGAATGAAATGCATTTTTTTTTAGTTCACACAATTATTAAATTTTCCATAACTATGAGGTTTCAAACTTGGCAAGTACCGTCTATCTTACGCAGTCTCTCCATTAATTCTGTGAAGAAATGAAGGCTAAGTAAATGTCTTAGTTTAGGGTCATATACTGGAATATGCAAAGTTACTCAGTATATTACAGGAGAGCTATAGTGTTATTGAGGTATTGGTGGGATTATTATTATTATTTAGACTCAATTATTAGGGATCAAAATTCAGTTACTTCATAGTTTTCCATTCTATGCCACATTCTTGTTTGAATTCAGATTCATTGAGTGCAGAATGATATTAGAATCAGCACTGTACTTTACAGCTTTTCCAAATATATGTGACTCCCGGCTTACCTACTCATTTAGATTATTTACAGATGGACTCCTAAAATAACACTAGTGCTTAACAAGCAACTCTACTGAAATATAAAAGATAGCTTTGTTGTATAGAACTGTTCAGATTTACTCACTGAAAAACGTTGAGCATTGGTGCTTATATTCACTGTTGATATAGGACCTCTTTTTACTAGATAGTGTGATAGACACTTGGCACACGTGGGCTTTAATTCTTACAACGCTTTTTGTTTGATGTTTTCTATAAAATAAATTAATTGAGGTAGATATTTCTGCATTACAGATGATGAAACTGGAGATGTCACTTAGTGGAGATTCAAACTTTTCTTTCTAAACTGATGTTTTTTCTACTCTGACACACTTCACCTAAGTAGCATTATTCTAATATTAGTAACATTACCATAGCAATCTAATTACTTTTAATGGTTCTTTCATTTCGGCCATTTCTTTTTTCTCTTTTGCCATTTTCCTTCTCTTGTTTTCTTTTGTACACATGTGACCCAGGCGTGTCTATTGGGTAGCAGAGCACGCAGAAGGTCATGTCTTCAATTTTATGGTCAGTTAGCAGTACTTAGATCTACCACTGTGGCAGATGGGACTGACACAAGAGGTGGAGTGAATGAGTTCAGTCCAGCGCCAGACTTTTATGACCCCTGGGCTCCTGGGCATGTTCCTGTGAAGTTGACCCACACATGTGCATTCTTATAGAAGCTCATGTGCAGTAGTGATTTTACACACACACACACACAAAACACTGAAAGGCCAAGGTCTCAATTCTCATCTTTCTTTTTCGGGAATTGAAACGAGTCTAGGGACAAAAGTTTTGCTGGCCTCTGTGTGAACTTGCTGGGTCACATTCTCCATGGTGGCCTGCTTTAAATCTGGTAACTCAGGCATTTTTTTTTTCTAGATATTCTTTTTAGCTATGATTTCTTAAAAGTTTAGAAACAAGCTTTGGACAATGCTGCCAATCAGGAAATAACAAAGCTATAGTAAGCTAGGAGGTGGTGAAAGGTGAATCCTCATAGCAAGAAATATCTCCTTTTTCATCCTGACCTGCAATTACTTTTGACATCTAGAGGGATGGACCCATAGTACCTCTGAACAAACAGTGACACTACATATGTCTCAGAGCTGTCATAATACTCTGTGAACCAGTTTGCATGCTATTTCTGTGACAAGACCATGTTCTCAAAGTGATACTGTCTTCTTTAAGAGCCCCAAGGTAAAAAAGCAAGATTACTATGCCCTACGTAGCACATTGGCGCCGTGAAGCTTGGACCCCAACGGAGGATAGCAGTCATCAATTAAAAAGCATGGCTCAGATAACAAAACAAACCAGCAAAAACAGTATTCAGAGCCTCATTTACTGGTTGTGCCACGATTGGTACCTGGTTCAGAGAAATAATCCCTAACACAAAAAATACGCATGACAAATACAATCTTTGCCTCTTCCTAACCATTGGGACAGGGGAGTGGTCTTCTGTAAGATTCCAGTACCATTTTATTTTTACTGTGCAAAGAATCCCTTATGTGACCTACCCCCAAGCTGCATATTTTAGCAGAGAGATGTCATACAAAAACTGCTGGAGCTGCAGATCTCCTCAGATAAGAAGAAAAGGATGGCTTTTAGACTGGGAATAAGGAAATGAAAACGTAACAATGCATGCTCTCTTTCAGACTTGTGGTAAAGCTAAGTGAACTTGACAAAGTAGGTCAGAGCTATAATATATATCTGATCAAAATAAATTTCAGTCATATGGCTGAAATCACAAGGTTGAGATATGATGCATAATTGCCCTGAACTTAATAGTTTACAACCCACTTGTATTTGTATTATCCCTCATATTTTAAACCTCATAAAATGTTGGACAGGACTCAATGAGACATGCATTAGACCCAGCCAACCTATTATAGTAGCACTTTTTATACAAATGGAAATCAGATGTAAATGGACCTCTCATATACCTATTTTAACTTGCTATGAAGTCACGAATTACATGTCTTGTATAAGTACAAAACCTGTCTTCTAATTTTCTGAAAATTCTAAGCAACTTATTTTCCTATGGTGACATTTGAATCCTGAATATTTGGAGTGTATGCTAGCTGTGAGTTTCATCTTATTAACTCATATTTTTGGCTTCAATTTTTCCAGAAGCAGATTATCATACCAGAATTTAAGTGCCAATAATTTATGTAGGAGTTCATCCAAGAGAACATGGGTGGCTGAGTGAAAAAGTGAGGTAGGGAAGAAAGGAATAAACCAAGAAAGGTTACATAATCAGGAAAATTACCATTGTGGACAATTGGAGCTCAGTGCCACTAAATAACCCCCGGAGGCATTGTAGAATATGCCTAAAGAGGTCTCATCCCAGCCAATGGTATGGCATGCAGGCTGAGATATATATTCAAGACCCTAGCTACTTCCAAGGATATTAACTTTCCAGAACTTCCACTCTGCCCCACACATTGGCTGACAGTGTTCCTGAAGCCAATAAAAAAAAAAAAATCTCTGAAAGAAGTTATTACAACTTCATCTGACCTCTTTTTTCCCTTTATTCACCTGTCTTTCCTGTTCTTCTCTTTATTGATTTCATCCCCCTATTTCTTTAAAGCAAAACAAATTTATCATACTCATGCTAACAGATTTAATGGCCATCTTTACTTCCCCACACGTTTTAAAAAATTACTTTTTGTGTTTTTGTTTGGGGTTTGTTCTTCAACAAAATGATTACTCCAAAAAAATTTAGTACTATCCCCAAGAGGAATGTTAGTCAATAAGATTTTCTCCAAATTTATCACAATAGTTGGGAAGACAAGGAAATTGAGGCTGAGGTGCTCCTACTAATTTGCCTACTATTAAAAAGCTAAGAAATATCAGAGGTCTGCTGATTCTAGATCTTGAGATTCTTCTCCACATGAGGTTGCTTTTCATCACAGGTTATGTGGTATAAATAAATGTTGAACAGGACTCAGTGAGATGTGCGTTATAGCTATGTTATTTTCTCTTCCTTTACCATGCCAAGCAGTAGCTGGACAAGCAAGGTGATGGAAAGTGGCTACTATTCAGATAGATTAAACCCTAAAACTCATCCCTACTAGAATCCCACATGGCCTATTTTTCTTTGTGTCTTGAGGTTCCAAGTCAACCTTTCTTGAGAAATTTGGTCGTTTTATTATCCTCCAAATTCTTTCTGTTGGATTTCAAGGTGAATTATGAGGAGGGTCAGGAGGCATGATTTTAAAAGGAAATAACAAGGTTTTTTATTGATTTATTTAAAAAACGATTTTACTATATCCTTAAAAATGCAACTGAAGATTAATTTAGGTTACCCAAGCAATTAAAATGTCATTCCTAGTCCATTTTAGTCAAAGTATAGGTTAGAAACTTTTTGTGAAAACTCTATGATTTTAGCTTTATCATGATATTGTTTACATTTGAAAAAATTCTGGTGGCAAATGCAAAGTAATGTATTTTTCTTAATGGAAAAAATGACACAAGTACAATTGTAGGGGAATGTCGAACTCATGCACATTTACACAGACCACACAAGCCACGGCTTGAACAGCCACTTATCTGAGTCTTGGAGGAACTCTGTGATAATTCCAGAACTTGAAAGGAGAAGAGGCCTGTGAGGACCTGCTAGGAGGCTATCTCCCACTCACTTGCCTCCCTGTCTCTCCTGGGAGGCTGTTATGACATGCTTTCTCATTGTCTCCAATATTCTGATGAGATATGAGGCTTTCTGCCCACCTCCCTTAAACTAGAGCAGGAGGCTATGCAACCACTTAGCCACTTATGTAACCTTTGTGAATGCACATTGATTTGAGCACCTACTATGTACCAAGACCTATAATATGTAGTCATTTATTTTGTTTCATGGAATCATTGCAACAATCCAAGAAGGTAGAAATTATTATCTATATTTTGATACAAGGCAACTGAAGTCTATAGATGTTAAGTGTCCTGGACAAGGTCCAAAAGTAACCATGAATACAGATGGGATTGTGATTCCTGACACCACACCTGTGTTCTTTCCATTCACTGTCACTTCCATTCATGCAACATCCATGCTCAGTGGTGGTTCTTACAGTATTAAGAGTAAAGTCAAGTTTATTTTGAACTAGCTGCTTAGAAACAAGGCCAAAGAGAGTCTTATAATTACATACTTTTAAGTAATAGAATACATTTTGTTTTCCTAAAATGTAAAAATCTGGAGACCTGAACTACATATTGTATCAACCAAACTATCAGTGAAGCCTAGCATTCTAGCTCAGATGTGACAATAGTGAATTTTTACTAAAATTTATGGTAGTACTCTTGCTGCATTTAAACCTTAGATGGTTGAAGTTAAACTATAATAATCTTGAGTGTAATATATTCCTGTCAGAGACTTTGGAAACAAAGTCTAGGCGGGAATGTTTGTGGAATATACCAGGTTTCAAAAGAATACTAGAGAATGTATGTTTTCAAAGAAAAGACATTGAAATTTTAAAAGTTATTCATCCTAATTCTTTCACTGAAATATTTTTTGATTCCTTGCATTGGTCCCTGCAATAGACCAGGCAGGTATTAAGAGTGTGGGATTCAAAAATGAGTGAATCAGATAAAATATTTCTAAAAGCATATGTGAGCCTAATGATTTTCCCAGGAATGGATGCTGTCACTGCCCGAAATATTTCTGGATTCCGTTTTTGATATTTTCCTCCAATTCATGAGGGATATACACTTATTTGGATACCTGTCATCATGTGTGATCTCTGTCCTTTAAGATGAAGTTCATTTTCTCCTATAAATAGTCCTTCCTAAGGATTTGGAGACTCTGGCAGAGGTCAACTACTTGCAGCAAAGTATTGATGGAAAAATACCACCTTCTCTTTCTGAACCAACCATAAAGATTGTCATTTTTGATCATGCATCTTTATGAGGGAATGCCTGTTGAGTGTTGATGTAGGAAGGTAATATTCACTTAGTGGATGGATCATTTGAGTCAAGCCGGGCAATAAATGGGGTGACAGATGTCACAACCTGCCTGTCTGCGATTTGTGTCTGAGATTTGAATTTAGGAAGTGGTCAAAAACCATTAGGAATAAGCCTGTGGAATAAGGTGAGCAATCTATTTGAAGAACATTGACAGGTATATAACAAGGACTCAGAAAAAATGTGCCAAAATGATTAACTGACTTGAGTAACCTAATGGTAAATTTTGTTTCAAACATGTAATCTGACTATGGATTACGAGGAAGAATATTACTTTTAGAAAATAAGTTCTATAAGTCATTTGCTCATTTATTATACTAATGTACTTTCTTTGGAAAAGACTTAGATAAGAAAAATTTCAAAACATGGTTAAAGCAATGAGCACTTTTTAGAATAAGTAGACATACTGCATTATTTGATGGGTGCCTATTATGCACCAGTGACATGCTTTTTTATTTATTCCTCTCTGTCACATTGCAGGTATGCATTATTATGATTACTTGACAATACACTGAGGTTTAGCAAGTGAAATGGCTTGTTGAAAGTTATAGTCAATGACAGCCCTAGTTTTGGAATTCAGGCCTGTCTGATTCCAAATCATGAATTCTTTTTTTAAAAAATTTTTTTTTTAAATTAAAAAACAAAAAATTGTTTTTTAAAAAAAAACAATAATTGCTGTTTAAGATGTAAAGAGAGCTCATTTACATGTATAAATATTCTGGGGAGTTCACTTTTTGAAAGTTCATTACTGTGTGCATACACCATATATAAAGATTACTTGAGAACCTAGATCTAGAAGATTTACCTTTCCATTTATTACTGACATGGCTTTGGAAGTTTTCTTTGTTATTTCTAAATGAAATCCATGCTAAATGTCAGAAATTAGAACATGTATTTATTATACAAATATCTTCAATCTTGATAGCAGTGGATGGTTTTACCTCTGAAGTAATGTTGAGAATCATGTTAAAAGTTTTGAAGACTAAATGCTGTCCTCTTAAAATGCAACCCTCCCTCCAACCCACAGGTTGTCATCTATTCTCTGACACAAACAGCCTGATTCCCACATGGCATATTCAGTGCTGCACTGTACAGACTCATTTACAGTGCCTCCATTTAAGTCACACTTTTTAAATTGTTCCCAAGAGACCTGGCTCAAATAGAGCAGAGCCGGCTGCATTAGCCACCACGCACAGCCGGGCTGAGTGACAGGCATATTTAATTTGTTCCTTTCAAATCTCTGTGATGCTTTGTCTCTTAATGATGGCACTGCCTATAAAAACTAGGCTGTAAGCCTTTTGACTTGTCTTAGTCCAGGGCTGGGAACATCTAAGGCAAGGCAAAGCAACACTGTCTTACTGTACCCAGATGCTGAGCTCACCTCTTAGGAAGATAATTATTTTGCCCAAGGCAATGGTCCTGGATAATGAGACTAGGGTTCAACTTACCTTGTCTGGTATTTAAAGACTTGTATAATCCATTCAGCTTCACATTGTGCCACTCTCATCAAACAGCTTTTCTCCATGTAACTATATTGTTATTTCTTCCCCCTCACATTTTCTCATTCTTGCATCTCACATTCATGCCTCTTTCATTCATGCTGCTCCCATCTATATTCTTGAAGTCAGTATAAGTTTGGTTAGATCATCTTGAAAATTATTTCTAACACTATGACCTTGTGGAGTTCCTTGGCTATCATTCCCCCTGCTCTATATCCACCATGCCAGATTCAGAATGTTAACCTAAATGGGTCACTGAGAGGGCTAAAAGAAGAGGCACGTGAAAACTGGAAACCTCAACTCAGTTATCTCTGTCCTCTAAATTCTAGAATGCTTTGCACTCTTTGTGTATTTAACCCCATAATATTCTCTACTTTTGAAAGAACTATTGATTTCTTACTCCTGCTTGGTCCCAGCAGCAAGACTGAATCTCTGAGAAGCAGTGAATGCCTTACCTGACTTTCATATTCTCACCCCACTCTTTGTATGCCTGGGAATTGGGCAAACGTTAGGCCAACCTTATGAGGCAGTGCCTTTTTTTTTTCTGTCTCCTAATATCCCTTCATGTCTGCAAATCACTTCTCTAGAGCACACAATAATTTTTCAAATTCCATGTCATTAAAAGCATATTTTGACTGGAGGAAAATTTAAGGACAAAAGATAAACAACAATGACAACAAAATGAAATTTATTCATTTTACTTACCATCCTCCCTCTTTCAGTAGGATTTGTGCCCTAAAGAAAATACATTTACATATTTAAGGACTCATTCTCAATTCTCCTGGGTAAGAGAATCTCAGCGAAGAGAAAAAAAGGAGGCATAACTCTACCCTGAGACCACATGAATCTCCACCTGGGTTTCCTCAGCTCAGAATAAAAATGATTGCCAGAAAAAATTAATCATATACATGAATTTCAATAAGCATCTGTGTATGGATAGATTCTTTTTATAAGCAACTATGGTATAGTGTTATGCTTCAACTTAGCAGATTACCTTGGTTCAATTTTTTTTATACTTCTCCTTCTAGATGCATGATCTTGAGTACATTAATTGTGTTAGGCTGTTCTTGCATTGCTATAAAGAAGTATCCAATCCTGGGAAGTTTATAAAGAAAAAAGGTTTAATTGGCTCACGGTTCTGCTCTACAGGAAGCATGGTGCCAGTACCTGCTTTTGGGGGGGGGGCTCAGTAAGCTTTTACTCATGACAAGAGGAGTAGCATCACATAGCGAAAATGCAAGAGAGCGAGTAGGGGTAGAGGCAGGTGACACATGCTTTTAAATGACCAGATTTTGCAAGAACTCGCAATCACAAAGATAGCACCAAACCATGGGAGATCCACCCTCGTGATAAAAACACCTTCCACCAGGCCCTAATTCCAGCACTAGGAATTACAATTCAACATGAGATTTGGGTGGAAACAAATATCCAAACTATATCACTAACTTTTACCTGCCTGGATTTTATTATTTGTAAGGCAGCCATAATAGATGTGGCATCTACCATCTGCGGTTGTTTTAAGAATAAAAATTAGTATAAGTAATATATTTAGTGCACTGCCTGACAAAACAAAATTTTAGCCAACATTAGCTATGATTTATATTGGTTTCCTGAAAGTATTATGCATTTAAATAACGCTGATCTTTCCATTTTACAGATGACAATACAATGATACCTGGAAGATTAACTATACAACAGCACATTGAGTGATAGCGTGTTCCTGAAGAACCCAGGCTTTTTGACTCCAAATTCTGTGTTTTTTCCCTCACTGGGTGAAATTCATTTGAATGTCACTGATTCATTTTCATCTTAATAGCAATTATCACTCTCTGAAATTACTTTTTACGTAATAATTTCTGTTGTCTTTGTCCTTTGTGCAATATTATATCTGCACTAAGCTATAATGTTGATGATTGCACATCCACTTGTCGTTTATTAAAATATCTCTAGGACAGAAAACAGTTCTTGCCATCTAAACATTTGTACAATCAATGAATGAACGGTAGAATGTGCGTGTGTGTGCACGCACATGTGTGTGTATGAAGGGGGTTATTTGCAGCCTTCTCTCCCCTTTTAAAAGATTTTATACCGCCTCTGCCAGATACCTCTTCACATGGCCAAAGTCTTGATATTGTGATTGGCCAGAGCTTGGCATATTAAATAGAACAGTTATTATTGGGGAAGTACGTTCCGCTTTTTCTCACTTCTTCCTGCATTTAAGACTCCAATAGGCCAGAGAAATTCAGGGTCTTTGGATCTTCTCATGTCTTGTCTTTGGTAATATTGTGTGATTATGAAGGTGAGTAGACTTAAGCACTAACCTTAGGTCACTCCACTGGCTCTAAGACTTAACAGTAACTTGACTGGGGCTGAGAGACAAGCTAAGAATAAGACCCTACTTAGGCCTGAATCCCAGCCACAGTGTTAAGCATTACAGCTAGTACCTAAGCAGCTCTCGCTTTCCCATTTTTTTATTGAACTTTGCATTTAATCTCCTTAGAACATTGGGGAAGGTGAGGTATGACTGGCTGCACAAAATAATTTGGACTCTCCTGGTCCTTGATTATATTTAAATATTTAGCTCTATCCTTCCTCAGGCCTTTCTCTCTTACTTTGCTATCACCCAGCTCAGACTTGCACCAAAGTTTTGAAAAAACAGATAGATAACCTTGTTTCCTCCAGTAAATTTAAGGCTGCTTTTGTTGAAGCTCTTGTTTTTTCTTTATAAGCCCATGCACTCCCAAATTGTACAATATTTCAGGTTAGGGAAACACCTGTAGTTTATATATGTAGTTTATATATGTAGGTAAGTGTACAACTTAATGATTAAAAGTTCTGGGCTTTGATATCTGAAAAAAAATGTGGCTCTGCCACTTTAAAGGCTGTGGTATTGGGAAAGAAACTAAGACTTGGTTTCTTCATCAGGAAAATGTGAATAATGCCGGCTGGGTGCAGTGGCTCACGCCTGTAATCCCAGCACTTTGAGAAGCCAAGGCGGGTGGATCACGAGGTCAGGAGTTCAAGACCAGTCTGGCCAACATGGTGAAACCCCGTCTCTACTAAAAATACAAAAAATTAGCCAAGTGTGGTGGTGTGCACCTGTAATCCCAGCTACTCGGGAGGCTGAGGCAGGAGAATCCCATGAACCTGGGAGGCGGAGGTTGCAGTGAGCTGAGATCGCGCCATTGCATTCTAGCCTGGGTGACAGTGTGATACTTAGTCTCAAAAAAAAAAAAAAGTGGATAATGCCTAAGGAAAACAAAATGGTTAATGTTTGTTGAATGTTTAGTATAGTGCCTGTTGCCTTCTAATGGAAATCAGACTGGAGAAGAAGAATGAAGTGTGTACTTGTGTATATATGTTTAGATGGGAGTGGGGGTTAAGGACTTATAATTTGTCAGCATGTGTTAGCATGAATATAGCAGAATCATAAGAAAAATGGAAATATGGTAACAGGCAGTAGCAAAGAATTGATCTGGCATAAATCACTTTATATAAATAAAAGGAAGGCAGATCACTGCACTTTTAAAATCATCTGTCACTTTTGCTTTCCTGCCTAGAAAATGTAAAATAACTGCGAAGGGATGAGCAATGTGGTTCATGGGATAAAGAATGGAAGGAACTAGGATGTAATACTGACTGAGTCCAGCATGTTTGATGTGGTTTTCAGCAGGCATGCCTCCTGAATTTTGACTACTACCACGTGAAAAAGAAGCAACTGGCAACGGCAGAGCTATCAAAATGATATTCTGGGAACCTCGGCCATGTTTTCGCTTCAAATCCTTAATTGTCTGATGGGGGTGGGCACCACAATCCCGGGCACTCATTTTCCCAGCTCCATTTTACACTGTTGATCCTTATATTCTGTTCCCAAATGTTTTCATTATGTGAACAAAGAATTTGTGTTTTGGGTGTGAGTAGGATTTGAAATTGGTTAAAGAAATCCACTGGGTTCCTTAAATTTCAAGGGCCTAGCTTTGTTTGTTTACACTGTTGCACTTCTTGCTGTTTCAGTGATGCAATGCATCAGCACCTCCCAGAGAAGTTTCATGAGGGACTACTCTGAGAGAGGAGTTGTGAACTTACAGGCAGCTCTTCCGGAGATTTGTTGATGCTTGCGACTAAAGCCCTGTGATCTGCTTTACGTGAGTTTGGCAAATGTTTATGGAATCAGTCAATGTGCCAGTCACATTTTCAGGAGTTATTTTCTGAACTAACTATGCAGAAACAGTCTTGCAGAGGTTGAACACCTTGTTCAAGGTCAAACAGTGAGCTTGTAGATGGGGTAAGCCTACTATCAAAATGTTATTTTCCAGGCTAATTATTCTATCTATTGCCTAATTAAACTGAGTATTTGGCTCTAAGTTACTGGGTCGGAGTAGTTCTTGAAAATATAATCTTTTATATAATGTAATCTGTTGACTGTTTATTCCTCTTAAAAGTCCTATATAGATTAATGTTTCAAAAATGTGGAAACTTAAATCAGAAAGTCCTTGATTAGTACATCTTAATTTGAGGTTCTGGTCTCTTCCATGGTTGAACTTCAGGAGGCCTAAAATTGTTTGCATTTTGTTTCATCTGTGTTCAAATGTGCATTATATAAAGGAGGTGTCCATAACTCTTCAAATCTTCTGAGTGTTTCTAAATCCGCAAATAGTGATTATAAGCTCTTTTCAAAATTGAAAATAATTTTCTAAATATTTTTCTTAAAACCTCTCTGATTTTTAACCCAAACAAAAATAATACACAGTAAAATAAAATATATCATTCTCAACATTTTTGTTCTCTCCTATAAGAAATGTGAGTCCCAAGGGATCTAGAGAGTTGAGTGCCTTTTTAACAATCACTTATAGAAGTTTATTTAAATATGATTGACATTCACTCCTTAGTCAAACTTAATATTGATTCGAACCCATGGAAGTGGATCTACAGTTTAGTGAGAGAAACACAAAGGATGATTATAATTTCAACTGGAAAATAAGAGCTCCGTTACTTATCAGAATCATTTCTGGTTAAAATTAATAGTATTTTCTATCTCTCTGGGATCTTGAGAGTTGGGAAATTCCAGCAGATTTTTATTATGCAATTTCAATAAAGAAGGTTGACATGTTGGGTAAACAAAGAAATAAAAGCAATACAATCAAGGGGGTACCATTGGGTTAAAGGGCTGAGTCAGTACAGATTAATTCCATGCTGATCCATTATGATGTTGAAGGCTGCTAATTAGTTGTTGAGATTCACAGTTAATCTGATACAGAGCATGACCTTGATAGGCTTTCTTATCATCAAAGCAGATGACAATGTTTTTCATGTTATTCCAAAAAGAGCAGAAATTTATTGTAGTCTAATATTTTTTCAAAGCTTTTCACATCCATGTTTATTAGCTTGTAGTTAACTTGCAATGTCTCTATCAGGTTTTGGTGTTAGAGTTAGGTCAGCAAATAAATTGTAAAATGTTTTCTACTTTTTTTTTAAGATAATTATTATTTAATTTTTTAATGTTTAATAGAATTTACAAATAAAAGCATCTGGACCTGAAATTTTTCATCAGATGGCTATTGAGACAAAATATCTCTTTAATACATAGGGGCTATTTAGATTGTCTTTTTTCTCTTGAGCTAATTTTGGTAACTTTTTTTAATGTCAATTTTATTAGTATTTTTGAAGTTGTTCATAATATTCACTTATTTTTCTTCCTTAAAATTTCTGCAGTTACTATAATGATATCCCCTTCTTTCTCCTGATATTAATAACATGTTCCTTCCCTCCCTTCTTTCAACTTCACTTCCTTCCTTCCTGTTTTACCCTGTTCATTCAGTCTGCTGAGATTTACTAATTTTTAAAAACTTTTCAAAGAATGAACTTTGGGTTTTGCTAATTTTTTCTATTTTTTATTATTGATTTTATTAAATTCTGCTTTTATATGATTATTTATTTTCTTTTAGTTATTTGGGCTTTAAGTTCTTTAGCTTTTTAGTGTAGAAATTTAAATGGTTGGCTTTAATGCTTTTTGTTTTTTTTTCTGAGGCATTTTAGGTGATAATTGTCGCCTTAAGCACTGTTTGACCTGCACCTATATACTTGCGTGTTTTATATATACATTATCCTTCAAATGAAAATTTCCCTTGTGATGTCTTTGGGTGATCGGTTATTTAGCAGTTGAATATCTAATTATCTGTGTGTCTTCTAAATATCATGTTGTCGTCGATATCTAAATTGATTTTCAGACTTATTTTGCAGTCCCACGTATAGTCACATATAGGAAATACTCCATGTCTACTTGGATAGAATGTGTATTCTGTAGTTGTTGGATATCTTTAAATGTTTAATAGGTCAAGGTGTTTGATAGTTGGTCAATATCTTATATCCTTACTAATTTTGGCCTTTTTAGTCAACTTGCCTTATCAGTTACTAAGAAAGGGTTTACTAAAATCATGAATTGTGGTTGGGATTTGTGCCTTCATTTATTTAGTTAATATTTTGACAATAAATTTTGAAAGATTTTTAAATGTCTCTTAGTACCTAAACTTCTCAATATTCACTGAGAACTTTGTATATTTCATGATATTAATGAATCACACTCCTCCTCCTCCAAATCTTGTCCAACTTGCTGATATTACCTACAAACCAGCATAAAAATACATATTTAAAAAGAATCATTTATAATTTACTTTTAGGCTTTATCTATTTTAATTATCAGGGTATACCAGATCAGTCGTCATTATTGTTATTGTTGTTTTATTTTAGTGTATTAATGAAATAAATATCTCTGTTCTATTGAAATATATTTTCTATAACTTGAAAAATAATGATAAAATAATAAAATGGACACAATTTGAAAATTCTATCTTTTAAGGAGGAGCAAGCTACACATTCTATCACTTTTAAGATTTATTCAGCACAGAGAAACTTCCAAAATGTAGGAAAAAAATTGTTTATGGCCTCTTTCTGCATTAGTATCTCTTTCAAGATTTACTCAAATGTTTCAAGAAGACCCATTAGTCAAAGTGAGTACTCAGGTGTAAATCAAAATTGTCTCCTTTAGGCTATCTAATATCCTATTATGATACTAATATGGTTCGTAAAAACATTTTATACGGCAAATGAACAAATATTGCTGGAAATGGAATGTTCAAGAGCCTCTTTTTTTTCTTTGCCAATCATCTAAGCCTTATAAAAATTAGATTTGTTATGTAACATATTTGAATGACTAGGTAGCATGAATCACCAGGTAGCATTAGGTTCTTTGATTTTCATGTAATTTCTAGAATTCAACATTTTCTGCACTCCCTATAGATTATATAAACCACTGACTGTCTATGATAATGTGGAACTCAGAATTGTGTAATTGAAATCTATGGATAATGTAAAAAATTTCATCAGTAGTATAATTTTATCTCTCAGAGTATTATTACTATTATTACTTATAGGTAGGGGCTATCAGCAAGAAAACAGTACCTTAGCTTAAAGACAGAATGTGGATGAAAGATGAAAGAAGCATTTGGGATTATTTGAAAATTGAAGCACTAATTTGTAAACAAGTCAGTGTCGAACATATGAAAATTATCCTTTATATTTTTCTACTTTTATATTAATTATAGCTAGTGAACTCAGTTCAAGTTCAGTTCAAGCTTCTCCTGATGTTATGATCTGAAAGTTTGTGTCCTCTCAAAATTCTTATGATGAAATCCTAACCCACAAGGCAATGGTGTCAGGAAATGGGAAATTTGGGAGAGAATTTGCTCATGAGGGGAGAACCCTCCTGAATGGGATGAGTGTCCTTGTAAAATAAACCCAAAAGAGCACATTTTCCCTTTCTGCCATGCGAGACACAGCAAAAAGCCAGCTATCCATGAAGAAGGAAGAGGGGCCTTACCAGACATTGAATCTGCGGATCCTCGATCTTGGCCTTTCCAGCCTCTAGTACAGTGAGACACATATATATATATTTTTTGTTTATAAGCTACCCATTTTGTGGTATTTTTAAAATAGCATCCTGTATGTACTAACACATCATTAAAAATAAAATTAACAACAGCAACCTCAGATCTTGTGCATGACATTTTTTGGGGGGAGATGCTTTTGGATGAGATTAACAATTACATCTGTGAACATTTGGTGAAACATCACTCTCCAAAAATGTGAGTGGATCTCATCCAATCATTGAAGCCCTGCATAGCACAAAAAGTCCAGTCTTGCTGAGCAAGAGAGAATTCTACAGCCTGCCAGCCTTCAAACTGGAACTGGAACATTGGCTTTCCTTGTTCTGCTGTAGCCTGACAACCCCGTTGCAGATTTGAACTGGCCAACCTCCATAATAATGTGAGCTAATTTCTTATAACAATTGTTATAGATATATAGATAGATTTGTTCTATATATGTATATATAGGCATGTAGCTGCCTATATATATGCTTTTAATGTAAAGACGTGTATATATATAGAGAGAGACCTCTATATCTATAGATATAGATATATATTTACCTTGGAGATACTGCATGTTTAGTTTCAGACTATCATAATAAAGTAAATATCCCAATGAAGCATGTTGTCATGCCAACTTTTTTGTTTCCCATAGCATATAAAGGTTATGTTATATGACACTGTCGTCTATTAAGTGTGTGATAGCATTATGTCTAAAAATGCAATGTTGAAATATTAATTCAAGAACATTTCATTGTGGCCAGGCGCGGTGGCTCCCACCTGTAATCCCAGCATTTGGGGAGGCTGAGGCAGTGGATCACGAGGTCAGGAGTTTGAGACCAGCCTGTCCAAGATGGTGAAACCCCGTCTCTACTGAAATTACAAAAATTAGCCAGGTGTGGTGGTGGGAGCCTCTAATCCCAGCTACTCAGGAGGCTGAGGCAGGAGACGTGCTTGAACCGGGGAGGTGGAAGTTGCAGTGAGCAGAGATAGTGCCACTGCACTCTAGCCTGGGCAACAGAGCAAGACTCTGTCTCAAAAAAGAGAAAAAATAAAAAATAAAAAGCTTTATTGCTTAAAAAATACTGACACAGAGACTCAAAGGAAGCATGTGCTGTTGGAAAAATGGTGCTGAGACACATCTTTGACACAGGGTTTCCACACACTTTTAATTTGCAGATAATGCAATATCTGCAAGGCAAAATAAATAATGCAATAATAAATCATGTCATATCTGCAAGGCAAAGCACAATAAAATGAAATGTGTGTATATGTACCTATGTGTATATGTCTGTGTGTGTGTATATATATATAGTGCTATTTTTCTAGAGAATCTTAGCTAATATAGTGAGTTTATGGAACTTCTTAACAATATAGATAGATTTAAACAAAGATATCTCATTTAAGTTAAGGTTATGAGCTTCCTGATGAAGATCATCTTTTCATGTTCAAAGAAAATCCTTATTTTCAGAATCTGCCTTTGAACATCTCTGTATCTCCTTAGACTCAAGCCTGAGCAAAATAGACGGCTTGACCAAGCTGTAGGACTGAGACCCAGAGAGCCAGAAATCCCTCTTAAATACAGATTTGTCTAAGAGCACTATTTTAATATACTTGGGTAACTTTTCAAGCTTTGGAAGTAGTTGTTTAGTCTTTGAAAATGTGAACTGACTTTAGTGGTTTTGCTTTCAATGAGTCCACCCAATATTCATGCTATGTATCACTGAGATGAGTTCTCACAAATGTCATTCCATTTCAACAAACAGACACTGAGATTTGGGATACTATATCATACCCTTAGTTCTTAAATTCGGAAAATTTCTTCAAAATCATTTTATACCATAGGTTTTGACCACACAGGGCAGGGCTATCCAGAATTGAGTAAAGTTAAAACATTCAAAGAACAAGGACGACTTTGAGACAGGTTCTCGGCCTGTCACCCAGGCTGGAGTGCAGTTGCACAATTATGCCTCACTTCAGCCTCAACATCCTGGGCTCAAGAGATCCTCCCAACTCAGCTTCCCAAGTAGCTGGGACTAAAGGCATTTGCCACCAAAGCTGGCTATTTAAAAAAATTTTTGTAGAGACAGGATCTCACTACATTGCCCAGGTTAATCTCAAACTCCTGGGCTCAAGAGGTCCTCCTGCCTGGGTCTCCTAATGTGCTGGGAGCGTGAGCCATGGCTCCCAGCCCTGAGAACAAGTTTTAACTACCATACCTGAAGATGGAGATCTTCTCAGGAAGTCAGCTTTCCTACGCAGAAAATAGAAGGAGAAAATGGTCACTAGATCTGAAAATTCTCTGGTAGCAACATATCTTCATAAATTCCTTTCTCAGTGGAAATGGAAGGATTAACATACTGTGACTATCTCATTCTTTTTAAATAATGCACTACAATGTTTTGTTGGTCTTTTCTGGGAAGAGAATTTTCATAGTTCTAGTTAACAGAGAAAAACGTGTCTTGTTAAAGTTTCTATTTGGTTAGAAAATTGTATGGCTTATTTCCTTTGTTTCTATGATATATGAGATTTAAAAAATTTTCTTTATGTCTACAATGAAATAACACGTAGGTGGATTTTGCCATCTTGGCCTATGGACCCTAGATGTAGATAGTCAGATAGTGGGCAACCATTCTGCACATTGTCCCCCAAAAGCAAAGAACTAAATACACACTAAGTTCAAGGGAAACAGTCTGCACAAGATCAATAAAGATTTCCACTTTCAGACAGAGTCTAGAAACCATAACCATAACTCTTAATTTTCATTTTAAAATATAAAAGAGCAAGAAAGCATTTTGGGCTGATGTATTTCTCTTGGTTGCCTTGGGAATTTCTTTTCCTTATTAAAACAAAAACTAAAGACCCGGCACACACACACACACAAAGAGTCATGCAGGCAATTTCTGAAACTCAGTATCATTAATATCATTAAAATCTATATCAAATTAAAGTCTGTGAAATTTACTGAAGAAGAAGGGTCAATTCGAGCCTGCTCAAAGACTGTACATTTTCCTGATAATGGATTTATCATGAATTCAGATCAAAGAATTTTTGTAAATGATAAAAAGAAGCATACTTAACATTCATAGAACCTGTGTGTTGGTCACGAAAAAGGCAAAAAGGGTGATCAATATGAAATGTTATGTTGTTCCCTACTATCTCTTTGGAATTTTCTCTGAGTAAGATTACTCTTTTCACATTTTTGGATGAAAACACCAGAGGCTCACAATTGAGCTCATTCTCCAGGAAAGCCTTTGTGGATTTTAAATCGCAATTAAAGTCTCAATAAGAATGCTCAGTCCCATGCAATTAGACTAGTCCCATTCAATTAGAATGCCTAGTCCCTTGCAATAATTAAAGTGACCTATGTGTTCTCAGGTGCAGGAGTCAGATATTAATTTTTCCTAATAGATTGAAAGTCTCCTTCAATAAGCTTACGTTGGTAAAGTAGATACTCCCTACTCTCCCTACTCTCCTTGGAGGTTCACAGAATAGTTTTCTTCAAAGAAATTCTGCTGACAAAATTATATCTGAGGCACTTTTGTATATTTCTTTTGCTTTTGGGAGCCATTAACAAATGTTGAGCCATTTAAAAATTGTTTGCTTTGAGTATCTGTATTCTGTTTCGGCACCTAATTTTGGTATCCACATCTACTGCATCCTCAGATCTCAGTTGAAATTTACATGCAACCATTATATTCCATAGTGAGAGATTATCTGAAACTGAGAGACTGCCATCAAAGTAGGGCATTTCTGGGAAATGAGCATTAGGAAAATATTCATAAAGCAGTTTTTCAGGTAAGAAGAATGCTGGAGATATGTTTGTTGCTCTTAAAGTTGAAGCAAATTGCAATTCTCCTGAAGGAAAAACTCCATGGAAATATGAGATCGATTTCAGAGTCAGATCAATTCCTATTACAAAGCAGACAGTTGCTGCAAGAAATCTCACATATGTGAGACACATGGAAAAGTACATTAAACATATTTCATGTCAAACTAAACATCAGAGCATCTATGTAGGCAAAGTTCCATGAATATAATGAATGTGGGAAATCCCTCACTGAGTACTCATCCTTTGCAACATCAGAGGATTCACATGGGAGATAAATTCTGCGAATGCAGTGAATATGGGTAAGCCCTCAATCAAAAGAAGCAGCTTTTCCAAAATGAAAGAGTCCTTACTGAAGACAGAGCCCATGGATGCAATAGATGTAGAAAAGTCATTACTGTGAAATATTTTTCCCATTAAACATCAGAGAATCCACAATGGACTATTTTAGTTTCATAATATTATTCCACCATCTTTAAAACTGAATCTAGAACAATAATCTTAATATGCATAACAAGCTGATGATTATAGATCTGCAAAATACTCTGATTACCTAAGAATTAAACCTCATTCTGGAAAAATGTCAGTGGGGCCGCTGTTTTATCTACAAGAGTTTTCATCTGTTGGGATATCAAATGTCTTTCCTTATTTTGGGTGTTATTAATCCAAGCTATGCAATCATTTTTTGGTGCATTTACATCCACTAGTTTAAAATATGCCAGCCACCATGTGGGTAAGCAAGACCCTGACTTTTATTTCCTTCAGAGTTCTCCTAGTTTGTAGCATATACCTGGCACATTTATTTGATTAAATTAGGTATGTATTCCTGCTTTTACTTGCTTTCATAATTGTACTTTCCACTGACATCATCAGAGTATTTAAACTTTCTCAGACTCTTAAATCATAAAAGTTTATCGAAATATTTCATTAATTAAATTAACTGTAAATAACAGATAATCTAAACACCCTGTTTAATATACTATACATTCATTCTTAAGTAACCAGGATGGGAGAATTTGTTAATGATCTTTGACAACATACAGTGGCTTTGCTTTTTGTATTCACGACTAAGTGTGCCTTAAAAACAGGAAAGGTTTGATTGGTGCAAATCAGACCTAAGTCAGCCTCCTACTATGAGGCCTCAATTAGTTAGTGGTAGTCTGGTTTCAGAAGATGATTTTGAGATATTTAGAAAATGCAGGAACTTAAATATAATTTAATGGGTTATTTAATAGCAGAATTGATCTATTGACATAAGATGTGAATGTTCTGACAGATGAATTGTAAACAACTTAATATCAGCCTTAGAAGCCCTAAATATTTATTTTATCTACTACATAAACAAAATCTTGTTTTCCCTTCTCTGGTAGTAATTATGGCACATCAGATGTTTATGAACGGTCTATAGAGGTCTTTATTTCAAAAGAATATATCGTCAAAGCCCTAGAAAGGTTACCTTCCAGAAACACAGAAACACAATTTTCTGCAATTCTTTAAAACTGAAGTAAAGGAATAAAATGAGGACTACTTCTGCTACAAGAAATGTGTTTTTCAATTACCAGGACGGCACACATCTATTTGTACAGCCCTAGCACTTAAGATCTGGACCAAAGATTTGATTCTCTAATCAAAGGAAACAAGAGAGCTCCACTGATAGTTTCCTGAAATGCAATACAAATAATTTGTGCCACCGAGTAGACATTGAAACAAGACTCTGAAACCAGGCAATGCCACCGAAGTTAAGCACAGGAGGAAATTCAATAAAAATGCATTCTGACAAGAAATTACTTTTTATGGTATTTAAAGTTAGGAATAACACTGGAAGGAATGCAGAACTAATTAAGTATCACATTTGGGTTTTCTCCTTCCCCACTCCAGTAAGAGGAGTATAGCCGAATGAGTAGATAAAATAAGTACAGACAAGTGTTTAGAAGTGGTAATAGAAGTAAAGTCCCTAATAAAACGACTTCTGAAAGAAGAAGACAGTGAAATTCAAACCCCTAACCTCAAATACTCTGAATGCAGTATTGGGAAACAAATGCTATGAGAACCATACAGTCATCGAAATGAAAAATCAAGTGACATGCTGGAATGCATGTAAGATACTGGACCTGACAATATTTGTACCATTACAAGTGGGAAAAAAGCCTTCCATGCTGAAAAATCTCTGGCAGTTCCTTCTGTGGCCTAGATGTTGAATAGCTTGTAGCAGAGCTGAAGCATTCTACTTGTTTCCACATGAAACCATTATGAAAATACTTTTTTAAAGTATTATTTCTCTTAGCTGTTATTTTGGGGCTGATGAAGAATGATACAGTCTGGTGATAAGGCAAATAATACTGCAATCCTTTAAATGTTAGGCAATGAATCACCTTAATAGGAGGCTACTATTTGAAGATGAAAATCTCTTATTAAACTTTGTAAATACCATTCCTGATCAGTAATTTATAAATCTGAATTTTAATTAAAGGCAATAAGAAAACTTTTAGTTCTGCTTAGGTATGGTATTTAACAGAGCTGTGGGTTTTGTAACATAAAATTAAGTAATCCATAGCTCGTCCAAGGCAGGAATTAGGGCTACTGTAATGTAGGGAAAGAGCCATTTTCTATAACTTCTGTTTCAACTTGAGAACAAACAACCAAATGTGGGATCCTAGAAAATTGCCTTTATTCTATTTCTTCATTGCTTGGCTTCCAGTCCCTGGAGCTACAACCGAAAGAGAGTGCATTATAAATCCCTGGCATTGCTTCTGCATGTGGGGGGCCGTGGAGCTGTCAGGGCAGGTGTTTCAGAAAGGGCAAGGCCATAGAAAAGACAGCCAACTCTAAATGAGCTATCAAGTTCAGACGAACTCATTCCCTTTACCTTACCTTCACACAGAGGGAGGCTGTTAAACTCCGACAAACAAAATGGTTTATAAGGCACCTGGCATTTTAGATTCAGGAAATGCCATTTGGAAGTCTTGGAACACATTCAAAAATGCAAAGAAATCCCCTTGGTGCTAGCTGGGTAAGTAGATTTCCTTGAGAATGGCAAGTACATCCTCCTTTGCTTCTTTGTCAATCGTTCTGTCTCTATGGTATTCAGGCTACCTGAAGGCCTCCAGTTAAATGCATCTAGACTCTGCAGGGAAGTGCAAGTTTGAACCCCCAAGGATATCCTCCCACTTGCCCTGAAGAGTAAACATCTCTTGGCTCTCCAAGAATTCTTATTAGGAAATTCTCTCACAATGACCTCCTCACGTGGAGTGATTCGAGCAAAAGGGCTGCCAAGTTGATTTTGACAGCCTTCACATAAAGGTCAAGTGGATGGAAGGTTTGAGCAGTTGTGTGTTTTATCAGAGAAATCTTTTTCACCCTTCCCATGTATCTGCAGTGCTGATTGAAGCACAGCTTGGTTCTGCTTCTCTGCGCAAGCTCTAAACTTTGGGGGACTTCAACATAAAGTTTGTTACATATTTATAGAATAGTTTTCTTTAAAAAGCTGGAGAAGAATGATTCACCTACAGGGTGGAGGAATACAGGAAAATGAGGAGGAATGGAGGGAGGGGGATCTTGTATTAGACTCCGGGTGATGTTCATTTGGAAACGTCTAAAGAGCATTTAACTAGCAATGCCCAGGAGGTGGCAGGACATGGATTTTGCGGTTCAGAAGAGGAGTTTAGGTTTCGATTTGTATTTTAGGGTCACTGATTACACAGCTGGGAATAGAAGGCATGCATTAGATGATGTCATCCATAAAAATGCATGAGAATGAGAAAAGGACGGAGAAAGGAGCCTGAGTAATCCTGGCATTTAAGGGGTGAGTAGAGAAAGAGAATCACAGGAAGAAATCGGAAGGCAAATTTTCAAAACCTAGAAGAGTACTTTTTAAAAGGAAAGCAATTAAAAGTACTTTTTAAAAGTAAAAGACTTAAAGACTTTTTAAGTCTATAGGATTTCAGTATAAAAATAAATACTTGAAAATCGGATTTGGCAATGAGACATCTCTGATCTTGACAGCAGTGTTGATAGAATGATACATGTGGAGAAGCTCGACTCTGGGGATCTGAGAAGTAAATGGAAATTCATTTTCATACTCAGCTGCAAAAGTAGCCTGAAAATTCAAACACCCATCTAGGCAATAAAACACTTCTCAATCAACACTAAGGTATAGATCATTGTAAGATTTTTCTCCAGTAAGTTACAATGGGAAGGAAGGCACTGAGTCTTGGCAAGGAGAAGAAACGAGTTGAGGGTTTTTTGGGTTCTGAGAGTAGAAGAGTACATTTTGCGCTTGCATTTCCCATGTAGGCAAAATTTGAAGGGCTTTTCCATTATCTAACAAACATAGTTCATTTTCTTCCACTTCTCTTTAGAAAATGTACTAGACAGTAAACAAAAAAGAGAGGAACATATACTTTAATCAGGTGCTTTACTTTTAGTGTATTCAACTTTATAGTTAGAGCATAAATCCTTGCCATCTTCCTTATATTTCTCTAACGAGATTCTGCTTTGCATTATTGCACAGGCTTTTTATGCCCTCTAAATTTACATTTTACAGATGCTTGGATTTATGGTAGCTCTTCCTTTTGACAGGTCACTATAAGATGTGATATGTCAGCTATTGATTTTATGAGAACATATGTTTATCCGGTTAATTTTCTCTGAAAGATAATGCACACTCTCAGCATGAGGTCAAGGGCATGAAATTTTTCAGCGTCTTTGAAGATCAAGCAATTCTATCTTCAGATATTAAAGACAAAGAGATGTAGAAAGAAAAAAACCCAGAAATTCTCTGCTTATGATAATATCCATGCTGAAGCTGTAAAACTGTAAGTTAGCACAGCCTGGGAAAGGATAGATGCAGTCAGCTTGGGGGAACGAAGAGAAAATCAGACTCAAGACTGAACTCTCTTAAAACTTCACCTGCAACTCCAGGCTGTAGTATTGCTTTGACCTCTTGAATATTAATTGTATTTATGTGAAGCATGCCAATTATAGCCAAGATTATTCAGTTATATAGTTCAGGTTATCACTTTCTGTAGAGTGGTGAAGAGCATTGACTCGGAGCCACTGAGTGCTCCAGAACACACTTCTGCTCTAAAACACATGGCTAAGTTCCAGAAACTCTCTGAGTTTCAATTTCCTCAGGCTTCATGTAACAGAAATATTTTTAGTGATTTGGAAAAATTATATAAGTTAATATATGCAAAGTGCTCATCATTTAGAGAATCTATAGTAAGAGGATATTATTATAACATACCTTGAATAGATCATTTGCCATTAAGTATGCGGACAATGCAGCTCTTAAAGTCATATGATGAATAAGGCAATGTACTAGACGTTACAGATATAAAGACGCTAATCACTTCCCAAAAGCCCCATCCCCTAATACCATCACTTGGGGGTTAGGATTTCGACACACAAAGTTTGTGGGGACACAAACATTTAGACTATAGCAGGTGATTATTTCTTAGATGTAGGAGGATGAAGAAGACCCACAGATGATTCCCAGGCCTCCCACTTAGGTTGTTTTTTGTGTTTCGAGTTCCTCGTTTTGTAAGTATTCAATGAATGCTAAAGAAAAAAAGGAGGAAAATGGGCAGACAAGTTCTTTTCATCCTTGGGGATGTTGACTCCAGGGTTCTTCCAATTCTCCATAGATCTCTGTGTCTGAGCCTTTACTAAATAGGCATATTTGTAGAATTAGCACCCTCAGTATAGTTAATATTTGATATGATTTGCCTGTGGCCCCACCCAAATCTCACCTTGAATTGTAGCCTCCATAATTCCCATGTGTAATTGAATCATGGAGGGAGGTCTTTCCCAGGCTGTTCTTGTGATAGTGAATAAGTCTCAGGAGATATGATGGTTTTATAAAGGGGAGTTCCTCTGACCATGCTCTCTTGCCTGCCGCCATGTAAGACATGACTTTGTTCCTCCTTTGCCTTCCACCATGATTGTGAGGGCTTCCCAGCCGTGTGGGACTGTGAGTCAATTAAACCTTTTTCTTTTATAAATTACCCAGCGTCAGGTATGTCTTTATTAGCAGCATGAGAACAGACTAATACAGTATTTAATAAGTAATATGCTCTAACAATATAGCTACATAATAGAGAGATATCATGGGTTAAAAACCATTAATGATAAGAAATTGTTCATGTAGCTAAGGTCTTTGAAATTATAATAGATAAACATGCATTTTACCACTAAATTACTTTCTCAGCGTATCTGAAATGCTTAGGGCTATGGTGCTAATTAACTTTGGGCCTTCCTTGATATGGAGGCAGCTTAGTTTAATTAAATCAATAGTTTTGTATATTAATTATAGTACAGGCTTAAATAATTTAGGGAGTATTTACCCTTTTTGCAGATCCTTATTTATTTTTTGGCCGAAGTTTGCAGGATTACTCTGCTTCAAATTTAACAAATGCACCTAATGATTCACCCTCTCTCCCTTTCCTCCCTTCTCCCCTCTAAAACAGTCTGGGTATGAGAATTGCAGTTCTATCTGTGTGACAAAGATTAGGTTTACTCTATGACAGCAAAGTGATTGATGGAACAAACATATCCTTTTGCTGTAGATAATCCTCTGGTTAACTCTACAGATTTATCTAGTTTTAATACTCTTAATTTTACAATTGGCTGTATTCTTAAAATAAATGAATTTGGTCTGGCAGTTCCTTGAATTAAAGTTTGCTTACTAGGCATAAAGAAACTGCAGTATGAAATAAACTAGAATTATCTAGAACTCCCGAATTTAAGTGTCCTACAGATATGATTTAATCTGAAGAGCCTCTCACTTCCAAAAAAACACATTCTTATTTTTTAAACAACTACTTTACTATGCCTTGAAATGAATAAATTAAATAACATATTTCAAAGAAATAAGAAAGCCATCTGGTATGTAACTCTTGTTTAGACCATGTAACTTATTAATTGTTGATCATCAATTGAAAACCTATTAAACTCTAAACTCTGGTGAGAAGAGGAAGAGGGTTCAATGTTATATCTCAGAGAGTTTCCGTTTTTAATCGCAGATAAAACTGAAGTTATGTTCAAGACAAAGTATAAAGCAAAAAATTAATGCAAATGCTATAAGAATTCCGAATGAGAAAAAATTTACTTAGGTTGTGCTAAGATGGGTAAGGAAATACAGTAGAGAAACTTGCTGACATTTCTCCATAATAAATTTTTAGGCCCGATGAACCTAGTGACCCATATGGGATTATAATTAGTTAAAATGTGAAAATAGGTCTCATAGTACTTTCAGCCAATACAAGTTTTCTAAAAATAAAATGAATAGTAACCTCAGATATTGGAATAATTAATCTCACTTTATCGATTACTCCTAAATATATTGTATGAATGAGAATATAAAGATACTTGGATAGATAACTAGGCTCTTTAAAAGTGATTGGTTCCTACCCCGGTGATGGTGATCACACTGTAAAAAGGGAGAAATGATGTCTGTATGGGCTGAGATCCTTGCAAGAAACTCATCATGCAAGTGCCAGTTTTTATGATCATTGTATTCGATCAGCAGAATTTCTCAATGTGAGCAGAAGATGGGATCTTTTCATCTTCTTCGTTGTCTTCTTATGCTGTCAAACCTTTCTGGATTGCCCACTCTATTATCACCTTCTAATAACAGAGGAAGTGAATATCCAACTTCATAATGGAAGCATGCTGCCTACATTATTTTAGATGAAATGTATTCTTTCCTAGAGCAATCTGGGCTGCAGCTGTTTCTCTGCTGAAAACTACTTCAGCAAGTAAACAGTCAGGTTTTACTGATAGACTATCCCGTTTATAATATTCCATTTAATTGCTAGGCAGATATAAGCCGGTTCTCTTCTATACGTTTTCAAACTACAATGGTACAAAGAGAATTATAATAATACCCGACGTAATAGTTATCCAAAGAGAGATACTGCCATGTAAAAAATATTTAGTAACTGCATTAGGATTATGTTAGTGTGGTAAGGCATTATATTGCTAGAAGCAATTATAGCTTGCAATACACAAGAGCAATGACTTTAAGTGAAGAGAACAAGCTGAAGACCTGAAGTTTATGTGCGCGTCAATGTGTGGAGGAGGTATTTGTTTCTCAGGGAGGGGTGAAAGGAGGAGTTTAACTTACTGCATCAAACAAAAGGGGAGCATTTTTCCAGATGCAGCGCTTTGAGTTTTCAATGACAAAAATCATTATAAAGAAGCAAGGGAATAATTTACCATTATGGTTGGGGAAAAGAAATTTAAAAATAAAATAAATGTTTAAAAGAAGCAAGACAAAATAAAAATTGGTTTTAGATGGGGAAGGTAGAATAAATTCTCTTTTTAAAAAGCTCTAACAATAAATAAAATTGTTCATTATAGTTTAAAAAACCACAAATATCAATAATAAAGTTCTCACAGAAACCTCGTATTTCATATTCTAACAGTGTTTTAAGATTTGTATTTGAAAATGGAATTTCAGGGATTACTTTCTGCTTTTCTGTGGCTTGATGAATGAAGAAAGTAGAAACTGAGGATGATGCTACTGTAAGAACTTAAAGCATAACTCTCTCTTCTCCTTCCCAATAACAAAAGATATCCCAAAGCAAAAGAAGATAGCCTGCTGTGAAAGCTATCCAGGTATGAAACATATGTTAAAAATGTCTGATAAACATTTTAAAAATGTTTAATAGAAATGTTTAATTATTATTACTTTTTTAATCCAATTCCCAGAAAGCCAGTAACTCATATTTCTAGTGGAATTTCCCGTTTGCTTTCCCGGAAATCTGACCTTCCTCAATTTCCCATTGTTCACCAACTGTGGGAACTCTCTTGGGTTTGGATGACTTGAATCCTTGCACACATTCAGCCATGTGTGTGGGATCTCCTCCACTTACCCAAGTGAAACCTTCTATTTATGCTCTCATTCTCAACCTGGGTGCATGTGTGACAGAGAGCTTCTTACTGGTCTTTTAATTTTACTCAAAGATTTAGATAACTTTATACCCCAAATTAAACACATATATATTATGGGTAACAGTGAACCAAACACTTGCAAGGAAAATTTCCTTTTAAAAGTTAGGTATCCAGAGTCATCAGGCACAGGTTCTCTACCTTAAACTTACAGGAGGGCACTAGTGACAACGTTAAGGCTGCAAAGTCCTTCTTGACTTCCTTGGGCTAAATTATTAATCAATTATTGTGAACTGACAAAGAGCTTCATATCCACATTATTAAATTTATTTTGTATATTATAAAAATTTTCAATTTTCTTTCTTCTATTTGTGAACTTTTAACTGCCTTTTTTTGTAGAAGTGGTTTTGCCCTTGACCTTGAGAATAAAATAGTAGACACTAAATTGCATGTATTGGCATTCAGTGAAAATAATGGAAAGATCTGGGTCCTTATGTTGGCAACACCACTAACTGGGTGTTGTTTTGAGCCATAATTCTACATTCTCATACAATGTTCTAAATAAGCGTGGTCCATGAGGAGAGGGAATATCACAAGGTAGAGGTGGAAGATAACAGAAATATTTTAGGCATAAAATGGAAGAATCATACTGGAGGAGGGAAGGCAACATGTAAACTTTCTTCTATAATTGCATCAAGAACAGTTGAAAACATCCTAGCTCCACAGTTTTCTTTGCACATGACTTTTGGTAAAGCCTTAGTTTGGGAAAAGTGCATAGAATTATTCAGGGTCCCTGCCTGTCATCATGATTCCTTTGAGATGCTTCTTTCACTTCTGTGTTTCTTTACCTTTTTTTGTTGTTATTTTTGTATTTTCATGCTATCATAATATTGGAAAACATTTATGTATAATTTGATCTTTCTTCCAAAACGCAATATTTTCATTTATATGTATATATATATATATATATATATATATATATATATATATATATATGTTTTCTAAGTTAAAGAAACCTAAAGTTAATTTTGATAATTAATAAATAATCTCATGACTTATGGTAAGAGCCTTTATTTATGTGAGTTATATTTTGACTTGTACATAGTAAACAAAATTGTAGTAAATATCAAATTAGATAATATTAATAAAGTTTCTGTGTTATGTGCCTAAAACATAGTGGAAACTGTGTTAGTACAGTAGAAACACAGGAACATTGTAGTATAATAATGAAGAACAAGGACTCCGAGATCTTCATGTTTTAAAATCCTGGCTTTGGCAGGGCACGGTGGTTCACGTCTGTAATCCCAGCACTTTGGGAGGCCAAGGTGGACGGACCGCCTGAGGTCAGGAGTTTGAGACCAGCCTGGCCAACATGGCAAAACCCCATCGCTAGTACAAATACAAAAATTAGCCGGGTGTGGTGGCACGCACCTGTAGTCCCAGCTACTCGGGAGGCTGAGGCAGGAGGATCGCTTGAACCCAGGAAGTGGAGGTTGCAGTGAGCCAAGATTATGCCACTGTACTCCAGCCTGGGTGACAGAGCGAGACTCCATCTCAAAGAAAAAAAAAAATTCTGGCTTTGTCTCTTATCAGCTGTGTGTCTTTGTGCATCATATCTAGAATCTCTGTGCCTTACATACCTCATTTATAAATTGTGTATCTACTTTGAATCTGGTGGATTTTTAAAGAATATTACATGTGATAATGAATATATTCCAGTGCCTGGTGTACTATAAACCTCTAACAACTGTGACCTGTTAGTATTCTTAGAGTCAAGACAATTTTACAAATCAACAGTGATATTGGAATAAACACAAGAGAATGAGAACTTTACAACATCAAGTTCTAGGTTTGGAAAACAAAGCAAGTAAACAAAAGCTTCTACTTCATTCCAAATGTAAATTCTGTCTCAAACTGTTAGCAGGACTACTGCATTTTACCTCAGTTCTCCTCTACTGAAACATCCTCTCAACCCAGTGAGGATAACAGAGATAAGTCTGATGAAGATATAAGACATAGTTCCAAGATTTCAGATCTAAGTCATCACTTGCAAATTCAGCGATTATTTAAATTTGCCATTCTTCATAAACTAGAACAATATCTGGAAATTGTCTCTCTGTCTCTGTCTCACACACACACACACGTGCACACACGCATACAAATCTAATGCTCCCTCACTTTCCCAATTCACAAATAATTTTGAAAAGTTTCCCATTTTTTTGGCATTGTGTGAAGGTGTTGGGATGTATTATTTCTGGTGGGATAGTCATTCTCAGTTAAGCAAAGGGTAAGTTTAAAGATGTGGAAGTGGCCGGATGCGGTGTCTCACGCCTGTAATCCCGGCACTTTGGGAGGCCAAGGCGGGAGGATCACGAGGTCAAGAGATCAAGACCATCCTAGCCAACATGGTGAAACCCCATCTTTACTAAAATACAAAAAATTAGCAGGGCGTGGTGGTGCGTGCCTGCAGTCCCAGCAACTTGGGAGGCTGAGGCAGGAGAATCGCTTGAACTCGGGAGGTGGAGATTCCAGTGAACCAAGATTGCGCCACCGCATTGCAGCCTGGTCACAGAGCGAGACTCCATCTCCAAAAAAAAAAAAAAAAAAAGAAAGAAAGAAAAAGATGTGGAAATGTGAAAATGCACAGTTAATTTGGGAATTTCAAGGTGGTCATCATATTAGAGACATATTATATGAATGTGGGGAAATAGAAAAAAGAGGGACTGGGAATGTAGTCAGGATCCAGCCAATAAAGAGTTTTTTGCATAATAAAGAATTTTGATTTTGTTATACAGATAAAGGAAGACTTTTATGTAGGAGCTAGTATATTTGCAATATGATATAATTCTAAGATAAAGTTTAAAATTAATTAAAATATTTTCCTTACATTTGGTGTTCAATTCATTCAAGTAATACTTTAGCCATTAAACTCTCAAGAAAACTCATGCTTTCAATGATAATTTTGGGGGACTTTACTTAAACACAATGTGTTTAATAATAGCTTTGTGCTACATGTTGACGTCCTAGCAGAAGACTAAATAGTTTTGAAAATTGTTTCTATTCAAGAAAAGTTATTTTGTTTTTGGTTTTTTGCTTTTAACTTTTTTCCTCACCACAAATATTCACATCTGTCTTCTTCTTTGTATTTTACCTGAAGAAGAAGAGACAAATGTGCTTTGAGACTATTTCCTGAAACCCTATTAAGGAACCACACTAATCCTAATATGGTCAATAGTCAAGATTGAGAAGTTAATATTCTTAATTTTAAGTACTATGCTTTAAGATTCCTGTTGTCTCAGTGACTTATAGCTTCTGAGCTAGTTTTATGTTATACATACATGGATGGTGAATCAAGATACCTGTAAACTAGTGGTGATGTTGATATTAATGCTGGAAACTTCATGACTGAACTACAAAAAAGGAGAAAAATAACTCCAAAGAAGCTCCATGCTTAAACCTCCACACCCCTTTATTAACATTCCATCCTACAGAAGCTATCGTATGTTTCCTCAGAGCAAAAATAAATCACCTTCAAAATCCCTCCATTGGGCGGTTATTTATCTCTTTGTTTCATACTCATGCCCGTTCTCCAAGGCACCATGGATTGGGACGCTTAGAAGTCACACAATTTTTTTTTTTTTTTGCCTTATGTTTCAAAAGGCTTATTTAGTAGCCCTTCTGGAGACCAACTGAGAAAATGTTGAATAATGCATTCTGGGGATCATATTTGGATCTCTGTCACCAGCTATCAAAAAGATCCTTAGGGGTTCTCTACAGCATCCTTTTGCCTTTGCCTGTTTGACTAACTCAGACTTCCAGTAAACAACTGAAATATCAGCTTTGTGAAATGTTTTTGATGCATTCAAGCTTACTCGTGTGCATTTCTAAGTGCTGAATTCCCATATTTCCATATGCAATATGCTTTTATTAGAGTAATTTCCGTATTAAATTTATTTATTTTCCTATATTTTATTGTTCTATTCCCCACTAGATTGTAAGAGTCTTGCAGGCAGGACTCACTTTTAATTACCTCTGTGTCTCCAAAATCTGGTGAGCACTAATTATACAAATAGCAAGCACTAAAAAATACTTGAAGAATGATCAGGAATTTGTAATAGCTTTGTGCTAAAATGCAATCTCTTCCCTTACTTCTGATGGAGGTTTTTTTTTTTATTTCAAAAAATGCTATCTGTGGGTTTCACGTCTGCTCAACTCATGGATGAACATGTACAGACTTATTTTCTTGTTATTATTCCTTAGACAGGATAACAACTACTTACATGACACTTACATTGTATTAGGTATTGTAGGTAATCTAGAGGTGATTTAAAATATACAGGAGGATGTGCATAGATCATATGCAAATATCATGCTATTTTATATAAAGAAATTGAAATTTTGGTATCTGTGGGAGGTCCTGGTTCAATCCCCCATGGATACTGTGGGCTGTGGGAGGATCGTACGTATTTATATATAAATATATATACACACACACACACCCCAGTGATTTAAATAAGTGCATAGGTGTGTGTGTGTGTGTATACACACATATAAAAGAAATAATTCTAAGACTGAATGATTGCTTCTTATTAATCTGCCTTTTCTTCATTTAAAAAGTAATCTTAATCTTTATTTTTCTTACTCTATCTCATTTTCCCTATGGTGAAATAGCTTTTAGGAACTGCAGAGGGGCATGGCAGAGTCAGTAGCTCACAAGGTCAGGATTTATGTCCCGAGGCAAATAAAGCAGACAAACATGATACACTTTAGGTATGGGATTTCAGGAACAGAAGTGGAAAGGCACGCTGGTTTGACATTCAGGAATGCTGCAATGCACTTAAAATTAAGGTCAAAAGGCGCTCATGCCGGATATCCCTTACCATTCCTGTGCAGCAGGATTAGGAAAGAACAGATAAGACATTCATTAGGACAAGAATAAATAAACTTGGGGAATAGTCACACAGGGAGAAAATACCAGCTATCTTACCCTGAAAATGAATACGCTTGTGGTTCTGATTAAATAATGAAATAGACCGGTATTTTAAGAAAAATGATACCAGAAAGACTTTGCTCCCTACTCAAACTACTAATCATTATAAATGAATTCTAATGCGTATTTTAACATTTTGTGTTTAGACACTGTAACTTTATGTAAAGGAATGTGTGCTCGTGTTTTTACAATTGGAAGACAGAATAGGTCTCTTTTCTTAGCTTTCATAAATAATGACTAAATTATGGGTTTGTGATATTGTTTTTCCCAGGCCGTTTAAAAATAAAACTAAAAAAAATTATTGCTTTCTCTCTCTCTCTGTGTCATACTGTTTAATCGCATCTTATAATAAATGTTTCTTGGTAATGGCTTAGTTTGGTGACTTTAGTAAGTCTATTTACCTCTTAAATGAAAAGTGAAAAGAAATTTCAATGACTCCTTACTGTCTGGGGAAACTCTGTACTTGGTACCTGACTTTCAGTGGCCAGTGTTAGTGCATTACGGGAAAAAGTACTCCGTGGGTTTTGTTACCATAAATGCATACCCATTTCAAAATTGAAAATCAACTAGTATTTAAAATTACATATTTCAAATAGCAAACATATTAATATCATAGTCATATGTGCCTCTAATGGAACAATAGTAAGAGTAACAATTATTTATTATTATTAGAGTTATTAACAATTATAGTTGTTACCAATTATTTAAAATTAGTTTAAATTATTAATTATTCTTAAATAGTTATTTATTATATAAATGGTATATAAATTATATAAATAGAATTATACATTATAAATAAATATATAGATTATAAATAAATAAAATAAATTTATTTATATATTATAAATATATATGTATATTATGTATGAAGCACTGTGCCAAGTAGTTTTTAATGTAATATTTTCTCCATTTTCCATTATCACACTATGAAGTATTATTATAGTCCCTGTTTTAAAGTCTTAGAGAGGTTAAGTAATATGCCTTCAAGGTTATAGAACCAGGTCTGTTTGATGCCTAAACCTGTGCTCTTAAACAGCATGCTATATTTTTCCTTTTATGCTGAGTGCCAGATATATGGCTAGTGTCTCAAATACATTATTTTTAATTCTTATTATTCCACATTCACAGATGCAGAAGCTGGAATTCAAGCAATCTGTAGATACCTTAATCAAGATCACAATGGCAGGAAGTGATCTGTGGTCTGAACCAATGAATTTTTTTATTTTCACTTTTTAGTACGTCAAAATTTAAACACAACAAAGATGATTTCTCAAAAATAATAATGGTCTATAAAATAATCTAATTATTTAATTTTATTTTTTAAATGGTACTACTAAACCCTGATGTCAAGAACATGATAAAATGACTAAGGTCCACATTTCCTGCTGGTGCTAAATACATCATCATAATTTTATAGATTTGGCAAAGATTCTTAAAGTGATTGAGTTCAAAGATGCTGATATTAGAAATGAAGAAACTGAGGTTCAGTAAAACTGTGCCTTTAGTAAAGCACCCAGCTAGCTAGAGGCTATATGTACTAGTTCTGGTTCTGGCAGCAACCCTTAGTGTAATAGATTTTTTTTATACTGGTTATCAATGGCAATTTTATGACTCTGGAGTTAGAGAGACAGTGTGTTTGTTCTGAGATAATATATTTCTAACCCATGAAAAGAGGATTAAGCCACCTGAGGAATCTAAATAGAAAGTTGTTTACCTATTCAATTTATGCCATGAAAAATTGTATTGCTCAGAAGCATAGGTTGAGTCATCATAGACAAGAGTATGAATTGTAGTTCTGTGACATTAGAAAGTGATGATGTTTCTGATGGTCAGTTTTCAGGTTTGTAACTTATCATAACAAAGTACATATCGCAGTGTGCTTTCTCTTTTTGGTTCACATTATGCATCTTTTGCAAAATGGCGATGATATGTGCATATGTTTGTATAGACATATACATACATATATGCACAGATGTATGAAATACTATACAGATATTAGTAACATAATAGATCACATCAGTAATACTACAAATATAATAATACATTCTATTATAATAGCAGTGATAAATGATGATAAATATTTTATAATGACAACACATTATGCATTACACTAAGTTAATATATATGTATGCAACAGTTACATGCTCACAATCCCTTACTGCAGAATTCCAAATCCCCTATACTGCCATTTAAAGTATTTCTTTTTCAACACCAACACCACATATACTTTCTTCCCCACTAAGCCAGACTCTTGTACCATGTACTCTAAGAGATATTTGCAGTCTCCTGATCCTGCCTAGCAAGTTTTTTGTCACTTTCTTTATGAATGCTTTTTCTACCATCAGAAATATCTTTCAGAAACATCATCCCCCTTCACTACCTCATTCTCATCATATTTATAAGACTAAATGTTTACTCTGTCATTTAAAGGCCCTGGAGAAACTACTCCTGAATTCTTTTCTTATTCTCCAATGAGAAGTATGTTTCCTTATTCTGTATTTCTTTATAACTTTATCTATGCTTTCCTAGTTTCTTGTCACATAGTAATTTGATGTTTTGTAAGCTATGTGAAATTGGGCACTAAGCCATGTCCTCCTGCGACTCTACCGTGGGAATACTCCCTTCCAGTTCAGGGACTCAACACACTTCTTTTGAGTACATTTGTTAAATGATTTTCACAAACAACGACACAGGCATACAGCTGAGTGTGACCTCAACATGGATTTGAGAATAATCTTACTTTATTGCCAATTATAATTTGGGGCCTGTATATTTCAAAACATGATAGAAAGCATGAAAGATTATTTCCAACAGTGCAAATATAAAATTATTTTGTTTTAATATTTATGTGATTACATTAGTGTGAAACAAGCATTATCAGCACATGTTTTTTAGCATTAGTTGACTTAATGAAAATATGAATGAAATGCTACAGGTGGTGAAACAGTATAGGTAATACGTGGATAACTTAAATTTGAGAAATACTATTTCAGAATACTTTAGTTAGGAAAGAGTAATGTGATGGATAGAACTAATAAGTTGACTTATTCTGCAGGTACATGCCTCCCTGTTTGGAGGCAGTTGCTGTGAGTGAATAATTGCATTATTCGTCAAACTCTAGGGCCACACAAGTTTGGTGACAGGTTGACAGAGCTCTCCAACATTTATTAGATGGTACACAGAAGTCAGCAACATGCAGCAGTGAAACTCATGCCAAGGATAAGTACCTATATCCACTTGCTGGAGAATTGTAATAAATTTCTTCTGAATTAATGACTAGATTAAATCATTTTGGTCATTTAGTTCATTTAAAAGATGCTAGTGTGAAAGTTAATTTGAGAAAATACCTTTTAGAAAATCTCCTACGAATTATTCAAGCGGTAGTTCTCCAGTGATAGTCTTTGAAAATGTTATTTAATATTGGAAGGAGTCACCCTTTCAAAATGTGTGTATAAAATTGTATATGTAGGCCAATTTGACTTTACATTGACGTTTTCATATGTATACAAATTACATTATACTGCTTTTAGTATTTTTCTTCTGGTATTGCTTCTCTGCCTTTTGACTAAGATCAAGTATTGCATTTTTTCCTGTAGAAGTAACACAATATTGTAGAAATGAAGCCCTTTGCTTCCCCATTTTCTTTTGATTTTCCTGTCAATGATCATAAATAGACCTACAACATAGCTCTGTTAAGAAATATGTGTATGCATTACCACAGGTCTTCTGTTAGAAAAAAAATCACAGGCATTTGACCGAACAAAGCCCTTATGCAATGTTGTATCTATTGAGATGAGAATACATTAAATATTATTTTCAGAGCACTTTCCATGAAGTTACTGAATAGTGGAAAGTAAACAATAAAATAGTTCTTGTAATACATTGTTCATCCACTTTATAACTACCAATATTCTCACTAGATGATACCTGATAGTTTACTTTTAAGTAAATTAGAAACAGCAGAATCACTCTCAATTAAATGCAATAAAACATGCTTAATGTATTAAGAGTTTGATAATAGGTGCATTTTTGAAATGGTGAAAAAATTGGCCAAGTTACTTTTTTGTCCATTTTGTATTGTACTTGAAAATCACCAACATCTAAAGATTGTTTTTTAAATGAAGAAAATCATGAAGATCTAGGTGGATAAATGAATGAAAACCATTCATTACAGACCCAACCCAAGCACTGCATATCTTAGCACAGGTACTAAATTTTGTACTAGAATGAAAATAAGTTCTGATTAAAGATTATTATTTTGTTCCCTTTTATTATCTCCAGATACATTTTAGATTATCATACACATTTCCTACTTACTTATCTTACTCAAGTTTATCTGATGTCTAAAAGTCTCTAATTTAAATCCTGTATTGCTCAGGGTTCTCCAGAGGCAAAGAACAAATACCATATATATAGATATATAGAAAGAGATTTATGATAAGAGATTAGCTCACATGACTGTGAAGGCTGAGAGTTCTGCAATCTGCTGTCTCTAAGCCAGAGGCCCAGGAAAGCTGGTGGTACAGTTCTAGTACCATCCCAAAGGCCTGAGAACCAGGGAAGACAATAAGGCAAGTCCAAGTCCAAGACTTAAAGCCAGAGAACCAGGAGCATCCATCTCTAATGGCAGGAAAATGTGGATGTCCCACACCAAGTAGAGAGAGCAAATTTGCCCTTTCTCGGTGTTTTGGGTTCTATTTAGGCCCTAAACGAATGAGATGATGCCCAGTCACGTTGGTGAGGGCCATCTTCTTTAAGTCTAACATTTGACACAATTCCTAACTAATTTCTGGAGGTTTGGTGGGGGTGGTTTTTTTATTTGTTTTTAGTTTCCCAGATTTTTGGATCAGAACAAGCTTACCAGCTTTACACATATATGCTTTTATGTATATTTGTATATATAAAATACATATACATATTTATGTATACACACATGCATATATATATTTATATATATATATGTATCCTACCTGTTACTAAAACCTCAATTTTAAACCAGTATCATCTATAAGTTTTTTTTTATTTTTGAGCAACCTCACAAATGCAGAAAATATTGTTATTATTATTATTATTATCAAATCACCACCATTCCAGAAATGAGTATTATTTTAGAACTTTCTTGTCTTAGATTTTTTTGGACCAAAAATCTTCATGTCTATCTATTTATCATTAAAAGTTGTTGGCTCTTCCTTCAAAACGTACCCAGAACTTCTCACTACCTTTGCTGTGACCAGCTTGCCATACAGCTACCCATGTCACCCTAGGCTGAGATTCCATCATTACTGAACTGCGTTATTGCTGTGTTCTCCAAATGGACACCTTTGCCCCCATAGATTTAGATAATGCTATTCTTCTGCCAGTACCTTCCCAATTCCCTCAGAACAAAAGCCAGTGAAGTCACAATGACTTAAAAGACCTTATAAAAACTGTCAACTGATAATTTTTTACTTTTTTTTCTTCTCAGTCCCCTGTTGCGCATTTTGCTGCAGCCAACTTTGTGTACTCCTTATTTCTTGAATACAAACATAACAGCTGCTCCCATCTCAAGGTCTTTGCTGTGTCTGCTCCATTGCTAAGGACGCTCATCAGCAAGACAGCCGCATTGTTCACACCTGCTTTCTCAGTACACCCTGTCTTGTCCACTCAGCTAAAATTATAACCCAGAGGAGTACACGAAGGACACGATCTGAATGGAAGGAGGAGTAACAGGAGTGATACTGTGGATATCAAGAGTCCAGAAGAAGAAAGTGATCAGAAATGTCAACTAACAAAGAGAGGACAGGTAGAACAGTTGTCCTTAAATGTCTTCACTAATGTACTCCATAATTTTTTTTAACTATGTATGCTATGGTAGGAAGAAGAATGACCCTGCTAAAGATATCCACATCTTAATCCCTGGAACCCGTGACTGTGTTATGTTACACAGCAAGAGGAAATTAAAGTGGAAGTTGGAATTAAGGTTGCTAATCTGCTGACTTTAAAATAAAGAGATTATCTTGGATTATTCAAGTGGCCCCAACATAATTACAAGAGTCGTTTGAAGTAGAAAAAGTAAGCAGAAGAGGAGGTTAGAGTCAGAGAGAGATTGGAAGATGCTGATGCTATGCTGCTGGCTTTGAAGATGGAATTAGGGGCTATAACCTAAGAAATGCAGGTGGCTTCTAAAAGCTGGGAAAAGAATCAGAATCAGCCCTACAACCTCCAGAAACAATACAGCCTTCCCAACACCTTGATTTTAGCCTAATAAGATGTATTTCTGATATCCTATCTCCATAACCATAAAATAATAAATTTGTGCTGTTTTATGTCAAAAGTAAATAAATAATAAAATTGCAGCTCTATATTACACTCGGCACTTTTCATACAACCTTAGCATGTATATTTTTTACAGCACTGATAACTTCCTAAATGTGTTATTACTTATTATATATATATCTATATATATATATCACTTCTTCTTTGTGTTTTCTATTCAAATATAAGAAAGGCAAGGGCAGGTTTTTCTGTTTTTTGTTTTTGTATATTGCTGGATGCTCAGTGACCAATACAGAGTCTATAACAAAGACCATACCCATATTTTATTATGATAATATGCTATCTTTTTACGTGCATATTCAAGTCTCCCCGGATGGACTTTTCTTAAAAGGCAGAGACTGGATTTAATCTTCATAGAATCTCACTGCAAACAGCACTTCTATACCTTAAACAAAGAAGATACTCATTACATATTTGTCAATTAATAGGTATTGTACATGTTTTAGTCTTTGGGAACTAACTCCAGAAATGTAGGGCTGCCTTTTGGAAAGTCTTTCTTTTATACCTCATGACTTGATTTGATCAGACAATTCAAAGAAGAAACTGTTTTGCTAAAATATATAGCACATGCTGTTCAGAAATCACAGTTGAAAAAAAAAATAGAGGTAAAAAGTGTTAACAAGAGGAAGACGTCTTGTTTGGTGGTGAGTAATGAGGACCAGGTAAAAGGCCCATTGGAACAGAAAGATTAAACGTTATTCCAGATGACAGTGATTGCCAAGAATATGCTCATGCTGAGGCCCAGTTTCAAAGGCTAAAAACGAATAACAGGATGGAAGCAGTTATCGTCTTCACAAGAATTAAACGAAGAAAAAGTCTCACTTCGCCTCTTTACTTTGACTATCAGCATTGGAGTTGTAAAAATATTCATGAGTTCCGGAGAGAAGAAAATAATTCCAGGAGACACGATAAGGCATTTTATACACTTTACCTCTGTGTTTCTCCTGAGCATTTGTTTTGATTCAGCATTCCTTGATTTTTTAAAAATGTATACACACTACTTATGTAAAATTAAATATGTTAAATTCTGCTGGCTCTGTCATAAATCGTTGAATGTCATTCAGAAAGAGAGTTAGCTTTCTAAAATTTATATCCTTATCTGTAAGTTAGAAAGAGAAACAGACCTCCCTTCCAGGGTTGTTTTAAATTTTAACATTTGTAATATATACAAAACACAAACAAAGATAATTCTCAGTTATTTACAAAATTATAATGTTGTTACCTAAAATTTTGTATAATATCCTCAAATTCTTGTATTCTACCATAAATGTATGTGGGGTCGGGGAGGGACTCAGTGAAGTGTTTAAAGCAAAGTAGTTTCCATGTAAATCAAAAGAAAAATGAGTTATAATAATTGACTATATTTTACATATACTATATGTAGGTATATTCTTCATTTAGCTCATTGCCTCAATATGCATTTGATATCTTTGTTTTTTAAAGAGACAAGGTCTTTGTTGACCAGACTGGAGTGAGTGGGGCCGTGATAGTTCACTGCAGCTTTGAACTCCCAGGCTTAAGTAATCCTGTTGCCTCAGCCTCCCAAAGAGCTGAGACTACAGGCATGTGCCACCATGCCAGACTAAATTTTCTTTTTCTTTTCTTTTTTTTTTTTTTGAGACGGAATTTCGTTCTTGCTGCCCAGCTGGAGTGCAGTGGCGCAATATCGGCTCACTGCAACCTCCACCTCCCGGGTCCAGACGATTCTACTGTCTCAGCCCCACAAGTAGCTGGGATTACAGGTACTTGCCACCACGCCCGGCTAATTTTGTATTTTTGATAGAGATGGGGTTTCACCATGTTGGTCAGGATGGTCTTGAGCTCCTGACCCCAGGTAATTCACCCACCTCAGCCTCCCAAAGTGCTGGGATTACAGGTGTGAGCCAACACTCCAGGCCTACTTTTTTTTTTTTTAAATTTTTTGTGGAGACAGGGTCTCCCTGAGTTCCCCAGGCTGGTCTCAAACTTCTGAGCTCAAATGATCCTTCGACCTTGGCCTCCCAAAGTGCCGGAATTACAGGCTTAAGGTAACGTGCCCAGCCCTATTTGATCTCTTATTCCTTTTCCAGGTTTTGAACCTCTGGTCTAACATTTTATTTTAAGTTTTCTTTTTTCTTTCTCATTTTTCTTGGACATATATGTAGTCACTCTGTGGAGAGTACATTAGATTTTCCTAGGAACTATACCAACTTTTGCTTGTTATTTTGCAGCTAAATTTGAAGTGAAACGAATTATGTGTAGATAAGAATAAGTGCAGAAAATCTATTCATTCAGTCAGTGATTTATTTAACTTTTCTGAATACAAATCCTGTGGTTGGTCAGAGGCCAGATTCTAAAACGTATCTGACTGCTGAGGTGAAGACTCACAGAATGACCTAAGGAGATTTTCACTGCAATTATGAAGAAAAGTGGGGAAAAAAATCAATGATGCAGTTAAGAGTGTTACAATAGATTAAACATAGGAGGATGTAAACACGCTTAGAATTGAGTCTTCATCTCCCGCTGGGTTTGAGATAGAGAAAAGACATTTTATCAAAGAAATCATGGCTAAGCCCATTCAAAAATAAAATTAATACTAAGCAGTTAAGCCAGGCACAGTGGCTTGCACCTGTAATCCCAGCACTTTGGGAGGCCAAGGCAGGTGGATTACCTGAGGTCAGGAGTTCAAGACCAGCCTGACCAACATGGAGAAACTCCATTTCTACTAAAAATACAAGATTAGCCGGGTGTGGTGGCACATGCCTGTAATTCCAGCTACTCATGAGGCTGAGGCAGGAGAATCGCTTGAACCCAGGAGGTGGAGGTTGCGGTGAGCCAAGATTGTGCCATTGCACTCCAGCCTGGGCAACAAGAGCAAAATTTCATCTCAAAAAAAAAAAAAAAAAAATACTAAGCAGTTAAATAAAGGTAGGGAAGTATTCCAGGTGGCGTAGTTTGCATCATTTATTCCCAGTTATTTCCCAGCTTGTTATAGGAGTAACAGTCATAACTTCACCATGTAACTTCGTAGTATTCCCTAGTAGTGTAGACAAGAGTATATTATCTGCTCTAGTCACTTAAAGTTTGATTATGTGACTTGCTGTGATTGATGGCGTATCAGCAGAATGAACAATTTTTTATTTCTGAACTAAGACCTTAACATGCAACATGTGTTACCACTCACTCTCTCATAATTCTGCTTTCCATTCAGAAGGTTATGCCTAGTTAGATGTTAGTTCCAGACTGAGAAGAAATTTGAAGCCAGCTCCAATCAAATCTATGATGTGAATCCATATTTAGGTTAATGGTGTCTCAGTTGATCTGCAGAACTGGGAGTAAGAACTCTTTTATTGTTAGTGTAAGCCACTGAGTTCAAAGATTGTTGTACAGCATTATTTTAGAAAAACTGATCAATCAATGTATTTGCATATGTGTGGAAGCACTAAGATGTGAAAGATTAGATTATACCATGTCTAAGGGCTTCGAATATAATAATATAAGAGGGAAAGGGCAGGAAACCTGGAGTCTTGAATAACATGTCAGAGAAATTATAATAGACCAAAGGCAATTGAGAGCCAAGTATAAATTTTAGGGAACTGAATAACTGAAGAGTAGACTGATATTATGAAGACATTTTATTAGCACTGTGAAAGATACATTAAGGAGCGTAAAAAAGTGGAAGCTAAGAGACCAGCAAGAGCCAGACATAGATAATGTAGTGAGAAATAATGAGAGTGTAACATCAAGTTGTAGCAATAGGGATGGACAAAAAAACCTTGAGTAAAGGTATAAAATATTTAGAACCAGTAGCATCTTTTTTCTGGAGTGTGGAAATGCATTTTTAATAAGCCATATTATTCTAGTAATAAGTTGCATTTGGTAAGACACAATGAAACAATGTTGGTATGCAGAATAGAAATCTCTGGAAGATGATACTGTATTTACTTTCGTCTCACATATGGCATTCACAAGTAAAATGCCAAAGTGTGAAATTCATATTATGTAGTACACACAGGAAGATATCTAAAGATCCCTGTAGGCTCTGGGATGTATTTCTTATTGTTAACCTCATTACTAGATTCATTTGTTTATTGAAATAATCTGTATCTTGTTATTATTTATAATTAAGAATTTTCTCGAATCTTTTCCTCAAATTTTGGAACATGTGGAATATAATTTCTCTTAAAATGATTCCTAGAGAAAATCATTCTTCAAAATTAATCATATTAATGAAAATATGATAATAGGTTTTCTTTTTTTAAGAATGAAGCTTGTGATATAAAGTGAGGTTAACAGTCCCACTGTGGCTTATTTGATACATTCATAGATGTTCATTCCCATATATTTTTTCCCTAGGGGTTTGTCATTTCTAGATTTAAAATTTGCCTTATAACATTGTTTCTCCAAGGTATATGCTTCTGATACGTAAAATGTTTGTAATTTTGTTAATTCTGCCATTCATTAGCTCAATAATTTCTTTCATTAACGCCCTGTAAACTATGAATTTCAAAGAAGTCTATTCTGCATTCATTTGGTTCATAAAGTTTCCTCTTTGTGAATGTTAGATTAATAAAACAACTTTACAACATTCGTTTAACATGGTTCCTCACTTGTATGAACTTTTTAAAAAAGGTATGACTTGTGGCTGAAAATTTTCAGAGGAGTTACTAAATTCATAGTTTTCCTGTGTATGTTCTACTATCTTTTCGCATGTAAAGAACAGCTTTCTGTGGATGCCTTTCCATATGCTGTGTATTCATAAAGTTTCTATTGAGTATGAGTTTCCCGGAGGATGACAAGATGATTCCACTTAGAGTTTCTCTTTATATATGATTTTGTTGGTATCTCCTGTGAATTCACTTTTCAGAGTTTCATATGATTATCAACATACAGGAGAGAAACCCTATGGTTGTAATGAATGTGGAAAAGCCTTTACGTTCAAGTCACAGCTCATTGTACATCAGCGAGTGCACGCTGGAGTAAAACCCTATGGATGCAGTCAATGTGAAAAAACCTTTAATTTGAAGTAGCATCTTTTAACCTATTTGGAGAAGCTGAGGATTAGGGGAACTTAAATCAAGATACTAAGTGGACAATGGTATCTTTCATCAGGGTATGGGCTACACAAAAAGTCAGATTTGAGGACAAATATTAAAAGCTGTATTTTGCATAACAAGTGGAGGTAACTTTGGGTTATAAAAGTAGAAATTTTTCTAAATCAGATATATCGGTTTGAAGTTGATGACTAAGTGCCAGGGTGGATAAATGGATTAAGAAGTTATCAGCACATAGATCTTAGTTATAAGCTTCTTCTGGAACAAAATGTATAGACTGAGTAATAGGAGATGGCAAAAGGGAGCACCTTGGGTATATCAGTACTTATAATTCGGAAATAAGAACATACACAAAGAAGACTGAGAAAAAATTATGTAGCCAATAAGAGAAAAAAAAATATAGCACATGGTATTCTGGACACCAGATAAGGAAAGTTTGAAGAAAGAGAAAATTGCCGTTTCAAATGATGAATAAAGAATACACAGGAAAATATTGAGAGATGGTCTTTGAGTTTCTCTATTAGGAGGTAATTGTGATCGTGCATAGAAGAGTTGCAGTGTCCTAGTGCTGTTTAAAATCAGATTGAAATTAGTTTAGGAGAAAAAAGTGTGCTGGAAAACATCAAAATATTTTTTAGGTAGCTTGGTCATAAATTATAAGGAAGAAATAAAGTGCTAGATGATAAGACACAGGATCAATATTGATTGATAATTTTATTTTTGTTTTAAAATAATTATACCTAAACAGTCTCAGATTCTAAGAATAAAAAAAAGTCCAGTGACAGAACATGATATACAAGAAAAAGTAGAGAAAAATAATGGAAAGGGGATGGCACTAGAGAGAGGAGTAGAGGAAACCAGCCAGATCACAAGCAGAAGAATCAGCTGTAGAACTAGGAGTGTTTAATTATACTTGAAAAGCAAAAAGAAGTAAAACAAAGTAATTTTATTGTCTTTGTTTTCTTTGTCAGATTCTCTAATTCTATCTGTGTCCTCCAGTATTTGAGTATGAGTCAAAAGTACCTATTGCATTGTTCGTACAGTAATTTAAGATTGTATTTTAGTTATTGTGATGATACATGTCTTAGTCTGTTCAGGCTGTTATAACAAAGAACCTTGACTGGTAATTTATAAACAATAGAAATGTCATTTCAGAGGCTAAAAAGTCCAAGATCAAGGCACTAGAAATTCAGTGTCTGTTGAGGACTGGTTCTGTTTGCTTCAAAGATGGTGTCTTCTATCTGTGTCCTCACATGCCTGAAGGAAGGGACAAGCTCCTTAATGCCACTTCTGCAAGGACACTAATTCTATTCATGAGGGTGGAGACCTTGTGACCTAATTACCTACCATAGGCCAAGCCTCTTAATTCTATAGTGTTGGGAATTATGTTTCAGCATTCAAATAGCAACACATTACAGATTCTGTGTTTTTTTGTTTTGTTTTGTTTATTTTTGTTTTTATTTATTTATTTATTTTTTGCTTTTTTCCCCCTTTTCTTTCTGGTAACAATTTAACTTAGATGAAATCAAACTCTAAGCCCTATCTCTCGTACTATTAATGGCAGCTGGAATGTGGTCAATTATTTCAGCCTTTACTGAGCTGCCTTGAATATCCTCCATGAAAGTGCCAGCCAGAGACCAGAACAGAATTTATACACACAAATTGGGGCATTCTCCTTCTGGATACCTCTGCTCGTGATTACATCTCACTTTCTGTCATCTGTAACCTTCCCAAACAGTCTGCCTACTTTTGCTAAATTTACAGTGCTTTAAAGTAGTTGATTTATATGCTTTCTCCAGAGTGTATAGTTGTTTTCAGAGACAGAGTTGACCCAAATTGAGTTCCCTCCAGGAGAAATGTCACAAGTTAATTTTGAAACAGTCTTTCACCTGTAAATTTGCAATTCCTATCTGTGGATAATCGGCTGAAAATAATCTTAAAGAGAATTATTTATGATCATATACCATTTAACAACAGAGAACATAAAAAGTAAAAAAAAAACTAAACATGTCTCACTTTAAGACATCACTTAAAGTTTCTGAATGAAGCAGTTATTACTAATGTTTGTAGTCTTAGATTAATTAAAAAGCCAAGGAGTTCTAGGTGTAAGATAGGGTGCCTCATTTTATATATATATTGTGTCTTCAGCTTGTCTTCTATAAAAGCAGGCCTTATCACTTAAAAATTATCTATATTTATCAAGTCATATTTTCTAGAAATTAGAGTATTATAGTAAAAATGTAATTCTATATTTTTGTGAATAATTAAGATGAAAAACAAAGCCATATTTTTCCATAAAGCCCTATTTCAGAAGTAAAAGTACATATAAATTTAATAGTTGTTTTGCAGTTGAAATGACTACTAACTGTGATGACTCAGAATTTTTCTTCATTTTGACTCAAGCTTTTATGTGCCCTCCCCAAAACCCTTGTTTTTGTTCATTCAATACACTTTTCTTTTTATAAAAACAACTTTTAAATATGCTTAGCTGAAATTTGTTCATGATATCAATGTCATTCATCTTGTTTGGCTTCAAAAATAATTCACCAAGGTTTGCTTAAATGGTATAAATTAATGTGTTCCCCAGGCTTCCCATTTCCTGTACTGACAGTGATGATGGACCACTGCCTGCATCCACTTTCTCCAGGAAGTTTTGTTATAAAGCTGCAAGAGATCCACACTCATGCCCCATACTACTTGTGTTTGAAGGCAGAGAGTCTAAATAAGAGAACCAATCAAAGCAAAGCAAAGAAATAGGCAAGCTCACTGTCAAACAACTTAACAAAGTAGCAAATTGAATCCACAAAACAGCCTTAATTCACATCCAGTTTCCTTTTCAGTTTAACATCAAGACAACTGCATTTACTCTCCTCTTAATTTTCACAGTTATTTGAATGAAACGAAATGCAGTGACCATCAAAAGACAGACAGAAAGAAAAACAATAAATAGTTTAAAATATTGTATTGAAACCAGCAAAATTCTGATACCAGAATCTGACCAGGACATTATAAAAAGAAACATACAGAAAAATATTAATCATGAACACAGGGATAAAAATGTTACAAAATATTGGCTTAACAAATGTAGCTAGATATAAAAGAATAGTGCATTATGGCCAAGAAGGTTTTATCTCAGTAATGCAAGATTAAGTCATCATTCAATTCACACAGTAAAAGAATAACGTAGAAGACTGTTATAAATAGTTTAATAGAAACAGAAAAATGATTTAACAAAATTCAATACCCAATGTAAAAAAAAAGTAGAGAAATAGAGATGAAGAAGAAAAAGTCTAGAGCTAACATCGTATTAGGATGAAATATTGAAAGTTATTATGCTAATATTTGAATGAAGCAATAATGCTTATGCTTTCCAATTTTATTCAATATTATGCTAGACGTTCTACCACTGCAATATGAGAAGAATTTTTTTTAAAAACCACACACATAATCCCAGCACTTTGCGAGGCCGAGGCAGGCAGATTGCGAGGTCAGGAGATCAAGACCATCCTGCCTATCACGGTGAAACCCCGTCTGTACTAAACATACAAAAAAATTAGCTGGGCGTGGTGGTGGGCACCTGTAGTCCCAGCTACTGGAGAGGCTGAGGCAGGAGAATGGCATGAACCCAGGAGGCGGAGCTTGCAGTGAGCCAAGATTGAGCCACTGCACTCCAGCCTGGGTGACAGAGCGAGACTCCATCTCAAAAACAACAACAACAACAACAACAAAACCACACACACACACACACAGATTGTAATGATATAAAACTGTCTTTATTTATAGATGGTGTGTTTGTTTAGCAAGAAAATCCTAATAAATCTTTATAAAACCATTAGAACTACTATGCAAATTAACCATGGCCACCAGGATACATAGTATACACATATACACACATAAGCATACATATATATATACACATATGCACACACACAAACACACACAAATGTATTTCTATACACTAGCAAATTAAAATTGAAAATTAAATTTATAACATCAAAACCCAAAGCCAACTATAAAATATATGTGACAATTCTAAATTGAAAAAATAAAAAATATTGTAGAGAAAAATTAAACAAACGTTTAATAGATTGCTACATGAATCATGCTTACTGATTGAAAGACTGTTTTTGACATATTAATCCTCTCAAATGGTCTATTGATTCAACGACACTTCGATCAAATACTAGTACGATTTTTTGAATAAAAATTAACAAATTGGGTTTGAAATTTATTTATATGTTGAATCTGAGAATAGCCAAATCAATCTTGAAACAGAAAAAATAATTTAGAAGATGCATTATTTTATATCAACACCTTAAAGTTTTATGGCCAATACAACATGGCAGTTGTGTAAGCATAGCCAAATAAATCAATGTAAATGAATACAGTCTTGAAATACACTCATACATGTTGAGTTAATTTAATGTTTACATTGCATTAAAGGAAATCAATGGGGCAAAAGAATGGGTTTTTAGAAAATGATGCTGGAAAAACTAGATATTTACATGGAAAATAGCGTGAGTTTCAAGCACTATACCATTTCTAACACAAAAAGGTGGACCATAGACCTAATATATAACCATTATTAAGTTTTAATTTAGAAAGAAAACATCACAGGGAGAAGGTGGCTATCTACAAGCCAGGAGAGAGGCCTAGAAAAAATCAGCCCAGCTGGTACTTTGATGTTGGACTTCCAGCCTTCAGAACTGTGAAAAAAATACATCTCTGTTGTTTAAGCCACCCAGTCTGTGGTTCTTTTCTATAACAATTTTAGAAAACTAATATAATGACTAGATTTCTTTATGCTGTTTGAAATAAAAGAGAAGGGAGAGAGAGGAGAGGACAGGAGAGGAGGGGAGGGGAGGGGAGGGGAGGGTAAGGGGAGAGGAGAAGGGGAGGGAGAAGAGAAGGAGAGGAGAAGAAGAGAGGAGAAGGAGAAGAGAAAGAAGAGAACTTTCTGGTGAAAGCAATGTTCTATAACTTGATAAGGGTGGCAAGAACATATAGATTTGTCTTCTCCATTGAATTGCACACTTGAAATCTTTGTATTTAATTTTATGTAAATTATACTCCAATAAAAATGATTAATAGTTGACATTATCTTTCTTTCTTCTTCAGATTTTTTACTTTCTATCTTTTGGTTAGTTTATGAATTGTGACAGAGCAAAAGTAACAGTAATGAGAAGCAGTATGAAATTTCCCTCTGAAGGAACCCCTCAAGGCCATAATGAGATGCTGGTTAGCAATATGTTAGAGTTATCTGGATAGTCCTCTATGTCACAAAAAGTTTGAAATGGCATAAAAATAGATTTATACCTAATTTAACTCTTCTGTCAACAAGCAGTTCATGAGGATAATAAAAATATGTGTGTCAGAATATCTTTTAACATTGAAAATTATTTCATGTATATGTCATTTTATTATCAAATATACAACTAAATTAAAATATAAAAATAAACTAGTTATCCAAACAGGGAAAATATTATTAATCTCCAATTTACAGATGATGAAAAATGCTTGAAGAGAAAATCTGCCCCACCCAAAACTGCATAGTTAGTATGTAGTATAACTGAAACTGAATTCAAATACATTGATTCTGTTTTTCAAGTAGTCTCTCTTACTGGAACAACTTTCTTATTAGACAAATTACTATACCAAACTCACACTTGCATTATTCATGGATCCTCTAGAAGAAAATAATCTGAGAAGCAAAAAGAATCAGATAGAAGGGTTTAGGGAAGATAAAAGTGGACAACGGACTTCTAATAAGTGGTCACATTTTTTTCTACAATCAGTACAGCTACTTTCTAGAGATATAACGATAAAATTAACTTTGAGGTTTGGAGAGTTAAATGTTTTCAGAAGCTGGGGGATGAAGTGTCTTAATTTCAGAAAACAGAGAGAGACCATATATTTTCAGATATGCTTAGCTTCACTTTTGTTTTTGATTTCCATGAAAAATGCATCATCTTGCCAAAAGTAATCATTCCTTGGTCTAAGAACAGATTTTATGTCATATGTCTCCATTTACTATCATTGTTCACTTATCATTTGGCAGTTGGCTGTCACATGTTGACAAGCTGTTTCTGTCTTCTCTTTTCTGCCATCCATTTACATTGAGATTTAAAGAAATATCTTTTTACTTGATAAAACTCTAGATGCAAAATATAAAATTGCCTTTTGCCATAATCACTTTAATTAAATTATCTTTCTAGATCACCAGTCCTTGAAAAGGTATTTTTGCTCTCCCTTTGAGAATTTCCTCAAAGTTATAATGTTTTTCTCCAATAATTTTACTTAAAAATCTAAGTTTCATAATATGGAGTAAAAATTGGTTTTAATTTTCTTCTTTCAGCTTATTAGTGAGTATTGATTCTTCAAAAGGGCTCTGCCACATCTCCATTGTTTTATCTTAGGAATAATTTAGATATACCTATAACATTTCTGATTTTTCTGACACTGAAAACTCAATTTGGATATCTGACATTTTTTCTTCCCAAACTTTACCTAACCCATTGCTTATAGAGCTCCTTTTATTAAATGTTCTGAAGAGTTCATTGATTTTTTTACCTGTCAATATCATAGACAGAATAATAATTGATTCTACTCATTCAGGTTCTACTGTGAGCCACAATTTTCCTGGTATATAAAAACTGATTTAAATCTAGCAGTAATCTAGGAAGGCAGAATTTATTATTCTGGATTTATAGAAAAATAAAAATTCAGAGAGGTTAGGTGAGTTGACTAATGCCACACAGATGGTAAGTAATTGAGCTGAGACAGAGTCATAGGTCTTTCTGACTTTTAGAGCTCTCAGAGCTTGGCAATACCCTTGTTAGCTACGCATCCCTGGGTTTGATGTGTTCTATTAACCAGCTCCATAACTTTACATGAGTCAGGCCCCTTGTCTGTTACTCCAACCTTGCCACTCACTATAAAAATTGCAGCCTCCTGTCTGATGGTTGTTAAGCACCACTATCTGGTCTTTATTGTTTCAGATCTTATCCTCCCAATTGCTATCATGAGGCCAATTCCATAATGGCCGCTTTTACAAATCGGCCCTAATGCAGAGAGCTACCACTGAAATTCTCATGGACGTCAGGGCCTCTCTAACCTATGTTACATTTAGCCAGCCTCACAGGGAGCTCTAGAGCAAAACAGGTCCTGTCAAAGTTGTCCCCCACTGGAACTAAATAACTCTACCTCCAACAGCTGTTAGATATGGGCTTTCAGCTGTTAGATTTTGACCCTTATTAAGGCATCTTTCTGCAGATGAGATGACTCTGAAAAATTCAACAGCTGAAGGGTCTGGTACAGGATAGCTGTACAATTAATGTGTAATAAATGAATGAATGGGTAATGAAGGTGTCATGGAGATTTTTCAGTAAATACAATAGATTAAGAAAATATTAAATAAAATATTAAAAGTTAGCATGCTATCTCTACCAGTATTTATTCATCAACTGCTTATTTAAAATGTCAAAAACATTTCCAAACTAATTCAGCCATCGCCAATATAATGACATAACAATGAATACAATGAAACATTTAGTGAGCATCTGAAAGCTTGTCAAGTACCTCACATCTGGCTACTTGGGACTCTGTAAATTCTGTGTTGAATGTAACTCTTCATCATGGTGTTTTGGCTCAATGTAGACACAGCTGTGCAATCCTGCTGGCAAGTCCCACCTGTGAACACTAGATAGTGAAATCCTTATTTTCAAATAAAATACTAAGATTTATGCCAACACTTCATAAAGTTTCTAGGTGATATTTTAATTATTAAGACTTTTTGCAGTCATTTTCATCTTCATTCAATTTCCTTTCATTGAGAATAATAAAAGGGAGAGGAAAAAAACTCTCTGAAATTGACAATGATCTTCGTTTACACCTTGTGTTTTCTTTTAGAGGCCGCAAGCTCAAGTTCAAGGTACTGGCAGGGTCATGATTTCTGTAATGTCCCTAGGAGAAGATCCTTTCTTACCTCCTTCTTGCTTCGAGTGTTTGCTAGTAATTCTTGTCTTATAGATACATCACTCCAGTATCTGCCTTCCTGTGGGCTGAAAGTTTGTGTTCCCTCAAAATTCATTTGTTGAAACCTAATCCCCAATGTGATGGTATTAGGGGGTGTGCCTTTGGGTGATAATGAGGCCATGAAGGTGGAGTCCTCATAAATAGAATTAGTACCTATACAAGTACCTATACAAGCTGAAGGGGCTAGAGTTCTTTTTTTAATTATACAAAGACAGAGAGAAGGCACCATCTATGAGGAAGTAGGCCATCACTAAATTGCCCAGTATCTTGATCGCGGACTTCCCAGCCTCCAGAACTGTAAGAAATACATTTCTGTTGTTTATAAACCATGAAGTTTAAGGTGTTCTACTGTAGCAGCACAAAGGGACTAAGACATGTCTCTGTCATCACATGACACTTTTTCTGTTGTGTCTAAATTCTCCTCTTCTTATTAATATGCCAGTCATTGGGACAGGGTTCACCCTAATCCAGTATTGTTATAACTTGATTACATCTGCAAAAACCCTATTTCCTAATAAAGCCACATTCACAGACACTGGGGTTAGGACTTCAACATCCTTAGGATAGGGGATTGGACACAGTTAAACCCACAATAGTGGGCTATTCACATTTATACTTGAAATTCATACAGAGTTCACAGACAATCCATCTCAACTTTTCCATTTCCTGTATATTTTTACTTTTAGTTATACATACAGTTGTACATAAATAGCCTTTAAACAGCTCTTCCATTTTATTCTAAAATGTTTCTAAAATCAGAACAAAGACTGAAACTAAACTTCTGTGGATAAACAAATTGCATTGTGGAAAGAAAATCTGATCCGCAAAGCTTCAAAATTGTATTTTTTGTACATGAAAAGAATAATGTATTAGCTTATTCATGTTTTCATTCACTTCTTCAAAATTTATCTTTGAATAATACTTACTGGAAGCAATAGAGTCTCTCATGAAACTTCCAATCTAATTGTGCAAGACAGTAGAGATCTTTTTTTTAAAAAAAAGAGATGTACACCTACAAATTGTGACTAAACAGGGAAAAGAGCATACACTGTGGGAATAATGTGCAAAATCTTCACAATGAGAAGGAATATGCCACACTAGATGAACTCAAAGAAAGTTATTGGAGGCAAAGGAAGTTTGGGTGAGCCGAGGAAGGGTGAAGAGGCAGGATTATGGAGAACATTCAGAGCCTAAGAAGGCTGAAGTGTCACCTACTCAAGCCACTATCTGGCTGATAGTTGATAATGATAATGATACAGGAACCTGTAATTAACTCTTACGAAAATGGTAGTATATGAGTTATTATGACACAATGCAGGCCTCTTTAAATGTAACATTAAATCACAAATTATAATACTTTGTGTTACATATAAACTTCCATTATGCTAAACCTGGAATGTTTCCTTCAGTGTATCCTATATATTTTTTAATATCCTTCGATTAAATTTTAATAAACATTTCTAGCGCAACTACCAATCATTGCCAGCAATGTTTTCTTTATTTTTAAGCTTTGATGTATAATTGACAAAAAAGATATATATACATACACACACACACACACACACTCACATATACATATATAAACACATATATGTATTCAAGGTGTACAACACAATGCTTTGATAAAGGTTCACTGTATCAAGTGGATTATCACAATCAAGCAATTAACATAGCCGTCTCCTTACATAGTTTTCTTTGTGTGTGTGTGTTAAAAATACTTAAGGTCTACTAGCTATTTCAAGTATACATTATTAACTGTAGTCACCATGGTGAACATCAGATCTCTAGAACTTACTTACCTTAGAATTGCAAGTTTGTACCGTTTAATCAATATCTCCCCATTTTCCCCACCCTGTGACCCCTGGAAATTGCCCTACTAATCTGTTTCTATGAGTTAGACGTTTTGAGATTTCACATATATGTGAGTTAAAAATGAACAGAAATGTTTGGAAAATACATGATGGAGTAAATAAATGTCATATATATTTTGCATTTTACATCTAGAAATACATGGTAGAAGCTGTTTTTATTGCTTTATTTTTACATTAGTATAGAAATCTACAAGGTTATGATGAACTAAGTCTACTTACTTGTACACACTTCTGTTTCATTACAAAGTCTTAAAATTATTTTCATATTTGTAGAGCTAGATTTTATTATTTACAGTTGAGAATTAAAGTCCACTATGACTGAAGTGAGTTCCACAAGGTTGTAAAAGATATGTATCAGCAGAACCAGGCCCACTGCTAGCCAATATGCCACCTTTGAATGAATTAGGAAAAGGCATCCTGCTTCCTAAGAGTTACAGGCAAAAGGATGGGTGGAGCTGAAACCTAGTATACACACCAGTCATCAAGCACACCTCCCAGTGCAGGGGTGCATTTGTATTCTTGCCTGTGACACAACCTACCCAGCTAGCTGGGTATTCCTAAGCAGAAGAAAAATGAGAACTCAACTGTCCCAATTATAATCCAACATGGTACCCTCATTTCTGTAACTTTACTGAGGAAAAGTGTTTTTCACATAGAGGATAAATAACAGTGGTCATTGCCAAAGTAACTAATAATTTGCTAGGCACTTTGGTCAATTTTTTAAAACAAAGCATAACTATTGCAACCATACTTATTCCTGCATTCATATCTACATACATTCCTTCAACAAGTACTGTCCTAGATGCTGAATTAAACGTATGTGACTCTAAATCTTGTGAGAAATATTGGAGAGACTGCACACCTGAGAATTACAAAATAACTCTAGGCACATAATGACTTCATCCAACTCCTGCACCAAGAGACTTGACCAAACTTTAACATGGTTTCTAGTAGCCAAAGGCTATCCACCCAGCCTTCTTTTGAGTTTGTACTAGACCATTCTTTCATTGCTATAAAGTAACTGAGACTAGGTAATTTTTAAAGAAAAGAGGTTTAATTGGCTCATGATTCTACATACTTTATAGGAGTATGGAGCTGGCATCTGCTTGGCTTCTAGGGAAGTCTTAGGAAGCTTATAATCATGGTGGAAGCTAAAGGGGGAACAGACGCGTCACATGGCAAAAGTAGGAGCAAGTGAGCATGAGAGAGAGAGAGAGAAAGAGAAAGAGAGAGAGAAGGAAGAAGAGGAGGAGATGTCACACACTTTTAAATGACTACATCTCTATAGAACTCATTCACTATTGCAAAGACAGCACCAAGCCATGAGGGATTTTTCCCATGATCCAAATATCCTAATGCTGTCAGAGCTCCTGTCTAAAACAAACAAACAAACAAACAAACGACAGAACAACAAAAAACCTCAAGGCTGTCAAAAAAACTTTTCTGTTTGTTCCAGCCAACACCTGATGATAGGCCCCTTATTTCCCTTGCTCAGAGCACTTACTATAAAGGTCTTACAATTATGAACTCTTCCCCCATCTCGTTCAGATGTCTATATATCTCCTACCCCTCAGGAGTGTCTTTCTCAAGGACTTGAAAAACTATTTTAAGTGTAATCATAAGGAAAGATGGGGTCTCTGTCTTCCAGCATCTGTGAGAAGACAGGATTACCAGCTAACAGACATGGTTGGCCTAACCACGCTTACACTGAATAGCCCTTTGTGCATGTTCACTTTTTTAAAGCTAATTCAGCTCCTGCTTCTCTCTTCCCAATCCTCTTTTCTCCCTTTCAAATGCCCTATCACCTCCGTGAAAATTGGAATGGAGTTCAAATATTTCACTGAATAAAGTCTGTTCTCACCACTTTAATACCTGGCTTTTCTTGTCTTTGAAATACCCCAACAGCCTTCTGAAGGAAGCAAACATACTTTGAAACATGTGACCTTACCATCCTGGCAGCAGATACTGGAACCAGAGGTAATATACCTGGTGCCACAATAAGAATCTACTGTATATGTTCAGGGGAGCCCATGGTTAGCCTAAAATGAATGCCCTTCCCAAAAAGGATGCTTTATTTCGGAAGGAGATGATGACCGATCACATCCTCATTTTTCAGAAGGCTGAACATAGATACAAAAAAAGTGGGGCCCTCTATGTAGAGCTACACAAGGAGAAAGCAGTACGTTGAAGCAAGGAATGGGAGGAAGTAAGTGAAAAAGTAATGAAGCCAAGAGAAAGAAAAAACCATGAGGGTGGAAAAAAAAGAAAAGGAATAAGAGTTAATTGCGATAGGAAGGAAACATGGCAGAGAGAGAAGCAGGGAAGGAGTGGGGAACTGGGTCATGTATGACGCAGCATAAGAACGAGTTTGTATCCTGAGATGAAATCCAGGGAAAGTGTTCCATGAGTTCAGGACACACAGTTCTTCCTAATCTTTTACTTCTCCACCTGTCCTGATACTGTCTGTTCCTTTAACCAAAGAAACTGGATGATTTTAAGACATGCATCCTGACAGAGGCTAATTAACACACTCAGAATGTAAGTACAAATAAAACACATCTTCTGCCCAGAGGAACTCTCAGGTTAATCAGTGAGAAATTACCCTAATTATTATCAATAGCTGAGTCCACATCAGGATCTCTGGACACTGCAGCAACTTGTCGTTTTGTCCTTCCCAGAACAAAGTTCTCAATTCTCGTTCATCCATCAGGATTGCTATGGTGCAATCGCTGATTTGGAGGTGGGTAGATAGGAGGCCTGATTGATTATGCAGAGCAGTTTATAGATCAGATAAAAGGTCAGTGTAACTCACAACAATTATAAAGTCACTTTATATAGCCTTCATGGTTTATTGCTGATTTTAAAAGTATGACAAGAGCATATGAAGATGTCAGAAATATGCAGATTTTGTAATTTGATCACTTGCTTGCCTGCCTAACCTGGCCAAGTTTTTAGAAAAAAAAGAAACGTTTAAAATGTCCATCTACTCAAAACAGGGAGTACCAATCTGAAAGAAAGAAAGAAAGAAAGAAAGACAGAAAGAAAGAAAGACAGACAGAAAGAAAGAAAGAAAGAAAGAAAGAAAGAAAGAAAGAAAGAAAAGAAAGAAAGAAAGGAAGGAAGGAAGGAAGGAAGAAAGAAAGGTCTATTGCTTGAGGCAAGTCTTCAGGATTTGTTTCAAAATTATATGTAACAAACCTGCACGTTGTGCACATGTACCCTAAAACTTAAAGTATAATAAAAAAAAAAAGAAAATATAAACATGATTTCCTCAGCTGGAGTGTAAGTCTCCTGAGAGCAGAGGAACTATGCAAGCAAATAGGAAAGGTGTAATGGTTGTGACAAAACTAACATATATATCTTGTTGTTTAGATGAAAATGTACCTTTACAACAATAGCATGTATTTCCAAATTGGGCCCCAAACAATACCTTTTGTGTGAGGTTGATAGTCATCTTTTAGCAATAAATACATGACTGTACTCAAAAAAAAAATTACCTCAATCCCTTTTCAGGCACAACTGCTCAAGGTAACGGCCCCAAATTTGACCATCCCACTTTCTTTCAATAAAAACTCATCTGCCTTATTTCTTGTTCTTTCAGAGAGTAAATAATTGGCTACTATCAGCATTAAACAGTTTTGCTTTATCTGTGAATTTAAACATCCTAAGTCCTAAAAGAATATTAGTAAGAACTTAAACCACCAATAAAAGGCATTGTTAGGCTGGGCATGGTGGCTTATGCCTGTAATCTCAGCACTTTTGGAGGCCGAGGTGGGCAGATCACTTGAGGTCAGGAGTTCAAGACCAACCATCCTGGCCAACATGGTGAAACCCGTCTCTACTAAAAATACAAAAATTAGCCAGGTGTGGTGGTGGGTGCCTGTAATCCCAGCTACTTGGGAGGCTGAGGCTGGAGAATCACTTGAACCTAGGAGGCGGAGGTTGCAGTGAGCCAAGATTGCACCAATGCGCTCCAGCCTGGGTGACAATAGCGAAACTCGGTCTCAAAAACAACAACAAAAAGGTATTGTTAGGCAGGATTTGAAAACATTGGGTTGAGTGATAGCTGCTGCTTGAAAAAGCATATCCAGAAATAATGTCTCATCTGCCCTTTGACTACAGAGAGCAAATTTAACTTCTGATTTCTGTGAGAGACATTTTCACAAGTACCCTATTATTATTATTATGGTCAACATTAGAGAAAAGACCTATTTTTATTTTTCATAGTTTTCACTACTAATTATATTTCATCCGTGTGTGTGTATATATATATATTTATATATATACACACATATATACACATATATATGTGTGTGTGTTTGTGTATGTGCGTGTAAATTCCCATTTTGGAAAAACTCAAATTGGATCAAAAGAAGTTCAAAGTTTTTTGGAGGTCGCAAAATTAAGAGTTAGATCCATAAATCCAACTTCTACTTTTCTGGTATTTATGACAATAGAAGGTTTTATCAGGGCACAATAACTTCGCTCAGGCTTAAAATTAACGATCTAATAAAGTTGGAAGTATATGCTCCTTTTGTAAGGGCAAACAGAAGCTGTTCTGTAGGAGAGAGATAGGCAAAACAAAAGATCATATTTTAGTTATTTTTATGTTTTCAGATGGAGTGGATAAGAGAGACTTATGTACTGCTACGAATAACTAAATATTTTTAAACCCCATTTTAGAAACTATCCCTACTTTGATTATTGATAAGTAAAAAATCTATCAAGTTAATACAAACAAAACAGTAAAACGAAAATCCAAAGTAAGCTCTCATTGTGAGCTTTTAATTGATCCACACTGTATTATCCCAAAGGGTTTCATGAACACATTAATGCAACCTTTTTCAGGTTACAAAGCATTTTTATATAAGCGTTTATTTTATCCTCATAGTTTCTATGAGGCAGAGGCAGAGATCTGAATACTGTATTGTAGAGATGAGGAAATGAACTAAAAGAGGCTGAGAAAATGATTCAATCAGGTAACGACAGAGGCATGGTGAGGACCTTGGTCTCCAGACTGTTGGTAAATGGTGACCCAGGAACCTGCAGCAGTGACGCTCACACCTTCTGAAAGCTGCTGCCTTCTGTGAATAGGAGTGCCCACTCCGCATCTACACATTCTCTTCCTTCAAAGTCAGAATTGTTTTTTAAATGTTTCTCCAGCTATTCTTCATTTTGAGTCTGTGGTTCCAGCCAGATGGAGCACTCTACTTTGTGGTGATTTCATTGTCCCTGAGTTGTCAAATAAAGGAAGATTTTCTATGCAGTGGAAGCTGTGATGGACCTTCCAGGCCACATCTCTTCAGGAATGAAATACCTGCTACCCCAGAAACTGGAATTGTCATGAGCAGACTTCCTTCATCTCTTAGACCCTTTCATAGTGACCTCAGCTAAACAGAACTTCTTAGTCAAAGTTGTTCCACCATTCCAGGCCAATGGCATTCGAGGATTATTCAATCAAGGCTTATAAAGGCCTGGCCTTCTCCTTAGGACATCTATGAATGATTATCTGTCTTCAGAGACTCCTCTAGTGTTTGCTGAGACTGCCATTGAGAGAGCATTGAAGCTTGACTTCTCCCACTGCCCACTGTTCTGCCTTCCCTTCCCTAGTTATTGCTCTCAAGAGTCTCCCTAATAAATTTCTTACACTTTAATCTCTGCCCGAGTTTGCTCTCCTTGGGACCCAACCTATTTCAGTACAGTGAAAAGCAATGGGCAGTGATTGAAAGCAGATGATTCATACATGAGGATCTGCTGCAATTCACTTGATTTCTCTGAGTCTACATTTTCTTATTCATTAATATACTCATTATATCATATGAGTGCTAATTTTCTATGGTTCAGAAAAACTATAAATGTTTGTTCTGTTCTGCACTATGAGCAAGACCAATCATTAGCAAAACTGAAAAATATACAGGTCTCATGTTTTATTTGGGCCAGAGAATGGGGCAGTAGGATCCTCTATATTTTATTTTCCTTTCCGCTTCCTCTCCCTGGTATTCTCCAAGTCTGCCCAGTTTGAACAGTTGTCTCTTAATTTTTATTTCCATTCACATTGTGCTCCCACCTGGGTCTCTGCCAACCATGGTCTTTGGCTTTCTTAATTGCGCTTAGCCACCAGCCCTGGAGACCAGCGCAGACTCCGTCCCTTCCAGTTAAAAAATCTTTAAGAACAAACCTGGTGTTGTATTGGTTACTCTAGTCTTGATTTGGGGTTAGACTGGGGAAGGGATGTACATACAATGAGTCTGGGTAACCTATTCCCTTTCATACTTTCTTCTTACTCTGTCTCCAGCGCCCATGTTCCTGATTTTCTCTTTTGTTTCTATGATGCATATCTCCTTCTCCCTCCAGAAAAGAAGCTTTACTCATTCTGGTTTAGCTGTCAGGAGCCATGATAACCATACCCAGAAGTACTCTTCACTAGGGAGATGATTTCTGCTCTTTCTCACCCCATTGAATTGTATTAGTATATAATATTAGTTAGCTTTTTATAGATTCATTGAAATTATGAAGACTATTTTAAACCATGGATCTGATTCTGAGTCTCATCTTTGAATACAAACAATCACATTACGTGTACCTACCAGCTCAGACCTACCTAGATTTAGTCCTGGTCATTCTACGATTTGGATAGCTGGCTTTGCCCCTCCCAGGGAGTATTCCTATAGTCAGGTTAACTGTTTGGAGTTCTTTTCTCTTCAGTCCATTGTTTATAGTTAATTTAGTCACATTAAGGGGGTAATATTTCATAACAAAATGTAAATGACTGGTACAAGCTTCATCCATTTCTGCTTTTAACCAGACAGCTATTTTACATGGGATTGATTAGAAACTGGTACCTGAAAAAATGCCTTTCATCTTTATTGGTAAAATTTCAGGCACAGTGTCATTTGAAAAAATAAGTAATGTTGCAATATGTGTGGTTTACTGCATACCTGGGACCAACATAAGCTTACAGTGCCAAAAAAAGAGGGTAAAATACAAGTACATGCCTGAGAGAACTACGTATGGAGAAGAAAAAAATCTCTAAAGTTGTAGCTCAAATACAAAATACATCAATAGTCAAAACAGTATAGTTACATTCAACTAACAGTGCCAGAAATCCAATGTATTGTAATATAAGGACCAGATACATTTAGAGTTAGAGATAAAGTAGATAAATGTAGCTTCATTTTGCAGGGAGGGTTTTGGCCAAGGAAGCTGCTAAAACAGACAATAAATTTCTTACTTTGATCTGCTGAAAATGTCGGTCAGTATCTTTAATCAACACAGTAGAGATGTTACTTCATACAGGCCTAAGTTGGCATTTCTGTGACTTCAGGTCAAAGGCGATGCTAAATTTAGAGAGAGCAAAAAATTCTCTTTCTGTATGTCCTATCTCTGCTATAGATAAGAAAATGATGGCTAGAAATATGGGGACATTTGTAGAGTATGAGCAGTCGCTGCAAATATATTGCTGATAATCTTATTTCTTCTCTTAGAAAATGAAAGGAAGAGAATTCTCTGTCAGTACTGACCTAGGTGTATCCATTAGTTTGAGCAAAGCCTTTGTCCCTTAAATAAAAAACAGACTAATCTTCAGTTAGAAATATTGAGTACACCACAGGAGCTGATAATCAAAAATTGTTCACCATGTCAGTTTCAGGAGTGGGAAGTATAATCTTGAGCTTAATCCAGACTCCATCCTCAAGAAAGCCTGATTTTGCATAATTACACAGGCTGGAACTAGGGAGCATAAATGTTAAGCTTTTTTATTATGTTGCAACTACTGGCTAGGGATAGATATATATTTTCTGTACAATAACTGAGAAAAATTCCCCCATTGTCTGCCTGGTGCATTGCAAGAAGCTGAGGGGGAAAAAAAGACAGAACATTGTGTGGATAAGAGAAAGAATAAGAGAACATAATATGGAAATCATTTCAGTAACAAAACGATAGATCATGAGTGAAACTCTATAGCAGAAAAATCTCAGTTCCTTTGAAAAATGCAGTACTAGAGAAAAAATGCAGCCTGAATGTGCATGTTAAAAAGATAGAGAATCCCAGCATCACACAGCCACAACTAGCATTGTGAAGAACATATTAGAAAGAAGAAAAAACACACATGCACGAAACAAAGTTATTTAAAGCAAAAGTGTAAATAGGGACACAAGCTTTCACCAAAGAAGCAAATATCTTCAGCACATACGACCTGCTCAAAAGCAACTTAATGGAATTAGAAGCGAATATTTATATGTAGTTGGATTAATATCTGCCATGTTCATACTGTTTTCTATTCATTTCACTAGTTCTTTATTTCTTATCTTCTCCTTTGTTTTGTCTTTTCTGAGTTTAACCAATCATTTTATATGAGTCCATATTCTTAGCATGTCAATAATAATTTATAAAAATTTTAATGGTTGTGTAGTTTGCAATATATATTTACAGCTAATTAAAATCTACTTTCAAATAACACTATACCACTTCACAGGTAATGCAAGTATCTTATAACAGAGTATTTACATTTCCTGTGTCCTGCCTTAAAACATGACTGTCAATCAATCTATACAACATGTGCATGGTCTCAATAGACCAATTAAAAGACTACCTTCATCACAGATATTGTGATTGTCTATATAGATAATTCCAAGGAATTGACAAAAATCAGTTGGAATTAGTGATCACAGCCAGGTCAATTGCTTTTTTTTTTATACCAACAATGAACAACTAAAATTCATAATTAAATCATAATAACATTTACATAGCATAAAAATACTTTGTTGTGAAACTAACAAAATATGTGTATGGATCATCTGCTTTCACTCACTACCCATTGCTTTTCACTGTACCGAAATAGGTTGGGTCCCAAGGAGGGCAAACTCAGGCAGAGATTAAAGTGTAAGAAGTTTATTAGGGAGACTTTTGAGAGCAATAACTAGAGAAGAGAAGGCAGAACATGGGCAGTGGGAGAAGTCAAGCTTCAATGCTCTCTCAATGGCAGTCTCAGCAAACACTAGAGGAGTCTCTGAAGACAGATAATCATTCATAGATGTCCTAAGGAGAAGGCCAGGCCTTTATAAGCCTTGATTGAATAATCCTCGAATGCCATTGGCCTGGAATGGTGGAACGACTTTGACTAAGAAGTTCTGTTTAGCTGAGGTCACTATGAAAGGGTCTAAGAGATGAAGGAAGTCTGCTCATGACAATTCCAGTTTCTGGGGTAGCAAGTATTTCATTCCTGAAGGGATGTGGCCTGGAAGGTCCATCACAGCTTCTACTGCATAGAAAATCTTCCTTTATTTGACAACTCAGGGACAATGAAATCACCACAAAGTAGAGTGCTCCATCTGGCTGGAACCACAGACTCAAAATGAAGAATAGCTGGAGAAACATTTAAAAACAATCCTGACTGCGAAGGAAGAGAATACGTAGATGCGGAGTGGGCACTCCTATTCGCAGAAGGCAGCAGCTTTCAAAAGGTGTGAGCGTCACCGCTGCAGGTTCCTGGGTCACTGTTTACCAACACATACTTTACTGTAGATGGGCTGTAACAAAGAGTCTGGAGACCAAGGTCCTCGCCATGCCTCTGTTGTTACCTGATTGAATCAGTTTCTCAGCCTCTTTTAGTTCATTTCCTTATCTCTGCAATAGAGTATTAAGACCTCTGCTTCTGCCTACAAGACTTGTCTCTTCCTCAAGTATGAATTTCTTCAATCACCTATATCAGGAAAGGCTCATGGGTATATTTTATACTTTGGGTTATTAAGATTGGGTTGTGTGTACATATATATTATATATTAGTGTTATTTATATACACATGTGTGTATGTGTGTATACATATATATGAAAGTGAATATATATATGCATATACATATATATACCCCACAGTCTTAATATTTGTCTGTATGCATATAAATATATAGAGAAAGTGAAATGAAATATAGAACCTAGAATTATAATAGCACAAGTAAAATAATTTCATTTATAACAGACAACCCTGAAACTTAAGAAAATTTTGTATTTTGCTTTTTTTCTTAGTAAGTGATGTTGGGGCAATTGGAATTTCATGTTTAAAGGAAGAACACTGACCTTTTCATGAAAATAAATAAAATAATAATTTTGGTTTGGATCATAGATTTAAAAGTAAATATAATTAAATGCAAGGAGAAAACACAGAATAGAGAATTTATATAGCATGAATCCTAAAAAAAGTAATACATTTGATTTTATTAATATCATGAATATATGTTTAGAAAAAGTTTGTTAACACAGTGAATTAGAAAGCCAGAGGCTAGAATAAGATATGTGCAATATACACATTGATTTATATACAGAATTATAAAAAATCAGTAATAAGAAAAATCAATTTATAAATGGTGAAATTTTTTAAATAGCTAATAAGCATGTAAAATAGACTTAACATTATTACTGGTGCAAACCGAATGCGATTTCAAACAATGAGATGCCATTACATATCCAACAGAACAGCGAAAATTCAATTGTTGAGGATGTGGAACAACTGGAATCTTCATTCACTGCTGGTGGGAGTGATCATTACTTTAAGGACTTTGAAAAAGTACCTGACATGTGGGCTAAACCTAAGCATGTGTCTCCTCTATGACAAAACTATCCACTTCTAGGTATAAACCTAAAGGAAATGGGTCTATTTAGTTGCAAAATCCAATCACAAGAATATATATATATATAGCAACTTCATTCATTACTGTCAAAAATCTAGAAATAGCCCAGATATTTATCAATAGGAAAATGGATAAACAATCTATGTTGTATTCATAGACCAGAATATTACATAAAGATAAAACAAAAACAAAGTTAAGTTACATAAATGGATTTCAAAAAATATTAAGTAAAATGAGTGAGAGACATAAACAGTCATAGTTTATGATTTCTTTCACATGAAGTTTAAGAGCAGGCAAAACTAGTCTGGAGTAAAAGAAGTTAAAATAGTGATTACTTCTGAGACAGGAATATTGACTTCGAAGAGACCTGAAGGGAACCTCTGGGGTTGTGGCAATTTTCTTTTTTCTTTTTCTTTCTTTTTTTTTTTTTTGAGACGGAGTCTTGCTCTGTCGCCAGGCTGGAGTGCAGTGGTGCGATCTTGGCTCACTGCAACCTCCGCCTCCCGGGTTCAAGTGATTCTCCTGCCTCAGCCTCCAAGTAGCTGGGAATACAGGTGCATGACACTATGCCTGGCTCTTTTTTTTTTTTTTTTTTGTATTTATTAGAGACAGGGTTTCACCACATTGGCCAGGATGGTCTCGAACTCCAGACCTCGTGATCCACCTGCCTTGGCCTCCCAACGTGCTGGGATTACAGGCGTGAGCCACTGTGCCCAGCCGGTTCCAGCAATTTTATATACCTTCATCTGGGTGATAGTGTACATGTGTGTATAAATTGGTAAGTATAAATTGGTAAGTATTCACAGAGTTATATGTTATTGAAGCACTTCACTTCAATAAGGATATAATTAGAAACAATTAGTATCCAAATGCTGGCCAAGAGCATCATTATGGTCAAGTTTAAGTCACATCCACCTCCCTGCCCTCCTGAGGTAAGAAAGAAGAATAATATGGCAACTTTATCTTCTGATGTGGAAGTGAAATTGCCTTTCACAGGTAGAAGGGACAAGGTCATTCACATACAAAAAAAAAAAAAGAAAAAAAAGAATTGCTTGGTCATTAAAAATGGAACGCAATTCTAAGTAGTCAAAGTTATAAGGTCTCTGTAGGTATTCTGGAAAATTACCCCAGAAAAGGCCACAAAAATTATTTTGATTTAGGACACAAATACCTTTTTAGATAGTAAATTCGTTTTCATAAAGACTGAAATTTGGTGATCTTTCTGAGTAAAGACTTACTGGAATTGTGCTCTGAACTTGCATTGGAGATTAAATTAAACTGGCTATTCCTGATAAAACTATCTTCATTTTGGAAGTCTTAAAAATGGTTTGACCACTGTGAGAAATAAACTGTGTCATAAAAAAACTAATAACTGTGCTAGAGAGGGCTAAACAGAGTTAGAATATATATAAAATACATAATCCCCAGCCATGTGTGTGTGCGTATATATATATATATATAATATATATGTATAAGATATAATATTCCCAGCTATATATGCTATCACATTTCCTTCTACATCTTCTTTGAACTTGTGTTTGACCTATTCTACAAGAAACCTGGAGGAGAGCAGTGATAGTTATTTCAAGTGCCTAGCACTCATAGTAAATAAAAAGGTATTATGTGAGCACTTATTATGAGTACTGATTTCTAACCTGAATTCTTAGTTACCGAAGATCTCATATACAAGACAGAGGAAATTCTCTGTGCTTATCTTTATTTTTACCCCATGTACAAAATGTGCAGTGATGTCCACTCCTGCTCAGCATTATATACTGGCATGATTTGGATTTGCCAGCTAGACCTTGGGGTGTATAAGTTACACACAGTTTCATATAATATGCCTCATAGAGACAGTCGACCTACAATGTGTCTCCTGAAAAGCTGTTGCATAGTACAATTCTCTGGGCTTGATTTTTGACATATTTTCAGGGGCTACAGATAAGTTCAGTTCCTACTGGGATGCTAATTCCACTACGTCCTACATTAGAAACATAATCTTAATGTAAAACAAAACTTTTGTAATGTATAGGTCTAATATTTATTTAGAAATAGATACATTGATTTCAAAGTTTCCACATTTTAACTTCCTACATATTTGACCCTTTCATTCGTAGAATATCTTTCATCTCCTTAGTGAACTCCTTAGTAAACAATGTTGACAATAGATGTTGCTTCAACCTCCTCACTGTTTTATTTTTCTTGCTTATTCAACTTTCTCTGTTATAGCTAATTTCCCTGGGGCAAGAACATTTGTTTTCTTTCAAATCCATTCTTTTTGGATGTAGGTCCACAGCTGGATTCACTACTTGAATTTCTCATAAATTTTTTGATTGTTCACACACATTGTTTCTCTTTCACAGTTCTTGATAGAAATACTTTTTTTTATTTCATTCTCTAAGTAGTAGCAAAAAATATTTTAGTGACACACTACCAAGACATATATTACCACTACTGTGTTTAAAATTCTTCAATGGCACAACAAACATCTTACAACGAAGTAAGTCTTTCTTAATATGATCATACTAGACAGAGTTTTAAACATCCCCTCCCCTTTACCTCACAAGTTTCCATCTTCTGATTCTCAGTGGAACATTGACTAGGCACCTCTGCAGGGGACTTTGCAGATGTAGTTAATGTTGCTCATCAGCTGACTTTAAGATAGAAACAGTAGCGTGGATTATCCAGGTGGGCCCACTGTTACCACATGAGCCCTTAAAAGCAAAAGAAGATGGCAGAAACCTCAGAGAGATGGAGCTCAGAGAAAAGCTGGGGAGTTTCAAAGCATGACAGGGCCTTAACCCATGGTTTCTGAAAGGTGGGGTGGAAAAAATGAGAAGAGTTGCAGATGACCTCTAGGAGCAAAGACCAACATCCAGCTGACAGCCAACAAGAAATGGGACCTCCATCCTTTAGCTGTAAGGAACTGAATTCTGCTGGGAACCTTAATGATCCTGGAAGCAGATTATCTTCCAGAGCCCCTGGTAAGAAATGTAGACTATCTGACACTGATTCCTACTTAGTGAGACTCTAAGCAGAGCACCCAGCTAAGCCCACCAGACTTCTGACTTAAAAGTCTGTGAGCTAATAAATAGTCACTGTTTAAAGTTGCTAAATATATGCTAGTTTGTTCTGTAGCAGGAGAGACTGATAGGGCATCCTGTAATTAGAAGAAAAGTCTGGCCCTTACAGCACCCTTGACCTCTTCCCTCTCTCTTCTAGAGCCACTCCAGTCATCTTTCTGTCATTCTCCTCTTAGCCACAGAGGTGTTTGTTTGTTTTGAATGAAATATTCTCTTGACTTCTTCATATGCTTAGCTTCTGTCCATTCTACAGATGAGATATCAGGGTTAGAACCTCAGGAAGGAGATATTGTTAAATTGAAACTTAAAAATTTGAATCTCCACATTATATTGCCATGTAATCATTCACTCTCCTTCCCAGCACTTTGAGAAGTTGTCAATGTACATTTACCAGGCAGTTATTTTATTGGTCGATTACCACAACTGGAAAGCAGGCCTCAGAGAGCAAAGATCGTCAGCTTTTAATCACCATTACACCTATAGCATTGCGTTGGGCTGAAGAAATCTCAGGTGAATGAATGAATGAGCTGAAGAGTTGGAGTACCACAGATAAAACTGGCAAAACTAGATCCAGGTAACACCAATTTAAATTGAGTTCCTACCAGGGGTAGTCATCATGTTAGGGAAGAGAAAAGTTCTTTTTGTCTGTAATCTGATAAACTTTCTGTCATTCAGGTTATATAATTTGAAAAGTATACCCCGACACAAATTTAAACAAACTACATCAGATATTTCTATTTTTCTTAGAGAGATGACAGTGCAGTCAGAGGCAGAACATGGATTAAGCACAACCCTAGTTTATCAATACCAGATTAATATTTATATCCCCTACATAGTCCCTAAAGACAACAGTGGAAAAAGATTTCCATTCTGAACAGAGAGAGAGAGAGAGGAAGAATCCAAACCAACTAAGATAACGAGTCATGTATTGGCCAAGTTCTAACAAACCAACCAGCAGTGATTCTGTGTATATATAACAGAAAAGCGGGGAGGGGGAAACAACGAGAAGACAGTAGGTAGCTCAGAAATCAGCAGCACCAGACTGGAGGAACAAAAAATCATAGGCAGCATTGGTGGGGTTCTGGGCCTCAGCTTACCTGGCAGGGCTGCAGCCGTGGCAGGATATGCCGTGGCAGAATCTAGAACTATGACAGTGTTGTCCATGCTCTTGAAAATGCCCACAGGAGAGGAAGAAATGCCAGGTTTCCCTATTCTCCCAAATTCCAGCCTCCCATTGGTACCTTTTATTGACCAATCTACTTGAAAGCACGTTGACAGGCCCGTGGAACTCAACCTTCCTACAAAACAAAGCAGAGTAGGAGGAGGAAGAGAAACAGATTCACCACAAAAGGGCTCAGGCATGAAACAGCTGACCACTCAACTCTAATGACAGGATCCTATTTGAATGCAGATTCATGGCTACATTCACTACTTGAATTTCTCGTAAATTTCTTGTTTGTTCACACTCATTGTTTCTCTTTCACAGTTCTTGGTGGAAATATTTTTTACTTCATTCTCTATGTAGTAGCAGAAAATATTTTATATGACCACACACAGGAAAATCTCACATAGTCCCTAAAGACGACAGTGGAGAAAGATTTCCATTCAATTCTTATACTTTAAGAGCAACAGAGATAGAGTTAACATGAACAGTAATATTTTTTCTTGGGAAGAATGCACTGTAATTCATTATTTCTTCATTTCCTTGGGAAGGATTAACTGGAATCCACCAGCTCTTAATGATGACACATTGCTATTATTAAACCAAGGTTTGATTAACAATAACTTGATTCACTAGAGTACATTTTGAACTCTCATGAAATGAAATAAGCAGGAATAACTCCCAGGAAAACTGGAAGTTACTACACTAGATTAGATATGATTAGTACTATCTCAAATGGATTATATGAATAAAAAAGTTCATTTAACTTTGATACTTACAATAGCTAGTGTGTTTCTTTAGCTCGAGAAGGGAAGTTTTCTAGCATTAAGAGTAAATTGAAGTAAAATGAGAAGAAAGTAAGGAAAGACCTTTTCCTTAGTCCACATTTTTACTATTCTCTAGACTGAGTTTCCTCTCTTAATGCTCATATGCATTGTATAGTATGAAATGTAAATGCCATTGTATGTTAAAATATTTACTTTTAAAACAATTTTTGGGAAAGGCATATTTTACTTAGATGTGAAAAAATGTAATAGAGATCATCTCCCTTATTTTACTTGCCTGTGATACCCAGTCTTATCATTTGTTTGCCACTTTCAAATCCTAGAGTGGATTATTTAAATTCTTTGAATCTAACCGAGTGTGCTACAAACCTAAGCCTCATAATCTTTCCTGGCTGACTAATCAGGGCCATAACTTCCACATTTGACCTTACCCTGGGTCCACTTCATACACAGCAGCCTGAGTAATCTTTCAAGAATGCATATTAGATCCAGTTGCACCCTGGCTCAGGCATCTTCAGTGCATCCTCATTGTATATATGCCAAATCCGGAATCCTAACCTGGCTTGTAAGAACCCATAACTGGCTCCTGCCTACCATTTTGTATCTTGCTCTCTACATCCCACCCATTTTGGTGGTTTTCTTTTCCTTCAGCATGACGGTTCACTGTACTGCCTTGGGGGCATTGTAGTAGCCATTGTTCTACCTGGAATTCTTTCTTCAGATTCTAGTTTCTCTGTTGATGGAGAGTAATTAAGTACTCTCCATAGTACTTAATTAGAGTCTCAGTCAATCCCAATTGTGTTACTATATTTTACTTTTTATCATATTGTATCACTATGTTTTTTTAATGTATTATATTTCAATATTTCATTTTTATCATAGTGCTTCTGAATACCCGATAATCTCACAATAAAGGAGAATGTGTCACACAAAAAAGGAGAGTAAGAACTTTATATGTCTTGGTTAATTTTTTATCTCAGTTGTATCTCAGCTGCCAGAACAGTATCTGGCATACGATAGGCTCTCAGTAAATGTTTGTTAAATAAATAAATACATTAAAAATCCTAGTACTCAACTTGGGGTGATTCATCAAGAGATTTCACCAAAGAAATTAATTCATAAATCTGAATTTCAATATAGTGTCCTTTTTACTTCTATCCTGAATTTGATTTTGAGGTAGAAGGGAAAAAATCTCATTATCAATTAATATTGGAAAGCTGCTAGAGTTTACACAAGCCTTTTTATGTTAGAACAAAACTATGTTGTAACGCCATTATTTCTGTTTATTAGGGAAAACAGAACAATACACATTTCCTAATAATATTGGTAGGATCAAACTGACCTATCATCTCTGGATACCTTGGGATGAGACAAAACCAAACGCTTTCTGGTAAAAATGAATAGATAATTAAGCAACATTTTCTTCTTCTTTCTCTTTTTATCCCCACAAAAATTAAGGCAGTTTTCATGACACTTCTGGGGAAATGAGAAAAAATATAATGCATTACACTCAGATAAAACAGAGATACTGTTGTAGTTCTCTAGGAAAAGCTGCATATCCATGACTCTCTCATCCTAACATTTGCCTATAGGAATTTTTTGAAATTGATATATATTTGATTTGCTACTTTGCTACATATTAAAATGCTCAGCAATTTCTCTCACCAACACATCAAAATGTATTTGTTTCAGACGTCCTGCCTACTTCCAAGAGAACTTGAAATAACTCGTAATTTAAAACAGTATTCAGAACCAGACAAGTAGGAATAAAATAGAACTCCTCTATTTAAAAAAGAAAAAGTACTTAGGAATTGCTAGATTTCTGTGATGAAAAGAATAATGTACATGGATCCTGGATGTACACTCAGTTTTCCAGCAAATAAGAAAATCTTTTTGTCTTAACCAGGGAAACCTGTTGGTTTACAATGTTTGTCTTTTCTGACAATAGATAGCCTGCAAGTCCATAATAAGCTCAGCAGAACCAATATTTTCTTTTAGCTCTGCAATTCAAGCAGGAAGGTGAGCTCTGCAGTGTATTGAATTATTGAGCTTGATTTTGCACTCTTTTATAGAATGATACATCCATATGGTTTCCACGGCCTCTTGGTAGGCAGAATATACTTCTCTGTATACTTGACATTGGCCTCAGCTTTGTGATATGCTCTGTTCAATGGTATGTTAGGAAACCACAGGAGAAGTGTTTGGGATTGCCTGCTTGTGCTTCCATGACTATTATGAGAACATACCCCACATAGGAGCTACTTCATTACTGGTTCCAGAAAACCATGAAGCATAGCCATCCAGCCAGCCTGCAGCTTAGAGCAGAGCAATTCAATGCATGATGTATAAATAGAGCATAATTCTGGCAATAGTTAATACCAGTTCCTTCCTCAAGGCAAAAATGGAAATCATTCAAGGGAAATTGAGTAATAAAGAACAATCTCTTTATCTACATATTTTAAAACTACAAGCTAGTGTCTTTAGATTAGCAAAACATATATATGAGATTTGTGTGTTTATTCTTCTCTTCCCATGTCAATGTATGATAACAGTCTCTAAATTGCATATTGATTATATACAGGGGTTCAATAACACCTTTAATATAATTTTCTAGTGCAGAATTAATGAATACATATACGCATGTCACACTACCTCTAAAGATCTGGGAGTTTTTTAATTTTCAAAATATATTGAAAACAAGCTTGTGTATATCTTATGACAAATATTTACTTCAAAGGTATTACTTGTAACAAACCTGTGCATGTGTATAAAACCTTTACAAAGGGGGCCAATTGTTTTTAATGGATATAAAATTGAAAAAACAAAAACAAAAAGTCCAACAGCGAATAAATGTTTACATCATAGTGCATGCAATAAACACAGAAAAATATAAAAACTTAATTTTTATATTTTTGAATTTTCTAAATTTTTTTAATGAGCATAAATTAAATTTTAAAAAACTTTAATTAATTTTAGAATTTAAGTTTTTAAAGTTAAATTTTGTTCGATGGTATAAATTAAATTTCAAAAATTGCTCAATGAGTATGAAATGAATTTTAATTTTAAATTTCAATTTTTTTAAATTTAATTCATACTCATTGAACAAAATTTGGAAAATTCAGAAAATATATGAGGGAAAGTAATTGTCAATATTTTTATCTTTCAGTCAGTCAATGTCAACATGCTGTTATATTTCCTTTTTGGCTTCTCTTGTGGTCCTTTGGGCAGTTAATGAGCATACTGATATAATGGAGACTCATCAATCATAATATTAGATATAATTTGTCAAATTGCCTTTTACTTAAAATGTTAGCATTTGTTTTTAGTCAACAATTTTTAAATACTAATTTTAGATGGCAGGGGATACTAATATATTTATTTGATCAGGTTAATCTCTTATCCTTTACTATGACTGTTTCAAACTTTCTTCATTCTCTTCAAATACCTGGCCCTCACATATTTTTTCTCACCTGTACGTTTTCCATAGATCACCTTATTGCAAATTGGACTCTTCCATTACCTTAGTACTGAATATGTATGGGCACCCTGCTTATCATTCTTTTTTTATTTATTTATTTATTTATTTATTTATTTATTTATATTATACTTTAAGTTTTAGGGTACATGTGCACAACATGCAGGTTTGTTACATATATAAACATGCGCCATGTTTGTGTGCTGCACCCATTAACTCGTCATTTAGCATTAGGTATATCTCCTAATGCTATCCCTCCCCCCTCCCCCCACCCCACAACAGGCCCCAGTGTGTGATGTTCCCCTTCCTGTGTCCATGTGTTCTCATTGTTCAATTCCCACCTGTGAATGAGAACATGCGGTGTTTGGGTTTTTGTCCTTGCGATAGTTTGCTGAGAATGGTGTTTTCCAGCTTCATCCGTGTCCCTACAAAGGACATGAACTCATCATTTTTTATGGCGGCATCATTCTTATATTTTGCTATGGCGAAGGTGCTGTGGGTAAACCTATCTGACGTTGATCCCTCTTGGCTTTTCTTGCATACACTAGTAATTTTGGTTATCTCCTTCTTCCTTGTCTATTCACCCTCACCTTGGTAATAGATCTTTCCGATGGCTGTTTACAATACTCAAATGACTCATATTAAAGTGGAAAAAATTCTTTATAAACTCATCCATGTTGCTACTGCATCCCCCACACTCTATGTATGCCTTTCACAGACAAACAGAAGATCAATCCATACATGTGATTTCCTTTTAATCAAAACCATTCAATTTTCAAGCCTCTGCAATCTAGCTCCTGGCCCCATCCCTTCCTGAAATGACTGTCGAACTAGTCTGATTAGCTAAATCAAATATGTTCCATATTTAACTAAGTCAATAAGCACATTGCTCCAACTGTTCAAAAATACCCTGTGACACAAACACTCTTTGGAGCCATTTGGCCATCAAATGAAATGAAGTAACTTGGCATTGCTGAATTTCTTTAAGGCCTTTCCTAGAGTTCAGAAATTTTCTGACAGCTATTTAAAAAAAGGAATACTATATATTTTAGGGATTGACACCTTTCAGTCCCTCAACCCTGGTTCAGTTTATTTTCAGTTGATAATTTCCCTCCTTAATCTCAAATTAGGAATAGAGCAAATTCTTTACTGTGGAATATGAGGCCCTCCCTAACCTTGTGAGTCACAGTCTTTCTAAGCTTTTCTCTTTCTGAATCCTGAGAAGCCCTATTTAGTTTTTATTTTTATTTTTTTTCTTCTAAGTAACAAACAACTGGTTGTGGTTACCCACACATACCGTATTACTATGAACATTAAGATTATCAAGTCCTATTTTGCTTTTTTTGTTGTTTGTTTGAGATAAAGTCTCGCTCTGTCATCCAGACTAGAGTGCAGTGGTGTGATCTCGGCTCACTGCAACCTCTGTCTCCTTGGTTCAAGTGATTCTCCTGCCTCAGCCTCCCCAAGCCTGGGATTACAGATGTGCACCACCATGCCCAGCTAATTTTTTGTATTTTTAGTAGAGAAGGGGTTTTACCATGTTTGCCAGGCTGGCCTTGAACTTCTGACCTCAAGTGGTCCACCTTCCTTTGCCTCCCAAAATACTGGGATTACAGGTATGAGCCACCATGCCTGGCTCAAATCCTATTTTGGATCTATTTTCTCATGTTTATCATTGAAACTTGGGAATATTTCTGTTCTATATAAATGCTTAAATATGTATAAATATATATAAAGTATTTACTATATAAATAAGTAAATAAATGAATATTGAATTAAATTCTGGATGAAAGCAATTGCATAATTTGATTAAATTTATACAATATGGACAAACAGATTCATAAAAATAAAAATGGAGTTAAGCATTTGAATCTGTTTGCATGGATATTTTTACAAACCATTCTTATCACTATATCCTGTCATTTGCTCCTCGGCCCTTCTGCAACTTTTTTCTGGGATCTTATTTATTAATATTGTATTTAGTAGCCATAACCCCTTCTTTTATACAACTGGTCATGAAGGTAAGCAATAAGAAGAAAAGGAAATATTTTGCATTCATTTTTGTACTTAATAAAAAAGATACAGCATAGTGATTGAGCATAAAATTTGAAGTTAAACTGCCTAGGTTTGAATGCCAGCCCTACCACAAATTAGCTATGTGATTTTTCTAGAATTATCTATTTCCTCTCTTCCCCAGTTTTCTCACTTGTAAAATGGGAGATGTTGGAGTACTTACTCCTCAGGTAATTAAACTTAGTGCAGAAATAAACAATAGCAAAAACAATAAAATGAAAACCACCTGGTATTATTTGCATTCCCATCTTTTTTGAACTGTATACTAAACTAAAATGAACCAATGAAACATCACCTGAAAGACAAAGGCTTTTGGTTGACAGGGTCTCATTGAATTTTCAGATTATATACAATTTATAACTGCTATTTAAGTCTGGCCTTTCTGGAACACCTGCTTCTATGTAGTTTCCAAAATCTCTATATGATGAAGAATTGATGTTTAACTTTAATAACTTCATAGGAAGCTATGACTGAGAAATTGGAAAATTAAATAAAATAGAAATACATGGTTTGCTCTGAGGGAAAGAGAGACAGGGAGGCCCCTTTGAGAGCAAGAACATAAAGTGCCTTTGCTTTACCCACACCTTATCTCTAGGGTGAGTAACTCACAGTTTTAACAATGATCAGGTTTCTTGTTAATTCATGCTATAGGTGAGTCTGCTTTTGCTTTAATTCATCCAGCTGCAGCTTTTGAAGAAAGACACAAATCATTTAATGTATAGTAAGGATCTGTTCACTTCAGACCCAAGTGAAAAGTCAAGCAATAGCATTGGCTTTTATGCTGGATAAAACAGTTATTTGTAGTGCCATGGTTCTTAACAAGCAGATTCTTCTTTTATGCCATTAAAACAAAAAGAACTGGGTTAGAAATTGTAACAGTGGCCCCATAATGAGACCCAAAGTTCCGTATTTGCAAAAATGTAAATTAACATGTTATCTAAACTGTGATGGGAAGTATCTGTGTTATATTAAATTCCTTTAATGCTGCCAAGGAGGTTAACCAAGTAATAATGATAGAAGTGTTTCTATCATATAAATAAGAGTGCCTCAATAGCTCAGACACCTGCATTTATTTTGTTGAAAATGTTATGGCTCCTTACTCAGCTTATACCTGTTTCCATAGGTATTAACATCTAGTAGATGACAAAAGAAAATGTGTATATTTTCAAGGAGACCATTAATGCATTGCATACTCTCAGCACATTCCTGTTTGTTATTTTATGTATTTCACTTTTTCTTATAACAGATTACATAATTTTGCCAAATTATTTTTCTTTTAGCTGAGGGAGCAAAGGACACATGAAAGGATGTTTGCTGTATTTTTAGAGCTACTATTCATATATGAATTCCCAACACTAGAGAAAAAGTAAAATGTTGCTGACTAATAGGAGTGAAGGCAAAACAATAGGAACATGGCCATAGAATGCAGTGGCTTAGTTTTAAAGCACACACTAGCTGTATGATTCTTAGCAAATCATTTCCTCATGAGTAAAGTGAGGATACTTACAACCTCATTTCTTAGAGTTTTTATTATGAACATAAAATTAATACTTTTTAGAATATCCAGAACTCTTTCTGAAATAAATTTTTGCTGCTACAAAACTCAGAAAGAATAGACACCAAAGGCACTTTTCCTTCTCTGGCACCACTGCACTAGATATTAATAATTACGCTAATGAAAACAATTCAGCCCAATGTTAATTGAGTCCTTGCAATGTGCTGGGTAGTTTATTAAGTGCTATGCAAATATGAATTAATTAATTCACATAAAACATGGCTTTGTATTTGCTATTTCTATCGCCATTTTCCTAATGAAAAAATGACTACCTAGAAAATTTGGCTAAATTGACATCTGACAATTGTCCTACATTAAATTAATGGTAGATATAGAATTGGTACCCTTTTCTAAATGCTCTCAACTGCTCCCCATGTTTATAATAAATGCAACCCCATCAGTCTCTTGATATAGCTGATATTTAATTATATTTTCATCAGCTTTGTTCTTGCATGTGGGACTTTTTGCTGGAGGAGCAGAGAGGTCAGCAATTCTCTCATTTATGAAGTTGAGACGGGGAACATAAACTTTTCATTTTTCTAGACTACTTCTGCTTTCTCTGTTCACTGAGCTGGAGGGCAGAGTGAATAAGGGAAACATCAACCAGATGTATCTCTACCTTGAAATCACATCTTTGACTCAATTACTGTTACAATAAATATTTTCTAAGCAAATTATTTGTATTTTAAACTGTGCCTGGCAGAAATGTGAATTGTAACAATATGACTCATGAGACTTATAATCAATATGCCGTGTAGTAAGGAAAATGATAAGAAATGAACACAATGTTATGGACAAAAAACAGTCAAAAATCTAAGGTAAATATAATGATCAGGGGAAAGAGTAATATTTGAGGTTCATCTTGTCAAATAAAACATTTGTAAATGATACAATGTGAGAAAAGCAACAAAGAGAACAGTTCACCCAGAGACCTGGGACACTGGGTATAAATTAAGTAATTTAGGATGCTAAGGGATTGCGCTCAAGTATAGTTGAGAGGCAGAGGGTGGACCAAGGATTAAACCCTGGTAGAGAGATGGGCTAGAGAAGTCAGCAAGTACAAAGGATGGCTAGCCATAGATAGCACACAAAGATTTTTTATTTAATTCTGTAGATTATGGGATGTGAATGAAGGGTGTGGGGTAGTGAAATAAAGTGATCAGTTTTAATTTTAGAAATGTGATTCTGGTGAGAGAGTTTGGACATGCAAACCTGGAGGTAATGAAGTGTCAAAGGGTCTTTAAAAATAGCCTATTTGCAACAAGATAAACACATTAGGTGGTCAAATATATTGGTTGGGAACAGAAAACCCTGCAGTTTGCTGTGGCTTGTCTATGTGATCAGTCAGGGCGTCTCTGATCTGGAAGTTCTATGGTCTTTTCAGATACTGATTAATCACAAACTGCAACAGAGAAGAAAGTTCTAATTTTGTGTACAGGTGCATGGGAATAGAACTTATTATGAATTATTTCAGACATATACATGATATTATGAATAAATATTCAACACATTTAATTTTAGAAAGCAGATTAATACATACACAATTAATGTTACTGTGTAGCCCTTGCTGATATATAGAATCCTTCCTAATAGACGTAAACACTGTGGTGGTTTTCATCCCCATGCATGTCATTCTATTTTGGGCGCATATGTGTGTTTTCATAGAAACTAAAATTTTATTACTCAGTACTATGTTTATGGTATTTATACATGTTATTAATGTTAAGTATAGTTCTAATTTATTTGTATTTCTGTATAGTATATTCCATTTTATAAACAAACTTATTTTCTATTTTTCTGTTGTGGCCATTCATATTGTTTATAAGCTCTCATTTTATCAAATCATGTTGCTATGAACAATCATGTACATGTGAACTAGTGCAATATTCTAGAATGTTTTAAATGTATATGCCAACAGGTATAAGTCCTAAACCATAGAGTATAGCTATCTTGCAATTTACTAAGTATAAACAAATTTCCAAAATACTTCAACAAGCTTACTCTTCCTTGAGCAACATATAAATGAGTGACATTGCATTTTTGACAGAACTTACCATCATCATCACATTTTTAAGTGTTGCTTAATCTCGCATGTGAGTATTCTTGTTTATTATTGATATTTTAAAATTTTAATTCCATTTAGCTACCATTGAAATGAGTGTATTCATCAAAATCTGGTTAACATTTATCAATGCATCATTTTCTTTAGCAAATGTCCCTTTGTCATTCTTCTTAATTTTTTTGTGAAAGAAAAAGTCAACACGCAGTTGGATGTGAAATTCATTCAGGCTGTTACTCTTCAATTCATATAACAGCACTTTAGATCTACCTTTTATTAAGAAAAAGATAATAGTATGGTGCTGGCCAGGGAGCGCTGGGATTTATTTAATGGTAATATCTAGTTCTCAAATATTCATTTTAACCCATTAGAAAAAAGTCAGATTATCCTCCCATGAAACATGATCTATGTTTTTATTATTGTGGGCTTCAGATTAATATTTTGTAGCAGAAGCATCAATCTGATTAAACTGAATGAAAAAGCAATGATGCATGCAGGAGCAGCAAATTTCCAAATACAGATGGTGTATTAGCTTGAATCTGGGATAATGGTGATGATTGAATTTATTTTTTTGTAAGATTTGCTGCTATGCTTATGAGTGCTGACATTTGTGTACTCTGCTTTATATTCTGAGGTTCTTTTTAAAAAATGATTCAATATTTACCTATAATACATTGTTCTACCATTATCCCAGCATGTGGCTACTGACCAGTAACAATTTGTGTGTGTGAGTCTGTGTGTGTGTGTGTGCGTGCTATTATCTTATTTTAGGCAAAATACTATGATGGTATCTGAATCTGTAACATGACATGTTTACTCAAAATATGAAAATGTGCTAGAGTCAGCATTGGTTGGCAATTAGCATCCATTTTTTCCCCTAGTAGGAAGAGTTGCCTGAGACATAAGGGATAAAGATAGAGAAGAAAGCGACTGACTGGATATGGAATTCAAATGACTAACCATCGGGGTTACCTGTGGCAACTAATTCAGCATCTATTGCTTTTCTGAAAATGAGAATGATATTGACTATACAAAATGTTGTGATGTTTCTTCAGTGCCTTGTTCATGAGCAGTCAGCTGTATCTATAAGTTCAATGTGAGCTAATACTGTTTATAAGCAAACAACAAAGCAGAAAAAAACTGTGACAAAATGCAACATTATGCCACATAATACTTTAGAATTCAACATGATTTATGTACCTCAGAAGTTTATAAGTTAGCACTTCTTAAACAGGCTTTCTAGACCCCAAGAATCTGCTAATGTTTTCTTCTTTTATTTCTACACAAATTTAGACCAAAATTTAATAATAATACAAGTACATTCTGGATCATCCAAATAACTCCCATACATGCTCATTTAATTATGCTGGTTATATGTATATCTTTGGTTTTGCTTGTGTTGGATATAAGTAGTACTAATTTTATTGGCAGAGCCTAATAATATAAAGAAAGGGTAAACACTGTATGTATATGAGCTGAAGATTGCCTAAGTGATTTCATAAAGTTTGAATTGCACCAAGATACTTTTGAAAGTTTGAAGGAAAAAAATATGTGCTAGGAGAATTGAGTGTCACAAAGCATAAGCCAAAATTGGCATATTAAACTTTGAGTTTGTTTGACAATCTCAGTCAATGCCATAATCACATTTGCATATAAACTTAGATCCAACAAAGCAGCTGAACTATTTCATTGAAAATGTAGTATTGCAGGAGTCAGTTTGAAGGGGATTACCATGGTCAAATCTGGAAAAACTTGAGCACCAAAATAATTGAGTACAATAATCAATTGTAAGTCAATAAAAATTATGAAGTTAAGTCTATACTGATAAGGTAATAAGTTAATAGAAGAGAAAAAAGAATTATTGCATTATAGTAGGATGCTGAGTACTGGAGTTGGAGCCTCAATGGTTTGCATACAATTATTACATCTGCCTCTTATATTTAAATGTTTCAATTGAACTAAAACTAACTTTTACCGCAACCATGATAGTAAAGTTTGGATCACAAAGGAATCATAAATGGATGCTTAGTCTAGGGGAAAATTTGGGTGAGAAACTTAGTATTTGCACAGTTCAGATCACTTTAAATTTAAAATTTAATATCATAATGGGAGTTAAGCATGTTTTAGACAGTATTAAATGAGGGTTGTGTTAGATAAACTCAGATCAAAATAATTCATTTTCATTCAGCCATTTACTCATTTGAAAATATCTATTGGGCCAGACACGGTGGCTCACACCTGTAATCCCAGCACGTAGGGAAGACAAGGTGGGTGGATCATTTAAGGTCAGGAGTTTGAGACCAGCCTGGCCAACATGGTGAAACCCTGTCTCTACCAAAAATACAGAAAATTAGCCGGGCTTGGTAGCGCATGCTTGTAATCCCAGCTACTTGGGAGGCTGAGGCAGGATAAATGCTTGAATCCGGGAGGCGGAGGTTGCAGTGAGCCAAGATCATGCCATTGTACTCCAGCCAGGGCGACAAGAGTGAAATTCTTTCTCAAAAAAGTGTATATATATATATATATATATATATATATATATATACACATCAGGATTTTGCCCTTTTTATACCCTACTTTGTAACAAAAGCCTGGCTCATGATCAAGAACATCCTGTTCAACTCCTTCACCAAATACTTGAGAATATATTATTTGGAGGAGGGATTGTATTGATAAGTGTTTTTTTTAAGTTTGTGCCTCATAATTCTTTAATTGGAGAGAGGAGACATAAATCTGAGGCAATTTATTAATGCTTCCCAATAAATTGTGAAGATAAAACCAAAGCAAAAAAAAAAAAAGAAGCTAATAATGCTGATAGAATAAGGTGATCTTTGTTGACTATAGTAGTGACATCACTGAACATTTGGGTAAAGAATAAGCATGACTATGCCTAAATAGAGCTTGATACAGCCCCTGAGACTGCAGGCCATGATGACCAGTGTGAATGGGTTCAGTTCATATGAAGTGGCCAGCGTCAAAGCTGTCTACTTGTGCTTGCAATTCCCAATGCTGTCCCACAAAGCATGACCTAATTTGGAGATGTCAGAAATCATTAATGATTCTGGTTGCAGGCTAATGTATTGGATTTAAACAAAAATTACCATAATGCAAAGTTCTAAAAGGCAATATTCTTCTAATCAGTCATCATATGTAAATGTGAATGATGATGATTGAGCCTCAAGTGTAAAATTTGCTACTCCCTGAGCACAAAATTCACAGAAAGGTTGGTGAGCCTGTTTTCACCAGCTAATATAATTAAGCAGCACAAATAATGTAATAGAAGACACACCATGAAAGCCATAATTACATTTTATTTTTAATTTTGTTCATAGAAACCGGTATATAGTTTCCTGATTTGCCAGGAGGGAAAGAAGTTGAGTTTTCTGCTGTTTAATTTGTGTTCTGCCTATGACCTTTTAATTTATATTCTTAGTTCATCACCTCCACATTTTCCTTCCTTCATTTTTCTTCACTAATAATCTACTAGAATACATTTGTCATCTTACAAATTACACAAAATCATAGTTTGATGTCTTTGACATTTTTGTAGTGGTTTTAAATATTAAGGATGTATCAGATTTCTTCTGAATTATGTGTAATGAGTAATGAAATATTCTAATCTTTTTTACACATACAGGTTTAGTAGAATAAATTTACTGACTGTAATAGGACTAACCAAATGATAACATTACTTATAAATGTGTCACAGCCAAAATGGTATAATCATATACACTCTACATATTTTCATATATATCATCTATTTATATGTTATTTAAAATTATTTAAAACATTTTAAGAGTTATTCAGTCATGTGTATTTTTTCTTGTCCTCTTTGACCCTGTCATCTACTCCAGGACTTCTCACCCCCAAAGAGAAGAACCTTCCTCTGTTCTGCAGCACATTTACTGTTCAATCTGGTTTTATACATAAGCCACAGAGATAATGATTCCTTGGTAATAATATCATTATTTCATATGCATTCTCTATAGCAAACTCCCTCATATATGGTTATGCCTCAGATAGAAAAAAAAATAATAAAGCAATTATAAAACAAAACTATTCTTTCTCATTCAATAGAAATCGACTTTTAGCTTCTGGAAGTAGAAAACTTAGGATGAATAAGGAATTAGGAAGTCCAATTACAGATTTTGGTGGCTATGACCCTATATATTTATTACAAAGTAAGATTCAAAGAGGCTTTATATATTTCCACTGAGATACCACATCTAAACCTCCAGAGAAATCAGCTAAATAGCTGTATGATGGGTCTGTTTTTAGTTTTAAGTTGTAAATACTAAACAAATAAAAATCAACATGAACAGATATACAATGTAAAGCAAAGGTTTGGCTTCAGTAAAGACGTGATAAAGTGACTCCATCGTGCTACTTTAAACCTACATTCATTCTGCTCTGTGTGTCCCTACATAGACTCAAGGTGGCTTTTATTAAATTCAGTGGTACATGCTTTCGCATTCATATCCAGAAGGACAGAGAAAAATATTTGTCTTCACATTGCCTTCAACAATCCTATGATTGACTGGTATAGAATGAGCTTGTTCTGTGCAGTATCAACACAATCATCAGCCAGTGTAATGGAGTGTATTGATTACTTTTGTCCTAAATTCCTTCCTCCCTATTGGAATTGGTGGGTTAGGATTGTCTCCTCTAGAACCACATGAGGCCTGCAATGGAAATTTGAATTGTTAGGAGGGAGGAGAGTATGAATACAATAAAAATATTTCTACAATAGTCACCATTTAACACGACATACACTATTTTGAAGCAGCCTAGTGTCACTGCAGCAGTCTCATTGTCTGAGGTATTACCTAGAGTTCTTTGTCTCACAACCAAGAAAATTAAGGAGTGTGGACACCAACAGAGAGGTTGGAGTGACAGTGTAATAAGAAAAAGAGGTAATCTTTCCACAATGGAGAAAGGACCTGGGAGGGTTATGCTTTCACAGTTGAATGCAAAGGCTTTTATAAACAAGCTAATGGGATGGGGTGTTTCATTTGCATAAGGTAAGAAAAACTGGTTAAGGCTGGTGTCTTATTTGCATAAAGTGTGAATTCTTATAAGCTCCACCCTGTCTCTCTAGTGTGCATGTGGGCCCTTAGCATGAGTTACTCCATGTTGTTGTATTTCCCTTACTGTTCATGTGTCAGGAGATGGATTCTTCCACTGCAGACATGTCTGATTCTGCATAGATTTTCTTATCTATATAGCTGCAGGTCAGACTTAGGCAAGACCCCCTGTGCAAGTACTATTATCTGTGTATGCCTGAAAAGGAAAGGAATGTGCTCACTGAAGCCCACTGTGTACAGGCAGAACTCACTGGTTGCACAAGAGACAAAGGCGGTGGGCCTTGCTTCCTTATCTGCTCTTGCAGCTTGATTTCTTCCAGGCTGCTTTTTTGTTGGAAGGACTCCTATTGAGAGCCTTCTCCTAACTATCTGCCTAACTGGTTCCTTACTATCTCGTCTCTCAATTTGACCATGCTCACTTGTAGAAACCAAAGCACCTTTAATTCATGAAAGAAATGCTCAATTCGCAAATTCTTTGTGCATTGTACCGTGTAATGTAGTCCAGGTCAGAGGGATAAACAAGATGTCAGTGATCATCTAAACATGTCACATTACAGATGAGAAAAGGAATTAGGGATACGGAAAAATAAAATGACTTGCTAAAGCCGCAAATCTAGTTGTTGGCAGATCAGAAACTAGGTACTTTTTTTTTCCCAGTCCATTACTCCTTATATTAATTACTTTCTGTTGAGATTTTTCTGGGATTAGTCAGTTCAAGACAGAAATTTTTTTCTAATGGAAATGGTAAAAGCAAAAACGTATCTTCTCATTGCTGGCAGGAACTGGAATTTCAAAGTCGCTCATATAATAGGTTTCCTAGCTTAGAAAAAGCTCTAAGTATAATGTCCCAAGTTAAGAGCACCCAATTAAAATAATGAAACCAGATGTACTTTTCAAATAAATACAAGCAATCATTAAGGAAACACATTGCTCCATAGTTAGGAATTAGCCTGTGCTAGTAGGAGACACATTATAGAAATACATTGGTTTTTCTTTGATGATTAACTAGTATAAGGAGAAGAAAGGATTTTTCATTAAACTGCTTTCTTTAGTAACTGAGTGTAAGACTATCACTTGGGAAAGTCATGTACCATTTCAAAGCACAAAGAATCGTTGGTTAATAAATGATTCTCTTGAACAGTGATCCCCAACCTTTATGGAGTTGCCTGAAGATAATTTATCATAATTTGTTTGATTTTGTGATTTTCTCTAGTCTTTCTCTCAGGTCCAGCTGAAATTCTACTTCCCCATGAGGCTTTCTTTTATCTTTTTAATGACACTGTCAGAGCTTTCTGATCTCTCTCATATCTAAACTTTGAATACACTTAGATTCAGTGCCACACAGCATGGCATCTAATTTTTCCCTAAGGACTTGATGGGATAAATTATTGTTTCTAGTATACCATCACAAGTCATTCCATTTTAGAGAAAGTGAATTATATGTATTTTCAATCCAACAGGTCTGAGATTTGCAGAGTATTTAGTATTTAATATATAATGGTTATATGGTGGAGGAACATTAAATACAGAGAAAGGGAAAATTCTCATCCAAAAAGCTATTAATAAATATTTATTATATGATAATTATTTCTTATTTTGAGATTTTTGTGACCCAAGAGACATGAATAAGTTTACTGAGTTTTCACAAGAATGGAAGACAAATTTTAATTAAAAACTTGAAATTGTCTTATAAATGTGTATGTATGTGTCTGTTTAATGTATTTTTCAAAATTGGGAAGTATAATACACACATAGCAATGTGCATAAAATATAAATGTAGACTTTAACGAATCATTTAAGACTGAATGCTTGAATAACAATCTCCCTTGAGAAGAAATAGAATATTGTTGGCATCCTCAAAGCTTTACCTATCCTTCCACATCATAACCCTTCCCTCCCTACCAATTTTTAAATTCTATTTCCCCCTCTCATTTTTCTCAATACTTTTGCCAATGAGTATGCATGACTGAACAATAACAGTACTTATTGTTTTGTGCCTCTCTTCTTTTGATCAACTTTATGTTTGCAAGATAAAATCCACGTGTTGTGTGTAGCTGCTGTTTATTCATTTTTCTGGTTGTATAAAGTACTATACAGAGAATATATCACATTTTATTTATCTCTTCTATTGTCATTAAACATTTGGGTCATTTTCAAATTTAGACTATCATAAACATTCAGTATTCTCCTACATGTCTCCTGGAGTGTGTTTACAAGCAATTTTGTAAGTTTTATACCTAAGACAGATTTTCTTAACATAGGCACATTGGGATATTTTGAGCCCTCTAATTTCTTGCTCTTGTGGTCTGTCCTGTGAATTGTAAGATGATTAGCTACATCTCTGGTCTCTACTGACAGGATGCCAGTATCACTATGCTGTCCACACGCTGCCCTCACAGTCATGAACAATTATTGCCAAGTGTCTCAGGGGGAAAAGTGTCAACTGCCCGTGGTTGAGAAACACTGACCTAGGAATATTTCTGAATTCTGTAAATAGTGGCAAACATTTTTCAAAGCAGAACTTATAATTTTCATTTACACTGGAGACTTTCCATTACTCAACATTCTCAGCAACACTTGGTGTATTAGTTTGCTAGAGCCATCATAAAAAAATACCATTGACTAATGGGTTAAATAACAGATTTTTTTTTTCGGGTTCTGGAATCTGTAAGTCCATGATAAAGGGGTTGGCAGGTTTAGTTTCTCCTAAGGCCTCTTTTCTTGGCTTGAAGATGGCCGTCTTCTTGCTGTGACTTCGCATGGATTTTCCTCTGTGCACACCAGTTCCTGGTTTTACTTCATCTTCTTCTAAGGACACAAATCCTAGCAGATTAGAGCCCCATCCTCTGACCTCACATAACCTTAATTTTTCTTTAAAGGCCCTATTGCCAAATACAGTCTCATTGGGGATTGGGGCTTCAACATATTGAATTTGAGGAGAACAAAATTAAGTTTATAACAATTGGCATTATCAGTTTTCAGTCTTTCCAATTCTGGAGATGTATATTGTATGCCTGAGGTTTGACAATTAATGAGGTTGACACCTTTTCGGATGCCCACCTGGCCATGCAAATCAACAAGTATGCAAGGTTTCTATTAAAGTTTTTAGCCAATTTTTTTCCTCCTTGGTTTAAATTATTTTTTTCTTTTTAATTTGTTAAAATTATGTAAACATTTATTGTGTTAATTATTATCATTACAGGGGTCTGTCCCCATTCTGAGGTTTTGCTTTTCACTCTCTTAAGGGTGTTATAAATGAAGTAAAATTTTTAGTTTTATTGTAGTTAAATCCATCAATCAATTTTCATTTTGGTCTGTAATTTGTGTATGAGGCACACAGTGTAAAGTTAAGGTCAAGTTTTAATGTTTTCTTATGGATGTCAAATTGACCAGCATTATTTAGTGAAAGGCCATCCTTGGCACACTGCTCTGTTGTACCAACTTTGTCATAAATAAAGTTGAAATCAATTGAAATTGCTCTCCGTCCTATTTTATAAACATACTGTAAATTAAATTACAGTCTCTCAAAGAGAAATTCTCTTAACTTGCTTTAAAAAAAAATTCAAAACACAGTGCTATGCAGAAGCATTTTAAGCTGCATAATTAAGTGGAAAAATTTGATAAATTAATAAGAGATTGTCCCTACTTATTTTACATGCTCGGTCTCTGAGCTCAATGTTCTGTTTTATTTCAACATGATTGGACAAAAGTTAAATCCCTAACAATCAGAAACAGTATGGAAATTCCATCCTAGAGGACAGACCAAATCATTATAGCTGAACTTACTTGTCACAAAAGACCTTAATTGAGGAAAATATCTGGAGATCATATCATATCAGGTATTAACAAATTAAGAAGGATTTAAAATAATGTTAACATTTTTAGGCACCTACTTTGTGTCAGGTTAGTTCTTAGTATACATAAATTTTTCTCTTAATTTTCAAAGTAGCCCAGGAAGTCAGGTTGTCATTAGCCCTTTTTATCTTGTGAGAAACTTGAGTACCCAAAGTTTCTCCACTAATCAATGCTAGAGTCTTTTCTATGTGAGTCCACAGCCTGTACTCTTGAACAATTAGTTACATTGTATCTGAAATCATCAATAAAAGACTAAGGGAAGTCACACTAAGTGATTTCAAAAATTTGAAGCTTTATCAGTGAGATGCAGAAGACACATACTACAGGACTCCAAGAATTGAGGACTAACTGATAAGAGTTTTAAGGTGCTAGTTTTTGTCTCCATGTTGGTAAAAAATCTACACTTCATGGAACAGCCATTCTGCAGAAAAAAGAAAAAAAAGAAAGAAACAGCTCTCTTGCAGCTCAGAATCTTCCTAGCACTGGTAGTATTTTAATTAAAAATCTAGAAGAGAGATTTCTGCACTGGATGAAATGTTGAGTGAGAAGACTTCTAATTGCTCCTCCAGATAAAATATATTGTAATTGTTTATTACTAAATGTCTACTATGTATACATTATTCTATTTAGTTCAGTTTTGTGCATGGGAGAAAGAGTGTATAAAAGAAATTTAAGACACCCAGCTTCCAGTAATTTATAATACATAATTGCAAATACAATCAATATATTAAACTGAAAAAATTTAAAGTATCTACTGTACTTCCCTTATCAATGACAATTTTTTAAAATTATATTTTGTGTGAATGAGAGATAATGAATTCTTATTGCTTCTGTTTTGTGCAGTTTACAAAACACTTATTCTTAAAAAAAAATGTAAGCCAAAACTCCATGCCATTATCACCATCCCTGTAAAGCTAGAAAAGATACTTTAATTAAGGCTGTTGACCAACTGTTGATATTCTACAAAGTAGAATTATTGTTCAAAGAAGTATAATAAAAAAACTGCCCCAAACACACATAGGTTTTAATCTAACCTCCAGGTCTGTAAGATATCTAACCTGATGCTAATAAAGTTTTAGACTCTCAAGCATTTCAGAAAATTGATAATTGTGTCTCATTTTTCTAATAATTACAGTCTGCACATTTATCTCATATTGGTTATTCTATCATCTGCAACAAATATACAGAAGAACATTGGTAGAATTAAAATAGACTATAGTGTTGTAACAAATAACTACTGAATCTATGTTTTTAAATGTAAATGTATCACTTATGCAAGGACTGTCATAGATTTGGACTTCTCTTTGGGGCAGCTGTTCCCTTTGTAGCAACTAGACAATTTTTGGTTCCATTATGTCAAAACATAGCCATAGTAGGTAAAGTGATAAAAATTCCCATCAATTATAATTACATATGCAATTCAATGATTAATGCTGCAGCATGATAATAGCATTTTATAAAGGAGGACACATCTAACTATTCCATATCACATTGCTAAAAATGTGGTCACATCAAGGATTTTTACTATTTTAAATAAGGCAATAAAAACTTCATCTGTATCTCAAGTACTGTGCTTGAAAACTAAAGGAAAATACAATGGTCTTTAACAATTAAACTTTATGCATTAAAAAGAAAATGATCACATTAGCGGCTGTGTTATGCATGCAATATATTCATTAATTCTTAGGAATGGCATACTATTTAGGGTTATGTTCATGAATTTGTACTTATGCTAAACAATAATGACATCCATTAAAGGCAGAATCATTAGACTAAATCTGCACATGCTGGTTTGATAAAACATTTAACTGTTTTGTCAGGCAGAGTTCCATTAAATTGACATTTATTTTTAGTTTTGGGTTTTTTTTTTCATAATCTCACAGAGTGGTAGTTAGATAATTAGCAATTAATGTAATTTAGGTACACCTCACTTTTATTCTGGAGGAGACAGATTATTTAGATTGATGGTTGGCATGAATGTTGAATGTGCCAATTGAGGCAATGATTTGAGAAATTATTTTCATAAAGTATCATTTCATTAGAATAAAACTTAACAGATGAGGAAATTGACAAAATACTAGTTCACGATCCAATTGTGGATCTCAGTCCTAATATGTTTCAGGATTTAGATTTTTTCTGATTTGAGAAAACCAATATGTTACAGAACTCCACAACCAGACACTCCGAAATTTCTCCAGCAAAAATGAGAATATTCCATCTAAAAGTCATACATGAAGAATATGTATAGCTTCTATCGGAGCAGCACAAGTTTCTCACTATAAGTACAGCTCCAGTCAAGTTTGCCCAACAACATGGGTTATTTTAAAAACCTGTATTTTCTGAGATTTTTGGATTTGGGAAAGATGGATAAAAATTGTAGACCTATATGAATGAGTTTTTAACTGCTGTCCATCACATATACAACTAAACATACATATTCTTTCAGGCATCTCAGAGAGTCGCGATCAACTCATGCACCTGGTCATGAGCTGGACCATTCTTTGTGTCCCTCAACATCACCTCCACTTCCGCCTCCTAAATTAAACACTTCCTTGCTTCTCTCAGAAGAGAACCCGGGAACTACACTTTCCAGAATCCTTTTCCTCTGACTTTGAACTAACTTCCTGCTACATTTGGAAGTTGTAAGGAAAGGAAAGGCAAAAGCCAAAAACTAAGTGGACCAATGACAAAGACAAAGTTCAAAGTGATTTGCTGATGAGCATCTAAGAATGAGACCTACTGGTGCTGCAAGCTGACGGTCTAGTGGCTTCCTAGAGATTTTGGGGGTGGGTGATCAGAGGAGTTTCTGTGTGAGCTCTTAAGAACAGCTCTGCCCCTTTGATGCTGTAGGTTGGCATCCCTGGTGAGAGCGTTTCTGAAAATCTGGCAAAAATTCTTGATCAAAAATACCTAGAGGGTTTGTTTTTCTGAGTGAATCCTGAGTCAAGACCCCACAATGAAGAACCAGTTCTCAAACTGTGTAAAAGTATGGCAATTGTTATACTTGCCTTTGAGATTTATTCAAAAACAAACAATGGGCAAGGTAATAAAATCTACCAATAATAAATTCCTTATTTTCTATATCTAACCTTGTCTAAACTGTTTAAACAAGGGTATTTGCAATGAGCATCCTCTCATACATGGAAAGATAATTTGTTGTAAGCTCATCCATGCTGTTCACAAATAAATCTCATACGGCATTTCAAACAAATAAGTAAGAAGTAATTAGGCTTATAAATATTCTGCTTCTCCAAGACACGTCTTTATTATTATTGTTACTGTTATTGCTATTATGTAACGAATCCATCCTTTTGTGATTTACCTTTATGACTAAGCCCAGTGAAATCTAAATCAAAGATCATTGCTTTTATTTTTAGGTTTTTTAGGGTGGTCATTTAAAAAGAGTGTTATTGAATGTCATATTTTATTAAATAACTGAAAGTTCAAACATGTGTATTCTCCATATTTCTTCTGTAATCTTTTGAATTTAGGCATTTATTTGAACCTGATCCTGCATTTCTTACCTACTTCTGTCATCAGAAAAGACACTTTATGACAATGTATTTCTCTGGGTTCCAAAAATGCGAGTTTGTGAAATAGAGTGTTATCATTCTGAGTTAAATGCTTCCAAAGGCCTCCATGTGATTTTACTGCTAATTTCAAGATTTATGTTACTAAATATGTGCTGGCTAATAAAGCCATTCTTGAATGATAACTCAACAGACTATTTGGCATAAGCACAATTGTTCACAGCTGCATGCAAGATGTCACTACATGAAAAACAACAGAAGCACTTATCTTTTGCATACCGTTAACCACGGCCCCTCAACAAAACAAAATACATCTACTCATTTCTCTTTATTCTATTCTTTTAGGAGAGAACAAGAATGGAAGAATAAACTATAGCTGAATTAACACAATAATATGCAAAATATAAGCTATACAGACATATTAAAGAGACTGACACATCTGTGTGTCCATTTTTATTTATTTTGATTTTGTTTTGATAGTTGGGAGCCAACCTGAGGTAATTTAGTTTCAGGTAAATTAACTCATTGGGAAAGATACAAGTTACAGCTCTTCTGTTTGTGATATGTCATCAACTTTATTACTTACTTTTGAGAAGCTGATAAAGATGGAAAAAGTTTAATATTATGGGTAACATTCAATTGCTTCCTCTCATAACTAATAATTGCTTTTGATACAGAAGATTGATTATCACTGGAAAGTTGAGTTATTCTTTCAAATGTTTCCATATTATCCAAAATTCATATATTTGATGTGAATTAATTGCTAAGAAATACTTAGACTCAATTACATAAATTACATTTATTTGATAAGCTTTTATACACCTTGGACTGTTAAATATATGCAAGAAATTCTCCTTGCATGTCATGTAGCATCAGATCCCACTTACATTTGCCAATTTGGTTGTGTCTCTGGAATGTCAACTTAACTAAGCTACTTGCTTCATTCATTAGGTCATGTGCATGTAAATGGTGAAGCTGATATGGAAGGGTTATCTAAATAATTTAGTTTAAGCTTGCTCTTTTAAAATATTTATTCCTCTATTGGAAATACCTTAAATAATTTCCTTGCTAATCTTGTTAGTTGTCCAAATCTGTTATTTTGATTTGTCTGTGTAGACAGTCTCTTTCTTAGTTTAATAATATATGGTAGATTCATACCCACAGGGGTGCAACTGAAAGCTGACATTAGGGACTTGATAAAATGGGTAAATGAGTCCTTGTGTTGTATACAGGATTGCCACGATCATGTTATACATGCACATTTTTCTGAATATAGAGGACAAAGCTGATGTTTTCGAAACAATCTCTGACTCATAAAATCTTAATTTATTCCTACAAATTCTTTTATATTCATTTAACAGCTTTTTGCTAGGTATATTAATTATTATAGTAACTTCCTATTGATTATCTCGTGATGCCGTCACATCCTGTTGATGGATTATACTCAACACATATAATCCTCAAACCTGGAAGATTTCTTTTCTCACATTATCTATGTATTCCTTTACTCACCTATAAATTTTACTGTGATGTTTTAAAATATATAGTGGATTTTCCACTGCCAAAATGTTTGGACTGTAGTGGTTTGTCATCATTGTTTCATTTTGAATTGTTTTAAACTTAAGATTGGAGAATAAACTATGAATTATAGTTTAGTAGTCATTTAGAAGAGCTTAAAGCCTAGTGAAAGCCAGCTGGTATCTTTGAAAATACACTAAACAAACAACCAAGTATCAAATGTCTAGCTGTCAGTTTCAAGCAATGAATGTATTCCAAGGAAGAAGATGGCCTTTGAAACTTAATTCTTTTAAACATCTTACAATCTTTTAAATGGCTATTAATTACTCTAAGGCAAATGACTCACTCTTTAAACATCATGTCACTCTGAAAAGCTCAACTAAATATTACAGTTACCAATTTAAACAGTACTGAACAATGATGACATTCAATTATATTTCTATATTCTGAGCACTTACTTTTCTTCCAATAAGCTGATCTTGTGTTTGGGGAAAAAATAATATAAAAACACACAAAATGCATCCTGATATCTTAAATAGTAAAAATAAAATAAGGCCTATTAAAATCAGCCACTTTGTATTATATTAAATTAACAGAACACGTTAAGTAGGAGTTGGCAGTCAATGAGCTGTTAGAATTTTATTTCTTGCTGAACTTAATGCCATTCTTTACCTGAGATGAACTCAATGAAAACTGCATCTTAAAAAAAAACAGCATAGCAATTAAGCAGACATAACTCCAGATCCAAATAAGATTTTACATTTTAAGTGGTGGTTTCAAATAAATAAAATAGACAACATTGCACTTTTTTCTGCCAGTAGCAAATATTTATCCCAAAAAAGTCATTTTTCAAGAAGATTGCCTTGTGCAGAAAATAACGTTTCTCAGGATTTGATTTAGGTGAGCTTTTCTTATCTTGCATTGAGAAAAGCAGGAAGAGAAATACGGAATATTAGCAAAATACAGACTTTATCAAGTATGTTTCCAGCTGAAAATGATTTTCTCAAGACACAAGATAATTTCTTCAATTGACACTGAGTATGAGATGAGAAAAATGTGTGACTATTAATTTCTTTTCGTAGGCTGGTCATTGTGGCTACTATGAAGTGCCTTTTGCTGCTGGCAGTTTACTATTGAGAAAATGTTCCTTCTCTCAGCGTGCCTAAACACAGCATAAATCTCCTTTTCTTTTGTGAAAGTGGATTCCTATAAAAGCTAGTTGCTTTGCATATACAAAGTTGATCACTTCTTGTTAATTATTTAAGAAAATAAAAAAATAATGTCCATGTGAGCAGGAAAAATGCAGGCAGGTGGCACCAACGTTGTTTACATTACCAAATGTTACTATATTTTTCTTTTTATTCTTATATACTAAAGATGAATAGGCATAAAAAAGGAAAATTATTAAAAACTCCTTTACTAATAATTGATCTTGGCTAGGCTCTATTATAAATATAGATGCCATATATAATGTTTTTATATGTCCATTGTTACGGTCTAGAAAGTGTGTGTCCCCCAAGGCGGTAATAAGAGTCTTTGGGAAGTGATTAGATCATGAAGGTTCTGCCCTCATAAATGGGATTACTGCCTTTATAAAAGAGGCCCAAGGGAGGTTGTTTTCATCCTCTGCCCTTGAAAATGTGGCAAGAGTATGTCATGTATGAAGCAGAGAGTAAACCTTCACAAGACACCGAATCTGCTGGCACCTTTACTTTGAACTGCCCAGCCTCTAGAACTATGAGAAATATATTTTTATTCTTTATGAATTACCAAGTCTATAGTATTTTTTGTGATAGCAGCCTAAAGGAAGTAAACCATGGATGATAATACCACACACCATGATCCTGACTGACTGAAAATAGATCAGGCATTACTTTTTTTTCTGTTTTTGTAACATCCATGGATTCTGTCCCTAGAAAGGATCAACACATGGTAAATTAGCAGTTTTCTGGTATAAAAGTTAAAATATAAACTTGTTAAAATAACTATAACTACAACAGTTTTTTAATGGATACACAATATAAAAGATGTAAATTGTAACATTAACAGATAACCAGTTTGATTATGATGTCATGGAAGTTTCTTCTACCTTCTGAATATCAAGGTGTCTCGTATACAATATATTCTAATATGCTGAGCTATTTAGGCATAATTGAAAGTTTGAATAGAACATGTATTCATTTATTTCCCTGTAGTAAACGTTTACTGAGTTCTTCAATTCTGTGCTTGGCATTAAGGATAGAGAAGGAATAGCCATAGTATCCTAGTTAAACAGGACTTAGAGCATAGGTATTCATACCACTTTATAACTTTCAGCCATTGACCTTAGTTTTCTCATTTGTGTATAAACTATGGTTCGATCACATCTCATAGACCCTTACATATTTGAGTTAGTATACCTCTATGAGACAGATTTAACTAACCTTGGCAAAAAGAAAATTTTAAAAAATGAATATACATTGACTCACACAAACCCAGGTAGGGCAGAGGTGCCAAGATTAGGGGGTTGTGGGAGCAGGAATTGGGCACCACCAGCACTCTTTCTCTGGCCTGTACTTCTCTGTGTAGATGAACTTCATCCTCATATCCCAGAATTTTGGAGAAAGCTACACCCCTGGTATGGTTCACAGTAGTCCTTAGGGTTTATATTTTCCCAGATACTCAACTAGAGAAAGTGATAGCAAGGATTCTTTTGGCTATTGAGTTTCAAAGTATCATTTGGATAGGCTTCAACTTGCCTGACTTTCATGACACGTGTTATAGTCAGAAAGCTGTGCTACTTTCAGAGCCTCCATTCAAAACCAAGGAATAATTAAATTAATAAATAAAGCCCAGGAAACAAATTTGAAAAAAGGACCTCCAGAGTAAGCATGTGGTGGGAAGAAAGCATACATGCATGCTGTGCACATCAATGAACTTCTATTCAAATATGCTAAGAGTGCATGCTTGTTTTGTTATTAACTCACAGAGAAGTTTTAATCAACTAAAACTCTAGTCTTTTTTATTTAATTTTTGGTGGATTTTAAAGTATATGATGATTTAACCTAGAAGTCAGAATTTATATTTATTCTATATCATAATTTAGCCATCTTTATAGAAAATAATCATCAAAAGAAAGTAAAAACGACTAACATAAAATGTATTTTTGTTTCTAGTAAATGAATTCCAGAAGTTGCTGGTACAGGAATAGTGTGATCAATGCACATTCATCAGAAGCATAGCCTCCTGGCCCCAAAATATTCTCCTGGATATCATAATCTGCATACCTGGCAACAAGATGGAAGTACCAGAAGAAAGGTATGTTTTATTAAAATGGAAAATTCAAAGAAATTTCGTAGATCATATCTACCAAATCTTTTAGCTACAAGGACACCTGATGAGTGTCATGTTTCAGTCCAAGAGCAATATACCAGCTATTGATCAATGTTCTGCTGCCGATGAGGAAAAACAGAGTAGATATTTTGGTATCAATGAGTAGTCTCTACAATGTGAAAATGTGTGTGTGTGTGTGTGTGTGTGTGTGTGTCCTAAATATTTTTGATGCAGATCTTCTTGAAAAGTTGTAATGAAAACATATAATTTAATTTTATGAGATACTTATTGAGAAACTAAGTGAAGCAGCTCTCAGAAATAATTTTTGAGAAGTCGAAGCACTACATTCTTCGTTAGTTTTACTTAGAGAAGCTTACACAATACTTACATTTTAGTTATTATATAATGTATACTAAGCCTATACTTTTCTTATATTTTTATTGTAAACATGAGTTTCTAGATGGTTTCTTAAATGTGCAATGTCTTTCCTATAAAAATAAAAAATGTATTTAAATAATTTCAAAGGTTATTGATTTATCAATTGAAATATATTTTAGAATATTAAATGTCTTAGGATATTTCTATGAAAAACTTTTCATATTCATTTAAAGTTGGAACAGTATTTGTGATAGAAGATTATTTTCCCAACAGTTTTGTTGTAGTTAACCTGCTGACTATAAGTGCTGACTGTTATATAATAGTACAAAGATTTTCTTAGATATATATATGATATTTTCTCTCAGCTATATATATACACACATACATATATATGTATATACACATGAACATATATATTTTTATTTCAAGCAAATTGGTTTTTGCATTGCTTTCCAATCAAAATAAACACAATTCTAGTTATTTAATACACATTGCAGAATCTTCATTACCTACAAAAGTCATTGTTGGCTGGGAATTATTATGATTTTGGTTCTGTTGTCAAGTATTCTAGGAATCCTTTCTCATTTCATTTCTGTGCAAAATGGATTGACATGAGAAATGAAGAGAGTCAAGGTTGCCAAGATTCATTTGTCAGCATGCATCGAGTCTAATCAGTCAAATAACTAACTTTTTACAACTGGACTATCATTCACCCTAGATTAATCCTGCTGATTCAATATTTGGTAATGATTTACTTTATAAGATACCTTGCTGAAATGAACATGAGCTATATTTGTCATTCTTCTAATAAAACAATTTTTCAATAAAAATTTGGTTAATTTGGCTTTTTAAAAAATGAATCAATAACAACTCCAAGAAATTGAACTTTAATTCTAAGCCATCATAAAATATTAGTCCATGGTCCATTTCATAATCTTGCCCAGCTTTATGTTCATTGAATTACAGTGTTCTGTAGTTGAAGGGGGAGTCACTTCTGGTCTGCCAGTGTAGTAAAAACTGTTGAAATGCCCACAATCCCCCTTTGGGAAGAAAAAACATAATTCTACCATGGTCAGTAGTGTTATGAGATGATAGTTGCAGTTTTCAGCTTTTCTTTGAGAATTGCCCTTAGCTGAAGAGGAGAAACTAGTCCAAAGTCATGCCCCCATTTCCAGGGGCAGCATGTTTCTAATAACTAGTTGATGTGGGTATATAGAAGCCTAAATTTCTGGACACTTAAACCCAAATGGGCTCAACTTGGAAGGACGATACCTCATCTTCATAGCTGAAATATCTTCTGTGGCTTTCGGAGGACCAGCTACTCCCTCTACCCAGCTAAGCCTTCTTTCCTTCCACAGCAGGTACTAATCTTAAAAGCACTCCCTAATTAATCCCTGAATGTTATTCTCAGTCTTAGTGTATGCTTCAAAGAAAGCTCTACCTAAAATCACCACCACTTCTGATTTGCTATGATTATAAATTAAGTGACCTGGACCCGGAAACTGAAACTCTTTTGATGTAGTAGCGAAATATAACTATGTCTATTCTTAACTGTATGATTTCAAGTTAATTTTACTTTATCTCGAACATGAAAGTAAAAACTGGGTTAAACTGCTCTACCTTATTCTAATGGGAATATTTCTCTTTTCTCCTTCATGCACTTTATAAGGAGCTTATTTTTAAAGACATAACTGGTTAGTTTAATATTTGAAAATCAATGCATTTCAGCACAGTAAGAGAGTAAAAACAGAAAGAGATCATTTCCACGCATGCACAAAACAGCATTTGTTAATATCCAGTGTCCATTTCTGATAGACACACATACATGCTAACAAAAAAAAACAAACAAACAAACATTTCATTAAACTAGAAATCAAAGTAAAGTTCCTAAATTTGATAATTACAGCCATAAAAAAATCTACATTAACATCATACTTGATGATAAAAGACTGAATGGTTGTTTCCTTTTACAATTTGGGAAAAAATACAATATTTTTTCTCACTATGTCTGTCATATTATTAGTATTTCTAGGCATCAAAATAAGAAAAAGGTAAATAAAATAAATTCCTATTTGCAAAAGAAGAAACAGCATTGTCATTAATTTTCTGTTTAGAAAATTTTGTGGAATCTAAGAAAAGCAACTTAAGCTAATAACTGTGTTTATCAGAATACAAGGCTATTATACAAACAAATCAATCCTATGTGTATATACTTGCAACAGACCACTGGAAGTTGAAATTAAAAAATACCATGTAGAACTGAATCAGAGTATGAGTTGTTTTTTTTTTTTTAATGGAGTCTTGCTCTGTCACTCAGGCTAGAGTGCAGTGGGGTGATCTTGGCTCACTGCAACTTCTGCCTCCCAGGTTCAAGAGTTTCTCCTGCCTCAGCCTCCCAAGTAGCTGGGATTACAAGTATGCACCACTACGCCAGACTAATTTTTTGTATTTTTAGTGGAGACGGGGTTTCATCATGTTGGCCAGGCTTGTCTCAAACTCCTGACCTTGGGTGATCCGCCCGCCTCGGCCTCCCAAAGTGCTGGGATTACAGGCGTGAGCCACCATGTCCAACCTAAAACGATGGTTAGATGCCACGAAGTAGGTGGCAATGCCTTTACCGTATGCATGTTGTCAGGCCCAAGGGCCTCTTCCATCCTTGTCAAGGGGAGTGCTGTGAAATTTTAAGACACAAATCTGACAATGAATGAACAAGAGCTCTGCACTGAAAACTTTAAAATTTGCTGAGAGAACTTAAGAAGATATAAATAAGTGGAGAGAAATACCTGTACTGTGTTTATGGGCCAGAAGGCTCAATATTGTTAACTTGAAAATTCTCTTTAAATTGATCAATAGATTCAACAGAACTTTAATTATAATTCTAGTACAAGTTTTTTGTTTGGTAAAAATGACAAATTGACTCTAAAATTCATTTCAAAGTACTTTGAAAATGAAGGACAACTTTGCTGAACTTACACTCCTGAATTTAAGTCTTATCATAAACTTACTGTATTCAAGAGGTTTGGTACTGGCATCAGTTTAGACAAATAGATCAATGAAACAAAATAGAGCTCAAAAATAGACCTACACATATATGGTTAATTGACCAACACAGGTGTAATAATTTGCTGTGGATATGATATAATATAAACTTTGATCCAGGTCTCATATCATTTTTTGAAATGAACTCAAAATGATCACATCAATATGTAAAGTTTATAACTATAAAACTTTTAGAAGAAAAAAATATTTTGGGCCTTGGGTTCTTATATATGATAGTATGATGTATAACAAATAAATCATAAATTGAATTTCTCAAATTTGGAGATTTCTGGATTTTGAATTACACTGGTAATGGAATGAAATGACAATCTACATATGGGGAAAACATTTGTAAACCACATATCTGGTAAAGAATATGTGATTCAGAATCCATAAAAAGCAGCCAATATTCAAAAATAAGACAACAAAAAACTCAATAACAAATTGTCAGATGATTTGAACAGACAGATAACTAAGTAAGATACAGGAAAGGAAAATGAGCAGTGAGAAAATGTTCAACATCATTAGTTGGTAGAGAAATGCCAACCAAAACTGCACAGAGACACTACTATATGCCTATTAAAATGTCTAAATTTTCAAAGATTGAGCATGCCAAATGTTGGCAAGGAAATGGAGGAACTGAAATATTTATACTGTTAGAACATAAAATTGTAAAACCACTTTGCAAAAGAGTTTGGCAGTATAAAAGTCAAATACTCTATTTTTTGTTTGATCAAAGACAGCTTTCAAATCTCACCCTTTCCTTCTCCCCTTTGCTCCACCTCTTGGGAAGCCAATAAGAAAGTCAGATTTCTCCCTTCCTTGGAGCATGCAGAAAGTTTAAATTCATTTGTCTTGTATCACGATGGACTGATACTGCCTTATTTTCCTTGGGGGAAATGTTTGCCGTTTTCTATATGAGTAATGAACTATATTTCATACCCATTGGTCCTATGTGTCCTTTGTCTCAACAACTGTATAAAGCCTCAAAGCTGGTGGTGGGGAGGGAGTGATGATGAGTGTACAATAGGGAAAAGTGGTGTCCAATTAAAAACTTAAAAGAGACAATTTCTTAAATAGGTAAACAAATATTATCATCTCATTCATTCCAATAAAATGACAGTGTGTATCTACACAAAGACTTGTACATGAAAGTTCATAGAAGCTTAAATTTTAATAGCCTCAAACAGGAAATAACCATCAAAAGGTACATGGGTTAACACATTGTGGTAGAAGCATGTAATAATTATACTGAACAAAAGAAATCCTACAAAGCAATTGTATATACTGTATAATTCAATGTATTTGAAACTGAAAAAGATGTAATGAATCTGCAGTGGCAGAAAGCAGATCAGTGGTTCCTGGGAATGAGGGAGTGGCTGTAGGAAGAGCTGGAAGGAAGGTGATATGGCTTGGCTGTGTCCCCACCCAAATCTCATCTTGAATTGTAACTCCCACAATTCCCACGTATTGTGGAAGGGACCCAGTGAGAAGTAATTGAATCCTGGGGCAGGGGGCTGGTCTTTCTCATGCTGTTCTCATGATAGTGAATAAGTCTCACTACTACTTTTGGGACTGAGGTGGGAGGATCGCTTGGGTTGAAGCTGCAGTGATTCATGTTCATGCCACTGCATTCTGCCCTGGATGACAAAGTGAGACCCTGTCTCAAAAAATGTTTTAAATATAAAAACCAAAAATAAAAGACTTATAATAAGAATTTGGTTCACGTGATTATGGAGATTGACAGATTTCAAATGGGTGAGTCAGGGAGCTGGAGACCTAGGAGACCAATAGTACAGTTTCAGTCTGAAGGCCAGCATGTTCAAGGCCCAGGAAGAGCCAATGATTCCATTTGAGTTAGAAGGCAGGAAAAAGCCAATGTCCCCATAGAAAGCCAGTCACTCATCCAGTCACTCACGGAGAGTATTTTTTACTTGAGGAGGGACAGCTTTTTCATTCCTTTCAGGCCTTCAACTGATTAGAGGAGGCCCACCCACACTAGAGAGGGCGACATGCTTCACCCAGTCTACCAATTTAAATATTATAATATCATTTAGAAACACTCTCACAGAAACACCCAGAATGATATTTGACCAAGTTTGGGCACCTGATGGCCCAGTCAAATTGAAACGTAAAATGAACCCTCACATTGGCATTTCTGGGGACTTCCATGAAATCTGCCTCTCTCATCCCAGCAGGAAGCTGGCAAAAGCTTCAGGATTATCCCTGAATGACCCTTCTGTGTGTTGTTAACAAGTGCACGCACACTAAAGAATAATGTCATATTGTTATCATCATTTGTTTCACAACAATTTACCTTGGGCAGGTGTTCTGGGATTTTTTTTACATAATATATAACTTTTGTGATCTATTCAACCTATGACACAGTGTTATCTCATGTCCTTGGATGACAAAATTGAACCATCCTGTTTTTGACAGCCTCACTAAGCCTCACTGCTCTTATACTGAGTTTTAGCTTTTCCATCGGGATACAATAAAAAGCTACTATTGACATGATGTGATAATTTAGTGAGAAAGTAGCTTTTTAAACAATTTTACTTAAAGTGCTAGTATATAAAAGGGCAAATATATTGTTAATCTAAATTTTCTGACACACCCCCTTCTCTCAGTTATAAATTCAGTACAGATGGTGATGATGAAAGCATATGTGTTTCAGATCCATAGTTTGTACAACATTATTACCCAGTTCTATAGAGTACTCCTTGAGGAAAAGACAGTTCAATAGTATTGTATTACCTTTAATATGTCTCCAATTCCCTTAAGGAATAATCATGGTATATTATGCAATTTTTAAAACAAGCTCTCTACTGGACACAGATGAAAACTTCATTATTTTGAAAAACTGGATAAATAGAGCAGAGAGTACATTATAATTTCCCTTGCCTCTTGCCTTAACTCCACAACCATGTGATACAATTCAAATTAAACAGCAAATAAATGTTTTGTTTGTGTATGTGGGTGTTTGTGTGCTTGTCTAAGAAGCATTTAGATTTCCGACAAATAAATAACAGGGATAATAGCTTTCCCTTACCTGAATGAGGAAGAGAACAGAATTTTGAGTTTCTTAATTGTTTATTTCAGGAAAAAATAAGTGTACAACTCTCTTTGTGAATCATTGTCAAAGATGTGGAAAAGACTATGTCTAAAAAGGAAAATCACATCCAATTAAGAGTATCCTCCTCTCCAATTTGTTCGTCTGTTTACTAGGAAATAGAGCAATGTATCTATTTCATGTAATTATTCAAGGCTAAATAATTTTAAATGATGTTAATGCAAGGGAAACTGACAGGTACAATTAGCGAACTCCTGGATAATATGAGTGATCCGTCTGTAAAACCCAGCTGCACCTAGGAAAAAACAAGAGGTACCTCTCCTCTTGCCACCATTTCAGTGAATGATCTATAGCAGACTTTGGAAACATGGCAACAATATTCAGCTTACTTTTAAAACAGATGGCATGCTGAGAAGTAATCATAGACTCAACATTCACATTCTTTGCTGGCATTATAAAAGGCCAATTGCAGGAAAAGCCTAAGATCTCTTTCTCTTAAATACTCTAGCTAGTGACAAATATTCAAGATGGTTCAAACTAAAAAACTAAAACCCCTGCTCACACTATCCACAGGATAGGAAGTTTGCGTCACAGCTAAATCTTAGAGTACATCATAGAAGCTCATTGTCTGACTCTGGGCAGGTCATGAAAACTCTGTTAAATCTTGATGGCCTATCAGGCAGTATCTTGCTCAGTTGAGCCGAGTAGAAAAATATGTCATTTGCTCTTATACACTTTTAATTCATTTTGTGCATAGGGTTTTGGATTATCTCAGAGAATAAATTTAAAAAACATGGAGAATAAATTTAAAAAACATTGCTAGTAAAAACAAAACAAGAAAATAGAGGATGATAAAAGACTATTTTCTTGACAGTTTCACATCCTGTGAAAAGACAGTCTGTTTACTTTTGTTGTGAATGTGGAGTATATATTTATTTTGTTCAAATCCTCTTTAAAATATATATATTTTTCTAAATAGAAGGTCAACAGTGAATTCCTTTTCCTGTATTGGACAGTTGATAAGAATAAATGTGTCTATTAGCTAGTGAGGTCATTTAAAATCAACCTGACTGGTAAATCTCTTTGAAAAAAGGTTGACTGTAATGCAGGCATCATTACTGTACCTCAATCTAAACTGCTCTAAAACAAGTACATATTAAAACAGATCTACAGGAGATGAGAATCTGATAACTTTGATAAGAGTAAGTGTCTATTTAATTTATTTCCAATTAGGTAGAGCTTTGCCATGTCAGATTTACTTTACTCATAAATAAACTCTTATTATTTTAAATTGTATTAAAAGATGAGCTGAGCAAGGATAGGCCAGACAGAGCCAAAAAAGGTGAAGTTGGTTTTTTCTCCAAAAATAATTACTATTTTCTATTTTCAACAAAAGCCAAAATTTGCTTTTGTAATCTCGATGGTAAATAATAGTTTCTGTCTTCCCCAATCTGTTTGAAAAGGGGTATTTGACATAACATTATAGAAAACTTCAACTATTTTATTAGAATAATAAATATAATTTTTATAATACTTTCTTATGGTTAGAAGTTTGTCATTTCAATCTGCCATTCTAATTATCTGAGGTCATCAGTGATCTGCTGAAACAATATGGCTCATAGAGAATAATAGAGAAGAAAGAACACCCCTAACAGTACCCTGAGTCCCCCAGTTTCATGTGATAGGGATTTTCGGTACTTGAATATTCAACTCCCATAAGAAAAAAAAAAGTTAGAATCATGATTATGTTTGATTACTGGTCCAATCCTGTCTCTTACAAAGTGAAATTCAATGAATAAGAATGGAGTACATTTTTTCTGAATAAGCAGGTTTCCTTGTTGTTAACTCTGATTCATCTTCCTGGAAATGGATCCATGTGAGAATTCAAAGCCAGTGTAAAATGCTTGGCTGCTTAGCAAAAAAAAGGCAAAATTTAGAAAATGTCTGAACCAGAGATTACTTAGCGATTAGTGGAATTCAGGATGATGTTACATTAAATACAGTAAAATAAATTCTAAAGAAATCATGTAAATATTTTTTTCAAGGATGTGAGCTGGCTTTCACCTGAGACTGCAGAGGGGATAAAAAAAAGGAATCTTGTAGTAGATTAGACTGAATCTAAAATATAAAATTCATTTTTTCTATTAGCAGAAATGATTGTACCTTTCTAAATATCACCATGTATTTATATCTTTCTAAATAAGAGAAAATAAATGAGTTGTGAGCAAGAATAAATATAATTAACATCAAAACCCATGAGCTATTGTCAAGTAAGTTCCTGAAATACATGTACATTTACAATTGATCAATTTATCCTATTGAGGAGGAATATTAACTGCTACACAAGTTATTTTTTCAGATTTCATGATCAGTCATTTGCAATGGATTATTTCAACCAGAGAAATTTGGACCACCGTGGAGGTCAGAGGAAATTGCAGTTGCTTCTACCTCCCCAGAGCAATTTTAGCAGAAAAGTTGCTACCCAGGGAATGACATTTTTATGTTCCATTAGTGATAAGTGCTATTTTTATACTGCTCATGACCATTTCTCACTCTGCTGATACATGTGCATTTATCTACCCCATATTCCAATTATTTCCAATTGCAAGAACTATGCTACACATCTCAGAAGTTCAAAGGTGGTTGTAGAGTGAAAAGAGGACAATGTGAAGGCTATGAATTCACATAAGTGAACAAATATGTGATCATTGGCATTGACTATTATCCAGTACCTTTTGTGCCCAGAGTTTAGTAGTGAAGAGTCATTTTCAAGACATGCTAGGCTCTCACTATTAGCTTGAAAATCAGTTGCAAATATAGAATTATCTAGTGATGTAAATAATATATTTTTCACTTCTAATGTATCTTAAAATATAGATTTATCTGGGTAGAATAATACAAATAATGCTTTAAGTAGGATTTAAGTGAAATTAAACTGGCTGTAATCATGAAGCATTTACAGTAGTCCAGGCTTTGTACTAGGAGTTCTCCATGAAGAGATTTCTGATATAGTCTTCCAATTTATCTGGAGCATCTTCTCCATACTACAAATGAGACAAGAATGGCAAAGAGATCTTCATGAACATACCATCTGAAGGGTGTTTAGTGTACATTATGCAAAAGAGAAGACTCAAGAAGCAGTGGCAATGCTAAACCTTACATGCCACCATGTGCCTAAGGATGGAGGTTCTATCTCAAGGAGTTAATCAACAGGCTCATTTCCTCCCTGAAACTCAAAAAAATTATACTGCCAAATTTACATTTTAATAAGGCAGATATGTTTTAAATTTATTAGACTTTGTTATATGCTCAATCTCATAATTTGCTACTAGTGATATTCTAGTTACTTCTAGTTCAGCAATTGTTAAACTGACCGCTTGTTGTTGCCTTTTTAACTCTGTACATAGTCATAATTCTGAAAGTAAACAAGTCGATAAGGTCCTTAGAATGCCTGGCTGCTGAATCAAAGGGAATATACAAAATTCTGAAACAAAACTCAGATGTGTAGTGATAATAAACTCACAGTAGGTGTTATCAAATGGATTAAAGATTAAGCTTTTCTTTTTGTTGACATTTTTATAGATAGTATTATGTATAAAGCAGCTAATCTTTTAATATGTGACATAAACTTTTATATATATCTTAAAATGACTTTTCACAATTCCAAATACAGAAAAAAATTGAAAGTCTATTTTAAAAGTCATTAATTTATCCTATCCCATGTAACTAGATTTGGAAACAGAAGAAAGCAAATTAGTATCTGTTGGGTGTCATCTAAGTTCTAACTACTTTGGTAGGAATTCACATATATCACCTCGTTAAATTAAGTTTAATGATCACAGCAATGACTTGAAGTAGGTATTTGAAATCATGTTTCTCAGCTGGGAACACAGGGAAGCCTAGTGGTTAAGTTGTAACCAGTAATAGCACTGGTAAAAAGAAGAGGCTCTGGATTCAACTTGCCAGGGTGAAATCTCGGTTTTCCTCCTTTTTAGGTGCAGGTACTTTACAAAGTCATTTAATTTTCTAAGCACAATTTCTCAACTTAGGAACTAGAAATCACACCTGCACACGCACATGGCATACTTAGGATAAATATTTTCATGCCTGCCTGTTTACATACTAACTACAATCATCATTCTTATCATCATTGTCATCCCTGTCTCCCTCCGTTAAAGGACATGCAGTAATCTGAGATTTGAACACAAAGTAACTTGACCCTCAAAAGCATACTATTTCATCTATAAACACTAAATTGTTACTACCTATTAGACTACTGAAATATAGGTTCCCATTTTTCTAGGACTGACATTTAGTATTGATACAGTCAGTCATCCCATTGGTTTGGTTAGAGCATGTGGTATTATCACTTTAACTGCTGCTTAGTCTCTCTCTTGGGTTAATGCTTCTCAGTTTGTCTTTTCCATAGAGAAACTCCTCTGAATTTTATTTACAACTCTCTATCACCTTATAGTAAACATGTTCCCTAGGTGTCCAAATGTATTGTCCATGCTTCAATTAGCAGAAAACTATTAAAAAGTGAAAAACGAAAATTCTCTGTTACCAGACAGTATCCCCGAGCATAGAAGCATCACTAACATAGATTGTGCCGGAAGTGGTTCTTCCTGAGGTTGTGCAATATGGTAGCCCTAAATATTCACCACTGTTTATCGGACTTCTCCACCTAAATATACCACAAGCAACTCAGCATGTACCATACTAAGCTCAACATAATTATCCTCAGATATATCTTACTTCTCATGATGCTTAACTTGGTAAATGGGTGACCAGCCATTTCCAACTTGCCTGAAGCAGAGACTTGCCCAAAGCAGAGGTATTTCTGGGCTTGGTCTTTACACTTATCTTCATATCTAATCAACTCCTTTTGACATTGTCTCTTTACAAAAAGAAATCACTGCCTCCCGAAAATAATTCAAAAGCTATACCAAATACTTTACATGTATTATTCCAAATCTTGTAACAATCATATGACATCAATATTATCAATTCTATTTTAGGTAGAAAAAAAAAGAATTGCAGAGAAGTTAATTACCTGAAAAATATCATATAGCTAACAAGTGGTGGAGCCAAGACTTCAACTGAGTCATCCTGACTCCAGATGACATGTACTTTATCTCTAAATATAAAGCTTTCAGGACTTAGTGATGGATTATTAGTAGAAGCTGTAGGTCACACAAGACTCAAAAGTACCCTGACAGTTTTAGCTTCAGTAACTGGATAGACTTACTAAGACGGGGACAACTGAGAGAGTAAGTTTTGGACCCAATGAAATCAAATGTAAAATTTGACATCTTTATTAGATAACCATATGGATATGCCAAATAGACAGATTTATGAATCTGAAGTCAGAAAGTAAGTCAGGGCTGGAGGTAGGCGTTTGGGAACAATTGACATATAAACAGTACTTAAAACTGTGGAACTGGATAAGAACTTTTAATGCTAGCATGGATGGGAAATAACTTTTTGCACTGTTAGCATTTATTCAGTGACTAAATCATAGTAGGTGTTTCACAAATATCTGCTGAATAAATAGATAGATACACGGAATCCCATTATGTGTGAGGAACTAGACCAGCATTCGATATAAGGAAGGATTGAGGAGCTCATTATTTTAGCTGTTTCCATTACATGTTTACAAGCAAACTGGGCAAAATAAAATGTGTCAAAATGTGAAATAAACAGAGCGAGGCGACAATGTTACAAAATTCCAGTTTAGGGCTCAGATTTGGCAATTTTGTCTTAGGCAAGTCAGTTAATTATAAACACTCTGGTTTTGGATCAATAAGTTGATCTGGATGGTTGGGCCTTCTTACTTTAATAATCTTTGAAAGAAGGAATTAGAAAATATAATATATCTAAGGTTAAATAATAAAAGTACTTCTAAGTGGTCTATAACACAATGCAAGGAAGTGAATGAGATTAAGTTAAGATTTCAGAAGTTAGTTGAGAAACAAACTTTGGTTTACATACAAGAAAAGTGATAGGAATTTCAAAAGAGTAAAGAGAGCTTTCAAAAAAAGTAAAGGGAGATTTTGGGCCGCAATCTGCTGATCTTGCCAGTTTATCAACCATATTTCTTGGGATGTATGCCAACAAAAAATCTTTTATAGCATTAATCACTGGTGAGAAACACCGTTATCACAGAGACATGCCTGCATACCCTGGAGGAAGTTTTACAAATGGACAGCCACCATCTTTGCCTTCACGGTTCTTAGATTTATGCAACAAGACATTTTTTAGGATGAGTTAGCATTCATCATACCCGATGAGATTGCTACCAATTTATTGTGTGTGTTACTAGGGTGAAGAAAGTGTTCCCCTGTGTTTACTTTTCAAAAATCTTTTTTTTTTTTGCAACATCCAGAAACCAGTAAAAAATTATATTTAAAAATGTATAATTTTCTGCTAGCAAACAGTATTAGTCCTTTTTTATATTTATCTGACATTTGCAATAGAAGAATTTTGCGGCTATTAGAATAGAAAATTTCCTTCCACTCCTTCAAACATCTCACCCCAACTAGAAATCTCCCATTATTGATTTGGAAGAAAAGATTGAGAAGTTGTCATTATTCCTTTCCAGCTATGTCTCTTATCTATTTAGATTTTTAAAAACCATGTTGTTTTTTACTAAACACACAAGTTACTACTTTTTAGGGGTCAACTAGGTGAGGTGTTAATTCGGAGAAAGAGACAGAAATATGTGTTTTTTGTTTGTTTGTTTGTTTGTTTGTTTTTAAAGGCTTTCATTCGGTTACCCAGGCTGGAGTGCATTGGTGTGACCACAGCTCACTGCAGCCTTAAATTCTGGGGCTCAATACATTCCCATGCCTCACTCTCCCAAGTAGCTAGGACCACAGGTGCATGCCACCATGCCCGGATAATTTTTTTTCCCATGGAGACAGGGTCTCTCTATGTTGCTCGAACTCCTGGGCTCAAGGGATCTTCCTACCTTTTCCCCTCAAAGTACCGGAATTACTGGCATGAGCTACTGCACTTGACTCCATTCTCTTTATTTGGACCATAAGTTAATAACAATTTAAAATGAGGAATATCTCAGTAAGGCATAATATTTGAGTACAAACTTTCCTATTCATCGCTGCTGTCAAACTCACCATAAATCTAAAATAAATTACTTATAATAATGTAATTTGCTGTTTAGTTACTTTTTCAATATTATTAAATGGTGAGTAAGGTCTGTCCTATGATTTGTGTGAACTTTGGCTAGATATAATTAGATGTTCATGGTGCAGACCATCTAATTATAGAAGATAATAGGTAAAATTTATATGTAATAATCTAACATAGGTGACTATATCTTAAATTTATTGTATTTCCCCAAGAAGTGAATGGGGAAGGGAAATTGAAGAAAACTTCAAGGATCAGTTAAGTACTCAAGAGTCCCTTCTGCTCTTCGCTGAGCTCTAGAATGACTATAGGAATCAGAGATGGGCACAAATCCAGCTGGATTGAATTCTTCTGTATATGTCTCAGACATCCATACCTCAAATGGGATCCTGATAGGCTAAGAACGTATTCCAATGTGATTTTTGTAGACAAGGTTTATAAACACATCAGATTTTGAAAAACAGAATATCAGTTGCTTTAATATTGCAACCACAAACTTTTCTTCTTTCAAAATTGCCATTTCTCTCTTAACACTACTGAAATTCATTATCAATGAAATAACAATTATTCTGATATAATATTGTGATCCAACCAAATAGGAGAATTCAGGATGTGTAATGGTATTTAGTAGAGCACATTTGTTTACCTGATTATATTTATTCATAACTGTCTTGATTATTGGTTGATGTTTATAACACATATACATGTAAATTTAAAAGTAATCATAAGATTTCAATGTTGACCATGATGTTTTCTACAGGTTTTTTCCCAATTTAGGAAAATTCTCTTCTATTCTCATTATACTGTAAGATTTTATCTTACATAATTCTTAAAATTTGTGCTGAATGTTTTATTCTGAATGTTTTCAGATTCCTATTTTTCTTCTTTATTCTGTTTAAGTAATGCAGTTCTTTAATCCATTATTCTATTGGTGAAATAACTTTACATTGTTAGAACAAACCCATCTTGGTTGTGATATTTTATTTTGCTTACAGAATGCTGGAGTTGGTTTCTCATTACAACTATTTTTATTTAATGTTTTACTGGAAACACATATATATATGTTTACATAAATTATTTTATGTGCTTTGCTTTCCTCATTTTATTGTCAAGTTATAACCTTATAAATAACCTGGAGTACATTCTATCTTCTTTTTCTTTTTTTCTCACAAAAGGATTTGTGTAAGATTATGGATAGCCAGTTCTTCAATAACTTTAAAACAAGTCTCTTAAATCATCTTGAATTACAGTTTATTTTGCGTGAATATTTTAAATATATATTCAATTTTATATACTTTATAGACAATACAGCAGGTTTATTATTTTCTCTTGATTTAATTTTGGTGAGTTTATTGTTTGGTTCTTTGGGGGATTTTTACAGTCATTGTTACTACGTAGAGTTCAGCTAAGTTTTCAAATGGTTGGACTACAAAGTTGTCCTTTTCACTAAAAAATAATATTACATTATTTTAATTTCTGTTGAATTATGTTCGATTTTTAAATCCTTAATATTCATACATTTTTTACTTTATTTTACCTTCTTGACTCATCTTGTCAGAATTTGCTATTTTTCTCTGTTCCAACAATCAACTTTTGTCTTTGCTAAACTTCATTATCACTTTGTTTGCAATTTTATTAATTGCTACTCTCTTCTTTACTGTTTCTTTACTTCCTCAGTGTATTTACTTATTGATTTATTTATGTGATTTTTAAGTTGAATGTTTGGGTCTTTTTTAGACATAACCTTTTTAAATACCATACTTTAAGGATATATATTTTCCTCTAAATACTTCTTATACTCACCTGTACTTATATTTTTAGGTAGTTTAAATTTTAATCATGTCTAAGCATTTCTCACTTCCATTGTTTTTTTCATTTGTCTCATGAGTTATTTAAACATAGATATTGAATTTTTAAAGTACTTATTTCTAACTTAATTGTGTCATGTTCAGAGAATGTGGGCTCTATAATATTGAAATTGGATTTCATATTTTTTTTGCCACGTAAAAGCTCTACATTTGAAAATATTCCATATATCCCTGAAAGAATGTGCGTTCATTCATATGTTGTTTGTTGCAATGTTCTATACATTTCACTTTAAAAATAGTTTGCACTATCTAATTATTTTATTCTTATTAAGTTTTCCAATTTACAGCAATAGGCATGCTGTAATGTGCCCTAGAAAGAGTGAATATATTTAAAGACTTATTTTCATTGGTTAACACTATTCGCCTTAAAATATATTTTGTCTAATGCAAAACTAATTATATAACCTTTCTTCAGATTAGTATTTAATTATTTATATTTTCTAGAATTTTAATTTCACTCTTTCTGAGTCCTGATCATTTAGGCATGTCTGCTGTAAAAATCAAAGATGTAGAATTATTTTCTTCATCCAATATGAAAAGCTTTGTCTTTTAATTTGACTTGTTGGTTCATATATATGGATTGCTATTATTATTTTGAATTTGCTTTCCTCATCTTATTTATTTCTTTGTCTTACTTTTACTATAACACTTTGTTCCTCTCTTGAGTTGGATTGATTGGATTAAATGGACCCATTGGATTGAAATATGTTTTGCTTACCTCAGTTTTTTTTCCTTTTTCCTCAAATAGCTTGACAAATATACACGTTAGTCTTCTTGTTTATGGATTAATTTTTAAACATTAACATCGGTATTTAATTAAAATTTTATGCCAATCACTGAGTCACTTTGTCTTTGTAATCTTGCTATTTCACTTTATGTGTCTGGTGTAAATGTCATTTAATTTCTTTTTCTCTGTATTTATTTGGGTTCTATGAAAAGATTGATTTTTTAACCACCTTGGTAAAATATTTTATTAAATATTATGTCTCCTTCATTATTTTCATTGTCTCATGAAACTCCTACCGAGGCATGTGGAATTTCTCACACTTTTCCCTTGTCTCTTACAACTCTGGGCTCCATTTGCTATAAATATCTGAAATTATAGCTCTCTCTTCACTAGTTCTTGGTTCAATTGAAATTCCTTTTTTCTTTAACATTGAATTTAAAATTTCAATTATTATAGTTTTGTGTTTATAGTTCTATTTTACTTTTTATATGATAGTCAATTTTGATAGTCTTTTCATTATAGCTTAATAAATACACATATAATTATGTAGTATTAGATATGTTTTCCATATTTTATATTTAACAATTTGCATATGTCTGTAAATCTAACATTATACCAAACTTAACAAGTTTCAAAATAAATTCATTTAAATAACACAGGTCCTAACTTTTCCAGATGCCCTAAAGAAAACTCCAACACTATTCTATGTATTCTCTGAGGACAAATTTGCTAATTTTTTCTCTCTGAAGAATGTTTCTCCTTTCTCTTCAGCTTAGTTATGTGATAAAATACTTTAATATTCTTTTTTCTACTTAAAATGTTTAAATGTGCTGTAGATACCAGGAGTTTTTTTTCTAATTATCTTTTTCACTATACTGTATAAAAAAGAAAGTTTCTTAGAAGTCATTTCTTTATTTAAATTTCATGTATTTGTCTGCTTAGTTTCTGATGCTCATCTGCTTTCTGAATAGTTGAGGTGAACATGTAGTATAATTCTAGATATGGGAAGTGTTATTTTAATAAAATATTTAAGATTCTTACTTGAGTTGGTTTTCTCAAGATCCAGAGTGATTTATAAAAGCCTATGCTGTTCACAAGGTAATTTGAGAGGAAGCCAATGAATCCTCCCCAAATATTACATATTACAAATCTGCTTAACATCAGCGTATATACATATATATAATTTTATGATATGGTAAAATATATATAACCTAAAATTTACTATTATAACCACTTTTAAGAGAACATTTCAGTGATATGAAGTACATTCATATTGTTGCACAGCCGTCATTACCATCTATGTCCAGAGCACTTTTACACTTACAAAGCTAAAACTTTATGCCCATTAAATAATTCCCAGTCTCTATTTGTTGCTGGTCTCTTAAAAAGCAATTTGTTTTTGTATATTGACCTTGAATCCAGTGGTCTTGCTGGATTGTCTTATTAATTGTAATTCCTTCTTTTCTATGTACATCCTTATGCCTTTTGTGAATTGTGTCAGTTTTATTTTTTCCTTTCAGATCCTTATGAGTCTCTTTTTTTTCTTGACTTAACAACTTCACTGACTGGACCTTATGGTATATTCTACTCCATGTCTTTTAGTGCACTTAGGTGTGCAACAACAAATAAAAAATGAAATTAAAATTATATTTACAGCAGCATTATCCATAATAGCCCAAACTGAAGACTACGATGATCAGGAGGAAAGGTAAAGTGTGCTGCATACACAGCCTGGAATATGCAGCACTGAGAATGAATAAAGGGCAACTGTACACAACATAGATGAATCTCACACACAGAATCTCCAGTGAAAGAAGCCAAACACAAAATTGTACATATTGTACGATTTCATATGCATAAAGCTCAAAAATCAGCAGAATTAGTCTATGTGTTAGCAGTCAAGATAATGGATTGCCTTGTGGGAGGGAGACTGGGAAGTGAGTGGAAGGGGCAGCCCAAGGGCTGTGCCAGCTCTGTTAATGTTCTGTTTCTTGATGAGGGTGCTAGTTATGTAGGATGTGTTTATTTGGTGATAATTAAGCCATATATTTATTTAAGACGTGATGTTTTATGTATATTTATTATACTTTAATAACAAGTTCTTTAAAACAATAACTCCCCATCTCCTTCACTCCCAGACCCTGACAACCACCATTCTGCATTGTCTCTATCAATTTGACTACTTTAAGTACCTTGTACAAGTGAAATCATATAGTATTTACTTTTTTGTGACTGGCTTACTTCACTTAGTGCAATATTTTTTCTTTCTTTATTCTTTTTTTTTTTTACATAAAGTTGTTTTGTCTGATATTCATACAGCCTTTCCTGTCTTCTTTTGGTTACTATTTGCATGGAATGTATTTTTCTATCTGTATTAGTCTGTTCTCATGCTGCTGTGAAGAAATACCCAAGACTGGATAACTTATAAAGGAAAGGGGATTAATTGGCTCACAGTTCCGTATTGCTGGGCAGTTCTCAGGAAACTTACAATCATGGCAGAAGGCGAAGGGGAAGCAAAGCACTTTCTTCACAGGTGGCAGGACGGAGTGAGTGCAAGCGGGGGAAACGCCAGACACTTATAAAACCATCAGATCTCATGAGACTGAATCACTATCACAAGAACAGTATGGGGAAAACCACCCCTGTGATCCGATTGCCTCCACCTGATCCTGCTCTTGACATGTGAGGATTATGGAGATTACAATTCAAGATGAGATTTTGGGTAGGAACACAGCCAGACCGTATTACCATCTTCTCCATTTCAGCCTATTTGTGTCTTTGGATCTAAAGTGAGTCTCTAGTATATACTGTATAATTGGATCATATTTTTATATTAATTCTGCCAATCTTTGTCTTGTGATGTGACAGTTTAATTTACTCACATTGAAAGTAATTACTGTTGAGTAGGAACTTACTTATGTCATTTTGCTGTTAGTTTTTTATATACCTTACAGAATTTTTTCGCTCATTTTCTTCATTGCTATCTTCTTTTGTGTTTAGTTGAATTTTTGTGGTGAAACATTTAAATTTCTTTCTCATATCCTTTATTGTATATTCTATAACTATTTTCTTTGTATTTACCATGGGGATTATATTTAACATTTTACATTATAACATTCTAATTTGAATTTACACCAGCTTAACTTTAATTTAAACATGCAAACCCCTGCTCTTTAACAGTTTGGTCCCTTACCTTTTCAGTTTTTCATGTCACATGAAAACACTTTATACACTTTATGCTGAGATGCAGGGCACCAAGTCCCTAGGCTGCACACAGCAGGTGGGCCCTGGGCCTAGGAAACCATATTTCCCTCCTAAGCCTAGGAGCTTGTTATGAGAGGGGCTGCCATGAAGGTCTCTGACACGCCCTGGGAACATTTTCCCCATTGTCTTGATGATTAGCATCTGGCTCCTCATTACTTATGCAAATTTCTGTAGCCAGCCTGAATTTCTCCTTAGAAAATAGGTTTTTCTTTTCTGTAACATTTTCAAGCTGCAAATTTTCCAAATTTATGCTCTGCTTCCTCTTGAATTCTTTGCCACTTAGAAATTTCTTTCACCAGATACGCTAAATTATCTCTCTCAAGTTCAAAGTTCCACCGATCTCTAGGGCAGGTCAAAATGCCAACAGTCTCTTGCTAAAGCATAACAAGAGTTGCCTTTCCTCCATTTTCTACCATGTTTCTCATCTCCATCTGACACCACCTCAGCCTGGACTTCATTGTCCACATCACTATCAGCATTTTGGTCAAAGCTATTCAACAAGTCTCCCGGAAGCTCCAAACTTTCCCACATCTTCCTGTCTTCTGAGCCCTCCAAGTCTCTAGGAATTTCCAAACTTTCTCACATTTTCCTGTCTCCTTCTGAGCCATCTCAGCTGTTCCAGTCTCTGCTTGTTACCCAGTTTCAAAGTCACTTCCACATTTTTGGGTATGTTTATAGAAGCGTCCCACTACTCCCAGTATGAATTTACTGTATTAGTCCATTCTCATTCTGCTATAAGGACATACTTGAGACTGGGGAATTTACAAATGAAAGAGGTTTAATTGAATGACAGTTCCACAGGGCTGGGGAGGCCCCAGGAAACTTGGAATCATGGTGGAAAGGGAAACAAAAATGTCCTTCTTCACATGGTGGCAGCAAGCAGAACTCCCACACAAAAGAGGGAAAAGCTCCTTATGAAACTATCAGATCTTGTGAGAACTCACTCACTATCACGAGAACAGCAGTATGGGGGTAACCACCCCCCATAATTCAGTTGCTTCCCACCAGGTCCCTGCAATGACACATGGAAATTATGGGAACTACAATGTAAGAAGAGATTTTGGTGAGGACACAGCCAAACCATGTCACTAAACTTCACATTGTATGATAGAAGTCCACCAAAGTAGTCAATGCTGTTGCATCTCTCTACTGCACAACACAATTTCATCTCTAGTAATAATAAGATGTTGGAGACCTAATGAGGCAACGTACAGCCAGATAATTTAGCTGGGAGATTTTATGCAGTAGGACTCATTTTATAAGCACTCTAAACAAAGGTTGGATCTATGGAACCCAGTACAAAAAGTAAATGGTCCTAGTTAAATGATAGAAAGAAGTGTCATTAAAGGAAGCAGAATATAATGCTTTCTTTATTATTCTATGGTCTCTGTCTGTCAACTTGACATAGTGTTTTGTGTTTACTATTTAACATCATTCTTATTTAAAAAATTTTACATTATTTTCCAATTTTATTTTAGGTTTGATGTTACATGTGAAGTTTTCTTACATAGATAAACATGTGCCATGGGGATTTGTTGTACATATAAATACATCATCCAGGTATTAAGCCCAGTACCCAATAGTTACCTCTTCTGCTCATCTCCCTTCTCCCATCCTCCCTCCTCAAGTAGACCCCAGTCTGTTGATTCCTTCTTTGTGTTCATAAGTTCTTATCATTTAGCTCCCACATATAAGACAGAATATGTGGTATTTGGTTTTCTGTTCCTGAGTTAGTTTGCTAAGGATGATAGCCTCCAACTCCATCTATGCTCCCACAAAATACATGATCTTGTTCTTTTTTTATGGCTGCCTAATATTCCACAGCATATATGTACTTTTACTATTAATTTTGATATTGCATGTTTGTTTTAAATGCAAATATAAAAGTGTTTAAATTGTATGCAGAATCACTGAAATTGCATAATTCATATATCACAGCTCATACATACATATTCCAGAACGGTGAAAACACTGCATCATACTGACTTAACTCTTTATTTGATTTATTTATGCATGCATATTCTAGTAACACTCACTACTGTTGGCTTACTGACTGAGTAAGGAAGATTGAAAAAAAAAACTATAGGTTGTCATATACCCCTCTCTTTCCTTCTTTCTATGCCATCATTTTCAGGATAAGCAGTTTGTTACTACATAGATGTAACATGGATAACAAAAATATATGCTAGGATTCCTTGGTTGTCATGTTTTATAGAACACTATTTTCTTCTTTCCACATTCAAAAAAAATTCCTCTTTAAAAAAACTGTGGTCTCTTATAATATCAGAAAGTTCAGTGTCAAATTAAATTCTGGACTGTTTACTCAAATATTTCTTCAGCTTACACATTAAGGCACAAACATAATGAAATTATGAACTTTCCAGTAAATGAAATCTTCAGGATTTTTCTATCCTCTATAGATCTGTGAAGACATAATATTTTAACATTTGCTAAAATCATGACACAAGTATTATCTGCAAATTTAATTTGACAATTATTTAATACCTAGTCACATTTTTAATTGGTTCATAAAATGCTCTTTATTTAAATCTTTAAATAAAAGTTTTACTTCAAAAAAAGAAGCAACTCTTCTTCATTTAATATCTGCTTAAGAGATTCTCACTCTTAAAATCCTGAGAAATAAACAGCAATATATATTCCCAAAACAAAATTTAGTGCCCAATATTGGTAGGCTAGAACCACCAATACCCCTGATCCCATTCTTTCCACTTAGATTGCAATCTACCAAAAGTCACTTGGAGACACTGATAAGGCTTGGCTCTGTGTTCCCACCAAAATTTCATGTTGAATTGTAATTCTCAATGTTGGGGGAGGGACCTGGTGGGAGGTGATTGGATTATGGAGATGGATTTCCCTATGCTGTTCTCATGATAGTCATTGAGTTCTAATGAGATCTGATGTTTTAAAAGTGAATGACACTTTCCCCCTTACTGTTTCTCTCCTGCCACCATGTGAAGAAGGGGCTTAAATCCTCTTCACCCTCTGCCATGATCATTAGTTTACTGGGGCCTCCCAGTCATGCTTCCTGATAAGCCTGTGGAATTATGAGTCAATTAAACCTCTTTTCTTCATAAATTACCTAGTTTTAAGTAGTTCTGTATAGCAGTGTGAGAAAGGACTAACAGAGAAAATTGGTACCAGAAGTGCGGTATTGTTATAAAAATATCTGAAAATGTGGAAGCGACTTTGGAATAGGGTAATGGGCAGAGGTTGAAATATTTTGGAGGGCTCAGAAAAAGACAGGAAGATGAGGGAAAGTTTTGAACTTCCTAGAGATTTGTTGAATGGTTTTGACAAAAATGCTGATAGTGATTTGGACTATGAAGTCCACAATAAGGTGGTCTCAGATGAAAATTTGGAACTTATTGGGAACTGGAGTGAAGGTCACTCATGCTATGCTTTAGCAAAGAGACTGGCAGCATTTTGCCCCTGCCCTAGAGGTCTGTAGAACTTTGAACTTGAGAGAGATTATTTAGGGTATTTGACAGAAGACATCTTTAAGTAGTAAAGAATCTAAGAGGTGACCTGGATGGTTCTAAAATTGTATGCTTATATGCATAAACAGAGAGATTATCAGAAAATGGAACTTATAATTAAAAGGGAAGCAGTCATAAAAGTTTGGAAAATTTGCAGCTTGGCCATGTGGAAGAAAAGAAAAGGCCATTTTCCGGGAGGAAATTCAATCTGCCAGCAGTAATTTGCATAAGTAAAGAGGAGTCAAATGTTAATAGCCAACACAATGGGGCAAATGTCTCCAGGACATTTCGGGGACCTTCCTAACAACCCCTCCAATCACAGACCTGGAGGCCTAGAAGGGAAAAATGGTGCCAGGCTCGGTGGCTCACACCTGTAATCCCAGCACTTTGGGAGGTGGAAGTGGGCAGATCATGAGATCAAGAGATTGAGACCATCCTGGTCAACATGGTGAAACCCCGTCTCTACTAAAAATACGAAAATTAGCTTGGTGTGGTGGCATGCACCTGTAGTCCCAGCTACTGGGGAGACTGAGGCAGGAGAATCACTTGAATCCAGGAGGTGGAGGTTGCAGTGAGCCAAGATTGCACCACTGCACTCCATCCTGGTGACAGGAAAAGACTCTATCTAAAAAAAAAAAAAAAAAAAAAAAAAGGGAAAAATGGCTTCATCAGCCAAACCCAGGGCCCTGCTGCTCTGTGCAACCTTGGTACACTGCTCTTTGCATTCCAGCCACTCAAGCTCCAGCTGTGGCTAAAGGGCTTAGATAGAGCTTGGACTGTGGCTTCAGAGGGTGCAAGCCCCAAACCTTGTTGGTTTTCAAGTGGTGTTGGGCCTGTGGGTGTGCAGAAGATGGGAGCTGAGGTTTGGAAACCTCTGCCTAAATTTTAGAGAATGTATGCAAACACCTGGATGTCCAGGCAGAAGTCAGCTGCAGGGGAAGAGCCTTCATGAAGACCCTCTAGTAGGGCAATGCAGAGGGGAAATGTGGGATTGGAGCCCCCACATGGAGTCTTCACTGGGGCACTGCCCAGTGGAGTTGTGAGAAAGGGGCTGCCATCCTCCAGAACCCAGAATGGTTGATCCAACAGCTTGCAGTATGAGCCTAGAAAAGCTGCAGGCACTCAATGCCATCCTGTGAAAGCAGCAGTGGGGGCTGTACCTGCAGAGCCACAGAGGCAGAGCTGCAGAAGGCCTTGGGACTTCATCACTTGCATCAGTGGGCCCTGGATGTGAGACATGTAGTCAATGGAGATTATTTTGCAGCTTTAGGATTTAATGACTGTCCTGCTGGGTTTCAGACTTTCATGGGGCCTGTAGTCCCTTTGTTTTGGCCTATTTCTTCCATTTGGAATGGGAGCATTTGCCCAATTCCTGTACTTGCATTGTATCTTGGAAGTAACAAACTTGTTTTTGACTTTACAGGCTCACGGGTGGAAGGGATTTGCTATCTTTCAGATGAGACTTTGGACTTGGAATTTAAGTTAATGCTGGAATGAGTTATGACTTTGGAGGACTGTTGAAAGTGCATGATTGTGTTTTGAAATGTGAGGACATGATATTTGGGCAGGGCCAGGAGCATTATGATATGTTTTGGCTCTGTGTCCCCACCCAAATGTCATATTGAATTGTGATCCCAAGTGCTGGAGGCCAAGCCTGGTGGGAGGTTATTGGATCATAGGGGTGGTTTCTAATGGTTTAGCACCATCCTTCTAGTGCCGTCCCCATGACGGGATTCTCATGAGATCAGCTTGTTTAAAATTATGTAATACTTCCCCTTCTCATGCTCTCTCCTACTCTATCCTGGTAAGATGTGCTTGCTTCCCTTTTCCTTCTGCCACGATTGTAAGTTTCCTGAGGGCTCCTGGCCATGCTTCCTGTACAGCCTATGGAACTGTGAGTTGATTAAACCTCTTTTCTTTATAAATTACCTAGTCTCAGATAGTTCTTTATAGCAGTGTGAGAACAGAATAGTACAGACACTTTCACTTTGGGCCTTGATGGCTTAACTTGCATCAGATTGATTCTACCATAAGAGCCATTAGAGAAAATGCAGAAATCATCACCAATACAACTACCCTCACCCTCACCAACAGTGAAGGCATCAGAAAGTAACCAACGTGGTCAGAAGTTTATTAGCTAACATTTTTGAACAAAGAAAATGCAATGATGAGAGTCCAGTATTTTTGATTCCTTTCCCTTTATGGTACTGACTGATAACAGTAAATTGTACTAGGCAATAAGTAGACAGAAATCTAATTGGTATGGTGAAAGAACTAAGTTTCAGAGATATAAAGGAAGGATGACTTTAGGACACTAAGACTTAAGAGAAAGAACAATGCCGATAAATCCAATATTTTATGCTGCTTTTTCTCTAGAACAATTTGCTGGTTCTTAAGCTGTGAGAGGACAAAAGGGCAAGAAATTTGGAAGAGAACCAGGAGGTAGTATTCAAGAGCAGTAGGTAAGTGGAGTATTTTCCTGTTTCCTGTTGTTGGAGATTTTTATTTTTTCTTAATGGAACTTAGAGCTTGTTGAGAAAAAAAAAAAAAAGCAACTCTATAAGCAACTCAGATTTTCAGGTGAAACCAGGCAAAACTACACCCTAATAGTATGGGCAAACTGGAAAAGCCAGAAGATAATAGGCAATGTGAATATCTGCAGTTAATTCAGATATTAGAATTATAAAACTAGGACTTTACAATATATGTGATTAATATGTTCTGAAAATTGAGAACCTATATATTTATTTCCCAGTGAAATTAAATTAATAAAAAAGATCAAGTTTATAACTGAAATAATATGAATAAAATAAATTGAGTTAGAAGCATATTAGTCATAGCAGACGACAGGATTAATGAACTAGAATATAGTTCACTAGAAAATCCTGAGGAAAAATAATTTTGAAAATCTACAAAAACCACAAACATACATGAAAATAAACAAAACATATGTAAAAAGCAAAGAAAATGTATTTTTTCCTATTAGCAGAGAAATTAAAATCAAAATGTGAAGCCTCTATTACCTTCTCATGCTTCTATAAAAGTTAACCAATTCCTCTATATGAAAGTTATCAGAAATTCCAGATAAATGAATGTACCCTTTAACGGAGACTTTAAAAAGTTTGGGGAAATAATTTAATAAAGAACTTGGCATTATGTTTTACTGAGAGGTGTGTTGCTGCTCTAACAAATGCTTGAAAATATGGAAACAACTTTACCACTGGGTAATGGATAGAGCCTTCAAGAGTTTTTGAGATGTGTGCTACAAAAAGCAAATACTGCCATAAAAGGACTTTTAAAGAAGATTTTTATGAGGGCTCAGAAAGAAGAGGACAGCTGAAGAGAAAACCTTCATCTTTTCAGATAATACATAAATAAGTATGCATAGAATGTTGCTAGAACTATAGACAGTAAAACCTGTTCTGATGATTTTTCAGACTGAAAGAAGGAACATGTTATCAGACAATGGAGAAAAGGTAACCCTTGTTATAAAGTGGCAATAAACTTGGCTGAATTGTGTTTATATTCCAGTATTTGTGGAAGGCAGAAATAATAAGCAATGAAATTGTATATATGGCTGAGTAGGTTTCTAAGCAAGGCATTGAATTAGCTGCTTGGTTCTTCGCAACTGCTTATAATACAATATGAGAAAAGAGAAATGTTTGAAGAAGAAATTGTTAAGCAATAATAAACCAGAACTTTAATTTTGGAAAATTCTCTTCCTATTCATACTGTAAAACATGAGAAAGTCTGCTTCAAAGAAAGCACTGAAGATGTGGCTTATAAAATTATGTAAGTATTGTCTTATTCTGTTTGGGCTCCTATAACAAAATACCACAGATGTGTAATTTATAAAGAACAAAAATTTCTCACCATTCTGGAACCTAGAAATCCAAGATCAAGGCACTGGCATTTGGTGTCAAGTGAGGGCTGCGTCCTTCAGAGGGGAGGACTACTGTGTCCCACATGGAAGGAGATGGAAGGGCAAGAGGATACAAAAGCTGTGTCCTCACATGGTAGAAGAGCAGAAGAGAGAGAACTTACTCCTGCAGGGCTTTTTCATAGCAGCATTAATTTATTCATGAGGGCAGAGCCCTCATGACTTAAACACCTCCCAATGGTTCACATCCCAACACTGTTTTATTGCAGATTAAGTATACAACATATGAGCTTTGAAGGACACATTCAGACCATAGCCAAGTATGGACTGTTGATTTAATCAGACACCCCAAAGTGAAAGCTGTGTTTGAACTACAGGGAATGGAGATGGGGCAGAGTAAAGAAAGGTTCTCGGACTTCTTGGGTTTTACAAGATGTGAACACAGAATTACTTGGCTGCTATTGTCACTGTTCTACAAGACAGGAAAATAATGTCCCCAAAGGTGATTCAGAGATTTCAACAGAGAAAATCTACATTTGTGTGGAACTGCGTTCAACACAAATCATGTGGATGGGTCTGCCCAAAGCCATGAGGGAAAAAATCCTACCTGGCATTGCCACAGCTTGGGTGCAACCACTGCAGAGCCATGGGGGTGACACTGCCACCCCAGTGTTCATGGAAAGTAAAGCATTGAGCCGATGAGGATTATTCTCAAAGTTTTAGATCCCATGCAGTTTACTTTGTGAGGTTTTGTTCTTGGTGTCAAGTGAGACCCACCACTCATTCTTTCTTTCCTTTCAGAATGAAAATATTTCTACTACCCTTTGTTACCATTTTATTTTGGAAGCACATAACTTGTCACATAATTCTGTGCTTCCAAAATATAGTGATGGAACAGATGAACAGCTGGAGAGAAATTTTTGCCTCAGGATGAATCATACCTCAAGTCTCACATGTACCTGGTTTAGATGATGGTTAAATGAGAGTATTGATGTTAGATTTTAAGATTGATGCTGAAATGAGCTAAGATTTTGGGGGCTGTTGTGATGAAATGAATGCATCTGGCATAGGAGGAGAATATGAATTTGGGGAGGCCAAAGGCAAAATAATATAGACTGGATGTTTGTTTCTTTTCAAAATGCATATGCTGACATCCTAATCCCAATGTGATAATATTTGGAGGCAGGAACTTTGAGAGATAATTAAGTCATGAGTGTGGAGGCTTTGTTCGGGATTAGTACCCTTATAAGAAGAGACGGTAGAAAACTTACTTTATCTATCTCTGTCTCTCCCTCTCTCCCTTCCATGTGAAGATACAGCAAGAAGGTGTCCACCTGAAAACCAGGAAGAGAAACCTAACCACAGGGGAGCCTAAAAGAACTGAACTGGCCAGCACCTTGATTTTGGACTTTCTGGCATCCAAAAAGGCAATAAATAATTTTTTGTTGTTTAAATCACACACTCTATGGTATATAGCATATATGTATTTTGCTATAGCAGTTCAAACTAAGACAAGTTATATTTTATGAAGATTAATCATAATTAGACCAGAAAATTAAGTGACTTTGCATAACCTTGTATATAGTATCAAAATTCTCCTTGCAACAAGCAACATCCAACATGAGAATTACTAGCCATTAAGTAATTACTGGGGAATTCTGTCTTTTGATTGTCTTGTTTAATGTAGGGGGAAAATAGGGACTATGTTATTATATGTTGAGTATTTTTACTATTAATTCCTTTTTGCTTAATGTATACAGTATAATTGCTTGTATATTCAGAAATACTCATAAACTCTTTTGAGAATATAATTATTTCCCTTTCATTTTTGTTTTTTTCATGTACAACAATACTAGTTAAACAAGGAAAAGTGTGTATTTTTTATCTTTTACTAATAATTTTTGCTTTAATTTTTGCTTTACCAAACTTGCTGTGATACTGTTTAATTTCAGTGATGATTGTTGCGTGCATGAATGCTTCATTCTTGATTTCAAAAATAATGACGATGATGTTTCATCAAGTATAATGTTTGTTATTGTATTTTTTGTGAAAGACGTTTTATTCATAGATAAATGTTGAATTTTTCAACATTTCTGCATCTGATGAAGTGTCAGATTTTTCTTCTTTAATATGTTAATATATTTACTCACTTTCTAAAGTTCACTTGGCCATAATGTTCTATACTTTTAACATGATGCTTAATTGAGTTTACTTACGCGTTATAAGAATATTTTTATACATTTTTACAATAGAACTTGGACTATAATTTTTATTGGTCAATAATCTCTTTTATTGTCATTGTTGAGGTTTGTTATTAAACTGATGAGAACCTGGTAAAATGAGTTAGTGAACATGTTTGCTTTATTTACTTGGAAGAGCTGATACAAGATTACAATTATTTATTCCTTATATGTTTGATAGAACCTACGTTGAAACTATCTGGAAATTTCTGTGAAAAAAATTTTAAATTATTGATTCTAATGCTTACTTTGCAGTTCTATTTTTATTTATTTTCAGCAATTTTATATTGATAATATTTTGTCCACTTTAACACTTTTCAAAATATTTGTAAAGTTGTTTATAATCTTATATTTTTTATAACTTCAGTATATTAAGAGTGATGTCCCCTTTAATCCCTGATGTGTTTTTTTGTGTGTGTGCAATTTCTACTCTGTGTTCTTAATTAGTGTCATCAAAAATTACCAGTTATCAATCTTTTGGAAGAACCAACATTTTGGGGGGAATTTCTATTTTTTTATTTTTACAGTTCATCTTGTTAGCTTCTGTTCTAGTGGTTATAATTTCTGATTATTTTTAAATTTCTTGAGGTTTATTTGGTATTAAACTTCTATTTGCTTAAAATAAATATTTAGTCCACTAAGTTGCTGGACTTCTGCTCTTGTAATATACATCTTGAATGTTTAAATTTTTCTCTGTCCTGTTTTAAGTGTATGACATATTCTTTGTGAAAAGGTAATTTACTTGTATTTCAGTTCAAAAATTTTGGTAAGTTGTGTTTGTCAAGTAATATTTTTATTTTCTTAGTAGTCAAATGTATTAGCATTAAGTTTTTCTTATCTTTTTTATATCTATAGAATTGGTAATTTTGTATTTTCTATCATTTTTGATTTGGGTAATTTGAATAAGCACTTCACAGAAGAGCCAATAAGTTTATATTAATATAAAGATGCTATCATTATAACAATTATAAATAATATTGAAATATTATTTAAAAACCACGGGCATGGAAAATTTTTAAAGTGTAAAATTATTAAGGATATTGTCAACTGAATGTTTTAAGCATGGCAAATGCCACAATCATCCTGTGGGAAAAATAAAAGACATTATTTTTATAGATTTGTATACCTATGTCTCAGCAATTCTACTCCAAGGAAGATATCTTAGTAGAAAACTGAAAAAGTTATGGCAAAAACAAGTATGAAATATGAATATCTAAGAATATAAAAAGAAACATTTTTGGAAGTAGAAAATATATTTGAAAGCGATGTAAATATTAATCAACAATTCAATGTATAAAAATATTTTGTACTCATACAATGAAATTGTGTATAGCAATGGCCAAAAACAATTATAACTCTGTATAGTAACATAGATAACTTTTGGTACTATAATATTGAACAAAAAAGTTATAGACAGAAGAAAATATACTTAGTTATTGTTTTTGTATAACTTAAAAAAGACTATGCCAAACCAAAATATCATTTATGCATACAAGCATGTTGTAAAACTACAAGAAAATTGAAGATTAAAATAAAACCAAATTCAGGATCATAGTTATCAATGAGGGATGGAGGAAGAGATGCAGTTGGGAGGTTCACACATAGATCTTGATGAGAGATACTATGTCCTTTTTCTTATATTTACATGGGGTAGGTGTTTTCAGAAGTATTATTCACATAACTTACATTTATTATATGTTTTTATAAGAAATCAAAATAAATTTTAAATAACTCTTAAAAGAGAGATTCTGATCATTAGTCTTACTGGCAGAGATGACTAGAGCTTGGGGCAGGCGGAAGATCTTAGTGATGTGGAAGTGAATCCTTAATGTAGTAAAAAACCCTAAGTATGGCTCACCTTTAAGAGAGTGAATTAGGTAAAGATTAAATTTTCAAATTGAGATAATAAGGTGAAATATTTGTATTTGAAATTATAAAGCTCAATAGAGTAAGGACATTCAAAATAAAAATCACAAGGCAATATGGCTCTGTATCCCACATATTGTAATATTAAAGGAGAAATACTTAGGCAGCTTACACAGAATGCTTCTTTAGTAGGGGATACAGAGCATTGATGTGAGAGCAAGAGACCTGTGTTTAAGTGTTAACACTACCATGCACTAACTATGAGACAACAGCAATTCCATGAACTGGTAGAGTTTTGAGCTGGAAGATTGGTTTTTGTTACTCTCTATGGTTAATTTCTTTTAATACTTGGTATGATTTAAAGTTACAGGCTGTGACTTTACAACTGCAAAGCCACTGGTAAAATATTAAAACATTCACAAGCTATGAAATAAAATCCCATAATTTTAAATTAAAGTCATTTGTTTAAGCTTACTCATTAATAAAATATACATGCAAACATAACCCTAGATGTTTCCAAATGCAAAAAACACCAGAAAAAAAATCTATATATATTACAGAAATGTTTTTATCAGTCTTGTATAAAAACTTAGAGAGAAGGAGCGAGAGAATAAATATATAATTCAGAAACATCCAGATAAGATAAATTGTTGCATAAATCATTGTATTAAGTAAATTAGACTGATTTTAAGAGCCATGTGATAAACTACATAGCAATAAATCTGGTCATGAAGAAAAAATGAAATAAATTGAAAAAGAGCTGTTTCAGTCACTAAAGTAGCATTAATTGATGCATTCCCTGGAGAAAACATCAAATCTCCCAATTTATAATCATTTGAGGATTTATCTTGGAAATTTTCCTTTCAATGCCTCATCTTATTTGACTGATTAAAGCTAGTTCAGAATTATAGGTGAAGAACATTTCATAAATTAAAGCATATATTTTTCTTAATGTAATAGCCAGGAATCACTTGCCATCATCCTGCATAATCAGTTCTGCTTCTTCAGAAATTTGTTAGTATATTTTTCCATTTCTCTGCCATTTTCAGTTTTAAAAATAATTATACAACTACTTTTATAATATAGCATAGTGCCTAATTTAGGACTGTCTGCCTTGCCTTTAATTTTTAATATCACCTAAAGTGACTTTACTCATTATATTGCACAGTTTAATTTGCATAAATCATACTATTGTATTACTTTGCATATTCTTTATGCTGACACTCTATTCCCCAGCTAAATCTTCCTTGAAAACAAAATCAGAACAATCTGCAATCTATAAACAATAGTTCATTTGAAACTCCCTGAGGAGTTTCCTGTGTTCTCATCATTGCTCGCTGAGATTATAGATATATGACATTAAAAACCACTTTAATGGAGACATTAGGCGTATATTCAATACCTAAGTCAAAACAGATTATCACAGCATCTAGTCAAATAAGCAATGATCTGATAGTAGCCCTTAGAGAATGGGTAGTACTATTTGATACCAGATTTCTAACAACTGTCAATATCCAGCATTTTTCTTTCAAAATTTAGAGTTAATGTCAAGTAAAATAAATGCAATTGAAAGCCATGAATACATTTTTAGACATTACTTATTTGCTTTGTATTACTAAGCAAGTGAATTCAGAACAAATATTTACAGGGATGGGCATGTAGGCATGTGTCTGTTCATGCAATGTACAACTGGGGGTTTTCATTTATTTTCCTATGGACAGAAACCAATTAATGAAATTCAACTTTATATGACTTAATTGTATGCTCTTAGTTGTATCATGTTTCAAGCAATTGTTTTGATTATATACAAAATGACAAAAAAAAACCCACAAAGGATGAACCAATTTGATATATAAATAAGGTTTAGTAACTATAAATGAACCAAAACCCAAACAAAATAGCCTTAGAGAGAGTCAAAAGATTGCTATCAGGTTTCCTAAATTCTGTGAAATCAAAAATTTTGAGATGTACCAATGAGTATTCCAAAGCTTTGTAGTAAAAAATTAGAACATCATACTAAATAATCATGTTGATATTAAAATGCAACCTTCCTTCATTCCTTCCTTCCTTCCGTCCGTCCTTCCTTTGGTTTTCTTTCTTTCTTTCTTTCTTTTTCTTTCTTTTTTTTTTTTTGACAGTCTCATTCTGTCGCCCAGGCTGGAGTGTAGTAACAGGATCTCAGCTCACTGCAACCTCTGCCTCCCAGGTTCAAGTGATTATCATGCCTCAGCCTCCTGAATAACTGGGATTACAGGTATATGCCACCACTCCCTGCTAATTTTTTGTATTTTTAGTAGGGATGGAGTTTCACCATGTTGGCCAGGCTGGTCTCAAACTCTTGGTCGCAAGTGATCCACCCTCCTCGGCCTCCCAAAGTGTTGGGATTACAGGCATGAGCCACCACATCCAGCCTAAAATGTACTTTTGACTACAAATGTTGAAATATATAGACTGCCTGTTATAATAAAGGTAATATAAACTTGTTATCAAAAAAGTCAGAAATAATTTATTTTTATCCAGAAACAAAAGAGTGAAAATAGAAGAAACAAAAGTTATAGAGAAAAAATGGAAAAATATGCAAGTTTAGCTGGAAATTTACATATTTGGACAATAAATCAATAAAGATAAAATTTAGGAACCACAAAATTATGTACAGTGAGGATACATAAAGGGACAGCAAACGAATGAGTGGAAATATATTGAAGATTTGAGGAAAGAGAATTGCTAAGTTTGATTGTTTGTATTCCCTCAAATTTATTTGTTGTTCTCTAACCTCTAAGATGGTGTTAACAGGTAGGGCCAGGCCGGGCACGGTGGCTCGCGCCTGTAATTCCAGCACTTTGAAAGGCCAAGGCAGGCGGATCACGAGGTGAAGAGATCGAGACCATCCTGGCCAACATGGTGAAAGCCCGTCTCTACTAAAAATACAAAAATTAGCTGAGCATGGTGGTGCGTGCCTGTAGTCCCAGCTACTGGGGAGGCTGAGGCAGTAGAATCACTTGAACCAGGGAGGCAGAGGTTGCGGTAATTGCGGTAAGCCAAGATCGCCCCACTGCACTCTAGCCTGGTGACAGAGTGAGACTCCGATCTCAAAAAAAAAAAAAAAAAAAAAAAAAAAAGAAGTAGGGTCTTTGGGAGGCAATTGGGTTATGAGGGTTCTGCCCTGATTAAAAGGGACCCAGGGAGCTTGTTCACCCTTTCTCCTTGTAAGGACACAGAAGGCCCATCTTCGAAGGAGAGAGTAAGCCCTCACCGGACATAGAATCTGCTGGTGCCTTGATCTTAGACTTCCCAGCATTCAGAACTATAAGCAGTAAATTTCTGTTGTTTAGAAATTATCCAGGCTAGGTATGTTTTTTAATAGACGCCTGAATAGACTATGAAAGGAATTTTGTAAACTGGACGTCAAGTGCTTCATCAGTGGAGCAGCTGCTGCTAAACTCCAACATTGTTGCCTTCATGAAGTGCTAGCCCACTCTGCACACTGAATAAAAAACACAGGGGAAACAACGAGAAGCCCTTTGTTCCAATGCTGCTGCTTTATCAGGTACTGAGGCCACCTCTCTCTCCATCCTGAAAGGCAGATTGAATGCTTTGCTAAGTATCATAGTTGCCTGACAAGATACATAGTAGTTACAGTCATCATTATGGTCTTTGATAGAGATTGGATTGGCACCAAATTCCTGGAATTTGATCGTTTTTGGAAAGGCTGTAAATATTTCCCTTATATTGCCCTGCGTAACCAAGGTTCTAAAACTGTGTTCTTTGTCCATCAAAACTGGGTAGAGTTTCCAGTGACACAACTTTTTGCATTTTTTGACCATCGATTGGTTGCTATCGGTACAGCTATGTAGAGAACTAGGAAAATGAATCAAGTAACAATGATTTCCCCATGTCTAAACCTAACTTTCCCTTTGTACTGTTAGTTCCTGAAAATCGCTCCTAATTTAGGCTTATCCAAGTTGCTGGTCCACTCTGCGAGTGAGGCAAGGTGGGCCAAAGAGAGAGGCCATTGCTCCTGCGCCACTGCTTCATCAGGCACTGAGGTCACCTATTATTCCAGCTTTTGGGGGAATGCTGCCTTCATTCATACCCATATATGTTTAATATTTTGAAACCTCTGAATATTTTGTATGTTTTGCTGAAATCATTATGTCAAAGTTGTGCACATCCAGAGAGATTAATTGAAGTAAGTGATGGGGGTTGAAGGGCTTTCTTTGTTTCCATTTTATACAATTCTACTTTTGAATTTCATTCCTGAGAAAATTATTACCAACATGCATTTTGTTCAACATGTCTTTGAGCTTTTTGAAAAACCAAGACGGTGAGGAGCACTTCCTTAAAACCATTATGGACAGGTTTGATTATAGAGCCCATATTTGATAGAGGATTGGGCTATAACATTAATCTGTTTAAAAATTTGGCAATACACTTAGTATTATTCTCATTTTTCCTAGGAGAACATCTTAGAGACATTCAATATGGTGATATAAAATATAAATGGAATTATTTATTAGCCATTGTAACTCAAACTTTACTTCAAGTCACTAATATAAATGAGATCTATGCCTTGTAGACCTTCTTATATCAGCAAAATAAGAATAATTGGATCATACTTTATCTGCAAATGATACTAAATTCCTTTCATCTAACCTAAAAAGTTGTCATTTTGCTCATAGTACAAATATATTACAGTGCTGAATTATCTGCATGCTATGGGAGAAAAGGTTTAAAGTTTAAAACATTTTTATGTAATAGAAAATGTAGTATACAAAGATACTTATGATCCAAATTAAGTTTTGAGTTGACTTTTGAAAAATTTTTTGCATCTATCTTAACATTTATTTTCTTATTTTTATGAACAATAGGATCCATGTAAATTGTCCAGTAAGGTGTTGATCAAGGTCTTCAAGTAACTGATATGAGTTTATAAATGAAATATCCAAATGGCTACACCATGTTCAGTCCAAAGTTATCATAACCATTGGAAGAAAATTCATCTCAACATATTTATATTTAAATTGAATATGATCTACTTCCATATAAGAATTACCTATTGTGTTGATGAAAACCAGGACAAAAGAATAAAAACATACTAACTGATGTTTTTCTCTTCCCAGTGGTTGTATATTCATTTGGGTATAGAGTTGGGAAATGGAAAATCACTTTAATTTTATGAATATTTGCCATATACCCTAGTATATGTGTTTGCAATAATATTGCTTAATTTTTGTTTACCCACCTGAGTGCATTACCTCTGAGAAAAGTTCCATTGAAAATTTGAATCAAATTAAAGCATATGAATGCACAATTGGACTTTTTATTGCACTCATTCATTACATCCCTAAGTAAAAATGCTTGCTGCATGCCAGGCCCAGTGCTCGATGCCAGAGATTCTGTGTTGCATGGAACAGACATAGTTCCTGGAGCTTATTATACTATGGACCATTGTAGTTTGATTGCAGACAATAAGCTAATGAAAAACTACAAATTACCCTAACTGCTCAAGTAAAAATAAGCCTTCATGTAGTGGTAGAGAATAACCCCAGGAAACTTTAGATTTTATTAGAATGTAAAGCCCATGAATGTAAAGGCTCTCTCTCTCTGGTATACTATCACATTGTAGTGCCTTGTAAAATATCTGGTCCTTAGTAACACACAGTTAATATTTGGGAATTGAATGGATGGGTGAATGGATAGATGACATATTTTTATTTTTCTAGAGTGGCAATAGATATCCTTTCTGAGAGCAATAAGGAAAAGTCCACCATCTGAAGAATGGGAGAGAATGTTTGAGCAAAATAGGAGAAAATATTTGAGCAAAAGCAGATAGAAGTTTTTGCTAAGATACCTCCAATGGTATAAAGGATGTTAGCAAAACTAAAGGGCTTAGGTAGCTTGAGCAGAGTCATCAATGGGAGTGATGACAAAAGTCAAGTTGGAGTGCAGAGCCTATTTCATATATTGCATTGTAGGCCATGACAAATTTAGATTTTGTTTTTCAAAGTTATCACAGGAAAGTTCATTGCTATGAAAAGGCTCCTGATGGTTGTAAACTAGAGATGATATTAATGGATCGTGAAAACAAATGCTGCTATTGTATGACTTGAGCTACAATCCACTTTAAGTATTCCTTGCTACCCACAACTACCTACTTCCTGAATTTGGACAGCACAAGTTTAGATAGTAAATTTGAATAAAGAGGTGTAGGATATCGTTTACACTTTTAAAAAATTTACCCTGAACTTGAAATAGCAAGTAGTGAGTTATTTTATGTGGAAACATATCCAAACATGTTGATTCATGAGTTCAAATAGTGAGATTTTAAATAACCAAATTTTGGATGAGAAGGAATATCTGAATCTAAATTAGACATAAGACTTTTCATGAAGAAAGAGATGTCTTTAGAGAAAATGTGATTTTCATTGAAATGAACACTATATGATTGCATGTAATAATTTAGGATTACAGTCTTTTGGGAAAAACAACTGTATCATAAAGAAATATTTTTAAAAGTTTACATTTTGAGAGCACCTATAAAGTAACAATGAATTGTATATACCAATAGCAATGGAAGTTCCCTAAGGAAGGCAATAATTAGATAGATGCTTGAAAGACTGAGCAGATACTTTTCAGGCAGAATACCATATGGACATACCAAGAAGAGAGTATTCAATTCAATTAAATCTGCCACATGGAGTAGAAGTTATAAACTGGTGGTCTTTGGGCCAAACCTTTCTGTAGTTTCTTTTCTCTCTCTCTCTCTCTCTCTCTCTCTCTCTCTCTCTCTCTCTTATTTTTAAGAATTGGAGTATATCTTCTCTAATTAATCAAAAGACACACCATACTTTACTGTATTATAACATTTTAGCTTTATATATTTAATTTACTTTCAGGCTACTGTGAGTACCTGGGTTTATAGCCCCTGAGAAGCTGAAAGGAAAAAAGAACAGAAACCTTTTAAATGCAACCTCTACATACAGTAAACTAAGTTAAAGACATATTTTAAAGCATCTTCTTTATTTATTTTATTCTTATAGATAGTCTAAATCAGGGATCAACAAACCATATGACCCAAGGGACAAATTGTGCCTGCCACCTGTTTTTTAAAATATAATTGTATTGAGACACATAGATGTACAATCATTTGCATTTATCAATGATTGCTATCACCGTAAAATGGCACCAAGCATGTGACCTGCAAGCTGAAAATATTTTATCTTGTCCTTTCAAGAATCAAAATAAAAGTACAATTTAGACTAAGGTTGTTTAATTATGTATAGATCCTATCACGTCCATATACACAATATACAGAAAACTTCCTTTGTACTTTGTCTTATGCCTGCAGAAATCTTTTATGCTGTCACTTGTCCAAAGATGTTCTGCATGAATCTAGAGGCAGAAATTGAGCCTATATGAGGATTTCTCAACAGTAACTATTAGCATAATTCTCGAATCCACTTACGTATTGTTTAGTGAAATCTGGAGGCATCATTACACAGATGATCTTGCTATCTACCTTGTCATCATAAAATAAAACTACTTGTATAGAAAGATGAATGAAGTTTTCTTCATTATTCATTCTGTAGCTCAGTATAAATACAAGTTTTGAATTTTAAATCAAGTAAAACACATAATAAGAAGAAAATATGGCATGTAAAGAAAATAGATTAAAAAGAAAAATAAATGTGTTTCTTAACCTTGATTGTAACTCCTGTAAATACTGGCTGGTGGAGAAAAAATTGAGCAGATCCTGTTATTATCATTCCAACTTCATTTTCAGTGTCTGTCTGTCTATCCATTACACTTTAAAAATAAAGAGCAGGCACATATTTTAAAGCAACCCACAACATGATTAATAAGGGTAGCACAGTAAAGAAACATAAAATTGTCCTGTCTCCTTCATCTGTTCTTCTGGTGCAGTGATTAACCTTTGAGTTTATGAGTACTTTTGCACTTACTTCAGATAAAGTATTTTATGAGTTCTTTCCTCCCAGGCAACTTGGATTAAACTTATCAGGCCCAGGAAGATAGTGACCCATTATGGCTGTTCCCCTGGAAATCATAATCTTCCTCTTTACTGTATTATCTGAACATTCCTTGCACAAACCAGATGGAAACATCAAGTCACAGACAAGACAACTTGTTAAGGTCACATTCTGCACCATATATATCATTCATGCTTAATTTATTTGCAGCCCCACCTAGACAGATTGCCATACATTATGAAAGCTGAGAACATGAAAAGATCATTTTTGCTCCCCATTAATTCCCACTTGGAATAGCTCCTGACTTTACAAAACTTTGTGGCAGCACATTCACTGATGACTGATCACTCCTTCTCATTGCAGAAATAGGGCATAAGCAGCAAGATTTATCTTTCAGTAAATTCCTAATGAAATAACAAAGTGTATTGGGTTATCTCCAACTGCCGTACCATACTACTCTCTAAAAATAGCAAGTCAAAAATGACTGACTTTGCCAATATCCTGAGATTCTACAGACATCTCAGTGAAGGCAGAGGATGGTGGGGAGAGTGGCATTTGGCTCAGCTTCAGAACTGGCACTGTCTCCATGATAAAGGGATCCTGTTAACTTCTGTTTTCCACCTCCTGACAGTTGACATTTTAATGTGTGTCAGGAAAATCCATCAACATGCTACCTCTCTCAAACCCAGGATTTCGCATTGGGATCAGTAGGAATCTGATCAGAGCTAACACAAGCCCTCCTTCTCATTAAAGCATACCCCATTCCCATTGTTGACTGTCCTAATTTCTCTCCAATTCAGGTAATAAAATGTACTAGTAGAAAGATAAATATAAGAGTTTTTACTACCCATAGACCTCTACCATAATTTGTGTTTTCTAATACTAGTGTTCCATGAAAAAGAGATTGATAGAAGGATGGGGTGAATCAGTTATAGATGAGATTTAAAGAGTAATATTTCAGAAAATGCTGCAGTATTAGAGGAAAAAAAGAGAGTTCCCTAGTAAACACAAATAGTATCTTCAGAAAGAGCTTCGATTGAGCAAAGACAAAGAAAATAATATACCACAAAATACAAAAAATAACTTCTTACAAGCAATTTATCATCTTAATCTTTGATGTGTAAATGAACCAAGAGATGGTTCCAAGCCAGAGATTGGGAAACTGAGTACATAATAAAGGAAAGGATGAACAACATCATAAGCTGGTGTACAAGATATTGACTTGACCTATTTCCAGTGGGACTTGGAATGATATGTTTAGTGATATTTATTATGGTGCTTTCATTCACCATATGGTGTCATGCAGCTCATGTTTGTTTAACGTTTTCAAATAAATGAAATTTTAAAAATCATTTTGATAAATTCTTAAAGTAAGGAACACAGATCTCTATCCAAGAGTATGTACAATCTTAAGTTCTTGACAGCAGATCTTGTTAGCAATTGTAAGCTTTTCCAAGAAAAGGAAAATAATAAAATATCCTAGATTCTGTAATCCAAAACATGAGTTACAGAAGGAAACTGATATTTTTTCTGGGGCTAATTTTAAACACACTTGGGTGGATATATAAACATTTCTTAGTAACACAGTACAGTATTTGTTTTCTTGGGAAAGATATCAAACAGGGGTTCAGGAAAGAAGTTTATGGCTCCCAAATCTATTCTGCTAGTGTAAATATAACATACACTTACCCTTTTCTGTTAAGCTTTGGTCTATTATTTGATTGGGAACAATACTGGCAGGTGTGATGGGGAGATAAAGGGAATCTACAAGAACTCTCTGGTTTGAAATATGATTACTCTTCTGCTTCCCTGTGAGCCTGTGTAGGCAGAGAATAAGAGGAGAGTCTTTGCACTCTGAGAAGCATTGCTACCCGCAGCTGCTATATCTCTATCAGCGGGGGGACCACTGAACTGTGGCTTCCTGACAGCACAAATTTCATACTGCACTTCAGAGTCATCATCACTCACTGCCTGAGGATCATCAAGACAATTATTTCTTTCTTTTATCCATGGTTACATCAGTCACCATAAAAAACCAGGGGCATTCTAAAAATGATGTCAACCACTGGACTCTATAACTTTTAACATTCCATCTTCCACCTATGCCTAATTCTGAATTAATTCCTGTGTGCTCTCTGGAAGTCATTTTCAGCCATCCGCAAAATCCTTTACATACTAGAAAATTCATGTGAAAGTTTGCTTTATCTACTTTCTCAATGGAAAATTGGTTCTCCTCTGAGGTACATCTTCCCCTCTAAAAAGGTAACTTTTTTCTTTACTCTTGCTAATCAGCCTGAAGGAGAAATAGCAGCTTTTCTTACTTCTTGTGACCATTCACTTCCTCTCCCATAAAAAGATAGAGTATTTTATTTTAGTGGCATTAGACTGTAATATACGCCACCCTTATTTATAGCAGTCATTCACCAGGGCATTCTTCTCCATCTGTCTTGTATATTTTATCTTCTAGCTTACTGTTCCATTTATACACACTGGTTCTTCCAGACTACTTGGTGATTTCAACATGCACATGGATGAAGCTTCTAGCAAATTGGCCTCTAAGTTTAGTGATCTTATCTCTCATCTCATCAAAACTACTCAATCTTATGGTGATACCCTGGTAGACTCTATCTCTTCATAACTTCAGCTTTCCTTAAATTAAATTTCAAAAGCCCCACTCTCCAATCAACAATTTCTAGCTTATTCCATCGACTTCCTTCAGTCCAACAATCTTTGCAACAACCAGCCTTTCTATAACATCAATTCATTTGTCCTGCTGGTATTTTACTGTCCCTGGTTCTCATCATCTGCTGCTTCCCTCGTTACTCAACATAAATTCAACTGTCAATTATACTAAACACTTTTATTTCACATCTTCAAATTCCTTGTTCTCTTTTTATTTTTATGCCCTTTTGCCAAAGACACAAAACCTAGTGAAACCCAATTGTTCTCCTATATCATCCTTGTGTTAGTAGCAAGCAAGCAAGACTGAAAAACAACACAATTATGCTCGATGTGCTCACTCTAAGTCCATAATCACTTATTGCATATGAGTCCCATTGGTACCTCCTGGCACTATATTTCTGTGATCTCTTCAATTTGTAAGTCTCCTTAATAATGTTTTATAATTTTTCCTCATATGTAAACCTCTTTAAATTATTTTAATAGCTTTCCCACATTCTCACTCTTAGTTGGCTATTTTGTTTTCTGTTTCACTGAGAAGATAAGAACAGATGGAAAGCAATCTAAATAAGCTTCCAACTCACATTTATCCATTTAGATGTATTCATTTCCAAATGCTGCTCCTTCTCTCTGGTTTCTAGAAAAGACATGTCTGTGTTTCTAGTAAAATTTAACCCTACTACTTGTGCACTCGATTCTTTCCCCTCTTATACACAGGCATTTTATTTTCACTTGCGTCATTAATTTGATTCCTTTAAACTAAATTTTCCCATCAACATAACATTGCTTATGTTTCTCTCATCTTTAAAAATCCCTTAAATTTATCTTCTTCTTCAGCTACTGCTCAATTTTCTTCTTCCTTTTAGGGCAACATTACCGAAAAGAAAATTCTTTACTTAGTTTCTCCTCAGCTTCTTAAACTTTTTTCATTCATATGTGCCAGGGATCAGTTTTCGAATTTTATACTTTTTCTAACTTCATAAACTGCCCTGTCAATCTCTTCTAAACTTTGGTTTGGATACTATCTGTGTGCTGACAACTAACAAATATATACTCAAAGTTCAGTCTTACCTTGAACTCAAGTTCGATACCCAACTTTTACATGATGCTTATCTCCACCTATCTAATGATCTCAATTTTTATCAATAAAAAGCCCAAATCTACTCCTTCCTCCTAAATATGTTATTTCCATAATCTCTACTGTCTTAGTTAGTGGCAAATCCTTTCTTCCAATTGCCAAGGTAAAAAAAAAAAAAAAAAAAAAAGGCAAGAATCCTTCCTTGCTTTCTTTTATTTTATACTCTGCATTGAATCAATTAGCATATCCTGTGGGATTTATACTCCAAATACTGCATATCAAAAATCCTACCATTGTTTACTATCTCCAAGACTATTGCCCTGTCCCAATGAACTATGTTCTTTTGCTCAAATATTTCTATAATAGCTTCCAAAATGATGACTGTGCTTTCACCTTTGAGTGGCTTTAGTCTAGTGTCAACATTGTAGCTAGATTTGTCCTATTAAGACTAGGTCAGATCCCATTGCCTCTCTCCTGAACACCTTCCAATTGCTCTCCATCTTATCCAAAGAGAAAACTGAAGCCCTTATAATAATGACACATAAAGTCTCCCAGGGCTTGACCTCTGTTCCTCTCTGACTCATGCACTTCCAAGTGCACTCTTCTTTGAACACACCAGGTATGTTACAGCCTCAAGGCCATTGCACTTGCCATCCTCTTTGCCTGAAATACTCTTCCCCTAAATAGTTACATCACTTATATCTTCGTGGTCTCCAAGTCTTTATGCCAAAAGCACTTTCTACTAAATATTTCCACTATCCCGTATGTAAAAGTAGACTCCTGATAGTCATAGCACAGTTCCTGATGTGTCTGCATAGTACGCATGCTCCCATCCTGATCTAATACAAGTTTTATTACTTTTTTATTTTTAGTTTCTTTTTTCACGTCTCATACATTAACATCTAAATTTCATAAGAGAAGGCATTTTAGTCTCTTTTGTTTGCCTCTGTATCTTTCTCTCTGACCCCCAGTCCCATCTAGAATAGTGCTTGGTTCACGGTAGATACTCAATAAATGTTATTGAATGGTTGAATGCATAAATAGAAGTATTATTTTCCTTTCACCCAATCCCTGTCCTGATTTGGAGTCTCATGGAAAGAGAAAAGAAAAACAGAATTTTTCAATTTAATTGTTAAACTCTAAGTACAACAGACTCAAGGTATTACAGAATTCAAGTGTCAACATGTGACACATATTTGAGAAGGCCCTTTTCCTAACTCTTCTTTAGATCACATTCATCTAGCAATCCTAAGAACCAGGACTGCTTTGAAAATGACATTTTTGATTGTCAGGGATCATAATGAACTTTTATAATTTACATTTAAGAGCAGAGAATATGACTCAGCAAGAAAGAAAAAAAATGAGAAAACAGTATGTGTGGCCTGCAAAAGACAAGCTGCTGTTAGCAGTGGTGAATCTGTATGGGCCTGCAGCAACTTGATTCTTGCCTCCTCAAAGGAAAGAATTTGTCCAAGGGGCATAAGGCAGAGGAAGAGACTGAGGCAAGTTTTAGAGCAGGAGTGAATGTTTATTAAAAAGTTTTAGAGCAGGAATGGAAGGAAGTAAAGTACACTTGGAAGAGGGCCAAGTGGGCAACTTAAGAGATTCAAGTTTGCCATTTAGTCCTTGACTTGGGGTTTTATATATTGGAATGATTCCAGGGTTTTTGTGTCTTCTTCTCTGATTCTTCTCTTAGGGTGATCTGTCTGCATGCAGAGGCTGGCCAGTACTTAGGACGGACTGTATGTGCAGTGTGTTTACTGAAGCTGTGCATATGCTCATTTGAGGCATTTTTCCCTTACCAGTTGAGTGTTCCTAGAAGAAGGTCATATACCACTTAAGCTTTACCATTTTGCCTCTTAGTGTGTATGCTTGAGCCCACTTGGCCAACTTCTAAGATCTTATGGGGAAGCTACTGATCACCAGCTTCAGGTATTTTCTATCTATTGAGAGACTGCCTTTCCCTGGTGCCAGCTGTGACCAATTATTATTTTAGAAAGACAGTTTAACAACCATCTGACCATCACATGATGGTCGTCTGACATTCCTGGAGTGGGGAGGCCCTCTCCTGCCCTGCTCATGTGTGTCTAGCTACTTAGTTTAACACTGATGTTAGCACTTGGGAAACTATTTTGGAAGTCTCAGAAACAACTAGGGACCTTTTGAGGGGTAGATAGTCTTCAACAATACTGCCTATGGGGGGCCATTCCAGAGTCTGGGAACAAGCAGTGAGCATGTTCTTATTTTATAGACATGGGAAGATGGGCTTGTTAGTGGTGTACATATTATACAATCTCAATAAAGTAATCTTTTAAGTAATTCTAAAGACCTTAGTTGAGAACACGTGATGTTTTCACTTGTTCTTCTGATAGGAACATCTCCCCAGAGACGGGCTGGCACTCTACCTTTGGTGGTGTCATTCCTATTAAAGTCCAGTTAATTTTCCAATTGCCTGGATTCATTGGAAAATCACCCCCTTTCTTTCTTAGCAACATATGTTTAGGTCATTATTTAAGAAAACAGCCTTTTGTAAAAATTTGTTTCAGAATTATATTCCATAACTAAAGAATATTTATTTTAAAAAGGATTGTTTTACAGCCTTTCTTTATCTGAATGGTTTATTCTTTAACTTAACAAAAGTGTTAAAGCAAATAAAACATTCCTCAGGATTCATCTTATGAGGTTACTTCCAATTATTATTCTTTTACTTTTTGAGAATGTCCTGAGCCTTTGTATAGAATTTGTGCTCTTACTGCATTTACAGATATCAGTAATATCATTATGCATACATGGTTGTATTTTTTATAGCCTATAGCCCTCTCTCTCTCAATGGACTATGAATTTGTTAGAGGAAGATAACCACTCACATTTCTGCATACCAAATACATTTTATGGAAGTTGGCACTTAGTAGGTTTTTATTTGAAATGTATAGGCTGTTTGGAAAAAAAAAAGAAAAAAAATAGCTCTTTTCTACTGCAAAAACGTATTGTATAGTACGGTATTGTGAGGAGAACTCATAGGTTCTAGAGTTACCATGTGCAGAATTTGATTATTTCGAACAGCATCTACATTGAAAATAGGAGTTAGTATTTTTACAAGTTGTAGATGTTAGTAACAATTTTGCATTTATTTGGTAATCATTCAAATGATAATTTTGTGTACAAAACGGGCAATTTTTGAAGTAATCTAACATTTTATTTAGAAAATAAAGAGCTTGCAAAAATCAGGAAGACCCGTGTGTCCTTCTTCGAAGAAAACACTTATTAAAATCCAGGGTTACCTCCATTAGTAAATAAGGACATTGTCAAAACTAAGTTCATTTTCTTTAAAGTACATGTTTTTAAAAATTACATACTTTATTAGATAATGGGGCCTCATGTAAACAGGCACTGCACTTTATTCATCATGATTCACCCCAGTGAGCAACAGAGGTCTTTCCTAAGGATATGCATGTAGGAAGGAAATTGATGGAATGACGCTATTCACACAATCAGGGTCAGAGAGGTTCAAGTTAACATGTCTATGTCACCCAGGCCACTTGTTCTATTATATTCATCTCTTTCTGAAAATGTAAACCAGGTGTTCCTTGACCAGGTAACACCAGCACTCGGCAACCAGGAGAAATCTGTCTCTTTTGTTTCACCTGCCTTATTAACTTTAACCTTCCCAAGAGCATTCTATGTGGCATTCAGAGAAAATCTGATTAGAAATTTGGAAGAGAGGACTCTGTCACTCTGCTGCATTCCTGATGACTACAGAGATTAGACGCTCAATACCACTGAGAAGAAGCACCTGTGGCAAGGGCAGAGCTTTTAATGCAAAAATAGAGCTTATTTATTAGGCTCAAACATTTCTATGTCAGCTGTCATTTCTTCATGGCAAGATGTCCTCCTCTCCTCCCCAGCTTGCTCAAAGGAGCTGTCAGGTCAGAAAAGGGGAAAAAGGAAACAAATGCTTTTTCTCTTTCAATTTCCCAGTGGGGGAGCCCTGTTGAAATGCCAGGCATGCCCTGCTGCTTTCTGCATCAACAGATGGCAGACGGGCTGCATTCCTTGTGTTTGTTTCCCATTTAGCAAATTGCAGCTCACATCTGGTCTAGCCTCTGCTTGGTCTGAGCAGATGGGAGTTCACATTCTTTATAGGTGGATGACTTATAAAAAGAAGGAAAAAAAAAGAGTGAAAGAGAGAGGGAACTAGAAATACAGAGGAAAAGAGAAAGACAGAGAAGCATTAAAAAGATGACAAGGAAATCTGAGCAGCTGGTATGAGTTCAGTATCAGCAAACCATTTAGCAGACCTGGCCAACAGTGAATGGAACAGAATCACACTTAGAGACAGCCAAGCAATCCAGGATGGGAAAGAATAAGCTTCCAGATGAGGGAAAGAAGATGGCGACACAATTCATTTCACTCTCCAGAGATTCTATAATTTACATTTTTTTTCCCAATTGCTTGAGCCCGGGAGTTCAAGGCTGCAGTGAGCTACGATCATGCCACTGCATGCCAGCCCAGGCAACAGAGCAAACCTCATCTCAAAAACAAAACAGAACAAAACAGAAAATTGTATTTTTTTCTACCCTGGATTTTCACCAACTTTAGGAAGGTCATTTATGCTTCATAGTTTTAAAATATACTTCTACCCTGTTGTTCTAAGTCACTCCAGCTCCTGTGGGAATCTTAAGCAACATTCCACTACATGGCAATCTGTGTAAAATCATTGATCAGAGAGATCATGGTTATGGGCTTCTGAGCTGTAAGAATGCCCCGAGCTAAATTCACTATGCAAAGAAATAATTCTCAAATTAGGATGCTCATGGTAATCACCAGTTGTGGTTTTTAAATATGCAGATACCAGAGCCCCTGCAACATAGTTTCTGATTCAGTGTCTAAAACAATGTTTCTAAAACTTACTTTGAATAAAAATCAATTGGATTATTTATTAAATGCATAGGCTCAGGACCTTACCTACATCTTCCATGATTCTGATTCACCAGCTCTGGAGAAAGACCTGATAATGTACCATTTTAATAATTATTTCAAGATTTTTTTATGCCAGTAAAGTTTAAGGAACACTGGTTTAGAGTAAGTCTTGGAGATCTTTTTATTTAAAATCCACACAAGTATTTCAGATCTGAAGTGAGGCTTATAAATATCTGACTTACAGTTAAGGTTTGGCAAAGATGTCTAGATTGTACAGCATCAAATCTAATATAGATATTTTATCACTGAAATATCAGGTTTTAACCTTGGTCATTCTCAGATACCTTTGACACTCATATGGAATAAACAAGAAGCAGATTATATGTAGCAAATAAGTTACTTTTCTGTAAGAATGAGGAGGATTAGGATGTATACTTATATTCATATTTGTTTGTACAGTGAGTTGTGTTACTTGTTTTGAAAATGTAAATTTGTTTCAATATGTTTAATATATTAGGGAACAATTTATGCATAACATGAATTTCACATTTGCTTATGCACAATTATATCTACAAGAAAAACTCAGAAAATGCCAGAACATTGCATCCAACTGAACTCAGCTCAGTAGCAATACATAAAATGTGCATGCACATAGCCTAGTGTGCACACACATATCACTTCACGTCAGACAACTACCAGCTACTTCAGTTCTCCTTTTGGTGTTAGATCTCTGAATCTATTTTCAGAGAACCCATTTTCCACTAAGTATGATAAGGCAGGCACAACATACAACCCATCAGACATAACCTTATGCCCTCCCTGCTCTTTAATTTTCCCTAATATTTTCTCAGCCTAGATTTTTTAATCTCTTTTAACTGATTCTTTCTCTTTCTTTCTTTCTCTTTCTTTCTCTTTCTCTTCCTTTCTTTCTTTTTCTTTTTCCTTCCTTCCTTTCTCTTTCTTTCTTTCTCTTTCTTTCTTTCTTTCTTTCTTTCTTTCTTTCTTTCTTTCTTTCTTTCTTTCTTTCTTTCTTTCTTCTTTCTTTCTTTTTTTTTTTTTGAGTCAGAGTCTCGCTCTGTCACCCAGGCTGGAGTGCAATGGCGCGATCTTGGCTCACTGCAACCTCCACCTCCCAGGCTCAAGCAATTCTCCCACTTCAGTGTCCGAAGTAGTTGGGATTCCAGGTGCCTGCCACCACACCCAGCTAATTTTTGTATTTTTTGTAGAGACGGGGTTTCACCATGTTGGCCAGGCTGGTCTCGAACACCCAACCTCAAGTGATCCTCCCTCCTCAGCCTCCCAACGTGCTAGGATTAAAGGTGTGAGCCACCACGTCCCACTCTTTTTCTCACTCTATTTCTATTTCGCTTTTGTCTCTTTCTTCTCACAGTGTAGCAGAAAAGGCAGTCAGGCAAACAGACCACAAGATCACGGGTGTCCATTTGCACAAGGAAATTTTAGGCCTTTTCCTAGTTAAAAAGTCATCTAATATAATAGTTAGACACTTCTTAGCCACTAACATATGCTGAATTGTACTGTTATTCTTATTTGTTTCCTATCATTTTTATGTGTTACTGTCAAAGTTTTTTAATGTTGTACTCTTAATATCATTTTCCCTTAAGCCTCCTGTAGTTTCTAATAAAATTTATTTTTTAGAACAGTTTCTAGATCGATAGAAATTGTAAGGAAGGTAGAGTGTTCCCATGTACATTGAACCCAGTTTCTCCTATTAACGTTTTATGTTAGTATGGCTCATTTGTCACATAGAGTAAACCAACATTGACAGATTGTCATTAAGCTTATACTTTATTTAGATTCATTTCATTTTTACCTTATGTCCTTTTTCTATTCCAAGATCTCATTTAGGAAACCACATTTCATTTAATCGACATATTTCTTTAGGCTCTTTATGGCCATGACAGTTTCTTAGACAAACCTTGTGTTTTAAAACCTTGACAGTTTTCAGGAGTACTGGTCAGGAGTTTTACAGAATAGCCCTCCAGTGAAATACACCTGATGTTTGCCCATAATTAGACTGTGGATATGGGTTTTGGGGAGGGAGAACACAAAATTCAAATGCCATTTTATCACATCAGGCAAAGGGTACTTTAAGCCATTAATGTTGAATTTGATCACCTGAATGAGGTAGGCTTTGTCAGGTTTCTCCACCGTAAAGTCACTCTTTCATTGTCCTTTCCATATTGTACTCATTGGAAGGAAGTCACTGTGTGTGACACACATTTAAGGAGTAAAGAGTTATGCTCACTTTTCTTGAGGGCAAAGTATCCACACAAGTTATTTCAAATTATTTTGCACAAAAGAGTTGTCTCTTCTCCATTTCTTTCTTTATTCGATCATCTAATTCTGTCCTTGTACATGTGAGTTTCTAGGATTTCCTTACCTATGGCACTACAAGATGCTGCAGGCTCATCTTGTATATTTACTCTCCAATCCCAGAATTGGTCATTTATTCTAGGAGAATTTGTTTCTTTTAAGGCTAATGGTATCAAAAACCTACATCTACATTCTAAATGAGCTTATTGCTACTTGGATGTCCTTGTTTTTAGGACTCCTCATCTGAAAGAGTAAGAAAAAATATGTGTATGCTAAAAAATATGTGTATGCTTAAATATGTGCATATGCACATACTTACAAATATGTTTCTGTGTAAATATCTGTGTATATATTAAGCTAAACATGAGTATATACTGATGCTTCCAACTGTAATGCATTATCACATACATCATTGTAGTCTCCTTCTCTTGCTTGTCTGTAACCTTCCAATACAGCAGCAAGAAACTTGGTTCCCACCATCTACCATTCATTTACTTACTTGTTAATTTCTGGTATATGTGCATAACAATATCAGAATTGTTAACTCAGTCAATACTCATGAGAACTAATTTTATCAACTAGAACGTAATCTTTATGAGCAATCTCTTTTGCCTTTACTTTTATTTCCAGTTCTAATCATTTTCAGAGTTACTTAGGTCAGCAAATTTAGAACCACCCACAACTGTCAGTGAATTTGTTTTATACATTTGTTAACTGTATACATTTGTAGATTGTTTTATCACATTCTGTATTCTATCCCAGGACACCCTGCCAACCTCCTAAATGATTTTTTTAATTACACAGATTTAAATTTACTCTATGTGTTGTAAAATTCTATGCATTTTGATAAATGTATAGTGTCATATATCTACCACTATAGTATCATATTTAATAGTTTCACCATCCTGAAAAAGTCCCTTATGCTTTATTCATTAAATACTACTCTATCACTAGGAACCTCTGGCAACCACTGATATTCTTACTATAGCTATAGTTTGTCTCTTCCAGAATGTTTTATAATTGTAACCATATATTATGTAAACTTTTCAGAGTGACTTCTTACCCAAAGCAATATGAATTTAAGATTCATCCATGTCTTTTTGTGACTTAATAGCTAACTTTTAAAAATAGCTGAATAATATTCTGTTGTATGAAAATATCAGTTGATTATGCATTCACTTAAGGAAGCACAGCTTAGTTGCTTCTACTTGGGGTGATTATGAATGAATAAAGCTGTTATAAACATTCATATGTAAGTTTTTGTGTGAACATATATTTCTAAATTAGTTGGTAAATACTTAGGAGTCCAATTGTTGGTCATACGGTAAGACTGTATTTACCTTTGTTAGAAACTGCTATGGTCTTCCAAAATCAGTGTATAATTTTGTATTTTTAATAAATGTTCCTGTTCTGCATCTTTGTCAGAATTTGTGAACGTCAGTTTTTTTTTAATTTTATGTATTCTAGTAGTGCTATTTCATTGCTGTTTTGATTTGGTACTCCATAATGAAATCGTGTGCTGATCATCTTGTCTTATATCATTTTTTTCATTAGTATAATGTTCTTTGGTGAATTGTCTGTTCAGATCATTTTCCTTAAAATTACATTGTTTATTCTCTTATTGATGACATTTAGGAGCTGTTTGCAAATTTTGAATACTAAACACTTATTAGATATGTGTTGTGCAAATTTTGTCCTAGTCTGTCCTTTGCTTTACATTTGGTAACAGTCTTCCACATAGTAAAACTTTTAATTATAATAAAGTCCAACATGTCAATATTTCTTTCATAGATTATACTTTTCATGCTATATATAAAAAATTCATTGCCAAACTCAGAATTACCTAGATTTTCTCCTATATTATCTTCTAGAAATGTTACGGTTTTGCATTTTACATTTTTTTCTCTAGTTTCTTTTGAGTTAATTTTTGTGAAATATGAAAGCTCTGTGTCTAGATTCTTTTTTTTTTCTCATATGGATATCCAATTTTTCCAGCACCTTTTGGCTTGCTTCTTTGTCAAAGATCAAAGATCAGTTCATAATATCTGTGTGGGTCTACTTCTGGGCTTTCTGTTCTGTTCCACTGACAAATTGAAATATAGTAAGTCTTATAGTTGGGTAAGGTCTTCCCACTTTGTTGTACTTATTCAGTATCATGTTGGCTATTTCGTTGTTTTTTTGTTGTTGTTTTTCCTTTTTTTTTATTTTTTTTATTTCCGTATAAACATTATCTCTTTGTGGATATCTACAAAGTAGCTTGCTGGGATTCTGACAGGAATTGCACTGAATCTTTAGATCAAGCTGGAAGAATTAACATCTTCACAATATTAACTTTTCCAATTTATGAATACAGAATATCTCTCCATTTATTTGGATCTTCTTTTGATTTCTTTCATCAGAGTTTTGTACTTTTCTGCATGCAAATTCTGTAAATAGCTCTTTAGATTTATACCTAGGTATATTATCTTTTATCGTTCCTAATGTATTTCTTTTTAAAATTTCAAATTCCAATTTCTTATATATAGGAAAGTAATTTGCTTTTGTATATTAAATTTGCATTCTGCCACATTGTTATACTTAGTTATTATTTCCAAAGATTTTTATGTTGAGTTTTTGGAATTTTTTCATAGACTGCCATACACTCAGTGATAAAATAACATTTTATTTCTTCCTTTTCAATCTGTATATCTTTTATTTTGTTTTCTTGTCTTATTGTACCTGCTAGAACTTCCAATATGATGTTAAATAAGATTGTTAAAAAGGTTATTTTTCCCACGTTCTCAATCTTAGAGGTAAAATATCCGGTCTCTCAACACTGGGTATGATGTTAGGCACAGCTACAATTTTTTAAACTTTTATTTTTTAATTAACAAGTAAAAATTATATGTATTTATGTCATACAACATGACATTTTGATATATGTATACATTATGCAATGGCTAAATCAACATACATTATTTCGCATACTATTTTTGTGTTCAGAACACCTAAAATCTTCTCCTAGCAATTTTGAAGTACACAATATATTGTATTCAGTATAGTGACCATGGTGTACTACAGATCTTTTAAACTTATTCCTCCTGTCTAACTAAAACTTTGTGTCCTTTGACCAATATCTCTCTCTTTTCACTCCACCCCCAGGACCCCCAGCCTCTGGTAATCACCATTTTACTCTATTTCCATGAATCCACCTTTTTTTGATGGTGCATAAATGTGGGAACCTTATGGTATTTGGAAGTTTTCCTCTCTTCCTACTTTGCTGAGAGTTTTTATCAGGAAGGAGTACTGTATCTTTTCAAAGGCCTTTTCTGCATCAATTGATATAATTATATACTTTTCTTCTTAGGCAGTTGATGTGGTAGATTACATTGATTTTCAAATGTTGACTCAAACTTGCACACTTGGAATAACGCCACTTGGCCATATAAGTCTTTTTTTTTTTTTTTACATTGTTCAAGTTTGATTTGCTAATATTTTGGAGAGTTTTTGTGTCTATGTTTATGAGATACGTTCATCTATAGTTTTCTTAAGTTTTTATTTGGTTTTGGTGTAAGGATAATGATTAAATTTCTAGTATGTGTTAGAAAGTGTTCTCTCTGCTTCTATTTCCTAGAAAAGATTGTGGAGAACTGGCATCATTTCTTTCTTAAATACTTATTGCCTTTTGTTTAGATAGTCTGTATCTTAAAAGAAATTAAACTATCTTATTGAAGCTATCAAAACTTTGGGCATAGAGTTAATCAGAGTATTTGTTTATTATACTTTTAATATGTGAGAGATCACTAATGATAACCTCTCTTTCATTTCTAATATTGGCTATTTGTGTCTTCTTTTTATTTTAGCCTAGTTGCTTCTCAGGTTTATTGACGTTTTCAAAGAACCCTCTTTTGCTTTTGTTGATTTTCTCTATTGTGTTCGTATTTTCAATTTAACTAATTCTGCTCAATTTTAAAAATTATTTCTCTTCTTCACTTTTCTTTAGTTTTTTTGTCAATTGCTCCTCTTTCTCTAGTTTCTTATGGTGGAAGCTCAGCTTATTGATATTAGATTTTGCTTTCCTTAAATTTTCTAAGATTTGTTAATGACCCAGAATGTGATCTACTTTAAAGAACGTTCCATATGAACTAGAGAAGAATATTTTCTCTGCTGTTGTTTAATATAATATTTTGTAATAGTCAATTAGATCAATTTGTTTGATAGTGATGTTTGGGCTGACTTCACTAATGCTCCTTTTTATCCCTAATAATTTTTGTTGGTCTGAAGTCAGATTTCTCTGCAATTAATATCAAAAATTCCAATTTATTTTGATTGGCATTATCATGATACATACTTCTGTATCTTTTATTTTTAACCTATCTGAATCTTTATATTTAAAGTTGGTTTCTTATAGGCAGCCTATAGGCAATTTTTGTTTTTTATTTTGTTCTCTCTGAAAAATGTCTTTTGTTTTATTTAGACATTTCATATTTGAAGTGATTATTGATATAGATAAATATCTCCCAAGTATGTAACTCTTTTCTATTTATGGCATTTGTTACCCTACCTACCCTCTTTTCTGCATTCTCTGGTTTAAATTTTATATGATTGAATTTCATGTTTTTTTAACATAAAATTTTAAAATAGTGCTTTTCCTAGAACATACCATATATATTTTTAACTAAGTCTACCTTGAAATAATACTATACCACTCCACATGTAGTTATGTAGTACAAAGCCTTATAAAGAGTATTCTTAATTCCTCCTTCCTATCCATTATGATAATGCTACAATTCATTTCACTAATACATTTGCTATAATTACAACAAAGCTAAGTAGTTGGTCCTACTACTACATCCTAGGACTTTTTTTTCTAGCTTGCTTTCTTCTATTACATAACTTAATTATGCACTCAATTGTAATGATCAATTAACTTTTCTCCTAGGAAACTTGATTCTAAGTTTCTTAACTTTAAATGTGCCATTATTGAAAGTCCAGAATTTTGCATAGTATCTGGCACATAGATCTTTTCAGCAAATATTAGTTAAAGAAGTGTTTATTTTTAACTGCTAAATCGTGGAAATCGTTGAGCACAATCAAGGCTGATGAAAATGATAGTCACTGAATGCCTACTAAAAATACATACCTGAGGTCAGAATGTTTGTCTCTGTTCATGAAAAAAGATATAGATGTTCTCTTTGTGATTTTTTTTAACAATACTAGGAACTCTTAAACATAAAAGGAATTATTTTCAAAAAGATTTTAAAAGGACAACCTTCTAAGCCATATTACAAAAATAATTTTGTTTTTTCTTCCTTTGTCATTTTCTATGTAATTCTGTATTCCAAGAACATATTCCCCTTTGAGTTACTTTATTCCATGTTATGCCATTAATATCACTTGCAAGGGTTGCTATTAGCTCATGCTAAGTAGTTTAAAGTTATTCAAGCAGAGACTTCTTTGTCGTGCACAGGGGTTGAAAGCAGCAAGGAAGCTCCAACCCAGCCATCATGCTAGCCTCCATTCCGAGTACAGGAGTTCTTTGCATTCCCTGAATGCAAATAATATATTGAAAAAAACACTTTCCAGAACACAGTGTTTACTACTTTCCCACAAATAATACAGTAAAATAAAAAGAAATGGGAAAAATGTAGGTAAAGATGATATACATCTTGTGTTTGTTTAATTCTCTTCAGAGAATCACCATCGTGGGTGGAAACAAAAATAGATAGATAGGTGGATATTAATTTAGAGAATTTGAATGCTGCACTGTTATTGTTTTTCCCACTAATTATGTTAAAGCTAAAATTACTTGTTTTTTAGAGTTATTGAATGGATCTTAAATATATATGTCATAATTGGAAAGAAAAATTCTTTTCATTTTTGTACTTGTTTGCATATTCTTCATTCAAAACTTGGAGATTATTTCCTCTCCAGTTGAATCTGAACTGGCTTTATGATTTGCTTTGACCATCAGAATACAGCAGAAGTGATGAAGTGTGAGTTCCAGAAACCAGGTCTTAAGAGAATGGATGGCCTTACTTTTCCTCACTTGGAACCCAGATTGCATCTGTCAGAATGTTTGTCTAGACCCCTGGAGGATGACAAGCTACAAGGAAGAAATTAAGAAGCCCCAGCCAATAGCCAGCATCAATGCCAGGCATGTAGGGATATAAAGAAGGTCATCATGAAATCATCAAGGCCAGCTGCTCCCATCTGCAACTGCACAAGTGAGCACAAGAGAGATCAACATAAGAATTGCCCAGCTGAGGCCAGTCAGCCATGAAAAAGACCAATCAAGTCATGAAAAATCATAAATTGTTTTTATTTTAAGCCCTTGCATTTTATGATCATGTGTTATGAAACAACACATAAATAATACAAAGATGAAAGGAGAAAAACAAAGTTTCAACTAAAATTCACTTATCTCACTTGATAGGAAGCATTGCATACATTATAAGACTGTTTTCTGTCACTGTTTTTTCTATTTACATCTTCCCATGATTAAGCTTTAAACAATGTTTTGGTAAAGTCAGACCTAGCTCTGTAACAAAATGGTAAGATCAATGTATATTAAGGGATTTTGAAAATATACGATAATTTAGGTTATATACAAAACAATATAGGATATATACAAAAAATTGCCAATATCAAATTTTCTTCCATGTGCTACTTAGAGTAAAAGTCTGCCACATTGTTTAGCACTGACTTTATGGCTAAACAGTGAATTGAAAGGCTTCTTGCCATGGGCTGGGCACAGTGGCTCATGCCTGTAATCCTAGCCCTTTGGGAGGCCAAGGCAGGTGGATCACCTGAGGTGAGAAGTTCAAGACCAGCCTAGCCAACATGGTGAAACCTCATCTCTCTAAAAATACAAAAATTAGCCGGGCATGGTGGTGGGCACCTGTAATCCCAACTACTCAGGAGTCTGAGGCAGGAGAATGGTTGAACCCGGGAGGCGGAGGTTGTGGTGAACTGAGATTGTGTCACCACACTCCAGCCTGGGTGACAGAGTGAGACTCCGTCTCAAAAAAAAAAAAGAAAGGCTTCTTGCCATGAAGCTGCTTCCAGCAACACAGATTTCCATATGAAAAAAAGAGTAACTGTATTAGAAAGAGGAGATAACCCACATCATTAAATCTTCATTGAGTGTTACTATAACATTGACATTATTAACACTACCCTAATATTCAAATAAAGTAAATTTTACAGTAAAATTTTTTTCTCTTCTGATTTGTCCTAAATCCAAACCGGTAATAAGGACTTTAGTATTATATTTCTCAAGATGATCACTTTGACTAATAGTTGTTTCATTCCATTATATTTTTCCATATATTCATATTGGATGGAGACTTACAGTGATTTATATTTTTAAATGGAAACAGAAAAAGTCTCAGACTTGTTCTGGTCTTTGGTCCTTTTCAAGTCTAGATGTTCATCAGAGCCCACTACAACAGAATCTCCAGGGGTGCACCCTAGGTAGGATTTTGTTTTCTAACAGTGCTAAAAAAAGATTGCTTTATATTAATTCTTACAGATCATTTTCATATGCAGTTGGGGTTGGTAACCACAGCCTTATAGGAAGGGTGTCACTTCACTGCTAAAATAATTCTCGATGGATCCTGAGCAAACCATGAAGTCTCTGCATAGTTCTGTGTCCATATATTGTATCCAGTCTTTCACCATCATGATGTTCATAAAATGCCTCCCTCCCCCAAGAGTGTGCTGTGTGGACCAAATGTGTTAGAGTCACTTAAGAGTGGTTATAAAGATTTGAATTCCCAAGATACTTCCACAATCTAATAATTTTAAATGATTAGAGAGAGCCTGGGAATCTGTATTTTAAGCAAGTCCAGCTGCTTGTCATTCTCTTTTTCAGTGAAATCACCAGCAATGTCTTAGCCATGCATTTTATCTGATCTAATCTGTATATCACAATCAAGGTAAGGTGTTACTGAAGGATGGATGCTTAATATGAAAAACCTCCCAAATACTATTTACCTTTTAATTTTATCTTCCAGTGACTTACCCTTTGCTGTGATTTGAATATTTGCCCTCTTCAAAACCTCATGGTGAATTTCAATCCCCAATGTGGCAATATTGAGAGAACGGGCTTTAAGAGATGATTGGATCCTGAGGGCTCTGACCTAGTGAATGGATTAATGGGGTAATGGATTAATGGATTAATGAGTTATTATAGGAATGGGATTTGTGGCTGAGTAAGAAGCAAGACCTGAGCTTGCATCAGCCTCCTCACCACGTCATGCCCTGTGCTGCCTCTGGACACTACAGAAGGTCCCTACGAGGAAGAAGGTTCTCACCAGATATGCAACCTCAACCTTGGACTCTCCAGCCTCATTCTGTAAGAAATAAATTTTGTTTCTTTATAAATTGCCCAGAGTCAGCTGTTCTGTTATAAGCAACAGAAAATGGACTAAGAATCCGATATCGTTTGGATTTGTGTCCCCGCTCAAATCTCATTTTCAATTGCAATCACCAGTGTTGGAGGTGGGGCCTGGTAGGAGGTGATTGGATCGTGAGGGTGGATCCTTCATAAATGGTTTAGCAGCATTCCTTTGGTGCTGTTTTGCAATAGAGTTCTCACAAGATCTGGTTGTTTAAAAGTGTGTAACACCTCCTCCCACAACAGCCCTTCCTCCCGCTTCAGCCATGTAAGATGTGTTTGTTTCCCCTTCACCTTACATCATGACTGTAAGTTTCCAGAGGCCTCCCCAGAAACAGAAGTTTCTATGCTGATTGTATAGCCTTCAGAACTATGAGCCAATTAAACTTCTTTTATTTATAAATTACGTAGACTCAGGTATTTTTTATAGCAATGCAAGAACAGTCTAATACAGAAACCCCTTTAACAATTGATTTTTATACTCATGATGAAAGAGACTTGAGGTTGGGTACCAATTTTAGGTTTCCCTTCTACTTTCACTACTTGAGAATCTATACAAAGTGTCAATGAGAAAGGAATCCTCCACTGGCGATTCCTAATTGTCCAGGGAGACACTAATTTGTATTTAGAGGTAAACACTTATTATATGTAAAACCATACTCAGTGTACTCTGAAATGTGCCATGTTGTATATCCAGCTTTACATGGACCAGTGTCTATTGCAGGAACAATGACACAGCTCGTTTGATTAAGCCAATCTGGCTTTTGGTGTTCAAAGTTTATCACTCCAGATGTTCTGGACAGAACAAAGATAGGCTAGAATATGTGATGTAATGAATTAATGAATTTTTTTATACTTCATCAGCCAACATCAAGATAAACTGTATTGAACTAGCATGTGTCCAGCTGAAGAGTGTTTAAACTGTTAGTGCAAAGCTGAAACTTCAATAAACGCTAGGAAAGGATCCAGGTTTTATTACCGGTGATACAGTTTGAGTGGATAAATTCTAACCATTTTAGCTAAACCCTCCAGCTTCATATTAATCATGAAGTAGAATAAAGTGGGGAAAAAAAACAACCATGGGGAATGTGAAAATAAGAGTTTAAAACTGAAGTATTACAAAGGTCAGCTTCTTTATGAGAAGACAAACATAGCTGCATTTTAATTAAATTATGAGATTGAAAAAATAATTTATGTACCATCTGGTCCTTCTCACAACTTATGAAAGGAAGAAGGGAAAACTGAAAAAAACTGGATTTTCTCTCTGATGTTGTCATTACTTTTCTGTAGGAGCTTGGCAAATCACACATCTCTCCAGACTTCAGTTTTGTTTTCTGTAAATTTGTTATTAGATAAGATGATTTGAGAGTCCCTAATTTTGGAGAATGTTGTCAATAATTTTTGGAGATTTGGTGTATATAAATAAGCTGTTATAAAAGTAACTAAATTCTATTCTCACAATATTTTAAAGAGAAAAATGTTGTATGCCAAGTCTACGAGTTATTAATTTTATTGAGAGTTCTTGATTTACCAGTGACTCTACTAGCTATTACCATACATTTTCTATTTTAACATTCACTCCAGCATTAGGCTGTAGTTTTACTTTTTTTCTCTTTTAACATAAGTGGAACTGAGGCTTAGATAGTGTAACCTGCCCATAATTTCACTGTTGGTAATAGTTGGAGCTTGGATACACCAGGGAATGTGACTGTGGATGCTGTGGTCTTAACAAATATGCTGTGATAATAAATTAGTAATTCACTATGTGTGTGGTAAGTTCCAGTGGCAGAACAATAAAGTCATCTGTAAACTCTGGTAAGTAAATGCTTATTGTAGTAAACTTCAAATCACAGAAATTTTTCTATTTTTACTACCTGCTGTAATTCAAAGATTAGTATTTGGCAGACAGGTCATGAAAAATAAAGTAATGATGGGGAGATTAGTTTTACCAGATATTTATACACTCTGTAAATCCTCTAAAATTAAAGGAGTATGGAACCATATGACCACATGAATGAAATGGAGTAAAACACTCAGAAAAAAATTAAAGAATAGTTTAAAACGTAACATATGATAAGATTCGCATTTCAAAATTCTTCAAAATATATAAACTTTTTAATAAATGGTACTGGGTAACTGTATAGCCACTTGGAAAAAGAAAAATTGAATCTATATCTATAATCATGTAACAGAATAATCCCCAACTCTTTCAGTGATGTAAATGTAAAAATAAAATCGCACAAGCATGAGAAGTAAACGTGAGTAAATGTATTTGTTACCTGGCATTTTCTAAATTTGTCAAATTTCGGCTTTTCTAAATTTGTCTCAAACAAATTTTTAAAAAATAAAATACTGATAATGTGCCTACATAAAAACAAAAGAAAAATGCTTTGCATGACAGAAACATCATAGGCAAAATCAAAAGACAATAACAAACTGGAAGAAGATATCTGTAACTTTTATCTGAGATAAATAACTAATAACAATTAAGATTTAAAAAGACCCTTGGAAGAATATTGTCCAAAATAATAAAATATTCAGAGACTGACAATGTTAAAAGTACACTTAATGATATGAACATATGTTGAGATGCAATTAAATCTTTACAGAGATGTAATTCTTCACATTTAAGATTGGCAAAATCTAAAAGCTTGTCAGCATGCTCTTTAAAGAAATGCTAGAAAAATGGGTGTTCTCAAAATTGCTAATGGGAATGGCAAATGAAACCCCCAGTTCTCGGACTTTATCATGAAAATATTATGGCAAAAATATGAACAACCCATGTAAAAAGTTATTTGTAAACGTGAAATTTTGGGAATAACACAAATATTCATCCACACGAGATTGTTGCATACACTCTAATACATTCAAACAATTACATACTATCAAATTATTTAAAAGGAATGAGAAATATCTATACTGTTTCAATTCGTGATTAACCATCCTCTCCCTCACCTTCCAATAAAACACAGTTTTGAATTGTTATTCCAGAAGAAAGGAGAAGTAAATCTTACAATTTTCTAATGTACACCTACCTCTTTGTTCCTGCTATGTTTCATTTACATTTGATAAGAACATCCAGAAGGAAAAAAGAAGTGAAATGATACACAATGCTACTCCTTAAGTATTTGTGGATGATGTGGGAAAAAACAATTATATAACAATAAATCTTAGGAGAAAACCAAATTTTAATTTAAGCCACATAGCTATTGAAACATACATGTAAAAATAATTGCAAGCAAATCTATACTGTAGTTGTGTGGCTTTTTCCATTGACTAAATCAGGTCCCCCATGTCCAGAAATTTAAAATATTTCCAAAAACTCTCTTTTATGTCTGTCACGGTTTCTGTTATTTTGCTTTCTGTAACTCAAAGTGAGATTAAACATACCTTAATTACTCAGTTTATATTATAGATATAATTAAAATAGGGCCAATTTTAAAGGTATATCACAAATATGTTAAAAGAAATTTGTGGAAGAAGTAAAAAGTAATTTTGTCTGATAAACAAGGAGATTTGGCATGTTTTAAAGGTCATTGAGGTGAAATGCAGTGGCTCACACCTGTAACCCCAGTATGTTGGGAGACTGAGGTGGGAGAATTGCTTGATCTCAGTTCAAGACCAGCCTGGGCAATATGGAAAATCCTGTCTCTACAAAAAGAATAAAAATTAGCCAGATATGGTGGTGTGCACCTGTAGTCCCAGCTACTTGGGAAGCTGAGGTTGGAGGATTGCTTGAGCCCAGGAGGTCGAGGCTGTAGTAAGCAGAGATTACACCACTGCACACAAGCCTGGGTGACAGAGTGAGACCCTGCCTCAAAAAAATTAAAAATAAAACTCATAACTGAAATGAAATAAAGTATAGATTTAATAAAATATTACAGAGTGCCATCAGTAAATATTGTGAGGTATGGAATTCCAAAATCTACCCTTTCGTAACAGCAACTAAAATTCTGGAAAATCCATCAGAATTGACTCTTTGAGACTCTGAAATTTAGTAAAAGCAACTTGAAAACACTTAATAAAAATTACTGAAGTGCAGAAAAAATAATAAGCTTTATGCTGTTTCAATTATCCATTGTCCTATTCCTCACTTCCCAGCTCAGTGGTAGACTTAAAAGTAACAGCCAACCTCATTAGTTCCAGTACAAGAAAAATTCCTATAAACATACACTCAACTGAAACTGACTGAAAAACAGAAAATAGAATAGACACATAACAATCAAAAGAATGACTCAGTAATCAAAAAACTTTTAACCAAAACAGTAACAAAACAATGCCTAGAACCAGAAGGTTTCAATGGTCAATTCCACCAAATGTTAAGGAGAAACTCACACCGATCGTGTACAAACTCTTCAAAAAATAAAATAGAACAGAAGGGTATACTTGCTAACTCAATCTGTGAGGTCGACATCACTCTGATACCAAAGCCAGGCAAAGATATCCCAAGAAAAGAAAAATACAATCTGATATCCCATATAAATATAGATGCAATGATCCCTAATAGAATAGAACAGAATCCTCAATAGAATACCTAATTCAGCAACATATGAAAGGATTATACACCATGACCAAGTGAAATTTATCACAGAAATTCAAAATTGGAAAATTGATCAGTATAATTCCATATCACTAGAATAAAGGAAACACACACATATACATGTCAACTCAATAAATGCAGAAAAGATTTTGATAAAGTGTGATACCTTTTCATGATAAAAACACTCAACACACTATGAATAGCAGGAAATTTCCTCAACTTGATAATGGTATGATGCCTAATTGTAAAAGACTCCCTCATACTTAATTGTGAAAGACCCAAAGCTTCCCCCTTAAGATGAGGAACAGTACAAGGATGTTTGCTCTAGCCACTTTTATTCAACATCATATCAGAAATTCTAACCAGAAGCAATTAAATCAGGAAAATGAAAAAAGGAATCTAAATTGGAAAGGAAGAAATAAAACCATCTCTACTTGTAGCTAACATAATTATACACATAGAAAATTCTAACAAATCCACATGTTAAAAAAATCAGTCAGCAGAGTTGTGAGATACAAGGTCAATACATCAAAATCCATTCTATAGCTATACACTAAAAGTGAACAAGCCAAAGTTGAAATTAACAAAATGATTTCATTTACAGTAGCAGCAAAAAGAATAAAATACTTAGTAATGAATTTAACCAAGGAAGTGCAAGCATGGTACACTGAAAACTATCAGGTAGTGCTAATAGAATTTAAGAGGAGCTAAATAAATAGAAATATGTCTAGATTTATTGATTGGAAGGTTTAGTATTATTAAAGTATCAGTATTCCCTAAATTTATTTAATGAATTTAATCAGCATCAACATTCTAACTACCTGTTTGCAGAAATAGATACAATGATCTTAAAATTCCTGTATAAATGCAAGAAGTCAAAACATTCCAAACAAAAGAATAAAGTTGACTCACAATTCTTAATTTCAAAACATACTACAAAGCTACAGTAATTAAAGTAGTGTGGTACTGACATAAAGATAGATATATAGATTAATGAATAGAGTGGAGAGTACAGTCATATAAACCCATGAATCTTTAGATCAACAGGAGAATTAAGAAAATTAAATAGGGAAAGAATTAGTCATGTCAGCAAATGCTAATTAGACTATTGAATATTCATATGCCAAAGCATAAATTTGTATTCCTACCCCACATTTTTTATGTCATACCCTTTAAACTTTATTTGTATATATTTATAGAATACAGGTAAATTTTGTTACATATTGTGTAGTAGCAAACTCAGGGCTTGTAGTGTATCCATCAAAAATTAACTCAAAATGGGACGATAACCTAAATGGATCCTCTAGAATTATAAAACACTTAGGAGGAAGCATAGCTATAAATCCTTGTGACCTTAGATTAAGTAGGAACAAATAGATAAATTATTTATCAACATTTAAAAATGTTCTGTATCAAAAGATAACCTATAAAATGTGATAAAATATTTGCAAATCATATAAAGTTCTCATATCCAAAATATCCTAGTAAAGTATTCCTGCAACTTGACATGAACAATCCAATTAACAGGCAAATAATCAAGTTTTTAAAATGAGCAGAGGATTTGAATACACTACTCATTCAGGTAGCTTCATGTCTCAGTTGTGACAAATATCATACGTGCAGACATTGCCAAATGTCTCTTACAGAGCAAAATTGTCCCCAATCTAGAACCACTGTTCTAGAGGAAGAATTATACCTCTTTCTTCAGGGGTGGCTGGCCATAAAAATGATACAGGCCTAGAGCATTGATGCCACCAAGTAAAAGCTATTTTCCCCTAAGGTCAGGAACAGTACAAAAATGTTTGCTCTAGCCAGTTTTACTCAACAGAATGAATGAAGTCAACAGAGAGACAGAAATGGGAAGATCTAAGCCTTGAGAAAAACCATTTCAGTCATTTGATCAAACTTTACCTGAATGTTATTCACCACTGGACCTTACAATGACATAAACCAATAAATTTTATTCTTTGACCTAAGCCAGTTTGATTGACTTTTTTTCTAATTCGCAACCAAAATAATCTTAGTTTGTCATTATAATCTAAATAGATAAAATGCACCCATTAGTATTTCTACCTCAAAAGGTAAAGGTTATTTTTCCCATATGATTTATAATGGTTTTGAGCTTCCTTACAAGTGTTGCCACGTACAGAATGAAAATTATTTTGCATGCTTTACTTTTTAGATAAATGATTGCAATTTTAAACCCTGATATAACTCTTTGCTAAGGTATCTGCATTAACCGTGTCCATTGCTAATAAAACTAATTCATCAATAGTCTATGATAAAATGGGCTGCTTATATAACTTTAATCAGCTATTGCTTTGAATCCTGTTATTTTCAAAAGATGAAAATTATATAGCCATTGTGGCAGTTCCCACTGGCAGTAAAATTGTAGTGTTTTAAAAAATGTTATTACTTTCACTTTTATTTGAGCTGTCCTCCACAATCATGTCACTCTTGGACGGTGCTAAAAAATAGAGACATAATATGAACAAAGCCTTAATCATGGCTTGAACATGTATCACCTTCATTGTGTGGTATTCTAGGACAAACATTGTAGATTTTTCTTTAAATAATCTGTTTAATTATCATTAAAAAGTAAAAACACTTCTTTCACACATATCTAGATAAAAAATAATTATTTTAAGAAATAAGGAAGAATACAAGTCAGTTTGATTTATACACAGAAAATTTTAACTTAATTACATCACATTTTACCTCAACTTTGAGTATTTTAACTAAGTCAAATAATTTTCTATCTATATAATATAAACTCTGCCAATACTTTCACATGAAAGAACTTATTAATGTGTAACATTTGAGACCGTTTTCAAAAGATGAATTAGTACAAAAAATGCATTAGGACAAAAATTGTAGACTATTTTGAATAAGAAATGTGGTAATTTTGAGTAAGAATGTGTATCATTTTTTCTTCTTAAATTCATTGTGTCTGCCCAGAGGCCAACAAACCTCCAGGCACTTTCATTTTTTACTTATTTACTCACCCTTTTTACAGGAGAATTTGAATATTTGAAAGATCTTTATAAAGGAATAACCATAAATAGTAGTCCTTTAGATAAATCCATGGTTCCGAAAGAACTCATGATTGAACAAGCAAAATTAATAGAATCCTTCTTTGTCACTGCAAGTTCAAAATTATTTTGCAGTGCAATAAAATCACGTCTTTTCACAGACTTTTACAATGGTTAAGGATAAAAGTTTAATTCCTTCATTCTGAAGATTGATCCAATTTTTGAAATGGCTTACTACAAAAGACATAGGGTACATCTAAAAAGGAAATATTAAAAGTGCTTAGTAACAACAAAAACAAAAGTGACACCATATTATGAGTCTAGGAAACCTACTTCTTTTTCAACAAAACATACTATTAAATTGTGGTAAAATGCACTGAAACTCTATGTCCATTAAACAATAAGTTTGCATTCCTCCTTCCATCTTATTTCTGAACAACCATCGTTCTACTTTCTGTCTTTATAAATTTATCTATTTCAGGTACCTCAGATAAGTGGAATTATATACTTGTCTTTTTGTGAGTGGCTTATTCCACTTAGTATAATCCCCCACTGTTTATCAGTGTAGCATATGTCAGAATTCTCTTCATTTCTAAGGCCGAGTAATATTCCGTTTTATCTATATACCTCATTTTAAGGTCAATGGACACATTGGTTGCTTCCATGTTTTAAACAATGTAAATAATACTCCTGTGAATATGGTTATGCAAATATATTTTCAATATCTTGCTTTCAGTTCTTTTGGGCATATATCAAAAAGTGTATCATATGATAATGTTATATTTAATTTTTTGAGAAACCAACATATATTTTCCATATTGACTGTATCATTTTACATTCCTACAAGCAGTACACAGGGTTTCCATTTCTCTGTACCCTCATCAAAGGTAGGTATTTTTCTGTTTTGTTACTTTATAGTAGTCATCTTAATGGGTATGTGGTGATATTTCATTGCAGTTTTGATTTACATTTTTATAATAATTAGTTGTATTGAGCATCTTTTCATGTGCTTATTATCTATTCATATGTTTTTTGGAGAAATGTCTATTCAAGACCTTTGTCCATTTTTAAATCTGGGTTTATGTTGTTGTTGTTGTTTTTGTTGTAGAGTTATCAGAGTTTTATACATATTTCCAGACACTATTTCCTTATTAGATATATGTTTTGTAAATATATTCTCCCATTCTGTGGGTTTTTTAAATTTATTGATATTGTCTTTTGATACAAGAAGATATTTTATTTTTCAGGAAGTACAATTTGTCTTTCTTTCTTTAGTTGCCTGTGTCTTTGGAACCAAATCCAGGAAACCAATGTGATTAAATTTTGCTCTATTTTTTCATAGAATTTTATAGTTTTTATGCACTTACGTATAGGTCTTGGATAAATATTGTGTTAATTGTTGTACATGGTGTTAGGTAAGAGTCTAAATCCATTCGTTTACATGTGGATATCCAGTTTTCCCAGAGCCATTTGTTTAAAAGTCTATCCTTCCCTCATTGATTATGTTGGCACCCTTGTCAAAAACCAATTTACCATATATGGAAGAGCTTATTTCTGGGTTATCTGTGATGCTTCCTTAGACTACTTATTTGAAATTATGCCAATACCGTACTGTTTTCATTACTGTAGCTTTGTAGTAAGTTTTAAAATCAGTAAGTTGGAGCCCTCCAGCTTTGTTTTTCTTTTTCAACATTGTTTTAATTATTAAGGGTCCCTTGAAATTCCATACAAATTTTATGATGGGTTTTTCTATTTCTGCAAAAAGTCACTGAGATTTTGCTAGAGATTTCACTGAATTTGTAGATTGCTTTGGGTAATATTGATAACTTAACAATGCTAAGTCTTCCAATTGATAAACATAGGATTTCTTTACATTTATTTATGTCTTCTTCAGCAATATTTTATAATTTTTTATTGTAAATGTCTTTTATCTCTTTGGTTAAGTTAATTCCCACATGTTTTATTTTTTTGATGCTATCACAAATAAAATTATTTTCTGAATTTCCTTTTCAGATTGTTTATTGTTAGTGAATACTAATGCAACTGATTTGGGAGTGTTGATTTTGTATCTTGCTATGCTGATGAATTTATTACTTCAAACAGTTTTTGTTTTTAATTTTTGTAAAATCTTTTTCTATATAAGATCATATCATCTGCAAACAGATATAAAAAATAATAATAAAAGTCATCTAAAAACATTTGCCTTGTTTCTGATCTTACGGGAAAAGCTTTCAGTCTTTTACCATTGAGTAAGATAGTTGCTGTGGGTTTTTAATACATGGCTAATATGGTTTGGCTATGTCCCCACCCAAAATCTCATCTTGAATTTTAATCCCCGGAATCCCCAAGTGTCAGGGGTGGGATTAGGTGGATGTAATTGGATTATGGGGGCAGTTTTCCCCATGCTGTTCTCATGATAGTGAGTGAGTTCTCATGAGATCTGATGGTTTTACAAGGGACTCTTCCCTGTTTGCTTGACACTTCTCCTTCCTGCTGCCCTGTGAAGAAGGTGCCTGTTTCTTCCTTGCCTTCAGACATGATTGTAAGTTTCCTGAGGCCTCCCTAGCAATGCAGAACTGTTGAGTCAATTAAATCGCTTTCCTTTATAAATTACCCAGTCTCAGGTATTAATTCATAGCAGTGTGAGAATGGACTAATACAATGGATTGTATTATGTTGAAGTAGTTTCTGTGGATTCCTAGCTTACCGAATATTTTTATCATGAAAGAGTGTTGAATTTTGTCCAACTTATTTTTTTCTGAATCAACTGAGATGATCACATGTTTTATGTCCTTCATTCAGTTAATGTGGTGTATTACACTGATCTATTTTCATATGTTGAACCATTCTTGCATTCCAGTAATAAAACCCACTTGGTCATTTTGCATAATATATTTGGTGTGTTGCTAAATTAAGCTCACCAGCATTTTGTTGAGATTTTTACATCAATGTTTATAAGAGATATTAGTCTTTAGTTTCCTTTTCTTTCAGTGCCTTGTCAGCTTTGGCATCACAGCAAAGCTGGTTTCATAGGACAAGTTAGAAAGTGTTTCTTTCTCTTTAATTTTTTTGAAAACTTTGAGATAGATTGGTGTTAGTTCTTTAAGTGTTTGGTTAAAATTTACCAGTATATAAATTCATCAAGTGTATGGTTTTCTTTTTTGGTAAATTTTTGATTACAGATTCAATCACCTTACTAGTTTTCATCCTATTCAGGTTTTTTATTTCTTTGTGATTCAGTCTTGGTAAGGTTAGCATCTCTAGAAATTTGTTCATTTCATCTAGGTTATTCAATGTGTTTGTGTGTAATTGTTCATAGTATTCTCTTAGCATCTCTTTTTAAATTTTAGTAGTAACAGTAGTAACATCCCCACTTTTATTTCTGATTTTAGTAATTTTAATATCCTGTCTTCATTTTCTTGGTTGATCTACATGACACATTGACCAGCTTATGATTTAAATGTTTTTCTCTATTTTTAATTCTTTAATTCATTTATCTCTGCTCTAATTTTTATTATTTATTTTTCAGCTAACTTTGGGTTTAGTTTATTTTTGATTTTCTTATTCTTTAAGTTGTAAAATATAGTTGTTGATTAGAGATTTTTTTATTTTATAATGCGTTTATATAAATTTCTCCGTTAGTACCATGTCCACTGCCTCACATATGTTTTGGTGTGTTGTGTTTTTGTTTTTATTTCTACTCAAGTATTTTCTAATTTCTGTTGTGATTTCTTTTTGATTCATTGTTTGTTTAATATTAATTCATTTAATTTACAAAAATTTGCAAGTTCTGTTTTTGTTATGGATTTCTAACTTGTTCCCACTATGTTTGAAGAAGATACTTTCTATAATATTTATATTTTAAAATCTCTTGACACTTAATTTGTGTCCTGATATATGACTTATCTCAGAGAATGCCTCATGTGTGCACTTAAGAAGAATGAGTATGTTGCTCTTGTTGGGTAAAGTGTTCTGCATATTTCTGTAAAATCTAGTTGGCTTATTGTGTTGTTCAAATTCTCTATATTCTTACTTATCTTCAATTTGGTTGTTCTATTCATTACTGGGAATGACATATTAAAGTCTAAAACCATTATTAAACAACTATCTATTTCTCTCTTCAATATTGTTAGTTTCTGTTTCATATATAATGGTCTGTTATGAGATGTGTAAGTATTTATAATTGTATATCTTCTCATTGAATTGAATATTATATTTTATTATATGTAATGTCCTTTATTATTGTAATCTTTTTTGGTTAAATGTCAATTTGGTCTGATATTAGTTTAGACATCCATTATTCTTCAGTTACCATTTACATAAATTATATTTCTTTATTATTTCATTTTTAACCTATTTGGGTGTTTGGATTTAAAGTGAGTCTATATATACACAACATATAGTTGGCTAAGATTTATAAATTATTTACTCTGCCAATCTCTGTATTTTGACTGGAGATTTTAGTCTACTTACATTTAAATGATTTTCTGATAAGACAAGTTTAAAATGATTAAAGATAAGAATACTTACTTCTGTCATTTTGTCATTTGTTTTCTGTATGTTATAGCTTTTTTGTCCTTTATTTCCTACATTATTGTCTTTTTTGGGTTTAGCTGATTTTTTTGTATGAAAACATCTAAATTCAATTTCATTCTCTCTCTTGTGTGTGTGGTTGTGTGTGTGTGTGTTTGTGTTTGTGTGTGTGTGTGTCTATGTTATAGCTATTCTTTTGCATTTACCATATGGATTACATTTAACATCCTAAAGTAATAATATTCTAATTTGAATTTATTGTATCTTAAATGCAACAAAATACAAAAATTCTGCTTCTAAATAACTTTGTCCCTATGCACATTCAGATATTGTCACAAAATTACATTTTTATATATGTGTGCCCTAAAGCAAAAACTAATAATTGTTTTTAATGGATTAGTCTCTTGAATTATGTAGAAAACAAATGTTAAGTTACAAACCAAAGTTACAACAATATTAACTTTTATTTGTACAACCATTTTGGTAAATGTATGTTTCTTAAATCATGCAGAAAACAAAATGTGCAGTTACAAACCAAGGCTACAATGACAGTAGCTTATGTAATTACCCATGTATTTACTTTTGCTGAGACTATGTTCTTCATAGGGCTTAGTGTTGCAGCCCAATGTTCTTTCATTTCAACCTGCAAAATTCCTTTTAGTATTTCTCGTGGGTCTAGTCTAATAATTACAAACTTTTGTCTATCTGAAAATATCTTAATCCCTCCCTCACTTTGAAGGATACTTTTGTTGAATATAAGATTCTTGGTTGATAGTTTCTTTCTTTCACCACTTTGACAATATCAGCCCACTGACTTATGACCTGCAAAGTTTCTGATAAGAAATATGATGATAATCTTATTGAAGATTCCTTGTATGTGATGAGTTGATTCTCTCTTGTTTCTTATAAGATTATCACTTTGCCTTTGTCTTTCAATAGTTTGATTATAATATGTCTCAGTGTGGGTCTCTTTGAGTTCATCTCACTTGGGTTTCAGTGGGCTTCTTAGATATTTATGTTCATGTCTTTCATCAAAATTAAGAATATTTGGCCATTGTTCTTTGAATAATCTTTCCATCTATCTTCTTCTGTTACAAGTACCACAATGTGTACATTTGTCAGGTTGATGATGTTTCACAGTTCCTTTGGACTCTTTCCACTTGTCTTTAATCTTTTTTTCCCTTTCTGCTCCTCAGACTTAATAATTTTAATTTAAACTATCTTCAAATTTACTGAATCTTCTGCCTGCTCACATCTGCCTTTGAATTCTTCTGGTAAAATTTCCATTCCTTTTACTGTACTTTTGAACTCCAGGATTTCTTTTTTATTTCATCTCAGGTTTTGTATTTATTTACTTACATTTCCATTTTATTTATATATCATTTTCTTGATTTTCTCCATTGTCTTCTTTAAATTCTTACAGCATTTTTAATACTGTTGTTTTAACATCTTTTTCAATTAGCTTTGCCCTCATGTCTTTTCAGGGATGGTTTCTGTTGGTATTTTTTCCATATGGGCCACACTTTCTCATTTCTTTATATCATTTGTGGTTTTTTTAACTGGATAATTCAATTTAATAATTCAGTACCTTGGGATATCAGATTCTCTCTCTTCCTCAGGATTTACAGATTTTAAAAAATAATTTTGTTGTGTATTTTGATTGTTGTAGGTTGTTTCTGTGCTGGGGGTCAGCCTAAGGTAAACGTAAGATCTTCTCAAGACTTTTTGAGTGTGTGCGTTTTTTGGGGCATATGTGGTGGCTCTCTGAATTTCTACATATATAAGGTTGATTTTAAAGTTCCTAGACCTTAAATTTTGGCTCCCAAAAGAGAAAGAAGAGGAAAAACTAAGGGGCACAATGAGAGAAATTTTAAAAGGCACGAGCCCTTTAAATTCCCTGAGAGTTATTTCAGCTATGGGGGGGCGGGGCCTGCAACAGTGTGAGTAGGAGGGCAACAGTGGCTGTCCACCACTATGCCTGCATCTCCAAGATATAAAACAGCAATCCGTGATTAGAACACAGGTCCCTGATATTTAGAGGATAGGGCCCTTATTGCCCAACCTGGCTCCCACAGGCTGCATGAAAGCAGTCTCTGGAGTACATGTAGAGTTCCCTGCCATGGGGCTGGTGAAGTAGAAAATAGGTAGCTAGAAAGATAGCTAAGAGCTTAAACTGACTAAAATTATTTAAAATTTAACATTCAGACATTCCCCGACAGTTACAAACCTTCAAATAGACTACAGAATTCCAAAACTGTTACATTATATAGATTCTGTTATGTAATTGTTTTCTATTTAGGGAAATGTATTCCTGGTGTTTTCTACTCCACCATCTTCCCAAATTTCCACCTGTGAAGCCACTTCATTTATATGAACACATTTCATATATATGTTTCAAAAATCATTATTATATAATTTAATTTGGCTTCTGCCTTTTTAATTAATCAAGAACTGAATGTTTCTACATGTTTTCTTCATTGAGAAGTTAGCAAATAATATTTTTAATACACTTTACTTTTCCATTACGGACTTCATATTTCATAGTAACTTAGCCATCTTTTGCCAACTCTCTTTCCCAAATATTGTGGTTATAATTTAAAAAGTGATAAAACCTACTAAGATATTAACTGATAATTTATGAGTCTTTTAATAGTTAATGAGGGGTTCAACAACCAAAACTCTATATGAAGTAATGTCTTAACAGTGAGAAAATAGGGAAATGGACAATTTAGAGTGGGGGCTATTTTTAGGTGACATCCTAGCATAACATCATTTGGATTTATATCCATTTTACATAAATACAAAACTATTAGATAACAAATTTGGCATAAAGATAGATTTTATTATAAACTGATTTACAAGAGATTAATTACTAACATAGCAGAAGCTGGTATTATATGGTGATTTCATCTTTAAATAATATAAGGCCTATGATTAGTAGAATTAAGAAGGTATATATTAAAAAATTTACATTTGTTGTTATTGTTGACATTTTTGCTGTTCTCATTTATTCTATAGTTTTCCTTCTTTATTTGAAATAAGTTCTGTAGCCCATGTGTTAATGTATATCTGTCTCATAAGTCATTTGTCATAATATTTGTAGAAAATTACAATGTGTTCACTCACTATGTTTATCTGTAAAGTGAAAATAAAATATTGGTTTAAAAATATTTGTGCTTCTCAAAAAAATGTTAAAAAACACCCCAGCTTAATGATGTCTTAGATTCATAATAATAAAATGAAGAGGTCTACTTTATCTGAAGGTAAGCCTACGTACTGACTTTGAAACATTTATGTTATCACTAATGTAGAATGCAAGATGAATTCATTTGTTATTTTGTTATTGATCGAATTTTGTTTTTATCTTTTTCTCTTTTTTAAGGTTTTATATGTAAACAAAAATCTCTGATTACATTTCAGATCCTGATAAACAGGTGATTTATTTAATAGAAGTCATTGAAATAGAGTAACAGACTAGCAACTTTATTAGAATGCCTCTGGTTATTTGGCATCCTGTGTTGATAATGATGGCTTTAGCTATATTCAGTAGATGTAAATTTTTTTATTATGTCATGTGCTAATAACTGAAAAATCTGCAATATTTTCATATAAGAATATATCTAATTTAAAATATATTTTTGCGCTTCTTAGATGTAAAAAATTACCATAAAGTTGTGTCTTTAAATAGAAACAAATTACCTATAATCTGGTTCATTCTGAACATTGCATATTCTCGATTCTTCGTGTATATTGAAACATCTAGTTTTAAAGCAGACACTCATGTATATCGTCCACTTTGAGAAGTATGCAAAACTACAACTATTTCCTCTGCCAAGCTATTGTTAAAGTCCCACTTTACAACTTTAGAGCTATGACTTGGGCAGCATTAAAGTTATTACTAACTTAAAATTTCTTATTATTCTCCAGAAACATTAGGGATGTTACCACTATGAGTTACTATTAAATATTATTTAATAACAAATTTTAGATTAATTACTTTATGCAATTTAACACATTTTAATTGAGCACTTACTGTTATAATATGACACATATTAGGTGCTTGGGATTATTTTCAAGTATGTTAAATTGAGCAAAAATTCCTCTGGAAATGAGACACAGATTCAAATAGATTTACATTTAGCTGGTGGGTAAGATATGAAATAAATATATAAATCCATAGCTTGACATTTTTTCCAGCTTTCTGGTGAAGACAACTATAGTTACTGAGGTCATGTGAATAGATTGATAAGTCAAAAATACCCCAAGGTTGTTGATATGGTCTGGCTCTGTGGCCCCATCCAAATCTCATCTCCAATTGTAATCCCCATGTGTCAGGAAAGGGACCTGGTGGGAGGTGATTGGATCCCCAGATGGATTTTCTCCATGCTGTTCTCGTGATAGTGAGCTCTCACAAAAGCAGATGGTTTTGAAGTGTAGCACTTCCTTGCTCTCTCTCTCTCCTGCCACAATGTAAGACATGCCTTGTTTCCCATTTGTCTTCTGCCATGATTAGAAGTTTCCTGAGACCTCCACAGTCATGCAGAACTGTGAGTCAATTAAACCTTTTTTTTTTTTTTAATTACCCAGTCTGGTAATCTTTATGGCAGTGTGAAAATGAACTAATACAGTTGTCGAAGAGGAAAAAGAAGTTAAATTAAGACATTGGTGTTTTGTTGTTGTTGTTGTTGCTGTAGTTTGTTTGTTTTGAGACAGAGTCTCCCTCTGTCGCCAGGCTGGAGTGCAGTGGTGCCATCTCAGCTCACTGCAACCTCTGCCTGCTGGGTAAGTGATTCTCCTGCCTCAGCCTCCCGAGTGGCTGGGACTACAGGCACGCACCACCACGCCCAGCTAATCTGTGTGTTTTTAGTAGAGACGGGGTTACACCTTGTTGGCCAAGATGGTCTCTATCTCTTGACCTCATGATCCGCCCTCCTCGGACTCCCAAAGTGCTGGGATCACAGGTTTGAGCCACCGCACCTGGCTGACATTGGTATTTTTATCAACTGACTTTGTATGGTCATCAATTCAGTGTACAGTTCTGGTTAGATAAAACAATACAAAGGAGAGCAACACAGGAACTGCCTTTTACTCATTGAATACTTTGTGTATTTACTATTTAATTTATTTTAACTCAATCATAAATGGGAAACTAAGGTTAAGGGAAACATAGAAGTCACTGCACAAATATTTAACAATTTTAATTGATGTAAATGATCTCTAGGTGTTGACATAACACTGAAGCAAATTTATTATTTTACTCTAGGATAATTTGAGGGAAAAAATATCCTTTGATTTTTGTTCTAGACACGAGTTTCACTGAAGAAAATATATTTTAAAATAACTCATTTATCTTACATGAAAAGTAATTTCAAAAGCATATTATAACCTAATAGAGGAAATTCTACCAAGTAACTTGACCACCTGTACCAAGATGCAAACTGAATTAACATGTTGATTATAAACAAATTCTTCATTTAGATTACCACTGTGAGGTTTTTCTGTCAAGATTTTCAGGTGGATAAGAAAGAAAGCCAGGACAGTACAGAGACTGCTTTGTTGTGTTAACCAAAAAGGCTTATAGTCGTATGGTTTGGAAAATTGATGCTGCTGTTTTTCTTAGGTCATCTCATTTATGTCAAAATAACATAATCAGAATAAAGTATTGATAATCAGGATTAGAATTCTAGAGATACTATATTTTTCAATATATATATATTTCTATATGAATGTGTATCAGGTGTCTCTGACTTCCTAATAACATTTTTGCAGTCTAAGTTTTACTTTATCCCTGTCTGACTGCCCTTAGCACAGCTTGTTTGTGATGACCCTGTTTAACATACATGCTGGCTTCCCCCAGTGAAATTTTTGCATTCATAAAATAATTCAGAAGAGGAAGAAAGAACCTCAAACGATGGATTATCAACGACCAAAGGCTGGAACAAATGTACTTCTTGTGGAAACATTTTATCATTTTTTGAAAGGGAACTTTTGAATCCCACTTATATTTTGACTCATTCTTCTCCTTCCTCCTAACTACATATTTTTGTAATTACAATTTGAACCCAGAAAAAGAAAAAAGAATAGGAACAGAAGTGCCCCAAGTGATAGACTTTTGATAAAACATCCATTAGATGGTAAACAGCAGTCACAGTTGGAGATTCAGCTCCATATTTAGGAGGTGATTCACTAAAGAAGCTACTGAATGTTCCTCTATTTCCAAACCTGGAGAAAAAGAAAAGTGGATTATTGGCACCCCCAACACAATTTATTGTTATGGCAACCTGGAGAATCGAGAATGTGTTTTGAGATTCTCTTAAGGAGAAAGAAAATAACTAAACAAACAAACACCAAAATGGTATGTAAATGAGCTAGATAAAAGCAAAAATTAAGAATTTGAAGTATTTCAAAATATTAAAATAATTTTTCAAATAAAGTGAAAAATTATGATATTATTAGTGAATGTGTATATACTGATGCAGTTGCACTTTTATGTGTACTTTTTGGAGGAAGAAGGAAGAGCAGGAGTGCTTGTGATAGTCTCAATTGATTAATGGCTTTTCATCTCACAGGTTTTCTAGACGAGCAAAACTTTACTATATAAAATATTCTCGGCCTGGCGTGGTGGCTCACGCCTGTAATCCCAGCATTTTGGGAGGCTGAGGCAGGTGGATCACGAGGTCAAAAGTTCAGGACCAGCCTGGCCAACATAGTGAAACCCGTCTCTACCCAAAATACAAAAATTAGCTGGGCATGGCAGCAGGCGCCTGTAATCCCAGCTACTCGGGAGGCTGAGGCAGTTCGAGAATCGCATGACCTGGGAGGCCAAGATCATGCCACCACACTCCAGCCTGGGAGACAGAGCAAGATACCGTCTCAAAAAAAAAAAAAAAAAAAAAATCTCATAGGATATAACTGCCTCATTAAGAAAAACCACATACAAAGCAGCAAATAAGAAACTTGATGCATATTTAGAGCTTTCTGTTTTCTACGGAGGTATAATGGCACTGATATGATAGAGACAAGCCACCATACTGGATAGACTGATGATCTGACACAAGGAATAAGTTGAAAAAGGTCCCAGCAATCAATGATTAGAAGCTTTCAAAGGATTGCTTCTTCAGGCCATTTTCAGACAGAATTTGGTACGGCTAGTTCAGAAAAAGTCACTGAATACCTATTACAAATTGTAAAATGCTGTTTCCTTTGTCTCTGTTGTCCTGATTGAAAATCATGTTGATAGCTAAGAAGAGACATTTCTGAGCAGAGAATCGTTTGTTCTGAATTGTTCTGCAGCCTAGATACTTGAAAGCAATTTTTTCCCTAGTTGTGGATGGGGTGGGGAGAAATAATATTTTTTCCTCCAACTCTAGACAATATTCTACATTTTTCTTAAAGTATGACTTAATAAATATATATTTGGTAAGGCTTTATAAGCAACACATAAAGAAAGACTAATTATGCTAAATTCAGTCTCTCTTAACTGATAACTGAGAGAGAATGGAGCAAGTGAAGTCATAAAGAGAAGGGTAAACAAGATGCTTGTAATAGATTTTCCCTTGAAAGAAGTAAAACCTATTTTTACTGTTCCTAGAAAAGTGAATTTTAAGTATCTTTGATTGGAACAGAAAGAGATTTCATCTTTTGATAAATAAAGTTTCTAAATTAATTCATCTATTTTCTACTTCTAAAATAATTTTGTTGAATCTTTGAATTTAAGCTTTAAAGAGTGATGAGTTTCAAGACAATAGCATATTTAAAATACTATGCATCAATGTACTTAAGCTCATGTAATTGATTTTTGATACATTAGGAATGTTTTAGCCTTGATCCAATTTATATTCCCTAAAAATACAAATTTATTTCACTTTCTGATTTTTTTTGGTCCATGTTGTTAGTTGAAGAAACAAAAGTTGTTAGTTTTGACACATACAGAATTATATTTATGATATGTTTTCCATCATGTTCACAATACAGAATATCAAATATGCCAGTTCACCAAAAGCTCTATGATTCAAAATGATAAGTTTTATAAACATGAAACTAATTTTTTAAACACTTTATAGTTTAAAATAATAAATGTAAATTTATGTCCCTATATTTCTAGATCTTAATACATTTAGTTTGTTGCCTATAGATGGTTACTAATTACTGGCATCAATGTTTGTGACAGACTGGAATTACTGGCATTACATCACTCCGACATTTAAGTGACTACCAGGTTTTCATTCTAGTGCAGAACAAATGGAATACTTACTAAGGTCAATATGCTATGATTCTTCTTAGCTCTTAGAATATACTATCAGATGAGACAGTAATATATATTGATAACTATAATAGATTTTGATATGTACTATTGTAGAAAGTATTACTCAAAAGTTTTGTAACCACAAAGGGAGTGAATGAAGAGTGCTGGGTTCACTGAAAGCCTGGCAAAGAAGGATATTCTTGAAATAAGATTGGAAGAAATGAAGCTTGTGCATACTGTCTTCTTTCTCTCTTGTTACTCCACTTCTTCCAGCCAACAGCCTATATTTTAGTTGCTTCCCTTACTGTGACTTCTCAGATCCTCCAGATAGATCACAGACCAAATTCAATGTTATTATTTTAGCACATCAGCACATATTGTATTATAATTCCAGTTTCAATGTCAGTCTGTCTCACCACACTGACATCCCTGACAACAGTATATTACACAATGCCTGTGCTAATATTTGAAAGGATACATTTGCAATTGCAAAAATATGGAACCAGCCCAAATGCCCATCAATCAACAAGTGGATAAAGAAAATGAGAAAATGTGGTACGTATTTATATATACATATGGTGTAATACTACTAAGCTATAAAAACAAATAGATTAATGGCATTTGCAGCAACTTGGATGGAAATGGAGACTATTATTCTAAGCAAAATAACCCAGGAATGGGAAATCAAACATTGTATGTTCTCACTCATAAGTGGGAGCTAAGCTATGAGGATGCAAAGGCAAAAGACAGATACAATGGACTTTGGGAACTCAGGGCAAAGTGTGGGAGGGGGATGAGGGATAAAAAAACTACAAATTGGGTTCAGTGTACACTGCTCAGGTGATGGGTACACCAAAATCTCACAAGTCATCACTAAAGAACTTACTCATGTAACAAAATACCACCTGTTCCCCAAAAACCTATGGAAATAAAAAATTTAAAAACTTAAAAAATAAAAGATAATGGATCAAAAAAAGGATACATGAATGAATTAATATGTCATATTTTCAGAGAGAGAGAATTGGAGAAAAGGCCATTCCGGAAAGCTGCAGTACATATGGCACCTACCAAATGTAGTAAACAACGTAGCAATAATAATTTTGTGAAGTAGGACTCAGCATGATTGAAAATGCCTTACTTTATTCTAGTTCTTTATTTTCCAGAACATTTATCCTCTTCTAAAATACCATGTCTTATATATTTATTATATTTATTGATTTTCTTACCCATCTAGAACACGAGATCATGAAATAAAGGTATAGATCTCTTTTATGTTATGTTTTCACCGGGACCAAATATAATGCCCAGAGTGGTGTCAATTTGAAAATATTAAAATTGAAATTCAAACTTAGGTCTCAAGTGTTCATAATTTAATTTTCTAAACCAAGGTTGAAAATTAGACAATAGCCAATGAGATTCTTAAAAACTTATTTCAACTAAACAATTGTGTATCAAGGGCCTATCATCTGCAAAATAGTTTATAAGTAGTATAACATACAAAAGTAAACAAACTAGAATCTATTTTCCAGTTTATCATGGTCGTCTGTGTAACCCAGACAATTACAGATCTAACTATACAGTGGAGAGTTATTAGTTATGACAGAGATAAAAAAGCATTCTATGAAAACACAGGATTCAATTCTGTTTGGGAAAACTGAGACAGACTTTGAGGATAAAACCTTACTTGACCTGAATTTTTAATTATATGCCTCCTTGAAAAAATGTAATAAACTAAATACACAAACTAAATAAATGCCACTCCTTCTAAGGTTAGCGCTGAAAGAATAATTTACACATATGGAGAGATAGTTAGATGCATAGATATATATATATTCCTAACATAAAACATGAGCCACAAATCATCTAAGGTTTGACATTCAGTTATTTATCACCTAACTTACCTGACACCAATTATTATTGTTCCAAGAATAAATGAGAAGTATCCTATGGAAAAACCAATCATGGGACAGGCTTCCCTAAAAGTTCTAAATGCTCTTGTCTGTATAAATGTTCTTCTTTCAATGAAAACTTTGTAAGGCATTGGTTTTATTTTTTTTTTTAAAGGGAAGGTGATAGTTCAAAAGATTTAGAATTAAGAATAGCACAGCTATTTGAAAAGAAACAAGGGTATAAGGCTTAAACCCCAAATCTTTAAATTTATACTATAATTTAATGAAAATCTTAATAGTAAAATAGAAATAAATAAAATGATGGCATATAATGAAATGACTGATCAGAGATATATCTGCGTATCACATATGTTTGCTTGCTATTTAATTTTGCTTATTTTTAACACAAATGTTCTGTGAGCAATTAATTATTCTTATTTCCTTTGCAAATTTTCACATACACAGAGCCATCAGTCTTAATCTTGCTATTTCTTCTTTTACTTTTATAGGTAGAAAAGCAGTCATCAAACTAAGATAAAAATAATTATTCACAGATTTTTTCATTTTTATTTTAGATTTATGTATTTAACTTTTCTGATTGAGCTGCAAACTACTTTGCAACATGTTTTTATATAGAAATCCAATCCAACAATATATTTTTAAAATGGGTTAGTATTAGTCTCAACATCATTTATTCAATAGTCAATATTTCTCTCACTGAATTCAGGTGTATGCTTGTTACATAATGGCAAATTATATAAACACTACAGAAATAATTTTATTGAATGGTAAATTAAAAAGACCATTTAATAAAATTGTTGAGAAAATGAATAAGACTTTATGAGCAAAGAAATGTGAAAGGGTATAGCTATGAATCTTTTAAAAATATTTAAGTAGGTTATACTAATGGAGGGTCAATTTACTTTCCCAGAATGTGTTTATAGCCATTAAAAGGTTTTGATCGTTTGTGTCATTAAAAAAAAGGTTGTTTGTTTTTAATCAGAGAAAGATGGGGTAATTTGGCTTGGGAAGGAAGGAGAAGACAAGGAAACAGCAGAGGAGAAGGAAACTCAAACAAAATGGAGTTTAAGGAATTATATCTCATCATTTGCTGATCCTAGACAATTTTTTGGTCTGCTATGAGAACAAAAGAAAGTACTCAAAACAGACAAAGTTGTTCAAAATGGACTTTGACACTGTGGACACAGTAAAGTGTCCTTAAGCTATAGGTGACAGAGTGGGAAAAAGGCCTCTCTGACCTGCCTCTAGCAGCCCTCTGAGAGTGGGAAGATTTTGGCAAAGCCAAAGTCAGTACCCTTGGCACACAGACACATTACAGTCATTAGACTGGCCAGTGGTCAATGCCATGATTTTATGTCAAGTGCCTTACTAGGAGTAGGAATAGGAAAGAAAGAATAAAAAGTTAGTTGGTGGGCATATGTGAGGAAAGCCCTTCATAAATCAAGCAAATAACTGGATGTCCTTTCTTAAGAGCCAATTTTCTGCTCTAATTGGTTAGTGGAGGCTAGAGCTGCTACAATTTGTTCTATAAAGTCAAATTGTCCTTTTATAGAAACAGATTGTTAAGTCTTAGAAGTCAAGATTATACTTCAGATAAAAAAATAAAGTTATAGCTAGTTGATATGGTTTGGTTCTGTGTCCCCACCCAAATCTCACCTCATATTGTAATCCCTATAATCCCCACGTGTCAAGGGTGGGATCAGGTGGAGGTAATTGGATCATGGGGGTCATTTCCCCCATGCTGTTCTCATGATAAGTGAGTAAGTCCCAAGAGATCTGATGGTTTTATAAGCGTCTGGCATTTCCCCTGCTGGCACTCATTCCCTCTCCTGCCGCCCTGTGAAAAGGAGACTTCCGCCATGATTCTAAGTTTTCTTGAGGCCTCCCCAGCCACGTGGAACTGTGAGAAAATTAAACCTCTTTCCTTTGTAAGTTACCTAGTCTCAGGTATGTCTTTATTAGCAGTGTGAGAACAGACTAATACGTCAATCATAATAGCCAATATAGTTCGAAATTCTGATTTGTTAGACATTGTTCTAAGCACAGTGATTACATTCATTCATCATACCCTTAAGCAGAAATGTGCATATTATAATGTGTGACCAAAGAGACCATTGTAGCTTCGTAGTTGACAGGTTCCAATCAGATATCCTTGAAATGTCTTTGGTAGTAATGGTCCTAATATATAGAAAAATTAAGAACCAAATTCAGAATCACAACCAGTAAATATATTAGTTGAATTCTATAAAATGGTAGAGCTATCTGGATTGATGATACTAACACTAATTTGACCTAAAAATAAGGTAATGAGAAGCATTAGTCTCACAGGCTTCACTTAATAGATCTATAAGAAAAACTTCCTTTAAAACTGGATAGTTTCACTGAAAAGTTCTATTAATGCTACACCTACGGTTTCCCAGGGATGGAGTAATCCCACTGCTGGTTATCCACCTTAGGTAAATAAACACTTATCTTCATGGAAAATCCACACACAAAATATTCATCGTGGTTTTATTCATAATCATCCACATTTGGGAACAACCCAAAAGTCCTTCAATGGCAAAGGAATAAAGAAACTGTGAGAGGTCCATACAATGGAATATTAATCAAGAATGAAAAGGAAAGAACTATTGATAAACAACGACAGGGATGAATCTCAAAGATATGATGCTAAAGAAATAAACCAGTCTTAACAAATAAATATTTTAATATAAGAATTCTTATAAATGATATTCTAGAAAAAGCAAAATTATAGTGACAGAACAGATGGCTGGTTTCCAGGGGTTGAGTATGGAGGAAATGTATTACTAAAAAGATCAGCATGAGGGAATTTTGGGGTAAGCACTGATGAAAATATTCTCTAACCTGATTGTGGTGGTGTTACATGATTCTATTCCTGTATAAAAACTCACAGGACTATAGGTCACAAGAGTCAATTTTATGGTATTTTAATATTGAAGTGGAGTAACTTTTTAAAATAAGAGACTAAATATATTACACTGACAAGGTATGCCCCCAAATATAATTATATACTTTATGAAAGAGCAAATTGAAAGTCAGAAAAATTTAGAATTAAGTATAGAGATATCTAAAAAAAATTTATTAGCATCCTGAAAGACATAAATCTATGCAATTAGATAAATTAGATCCAAATAGTTATTTTTAAAGAACTTAACCTATAAATTTAATGTAATAGCCTTATAAAATATGTTGTTTGCTATTCTATTTACTTTTAATTTTTATTTAAAATGTTATTGTTGATACACAGTATTATAATGCTTCTAATAACATGATTTACCATATTTATTGTCTTATTGTACTTTCAGTAATTACTTATCTGTAAATGTTTTAATTTAGGTAATTATATATTTAAAATGAAATCAAATATCATACATTTAATTTAAAATATATGGGCTTAATTAACTTTGTATATTAATGATGCTGAACATTATTCAAAGGCCATTTAGAAATATCCTTAAAATATCTTAGACTTTTAAGTAGAATAATAAAAATCAGAGCTTGAATATAAAAGTTTTAAGAAGAGTAGGCATTTAGAAAATTTGTATACAAATCAAAATAATACTCAGATAACCTTGTCTTCACATAAATTTATCCTGAATAGCATCAAAGACCCAACACTAACAGGTATTATTATTCTCTATTTTAAAAATGAGAAAACTAAGGCACCAAGAGGCTACTTACTTGTCTTATGTCACACAAAACACGGTCCAAAATTATTTCAAGAGAGAAGAAATAAGTGTTCTTACAATTTTAATATGTTTGTTGGCCACATAAATGTCTTCTTTTGAAAAGTGTTCCTATACTTCACCCACTTTTTGATGGAGTTGTTTGATTTTTTTCTTGTACATTTGTTTAAGTTCCTTATAGATTCTGGATATTAGTCCTTTGTCAGATGGATAGATTGCAAAAATTTTCTCCCATTCTGTAGGTTGCTTCTTCACTCTGATGATAGTTTCTTTTGCTGTGCAGAAGCTACTTAGTTTGATTGGATCCCATCTGTCAATTTTGGCTTCTGTTGCAATTGCTTTTTGTGTTTTAGTCATAAAGTCTTTGCCCATGCCTATGTCCTGAATGCTATTGCCTAGGTTTTCTTCTAGGGTTTTTTTTATGGTTTTAGATTTTATGTTTACATATTTAATCCATCTTGAGTTAACTTTTATATAAGGTTTAACGAAGGGGTCCAGTTTTAGTTTTCTGCATATGGTTAGCCAGTTTTCCCAGCACCATTTATTAAGTAGGAAACCCTTTCCCCATTGCTTGTTTTCGTCAGGTTGGCCAAAAATCAGATGGTTGTAGATGTATGGTGTTGTTTCTGAGGTTCTTGTTCTGTTCCACTGGTATATATATATATCTGTTTTGGTACCAGTACCATGCTGTTTTGGTTACTGTAGCCTTGTTGTATAGTTTGAAGTCAGGTAGAGTGATACCTCCAGCTTTGTTCTTTTTGCTTAGGATTGTCTTGGCTATACGTGCTCTTTTTTGGTTCTACATGAAATTTAAAGTATTTTTTTTCTAATTCTGTGAAGAGGCTTAAGGATAGCCTGATGGGAATAGCATTGAATCTATAAATTATTATGGGCAGTATGGCCATTTTTACAATATTGATTCTTCCTATCCGTGAGCATGGGATGTTTTTCCATTTGATTGTGTCCTCTCTTATTTCCTTAGCAGAGGTTTGTAGTTCTCCTTGAAAAGGTCCTTCACATCTCTTGTAAGTTGTATTCCTAGGTATTTTATTCTCTTTGTAGCAGTTGTGAATGGGAGTTTGCCCATGATTTGACTCTATTATTGGTGTATAGGAATGTTTGTGATTTTTGCACATTGATTTTGTATCCTGAGATTTGCTGATGTAGCTTATCAGCTTAAGGAATTTTTGGGTGGGGACGATGGGGTTTTCTAAATATACAATCATGTCGTCTGCAAACAGAGATAATTTGACTTCCTCTCTTCCTATTTGAATACACTTTATTTCTTTCTCTTGCTTGATTGCCCTGGCCAGAACTTCCTATACTATGTTAAATATGAGTGGTGAGAGAAGGCATCCTTATCTTGTGCCGTTTTTCAAAGGGAATGCTTCCAGCTTTTGCCCATTCAGTATGATATTGGCTGTGGGTTTGTCAAAAATAGCTCTTATTATTTTGAGATATTTTCCATCAATACCCAGTTTATTGAGTGTTTTTAGCATGAAGGGGTGTTGAATTTTATCGAAGGCCGTTTCTGCACCTATTGAGATAATCATGTGATTTTTGTCATTGATTCTGTTTATGTGATGGACTACGTTTACTGATTTGCATATGTTGAGCCAGCCTTACATCCCAGGGATGAAACTGACTTGGTCGTTGTGGTCATTAGAGAAACGCAAAAAAAAACCACAATGAGATACTATCTCATACCAGTTAGAATGGCAATCATTAAAGTCAGGAAACAACAGATCCCGGAGAGGATGTGGAGAAATAGGAATGCTTTTACACTGTTGGTGGGAGTGTAAATTAGTTCAACCATTGTGAAAAACAGTGTGGTGATTCTTCAAGCATCTAGAAGTAGAAATAGCATTTGACCCAGCAATCCCATTTCTGGGTATATATCCAAAGGATTATAAATCATTCTACTATAAAGACACATACACATGTATGTTTATTGCAGCACTATTCACAATAGCAAAGACTTGGAACCAACCCAAATGCCCATCGATATCAGACTGGATGAAGAAAATGTGGGACATATATACCATGGAATACTATGTAGCCATAAAAAAGAATGAGTTTTTGTCCTTTGCAGGGACATAGATGAAGCTAGAAATTATCATTCTCAGCAAACTAACACAGGAACAGAAAAACAAACACCGCATGTTCTCACTCATAAGTGGGAGTTGAACAATCAGAACATGTGGGCACAGGGAGGGGAACATCACACACTGGGGCTTGTGAGGGAGTGGGGGATAATGGGAGGGATAGCATTAGGAGAAACACCTAATATAGATGACGGGTTGATGGGTGCAGGAAATCACCGTGGCACATGTATACCTATGTAACAAACCTGCACATTCTGCACATGTATCCCAGAACTTAAAATATAATTAAAAAAATTTAAAACAAATCACATGTAGAGTAAGAGAACTAACCAGAAAAGTTGAAATTAAATGTATATAGAAAAGTTGGAAATTTGTAACAAATATATTAAACAACCAGACTAATAAAAATTACTGTAATTAAGCATTTTTTAAAAAATAATTCTTATAATTGTAAATTATAAACCCTGAAGGGCAACTGAGGTACATAAATGTTAAAAATGCTAGTATATCTGATAATCTCCTTACTGGGCATTTCTTCCTCATGAAAAATAATGTTTATTTAAGTAGAAAATTGGGGAAAAAACATCATATATTAAATACTTGGTTAAACCTACACAATATAAATAATTCCTAAGCTATTTGGTATAATATAATGTAACTCTATTTTTTCTAGATGAATATTTAAATATTGCTGAAATGATATAAGTAAAAAAATTGGAACTAGTAAGGACATATGACTTTAAATACACTCAGGTATATCTTCACATAACACATGAAATACATGGAGAGAAGAAAGAATTGAATGTCATATACCAAATTGTTTGCAGTGGTTTTTCCTTGGTGGAGAGCTTATTTCTGCTTTTTCTAAATTCCTGACTTAATGAACATATACCTGAAAGCAGAAACAAATATTTTCCATTAGAAAGTAGACAAGCAGTGCTTAAGTACACTATAGTATGTAGTGATTCGTTCACTGTTAGGAAGACCTGTAAGCTTGTCACTAGGGCAGTTAGTGTTGTCTGCTGTATAGTTGTATTAACAATACAACTAATGCTCTCCTTTTCATCAGCATCTTCTCCCAAAGGATTCCATGGAGCAGTTTCACACACTAGGTACTTACCGGTAATGCAGAAAAAACTGAACATTTAAGCAAAACACCTTTTAGGTAGGTGTCTTATTTTACTTGTAGTAGTTCTTCTAACGTGATACCCCAGTATTTGTAGTATATATGTTCATTGGTAGTCTCCAATTCCAAAGAGCAAATGTAGGTACAGATGTTCAACCTCTAAAACCTTAGCAAAACTAAAGGCCAGGAAAGGCACAAAACTCAGCAAAATTCCTTATTCGCCCTCTGCATTTTTCCACTGGGTAAAATATCATAATCCAAATTAGATTTCCCTCTGGCCTAATTGCTATAGACTTCCTCCAAAGGGCTTGAGGCACTCTTGTTCTACTCCTTGCTGTTTTCACTCAGCCAGCCAGATTTTTGAACAAGAGTGTATGCAATGTACAAGATTAATCTTCTCCTGAAAATAGCATCCTCTAGTAGTGGATAATCCATGAAAGCCTAAAAATTAAAGGAAATCTTTTAAGTTCAAGTAAAATGAGCCAGGGATTTGGTTCGTCTCTTGTTTTGCCTTTGATATTTAGATCCCTGTCTGAGCCCACTTAGACATTTACTAGACCTCCAGGTATGAGGGATGCAGCTTTGTTTTGACATCAAAGTTCGGGGGAAATGTAGAATGCTAATGAGCACTGCAAGCTCCAAAGGACATGATTAAGCTGTAATTGGTAAGCAGGTGCAACTCAGCGAAAAATCTGCAGGAGAGAACCGTCAACTTGGAAATACAAAATAAAAATAATCTCGTCTGATTTGTCCTGTTTTCTTTCTTCTTTCTTTTTCTTCTTAAGATAATAATGTACAGCTAATAACTGGAGATATTGATTCATTATCTTTTCTGCAGAGGTTGCTGATTGAGGTATTAATCCATGGCAAGCAGAACAGATCAAATATTTGTCACACAAAACTAGATTAAAAGATCACAGATCCTGAAATGGGGATACTTCCAGTTTTATGTGAGTAAAGTAGAATATTCTGTGCTCATCATCTACCTCACCTTGCTCACAAGATACTTGCCCCTACTGCTGCTACAACAACGTATGGACTACTGGAGTTTGTGGGCAACCCATCAATGCTAACCAAAGCAAGTCCTGAAATCCATCTTGCTGGAGCGTGTTTGCTCAGAGGAGTGAAGCCATTTGTGCAGTACCTCAATAGGAACTTAATGTGAAGAGAATCTGATTGCCAGCACCAAATTTGCTTCACAACTAGGTAGCACCTATTTGTAAGGAGCTGAGAAAAGATTGGCACTTAGGTAATGGGATGAAATTAAGCAAGATATTGAATTGCTTTGTCATGGAAGGATGTAAATTAAGCAAGATACTGAACTGCTTTGTCATGGAAGGATGTACTAAAGTTAGATCCTTTTTTCACATGTCTTGTTTTGATGGTGAGGTGAGGGCTCTTGTTCTGATTTCACTATCTGTTAGTGATATCAGATAACAGATAGTGATAACAGATCACTCTCTGTTCTGATAGTGATATCAGAACAAGAGCCCTCACCTCACCATCAAAACAAGACACATGAAAAATATTCAGTGAAAATATTCTGATGTAATCACTTTGCCTCCTGTGTTGACAACAAAGAGTAATATACATGGGTTTTATTCTTTATTATTTTATTTCACATGAAGACCTGCAGTATTTTTTTAAAAACCTGTGTGTGTGTGTGTGTGTGTGTGTGTGTATGAATTTCTGTGGTGTCATTGTACTGTTGTTTATAATGTCTTACTGTGTTCACATTTTTACGGCGTTGCTGGTAATTCTATGAAACAAGATTACAGACTGTTGTTGTTTATAATAATACATTTAGGTTTCAAAGTGTCGGAGGTAACGTGGTGACTCTTTTCTTGGGTTGATCTTGAACTCTCTATTTGGACAGTGCTTTAAATATAAATTTATAGAGAGTTCGGTCCCAATTTGCCACTTTAAAATGAGTTAATTGGATTATGAAGCATCTAAGTGTCCTTCCACATTATTGATTACATCAAATTTCCCAGTAGCTTAGCTAAAAATGCATCTCAGATTACCTTAAGCTGAAGGTTTTCTTTCTTTTACTATACTTATGAAAGTCAATAAAGAAATTATTTTTTTCCCTGGCAAGTTAGGAAAATATCTGAAATTCTGAAAATTTCCTTAACAGAGATCCTTGGAAGAGATTTTGTCAATAATATAAAACTGTCTTACATCTGACTGTACATAACTTCTTGTATTTCTTTAAACAATTACAGCAAATTTGCTTTTACCAGCAGTGACTGAGAATGTGTTTCATTTAATCAAATTCTCATTAATGGGAACCATTTTTTTTAGAGAGTTTATAATTTGATTCATTTTTCAAAATCTTGTTTTAATTATTTTGATTAGTATTGAGCCTAATTTAATACTTGTTTATTTGTATGTCTTCAATGTATTTTCTATTTTTACTTGTCTTTATCACTGAGCCATTCATATATTGTTTATTTATGAGTTTATTTATTAGAATATCACCTCTATGTCACAATTGTTGATATCCAGAGTTTTCACTTTTAATTTGTTTTGGTATTTTTTATCTCACAGAAATTCTTTTAGCTCTAGTTTTGTTTAATACGTTTATGAATTACCATCATCTAGTTATTCATAGATTCACATATTCAACTTCTTTCAAAGATTATTTCATTCTGATTAGAAGAAAATACATGCTCTAAAAGTAGGAAACTATATACAAACTATAAAACTACTATCTATCATCCCACCAGAAGAAATACCTATTGATTTATTTTTGCCTGTTACTTAATCTCATTATCATGTGCATTTAAATGCATACATATGCAGCTCTGAACACTTCATACCATGCTCACTCCACCTAGCTGGAACTACCTGTTCCGGAATTTCTTTCTTTGCACGATTCCAAATTAGGTTTGACCACAGAGAGATTGCAGCAAAACTGGAAGGCATAAGTGACAAGGCAGATAAAGGATTATCTGGAGGAAGGGCAAGGGCCCACAGCACAATGAGGGCTCACACTTTGCTGCTGATCTGCCCGCTGATCCCACCAGATTTTCTCCTTCAGCTTGTTGAGTCCCTGGGCCAAGAGTGTGTGCATCATCATAGCAAAAGATTCCACATTCTCCTGCATGTCATCTGTGTCACGCCTAAGAGACAGGTATAGGTTTCTATTTGTTTTCCTAAGTTCCAGTTCGTCCATTTTGTTTCATTTGTCCTAATTCTCCCTCAATTTGCATACAGTTTTGTTGTTTTTTTTTTCTGACTGCCAGTCCCGCTGACCTGTAATAATGACTTTGGGCTCATCATCAGACTCAGGGTCAATGGTTTCGCTTAGACTTCTCTGCCAGCTTCCACAACTGTATAAGGATTGACCCCTATGGCAAATTCCTTATTTATTTTACACAAGGTGGTTCTGTTTCTCTGATGAAATGTCACATGAAATATTAAAGAAAAAAATTGGGATTTGACCGTGTGGTTTATTCAGATTTTCGCCCTATACTTTCATTATATAACAAATATTTTATATGTCACTCTTTGAAAGAAATATCAACAATAATTTAATTTCTGTAACATTTTCTGTTATGAATAGAGAGAAATTAATACAACCATTTCTGTATATTGAAATGTTTTACTGTTTCCATAGTGAACCTTCTTATATATAAATATTTATGCAAATCTATGATCATATTCTTACCTTAAATCTCTAGAGATAGAACGACTAGGCCAAATGTAATGACTTTTTAGTGTTTATATACAAATCACTTTCCAGAAATGCTAATAGTTCCACCAACAGTATAAAAGGGAGATCATCCTATAACAACATTGACTTATAAAATTTTTATTTACCAATATTATAAGCAAAGTCTTTTCTCTTAAGGCCAACAGTATATTTATCTGCATTTTCTTTATTTTATTTTTTCCATTTTTACCTGCTATCTAGATTTATTTAATAATTCCTTTAAACATATACAATCCCCACTGAATTAAACAAAAAAAATTATTTTAATGCAAATACTTTATAAAATATTTCACCACTAGAAGTTTTATGTTGATATCACCAGAGCAATATATATCAAGTTAAAAATATAAACTGTACAAAGAAAAAATTGATAATTTAATTTTTCTGATATATATATATACCTATTAACATACTTACTACTAGTAATTTTTTTCAGCTATATGGTGAATATATTCTGTGGAAGCATAATGAGTGTGTATGTGTGTCTGCATGTATGTATTTTTATAGTATAAGATAATTAAATCTTTATCTTTTCTGTTGTGGTGCTTTTGGTTTCTTTTTAATTATTACACACATTCTGAGATAATCATATACATATGTAAATTTCTATGTATACCATCAAATATTTCCTCAGGATAATTTTCAGAACTGAAATAATCAGGGCATTTTTTTTCTTTTTCTTGAAACTTAAATATTTAACAGAACTTATATTTAAGAATTTGTCTATTCAAATTCCGTTGAGCCCGATAAACATCAATTTTCACATACAGATATTAAATTCTGGATAATTTTGTATTATTTCATTCCACCTTGTGCATTCTTTTAAAAATTCAATCCTAATTCTCAAAAATTTTACACACATGCACACACACATACATATGCTACATACAGGTAAGTTCTCCATAGTAGGCATGCGCCTTCATTAATTAAATCTTTTTGGCTGATTTTCCTGGGAATTCCTTCGTCGTTACATAGATACCCCAGACCCATTGCCTTCCTGTCACCACCACTTCTAATTACTTGGTTCACAGCTCAAATTGCAATTCACTGTAATTGGTCTATTTCTGTCTGGGATATATTGCATTATTAGATGTGTAGCCTTTAAATGCACATTGACACAAATGGCAACCATTGGAAATTCAGGTGAGTAATGATCTGAAATGCTCACGGCTATCTTAGAAAACAGTTAAGTATTATAATGTACACTTCAATTGTAAAATGGTAGAAAATTAATCAGATGCAGTGGCTAACCACATTAACCTGAAAGCCCTTTATTAAACTATTTGATCCTCTCTCAAATTATTCTGTAAACTAGAGAGGGTTTTGAAACCTATTTCCATCTATCAATAATGACACAGAAGTCCAAAGTCTTTAGTGACATATCCAAAGTCACCCAAAGTTGGTGACCCGACTAGGAGTGAATCTAAGGTCACAGATTTGCTAATTTCTACTGGCCTCATTATAGCATAGGCTAATTTGGAAGTAAACAGAATGAGCCTAATTATCTTTTATGAACTTTATTTCCCAGGGGCAAATCATCTTATGCCAGGTTATATATCATTGTGCCATACTGGCACTTTTAATATAAAAGCAAAACCAAATTGTTGACATACTTGTTGAAATGCTCATTTGGTTATACACATATTAATAGGTTTGATGTCCTTTACGTTAATAAAATGGAGCATTTTGTTTTCAATTTGTTTCTAAGAATATTATGCCAGCTCCTGGAGTCTAAATGCCTACAGCTGGTTGTTAATAAGAGTGAGGTAGGAAATTTGATTTCTTTATGAAATAAGTAACATTCATGATCACAGTTGCACTTTCAATTCTGGGCAGTGGTCCCATGATTCTAAGCTCAGAAATTTATTCTGTTAATTGCAGAGAGCACAAAAGAGACCTGGCTGATGATTGAAAACCAGCTCTTGGTATTTGTTATTCAGCTAGAGTTATTTCTCCTGCTGGTACATTGCATACGCTTACATAAAGAGTTGCTTATTTTATATGCCTAATTACAACACTTTTGTCCAAGACTATAATCACAATACCTTAAAATAAAACATTTTGTAGGATTTGCTCTCTTGAAATAATGCAGAACTTTTTCCTTCTGATATTGTAGTATTTTTGGTGTTCATTTGCTTTAAATCCAGTTATAATGTTGGAAAGGATTTAATTATAATCTGTTTGTAATTTACTAGAAGTTATAGTTATGTTTTAAATATCATTTCAGTAAGAATATATTTGCTCATTAAATACATATGAATATAAATATTGACATAAATAGAGATATATACATATAAATATAGAGATTTGATATAAAACATGCCTACAATGTGTCAGACATGGTTAGAAAATCTGTGATAAAAATGGTTGTATAAAATGCCTTTCCAGTGTATCACAGCTTCTCTTCATATTGCAAGTCAAAACTTACATAGTGATTTAAATGCAAACATATTCCCCGTCAACCAGGACGGAAGATGTCAAAGAGTCTTCTGATATTCATACAAAGAGCTGAGCAGGTATCTGTACTTGTCTTTTAATAAATGACATTTCCTTTAGCATATGATTATCATTTTGTTACAAATACAATAATCTATAAATTTGCTCTCTGCTTATGGGTTGTTGAGCTAAATGGAAGTGAAAGAAAGATTGAGAAAAAAATATGTTGTACTATGTTCTAATACTTATATTGCTTAGATGAATTCAGAACTGCTTTCATCAAAGTTGTCCAAATAAAGCTTCAATGTGCTCAAAACATGCTATGGCAGATTATGTTCAACATTAGAATGCTATTTACATGCTATGTTATTTAGAGTTTTAAAAACTTAAGCAGAATAATATGAACAAGGAAAGAATGTGGTAGAATTCTTTCCGACTTCCCTAATCTTATTGGTCAAGATAATGTATTGGAAATATTCATAGATAATGTGTTACATAAAATGATCAGATCAGAAATTGGGTTCACATTTTCTTTGATCTATATGAAAAAATGCTATTCGTTATTTTATTTGTGTCTTTGTTTAACAGGTATTTATTAAATGTGTTTAATTTCTAAGACTATGTGCATTGTCTCTAAGCACCACTCAGTATTTGTTGCTACATTAAAATATTTAAAATGAGGAGCTTTATTATTTAATTGGTCTATTTCTCACTTACGTGGAATAGATTTGAACTCATTAAACTGAATATTTGTTTATTAGTGATTACTCAAATAAGTGTTGTAGTATTTTTTAAAAACCTTGAAATATTCAGACATGAATATATTCAAATAATCTTAAAAGGATTTGAGAAACTTTCTCATAAAATGTTTTTAATTTATTTATATAATTAGTTAATTAATACCTTGGAAAATTATATATTAAGCACCTCACATATAACAATATTGCTATATACTAGGGCTATAATAGTGAGTAAAATATAGTCTATGATTTCATGAAGAATTTAGACTACTGAGAAAGTTTATTGTTGATTAGATCATCAAGAAAATACATAATTAGTTATATGCTCTATTAAGTTTTATGTAAGGTAGGTATAGAGGGCAACGAAAACATACGATACAGGGACAGAACAATAACTAATGGAATGTGGGAGAAAGAAAGAAAATGTCAAAGATTAAACTTTGGCTCTTTGCTGCACACACAGGTGGGAACATTCAGAGATGGGGGATCTGAAGATATCATATTGCACAACTTCATAGGATACCATTCACAGATTTGAGGCGAAGACCATTAACGGTGATTTGGAAATGTTGCATTTGAGCTGCATGGAAACATCCAAAAAAGGGTTTTAAGCAAGCAAGTGGATACATGGGTTGAAAATTCAGAGAGAATACTTGGAGTGGAGAAATACATTTGTAAATTACAGGCTGCAGAGGGTAAATGAGGCCATGTGACAAAAACAGCAACAACATAAAAATAGTACCTACAAAATTTAAATATTTTAAGTCCTAATGGTAGAGTTGAGCAAAAAATGAAAATCGAATAGAGAATAGAGAAATAGAATGAAAACCAAGATGTATACAATCACAGAGTCACAGTTGACTATTTCAAGGAAGTATTATTATATAATAAGATTGAATGCCAATGATAGATAAAAAATGCTGATACCTAAAATATTATCCACTTGATTTCATAGCATAAAGGTCATTAACTCATGACAATGTGACCAAATTTAAAAGCAAACAATCTCAGTATATGGAATGAACATTACAAATTATAATGTTTCTCATTTTATTTAGTGCTGCTTTCAAAATACTGTAAAATAACTTCATTTAATATAATTCTAACACCACAAGGATTAATTTTACTTAATTTTGATTCCTTTTTGTCTTTCTTTATAAGATCTTCTAAAAATATTTGTTTACGTAGTACTTTTTTAGTGGTGAAGCATGGTAACAGTAATCTCCTTAATACTTGCATGAATGTATGCTTTACTTTTGGAAAACATACATTTCATGCCTATGGCAATTTTCTAAAAATTGTACAATTAAGTTTCTCTGTTCATTTAACTTCTTTTTTCTTTTTTTTTCAAATTCTCCTCAGGGATCTCAGTGCAATTAAGGGAAAATGCTCAGGAAGGGGAGTACAATGAAGTAAAACAGTTAAGTCAATGAGTATTAACCAGGCCAACCCTGGGTAGATATCACAATCACCTGGAGAACTTTAAAAATTCTAATGACCATTCCTCACCTACGAAGATATGATGTAATTAATATGCAGCGATAGCCAAGCACTGTGACTTGTTTAAAGTCTTCTTCTCCTTTCCCACCCTAGATGATTCTAATTGTCTGATAGAATTAAGAAACACTGATCGTATTGGCTTCCTCCCACCCCTCCCCCTACTATCCTATTAAATGAGGATATATTACTAAGATATTACTGAGTGAGTGTAACCAAGAGAGACATGAACTGCTTCCTGAGTTAGTCTCTTTCCCCAATTAACATTTATGGTCTAAGTACTTTCCCGTAATCCAGATGAGTCTACCATAAATACATATACACAGAAAAAAAAAGACAGGGAAATAGATGTTAGGGAGCATTTCAATCAATTTGAAAACTGTAGAAAAAATGAAATACATATCCTATAATTTAAAAATACAAAATCTTAACTTTTATGTTCATTTGATGATTTTGTCATTGTCTGGACAGAACAAAAACTAAGATTGGTATACTTGTAGATAGTTTAATAAAAAATAAACTGAAGTAGAGAGGATGAAATAAAAAGGATGAAAAGGAAAAAAAAATCACATCAGATTATAAGAGGCATAACAGATGCATAGAGTCCCAGAGGAGAGAAGAAAGAAATGAAACAGAAGCAATATTTGAAAGAATAGTGGCTGATAAATTTCTCAAAGTAATGAAATATATTAACCCACATATTCAAGAAAGAACAACATTGGACTCAGTAGTACATCATAATCAAACTGTAAAAATCCAAAAATCTTAAAATCAGTCAGAGAAAAAGTGATTACCTTCAAAAGAGCAATAATGATATTAAGGTTATTTATAAACAAAATAGTTGAAAGCCAGAAGATGATGGAATAACTTATTTAGAATATGAAAAGAGCAAAAGTGAAAATATAGAATTATAAAATTCTAGTAAAAATATCCAAAAATGAAGATGACATATATATTTACAGAAAAATAGAATCCTTAGCAGACTACCAGTTTAAAAATGCAGACTAAAAGGAGTTCTACAAATGGAAGAAACTTTGTCACTTTTGGAAGCATAAAACCTTGAAAAGTATAAGGTGTACTGAAGTGTGTAATAAACTCTAATATGTTTACAACACAAATGAAAATGTCTTTTGAGGTTTGGTACCTAAATAAACACATAGGCAACTGCAGCATGGCCCTACCTGCTTTTCCCCAATGTGACCCTCAACATTCACCCACACTCCCAATAATCAAGTGGATATCCAGCTTCCAAAAAGCTTTGCTTCCTTTGAGCCAAGTTATTTTTTTCCTGCCCACTTCTAAGTTACAGCATTTTAAATGACTTCCCATCACAATTAGAATAATATCTAAATCCAGTCTCCTAACATACCGGGCAATACTAGTCCCAGGGACTAGTTCCTGCTACCCTTACAACGTCGTAACATTCAACTCTCCATATAACTCAATGGACTGTCTGTTCTTCACTTTGTTTAAACGGGTAGCTGGTCTCTGCCAGGAATACTCCTCTGCTCATTTGTGGATTTCCCTGCTTCTTTTGCAGGTCTTAAAGAGACCTCCAAAAATGAGTCCACATTCTTGTTCTCATAATCATAATTTCCTGATTCCATTGTGATTATTTTGAATTATTTTCTTTATTTGATTTGGTTCTTTGATTTAATTAGACACCCCTTAAAACTTTAAACTGCATGAACATAAAACAAGCTTTATTTTATTCTCTGTTTTATTATTTGCATCCAGTTACCTGCCTGGTACATTGCAGAGGCTCCATCAATACTTGTTGAAAGAGTGAATGATAATGAACACCTAAACCCTAGTTGATTAATCTATCAAATAAAGGTGTGGGCTAGACAATTTACACAAACTACTCTGATGTCAATAAGAATATTATAGTATACTTGAATAACATAATTTGGCAAGTCTAATTATTTCACTCAAATTAATTGTCTAAAGAATCTTACTCGATTGATAGTTAATAAATGTATTTGTTGGGTTAGTGGAGTAGGTTAGAGCAAATGTTATAATTCCAGGCCAAATCAATTACTAAATTGCTTCTATGAAAAGGTGAAATAGTTCAGTGCATTTTATCCACAGCATTTTCATTTCACAACATTTATATTGACAGTTTTGAAACCCAAGTTCTGAAACACTATTGCTAGTTCATTCAAAAGCAGGAAACAAAAAAAAATTGCAATGTGGGTAGTACACACTTATAGCAGTTTCTGGTTTACATTTATTTTATTATTTTTTTTGAGACAGAATCTTGCTCTGTTGCTCAGGCTAGAGTGCAGTGGCATGATCTCAGCTCACTGCAACCTCTGCCTCTGGGTTCAAGTGATTCTCCTGCCTCAGCCTCCCGAGTAGCTGGGTCTACAGGCATGCACCACCACACGCAGCTCATTTTTGTATTTTTTGTAGAGACAGGGTTTCACCATGCTGGCCAGGATGGGATGGTCTTGATCTCTTGACCTCGTGATCTGCCTGCCTCGGCCTCCCAAAGTGCTGGGATTACAGGCATAAGCCACTGCACCCAGCCTCTGGTTTACTTTTGCTGACTCAAGAATTGTAAATATTTCAGATTGAAAATAATATATGTTTTTATCTAAGTAATCTACAATTGAAGGATAAACTTCAGTATCTCATTCTCAGTGAAACTGAACTAATTCAACATATTAAATGGACAATCTTTAGTGGATTGAATCATGAATACCAATTTCCCCTCTTGCCTACGAAGCAGTCATATCCCAAACTGCCAGAAGTGTTGACTTCTGAGGGCTCACAGCTGAATCCCCCTCCAAGAATTGCCCTCATCTCCTCCCCCAAAGGATAATGTTTCACCTGATATTACATTCCCTCTTCAATTAATAATTGCCTTCAACAAATTATTGGTTAATGTGAGGAGAAAAAAGCCTGTCTTCAAATAGCAACAACTCCCCAAAGGTGTAGTTCCTCCAGCGTTGCCTGTGAAATTGGCTGTGTGCTATCAACTGCACCACACTTCTTCATTCTCACTCTGACCAATCCTGTTTCTCTCAAACTCTTAACGGTGTCATTCATAAGAATACTCTCCATTAATATCCCTGTATGCAAATCTCTGTCTCAAGGTTTTATTTCTGAGGAACTGCACCTCAAAATAGAATTTTCCTATTTTCATGCTAAAAATGTTTTCTTGAAAATTTTGGAAGTCTCAATAAAAACATGGTTATAACCCATTTTAAATACCTTTCTTTCCTGTTAATTAGTGAGGAAATCACTTATACTGGTTCAGGTATAGAACAATGCTTTAATGAGCCATTAGCACCTGTATCATCTGGGAGCTTGTTAGAAGTGCAAAGACTCAGGCTCCCCATCGCAGCCCCCACTGCATTAAAATCTATAGACATAGGACCCAGAAATCTGTGGCAAAATCACTTCTACAGGTGACTCTTATGTATAGTTAGTATAGTTTAGTTAGAGAAGTATTGTAAATATTGGATATTAAGAAAGGAAGAATGGGTAAGACAGTTATCTAATTATACTAGGGAATAAGAAGTTATCTTTTAATTCAATAAAAATATTAAACTGATAAAAGAAACATCAATATTAAGAGACACATATTAGCTGTTATGGTTCATCCACATGTCTATAAATGAAACATATAATTATGAAGTAATATAAGTAGTTACATTTCCATTTCCATTTTTGGCCTCATACATTAGATTATTTCATCTCTTCCCTTCTGTCAATATTTAACTTTTCTATTTTTCCATCAAATCATTATTATATTTCTGAAAATTAAGTCATCAAAAGTCTTTTAGCAAGTCTAACAATTAAGAGCACAAAACCCATCTACTACTACTACTTTAGTTTACAAACTTAGTTTACAAATGGGCTACTACTTTACAGTTTACAAATTGCTTTCACATTTCATGTGTCATTTGATGCTAACAAAATTCAAGTGCCATTTTATTTTAATTGATAGATGAAAAGTTGATGTTAACTGAGGCCAAACAGCTTACTTAAAATCAAGTAGCTTGTAACTGATAGCATAACATTAAGGATTAGTTCATCTAAATCCACATCATGTCCCCTATTAAAAGAAGTTCAGATTTTAAGTTGGAAGGATCTTTTCATTATCTATCTATCCATCTATCTACCTACCTATCTCTGGTGATTGCTTTCTGATGTTCGTAGATTTACCTCAATGTATATTCTCCTTAAATTAAGAGAATATCTAGCACTTATTTAAGTCTGCAGTATATACTCCATATGTGCTACTTCCCTGGTGTCTTTCTTTTATTTTAGCCCAAGGATGTATGTGTAAATATATTCAATATGGCCTTATGCTGAAGAAGAAACCAGGACATTAAACTACCTGGAAGTCTGGAATTATTTTCCTGCTGATATTTGGTGAAGTGTATCCAATATATCACATGGAATGATTTTAGACAATATAAATGATCTTTATTAATTTTTAACACATTGTTCTGCACTATTTATTGAGTGTCTACTGTATGCCAATCATTTTTCTGGGTACTGCGTGTAAAGAGATAAAAGAAATAATGTCCCTGCCTTCCTAGAGAACATTGTCTAATGAAGCAGAAGGCGGATGACAAGTAAATACATAATAAAGTCATTACACAGTGCAAAGTATGTGAAAGAAATAACCATAAAAACTTGGGTGCTAAAATACAGAATAAGGGAAATCAGACGAACTGCAAAACATACATAGAAAATTGCTATTAATACTACTATTAGTTTTGCGTAATGAAACTCTATGATTGTACTTCCCTAACACAGTAAAATACTTGCAGCTAACAGCGTATTTAATGAAAATAATTATGTGGTCCATTCAGCATTACAAAATGCCTTCGTGTGTCTAGAGTTGAATATTTAAATGAATCCTCACTTTTCTTTATGATTATCCAGATTTACATGTCTCAATTAAATAATAAAATATTTCCCATAGTACTTCTATCCAACACCTTAACAACAAATTGCCTTGACCTTCATTTATTCCCTTTAGGTGCATGTTGAAAGGCTTTGCCAATAGAAAGGTCTCTGGTTATCTTTTAATATTTCTGTGGTTTGGAATGGAGACTGCTGCTGCCGCCACATGCAGTAGGTGATTTTATACCTTTCAAGAGCAGGCAGACGGTAGAAGCAGATGGGACATATTTATAATCCCACATATCCCCATTGAGCATCATTTAAACATCTGGCTTTGAGAAAGGGTCACCAGTGCTGGAATGAGTTCAAATGTTTTATAACCTGCTTCACCTATCCCATCATGTACATAATGATAGTTAGCAATTCTCAAAGCATTAGACCGTTCAAGTTCTTTCTCCCACTTTTTAAATTTATTCTGTACTTTTACTCTGAAGCAAAATATTCTCAGTAAAAAAAAAATGAAAGTAAGAAAAAAGACAGGATGACGCATTTGTGCATTTGTAGGAGCAATGGCTAGTATCCTGGACACTTGATATATGCAAGCCCTTGTGATAACCACCTTACATCCATTATCACATTTAATCCAATAAACTGACCCCATAAGCTAAACACTTTCATTACCCCATTCCCTAAGTCCATTAGAGTAAACATATATGCAAAGGATATGAAAGATATGCAAAGGATCCAACATCCTTGCAATAAGATGAATCCAAGTTTTTCTGGGTCCTCATTCTTCTCCACCAGCCTGCAGCAGTGAAAACACTATGGGAGGAATTCCCTACTTAGAAATGATGCCTCTCTAGCACCATAAAAACCATACGCTTAGATAGGAAGATAACATTACGACGATTCTTATTCTGGACTCTAATAGTAAATATCACTTTAGTTTTCTGCTATTTGTTTGCCAACACTATAACAAGCCCAGTACCAAATACAAACTTTTGAGGATAAGGAAAGGGGAGAATAAATTGTTCCCCTTTCAAAGTTTAAGAAGGCTGAGTGTTTAACTCATGGCATTAGGCAAAACCAAAGTGAAACAAAATTTTCAGGAATGTATAAATCTCTTAAAGTATTACATATTACATTACATGTAACTATGTCTCTTCACTCACCCAGTGGCTCACGTCTGTAATCGCAGCACTTTGGGAGGTGGAGGCTGGTGGATCACTTGAGGTCAGGAGTTTGAGACCAGCCTGGCCAACATGGTGAAACCCTGTCTGTACTAAAAATACAAAAATTAGCCAGGTGTGGTGGTGCATGCCTGTAATCCCAGCTACTTGGAAGGCTGAGGCAAGAAAATCGCTTGAACTTAGGAGGCGGGGGTTGCAGTGAGCCAAGATCATGCCACTGCACTGCAGCCTGGGCAATAGAGAGAAAAAAAAGAAAAAAAAGTATATATAGAGAGATAATACTTATTATATATTATACATGTAATCTTATTGATTTGAGGTTAGGATTTACATGTCAGAAAAGTGGTGGGAAGGATAATTCAATACATATATTATCTCATTTACAACCAAAACTAATTTGAATAGGTACTTCACAAAATATCACTGGCTAAGCTAGAAACTGGGTAGGTTACATGAGACTATGACGAAGCAATAACAGGACAGAGATATTCCGTACAGACACACCAGCCCTAATCTCTGTTTCCTCTTTTTACTCCTCACTTCACAAGTGTCAGTTTAGAGGCAGCCTCTTACTCTCTTGTGCCCGGCTTAGCTGCTTCTTTCATGAAATCCCTTAATTCCATTTTCTGACTTCTATAACGGGAACTCAACATGATGTGTAGCACAAATGTGATATTGCCAACAGCTGAATAGGAGATCTCCTCCATTATCAAAAGGCTCTTTGTTTTCTATAATATATATTTTTACAACACTCTTCTGACTTTTCTCATCTGAGGTTTCATCTTATTCACATGGGCTACAGAATCTCTTAACAGTTTTTTAGAAATTGATCTAATATAACAATTGAACAACAGATTTAACGAACAATTGTTTGCACCTCTGAGCAGTCTATTATAGGTGTTTGCCAACACTATAACAATCCCGGTACCAAATAAAAACTTTTGAGGATAAGGATAAGGATAACACAATCTACTGAGAAATATAGACAAGCACAAATAGATATGGAAACGTATATAAGGTATTTTCACATACAAGCTATGAAATCCTCATTTGTAGTGAATAACTTCTAGGGTAAGATTAATTCCAAGACTTTGCAAGAGAGAGAGAAAGCTTAGAAAGGCCGGGCATGGTGGCTCACGCCTGTAATCCCAGCACTTTGGGAGGCCAAGGAGGGCCGATCACGAGGTCAAGAGATCAAGAGCATCCTAGCCAACATGGTGAAACCCTGCCTCTATTAAAAATACAAAAATTAGCTGGGCGTGGTGGCGCATGCCTGTAGTCCCAGCTGCTTGGGAGGCTGAGACAGGAGAATTGCTTGAACCCAGGAGGCAGAGGTTGCAGTGAGCTGAGATCATGCCACTGCACTCCAGCCTGGTAACAAAGCAATAGTGTCTCAAAAAAAAAGTTTCATTTAAAGATTATCTCTATTTTCTATTTCCTAAAATGTTTTCTAAGCCGCCTTTTTTTTTTTTCATTTTTTAAATGAAACTTTTTTTTTTTTTTTTTTTTTTTTTTTTTTGAGACAGAGTCTCACTTTGTCATCCAGGCTAGAGTGCAGTGGCACGATCTCAGCTCATTGCAGCCTCAACCTCCCAGGCCCAGGTGATCCTTCCATATCAGCCTCCCAAAGCAGTTGGGACTACAGGCATGCACCACCATGCCTGGCTAATTTTTTGTAGAGACAGGGTTTCACCATGTTGCCCAGGCTGGCCTCGAACTGCTGAGCTCAGCTGATCAGCCAGCATCGGCATCCCTACGGCTGAGATTACAGGCATGAGCCACTGTGCCCAGCCTGTTTAGATGAAACTTAATGGAAAGGAGAACTTTACCAACTTGTAAGTGGCAAGAAGAGGATTAAAAGAGCAGACATAGAGTGAGTGAAAGAATTGAGGATTAAAAGTAGGAATTTGTAAGCAATATGCGAGAATAGATAGCTCATCAGAGTACTTGAATACTGTGAAAACCCTTGAACAGTAACCCAAGTTAGTTCAGGCTTTCAGCAAAGAATGTAGAATTGAAGCTAAATATTTCGAATAAAATAATCATTAATTTTTTATTGACTATCAGTTGTAACTAACAAATATTTATAGTTTATCAGTGTCTTCTACTTGAATGTCTTCTCCAATGTGGGCTTTTATTTTAAAATGTATGCCAGGAAACTTCAGAGAAGACAAGCTTCTCCTATTTGAGGATTAGGTTTGGTTTCTGAAGTTTAATTATACTATTATATCATTCTGCCAAAATGGATTCTGTTAGTCATATAATTATACTCAAATCTTTGAATATAGAGCAAATGATACAGTTGTCAATACATATCATACCATACCATACTTATCTTACACTGTCATAGTGTAACACTGGCAAGGGACAATCTCAAAAAATGAATTTTGATTTTACCATCTCCTTAGTTTAAGATTTGACAATGACCAGAAACTAGTGCTCAGCCATCATTCTCTGCTTACTGAGACATATACCCCACGATGATTTTCTAAAGCGGCCGGTAACATTTCTTGTGACAATTCTCTCTAACTAATAAGAAATGACAGAAGATGGGAGAGTTATCCAATAAATCAAGCTCAAGCAAAACCTCAGCAAGTTAACTTTGTTCATTCAGAGCAAAGATTATTGCCTTGACTCGATAATTACTCAGTAATGTGGACTGTCATCATTTCTAAGAATTCTCCAAAATAATTTAAGTAGACTATCATGAAGCTTAAACTAACATAATGTATGCAATTTGTACACATTTCATAAAAATGAAATGTGGATTGATTTCCTGACTAAAGTATATCTCTAAAACCTAATATAAAAAGAACATTTCACTTGTCCCTGCACTTCATAAGTTTTCAAGCATTATGAACTAATTGTGCATGGATTGGTTTATTTGGGATAACTAAATAACTTTTCTCTTTGCTGGCTTGACTCTTCTGACTCCATACTCTCCCCATAACATATATGTCTACAATTTTTTATGGAAAATTTGGAAATCCATCAACTTCTAAAAGCCACAGTTTTGCTTGATTTTTAACAAACTCATTTGATGTGAAACGTGATCAGAGCTGCTGTGAGCCTATTTGTCATCTTCATTGACCCACTTAGTGTGAAAATCTACACACTTCAAAAACCTTAACTCTAGAGGGCTTTCCCTGTTTATTTCTGAAACTTATCTGGAACCAAAGCTTTTTGATAACTATTTAGAGTCCTCTACTTTTGGAGCAAAAATAGGATTATATTTTCCTTCAACTGAAGCCTTGTTTGTAACCTGAGGGTGACTTTTTAAAGTATAAATATATTCAATTCATTGATCCATAGTTTCTCATAAATAGCACTTATTGTACACAATGATTAGCTTGCCTTTTTTCTAGATGAGAAAACAGAATCTTGAGAGGCAAAACAACAAGACCACAGTAGCAGAACCAGAAATCAGAGGAGGCAAATTTCAAACCACAGCAGTTTGACTCCAGCATGCTTCCTCTTCACCTGCTTTCTGGTCTTTGCTCCTCTCTTTCTAGCTCTAGACAGTAACTTAGAGGAAGAAAGATGATCTCAGCTTTCATTCAAGGAAATAATTTTGACCTATTTATTGACAGTCCCTTAAAATATATCTACCTTTTTATGAAAAGATGTTGAGACTTTATCCTGAGTAGGGCTGATCATTAGCATTTCAGTGACACATTTACGAAATACTTAAACAGACGATATTCCCTAGGATGTATCTTCCTCTCCTCTGTCATTAATCCTCCCTTCTTATTACTTACTACTTTACAATACTGAAACGTTTTTAGACATAAATCAATCTCATCGGAGACTAAATGCTCAGATAAACAATAGTTTAATCATGTTTCTTTTGTTATTAAGTGTTATTGTCACACCTGACATATCAACATCTTTCCTATCAATAGTCATTAACTCACTTTTACAGATTGCATTCTAATGTATTTACCTTCATGCCATTATCAAGCAGTGTTCTCAGAAGACAACCTGAATTTCTCTTAAGAGCTTTTTTTTTTTAAATGCAATGTGTAATAACTCCCTGACTAAATATGTATCTAAAACCTCATATAAAAAAGAACATTTCACTTGTCTCTGCATTTCGTAAGTTTCTACACATTATTAAAATGACCAACCTTTAATACTTGAAAGAAAAAAGTGTGTAGGAGAAAAATATTTTAGCCTAGGCATCTGGCCAAATGACAAATGGAGCACAGAGAGCTGAAACCATTTTATCATGATTTCACCAGAGACTGATTTATAGGTATTCTAGTGTCAATGACATGTGCAGATTCAGAATTTTTTTAATGTTTACTTTTCTAAGACAAATACAGATAATTTATTCTGGGTCTAAGGGGCTAAAGCAAGAGTACTGGAATGGATCAACTCTACCCTTTAACATCAAAGTGAGTGCTAGAGCCATAACTTTGGTGACATTTGGGCTGTGAGCAATAATTCAGAGCCACCTGGATGTGATTAGTTCAGAGTAAACTAATGTCAGAATAATCTTCAGTGTACCTTTTACCTTCAACCTCCAATCACCCAGGTTCCCTCCTCTACCCTTGGGGAAAATAGCTGCTAGCATCTGTCAAGTTACACAGCATTTAAAGAGTTTGTTCCTCTAGAAGCTCTACATAGTATTGGCTAAAACATTTCTGTTAACATTAAGACTTGAAGAAAATACTAAGTTCACTTTATTGTTTGTACTCACAGCCGAAATGCTGAAATGCCTATGTGTCTAGGGAAAAAAAATTATCCAAAATCAAAAGCAGGACCAAAAGGAGTTAATGCACCAACCACTTACTTTGGTAGACCTGTGAGAAATTCTGGAACATGTTAAAATATGACATGAACTTGTTGAACTTCACTTCTTCTTTTAAACCTCTGGCATGATCCAGGATCTTCTTGCTTGTAGCTAACAAAAGAAAAAAAAACCAACAACAACAAAAAAAATGGTGATTTAAGTCCCCTTTGGAATGAACTGCAACTGAGCAACTGACATGGGAATTAAAATAAATCAGGCCTAGACACACAGTTAGTTACCAAGCAAGAGCTGTGAAAACTGGAAACATTCACTGTAATTATAAGGCAGCTGAGAGACAAGAGGATGAAATTTTATGGGGCTCAAGGGTCAAAGATCAACATTACACTGATCATCAACTGTCACTACCATGCTATTTCCTAGTTGGGACCAAGTTAACTGTTTGTTTAATTTCTAATGCCGTTAATTTTTCCCACGTCTGTGAATGAAAGGTTGTGACATGGTATGGAATCTTTCTACTTGAGTCACAAGTAAATTCACTAGAATATTGAAGATAATTTATTTCTGAAATCTCTAGTATGGGGCTCTAAACATATTTTGTGGCAAAATCTAAACATCGTGACAAAACCTAAACATATCGTCAAAGAAAAAGTTTGCTTCTTTAAAAAATGGCTGGTTTACAAATATCAATAAAAATTATCAGATGCTAATATATAAAGTAAGAAAAATAATGAACTGTGAATGCCCACAGATGGGAGGAGAACAATAAAACAATTGCTGTTTCTTTATCTGCAAATTGATAAAACAAATTTTGGGAAGTAGCTTTATGCCTTATCAAAAACCCTCAAAACGTCTTGTCTCTTTAGGTTCAGTAATCATATACTTTTTAATCTATCCTAGGAAAATAATATTAAGTAAACTTAAATTATACATTGCATACTATTTATAATTGTAGAGTTTTAGAAATATCTGAAAAAGTTTATGATAAAGGTAAAGGTTAGGCAAATTATTGGTACATTGTGTTTTGATGTATTACATTGCCACTGTAAAAATAATAAACATATATGTTATGTGTTAGGTTGGTGCAAAAGTAATTGCAGTTTTGCCATTATTCTTCAAATGCATAAACTGCAATTACTTTTGTGCCAACTTAATAGAAATTTGATTTGCTGTACTGGAACATTATATAATTTCATGATAAATGTTCTATCTATTATATTTATAAAATTTACACAAAAAATGATATAAAGTAAAACATATAGAATAAAAACCAAATGTATACAACAGTAATGTTATGTAAACGTATAATTACACAGAAATCATTGTAAAGACCAAAATCGATCACAAAATTTTTTTTTTAATTTTCTTTTTTTTTATTATTATACTTTGAGTTTTAGGGTACATGTGCACATTGTGCAGGTTAGTTACATACGTATACATGTGCCATGCTGGTGCGCTGCACCCACTAACTCGTCATCTAGCATTAGGTATATCTCCCAATGCTATTCCTCCCCCATCCCCCCACCCCACAACAGTCCCCAGAGTGTGATGTTCCCCTTCCTGTGTCCATGTGATCTCATTGTTCAATTCCCACCTATGAGTGAGAATATGCGGTGTTTAGTTTTTTGTTCTTGCGATAGTTTACTGAGAATGATGATTTCCAATTTCATCCATGTCCCTGCAAAGGACATGAACTCATCCTTTTTTATGGCTGCATAGTATTCCATGGTGTATATGTGCCACATTTTCTTAATCCAGTCTATCATTGTTGGACATTTGGGTTGGTTCCAAGTCTTTGCTATTGTGAATAATGCCGCAATAAACATACGTGTGCATGTGTCTTTATAGCAGCATGATTTATAGTCCTTTGGGTATATACCCAGTAATGGGATGGCTGGGTCAAATGGTATTTCTAGTTCTAGATCCCTGAGGAATCGCCACACTGACTTCCACAATGGTTGAACTAGTTTACAGTCCCACCAACAGTGTAAAAGTCTTCCTATTTCTCCACATCCTCTCCAGCACCTGTTGTTTCCTGACTTTTTAATGATTGCCATTCTAACTGGTGTGAGATGGTATCTCATTGTGGTTTTGATTTGCATTTCTCTGATGGCCAGTGATGATGAGCATTTTTTCATGTTTTTTGGCTGCATAAATGTCTTCTTTTGAAAAGTGTCTGTTCATGTCCTTCGCCCACTTTTTGATGGGGTTGTTTTTTTCTTGTAAATTTGTTTGAGTTCATTGTAGATTCTGGATATTAGCCCTTTGTCAGATGAGTAGGTTGCAAAAATTTTCTCCCATTTTGTAGGTTGCCTGTTCACTCTGATGGTAGTTTCTTTTGCTGTGCAGAAGCTCTTTAGTTTAATTAGATCCCATTTGTCAATTTTGTCTTTTGTTGCCATTGCTTTTGGTGTTTTAGACATGAAGTCCTTGCCCATGCCTATGTCCTGAATGGTAATGCCTAGGTTTTCTTCTAGGGTTTTATGGTTTTAGGTCTAACGTTTAAGTCTTTAATCCATCTCGAATTGATTTTTGTATAAGGTGTAAGGAAAGGATCCAGTTTCAGCTTTCTACATATGGCTAGCCAGTTTTCCCAGCACCATTTATTAAATAGGGTATCCTTTTCCCATTGCTTGTTTTTCTCAGGTTTGTCAAAGATCAGATAGTTGTAGATATGCAGCATTATTTCTGAGGGCTCTGTTCTGTTCCATTGATCTATATCTCTGTTTTGGTACAAGTACCATGCTGTTTTGGTTACTGTAGCCTTGTAGTATAGTTTGAAGTCTGGTAGTGTGATGCCTCCAGCTTTGTTCTTTTGGCTTATGATTGACTTGGTGATGCGGGCTCTGTTTTGGTTCCATATGAACTTTAAAGTAGTTTTTTCTAATTCTGTGAAGAAAGGCATTGGTAGCTTGATGGGGATGGCATTGAATCTGTAAATTACCTTGGGCAGTATGGCCATTTTCACGATATTGATTTTTCCTACCCATGAGCATGGAATGTTCTTCCATTTGTTTGTATCCTCTTTTATTTCCTTGAGCAGTGGTTTGTAGTTCTCCTTGAAGAGGTCCTTCATGCGTCCCTTGTAAGTAGGATTCCTAGGTATTTTTTTCTCTTTGAAGCAATTGTGAATGGGAGTTCACTCATGATTTGGCTCTCTGTTTGTCTGTTGTTGGTGTATAAGAATGCTTGTGATTTTTGTACATTGATTTTGTATCCTGAGACTTTGCTGAAGTTGCTTATCAGCTTAAGCAGATTTTGGGCTGAGACAATGGGGTTTTCTAGATATACAATCATGTCATCTGCAAACAGGGACAATTTGACTTCCTCTTTTCCTAATTGAATACCCTTTATTTCCTTCTCCTGCCTGATTGCCCTGGCCAGAACTTCCAACACTATGTTGAATAGGAGTGATGAGAGAGGGCATCCCTGTCTTGTGCCAGTTTTCAAAGGGAATGCTACCAGTTTTTGCCCATTCAGTATGATATTGGCTGTGGGTTTGTCATAGATAGCTCTTATTATTTTGAAATACATCCCATCAATACCTAATTTATTGAGAGTTTTTAGCATGAAGGGTGGTTGAATTTTGTCAAAGGCCTTTTCTGCATCTATTGAGATAATCGTGTGGTTTTTGTCTTTGGCTCTGTTTATATGCTGGATTACATTTATTGATTTGCATATATTGAACCAGCCTTGCATCCCAGGGATGAAGCCCACTTGATCATGGTGGATAAGCTTTTTGATGTGCTGCTGGATTCGTTTTGCCAGTATTTTATTGAGGATTTTTGCATCAATGTTCATCAAGGATATTGGTCTAAAATTCTCTTTTTTGGTTGTGTCTCTGCCCGGCTTTGGTATCAGAATGATACTGGCCTCATAAAATGAGTTAGGGAGGATTCCCTCTTTTTCTATTGATTGGAATAGTTTCAGAAGGAATGGTACCAGTTCCTCCTTGTACCTCTGGTAGAATTCGGCTGTGAATCCATCTGGTCCTGGACTCTTTTTGGTTGGTAAGCTATTGATTATTGCCACAATTTCAGATCCTGTTATTGGTCTACTCAGAGATTCAACTTCTTCCTGGTTTAGTCTTGGGAGAGTGTATGTGTCAAGGAATTTATCCATTTCTTCTAGATTTTCTGGTTTATTTGCATAGAGTTGTTTGTAGTATTCTCTGATGGTAGTTTGTATTTCTGTGGGATCGATGGTGATATCCCCTTTATCATTTTTTATTGTGTCTATTTGATTCTTCTCTCTTTTTTTCTTTATTCGTCTTGCTAGCGGTCTATCTATTTTGTTGATCCTTTCAAAAAAGCAGTTCCTGGATTCATTAATTTTTTGAAGTGTTTTTTGTGTCTCTATTTCCTTCAGTTCTGCTCTGATTTTAGTTATTTCTTGCCTTCTGCTAGCTTTTGAATGTGTTTGCTCTTGCTTTTCTAGTTCTTTTAATTGTGATGTTAGGGTGTCAATTTTGGATCTTTCCTGCTTTCTCTTGTGGGCATTTAGTGCTGTAAATTTCCTTCTACACACTGCTTTGAATGTGTCCCAGAGATTCTGGTATGTTGTGTCTTTGTTCTTGTTGGTTGCAAAGAACATCTTTATTTCTGCCTTGATTTCGTTATGTACCCAGTAGTCATTCAGGAGCAGGTTGTTCAGTTTCCATGTAGTTGAGCGGTTTTGAGTGAGATTCTTAATCCTGAGTTCTAGTTTGATTGCACTGTGGTCTGAGAGATAGTTTGTTATAATTTCTGTTCTTTTACATTTGCTGAGGAGAGCTTTACTTCCCACTATGTGGTCAATTTTGGAATAGGTGTGGTGTGGTGCTGAAAAAAATGTATATTCTGTTGATTTGGCGTGGAGAGTTCTGTAGATGTCTATTAGGTCGGCTTGATGCAGAGCTGAGTTCAATTCCTGGGTATCCTTGTTGACTTTCTGTCTCATTGATCTGTCTAATGTTGACAGTGGGTGTTAAAGTCTCCCATTATTAATGTGTGGGAGTCTAAGTCTCTTTGTAGGTCACTCAGGACTTGCTTTATGAATCTGGGTGCTCCTGTATTGGGTGCATATATATTTAGGATAGTTAGCTCTTCTTGTTGAATTGATCCCTTTACCATTATGTAATGGCCTTCTTTGTCTGTTTTGATCTTTGTTGGTTTAAAGTCTGTTTTATCAGAGACTAGGATTGCAACCCCTGCCTTTTTTGTTTTCCATTGGCTTGGTAGATCTTCCTCCATCCTTTTATTTTGAGCCTATGTGTGTCTCTGCACGTGAGATGGGTTTCCTGAATACAGCACACTGATGGGTCTTGACTCTTTATCCAATTTGCCAGTCTGTGTCTTTTAATTGGAGCATTTAGTCCATTTACATTTAAAGTTAATATTGTTATGTGTGAATTTGATCCTGTCATGATGATGTTAGCTGGTGATTTTGCTCGTTAGTTGATGCAGTTTCTTCCTAGTCTCGATGGTCTTTACATTTTGGCATGAGTTTGCAGCAGCTGGTACCAGTTGTTCCTTTCCATGTTTAGCGCTTCCTTCAGGAGCTCTTTTAGGGCAGGCCTGGTGGTGACAAAATCTCTCAGCATTTGCTTATCTGTAAAGTATTTTATTTCTCCTTCACTTATGAAGCTTAGTTTGGCTGGACATGAAATTCTGGGTTGAAAATTCTTTTCTTGAAGAATGTTGAATATTGGCCCCCACTCTCTTCTGGCTTGTAGGGTTTCTGCCGAGAGATCCACTGTTAGTCTGATGGGCTTCCCTTTGAGGGTAACCCGACCTTTCTCTCTGGCTGCCCTTAACATTTTTTCCTTCATTTCAACTTTGGTGAATCTAACAATTATGTGTCTTGGAGTTGCTCTTCTCGAGGAGTATCTTTGTGGTGTTCTCTGTATTTCCTGAATCTGAACGTTGGCCTTCCTTGCTAGATTGGGGAAGTTCTCCTGGATAATATCCTGCAGAGTGTTTTCCAACTTGGTTCCATTCTCCCCATCACTTTCAGGTACACCAATCAGACGTAGATTTGGTCTTTTCACATAGTCCCATATTTCTTGGAGGCCTTGCTCGTTTCTTTTTATTCTTTTTTCTGTAAACTTCCCTTCTCGCTTCATTTCATTCATTTCATCTTCCATTGCTGATACACTTTCTTCCAGTTGATTGCATCAGCTCCTGAGGCTTTGGCATTCTTCACGTAGTTCTTGAGCCTTGGTTTTCAGCTCCATCAGCTCCTTTAAGCACTTCTCTGTATTGGTTATTCTAGTTATACATTCTTCTAAATTTTTTTCAAAGTTTTCAACTTCTTTGCCTTTGGTTTGAATGTCCTCCCGTAGCTCAGAGTAATTTGATCGTCTGAAGCCTTCTTCTCTCAGCTCGTCAAAGTCATTCTCCGTCCAGCTTTGTTCCGTTGCTGGTGAGGAACTGCATTCCTTTGGAGGAGGAGAGGCACTCTGCTTTTTAGAGTTTCCAGTTTTTCTGTTCTGTTTTTTCCCCATCTTTGTGGTTTTACTTTTGGTCTTTGATGATGGTGATGTACAGATGGGTTTTTGGTGTGGATGTCCTTTCTCTTTGTTAGTTTTCCTTCTAACAGACAGGACCCTCAGCTGCAGGTCTGTTGGAGTACCCTGCCATGTGAGGTGTCAGTGTGCCCCTGCTGGGGGGTGCCTCCCAGTTAGGCTGCTTGGGGGTCAGGGGTCAGGGACCCACTTGAGGAGGCAGTCTGCCCGTTCTCAGATCTCCAGCTGCTTACTGGGAGAACCACTGCTCTCTTCAAAGCTGTCAGACAGGGACATTTAAGTCTGCAGAGGTTACTGCTGTCTTTTCCTTTGTCTGTGCCCTGCCCCCAGAGGTGGAGCCTACAGAGGCAGGCAGGCCTCCTTGAGCTGTGGTGGGCTCCACCCAGTTCCAGCTTCCCGGCTGCTCTGTTTACCTCAGCACGCCTGGGCAATGGCGGGCGCCCCTCCCCCAGCCTCACTGCCGCTTTGCAGTTTGATCTCAGACTGCTGTGCTAGCAATCAGCGAGACTCCGTGGGCGTAGGACCCCCGCTCCCCACCCCCGAGCCAGGTGTGGGATATAATCTTGTGGTGCACCGTTTTTTAAGCCCGTCGGAAAAGCGCAGTATTCGGGTGGGAGTGACCCGATTTTCCAGGTGCCGACCGTCACCCCTTTCTTTGACTAGGAAAGGGAACTGCCTGACCCCTTGCGCTTCCCGAGTGAGGCAATGCCTCGCCCTGCTTCGGCTCGTGCATGGTGCGTGCACCCACTGACCTGCGCCCACTGTCTGGCATTCCCTAGTGAGATGAACCCGGTACCTCAGATGGAAATGCAGAAATCACCCATCTTCTGAGTCGCTCACGCTGGGAGCTGTAGACCGGAGCTGTTCCTATTCGGCCATCTTGGCTCCTCCCCTGACATGAAGAGCACAAAATTTTAAGTAAGAAATCCTTGGCTTTTCTCTAGATATATATAAATAGAGAATAAGATACATTTATTAAAATAGTATGGTAATTTTTGCATGTGTATGTGTGCATAAAATAAGTTTCTTTATTAGTCCATTCTCATACTTCTATAAAGAACTACCTGAGACTGAGTAATTCATGAAGAAAAGAGTTTTAATTGACTTACAGTTTCACGAGCTTAACAGAAAGCATGACTGGAGATCTCAGGAAACTGACAATCATGGCAGAAGGAAAAGAAGCAGCAAGCTCCTTCTTCAGAAGGCAGCAGGAGAGAGAGAGAGAGGGAGAGCAAGGGGGGAAGTGCCATACACTTTTAAACCATCAGCTCTGGTGAGAACTCACTCACTATCACAAGAAGAGCGTAGGGGAAATCTGCCCCCGTGATCCAATCACCTCCCATCAGTTCCCTCTTCCAACATTGGGAATTACAATTCAACGTGAGATTTGGGTATAGACACAGACCAAGACCATATCGGTTTCTAACGCCCAATACACTTTGCATCTGCATATGTTATTCTCCCTTATGTTGACTACATATACAACATTAAATGCAAAAGAATACACCTTGAAGTCAAGAAAATATTTAGTACAGTGGAATATAACCCATTGAAACACAATAAATATTTACTGGCAACGATAATAGTAATTATAAATCATTAGATATCTAAACATTATTAAATAACTTTTGCTTTAAGCAGTTATATTTTGGCTTTGCAGAAACAAAGTCCTAGAAAATGAGAAACACATAAGCAAAGCAGTTTTATAAAGCAGAATTTAACTAACAGAAATCCCTAATCAAATGAGACTTTTAGAGGCTATATATTAATTTTAGCCAAATAAACAAAACGATAAGAACACAAGTATTACCAATGTTTTATTCCAAAAAGAACTGGAAGGTTATGCTTTTGGTGTAGTAATCATTTTTAAACTCCTATTCCAACAATGACAACAAAACATAGCTTTGACTCACATTCAAGATAAAGGCAAAATATTTGCAAGAATTTCATTGTAACTTAATTTATAAAGTAATCTCACAATGTAAAAACACAGAGTTTAGAAACTTTGTCAACATGGGGAAAATAAAAAAATGAAATTAAATCTGAAATCAGTTTATTCAAGAAATATTGTTCAACATCACTATGCTTTTTAATTTATATTGCAATGGCTCAGATTTTGGTTTCTGGTGTCAAGAGCTCCATGTCCAAATCTTGACTGTGCCACTTGCTAGCTATGCAACTATAAGCAAGGCATTTAAGCTTTCTAAAGCTCAGTTTTGATGCAGAAAAAAGAGCGATGATAGTAATATATCACTGCGGTTTTACTAGAAATAAGTTACAACATTGTTAATAAAATATTAGCATGTAATGAATGTTGGTTATTTAAATTGTGCTAGGCCTGGGGATTTAACAGTGAGGAAGGAAAAAGATCAATGTCATTCTCTCAATGAACAAAATATTTTTAAAAAACATAAAATTATTAGAGAGCCTATAAGGCAGAAAGGAGTTATGGTTAATGAGTGATGGCTAGATTCAACAAAAGAAAATAGGAAAAACTGAGGTCAGTATTGGAGACTGATTTTCTGCTAGAAGGATTTGTCATTTGTAGAGGAGTAGCTGAGAGGCTGAGAAACTATGTATTGCTTTTGACAACCTGGTAGGGTCAACTGTGCAAAGACCCCTGGATCAAGAGCCCTGGATTTCGAGGCCCCAGCCAACCTCTCATGTATTGAATTAGGATTCCAAATAATTACACTCTAGGAATTAGGATTCCAAAAGATTTTACTTGAGAGTAAGAGTAAACCAGAAATATGCAGAATTTAAGGACTAAAGACTAGCTTTAAATTGTTTCAAAATATAAAACTACTAATCTGTCTTGAACTTTAAGATAATTTTTCTTTGCAAGATAAAAACTTGATAACCAAGAGTATATGAAGAAAAGACTGAGTAATGAAAAACAGAAGTTAAGATAAGTAGCAAACTGTAGACCAAGACTTTTGAATAGGTGCTTTTATTAAGTTTAAAGAGATAAAAGAAAAATTGAGAAATTTAGTCAAGAACTGGAAACCATAAGAAAGAAGAAAATAGAATTATTGGAACTTAAAGATAGAGTATATACAACTAGAAAATAAATGCATAAGTTTATTTTAAAAATATTTGTGACACAGTTGAAGATAAACATAATTAACAGGAAGATAACTCATAAGAAAATATCCATACTTAAACATGAAGAGGCAAAAATATGGAAATATTGAAAAGTGAACAAAAACCATAAATGATTCAGAGAAAAAAATCTGGTATTTAATATATGCATAATTGCCCTTGTGAATATTAACTGTTGAATATCCTAATATGTATATCAACACAAAATTGATACTGTCATTCTAATACAGGGTATGAGATCTGAGAAGGAGAAGGTGATGTGTGCAGGGAGAAATAATGTAGGACTTCAAAGATTTGCATTTGGTACATAAAGTGGATTCTTAGATGAATATTTTTATAACTAACTTAATTTGTTTATTTTTCAAAATATGTTGTTAGTAATTCCTAACACAGAAGGAGATGAATGTTTTTACTTAAGGATTCCTGTCTTATGAGCTTGACATGGCTTATTTCTACAAAAATCTATGCTTTCATTCATCAATACAGTAAGTCTTCTAAGCACTTTATATTTTGTAATCATGTAATAATAACAGTATTCAGGAGTTTTAGGAATTCAGGCGTTCCTAAACATTCATTAAATAAAGGCAGGAATTTTCATTATAGTCAATGTCTTTTAGGTATGTGTTAGTTTCCTAATACTTATAAAATATTGTGCTAAACTCAGTGTAACTCTTTAAAAATAGTTATAAACACAAAATACAGTAATATTATAGTTTCTTTTGTTGTGATCTCCTATGTTTACCAATATAGATCGAGTCTGATTTATTCAATTTCAAATGTATAGGCAAATAAGTATTGAAATGGGTCCGGTGCGGTGGCTCACTCTTCGCCTGAGGTCAGGCATTGAAGACCAGCTTGGCCAACATGGTGAAACCCCGTCTCTACTAAAAATACAAAAATTAGTCAGGTGTGGCAGTGCATGCCTGTAATCCCAGCTATTCAGGAGGCTGAGACAGGAGAATTGTTTGAACCAAGGAGGCGGAGGTTGCCCTGAGCCGAGATCCCACCACTGCACCCCAGCCTGGTGGACAGTATTAAAAGTATTATAGTTCCTACCACTTGAAGTTTAAATTTGTAAACTGGACTTTGAAGATGTCTCATAATAAGATCTCAAATTTTAGAGTAGAGAAGAATCCCTAGGGTAGTGTTGACAGTATATGGAAAATGGTTCTAAATGCTAAGAAATTTTTCAGTAGCTTTGGGGTAGGGCCCAGAAATTTTCATTGTTAACAACTCTGGCATGTGGTATAATACTAGTGGGATTTTGGAACAATTTTTAGGAATACTATGTCATCTTATTCCTCACTCACATAATGCCTCTAATTAGGCAATCAGGATCAGTTTCTAGCTGTTCCCCAAATAAGCCATGGTCATTTCTTTCTCTAACATATTTTTTTTTAAGCACAAAAAATTTTCTTTTCATTTTCTGTTCCTAAAACACTCTCGTTTACCCTTTTTCATTAAAATGCTGATGTATCCTTCTCAACTCAATTGCTCTCTTTTTCTGTTGCTTCTTTTATTATGTATGCGTTTTTAAATCTTGTTTATCATTGCCTGATGCAAATCCTTCCCAATGCATATATTCCATTTATGCAACACAATTTCACTCTCATCATTAACTATTCACTAGGAAAGTGTATGTTTCCATATATGTAATATGTTCCAACAAGAAGGTAAAGATTTAAATGGTAGGAACTGTATCTTATTTCTTAATTTCATATTTTGTAGAACAATGGTAGGCACATAAAAGATAACTGATACATTCTGATTTACATTGTGATGATAAGAATTGGTGGGATATCTAAGTAAAAATGAAAAGCATTTTATATATCTTTTGCCATAATATTGTAATGTAAACTGAAGTGACTATTTTCCAAATTAAAGTATTATTAGAAAATTTTAAATAATTTTACATAGTTAAAATTGCTAATAGCTTTTTCAATTATTATATTGTAATACAATATAGAGTTGTCATCAACTGTATATTGATCAGCATATCAACTGTATATTGATCCACACAGACACATACTAAAATATGCACATATATAAAACACATATATAAGTATACACCCACACACATGTATATATGCACATATATACATACATAAACACATATATGTAATTAACATATACATACATGCAGATAGAGTACATATACATATAAGTTGAAAATAACTACAGTTGACGCTTGAACAACATAGGTTTGAATCTACTTATATGTGGATTTTCTTGGATAAAAGTTACATTGACTGTGCCTGTCTCTCCTGCTTCCTCTTCCAGTTCCTCCACCATTTCTGCCACCTTTACCACCCCAGAGAGAGCAAGACCAACCCCTCCCCTTCTTCATCCTCCTCAGAAGATGAAGATCTTTATAATGATCCACTTCTGCTTAATGAATAGTAAATATATTTTCTCTTCCTCATGATTTTCTCAATAACATTTTCTTTCCTCCAGCTTACTTTATTACAACATCCAGTACATAACACATATAAAATATGAAATATGTGTTAATCGACTGTTTATGATATCAATAAGGCTACCGGTCAACAGTAGGCTAATAGTAGTTAGGCTCAGTCAAAATTACATGTGGATTTTGGACTGAGAGAGTGGTTTGGGCTCCCAGCCCTCATGTTGTTCAAGGGTGAGCTGCAGATTAACAGATCAAAACCGAGTATTTTTTATTTAATATAATATTTTCTGCTTTATACAATTTGTCTTTCATTAGAGAAGTTTTAAAAAGCCATGGAGTATATCATCCAGAAGATTTCCAAGAGTTTATATACTTTCAATTCAACCTCTATCATACTGCAAAACCTTGTATACTATTTAGAGATAGCATACTGTATCAAATTATTAGATTTTACCTAATTAATAGAAAGCTGAAAATAACAGACATAGTATAAGCACAGAGAGAAAATGCTTTTATAGTTAACCTTGAACTTATGAGCCATTGTGCTTTACAGTGAAAACACCAGAGGTGTAAAGCATTTTCACTAATCATGATTTTATTATATTTTGCATTTGATCTAACTAATATGTCAGTTCACTAACAGAAAAGCACCTTAACTTTTTGTCTCATATTTACTTGGGTATCAAATGATATAATTAAAATGCAATAAAATTATTCAGAAAATTCAATGAGTTAAATGCAATGCTTCTCTATTTTGCATTCATAAAATGACCCATGCATTTTAAAGATTTAAGATAATATTGTGATTTATCTGTAACTACTAATTAACTACAATTGTTCTTCAAATTTATCTTTACCTGTAAATTTCTTTAATTATTATTTAATAGCTAAATGTCACATTCAAGATGTCACAAATCTATGATTCTTTTCTTAATTCTCCCAAAGTGGGACAATTTCTCTAAAGTTCATTTCTTGTCAGCTTGTGGCTTACAATGTTATTAATACTTTTATTAGGTAATTGTATTGCAATAGTTAATTACTGTTATTTTCTGCAATATAAATGTCTGTCAAGTGGTCTGCTAAGCTTTTTACTTGTATTTCTTTATTCACCCTCAGTATTCTTATCCCAAACTTATCAACTCGGGGACTAACTCTTAGAGAAAACAAGTAATTGGTCCAAAGACATAGAGCCAAAAAAAGCCGAGTTGAGATTCAAAAGCAGACACATCTGACTTCAAAGCCGGGTTCCTAGCCACCAGAATTCCACTTCACATCTTGTACTTTATTAAAGGTAAATGCAGGGAGTAATGGAAGAGCTGCTTAGCATTTTAAGAAACAGAAGCAAATTGCTGACTATGTGAGCTACATTTTCTGGGAAATAAGCAGAAATGCCTACTTAAAATTAGCTGAATGCCTCAAATTGTCTGAGCTATTGAGACAAATGCTGTGGACTGTAATACAGAAAACATTTCTCCCCTGAAAATGTTACTAACATAATATTGACAAAGTATGTATAGAAAATACTTTTTTTTCACCTTTATTGAGGCATATTGAACAAATAGCAGTTGGCAGAGATCAAAACAATAAGATGAAAGGGAAAAATGAAATGCAGAAATTAACAAAACTTCATTTTTTAGCAGAGGCTAATTCTCACTCTTTTTTTGCTGAAAGAAAAGCTGCCATCCCTTTGCGCTATGATCCCAAAGAATTTATAATGGGAAAGTTCTGTGATATTAATTCAAATATTTCAACTAACAGGTTAAAGAGGGGAGGGAATTTGTAGAGAGAAGAATAAATCCTTCAGCCATAAAGGTATGTGATGCCAATTAAAATGCACTCCTAGGTTGCAAAGCAGCTGCCAAAGTGAAGAGTGTTTTCAGAAAATAATTCTGGAGAGGGTCTAGGTGGCACAAGGGCTTTTAACATTCATCCCCAGAATATTTCATCCACAAATATAACACCATGCAAAAGCAAAGAGAGTATGCCAAGCACAGAATCTCATTTAGCACCCTGGTAGTTCACTTAATTAGAATAAACCCAGACTTCCTTAAAACTCTTTTGTAAGCCAAAACCTCCCCACCACAAACTGACTTTTTAATTATGTGGTTCTTAAGAGCCTTTGGGCATGCAATAGAACAGAGTGTAAATATAGCCATTAACACACACAGACCCACCCTCTCCCTACACACACACACACACACACACACACTCACTCACTTACTTTTGGAGAATTAAGCAATGGATACTAGTGCTATTTGTGTCACTCTCTCATTACATGACTTTGAGAAAAAGATATTAACATCTACACAACTTAATTTCCTTCTGCAAGATCAGAATAAAACAGTTGCTTCTTTACAGCTACTGCTATTTTAAGATTGTTTTCAGAGCAGTTTTAGGTTCACAGAAAAATTTAGAGAAAAGTAGAGATTTCCCATATACCTCCTACCCCACATGTGGCATAGACTCCCCCGTTATCAGCACCCACTATTTTATTTTCAAGATTAACTAAAATAATGTTTGCAAAGTCCATAGTGCAGTACTTATGTGATAAATTTAAGAAAATAGTATTTAGGCTAATATTAATACAAAGAATGATAAATGGAAATCAAATGTCCTGAATTAGAGTCTCTTCACTCTCATTAGCTTAGATTTATGACCTTAGAAAAATCTCATTACAATATTTGCTTCAGTTATCCTACATGTGGCACAAAAATACATTCAGGCTCTAAAACTTCTTAATTTTATTAAGATATTGCTATGATTAGATTTATTAAGAATTCTTCATAGCTAATATGACTAACGTTAAGAGTAGAAGCCTTTCTATTAGACTCTCCTTTTAAATTCACATTTAAAAATGTAATATAACAAGAAATTTTTATTAATTTGCTTATAAAACGCTGTCAAGAATGAGTAAATTGTAATCTTATAATAAATTATAAGAAATTACTTTCAAGGCTGTACTCAGCTACTCAGCTTTCTTGAGTCAGGCAATATTAATAATAAGAGCTCTAAACAGCCATCCCAATAAAAATCATTGAAATAATAAAAACTAGAGTCAGGGGCACCATTTGAAAGGTACCCTTCATTGATCAGTAATGATAATAAGAAATTGATAAAGGACAACTTTCAAGTGGAATCAGAAATCCTGGGCAGTTAATGAGCAACCAAGCAAAACTGTGCCAAAAAGGGTTTTAACAAAGCTTGGAAGTTTTGAAATTTTTCTTCCTTTTTGCAGTAGACAAGAGAGCAGGATATTAAGCCTAGGGTAGCTCCAGGTAAAAAAAAAAAACCCAATAAAAAATAGAAAAGTACAGTTCTCAACTTTGTGAGTATAAAATTTCAATCGAACAGGCAAGAGGAGTCAACTAAAAAACAAATCTCAGGAAGGATAGGAAAAATTCAGTCTTTCAAACTGGTGACCAGAAGTTTACTCTTCATATGGTTTGTCTGTATCACCACCCAAATCTCACCTTGAGTTGTAGCTCCCATAATTCCCAAGTGTTGTAGGAGGGATTCGGTTGGAGATAATTGAATCATGGAGGCAGTTCCCCTATACTATTCCTATGGTAGTGAATAAGTCTCACAAGATCTGATGGTTTTATAAGGGGTTTAGCCTTTTGCTTGGCTCTCATTTCAGTCTTTCCTACCACCATGTAAGATGTGCCTTTCACCTTCTGCCATGTTTGTGAGGCCTCCCCAGCCATGCAGAGCTGTGAATCCATTAAACCTCTTTTTCTTTATAAATTACTCACTCTCAGGTATGTCTTTATCAGCGGTGTGAAAACGAACTAATACAGCACTCATATACTCATGCATCAAAACATTAACCAAAGGGGAATTTACTTATTATAACTGAATGATGGCTAAAAAACTGTGCATCAAAAATTGTGGACTGCAACTAAAGAAGTATTTAGAGGAAAATACATAGTCCTCAAAATGCAAAATTGAAGAGGAAAGCAATCAATTTAAGAATTTAAAAAAATAAAAATTCTAAAACAAGTAAAATAAACTAAATAATAAAAAGTAAAGATAAAAATTTGGATGCATTAGTAAACTAACTTACTGAAGAATAATAGCAAATCTGAAAGTGAGTTATTGTGAAAGACTGATAAAATTTAAGAATATTGCAAGAATAATCAAAAAGAGAGAGCTCAAATTAAAATTAACTGGCATGAAAAACAAAACGTAATCATTGTGCTATTTAGATTACAGGGAAAATAAGATGATATTATAAACAAATTACTATGATATTATAAACAACAATGACAAAATTAAAACAAGAAAATTTTTTAAAAAACTGTAATAGACTTTCAAATGTTGAATAATCTTTCCACGAAGTTGCAGTAAAGATGACTTTTCAGGAAAGTTCTACTAAGCATTACAGAACAGATTGTTCCAAAACACACACTCTTCCAGAGAATACAAAAATTGAATCAGATCCAATATTATTTATTTTCAAGTTGTCTGTAAATTTTATTTAAGCTGCACCTCTTGTATGTTCAATGTATGTGGTTTTTCTTTTTTGTCCAGTCTGCTTAACTCATTTCTTAATTGGAATATTTAATCCATTTACTTTTAGTGTTCTTGTTAATATATATGGCTTTGCTCCTGTTTTACCTACTGTATATCCCTCTTTCATTCAGATTAATTAAAAGTATGCTTTGTCCATTCTTTGTCCATGCTTATCCCTTATATAAACTTTCATTATCTTATTATTATTATTTTAGCAAGATTTAAAGTTGATATATTTGGGTGCAAAAGTGCAGAAACAGTGGTACTTGCATTACTAGCAAAAAAGTAAACTGGCACAAAGTTTCTGAAAGATTTAGCAAGATTAATATATATATAACATTTTATAAATATATCTACAGGGAGCTTCAAAATATTTTCTATCTTTTGACCCTGTAATTAATGTACTAAATGACTTCTATAATTTAAGGATGCTTAATATAAAACTTAAATAATGTAGAAAATTTGAGAAAAAACTAAAAATCAAACAAGAGAATAATGAAATATCAAACTAATCATATATAATCATTAAAATCATGTTTTTAGAGTATAATTATAAGAGTTGAGGGAAATTCTTATATAATAATGTGAAGTACAAAATGTAAGATACCAAATTAAATATACGATGTGATTTAACATCAAAACCCTTGAAGAGGCCGCGTATAGTGGCTCACGCCTGTAATCCCAGCACTTTGGGAGGCTGAGGCGGGTGGATCACGAGGTCAGGAGATGGAGACCATCCTGGCTAACACGGTGAAACCCCGTCTCTACTAAAAATACAAAAAATTAGCTAGGCGTGGTGGCAGGTGCCTGTAGTCCCAGCTACTCGGGAGGCTGAGGCAGGAGAATGGCGTGAACCCGGGAGGCGGAGCTTGCAGTGAGCGGAGATCGCGCCACTGCACTCCAGCCTGGGCGACAGAGCGAGACTCCGTCTCAAAACAAAACAAAACAAAACAAAACAAAACAAAAAAAACCCTAGAAGAAAACCTAGGCAGTACCATTCAGGACACAGGCATGGGCAAAGACTTCATGACTAAAACACCAAAAGCAATGGCAACAAAAGCCAAAATTGATAAATGGGATCTAATTAAACTAAAGAGCTTCTGCACAGCAAAAGAAACTATCATCAGAGTGAACAGGCAACCTACAGAATGGGAGAAAATTTTTGCAATCTATCCATCTGACAAAGGGCCAATATCCAGAAACTACAAAGAACTTAAACAAATTTACAAGAAAAAAACAACACCATCAAAAAGTGAGTGAAGGATATGAACACATACTTCTCAAAAGAAAACATTTATGCCGCCAACAAACATATGAAAAGAAGCTCATTATCTCTGGTCATTAGAGAAATGCAAATCAAAACCACAATGAGATATTATCTCATGCCAGTTAAAATGACGATCATTAAAAAGTCAGGAAACAACAGATGCTGGAGAGGATGTGGAGAAATAGGAACACTTTTACACGTTGGTGGGAGTGTAAATTAGTTCAACCATTGTAGAAGACAGTGTGATGATTCCTCAAGGATCTAGAAGTAGAAATAACATTTGACCCAGCAATCCCATTACTGGGTATATACCCAAAGGATTGTAAGTCATTCTACTATAAGGACGCATGCACACGTATGTTTTTTGCGGCACTGTTCACAATAGCAAAGACTTGGAAGCAACCCAAATGCCCATCAGTGATAGACTGGATAAAGAAAATGTGGCACATACACACCATGGAATACTATGCAGCCATGAAAAAGGATGAATTCATGCCCTTTGCAGGGACATAGATGAAGCTGGAAACCATCATTCTCAGCAAACTAACACAAGAACAGAAAACCAAACACCACATGTTCTCACTCATAAGTGGGAGTTGAACAATGAGAACACATGGACACGGGGTGGAGGCATCACACACTGGGGCCTGTTGTGGGGTGGGGGTGCTGGGGGAGGGATAGCATTAGGAGAAATACTTAATGTAGATGATGGGTTGATGGGTGCAGCAAACCACCACGGTACGTGTATATCTATGTAACAAACCTGCATGTTCTGCACATGTACCCCAGAACTTAATTTAAAAAAATGTATCATTGTCTTATTATTGATGACCCTAGTTATAGACATGCAATATTCATTAGTAAAGTGTAGGTTAGTAATACTCATTCCAAGTAAGTTAGAGTATTAGCTTAATTCAGCCTCACCTATTTTTATTGTCTTCACATACTGTAAATCTATCTGCCTTTCCCTCTGTCTGTCTCTCTCATTCTTTCTCTTGGTCTCTGCCCTTCATGTGTACACACATACACATACACATACACACACACACACAGACCAAAACCACATTTTGTTCTATACAATCAATATTCAATTGGATTGACTTATATTCACACAGTCACTCTTTCTACTGATATTCATTCCTTTTTTGATCTTCATATTTCTCTCAGGGATCATTTTATTTCTCATTGAAAAATTTACCTTCAGTGTTGAAAGATATACTCATTGATGGTGGCACTTTTGAAATAAATTTCTCCAGATTCTTTATTACTTTTCCCTTAAAGAGCTGGAGCTTACCCACACTCACTTTTATTGAAAGTGGGCTGGACAGCCGGGCGCAGTGACTCACGCCTGTAATCCCAGCACGTTGGGAGGCCGAGGCGGGCGGATCACGAGGTCAGAAGATCGAGACCATTCTGGCTAACATGATGAAACCCCGTCTGTACTAAAAATACAAAAAATTAGCCGGGCGCGGTGGCGGGCGCCTGTAGTCCCAGCTACTCGGGAGGCTGAGGCAGGAGAATGGCGTGAACCCGGGAGGTGGAGCTTGCAGTGAGCCGAGATCGCGCCACTGCACTCCAGCCTGGGCGACAGAGCGAGACTCCGGCTCTAGAGACTTACATCTGGAGAACAGGATATGAAAGAAGTGATGTGAATGATGGGGTATTGCTTTAGAAAGTAGGTTGTAAGAAGACCACAGCTTCTCTCCTGGAAATGCTGTTTTGCTGTCTCTCCCAAATCATTTTTTTCATTGAAATAAAATTCGCTAACCTAAAATTAACCATTTAAAGCGATAAATTCAGTAACCTTTAGTACATTCACAATGGGGAGCAAATGCCACATCTGTCTAGTCTTCTTTCTTTTTAAGATTTCAGTTAAAGTGGAATTAATGCTTAATTTGCTAAGTACTTTTGTATCATCGTTAACTTTCAGTAATTGTAGTTTTTACCCTTAGCATTTTTATCCTATTATTTTACAAATATATGCCTTGCTTTAGTTGTACTGAAATTAACATTGAAATTTGGATCATGGTTAAACTTTGTGTCTGATAACACCAACATCTATAGCCAAAAAGGTTGATTTTATTTCTTGTAGTTGTGTTAGTTTTTGATTCACATTGTCTTCTTTCATCCTGTGTCACACACTGTAAACATATTATAAACATATTGGGTATGTGTGTGAAGTGTGTGTGTGTGTGTGCATGCACGCGCAACACATGAAGTAGAGTAGAAGTCCCTTAAGATTATTAAGAAATTACTTCTTACAGAGAAAATGTAGTTTTACTCCTCCAAGGTGCCCATAGTAACTTGTAAAATGAGATCATCTTCCTGTATTTTTTAGGTATTGAGGGGATGTGTATCCAGACTTCAGTCTGGTTGAGGACAGTTCGTGTCTTACTCTTGCTGTCTACCTCTTTGGCTCTTTGCACTGAATCTGGTTGTTTGTCATCTTCCCTTTTTCCTTCCTTGGCCGCTCTATTTATTTCTCTTGCCACACAAGACTGCCAAAAACGTGATACTCAGGATTTTAGTCTCACAGCAGCCTTTTCCGAAATTTCAGATTCCATCAGGAGAAAAGGGGACGCAAAGGTGCTGGACTTCAAAGTTTGGATTTCCTTTATTCCATGGATGCATGTGTGTGTGTGCATGTGTGTTTATTTTGTACACATATACACACATTTTACAGTACATATAAATTTTCTCATTCAAATAGGATGTTCTAGTTACCCAATTGTTATCAGAATCTGGAGTCCTTTAAATATTAACCTGTGCAGTATAATTTTCACATGCATCTATTCACCCCCTTTATAGAAATATCTCTCAAGATTTCTCCCATTCCAACTGCCCCACTGCTCTTTTGATATAGGCTGTTGACCCCACTGCCTCACTGCAACCCTCTTATCAAGTTTGCCAATCATACATCATAAATACACCCAATTTTGTAATCAAGCTGTTACCTACTTTTCTTCCCTCTTCTTCCACCTCAGTTTAGCACTTCTATTTTAGAACTTTTATTCTCCCACTGATTTCTGTCTTATCTATAGTATAATGAATTCTTACATATCTCTTTGCCTATTGGTTTATATCCTTAATTTGTGAACATATTTTATATGACTCATATTTTTAAAGATACATTAGGTATTATAGGAAAACAACGTCAAGATGGATATAGGAAGGAAGTAGGGGAGTAAAAGATATACTTGCTTCTTTTCTCAGCAGATTCGAATATAAATTTTTCAACGGAAATATATTTTAAAACTTAAAAAAATGGAATATCCATGGTTTAACAGAATTTCAGGGTTCTCTAATCAATATATTTAAAAATGAGAAAACGTTGTGAATATTTCATGTGTTACTTCTCAGCTTACATTTTAACCATGAAAACAGGACGTATTAAAAAAAGGACAGTTGAAAGGTTTTATTTCTCATGATTGTGTTACAAAAACATTGAAGTCTCAGTTTGGCAGGTTTCCCAGGGGATTTAAAATTTCTCTAATTCATCTATAAACAAAATAGTTCCTCAGCTGAAGGGCTAAAATAACTTCAGATCCCCACCCTAGATATCATCAGTTTATCTTGTTTTGTAGAAAAAGGGAACAGTCAACACACACACACACACACACACACACACACACACACACACGCACGATTTAGAATATGCAAACTGAAAACTGAATCCCTGACCAAGCAGTTTTCCCTCTTTCTTTGGGAGGAGCCTGCAACGATTGCAAATGACGTCATTAGTCATTGAAACTGATGGAACTGCTAATATAACATTCTTCACCCCAGAGTAAACATTGATGGCTCCTTCGAGGGATGTCTTACATTGCAAGTCTGGGATTTAGTTTATAGGTCTGACAAGTGTGACCTTTAAACTAATGTATTTGCTATGAAAAACGGGAAAGAAAACTCTTTATAACTCAAATAGATTGGCTAGAAAATCACTTTCCAGCAAGTAGTCTGATTACAATCAAAATAACACACCAAAATGAAACAGTTTACCTGTGATCAATTTAATGTGGTTGTAAAATGCTAATTATGAGAGAAAACACATTCAAGGTTTGTGGTACTGTCTATAAAACTTGCAGAGAATCTAACGTTCAGTGATGTGTAACACATATGGGTAAGCAGATGGCCAAAGTATTATTTTTAAAAACAGGACTTTTGCTGACAAAATACAGAATTGGAATGGTGTGATTGGAAAGCTAAGAGGATACTATTTATGAGGCAGTAAGCTCATGCTCAGTAATTGGATTCTTGCTAAATGGCAGATAACAAGGACTTGGTTTGTGTGTGTGTGTGTGTGTGTGTGTGTGTGTGTTCATGTTGTAGCTATAGAAACAAATAAAAAACTCTTCTGACCATATACCTATCTATAATTTCTAACCCAGCTTTTGGGGATCTATGAGAGAATGATGCTTACTTTACAATATCAGATGTGATTCATGTAAATTATTAACTTTTCTCTTTTTGATACAATTCTGCAGAAAAAAAGTAATGAAATAATTCTGAATATGAAGAAAGACAAATTAGATATGAAGTAATTTTTAAAACTCCATACATATACAACAAATACTAAATTGGTTACTTGAAATCACTTGCTGATTTGGGTGCCCCTTCTTGGAGCTACTTCAACACCTTGCTTATATTTCCAGTACTCATCATATTCAGCTGAGATTTTTCTAGGAACCTGCATGCCTTCTTGAATTTGCTATTAGCTTTCTGATATCAGGGATTATATCTTGTACATATTTTATTCTCCCAACCTAGCATGAGACTTGGCCTGTAGTAAATGATCAGAAAGACTTCACTGAAAAAATTAATGAAGCTCTATTATTCAGTTAATACATTTTAAGCCATTGCATTAAAATTGCAGCAATTTTTTGAAAGAAATGTTAATTTCTTCCTAAAAATGACAATTTTTAAGAAAGGAGATTTTAATAAATTTTTGATAAGAGGTTCCTTAAGTCTCAAATTCCTTGCCTGTAGGTGAATTAGACCTATATTGGTACTTACCTATGAGGCATAAGTTATATTTCCAAATCTTCTGAAGACTGAGTTCAGATGTTACTTAGTAACCTTTCCAAATATTCATGATAACTAAGTTTATCTCATACTTTGCTTCAAGATATTTTCGGAAATTTAAATTTGTTTCATACTCAGGTGTTATCTCTTGTTATGTTTCATATACGTTTTGTTATATATCATATATATCTTCAACTACATATTTACTAAATTCTGTTCTTTCCATAGTGGGCACCAAAGTAAACCTAAATGAAAAAAAATGTAAATATAAAAATATTATATATGTAGATACATAAATTATTAGGAAGAACACTGGCATGTATCAACATGCAAACTATGATTTGTTGATATTGTTAGAATAAGTAAATAGGTAAATGTTAATAATCAGAATTGCTCTATCTCAGGCACTTTTATATGTATTAGCCAAACCAAGCACATCTGTTCATAAGGACCTCCTTCTGACCCATTCTTCTTGGCTACAGAGACATCAATGTCTATCTTGGCCAATAGAAGGGCAGTACAGTCCTCCACTGGAGGCAGTGGCCAAAGAAACAGCCTTGAACACAACATAGGTGTTGACATGAAGGACTCTGATTTCAGAAACCATGGTTCTGAGTTCTAGTTCAGCCTCTCATTAGCTTGGGAATTCAGTTATTACCTTAATCTGTCTGGAGCCCAGTTTCCTAACATGCAAAAAAGGCAACTGATATTACCTATTTCATAGCATGCTTCTTAGCATGGTGTGAGAAAAGAGGTTATGCTCTTAAACCAGTGCTTGCCACAAAGTTAATTCTCCACAAATTATGGCTATTAAGTTAATGATACAGTTGTTGTTTTTAAAAAGCTCCTGTAAGAAACCAATATTTGGAAAACTAGGTAGGATACTGAACCATGAATATAGCAGAGAAATTAAAATGCACATCACAATTAAAGATAAATGAGTGAGAACATATATTTGTACATATGTTTATGCATGTATGCAAATGTATATTCTATTTTTGCACTATAGATTTGGGCACTCAATCAAGCTAAATATTGTCATAACTATAGGAATAGTTCCCAGCTGGAAACAACCAAGCTTGAGAGAAACATTCGCTCAACTTAGGGCAGGTGTAATCCTGTAGGGGCAGATGGCAACATATGTTTACAGAACTCTCTAGAAGGCCAACATTTAATAGGAAACAAGTTGGAAAGATTTCATCTTATACTCTAACTCAAATAAAGTATAAGAAATACACTAAGAAAAAAATAACAACAATTTCTAGCCACTTTTCTCTTTTAGACAAACTATTTTGTAATTGTAGGTTGGTTTCCTTTATGCTAATTGTTCAAATATCCGTGACTTAAGTCATAAATTCTAGAACTATGTTTTACTTTTCCTATTATACATTTCCACATTGGCTTTTTGCTGACACCTCCAAGTCATCATATTTTCCCCTGAACACTTTTTTATTTACCTCTTTTCCTTTCGCCTGAGAGGTGTATCATAGTTCTCCCAATCATGTGTGAAAGAAACTTCAGACTTTGTGTGAAATATATATGAATGGATATATGGCAGGTAGGACAGTAGATGATCTGCATGGTGTGCATATTGATTTCACCTTATATTTAATTTGGATATAATTATGCATATTATATATAAGTTTAACACTGGTCAGTTTTTCTTTTCCTGTTATTCTATCCCTATGTACTAAAGAATTAATTTGGCAGATCTGGGTGTCTGCAACTTGCACACTCTGTGGAAAAGTCTGTCCTCGTCCATCTCGCAGAGACAACTTCTAGGCCCTATCATTATCCTGTCTGATAAATGTGTGTCTGTTTATCTGGGGAGTTGGACAATGCCACACTGTTTATACTGTAATAACAATGTGATTTATATTGGGAGCCTTGGGCCACATGGCATTAGTTTGACTTTTAGAGGGACTACAGATTGTTTAACTAAGATGTCCTTCAGCCTCATCCATGGTCAGCCATGCCTCTGTGACCAACCCCAATAAAAACACTGAGCACTGAGTGTCAAGTAGCTTCTCTGGTTGGCCATACTTATGTGTATTGTCACACATCATTGCTGGGAGAATTAAAAACTGTTTATAAGCCCCCACTGGGACAGGACAATAAAATCAAATATCTGGTCTTTTTTTGAACTCTGCTTTATTCACTTCTTAATTCTACTCATTTTAATCTATGTATATCTTTTCTCTAATAAACCATACTTATAACAACTTCTCAGGATTCTTTGAACCGTTCTAGCAAATTATTGCTCCTGAGAATGGTCTCGGGGGCCTGCAAAAATAAGTATGTTTGTAAAAACGTAAAACTAAATTGACGAAGTTTTATAGGATAGTCAGTCCCTCAGAGCTAAAATTCAGACCTGCATTTATTTTGGTATCAGAAAAAATAAGAATTTAATTAGTTCACTTATTCATTTATTTTAGGACTGTTTATCTATAAAGTGTCTGAAAAATTAACTGTCTGTTTCTAAGAGTATTGGTGCAATGAATATTTTAAAAGTGAGTCACATTATTTAGATCTAATTTGCAAATATTTAGCAATTGCCCCCACTTTTATCATGAATAGCACAGGTACAGGCTTTCAGTGGATTAGCCTAACTAAGGCAAATCTGGACCGGTTGTGAGTAAGAACCATCTGTCTATTAAATCAGGGATGCTCAGACCTAGAAGGAAAAACAATCTCAGCAATCCAAATATTATTTTAAGATATGGGTAGAAACTCTGCTAACTATAATTCTCAGTGGTTAGAAGATCTGAATTTAGAATCAGAATAAAATAGGTTTGAATCCCATAAATAAGTTCTTTAAGTTTCCAAACATGTTTGCTACTCCAAATATATTCTTTTTTTCAATGAGTATATATTGACTGCTTATCATAAGCCAGATATTTTGCTGATCATTAAATATTAAAGCGTTGAATAGATTATGTATATTGAGTTCTTAGTGTAGTTTCTATTGGACATTAAACCTGTTTTTCCATATTAGGGTGTATTTTTTGTTATCTACCAGCTACAATATTTATATTTAAAATCTGACTATTAGAATTCTGCATGGACCTGTGTTACATGGCCATGATACTGCACAGTGCCCAGCTCTAGAAGAGACTGTGTCGATAGATAGCAATGTGAGTGGTGTCCCCAAGTTTTAAACATGAAAGTCTGGAATTTACCTCATATTTAAAGAAAATGTTTGTTTGCATAATTTTTATGTTAATTAGCTACTTATGATAATATACACTTGACTGAAAAATATTTAAACAGTGTACAATATTAGCTATACCATTTGGGAAAAAAAATATCAGCCTTAGAATGCTCTTCAAACTGATATTACGCAGGATAGCTTTGTTCTGGCTACTTGAAGATTCAATTACTCTGAGAGATAATGTTAATTTTTAAATATCTAAATCTACTAATATTTTCAATGTATTTAAATCATCTTAAAAGTCCTTGGAAGGAAAATACGACACAAGTGTTTTTGTTGTTGCTGTTCTGTTTGTTTGTTTGTTTTGAGATGTAGTTTCGCTCTTGTTGCCCAAGCTGCAGTGCAATGGCGCAGTCTCGGCTCACTACAACCTCCGCCTCCAGAGTTCAAGCGATTCTCCTACCTCAGCCTCCCAAGTAGCTAGGATTAAAAGCATGTGCCACCACGCCTGGCTGTTTTTGTATTTTTAGTAGAGACGGAGTTTCTCCATGGGGGTCAGGCTGGTCTCAAACTCCCAACCTCAGGTGATCCATCCGCCTCGGCCTCCCAAAGTGATGGGATTATAGGCGTGAGCCACCACGCCCGGCTGTCAAGTGTTTTTTTGATATGTAGACTGGTTGCAGTGCCAAAAGATGATTAGGAGAAACATTGTGTTTCCTTTGACTATCAATAAATACCTGATGGTAGGTCCTAAACAAAGCATCCCTTTTTTTTTTTTTTGAGACAGTCTTGCTCTGTCACCCAGGCTGGAGTGTAGTGGTGTGATCTCGGCTCACTGCAAGCTCCGCCTCCCGGGTTCACGCCATTCTTCTGCCTCAGCTTCCTGAGCAGCTGGGACTACAGGCGCACGCCACCAAGCCTGGCTAATTTTTTGTATTTTTAGTAGAAACGGGGTTTCACTGTGTTAGCCACGATGGTCTCGATCTCCTGACCTCGTGATCCGCCCGCCTCGGCCTCCCAAAGTGCTGGGATTACAGGCGTAAGCCACCGCGCCCGGCACAAAGCATCTTAATCAAAATGTATGAAAATATAATTGGTAGAATAAAAGTTTAAAAGTAAACAGGTAACAGAAACAAATCTGAACTTATTGAAGTTACACGAATCACACCATCAGATTTTATTATTTTGATTGTAATACTCTAACAATGACCCACTTGGAGATATTGAACTAGGCCAAATATAATTCCCTTTTTCTTAAAATGATATAATTTATAGAGCTTTAGGAAAGTCCTTTCCATTTGCGAGAATATAACTAGATTCATGGTCTACTTTCATCTTTTTTTTTTTTTTCAACTCGCTGTCAAGTACCTACCACTCCAGAAATAATCTATTTCCTTTGGCTTTTTGTAATCTTCTTTATTCTGATTTTAGCATTTGGGGTTTTGTTTTATTTCTCTAGGCAAAACCCTAAATCCCAAGTCACAAGACAAATGAAAAGTTCCCAGACATTCAGTATATCTATATAATCTCATTTCTATACATTAGAGTTTTACATTGTGTGTGTGTCTGTGTGTTTGTGTATGTGTATTAGCTTTATGCATTAACATTGGGAACTTTCTTGGAATGTATTTTATGTCATGATTTATACAACCTTAAAGTTGAGCAATGCCTTCATATGAAGCCTCAATACCAAACAAAGCAACTTTGAAAATATTTTAACACTTGTCGTTTTTCAGTTCTGATGACTACTCTCTGCATGTATTTTAGTAACATTGCACAACTAGACATAAAAGTATATGTGAGACCACTGTAGATAGGTTCATAAGCACTTGTCTTTATGGAGATTATAAAATATTTTATTTGTATGCTTTCAAGACTCACAATTATGAAAACATAGACTGAAAAATATTTTAAAGAAATATAAAATAATAGTCTTTATTTTCCTCCAAAAATCTCATATTAGCTTTTCTTTCTTTTATTTTTTTCCTAGTACTCTTGCAGACAATTCTGTTGAATCTGCATGATTATGGCAGAATTTGTTACAAGTAAGTAATTATATCCATTTACTTTGGACATTAGGCCTATTATGTCTGGGTGACTATCATTACTATGGCCCATTATCAGTCACTTAAAAAAATACATAGGTGAAAGAGGCATTGCGTTTTTGGTGACCTCCAGAGTCAGGCATTGTGTTCAGTGGTTTAAATATGTTTTATTATTTTATCTTCAGAAGAACCCTCTGAAGGATATAAACCCAGGTACCATTCAAAGTTACCTGTTCTTTAGGATAAAAAGCTCATATTCCAACTAACAGAATTCTAATTTTTTATCTGATGTATCTGTGACTATTAAGGGCTAATATTCTCATGATCACATTTGCAATGATTTTCTTTGTGCCAAATGCTTGGTCTCATTTGAATTTGGCCTCATCTCTTTTTTTTTTTTTTTCTTTACTTCCTTATGAGATCTAAAATTACAATGTAGTGAATTCTCTTGAATTTCTTTTTCCTTAATGCCACTTACACAAATAGCAGTATCAGATGTTGCTGAAGTCTTAGGTCTAATAGCAACAGCCTGGTACAACACAGAGAAGAGATGCTGAGTAAGGAAGAGACACCATCAAGTGGAAAGGATGTTTCATCACACAATCTTCAGACATCCATTTTCATACTAGATCCTTAAGTATGACCCTCACAGGGAATTTCTCATCAGGAGATAATTTTGTTTAACTCTGCTTTCTTAAGGTTTACAGTTGTGCCTATCACACGGTACACACTCAATACATGATGGAAAATGGGCAGATTTTCCACCTAAATTCCATCTACCTCCCACTATGGTGCTCCTTTGATACTGTTTGAATGTCTGTCCCCACCCAAATCTCGTGCCAAGTTGTAATCACCAATATTGGATGTGAGGCCTGGTGGGAGGTGATTAGATCATAGGGATAGAGTTCTCATGAATGGTTTAGCACAATCCTCTCAGTGCTGTTCTTGTGATAGTGAATTACCATGAGATTTGGTTGTTTTAAAAGTGTGTGGCACCTCCCCAGCCCCCTTCCTCCTGCTCCATCCATGTAAGACGTGCCTGCTTCCCCTTCACCTTCTTCCATGGTTGTAAGTTTTCTGAGGCCTCCCCAGAAACAGAAGCTGCTATGCTTCCCATACAGCCTGTGGAACCATAAGCCAATTAAACCTCTCTCTTTATAAATTAGCCCGTTGTTTAATCCTTCCCTTTCTCATTGACATTTCTTTAATTATTTTACACTTTATTTTGTACACCAAATTAACCCTTGCTCTTTCTGGTCTAACTCATTCCATTTGTGTATGGAGAGCCAACCATCCACAACCAAAATGGCCCCTCAGTAGGCTTCTATTAAACAAATATCAACCTCCTTCTATGCTTGTTGTGTGTGTGTACTTGTATGTATATAACATTTGTTTGGCTCATCCTACAGAACAAAGACCAACAAGTCTCTCAATAACATCAGCTGTAAATAAAGGTTTTCTGCCTTCCTTAATACCATAGGTTGTTTTGTTTGTATGTTTTAGTATTATAGAATTGAACACTATATTGTAGGCTTTCAATAAATAGTTTTTGAAAGGTTGGTTAGATTGGGAAACTTGATGAGATAATCTAAATATAAGGAGTGATTTTTCTCTGAAAGTTATTTTTATCAGTTTCTAAGGTCTGTGATGCATAATATTTGTCATATATTTTTTCAAATTTTTAAATTTGAAAAAAGATATGGAACTATCATTTGATATGCAGCTATCATTAAATTTGAAAAATAATATATTTGTTGAAATTTTAATTTTTAAATTTAAAAAATGATATATAACTGTCATTCCCGGGCCAGTCAACCATGATACATTGTTATACTATATAAAAATTGGATCTTATTGTAGCTCATATCCTGAAATATGGTGAGATCCATGATTGCTAAGATGTAAATTTTCCTTATCACTATAAAAGAACTTTCACTGTAGGCCCTGCCTATCTCATTTTCTTGAGGATCAGATGCAGTAATTACTCAAAGTATTTTTTAAATGGGAGATTAAGCTATTGTTGAGAAGAATATTTTTCACATTAACACATTTGATGACGCTATTAACAAATTTATTAAATATTCATTTAATGAACTTTTAATAAAAAAGGGCAATCTTCATTTGAAAAGCTCTAGTCATGTCCTGTCTCCTTTAGACATGATCTTGTGAGGAAGCTTTAATTCTCCCTCTCAAGTACACTCCTAAGAAGTATAATCATAGTTTTATAAAATTTATTCCATTACAAAATTATAATTGTCTGATTATACTTTGTTAATGGGCTATCATTTAAATATAAATGCTGGTATAAATCTACTAATATTATTATTGGTGGTGCTTTCTGATCAGTAGAATATATGTGAATTACACAAAAATATTTTTAAACATAGGGCAGTTGTCTAATTCAGTTTTATGATTTTCGTAAAGTTAAATGGGAAAAGAAAACAAACACATAAATGTCAGAAAAGTAAATTACATTCATGCCATTTTGTTTCTACTAAAAATATTTATTTTATCAGAAGCACAGGTAGACACATCATTAGAAAAACATGATTTGAAAAATTCCTTGGTTCTAATTCACACTTCAGAAATAAATATTTTTCTTCAGTTTGGTCTACAGTTTTTTCAATAGTGATAACAGGTTCTGAAACACTCATATAAAAACCTCTTTTTTTTAAAAAAAGTAACAATTTAAAATTACTGTGTTAACATACACTTTTTGAATAGAACCGATTGTTGACTCTGATAGCCCTAAGTTGGGCTTCTTTTCCTAGGGCTTCCCCACGCTGTCCAAAAAATCATGCACAGTCTTTGCCAGATCATTTTGTTGAGATGGTCTGGCTTTATACAATGGATATCTTAAGGTTGTATATCATAATCTAAATAAATTATTTATGTCATTAAATTTAGCATGTTAAGCCATTCTGCGATATTATAACTTGGAGAAACTCTCTAACATTCGGGATCCAGGGAAATAAATGAGACTATTAAACAAGTAAATGCTATTTAAATATCATCATTTTTATATTTTAAAACACTGGAATTCATTTCATAAGTAAAAAACCAATTCTAAGAATTTAGCACAGACACAATCACCCCTTGCCTAAGCGACATTCGAAATAGAAAAGATAAAACAGAGTCCCACAAAAAGCTGAATAAGAATGTTGCCAAGCCATTCCTTTTAAAGTAAATCTCTTAGGCATACTAAAAAGACAGGAGCTAGGTTAAAAAGAAATAAAAAAAAAAAAAGTAGATAAGGGCAGTATAATCTAAACGCATCTATTTTTGAGAAATATATGAAAAATTTGCAATCTGTCCTTCAAATTAATCTCTTCTTTCTCCTTGGATCCAAATGGCTTCCCACCAACCCCTATCCCTTTGAGCTAGTCCAGCAAATAGGCCTGGTGGCAATGGGAGACGACCCTCCCCCAAGACCAACTTTGATTGTTCATTTTACAATGGCATATGACAGAAGCTTTCCAGATTTGGCTGAGAAAATCCATGTCAAGTGTCTGTTGACTGTTATCACGTTCCAACCTGCTGGCCATATGCAAATAGGATTCTGTTTAGAAAAACTGGTTGGTCGTGTGCTGCTGTTCGCAGGGAGAGAGGGTTCCAAGAGTCTCAAGCTGTTGCCCCATGGGGACTTGTGCTGCTCCTGACAAGGAGAAAAACCAATTCGGTCTTAAAACTACATTACATGAGGAAAATAATTTTTTAAAGGTGGTTGTGGAATGAAAATAGATGATTAATTAATGGGTTATTAGAAAAAGTTTGCCATGTCTGGGGAGGAAATATTTAAGGTATGTTAAATAGAATGAAATAATTAGAAAGATCCTTCTATTCATACCGGTTAACCCCCTCAGCAGAGAGTTGCTGTAATTCCTTGTATAGACATTGCTTGCAAATTGTCCCATTATTTACTCTGTCTCCCAACAGATCAACTTTTCCAAGTCTTTGCATTGTCTTGGGCATAGAGTTAGCATTCAATGCATACTAATTGAATAAGTAAATGAATGAATTGCCAATGTCAACTTTTTGACAGACTAAACTGCTATCTGGTGTTTCTTATACACCATATTGTACAGTAAAAATTTTGTTTATGTGAGGAAACAAACTTTCTTTATGGCTCTGTTGAGTTCACTACTTTTTATTTATTCTCTTAAAACTCCTAAATAATCTGCCGGGCGCAGCTCACGCCTGTAATCCCAGCGCTTTGGGAGGCCGAAGCGGGCGGATCACGAGGTCAGAAGATCGAGACCATCCTGGCTAACACGGTGAAACCGCGTCTCTACTAAAAATACAAAAAAATTAGCCGGACTTGGTGGCAGGCGCCTGTCCCAGCTACTCGGGAGGCTGAGGCAGGAGAATGGCGTGAACCCGGGAGGCAGAGCTTGCAGTGAGCCGAGATCAGGCCACTGCACTCCAGCCTGGGAGACAGAGCGGGACTCCGTCTCAAAAAACAACAAACAAACAAAAAAACTCCTAAGTAATCATTGATAGGGGTGATTTTGGCCCCTAGAAATAATTTGGCAATCTACAGAGATATATGCCTGTCACAACTGAGGAAGAGCAATTACTATCTAATAAGTATCCTTCAAGGACCTACCAAGGATATTGCTAAACATCGTACCATACACTCGGCAGCCACAGCAACAAAGACTTATCCAGCTCAAGATGTCAATGGTGCAGAGGTTGAGAAAACCCGCCATGAAAAATATGTTCTTCTCCACTAAAGAATTGTAGGCTACCCAGGGTTTTTTTCTTTCTGAGTTGAAGTTTTGATGACTCCCTGTCTGTGCCATGCGATGAACATTGTTTCTTCCTTTTTGTCTTGCCTCTTACGCCTACTGACACCTCATCAGATAATGCAGCCAAAGATTAATCAAGCTGCAGTCAGGAGCAAATAGGCGCTTGTCCCTCAAGGTTGCTCCCAATTCATTTTCTGGACTTCAACCCATGGAGAAATGTGCCTGGTTTGTAAAATATCCCAGCTCTTGAAGAAGGGGCTGCAGGTGCCACACAATATTTGCTATTTCTCAAGGGTAAAACCATCTCTTTGTTTTAAAAATTTTATATTCAAATGCAAAAATACAGGAGAATAATTCTGGACCACCACTTATACATATACACAGAAATATACATGTGTACATACACCCACACATACAAACTGTACACACTTGTTTTGCTTTTCTCTTGCTCTAGAAAAATCATAGCCAAATTCTAGAGCACAAGTGAATATGACTGTTTGCTTTGAGCCTATTTTTGCACTGCCAGTTCAGTGATAAATTAGAAACATAATGTGAATAAAGTAAAAACATTAGGTCCCTCCTTCAGCCTAATTGTTTGCTCTGCATTTTAATGATCTAAGGTAGAGAAAATAAATTAGCTTTGGAATCAGAAATAGATATAGATTAGTAACTTTCTGATCTATGTCGTGTGTGCTTATTTATAAAAAGTTAAACACATTATAAAAATAAAATCATAAAATACAGAAATAGGAGACCAGTCAGTGTGTATTCCTGATCTTTCCATGTTTTTTCTTCTGAACAACAGTCCTGTAAGATCTCAGAGGGTTGAGTTTGGTGTTGCAAGTTTCCAGAGATGACCTCTTCTAGATATTTTCTTCTGCTTATTTGTTCTTCTGCCTTTTTCCTTGCTGTGCCTGCCTTTGATTGTTCTAGGCTTGAGTTTAACCATAAGGTTAGTCTAATCCCTGATGTGGCTCCTGTCTTGGGGCCAGAAAGTCAAGTGTGAAATTTTGACATTTGTCCAGCTACTGTCACTTACTCCAAGTCTTAAATCAGCAGCTCTCATTACAAAAGGCTATCCGGGTATCAGCACCAGTCTAAGTGTCCAAGTTAATGGAATCTCAAACTTCTTAAAAGTAATAGCTAGTATTTGCATCCTTATGTTTTTAGTAACCTCACTTTCAGATTCTGACTATAGTAGAAGCAATAACTTAATTATTGATTACAATAGGTACCTCTGCTTAAAATTCTACAAACACTGCTACTGTTTCATTCATTCATCTCTGCATCAATACATGTTTGCCAAGAGCCTTTGGTGTCACAGATCCAGGGTCAGATAAAGTGAAGAGCAGCAATATTAATAGAGCATTTATTTCTATATAAATAAATCAGGACCATATATAATCTGCCAGGCACTTTGAAAACTTGCCGAGCAAGACAGACATGTGCCTGCCCTCCTGTGCTTACAGTCTGGGAACTTCAAAGATGTCCAGTAATGCATATTAATATAAATGATGTTTGATACTAGTGTTATTTCATCTCATAGCCTGATTTTGGAGATTTTTCATCCTTCATTTTGTGTTTACACTTTCTTTTTTTTCTTTTTATCACTTCCTTTCTTGCTTTTTTAAAATCCAAATGTTTGCATTGTGCTGGGCATAGAGCTAGCATTCAATAATCTGCCTTGGGCTGTACTCACTGAGAATCAAGGATGAGCAATACATAATGCTAAGCATGCCTGTCTTCAGTGAGTTTAAGGCTGTGCTGAAGGCTCTGCTAAGTGGCAATGTATGTATAAGAAGAAAGAAGTAATTCTAGTAAAAAAGTAATTATCCCCTCAGGGGAAGGAAGGCATCCAAGAGGAAGAGATTTTGAGATGAGCCTTTAAAGAAAAGCAGGACACTCACAGGCAAAGAGATTTAAGGTTCTACTGGATTGAGCCAATATTTGAAAATTCCCATTGAATTTAATGAAGATAACATTTTGTGATCCCATGTGGTTAGGATAGGGTCCCTGCACTGAGAGTATAAACGAAATGCTAGTCTAGCAACAGCCTGGAGTGGTGTGTTGAGAAATTTAGACACTATTTTTATATCATCAGGATATAACATAAATAAATGTAGATATGTAAATCTTTATATATATACATTATGGAGCTATAAATTATTTATAGAAACAATACTGCAAAATGGAAACTCTAAACCGGTTTTCCAGGTCTATTTTTATTCCTCAATGGATTTGTGTTTCTACAGAGCTATGAAAACAAAGCATCGTCATGCTGTGTTTATTATGGAAAATCTTTCTGCCCTGCTTAAATGATTTTAGTTTTCAACAACTTCAGATGACAGACTGGAATTTTCCCTTTTCAAGCCAAATTTTCATTGTCTTTTCTTCAGAAAAATCACCTAGATTTGTCACGCTCGGTTCAAATTACTTCTGAGTGTGCCTCATATCTTAGAGTGCAGTCATAATTGATACCTTATTTATTCATAATTTTATGACTAAAAGGGTTTTAGGGTTTATTAAGGAAGTGGATCAACACATCTTCTGAGTTCTTGGAAAATATCAGCTTTCACCAGGAGTATTTGTCAGGTATTGATGATTTTTTTTTCTCTTTAGGACAAAAACTGAAAAAAACTTCCAAGTTTACAAATATTTTGGAAATGTAAGGAGATAGATAAGATTCGAAAGTTACAATTTCTATTGAAAACGTCAGTGCTCTAAATTATGGCACACAAGGTACCATTTTAATACTTTTTCATAATTCCATTACTGTGAACAGACTATAAAATTAGCATACTTCACTGCATTGCCTCTACATTCTCTTTCATTACTATGGATCTACGATTCAATTTTTCCAAAATAGTTGCTACTTTACAAGAAGTCTTGGTAAATATGAGCATAAATGAATGGAGAGAATAATGTGAATTTCTTCTATAACTCTGAGCTAGGTTTGGTCATTGAATTAGGTTTCAAAATAATTTTTGTTTCACAAAAGTCCAGGTTTTTTTCCTGAGACTTCACTAACCATATTTGAAAATTAAATGGCAACAGATAGTAAAATATTAGTTAAAACAATGTGTTTAGTAATCTGATGACCTGGTATTATGCTGTGGTTGTTTCTATTAATAAGTTGTGTGGTCTTTGGAATATTATGTTACCTCTTCAAACATCAGTTTTCTAAAATAGAAAGTGGAGATAATAATAGTAACTTTACAGCATTGTTTCAAGAATTAAATGTGATAATGGGTTCCTAACTAATACTTTACCTACTATAGAGCCCAATCTATACATTGTCATTATGATACTTAATAAAAACTTGAAAACTTGGAGAAACATTTTGGTCAGTTTAAACAAGAGGATATTTTGCTTCCCTGCAGTTTGTTGTTTCTCCCTCTATTTTTCTAGGTGATAAAGATTTTATGCATGCATTTGTAACAAGTAGATATGCTATTTTCAATTTTGGCAACCAATCTTTGATCAGTCAGTTTACTTCCTGATTAAGGCTTGTTTATAAATACATGTTTTCTCTATTGTTTTTCTCATCTTTCTTTCTTAGGCTATCATGCCACTTTAAAGAGATGACTAACTATCAATTATTTGGTACTACTTCCCTCCTTTTAAGTCTGGAGGAGCTTGTAACAGCTTCAACCAAAAGAATACACATGAAATAATGCTAAGTGACTTTCAAAACCAAGCCAAAAGTATATATGCAACTCCTGCCTTTTTCTCTGGAACTCTTCTTCTTACATTGTGAGTCTCCAGGCAAAATTTTCAACTACTTTGAAGCCACCATGCTGGTGCCCTGGTGAATGCCACTCTCCAGCCATCTCCTTTAATACAAGAACTCAATTAAAACATGGTCAGCACATTCACATGCCAGACACCACTAAGTACCACTGTCAATGTCATGTGGAGTAGAAGAATCAGATTTCGAGTCCTGATGAATTTCTGAATCACAGAACAATTAACACGTAGTAAATAGTTGTTACTTAAGGCTCTAAATTTAGATAAGTTGTAATGCAGCAGCAATAGGTAACTGGGATAGGTACATTTTTAGAATTTGCCCTACACACATTCACAATATGACCCAAAAATTATTTTCACTTGTCAAATTGAGGCTGAAAGTAATGAACTTCATAATGAGGCAATTGCACATACAATTGGAAAGAAGTTCCTTCATTTTAGTTAAAAGGTAACAAAGGTATTACTCAGTGAACCCATTACAAGTGCAATTACTTGCAGGCTAATTTCTGCCCCTATGGCTAATTACAAGCAGAAGGATTTCAGTGAAAAATTGAATGCCTACCAGAATCTCCTTAGAAACACATTTCTCGATTACTCTGTACAGGTTTCTGGTGACCTATGGTCATTAAGCATCACAGGACATTACTCAGAGTGGAAGTTATACTCCTGATAGATACTCTGTCTAACCTAAAATTATACGATTAACTCACTTTTGCTTAAAATTCTTGTTATTTTAACATTTTATTTTCTATCTGCAACTGTTATGTACTACTAATATGCTTTTTAGCTTCTTGAATGTGTCCAAATACTACAACTTCATTATTGCATAATGAAACACACTGGTCTACTCATAGGCAGTCTAGAGAAAAAAAGACTGTGTTAGCTTCCTCTTTTTATATATACACTGTTTGTATTATTACTGATAAATAAAAAATATTAGAACCTGATGGAAACTATAGCAATTTTAATTACCATAATCCCAAAACAAGAAAAAATGTATAATTTATCACAATGTACATATCATATATCTGTGTAATATATTACAAAAATGATTCCCATCTACACATTATCTATAAATTTCTTTATTTACATAGCAATAGATCATGAACACTAACTATGGCAAATAAAGACATTTGTCATCACTTGCAATCTTTACATATTATTTCATTCCTTTATTATTATTTTTGCCCTAAAAGGAGAATAAACATGCATTGAGAATGGAAGATGTTTATAGAGTTGAATAGACTCACTAAATTAGTGATTTTCCATATCTGTAAAAATGTTGAAATGATTGAGATTGATCTTGTAAAGTTAATAGTAATGGGCTTAAAATTCTTATTTATTTATAAGAATTTTGAAATTTTTATCATTCAAAATTTTTTAAAAATCTATGATCCAAGCAAAGAGAAGGATATAGGTTATTAATGAGCAATACACTTGAAATGAAATTAGAATGGTAAATAAAGACATTAAAACATAAATAATAGTCATTTTAAAACAACATTGCCGTATCATTTACCCTGAAATTCATAAGTCATTGAAAACTTTGATATTCAGTATTACCCACACTCTATAAAAGTGGGTTAGGTAGACAGAAAAGACAGTTTAGAAGTTTTCAAACCCTTCAACCCACTGATTGTTTTTTACAAGTTTCTCCAGAAAATAAAGCAGAACAAAATTATATGAACAAAAATATTAATTTCAGCATTATGTAAAATATTTAATTATTTTAAAATTCCTATTGTCATTAAAAATTACATTTATCTAGATTAATATGTACATTAAATGAACAAAATTGTCGTGGTTTATAATAAACAATATCTCTATTTGTAATAAAAAGCAAATGTAAAAATAAATGTGGTGACTGATGGAAAGAGAGGAAAAGCAGAGTGGAGCCAGGGCCCACCTGGGAGCCACTCAAGGAAAAACGAGCTTCCACCCCAGCCAAGGGAGGCAGTGAGTGATTATGCTACCCTGCTCAGGAAACGACACTTTTTTCCACAGATCTGTGCAACCTGCGGATCAGGAGATCTCCTTCTTGAGCCCCTGCCACCAGGGTCTTGGATTCCAAGCCCAGAGCTGTGCAGATTCTCTGTGGCCACTCGGCTTGCAGACTGCCTAAGACTACCGAGTTTCTGTGGGGAGGGGTGGCCACCATCACTGCAGCTGCAGTCTGCTGTTTTTCCCCTGCCGGTGCCCTGGAGACTGGGTGTTTTGGACCCAGGAGGAATTCTCCACAGTGCAGCACAGTGGCTGTGGCAGATGGCGCCCCGACTGCCTCTTTAGACCACACCCTGACCCATCCCTCCTCACTGGGTGGAGCCTCCCTGAAGGGAATTTCAGCAACTCCAGCAAGGGGTTTATGGACAGAACTCTGATCTCCCTGGGACGGAGTGCCTGGCGGGGAGGGGCAGCCGAGGTCTCCACAGATCAGCTGACTGAGTCTTTCCTCCGGCTGGCTCTGGGGAATCAGGGCAGTCCAGATTGGCGGGATTCCCCACAGTGCACCACAACCCCTCTGCCAAGAGGCAGCCAGAGTGCTTTGCTAAGTGGGCCCCGGATCCTGTGCCTCCTGACTGGGTGAAGCCCAACAGGGGTCGCCTGACACCTTACACAGGAGCATTCCTGCTGGCATGAGATTGGTGCTCCTCTGGTACAGAGCTCCCAGAGGAAGGAGCAGGCAGCCATCTTTGCTGTTCTGCAACCTCCACTAATGACCTTCCAGGTGCAGGAGAAGCCCAGGCAAATAGGGTCTGGAGTGGGCCCCCAGCAAACCGCAGCAGCCCTACAGGAGAGAGGCCTGATCATTAAAAGAAAAACAAACAAACAGAAAGCAACAACAACCACAGCATCAACAAAAAGTCCCCACAAAAATTCCATCCAAAAGTCAGCAGACTCAAAGATTGAAGTTAGATAAACGTATGAAGATGAGAAAGAAGCAACAAGAAAACGCTGAAAACTCAAAAAGCCAGAGTGCCTCCTTCTCCTCCAAATGATTGCAACACCTTTCCAGCAAGAACACAGAACTGGGTGGAGGCTGACATGGATGAATTAACAGAAGTAGGCTTCAGAAGGTGGGTAATAATGAACTTTGCTGAACTAAAGGAGCATGTTCTAACCCTATGAAAAGAAGCTAGGAACCATATAAGCTCTTAACCAGAATAACCAGCTTAGAAAGAAGCATAAATGACCTGATGGAGCTGAAAAACACAACACAAAAACTTCACAATGCAAGCATAAGCGTCAGTAACTGAGTAGACCAAGCAGAGGAAAGAATTTCAAAGCTTGAAGACTATCTTGCTGAAATAGGACAGGCAGATAAGATTAGAGAAAAAAGAATGAAGAGAACTAACAAAACCTCCAAGAACTACGGGATTATGTAAAAAGACAGAACCTATGACTGATTGTGGTAGTTGAAAGAGATGGGGAGGATGGAATCAAGTTGGAAAACATACTTCAGGATATCATCCAGGAGAACTTCCCCAACTTAGCAAGGCAGGCTAACATTCAAATTCAGGAAACCCAGAGAACCCCAGTAAAATATTCCATGAGAAGATCAACCTTAAGACACATAATCGTCAGATGTGAAGGAAAAAATGTTAAAGGGAGCCAGAGAGGAAGGCCAGGTGACCTACAAAGGAAAGCCCATCAGACTACCAGTGGACTTCGCAGCAGAAACCCTACAGGTTAGAAGAGATTGGGGGCCAATATTCAACATTCTTAAAGAAAACAATTCCCAGCCAGAATTTCATATCTAGCCAAACTAAGCTTTATAAGTGAAGGAGAAATCAAACTCTTTTCAGATGAGCAAATACTGAGGGAATTCGTCACTACCAGGCCTGCCTTGCAAAAACTTCTGAAGGAAGCACTAAGGATGGAATGGAATGAAAAAACTGTTACTAGCCACTACAAAAACACACTGAAGTACAAATACCAATGACACTATGAAGAAACTACATCAACAAGTCTATAAAATAACCAGCTAGTATCATGATGACAGGATCAAATTCACACAAACAATATTAACCTTAATTGTAAATGGGCTAAATGCCCCAATTAAAAAACACAGAATGGCTAGCTAAATGAAGAGTCAAGACCCATTGATGTACTGTATTCAAGAGACCCATCTCATGTGCAAAGACACACATAGGCTCAAAAAAAGGGATGGAGGAAAATTTATGAAGCAAATGGAAAGCAGAAAAAAACAGGGGTGGCAATTTTAGTTTCTGACAAAACAGACTTTAAACAAACAAAAATCAAAAAAGACAAAGAAGAACATTACATAATGATAAAGGGTTCAATTCAACAAGAGGAGCTAACTATCCCAAATATATATGCACCCAATACAGAAGTACCCAGATTCATAAAACAAGTTCTTAGACTCCTACATAATAATAGTGGGAGACTTTAATTACCCACTGTCAATATTAGAAAGATCATTGAAACAGAAAATTAACAAGAGCATTCAGGACTTGAACTCAGCTCTGGATCAAGTGGACCTAATAGATATCTACAGAGCTCTCCACCCAAAAACAACAGAATACGCATTCTTCTCCGCACCACATGACACATGACACAGTCCTCAGCAAATGCAAAATAACTGAAGTCATAACAGTTTCTCAGACCACAATGCAATCAAATTAAAACTCAAGATTAAGAAACTCACTCAAAACCACACAACTACATGGAAATTGAACAACCTGCTCCTGAATGACTCCTGGGTAAATAATGAAATTAAGGCAGAAATTAAGATGTCCTTTGAAACCAATGAGAACAAAGAGACAACGTACCAGAATCTCTGGAAAACAGCTGAATCAGTGTTAAAAGGGAAACGTATAACCCACATCAAAAAGGTAGAAAGAACTCAAATTGACACTCTAACATCACAATTGGAAGAAGAACCAAGAGCACACAAACCCCAAAGCTAGAAGAAGATAAGAAATAACGAAGATCAGAGTGAAACTGAAGGAGATAGAGACCCAAAAAAGCCTTAAAAAACAACAAATCCTGGAGGTGTTTTTCTTTTTAATTAATAAAATAGATAGACCACTGGCTAGACTAATAAAGCAGAAAAGAGAGAAGAATCAAATAGACACAATAGAAAATTATAAAGGGAATATCACCGCTGACCCCACAGGAATACGAATAACTATCAGAGAATACTATAAACAACTCTGTGCAAATAAAATAGAAAATCTAGAAGAAATGGATAAATTCCTGCACACATACACCCTCTAAACACTGAACCAGAAAGACGTTTAATCCCTGAATAGACTAATAACAAGTTCTAAAATTGAGGCAGTAATAGGCTACCAACCAAAAAAAGCCCAGAACCACATGGATTTACAGTTGAATTCTTCCAGAGATACAAAGTGGAGCTGATACCATTTCTTCTGAAACTATTACAAACAATTGAAAAGGAGCAACTCCTCCCTAACTCATTTTATGAGACCAGCATCATCCTGATACCAAAACTTGCCAGAGATACAACAAAAATGGAAAACTTCATACCAATATCCCAGATGAACACTGATGAAAAAATCCTCAATAAAATACTAGCAAATCGAATCCAGCAGCAACCAAAAACTTCATTCACCACAGTCAACTTGGCTTCATCCCTAGGATGCAAGACTGGGTCAACATACACAAATCAATAAACATAATCCATCACATAAACAGAACTAAAGACAAAGATCACACGATTATCTCAATAGATGCTGAAAAGACGTTCAATAAAGTTCAGCATCCCTTTATGTAAAAAACTCTTGATAAATTATGTACTGATGGAACATACCTCAAATTGATGAAAGCCATATATGACAAACCCACAGTCAATATCATACTGAATGGGCAAAAGCTGGAAACATTCCTCTTGAAAATTGGCACAAGACAAGAATGCACTTTCTCACCACTCCCATTCAACATACTTCTGGCCAGGGCAAGAAGGAAAGAGAAAGAAATAAAGGGTATTCAAATAGGAAGGGAGGAAGTCAAATTGTTTCTGTTTTCAGAAGACACAATCCTATATCTAGAAAACCTTATTGTCTCAGTCCAAAAGCTTCTTAAGCTGATAAGCAACTTCAGCAAAGTCTCAGCATACAAAATCAATGTGCAAAAATCACAGACATTCCTATACATCAACAATAGACAAGCAGAGAGCCAAATCATGAATGAACTCCCATTCACAATTGCTAAGAAAATAATAAAATATCTAGGAATACAGCTAACAAGGGAAGTGAAGGACCTCTTCAAGGAGAACTACAAGCCACTGCTCAAGGAATTCAGATAGAACATAAACAAATGGAGAAACATTTCATGATCATGGATGGGAAGAATCAACATTGTGAAAATTGCCCTACTGCCCAAAGCAATTTGTAGATGCAATGCTATTCCTATTAAACTGCCATTGATATTCTTACCAAAATTAGAAAAGCAAATTTCTTTAAAATTTATATGGAACTAAAAAAGAGCTCATATAGCCAAGACAATCCTAAACAAAAATAATAAAGCTGGAGGCATCATGCTATGTGACTTCAAACTATCCTACAAGGCTACAGTAACCAAAACAGTGTGGTACTGGTACAAAAGCATACATATAAAACAATGGAACAGATTAGGGATCTCAGAAATAAGACCGTACATCTACAACCATCTGCTCTTCAACAAACCTGACAAAACCAACCAATGGGGAAAGGATTCCCTAATTAATAAATCATGCTGGAAGAACTGGGTAGCCATATGCAAAAATTTGAAACTGTATGACTTTCTTATACCTTACGCACAAACTAACTCAAAATGGATTAATGTCTTAAGTGTAAAACTCAAAACTATAAAAACCCTAGAAGAAAATCTAGGCAATACAATTCAGGACATAGGCATGGGCAAAGATTTCATAACCAAAACATCAAAAACAATTGTAACAAAAGCAAAAATTGATAAATAGGATCTAAATAAACTAAAGAGCATCCACCCAGCAAAATAAACTACATCAGAGTAAATAGACAACCTAAAGAAAGGGAAAACATTTTTGCAATCTATTTATCTGACAAAGGTCTAATATCCAGAATCTCCAAGGAACTTAAATTTACAGAAAACAACCCCATTAAAAAGTGGGAAAAGGATGTGAACAGACACTTCTCAAAAGAAGACATTTATGCTGCCAACAATCATACAAAAAAATCGAAACATTACTGATCATTAGGGAAATGCAAATCAAAATCACATTGAGTTACCATCCCATGCCAATCAGAATGGTGATTATTAAAAAGTCAAGAAACAATAGATGCTGACAAGGCTGTAGAGAAATAGAAATGCTTTTACATTGTTGTTGGGAATGTAAATTAGTTCAACCATTGTGGAAGATAGTATGGTGATTGCTTAAAGGCCCAGAACCAGAAATACCATTTGACCTAGAAATCTCATTACTGGGTATATGCCCAGAATAATATAAATCATTCTATTATGAAGATACATGCACACGTATGCTCACTGCAGCACTAGTCACAATAGCAAAGACTTGAAATCAACCCAAATGCCTGTCAATAATAGACTGGATAAAGAAAATGTGGTACATATACACCATGGAATATTAGGTAGCTATAAAGAGGAACAAGATCATGTCCTTTGCGGGGACATGTATATAGCTCCAAGCCATTATCCTCAGCAAACTAACTAACACAGGAATAGAAAACCAAACACCACAGGTTCTCACTTATAAGAGGGAGCTGAACAATGAGAACACATGGACACAGGAAAGGTAACAACACACACTGGGGCCTGTTTGAGTGTGGGTTGTGGGGAGGGAGGGCATCAGGAAAAATAGCTAATGCATGCAGAGCTTAATACCTAGGTGATGGTTTGATAGGTGCAGCCAACCACCATGGCCCACATTTTCTTGTGTAAGAAACCTGAACGTTCTGCACACGTATCCTTGAACTTTAAACAAACAAACAAACAAATAAATTCAAGGGAGCAGAAAGTATTTCCATCTTCTTATTTCATTATATGACATTATTTCTTCATATGACATTATTTCTTCATGGGAGAATACCTCAGGCAGGCCAAATCTTTTGATACTGGATTTCTTGTTTATGTTTTTTTCTGTATATGTCAAATAATTGACATAGAATATTAATATGATTTTCTGCAATGCTTTAATAAGAATCAGTTTTGAAAACGTGAGATGCTTTTGTAACTTAGAATTTTCAAATCAACCACAAAGCCCTGGGCAAACCGGATTGCATTACAAATCTCTCTGGTTGTAATTATTACTTTCCTCAGCAAAGTGATGTGAGAAAATTTTTCCTGGGAGGAGATTGGAGTTTATGAAATATTCACTAAAAATTTCTTTAAGGAAAGTCTGAAATCAGATAGTGTCTTAATATTGTAAACAGAATCTAGTGATGTGTTAGATTATTTCAACCACACAGTTCTGTCTCACTGCATAATCCCCAAATCCTAAAATTAATGAAGCCTGAATAAATTAGTCTTGATAAAACATGATATGATGCTATACTTCAAAAATATAAAAATGAATAATATGTATAAATATGAGAAAATAATTTTTAAAATGAGAACATTATAACAAAATACATTCCTCACTCTATAACTAGAACTACTTAATTTAAGTAAGTACATTGAAGAATGCTATACAGAAATTTAACCATAAAAACATTGTATTAGGATATAACACTTCACTAAACCATTTAATCATTTATTTTTTCAAAAATATTTATGGAATAGTTGCTTAATTCCAAGTGTGTTTGCACTTGACATTATGGGTAATTTTCTTATTTTTAAAAAATATAATTTGTAAAGGCTAAAATTAAAAATATACCATAAAATTTTAAATATTTTCATATGATACTGTAAAAAAATCCTTTGCTTAAATAGGAAGAAAAACTGAGAAGGTAAACGGATTTGACTGAGCTGAATGAGAGGCAGAACAAGCAGGTGATTGGCATAAAATTGCAGAAAAGAATAATGAAATACACAAATAAATTGATGAAATTGAAAAGGAAAGATATAAAAATGAGGGATATACTGAAAACTTCAAAGCATTGCTGAAATAAATTAAAGAAGACCTAAATGATTTCCTGTGTATATGAACTGGGAGACTTAATATTGCTAAAATGGAAGACTTGTACAGATTCAATGTTGTTTTTATCAAAACTTCAATGGCCTTTTGTTTTTTTTTTCAAAAATGGAAAAACTGATCTTCAAAATCATATGAATTATAAAGATGCCCTGAATAGTCAAAACAATATAGAAAAAAGTTAAAGGAATATACTTCCAAATATCAAAATTATTGCAAAACTACAGTAAGAAAAACAGTGTAGTACTGGCATCATAGTAGATATAATAGACTAATGAAATAGATTTGAAAGTTTATAAATAAGCATGTACGTATATGACAATGGATTTTCAACAAGGTGCCAAGATGAATCAATGGGTAAAAATAGCCTGTTCAACCATCAGTGGTTGTAAAAGTGAATATTCTCATGCAAAAGAAAGAAATTGAAACTTTAATTTGCACCTAAAATAATAAAAATAAAATTGGATCAACAACATAAATATAAGCTAGACTCATAAAACTTAAAGAAGAAAATATGGATTTAAATCTTCATTACTTTGTGGTTTTGCAAATGATTTTTAGATATGACAACTAAAACACAATCAACAACAAACAATAGATACACACTAGACTTAATCAAAATTAAAAGCTTTTGTGTATCAAAGGACATTATCAATAAGGAAAAAATACAACCTACAGGATGGGAGAGAATCCAGTCGTTGCTCTGTATCCATGGTTTCTGCATTCATGGATTCAACAAAGCGTTAATAAGAAATACAGGATTCCAGGAATATGGAATGGGCCAATAAGGAAGGACTACTTTTTGTATCAGTGGGTTTCGCAGGACCAATTGCAGGACATGAGCATCTGCAAATATTAAGCCTTGGAGGGTCCTCATACTAATACCCTGTGTGCCAACGGATGACTGGGTTTGCAAATCCTATATCTGTTAATGATTTCATATCTAGAATATAGAAAAAAATTCCTAAAACTTAATAACAAAAGACAAACAGCCAAATTTAAAAAATGGCCAAAAACTTGAATAGACCTTTCTCCAAAGATACGTGAATGCCCAAAAAGCACATGAAAAGATATGGAACACAATTAGTAATTAGAGACATTCAAATCAAAGCCATGAGATACCACTTCATGTCTGCTATGATGGTTATAATATTATTTAATGGAAAATAATAAATATCGGAAGGTTGTGGAGAAATTGGAACTTTTGTACATTGCTGATGGCAATGCAAAACGTTGTACTCTTTGTGGAAAACAGTTTGGTGGTTCCTCGTCTCCTCACCAAGTTAGAATTACCATATGAATCCTATATGCATGCACAAAAGAATTGGAAACAGGTACTCAAAGAAATACATGCACATGCATGTTCGTATAGCAGCACTATTCATAAGAGTCAAAAAGTGGAGAAAACCCAAATGTCCATCAATCTATGAATAGATGAACAAATTGTCATATATACATAAAACAGAATGTTATTCAGCCATAAAAAAGAATATCATACTGATATATACTAAAATGACCTTTGACAACATTATGCTTAGTGAAACAGACCAGACATAAATGGCCACATATTTTGGATTCCATTTATATAAAATATCCAGAATAGGAAAATTGATAGAGACAAAGTAGATTGGTGGTGTCCAGGAGCTAGCAGAGGTATGAACGGGGAGTGACTGCTTTGCAGGTACATGGTTTCCTTATGAAGTGATGAAAATATTTTAGAACTGGATAGCAGAGATGGCTACATGGCATTGTTAATGTACTAAATGCCATTGAGTTTTTCACCTTAAAATGGTTTATTGCCAGCAATTTTGTATGCTATTTACCAAAATGAGTTGAAAACTTAAGTCTACACAATGACCTACACACGTTTATAATAACTTTATTTATAACTGCCAAAACTCATAAGCAACCAAAATTTTCTTCAATAGGTGAATGGATAAGCAGCCTGGGTTACATCCATAGAATGGAATATCATTCAATGATTTAAAAAAATAAGTTTTCAAGCCAGAAAAAGAAAAGAAGGAAAGTTAAATGTATATTGTTAAATTACAGAACTAATCTGAAAGGCAATATATGTATTATTACAACTCTATGGCATTCTGGAAAACACAAAACTACAGAGATCATAAAATAAGCAGTGATTGCCAGAGGTTGCAGGGGAGAGAAAGATGAATAGGCAGAGCACAAAATAATTTTAGGGCAGTGGAACTATTCTGTATGCTATTCTACATGTGGATATATTTCATTATATATTTTCCAAAACCCACAGTATATAAAATACTAAGAATAAATTCTAATGTAAACTATGGACTTTAGTTAACAATGATGTATAAATATTGACTCATCGATTGTAACAAATGTATGCCACTAATGTAAGATGATAATAATAGGGAAAACTGGTATACCTGTGTATAGTGGGGTTGGGAGGAAGTGAGAGAGTATATGGGAACGTTTTGAATATTCACTTAAATTTTTTTGTAAACCTAAAGCTACCCTAAAAAGCAAAGTCTCTTAATTAAAAAGAATAGCTCGAGCACTCTTTTTAATGAATTCTGTTTCATTAAAGACATAACCTCTGGGTTTTTCTAAAGGTTAAATTTATGTTACATGAATATCACCTCAATAAAAAATAATTAAAAATGAGTGAAATAAAATTATGCAAATAGCCTATTGGGAAGTCAAATACGCTATTGATTTTCTAACACTTTGTTCATGCAGTCCAAAAATATGAATAAACTGCACTTCTTCACACATATTTAAGTTGATATATAAAAATTGTTACAATCAAATGATTGAAAGGAACTACTTTTAGCACATTTTATTTTTTAACTTTTCTATTTCTGCAAATTTATGGGGTGCAGGAGAAATTTTGTGATATGTATACAGTACGTAGTGATCAAGTCACAGTATTTAGGATATCCATTACCTAAGTATAGCATATTTTTATTAAGTATAGTCATTATACTCTGCTATGAAATGTTGAATTTATTGCTTCTACCTAACTGAATGTTTGTATCCTTTAACCCACTTCTCTTTATTCTCCCCACTAGCCCCTACTCACCCTGCCCAGTCTGTTATCTATTTCTCCACCCTCTACCTCCATCAACATATTTTAAATATCAAAACTTTTTATACAAATAGAAGTGTTACATAATGCTTTCAAATATACCTAATGGAATACAATGGAATAAAATACAGCATTATTCATATGAAAATATAAAAACATTAACCTCTCAATGTGCATTTGCATTTGCATTTCTCTCTGCATAAAAGGCTCTTCCTCTAAATTTTAACTTGGTTGAACGTGATATACTTCATCACTGAATTTATGCTTCTGTTCAAATATGATCTCGAAGATATCCTTGATATTCATTCCATTTAAAACAGACTGTCTTTACCACCACTGACCCCACCACAGTCTCTATCTTCTTCATTCAGCTTCTTATCATATACTGTTACATTATATTATTTTGGATATTTGTTCATAAAGTATTTTTATTTTGTGTCTCTATCTTGTACAAGCACCATGAAGAAAGTTTGGGGCAGGAAAAAGAAATCCTGCCACAGTGTGTAGCACATATTCAGTGTTCAATAAATATTACTGAGTGAACAGATGAATAAATGAATGAACCTTACTTCAAGGAATCTGCACATTATCCATCAAACACATGGTTCGGATCTCGACTTGTATACTTCCTGCGAGATTACAAAAGTTTCTGAGAAAGCATACCTAAAACATTGTGGTGTTTGAGTTCTTTCAAAAGCAGATCATGAGACAAGAATTTGAGAGGAATGAGTTTATTGAGGAAGGTCTCAGAAATGTGGGACTTGCTGACACGGACAGCATCTGCTCCAACTGTCTCGTCATCAGACTTGTCTATCAGAACATACCAATCAATTACATCATCATTTCAGATCCCCCGTACATTACAGAATCCCACATTTAAGGAAGTTCTGATATGTAGTGCAAATTAAGTAAGTCTTAAAATTCAGGTAGGTATATAAAACCTAGCTAGAAAATAGATAGGAATATTTTGGGGGGCAGACCTTAAAATTAAAAGAACAGTAATTATAATAAAACTATTAACTAGTATGTTTCCGCTTAAAATGTGCTGCACCTTGTGTCAGGCACTTTATATTCCTTGGCTCCTTAATCCCAAACATTTTACTTCAAAACAGTTACTTCCTTCACTTTACAAATGAGACACTGGGGACCAAATAAGTAAAGCAATTTCTTTAAGGATGGAATCCGGATTCAACATCAAGGCTTTCTATTATCAAAAGTAACAATCTAGCCTTGACTTTCCATGTATATCATTGAGCACCAGACTTTCTTCCTTATTCTTGCTTCTCCTATTTACTATTATATTATTATGAGTTCTGTTACTGCTCATCGTGATTTCCATAATATAACTATACTTTCAGTTGTTTTTTTTTTCAAATTAAACTTGAATATTGATGTATTTCTATGAAAGATGAGAAAATTGGCACACTTATACTTCTCCCCACATTCCTGGACTCTTGTTTGCTTGGCAGATGTCCTTCAGGGGAAATAGAGTGATCAAATGCAAATATAGTAATAGATATGTCCCTATTTCCAGAGCAGATTTACTAGCATACTTTTGGAAACCATTAATTGTGCATTCTGCCACTCTATTTTTAATGGCATTATAATTCATTCCCAGATTGCTAGATAAATGCTCTGTTAACTGCCATTTCTATTACATGACTGCAAAATATAACTGAGAAGTAATAAATAGCCACATACCAAGTAATAAATGGTTTGTTTTCAAAACAAGATTGTGATTACTTGGATTTTTAAAAAATGTAATGCAATATTAAAACAGAAAAATACTGAACTCTTCTGAGGGATGTGGTAGTATGGAGTGGTTTGCTAAAATTGAATACATGTTGAGTTATCTTGTATTCAATTAAAATGACATTATTCCTGGAAACATCTATTTAATTGTATTGCATTCTATAATTTTTCAATTTTTATTTAGAATTTTCATTGGAAACAAAAACCAATTTTAAAATAATTTAAACTTTGTTTTTATCATTCTAAATGTATTACTTTGTAATTGTTAGCTAGAGACACAAAATAAAATATTCGCTCATCATTTATTAGTAATTACTTACAGTTGACTAACATGTCTTGACATTTATAGTATTTCAAAATTGCTGTCACAGAGTAGAATGTGGAAGTAAATTTCAGTTACTAATGTAAACCTCAACTGAACCTCAAACCAAGAGCTGTGAGACACATAAACATAATAAATATATTCACAGTCTATTTCAAAGGCAATCATAATTATGATCCTTGAAAATACCTTTTTCCTCCTTCAGAATATTTGAATTTGAAATTGCTTGGTACCAAGATTGAAAGATAACCTTAGGCCAGATCTTCTTTGTGGAGTAAATACAGTTTAAACAGTTGTCTCAATGCCATTCCTAAGATTTGAGAAAACAAATTTTGAGGGCAAAATGAGCCTGGGAGTTTAAGTGTCTTCCATTTCAGTAAAGCGCTCCTTTATTTTTAATATTCTGCTCCTTCCCCATCTCTTTCTAACTATGTGGCCTCATATAAGACCTGTACAAAGTGAATCCATGTTACTTTCTTTAAAGAAATATGAGGTGAGATTGATTGCCTTCAGATATCAAATACCATTCAGGTTTGAATGACTTTAAATCATAAGAATTCCTCTTGCAACCTAAACTTTTGAGTACTCCTTTGTTGGTATAGGAAAAAATAACATTGTATTGTTGCAGCTTTGTTTGCTTCAGTAATTCTGAGTTGTAGGGAGTGGGGCCCAGTAGCTTTTTTGCTCCCGTTAATTCAGCAAGCGGGAGGGAGTAGTGTTCAGCAGCTTTTTCACTTTCGTCGTTCAATGAGCGCGAGAGAGTGTTACAACTTTTTACTCCCGCCAACCGCAGTCAGCCAGGAACATCTCAACTCTTTAACCCTCACAGTTCAGCAAGCGACAGGGGGTGGCTCTCAATGGCTTCCTGTCTCCCTTTGTTAGGTGAGCAGGAGGGAGGGTAACAGCTCTTTTACTCCCGCCACCCGCAGGTCTGCGAGTCCCGGGTTCTTGTCCCATGACCAAGAGAAATAAGGTACATAAACACTGGAAGGTGAGTAAGGTAGAGAGGAATTTTACTGAGTGACAGAAGAAAAGCTCTCAGGTGTGGGAGGAGAGCCTGAAAGCAGGTAGCCATCTGTGAGGCTGAATTCTGTTGTTTTGTTTTTTTGTTTGTTTTTGTTTTTTGAGATGGAGTCTCGCTCTGTCACCTATCTTGGAGTGCAGTGGTGTGATCTCGGCTCACTGCAACCTCAGTCTCCTAGGCTCAAGCAATTCTCGTGTCTCAGCCTCCCGGGTAGCTGGGATTACAAGGGTGTGGCAACACGCCTGGCTAATTTTTTGTATTTTGTGTGGAGATGGGGTTTCACCATGTTAGGCAGGCTGGTCTTGAACTCCTGACCTCAAGCAATCTGCCCGTCTTGGCCTCCGAAAGCGCTGGGATTACAGGCGTTAGCCACTGCATCAGGCCAAGTCCGGGGAGTTTTCATGGGCTTAGAATGGGGTGAGTGCATGATGATTGGCCCATGGATGGTCTTGGAAAAATCGTCATTTGAGTGGTTAAAAGCCAACATTCGGAAGAAGCCAATCAAGAGAGAGGGGGTAAGATGGGGATAGAAGTTTTCACTCTGATTATGGACTCTGTCCAGAACTGGCAGCTCGGTTTTTAGGTTTTAAATGGTCCTTGGATTGAAGGTCAGGTTTCACTCCGTCCCTGTCTGCCTAGGAATTTGTCTGTCTCCTGTCACTATCAGTATGAAATGACTTTTTATTATTTAGTTGCTAACAGTAATTAAATTATTTCCGAGGCTTCTCTCCAATAAGCTAAAAGCAAACCAAAAAACCCCAAAAAAGCAAAACAAAAAGAAAAACAACACACTTTGTAACTTTTTTGTAGATTCATTTTCTTTCCCTCAGACCTGGCAATAGTGTCCTTTCCCAAAGAGTGGTAACTTAAACTTGACCCAACATTCTAACAAGGGGTGGAGCTTCCTTCATCTAAAGCTCTCCCACTAAAAACAGAGAACATTCAGATAAAGGATACTTTTGTGGTTAGGTGCCCCATTTAGCCCAGCTAATCTCCACATGATGAAGGAAACTAAAGAAGGCAGGGAGGTCTCTAAGCAAAATTGAACCAGCAGTGATGGTCTTGATCACACTCCAAACTACCTTCCAGTTATTTGTCAATGACATACACTCGCATACACTTCTGTGAACCATTCCTCAGAAGAGTCAGAGTTCCCAAGGGATCTATGTCCCAGGTTTCTTTTTTCCCTTTTATGCCCCTTTAGAAGCTCCATCACTTATTTGTCACTTCAGCAAGGATCTGGAAAATAAATTCACACCAATGAGATACTAAGAATATATTTCTAATTTTAATAGAGAGAAAATAGATTAAATTGACAAAAAAATAAACACTTTCCAAAAGGGATTTAGGTAAAGCCTATGAATTTCTTTTAGGAAGAGAGTAGAATGCTTAGTGTTTGAAAATATATAGTTGCTAAGAAGCATAGTATGTTTTACATTCAATGAATTCCTTTGATGTAAGTAACTCTTGCTCTCTTTTTACTGATTTTCTTCATTAGTGATTGGGATGACCTTATTTTATAAATTGTTACTTTTCTTAATAAAAGTATAATTTTCTAAGAGCTAATAATAATTTCTATTATTCTATTATAAAATGAGCATATGTTGAAGATTTAACTCATTAATGAAGGAAACAGTAGAATGATAAGAGAGTGAAAACTAAAGACTAAGTGGGCACTAAATTAGATATAAAATGGTTTGAGGTCTTAAGGAACAAGAAAGCCATAACCTTTTGGTATCTAAAACAATTTGCATCCACAGAGAAGAAGAAACTTTATACACTGTTGATAGATATGTAAATTAGTAATTAGTACAGCCATTATTGAAAATTATATAGAGGTTCTTTGGAAAAGTAAAAAATAGAACTATCATATGATCCAGCAATGGCACTTCTAGATAGATATATATCTAAAGGAAATGAAACCACTATTTTAAAGAGATATCTGCACTCCCGTCTTTTGCAGCATTATTTACAATAGCCAAGGTGTGGAGTTCACCTGAATATTCCTTGATGAATGAACGGATAAAAAACGTGTGAGATATATATATATATCATATTATACAATGGAAATCTATTCAGCCTTTTAAAGGAAGGAAATCCTGTCATTTTTAACAACATGGATGAAACTGGAAGACATTACACTAAATGAAATAAGCCAGCTACAGAAAGATAAATACTGTATGATCTCACTTATATGTGGAATCTGAAAAAGTTGAACTCATAGAACTAGGGAGTAGAATGGTGATTACTAGAGGCTAAGAGTTGTTGGGGGATGGCAGATGTTGATCAAAGGGTAGAAAATTTAAGTTAGACAACAGGAATAAGTATTTAGATCCATTGCACAGCGTGATGACCACAGTTAATAATAACATATTGCAGATTTCAGAATTGCTAAAAGTAAATTTTAAATGTTCTCACCACAAAAAAATTATAAGCATGCCTTCTATTTATTTATTTATTTATTTATTTATTTATGTATTTATTGAGATGAAGTCTCCCTCTTGCCGCCCAGGCTGGAGTGCGATGGTGCGATCTCAGCTCACTGCAACCTCCACCTCCCAGGTTCAAGCGATTCTCCTACCTCAGCCCCCCGAGTAGCTGGGATTACAGGTGCACACCACCACGCTCGGCTAGTTTTGGTATTTTTAGTAGAGACGGGTTCAGCATGTTGGCCAGGCTGGTCTCTAACTCCTGACCTCAGGTGATCCACCTGCCTTTGCCTCCCAAAGTGCTGGGATTACAGATGTGAGCCACCGCACCCGGCTGCTTTGCCTTATTTTTAAGGTTTAGATCATTTTCCTTAATGCCTGCATTACTGTTAAAATACAACTCACTCTTCATAGAAAGTAACCAAAAGAAGAATAGAAGGAGAGGAAGGAAGGAAGGAAGGAAGGAAGGAAGGAAGGAAGGAAGGAAGGAAGGAAGGAAGGATGGGAGGGAGGGAGGGAGGGAGGGAAAGAAGGAGGGAGGGAAGAATATTTACTATATTGTTCTTTGCATTGTATTCTTTTGAAGATATACTAATTGTCCCTGTACTCAGTAGTCTTTTAGTTGTTTTAAGGGTCAAAAGAAAACCTCCTTTTCACTTTCTGAAGGTTCACTGAGAATCAAATGGCAAAAGGCAGATTAATAGAAGAAAAGGAATATCAATTTATTTGATCATAGTTTTACATGACAAGGAAGTATTCAGAATGAAGACTCAAAAGTACGAGAGAACTGTCCATTTGTATGCTTAGTTTCAACGAAGTATGGACAAGCCATGTAAAAATATGATTGAACAAGGGCCGGGCACGTTACCTCACACATGTAATCCCAGCACTTTGGGAGGCCGAGGTAGGTGGATCACGAGATCAGGAGATCAAGACCATCCTGGGTAACACGGTGAAACCCCGTCTCTACTAAAAATACAAAAAAATTAGCTGGACATGGTGGCGGGCACCTGTAGTCCCAGCTACTAGGGAGGCTGTGGCAGGAGAATGGTGTGAACCCGGGAGACAGAGCTTGCAGTGAGCCGAGATGGATTCACTGCACTCTAGCCTGGGTGACAGCATGAGACTCTGTCTCAAAAAAACAAACAAAAAACAAAACAAAACAAAAAAAAATATATATATGTATATACATATGATTGAATAAAAAGTGTATGATCTAATGCTAATAGACAGAGTAGGGGAACCCATCAAAGCCTATCCATTTAGATTCTTCTTGGCTTCCCTGAGCATGCATTCCTTTCTTCTGCATATTGCAAAGGTCCTTCTCTGGAATGAATTCTTATGACCAACAATCAAGTAAGGTGGGTCGGATTCATTTCTCTGTGGCTTTACACAGAAAGGTGGGGGGAAATTTTTAAGTTTTATATCTGGTTTTGAAAAAGGGGTTTGGGTTTCTCTGACCCGCCATGGGGAAGGGGGATTGTATCTTCTATGGCTAGCATTGCAGGGAAATGAGGGGCCAGAGACAGGAGGGCAGGAGAAGAGCAGAGCAGAGCGAAACTGTTGCTTCTGAGGCCTTTACGCTGGGGCATTGTTTTCTGAGCTCCAACATTATGCCATTAATTCTGTGCTACACAGTAGAAATATGTTCCGTAAATATCTTATTCAATATAGGCTTCCATCATATTTTATAAATTTACCAGCCGATGTTCTCTGAATGAGGATCCTTGGCAACTGGAAATGTCAGGAGACCATAGAAAATAAGTTTGTCTTTTTTTTTTTTAATCTATAATAATTTGCTTAGGGTGAGGGAAAGGCAAAAACAATCACGTAAGACAAAATACTCTAATGTAAAATGAAAAAAAATTACAAATATACGAATAAGTAATGGATTTTCAGAAAGAGAGTTAATAAAGAAATGTCCTATGTTTGATGAATTGGTGAATCATTTTCCTGGTAGTTTTTAAAGGGCTGATTTCTATATCATTCTGCATTGCTTTATCTCAAGATTTGTGCAAGCTCAACCTCCTTTACAATATACAATTGTTTGTGTCTTCCCATATACTAAATTGTTAACCAAGTGAAATTATTCTCACTTTAAACATTGTTATGTCTCATTTACAAATGGAAAATATACTAATTTTTTAAAAAGTTTTATACACATTAATTCTTTGTCTTTGATATTTAGCACTTGTTTTAAAAATAAAAATGATCACAAAGCATTGTTGACATGAAAGTACAGATACTTGAAGTCAATGCCAAAATGTTTTTCTTTTTTTTTTTTTGTATTTTATTTATTTATTTATTTATTTATTTATTTATTTATTTATTTATTTTTGAGACGGAGTCTTGCTCTGTCGCCCAGGCTGGAGTGCAGTGGCGTGATCTCGGCTCACTGCAAGCTCCGCCTCCCGGGTTCACGCCATTTTCCTGCCTCAGCCTTCCAAGTAGCTGGGACTAGAGGTGCCCTCCACCACGCTCGGCTAAGTTTTTGTGTTTTTAGTAGAGACGGGGTTTCACCGTGTTAGTCAGGATGGTCTCGATCTCCTGACCTCATGATCCACCCGCCTCGGCCTCCCAAAGTGCTGGAATTACTGGCGTGAGCCACCGCGCCAGGCCCAAAATATTTTTCAATTGTCATATTTTAAAATGCCTTTATAAAAGGCCGTTGGGTTTAGTAAAAAATTAGACCAGGATGCTATCACTCACCATCACGGAAGGCCTGGTCCCCTCTGAATCTGCTGTAGCCGTACTCGGATTTGATTCCTACCAAATCCGTTGTAGAAGCTGAGCTTATATTGAATATTCCAACCTGGCATAACTACCTTAAGGTGTGAAATAATTCATGCTTAAAGGACATAACAATTATTTAATAGATACGTACGCCCAACACACCTAACGCTCAACGCACGTACACTCAATTTCAAGAACTATTTCCGATTAGATCCGCAAACCCTCTCTCCCCTGATCTCTGACTTTCCATCAGTCCAGGTAAAGTACCCTTGCCAAACCCCAAAAACAAGAGACTAACATGCCACCCAGTCAGAGCCCAGAAATCATAGTTTAACAGTGAATATCCCAACAGCTACCCTTCAATTGATGCAATTTTCCTAAAAATCTTAAGACCCCTAACTAAATTAAGCCTCCGTTCTATATAATAAACACAATACTTCCACCATTATACTAATATATCTTGAACATATTCCTCTGAAAGCACTACCCCATATATCATACCCTAAATCAATTATATCCTAATTATGAGTAACCTTCTCAGCCAAACCTCTGCCAATTCAACTGTAAAGACCGTGAATTCCCGGAACTGTAAACGATTGCTTATACTTACTTCTTTCCTTCTCATATTTTAGTTTTACATTGAAGTATTTACGCAGTTAATGTAGCTTAATTATTCAAAGCAAGACACTGAAAATGTCTAGATGGGTTTACACAATTCCATAAACGGATAGGCTCGATCCTAGCCTTTCTATTAACTCTTAGTAAGCTTACACATGCAAACATCCCCGCCCGAGTGAAAATGCCCTCTAGATCACCCGCATCAAAAGGAGCAAGTATCAAGGGCCCACAAATGCAGCTCAAAACACTTTGCTCAACCACACCCCAACGGGAAACAGCAGTGATAAATCTTTAGTAATAAATGAAAGTTTAACTAAGCTATGCTGATATCTAGGGTTAGTCAATTTCATGCCAGCCACCACAGCCATATGATTAACGCAAGCTAATAGAACTCGGCCTAAAGCGTGTTTAAGGTCTGCCCTCAATAAACCTAAACTCCATCTAAGTTGTAAAAAAACTTTAGCTGAAATAAAATATACTACGAAAGTGGCTTTAGTATCTTGAAGACACAATAGCTAAGACTCAAACTGGGATTAGATACCCCACTGTGCTTAGCCCTAAACTCTAGTAGTTACATTAACAAAACCATTCGTCAGAATACTACGAGCAACAGCTTAAAACTCAAAGGACCTGGCAGTTCTTTATATCCCTCTAGAGAAGCCTGTTCTATAAGCGATAAACCCGATACACCTCACCACCTCTTGCCCCCAGCCTATTACCGCCATCTTCAGCAAACCCTAAAAAGGTTGTAGAGTAAGCACAAGTGTACACATAAAAATCTGGTTTGTGTAGCTCATGAGGTGGCAAGAATTGGGCTACATTTTCTATATCCAGAAAATATCATGACTACCTTTATGAAATCTAATGGCTCAAGGAGGATGTAGCAGTAAACCCAGAGCAGAGTGCTTGGCCATGAAGCATGCACCCACTGCTCATCACCCTCCTCCAGTACTATTCTAGAGATTACTATTACTAAATACTTTCTACACACGTTGAGAGGAGATAAGTCGTAACACGGTAAGCATACTGGAAAGTACATTTGGGAAAAGTAAAGTGTAGCTTAACCCAAGGCATCCGGCTTACACCTGGAAAATTTCATCATGACCTGATCACTTTGAGCCAACTCTAGCCCCAAACCTCACTAAAAATACTATCAATTTACCTTAGACAAAAGTATAGGCTATAGAAGTTTCATCCTGGCTCAATAGACATGGTACTGTAAGGGAAAGATGAAAGAACTGAATCAAGCATTAAAAAGCAAAGAGAAACTTTTATACCTTCTACATAATCTATTAACTAGAAATAACTTTACATGGAGAACTATAGCCAAGTCCCCCAAAACCAGATGAGCTACCCAAGAACAGCAGAAAGAGCACACCTACCTGGTGGCAAAATAGTGAGAAGATTCATGAACAGCGGTGACAAGCCTACCAGGCCTGGTGATAGCTGGTTGTCCAAGAGGGAATCTTAGTTAACTTTAAACTTACCCACAGAATTCTTAATCTCCCTGTTAGTTTAACTGTTAGTCTAAAGAGAGACAGCTCTTTACACCCTAGGAAACAGCCTTCCTACAGAGAGTAAAAAATATTACCACCATAGTTGGTCCAAAGGCAGCCACCAATTAAGAAAACGTTCAAGCTCAATGTCCAATTATTTTAAATCCTAATCACTCTATTGAATTATTTTAAATCCTAATCACTCTGTTGAACTCCTAACATTACATTGGACTAATATATTACTTAATAGAAGCAATAATGTTAATATAAGTAACATGAAGACATTCTCCATTGCATAAGCTTACATCAGACCGGAATAAGCCACTGATTATCACAAGAGCCATTCCAATTCATCAGGGAAGGAAGGTATCATGTAGCTATAAATTAAATTACTTGGTTTCAGGGAAATTAGCAGAGTTTAAGTTGTTTTGCTTCCTGCTGAATATCTATGATTTTTTCTTTTCTGTAACATTCTCAATATCGCTGTTCCCCAGACAGTGAAGGTAGGTGACTGTGTAGGTCCATACAGTGTAACAGGGCATATAAAGAAGAGTAAGCTTAAGGCTAAAGGAGATGTCCCATTGTTCAGTGCTTTTTTTTAGTAGATCTTGTGTCAAGTGCTTTGCATGCTTTTTCTCTTTTCACTCTCACAACTGTCCTGTAAGGAAAATTGATTTGCTCCATTTTATAGTTATGAAAACTGAGGCTTAGATATTAAATTATTCCAATATCACACAGGTAGTAAGTTGTGGTGCAGGAAATTGAACACATTTAGGCCAGCTTCAGGGAGCACAAACAACCTTGTTATATTTCCTTTACAAAATTGAATGACTCAGGTTATATAAATAAGTCTTTGTCAAATCAATGAAAATCTCTTGGCTTCTTTTTTTTGCTATGTGCAAAATAGCAATTTATTTTTTTCAAGTTTTATTTTAGATTCAGTGGGTAGATGTGCAGGTTTGCCACAGGGGAGTATTGCATGATACTAAAGTTTGGAGTACAATTGAACCCCTGTTACCCAGGCAATGAGCATAGCTTCCAAAGGAAGTTTTTAAATCCTTGCCCCAGTTCCTCCTTACTCCCTTTTGTAGTCCCCGATGTCTGTTTTCTCTTATCTTTATGTCCATGTTTTATTTATAAGTGAAACATATGGTATTTGGTTTTCTGTTTTTGTGTTAGTTTGCTTAGGATAATGGTTTCCAGCTATATCCATGTTGCTGCAAAGGGCATGATTTTGTTCTTTCTATGGCTGTGTAGTATTTCATGGTGTATATGTACCTCATTTTCATTATCCAGTCAACTGTTGATGGGCACCTAGGTTGATTCTGTATCTTTGCTATTGTGAATAGTACTGCAATGAATATACAAGTGCATTTGTCTTTTTGGTAGAACAATTTATTTCCGTTTGGGTATGTACCTAGTAATGGGATTGCTGAGTTGAATGGTAGTTCTATTTTTAGTTCTTTGAGAAACCTCCAAAGTGCTTTTCACAGTGGCTCAACTAATTTACTTTCCCACTAACAGCGTATAAGTGTTCTCTTTTCTCTGCAGCCTCGCCAAAATCTGTTATAGTCTGACTTTTTAATAGTAGCCATTCTGACTACTGTAAGATGTTATCTCATTGTAGTTTTGATTTGCATTTCTCTGATAATTAGTGATGATGAGCATGTTTTTATGTTTGTGGGCTGCCTTTATGTCTTCTCTTGAGAAGTGTCTGTTCACATTCTTTGTCCACTTTTTAATGAGGTTATTTGTTTTTTACTTGTTGACTTAAGTTCCTTACAGAGTCTGGATATTAGACCTCTTTGTTGGATGCACAGTTTGTAAATATTTTCTCCCATAATGTAGGCAAAAGCTGGAAGCATTCCCCTTAAAAACTGGAATAAACAGGGATGCCCACTTTCACCACTCCTATTCAACATACCACTGCAAGTTCTAGCCACAGCAATCAGGCAAGGGAAAGAAATAAAGATGCCTTAACAGGAAAATAATAAGTTAAATTATCTGTCTTCATTGATGATGTGATTCTATACCTAGAAAATTCTAAAGACTATACAAATTGGCTCCTAGAACTGATAATTTCAGTAAAATTTCAGGATACAAAATCAATGCAAAAAAATTCAGTAACATTTGTATACACCAATAATGTTCAAGCTGAGAGCAAAATCAAGAATGCAATCCCCTTTGTAATAGCCACACAAAAAAATAAAATACCTAGGAATACATGTGGCCAGGAAGATGGGAGACCTCTACAAGGAGAACTGCAAAACACTGTTGAAAGAAATCATAATGGACACAAACAAATGAAAACATATTTCATTCTCATGAATTGGAAGAATCAATATCGTCAACATGGCCATTCTGCAAACCAACCTACATATTCAAGATTATGCCTATCAAAATGCCAGTATCATTTTTCACAGAATTAGAAAAGAGCTATTCTAAAATTTATAGGGAACCAAAAAGAGACTAAGCAACCAAAGCAATTGCAAACAAAAAGACCAACGCTGGAAACATCACATTACATGACTTCAAACTACACTACAAGGCTACAGTAACAAAAGAAAAAAAAAAATAAACATGGTAGTGGTACAAAAACAGAAACACAGACCAATGGATCAGAACAGAGAACCCAAGAATAAAGCCATATACCTACAACCATCTGATCTTCGACAAACTCAACAAAAAATAAACATTGGTGAAAGGACTTCCTATTTAGTAAATGATACTGAGATAATTAGCTATCCAAATGCAGAAGAATGAAATGAACCCCTACCCTTCACCATATATAAAAATTAACCAAAGATTAATTAAAGACTTAAATTTAAACTTCAAACTATAAAAATCCCAGAATAAAATGAACGTCAAGAAGAAAACACCCTTTTGGGGTTCAACAAAGGAAACACACTTCTCAACATTGGTCTTGGCAAAGAATTTATGGCTAACTTCTCAAAAGCAATTGTAACAGAAAAAATTGACAAGATGCACCTAGTTGTGCTAAAGAGCTTCTGCACAGCAAAAGAAACTATCAACAATGTTAGCAAATAAAAATTTTAAAATCAGTATTATAGAATTTATCTTTTCCTTCTATGATTTTAACCACATACTATGCTATTTTTTTCAAAGAAAAGGACACGTTTCCCATCCTTATTTAAAATTGAAGAAGATATTCTTTTGAAGATTCTATACACCTGGTATGATTACTTTTTTATAACACAAAAACCACCTGGATTACTATATGACAACTTTTCCCTTAAAATTCATTAATCAATGGCAAAGCACTACAATGCATTTAGAAATACTTGCAAGAAATTTTGTATCTTGATAACAGGAATATCATTTACATATATTTGAAAGTTTGGAATATTGGCATGTACAAGGCATTATTTATTTAGTCTAGAGTTATTGTGTGATATCAAAATGTATTTAATCTTCAGCTACCTGTTCCATGAGTTACACACTAGAAACCATAAATTTAGAAATCAGGGTTATAAGAAACTCTAGAGCAGATGTATTATTTTTTTTAAAGCACTAAGAAGGAAATTAAGTTTTTGAAATATTTAATATTATCAAATTGATAACTGTGCACTCACTAGGTATGTTTATCAGATCATTACATATAGTTTACAATGTATGCTAAAGGGAAATTAGTAGTTTTACAGTTTGGAGGCTGTGTTAGTTTGCTAGGGCTGCCATGACAAAGTAGCACAGACTGGGTGGCTTAAACAATAGAAGTATATTTCCTCAGAATTCTGGAGGCTGGAAGTTTGAAATCTAGGTTTCAGTAGGCCTGGTTTCTTCTGAGGTCTCTCTCCATGACTTGTAAATGGCCACCTTCTTACTGTTGCCACATATTTATGGTCTTTCTTCTGTGTGTGTCTCAGTCTCCTCTTTTTAGAAGAAGACCAGTTGTATGAGTCCATTTTCATGCTGCTGATAAAGACATACCCAAGACTGGCAAGAAAAAGAGGTTTAATTGGACTTCCATTTCCACATGGCTGGGGAGGCCTCAGAATCATGGTGTGAAGCAAAAGGCACTTCTTACATTGGAGGTTTCCAAACCTCAATTCTTGACTTCTGTGTACCCACAGGCTCAATATCATGTGGAAGCTGCCAAGGCTTGGGGCTTCCACCTTCTGAAGCCACAGCCTGAGCCCTACATTGGCCCCTTGCAGCCACTGCTAAAGCAGCTGGACACAAGGTACCACATCCCTAGGCTGCACACAGCTCAGGGACTCTGGGCCTGGCCCATGAAACCATTTTTTCCTCCTTGGCCTGCTGGCCTGTGATGGGAGGAGCTTCAGGTGAAGACCTCTAACATGCCCTAGAGACATTTTCCCCATAGTCTTGAGGATTAACATTAGGCTGCCTTCTACTTATGCAAATATCTGCAACTGGCTTAAATTTCTCCTTGAAAAATGAGTTTTTCTTTTCTACTGCATCATCAGGCTGCAAATTTTCTGAACTTTCTTGCTCTGTTTCCCTTTTACAACAGAATGTTTTTAACATCACGCAAGTCGCATTTTGAATGCTTGGCTACTTAGAAATTTATTCTTCCAGATACCGTAAATTATTTCTCTCAAGTTCAAAGTTCCATAAATTTCTAGGAAGGGGAAAAATGCCACCAGTCTCTTTGCTAAAACATAACAAGAGTCACTTTGGCTCCAGTTCCAAACAAGTTCCTCATCTCCATCTGAGACCACCTCAGCTTGGACCTTATTGTTCATATCACTATCAGCATTTTTGTCAAAGCCATTCAACAAGTCTCTAGGAGGTTCCAAACTTTCCCACATTTTCCTGTCTTATTCTGAGCCCTCCAAACTGTGCCAACCTCTGCCTGTTACCCAGTTCCAAAGTTGCTTCCACATTTTTGGGTATCTTTTCAGCAACTCCCCTCTCTATTGGTACTAATTTACTGTTTTAGTCCATTTTCACACTACCAATAAAGGCATACCCAAGACTGGGAAGAAAAAGAGGTTTAATTGGACTTAGAGTTCCACATGGCTGGGGAGGCCTCAGAATCATGGTGGGAGGTGAAAGATATTTCTTACTTGGAGGCAGCAAGAGAAAAATGAGGAAGAAGCAAAAGTGGAAACCCCTGTTAAATCCATCAGATCTCATGAGTATTATTCACTATCATGAGAATAGCATTGGAAGGACCTGCCCCCATTATTCAATTACCTCCCCCTGGGTCCCTCCCACAACACATGGGAATTCTGGGAGATACAATTCAAGTTGAGGTATGGGTGGGGACACAGCCAAACCATGTCACTGTAAGGTTCACCCCATTGACCTGTTTTAACCTTAAATACCTTTTTAAAGGCTTTATCTGCAAATAGTCACATTCTGAGGTACTAGAGTTTAGGATTTCAACTTAAAAGTTTTGGGAGTACACAATTTATCCCATAACCAAAGTTTAAGGGTTCATTCAATTATGCACATTCTAGCTATTAAGATCTATTTACAAAACGCATTTACAAACTATATTACCTTATTTTACCGTATCTCTTTAAAAATGAAAGTACTTTATAGCAATAAATGCAAAGAAACCATGAAACAAAAATAAGGCTATAATGTAAGCTTTATTAGACACAAGAAAATGCAAGATTTAACCCATCCCATTCTGGTATAAGCTTTTACTTAGCCACATAATGAGGCAAAAACAATGAGAGACATTAAGAGTATTTCAAGGATAACTCACAGGATTTCTTTCTCCTGTTATTAAAATAGCGTTCTGTTAAATTACTTCTTCCAATCATTGTTCTAACTATGCTCTCTTTAGTACTTTGCTGGAGAAATAAGCAAGACTTAAGTGGTAGCACTATCCATGACAGTATGTGAGAAAAAACTCTTTGCTGACCCAGATCTGGGAAATAAGGCTGTATGGGGGCTCTAAAGGCTATCTTCAAGCTTGATGATTTGCTATGAGGACTTACAGGTTGCAGATGCTATTATATTCACAGTGATAGTTTATTATAGTCAAAAGATAAAGAGAAAATCAGCAAAAGGAAAAAGCTCATGGGATAAGTCCAGCCCAATTCTAAGTATCCCTTCCAGTGGAGTAGCACAGCATGAGTTTGATTCCTCCAACAATGATCTGTCACCACATGTGTGGAATGTTGCTATCCAAGGAAGTTTAACTGTGCCTGGTTGTCTAGGTCTTTTTATTGTTGGCAGTCACAGTCAGGTAGTCTTACAGTGCCTAGGTAATTGACCTCGGTTACTGGCGCTCTAGCTTCCTAGATTCAAAGCAGGTGTTTACCATAAATAACATTACTAGGATAAACTATCTGGACAAAAATGGTACAGCATTTCACAAGGCCACAGGCATACACAAACAAGCTATGAGACACAATAGCCCAAGAGCTCAGCTAAGGCCATTAGAAAAGGCCTTTCTTGAGAATGGGCAGGGGTAGAACAACATAGTGCACTCAATTAACTTTCTCCTGTACATGGGCAAGTCCCAGCTTACAGTATTTTACCAGCAGGGGCTGGGTCCATATTACAGATAGTGAGTACGAGTGCTATTCCTAGTAATAACCCAGTATAAAACAGGAAAAATAAGTAAGATGAATCATTTTGAAGATTGAATTAAGTTTACAAATAAGAAAGAATAAAGTCAGAAGCTAGAAAATCTGACAGCCTGGCAAGATTCAGGGAAGTAATTCTGAATGAAGGGCTAGAAAAATGAGGAAGGAATAGATATCATTGTTACCAGATAACACTTAAATTAAATCAGGAATGTGCGAAATGGCTTACAGATAAATGAGAATAATTTTCAGAACAAACCTCTAGTGCCTTATAGCAATATTTCCAAGTTAGAGTGCATAGGCTTAAACGTTTTTCTGTATGTGTGCATAGGTAAAGAGATATCGATACGCATTATTACCTCAAAATATATCTCACATTGACTTCATTCTTGTTTGGTGACTCAAACAATTAGCTAACTTCACCTTAGACTTTTTATTTTATTTCATTTTATTTTATTTTTTGAGACGGAGTCTCGTTCTCTCACCCAGGCTGGAGTGCAGTGGCGCAATCTCGGCTCACTGCAAGCTCCACCTCCTGGGTCCATGCCATTCTCCTGCCTCAGCCTCCCGAGTAGCTGGGACTACAGGCGCCCACCACTACACCCAGCTGATTTTTTGTATTTTTAGTAGAGACGGGGTTTCACTGTGTTAGCCAGGATGGTCTCGATCTCCTGACCTCATGATCCACCCGCCTCGGCCTCCCAAAGTGCTGGGATTACAGGCTTGAGCCACCGCACCCAGCCCCACCTTTGACTTTTATCATGAAAAAATTATTATGCCAAGTGTGAACTTTCCTCTAATTATGGCTTAATTAAATTGAATTTGAAGTCTTTGTTCTAACATTGTTGTCATTGGTAAGAGAAGTATCCTACAGCCAAGGCTACTTGGAGGCTTTGGTGGGAAATATGATCAGGACTGAGACCTTTAATTCTATGTGGTTAGATTCTCACCTTGTTTTTGGATTTCATCTCTCTTTTAGTTAAAGGAATGCAAACTGTTCTACCATTATTTCTGCATGTTTGGGTTTATTTTCTCCTTTTTCTTTTTGTTTAGAATGTACAGCTTATTACTCTTGCATGTAGTGATTTAACTTCTTGAAGCAGTTTCTTTCTTTTAGAGTAGTTTCCTATGACAACTTCAGCAAATTACCACAAGCCGGGTGACTTAGAACAATAAAAATTTATTCTCTTACAAACTGAAGGCCAGAAGTCTATAGTGGGTTTCACTGGGCCAAAATCAAGGTGTTGGAAAAGTTGCACCTCCTCCGGAGATTCTAGGAGAGAATCAATTTCTGCACCTTTTGCAGTTTTTGGAGGCTGGTCTCATTGCATTGGCTCATGGCCCCATGTGACATCACCTAGTCTTCTCTTGCTTGCATAATCACATCACCTTTTTCCTTTTCTTCCTGTCTTCCAAATCTCCCTTTGCATTCTTCTTATAATAATAGCTGTGAGTACATCTAGGACCCATTCTAGTAATGCAGGAAAATATCCCCACTGCAAGATCCTTAATTTAATCCCATCTGCAAAGTCTATTTTGCTGTATAATACCATGTTCACGGGCTCCATGGATTAGAATTTGGACACCTTAAGAAGCCATTATTCAGTCTACCACACTTGCATAGAATACATGTCCACTCTAATTTTACTAATTGGTCAATAACTATTACTCAAAAAATATGTCTTGCATTATCTTTATATTTTCTTGGTGTTGAGCAAAATTAGTGGGTAAAGAGTCTGGGATTCCTTATTGTATCTCATAACCAGTCAGCTCAATTCTTATTTTCAGATGATAACCCAGGAAAACAGCTGATTCTTTAAGGCATCTAATACTGTCAGGTAATAAATCATTTCAAATTGAAGGGAACCTTCTACAGGTGGCATTGCAGAAAGCATTTAATGAAGTTTGAGATAACAACATTAGACAGTACAACACAGTAATTTTTCTTTTTAGAATTTTTGATAGATGATACATAGCTATCATAGATAAAAAGGCAAACAGAACTATTCCTCTGAAAGAATATATAGTTTGTGCATATCTGTTGTAAGAATAAATTGAATTTGGTCTGATATAACATAATCATTCATGATCATTCCTAAAAGGACTTTTATAAGTAAGCATTTAACTCCAGTGTATGACATAATTCAAAAAGAACAAAAATCATAAATATAGGGCTTAATGATTTCTCTCAAAAAGGGACACATTTTGGAACAAACGCTCAAGTCAATAAATAGAATGTTATCAATGAATCAGTCAGGTATCAGTCAAGGAAGTAGACTCAGTATAATAACTATGTAAAAAGAATTTATTCTGAGAGTATACTTCACAGGTACATGGGAAGAGTTTGGGAAGTGAAAATATGTAGTGAAAAGTCAGGTGATCATAGAGTTTCTAGTGAGAATAGACAACTCAGGGTTTGCTGGGAAATAAGAAGTTCCAAAACCTTCTACTGCCAAAGCAAAATATGGAATCGGGGACTTATAAAGAGGTTTATGATATGCTGTTGCTCCAATGCAACATCTGCTGTGATGTGTAGCCATGTATCTAGTGGTAGGCCTGGGGTCTCTGTTGGTCATTAGAGCTAGTAATTAGAAAGGTGAGCTGGATGTAGAGGAGATGAGAGAAAAGATTATCTAGACCTTAGGGCACTACTATGCCTGTCTATCACCATATTAACTGTGGTAATTTTCCAAAAATAATGACTACTTATTGAGCTCAAGTTTCTCTTTTGTCCAATCTTAACCTGGAATCATACAAGAACAGCATCATCCAGCTCATCCAGCAAATGAGCATTTCGGGAGCACCCTTCTCCCCATGGTCCCATCCACTTAACGAAGTTTGAAGGTAGAATTTGGATACCTTGAGAAGCCATTATTCAGCCTACCACACTTGTATAAAATACATGGCCACTCTGATTTTACCATTTGGTCAATAACTGTTACTCAAAAAATATGCTTATGTAGTTAGTGACTATGGGGAGTCACTATACCTTTCATGAGTAGCCATTGTGTTAACTTGTAACTATCTAGATTAATTTTGCCTGTCTTGTACTTTATTTGAATGGACTCACCAAATGTGCATTTGCTTCTGGTTTCTGCTGCTCAACATCAACTTTTGTGAGTCATCCATGTTGTTGTGTGTAGTTGCAATGTATTTATTCTCATTGTTATATTTACTATTCCATTGCCTGAATAGATCAGGAGCTTTTTTCTATTCTACCAATAATGTATATTTGAATTGTTTCCATTTGAGGGTTCTTGATAACAATGGTGATGTGAATAGTCATATATATATATATATATATATATATCTTGGGTTGCACATGATTGTTTGGTATTTACTTAAGAATGGAATTTATAGTCTAAGAGATAGGTATATGTTTAATTTGACCTGATGCTACCAAATTATTTTACACAGTGGGTACTTAACTTCTCAAAATAACATTTCTAGTTTACAAATGATGACAATATTTTCACTCTTGTATGGTTATTATGAGCAGAAAATCATAAAATCCATTTTAAACACTTGTGTGCCTCAAACATAATGGGTCCTCAGTAGGTGATGGGTCATTATTATTTACTATATCTTCATAGTTTGATAATCACAAACCAGCCAGAGCTCATTAGTTCAAGCAATATTTCTTAACTACACATAACATGCCCAACACTATACTATGTACTCCCAGCCAGTGATGTATAATACCTGGGCTTGATCCTCAGTTGTCTCCGAATAAGCACAAGGGACATTAATATGACTGAGTAGAACCCTATATATAACTACACTGAGTGTGTTTCAAGTGCCAAAAAGCAGTAAGTCCACTGTTTGCAGAGCATTTGGATGATCTCATTAGTAACAGGGGAGGGCTGGAATGGAGGGATTAGTACATTTTAGCTGAAGGTATGGATACTAAATTCTCATTTAAGTAGAAGTAAATTTTGACTAGATCCTAAATTTACTTTTCAATCCTGGTGTTCCTGATTCTCACCTTGGATCACAATTAACATAATAATGACAAAAATTGGCTTGAAAAGATTAGTGAAACACCTAGAAGTGCATAAGAAAGAGGAAACGTGCCTACTTCTCAAGGATTTGCAGTCTAATTGGAACACTAACGATAAACAAACAAGTAAATATATAATACATAAAGTCAAACCAAAAATTACTTAAAGAACAAAATGAAAGTTCTGTTCCCTCCATTCTAACCCTCCCCTCTTACTAATGAGATCATCCAAATACTGTGCAAACAATGGGCTTAACTGCTTTTTGGTACCTTGAAACACAATTAATGTAGTTAAGTATAGGGATCTCCTCAGCATTTGGGGAGACAGAGATTGCCAAGAAATACAGTTTTAGATAATTTGGTGAGGGAGGCATTTGAGAATACCTACAACGTGTATGGGTATGTTATCAAAAGGATAGAACACTGTATTTCAGACATAGCCTTAAGCATGAACATTTACGCATTACGTAATGTTAGAACACTGTTCACATTTGACAACTAAAAAACACACACACACACTCACACACACGGACATTTAGAGAGAAGATACAATATTTGCCAGACCCTGACAGATTTCAGAGAATAATCTTTGACACATAAAAGTTGACTAAGGAAAATTTAGCTGTGACAGTTGACTGTTACATTTTCTCATTTATTACAATTATGACTTGTCAAAGAGATAAGACAAACTTGAGTCTCTAGGACTATTAAGGAAAGAGAGTGCCAGTAAAACTTTATGTTTTTATTTTTTCTGACTTATTTCCAGATCACAATTTCTTCAATTTAAAGTCAAAAATTCTTGATTATGCAAGTTCCACTTGCTTTCAGATAATTCATCTGGGAGCCTTGTTTCCAGCAAGATGAGTAATTGCTAGATTAATAAAGACATCAAGACATCAATGTTCCCCCATACAAATGCTTAGGGTTCCCTGCCCTGCATATATGAGATGTGTCATTTTCTCTGACTTGCCTAGATAGTATAATTTTCTCAATTTATATTCCTCTTCTTTTTATCATTATTCATATTTTTTAAAAATTAACATTTTTCAAGAATTTCCATTGTGGGACTGGTAGATAGTCATAGCAAAGCAAAAGGATGTGAGGAAGCAATCTGGTCTCGTTGCTTGTTGGATGCAAGATCTTGGCCAATTTATTTAATTAATTCAAGAAACATTTATAAATACCTACTATGTGCCAAATTCTCAAGATATTTTTAGTTAATCAAAGACAAAAATATCATCCTGTGTGGGGTTCCCTCTGAATAGCTAGATTTCTAATCTGAGGGTAATTATATTATTAACTATCACAAGGGTGATAGCATGGACTAAGTGAATTCATGGAAGGACTTGGTTATTAAACAGACCTGGTTATGCCACCCATTTGCATGAATTTTAAGCAGTTTTTAAAACTCAGTTTCTTTGTGTCTTCTGGACACCATAGTGCCACTTCTTATTTTTTACAGCCAAATTGTTTTAAGGTATGTTGTTTATACTTACTGTTTTTGCTTTCTCAACTTCCTATTCATTACTAAATTCACTATGACTTTTATTTTTACATTACCATACGCTAAATTCCTCTTATCATTTCAACCATACACCATTACCATGGACAGTTCTCATCACTACAATGTTTCCCTTAGGCAACATTTGACACTCTAGAAAACTTCCCTTGAATCCTCTTTCACTTTCATGAAACCACACTACTTATGTTCTCCTTCTCATTTTACATTATCTCATTATTTTCTTACTTGTAATTAAATCAGAATATTCTTCAGGCCTGTATACTCCATCTGGTCAATTTAATTCACTTCCATAGTTTAAATTACAGGTTGTCTCCAAAATCACTCTCTTGCCCAGAATTTTTCTTAAAAGAAATAAAATATTTATTTTATTTATTTTTTTCCTGCTCATATCAAGTGGATATCTTGTAATAGCTCAAGTTCAATACCTATAGTACTGAACTTACTTTTCATTAGTCCCACTGAACCTGCTTGCATTTTCAATAATACAACCTTCCTTTCAGTTATCAAACTAAAAAATCTGAATATAATCCTTATCTCCTTCTTCTCCTTTATCATCCACATTCAGTGAACAACTAAGTCTTGTCATTTTGGCATGCAATTATATCTCAAATCCCCCCTCCCACTCTATTAATTTCACTTTTACCCTTACTGTTTCTTTTATGTACTGCTGCGATAACCTCCTAATTTTCTAATTTTCACCTTTATTCTTGCTTCCACTGAGTTCATTCTCCGTAATTTTAGGAGAAAGGCCTTTCTGACATGAATATGAACATATTACTGCATGATTAACACCTTCCAATGATAGTAGATAAAATCCTAATACATGAATATGACCTTCAAGATTTCCTAACAATCTAGTCTTGATTTTCTCTCTAGCCTGTGTTTCAAATGTCCACTGTACTAATGAGAAAAAAAAAACAATTTCTGAACAATTTCACTTGCTGTTTTCTACCTCTATCTCTATTGTCTATTCCAAATGTTCACTGTAATAGTGAGTAAAAACGTTTCTGCACAATTTCACTTTCTGTTTTCTTTCTTTCTAGAATATATTTCCTTCTCTTTTCCTGAATTCATCCTTTATGTGCTTCAACTACCAGGGTAACTCTTCTCACCATGGAGGTCTGGTCTTCCCTGGACTTCATTATTGTGTTAAGATCCCCCAGTACAGCTTCATGTTCCCATGATTTGCTCTTATTATGACAATCTTTATATTTCACTATAGTTTCATGTGTGATTATCTATCCTTTCTACTAATGTGTCAGCTTAATAAGCAACTCAGTTTCTTATCAGTAAGCAATGCCTACTACATTATATTCACTTAGTACGTGTTTACTTAATGAATGAATGAGTGTTGACATATGTATGTAACTCTTTTGTTGAATGGGGGAATGGATATTGAGGTGTTATTACCTACTCTTCTATTATATCAAATCACTTTTCTAATGTGCATGTTGCATTGGTCCTAGTAGATTTATAATTACTAAATAATTATAATCACTACTTATCACATAGCTGTTCATCACATACCTGTTTATTTTTTCTCTCCAAAAATGCACACAGACACAAATAACTAAGCCGTTTAATTTCACGATTAACCCCTTTCAGATTTGGTAATGTCATACTTTGAGTCAGCCGCCGCAGTACCGCACAATTGCTCATATTAACTCTATTTGGTTAAAACATACTGGAACAGGTTCAAGAGGCCCCAATGTCCTCCCAAGAAATTATCAAACAACATATCACGACTATCTGCCACTAGGTTTACACTTCACTCAACTCTTCCCCTTTTCTCTCTCATCCCAATTTAAATATCTCTCTGTTACAACTGCAAACATATAATTAGCACTATTAAATTATGTTTATTATGAACAAAGGCAATCCATCACATCTGTGAAATTATAGCCATAGAAAATAAGTCCCTTAGAGGTCTCCATTTACTAGGAAACTAAGAACAGTTTTACTGGGTCTGTATTTTAGATCTATGTTAAATATAATAATGTATATTTGATGCTTTTATTTAATATGGAGGGATTAGAAGAAGGTATATTAAAAATGGTCTCAAATAATTGTTTTATCAATAAACAATTCAGAAAATAGAGTTAAGATGAGCACTTGTGTTATATTGCAGTGGCTGACTTAACGGATGACATTACCAACTCTGAAAGGGACATTCGGAAATTAACCGGTTTAGCCATTTGTCTATCCAAAATATTTTATTCACTGTACAATGGAATTTAATAGCTCAAGGGGTTAAATGTCTCAATAGTATTATAAAAGTGGTTAACCTTTTTTAAAAAAACATAATTTTTACAAATGGAGAAAACTCAATAATCTTTGAATGTGAATGTAAGTAATACACTTAGTTATGGAAGTCAAAGTATGGGAAGGTAGTTAATCAGGAATAATTGTTTCTGGTTGAGTACTAGAATTCTCTGAGTTAAAAATATGGTTTTTTCCTAAGGATAAAAATAAACTTACCTTGTGGAAAGTAAATTAAAGTGGCAATACGTTTTGTGAGGAAAATAAACTCTGCTATGTTTTATCAATGTAAATGTGTTATTACAAGATTATATCAATCTTCCTGAAATTCACAAAAAAATGACTTAATATTGAATCTATGTGTAGACGACTTTTAAATAGCATGAAAAGATCAGACAGAGAACCTGGGACAGAAGAAATAGAGTACAGTTTAGTTAACCCTTCTTTGCTATTATTGTAAATGGTATTAAAAGAAAATGCTTGTAGAAATGCTGAACCCCTTGATGGTTTTAATCCTAGTAGAATAATATTCTACATTTATTCATATATGGTGATATCAGCTCACAAAAAACCTATACCTACCCCAACCTTGGGCCCACAACACTGGAAAAGTACAACTTACAAAGAGTCAAATACTAATGACTTTCATAAAAATAAGCAAAATCTATATTAAATATTTTATTCATTTCACTAATTAATAAGTGAAGCAATAAAATGTTTATCCTGGTTCAAAAAGTATTTGAAGATCTAGATATTTATAGGGAATTTACAAATAAATTTTGTAACAAAATTACCAGGCGAGATTAAAAAGAAAAACCGAAAACTGGTTAATCTCCTCTGGGGCAATAAAATGAAACCTTTGTAGTTATATTTTCTACTGTACAGAAAGTACTAGCATCATTATAGACAAAAATCTATGTGTTAAAATATAATTTTTCTAAATGTACTTTTAGGCAACTGTAAAGAATAATGAGAGCAAAGCATATCCCCTTAGGTTATCCTTAACTGGGTTTGTCTCCTTAGAACCTGAAAAAATACCCAATTGATCTTTTAGCCTAATTTTCGAGATCTGTATACTTTTTTCTCTAACAGCACTCGATAGTTTTGAATAATCTGCTGAATAAACAGTATAAACAAAAGAGTACCAGAATTCCCTCACAAAATAAATGGGATAACAAGCTAACAAGCCTTCTATGTCATAATAGATAAATAAAAGACAAAAATCAGAACCTCAACAAGATAAGATTTAACAAGCAACTTGCATATATAAAATAATAGGAGAATAAAATTGTATATAATTATATAAGTTCATGATGAAAAGATTAGAAACTAAGTGCTGGAAGAACGTGCTATTTAAGATCTTGAAACAAATTATAGCATTTAATTCCCATTGTACCCCTCTGGGTTAGGCATTTTAATACTGGTTTTAGAAATGACAGTACACACATTTTTGAAGGTTAAATAATGGAAGAATTACGCCATGACAATGGGTTTTCAAATATGTAGAAGATCTGCCTTTACAGGAGTAGATAGAAAAGGAGAAACTCATTTTTAAAGACAGCATAGATACCAAGAACATTGTATTTGTTTTACTGTAGTTAATGCCTGAATTCCTTCATGTTTGCCTTCTTTTACTCCCTGAGCACAATCATTTTATAATGAACTAGAGAGCCTTAAAACAATGTAAATCATCACTTATTTGTCAGAAAATTCAATACCCTTTTCCCCCTCAAGTTTACATTAAGTTTTCTGAAGAAAGTTATGTCAATACTCTGACTGACAGATCATAAATCCCAACAGCAGTCTTATGGATTAGCAATTATTCTGGAATATAACTACTCCAAATTCGAGATGGGATAATTTCATGATCATTGTCTAGTATATGTCAATGAATATTTCATTTCTTGTATCTCCTTAATCTGTTGTATATTACCCAGTCAATTCTTCTCACTATTTGACATGGTATTAAAGATTTTTTTTGCCCTGATATTCACACAAATTTCTTCTTAAACTCATGCTTTTCAAAGTAGCTTCCCACATCTCTGAGAGCTTTTTCACCCTTAGCAACTATTTTGAAATTAAAAATACATTTCATCATAATTGTGCTGTATTCCCCATACTCTGCCTCCCAAATATGTTTTCTGATTCACTCATTCCATTTTCTTTTCAAAATATTGTGATTTTCACAGTATCTACTGTTCGTATAGGCCTACTTAGCAAGAAACTGGAATGACAGCCAACACAGACGTCATACCTCAAGCTTTTGAAAAGTTTTGATAAAAATATTAAATTCTAAAGGCTTAAATAAATTTGTCTTCATTTTCTTTGCCTTGAATGAACTACCTCCATTGTACATTTTACTAGCATGATAGTTAGTGGGTTTTATTCCAGAGTCTTTTCCTGATGGTAAGGCCAGGCAGGGCTCAGTTATAAAATAGGAAAATAATGTCTTTAATACTTTCAATTGCATTCTCTCTCTTCTCAATAAGTCCCTTGACTTTGACCCTGAACTATGTTCTTCATATTCTGAATGACTCAGCCACCCTACTAGACAAATCATTTATACTGTATTAACCTACCATTTAGGTCATATAAAGGGAGACTTTTTAAACTCGAAATTTCTCTTTAATTTATGGTTATAATATAATTTTTTAACAAACATAATGTTGATAAAATTAATATTAATCATAATAATAACTGACATTTATCTGGTTCCTAGTATAGCCATGTTCAGGTACTTTAAATTATTATCTAACTTACTCATTATAATAACTTTTGAGATACTTCATATTATTAAACATATTTGCTCATTTTACAGCTGAGATTCAGAAAAGTTAATCAATTTGCTAAAAAAAGTCATACTGCTGGAATGGAAAGTATTCTATTTTGGAAGAGGAATAAAGAAAACTCATATGTAGTTTTAACAGATTTTCTAGGGTCTATAAATGACCTTGGAAAATAACTGATGAATTATTTTAATTGCTTCTTTAGATTTGAATGAATCATAGAGTAGCCAAATCATGTATCCAGATCTTCTGGAAGACCTGTGGCAGTCTATTGAAGAAGTGAGCAGTAGGTATGTTTACTTTGATGCTTGTTGCTTTTCTTGTTCTGCTGGAGCAATGTCCTTTTCTCCTGGTACCTACTTCTACCTTTTTTTCAATTTCCTCATCAATAATGAGCACTTACATTGGATTTCACACCTTTTGTCCTCAAGTGGCTGTTCAATACAGTCAATGTCAGAAATTTTACCTAAATGTCTAAACAATTCCCTGAGAAATTTTTCTGATAAAATAGCATCTGAAAGACGGGAACACATTCTAATCCAAATGAACTAAAACCTTGGATGTAATGTCAGACATGTGTAATAAGAGGGAACCAAACTCTTACCCAGGTATAGTTTGTAATTACAACTTGATAACTGCCTACCTCAATAATTCATTGAACACATCTATTGAGTTTCTACCACATGCTATAAGCTACATAGGCTTGTGTGTTCTCTGCCTTTGTGGGGGTTACAGTCATTCAGGGAAGCTAGATCATTCAAAACATACAAAACATTAAATTGAGAAATGTCCAGACTGAGAAAAAAGAAAGATACGTGCTTTTTATTCATGCTACAAACACGGAAACAGAAGAAAAGACAGTGGAAGTTAGGGAAGGGCAAAGGAAACAATAAAGAATAGAAAAGTCATTCAGGTGAGTTAGAGTGATTCCCAACAACCTCAGGACCATGAGTTTCCTACCCTTTTCTTCTCTGCAAATAGTTTAAAGCATTGATGTAGTACATTCTTCCATTTTTTTGCATGGCGGAGGGGGTACTTAAAGGAAGAATCCCTGAGCCCCAATTGATAAGAACAATTTCAAATCCTCTAGAAAGAAGAGAGGATGTATACTCCTTTGAGTAAAATATGCTCATGCTCATTACAGAGCATGTCCCCAAACAGTAGTAGAACTCAGAGATAATGAGGATAAAAATAAAGTTGAGATTTAAATCTCTTCTGGGATGCTAATCATTACACCAGACTTTACCATGTTAGGGCTTGGTTGTAAAAAGACCAGGGAAGAAAGATAATTCTGTTATGTATTTCCAAAGGAGTGTTTTCTTCTCTTCATACTCTATCCTAAAACAATTATACTAAATAATGAATTATTCTTATAAGAATCACTAGAACAAATTCTTATATTTAATTGATATTATAAAAAGCATAACAAATTATTTGCATATATCTTCCCTGTTATAAGTGACTTTTAAATTTATGAGAGTCCAGTGAATGTTCGGGTTCACAAACATCTACTAATAATTTGTTAGTAATTCAAAGTATATAATAGTTACATAAATAGATAATGGTTGAGAAAAAAATCATCACCTACTTTGAATTTTTATAAGAAAAATAATTATGATTTTTCTATTACATATTATTAGATTTTAAGCAATATACATTATTTTTATCATTACCTTGATTGCTTTGATAACTTAAAGATAGGATTAGATAATTCTCATTGAAATGGTTTAAGATTGTGTCAGCATATCAGTACAAAAGCCTCAATTTGGGGCCTCAATTTACTGTACTTAAATATGAATTTAGATTATTAGCATCTGTAAAGTGGAGGAGGCTTATTATTTGTTTACCCTTTAGAGGACTTTTGTAAAAATGTTTACAAAATTGATTTTTATGGGATAGCATTTTCTGATATAATTACTCTACTATAACCTGTTTAAGAAAAGAATTTTGGAGACAGAAGGGACGGGAATCCTTTCTCCTAGAAAAAGTAAAGGATGGAGTTACTTTGGGATAACTTAGAAAACTCTTTTGTTGGGAGAAGCCTGCAGATTCCATTGTGACATTCCAAACTCATTTCAAAGGAGTGTTATCTGAACCCAGTTTTGGAACCCATCAAATAACCTATTTTTTCATGATATAAAGTTGGAGAAAATGTTTTTACATCTGTGCTTCTGAGTCATCTGTTCTTAATGAAATTGTTAGCAAACAGTTCTGATCATTGCACCATCTTGACAGAATTTATAAAGCCAAGACTGACTGGTACAGTGCTTTTGAGAATTCGAGTTGCTGAAATTTTAAGTACCAAAAGGGAAATCCAGTACTTACCAAAGCCTTAAAAAGTATGTAGGCCAGAAGAAAACAAAGGGAGTAACTCATGAAAGATAGAAAAAGAAAAAAAGTCTGTAGGAAGATTTATGAATCCCTAACCTATTTTGCTGTAATTGTTTAATCCCTAGTGCAAACAGATGAAGGACAGAATCTGATGCATTTCCACTTACCTTCAGAATTTTTCTCCATGCAAGATTAAGATTTTACAAATACAATGCATTTTAACATGTTCTCTTTTTCAAGATTATAATTTAGTCGTGGAGGGAGTTTAAACATTTCAGGAAAAGAGAAAGCGGGGTTATAAAATACATATCACTTTCTCTTTCACCAACTTCTTCCCTATGTGATCCCCAATATTCATAAACAGACATAGAGTATTTGTATACTCCAGATACATAAGAAATATAAATGTGTTGAGACATATTCTAATAGATATCTACATAGCTAATATATGTATAATATATACATGCAAAATAAGGCATAGAAATAATGTTGAAAATCACTAATCTATACTTAAAACTTCACTATAAAAAGGAAAAAAAATAAGAACCAAAGTTAAGAAAGTTGCCCAATATTTATAACTACTGAGGATACAGAAAAATTGTTTCTCAGTAAGCTGATCTGCTTCTCAGAACATAACATTTGCTGCTTCAATCTTTCCATTACTTTTCATTTAATTGTTCACAAATCATTAAATTGAGTCTAAAAATGCCCTTTTCTTAACAATATTCTGTTAGAGTGGAGATAAGTGAGAGAATCCCTTTTCAGTCAATGGTGAAGAGTAGAATATTAAGCATCTCCCTTGAGAGTATGAATGAAGGTGATATACAAGAGAAACTGAAATGTAGAAATTTTGACAGTTTTTCTTTATGTAGCTTTACTTCTATAGGATTAGAAGTATTCAAACTAGCAAGACAAAGTACGAATTTGAACTCTCTCATCAGGAATAAAAAAAGATGTCAAATTTTTATCTAAGTTTATATTGGAATATCAACATTGGAGAAGGATAAAATGCATCACTAGCTTGCTAAAACAAATGCACACTGAATTTAGTGGTCCTAAAGCAATAGAAATTTATTTCTCCTTTATAAACTATCCATGATGGGCACCTTCTGTTGGCAGGTAGGTTTCATCTGTATGTTAATTGAAAGACTGTATTCCTTCTTGTGGAATCCATTTGTGGTTCCACTGTGACCTACAGCCTTAGAATCCTCTTACATCCTATTCATGAAAGGAGGAAAGACAGTGAAGAAAGCATGCCCACAACTTGTTGTCTGTGTTTGCAAAAAAACTCACTCTCAATGGTAGGTATTTTGTCAGTTTATTGCTTTCCAGTCTATGCCCAGTAATTAGAAGAATGGCATGCTCTGAGGATAAGACATTTAAGTATTTGGTGAAGATGAACTTTGTGTATTTCTTTGCCAAAGGACAAAGAATTGTTTATGAATGTTACTCTAAGCTTTGGTGTGTTGAAATAATATTTCGCAATGGCTGGACATTAAATGGTATGATGAGTATCAAGGTGAAAAGATAAAACTATTTAAAATAATAATAGCTATAATAATTTGTTAAGAAATACACAGTATAAAAAGATGTAAACTGTGACATCAAAATATAAAATATAGGAGTGGAATGGAGTGAAAGTGTTGTTTTTAATGCATTCAAAGTTATGTTATTATCAGCTTACAATAGCTCATTATAACTAAAATGTTTTGTGTGATCTTTATGGTAACCACAAAGCAAAAATCCACAGATACACGAAAGATATCTAAAAATATTAAAATATAATGATTCAAAGCACCACTAGAGAAAATCATCAGTAAAAATGGAAGACAACAAGAAAGGGGGAAAAATAAATATCTACAAAACAACCAGAAATCAATCAACAAAATGGCAATAATAACTCTTTATCGGTCAGAATTTTAATACAATCATATAATGCTTAACAATGGAGATACATTCAAAGAAATATATCCTTAGGTGATTTTGTTGTTGTGCAAACATCATAGAGTGTACTTACACAAACCTAGATGGTTTAGCCTACCACACACCTAAGCTATACAGTACAACTATGTCTCATAGGCTACAAACCTGTGCAGCATGTTAACATACTAAACACTATAGGCAATTGTGACACAATAGTAAGTATTTGTGTATCTAAACATACCTAAACATAGGAAAGGTACAGTATAAATATATTACAATTTTATGAGATCACCATTGTATATATGGCTTGTTGTTGATGAAAATGTCATTGTGCAGTATGTGACCATAGTTACTGTTAATATAAATGGATTAAATTCTCCAATCAAAAGTCACAGAGTGGCTAAGCAGATAAAAAAGGAAAAACACAAGACTAACTATGTGCTGCCTATAAGAGACTCATTTACCTTTAGGGAAATATAGAAATTGAGAGGGAAGAAATATAAAAAGAGGCCGGGCACAGTGGCTCATGCCTGTAATCCCAGCAGTTTTGGAGGCTGAGGCCAGTGGATTGCTTGAGGCCAGGAGTTTGAGACCAGCCTGGCCAACGTGGTGAAACCCAATCCCTACTAAAAATACAACAACAACAAAAAAATTAGCCAGGCATAGTGATGCGCACCTCTATTCTCAGCTACCCAGGATGCTGAGGCAGGAGAATTGCTTGAACCCAGAATGTGGAGGTTTCAGTGAGCTGAGATCATGCCACTGCACTCCAGCCTGGGTGACAGAGTGGGACTCTGTCTCACAAAAAGAAGAAATAGAAAAAGATATTCCATGCAAATGGAACTCCCCAAAAAAGCAGATGGCAGATATAGCTATATGTATATTAGAGAAAATCAATTTTTAAGTCAAAATCTACAAAAAGAGACAAAGTAGGTCAATATATACTGATAATGATGTCAATTCATCAGAAAATATAAAGATTATATATATATATATATATGCACCTGACATTGGAGCACTTAAATACTTAAAGTAAATATTAATAGATCTGTAGGGAGAAACAGATGGCAATACAATAAAACAAGAAATTTCAATACTTCATTTCAGCAATGGATGGATCATGCAGAAAGAAAATCAGTAAGGAAATATTGGAGATACACTACACTTCAGACAAAATAGACCTAACAGACATATATAGAACATTTCTTCCAACAGCAGTAGTGTACACATTCTTTACAAGTGCACACAGCACATTCTCCAGAATAGACCATATGTTAGGCCACAAAACTTGTCTTAACAAATTTAAAAAGATCAAAATCATATCAAATATCTTTTCTGATCACAATGGTATGAAACTAAAAATCAGTAACAGGACAAATTTTTAAACATTCACAAATACATGGAAATTAAAGAACATTCTCCAATCGCCCAAAGAGTCAAATAAGAAATTAAATGGAAAACTAAACATATCCAAACTTATGGGATACAGCAAAGGCAGTTATTTCAGGAAAGCCTATAGCAATAAATGTCTACATAAAAGAAAGAAGCATCTCAAATAAATAACCTAATGGTTATCCCTCAAGAAACTGGAAAAAGAAGAACAAACTAAACCCAAAATTAGTAGAAGGAAGGAAATAGTAAAGATCTGAATAAAAGAATTGAAATAGAGATTAGAAAAACAACAGAAAGAAATCAATGAAACTACAAGATGGTTTTTTGTTTTGTTTTGTTTTTTGAGACGGAGCTGGAGTGCAGTGGCACGATCTCGGCTCACCGCAACCTCCGCCTCCCAGGTTCACGCCATTCTCCTGCCTCAGCCTCCTGAGTAGCTGGGACTACAGGCGCCCGCCACCACGCCCGGCTAATTTTTTGTATTTTTAGTAGAGACGGGATTTCACCATGTTAGCCAGGATGGTCTGGATCTCCTGACCTCGTGATCTGCCCGCCTTGGCCTCCCAAAGTGCTGGGATTACAGGCGTGAGCCACCACACCCGGCCCGAGATGGGTTTTTGAAAAGATAAACACCATTGAAAAACTTTAGCTAGACTAAGAAAAAAAAGAGAAGACTCAAATAAATAAAATCTAAAATGATAGAGGAGATACCACCCCTCATAACGCAGAAATACAAAAGATTATGAAACTACTATGAACAATTATACATGGACAAATTGGATAACCTAGAAAAAATCCTGAAGCACATACAAGCTGCCGAGACTGAATGAGAAAAGAAAAATCTGAATAAATCAATAATAACTAAAGAGAATGAATTAGTAATAAAAAGTCTCCCATCAAAGGAAACTCAGTACCCGATAGCTTTATTTCTGAAATCTTCCAACATGTAAAGAAGATCTAATACCAATCCTTCTCTTCCAAAAAAATTATAGATTATCAAATATTTACAAACTCACTATATGAGACCAGCATTACTCTAATACCAAAGTCAGACAAGGACATTACAAGAAAAGAAAATTACAGGCCAATATACCTGAAGAACATAGATGCAGAAATCTCTAATAAAATACAGCAAACTGAATTCAACAACATATTAAAAGACCATTCACCACGATTAAGTAGGGTTTATTCCAGGCATACAAGCATGGTTCAACATAAGTAAATCTATAAATGCGAAAAACCACTTTAGCAGAATGAAGAAGAAACACCATATAATCATCTTAATATGGAAAGCATTAGACAAAATTTAACATTCTTTCATGATAAAAGGTCTCAACAAATTAGGTATAGAATAAATGTACCTCAACACAATGAAGCTCATATATGACAAACCTACAGCTATCATACTCAATGATGAAAAATTGAAAACTTTTCTTCTAAGATCAAGAACAAGGCAAGAATGTCCACTCTTGTCACTTCTTTTCAACATCTTACTGAAAATCCTCATCGGAGCAATTAAGACATCTTTATTAAGATAAAAAAAAAAGTCATTCCAAATCGGGAAAGTTAAATTGTTTCTCTCTGCAGATGACATGATCATTGACATGGTTTGGCTGTGTGTCGCCACCCAAATCTCATCTTGAATTGTAATCCCCACGTGTTGAGGGAAGAAACTGGTGGGAGGGGATTGGATCAAGTGGGCAGCTTCCCTCATGCTCTTCTCATTACAGTGAGTGAGTTCTCATGAAATCTGATGATTTAACAGTGTTTAGCAGTTTCCCCCTCATTCTCTGTCTTTCTTGCTGCCTTTTGAAGAAGTTGCTGGCTTCTCCTTCACCTTCTGCTGTGATTGTAAGTTTCCTTAGGCCTCCACAGCCATGCAGAACTGTGAGTCAATTAAACCTCCTTTCTTTATAAATTACCCAGTTTCAGGCCGGGCACAGTGGTTCACACCTGTAATCCCAGCACTTTGGGAGGCTGAGGCAGGAGGATCTATTGTGCTCAGGAGTTTGAGACCAGCCTGGGAAACATGACAAAACCCCATCTCTACAAAAATTACAAAAAAATTAGCCGGGCATCGTGGCACACACCGGTAGTCACAGCTACTCAGGAGGCTGAGGCAGGAGAATCACTTAAACCGGGGAGGCAGAGGTTGAAGTGAGCCGAGATCACACCACTGCACTCCAGCCTGGGTGACAGAGTGAGACCCTATCTCAAAAAATAAAAAAAAATAAAAAATTACCAGTCTCAGATAATTCTTTACAGCAGTATGAAGACTAACAAATACAATCATATATATAGAAAATCTATTTTTAAAATATATACGTTACATATATATAAAACATTTCAGTTAAAAGAAATAAGTTCAAGAGATCTAGTATAAAACATAGTTACTATAGCTAATAACAATGTATTATGTTCTTGAAAATCACTAAGGATAAATATATGATGTCATGCATGTATTAATTACCTTGTTAACCATTCCACAATGTATACATAGATATCGAAACATCATGCTGTGCATAAGAAGATGTATGATTTTTATTTGTCCATTTATAATAACTAATTAATGAAAACAAAAATACCACGATGAGCCTGTAATATGACAGAATCTAGTTAGGAAAGATTGAAAAATTAGTTTTAGGTTCATAACATATCCCCAGGTATATTTTATGTGTTTTAGAAATTGTATTAACTTAGCTGTTAAATATGGTGTATATAATTCTCAATAAATTATAGGCAGTTAGTCATCCTTTAGGACTTATTTTCCCTTCTTACATGAAGGAAGACTTTCATGATTGCCAAAGAAGTTATCTTGGACATAATGGTATCAAGATCCAGTGTTCATAGAATACAACACATAGTTAATAAGATAGCTTTCTACATGAGACAGCGATAGTTTACAAAAAACAAATAGCAATGTATGTACTTTCCAGTGTCTGACAACCCCTGTTGGAGGGTCTCATCCAGTTGGGTGGCATGGGGAACAGGACCCACATAATGAAGCACTTTGTCCCTTGGCAGAGGGAATGTGCTTCGCTGGGGGGGAAACTCACTCATTTGGGCTGCCTGGATTCCTCAGAACTACCATGAGGAGATGCTAAGTCTGTTGGTCCACAGAGACTGTGGCCACCCCTCCTTCCTAGGGGCTCAGGCCCAGGGAGATCCAGATTCTATCCCTGAGCCTCTGGCTGGAGTTATAGGAGTTCCTATAGGGAAGCCCTGCCCAATGACAAAAGATAGGTCAAGGTCAGGCCTGAAGAGGCACTCTGGCTGCAGACTACTACAGCAGGTGTGTTGGGCTGTGGGGACAAGTCTTGGGACCAAGCCGTCCAACCTCCCTGGCTCCAGCAGGTAAAAGTGCAGCCTGGAGCTACACAGATGGGTGCCACTCTTCCCCTGCCCTGGGAGCTTAGTGTGTTAGGCAGTTGCAAGTCGCAGTGCTGGCTGCTGCCCTTCCCCTAAGGAGCTCAAAGGGCTTAGACAGCAGGCAGCCGCAGCCACCGTGCTGGTCACCCCTCCCGCAAGGGGTTCGGTAGGCTTCAGCAGATTCCCACAGAAAGGCTGTAAGAATATACATATTCCAGGGTTGGGACTCTAGGCCCCAGTGGCATGGGTTCGCAAGTGGGATCTTCCTATCCATGGGTTGCACAGTTCCGTGAAAAAAGCAGTTTCCCTAGCTGTATAGCACACTCACTCACTGCCTCCCTTGTCTTAGGGGAGGGGGTTCCCCTACCCCCATATGATTCTCAAGTAGGCCACTGCACTACACTGTTCTTCCTTCTTTCTGTGTGTCATGCCAGCCTTCCAGTCAATTTTGATGAGAGAACCTGGATACCCTGGTTGCCAGTGAAGGATTCACATGATTATTGTGGGTTTTTTTCAATGGAAGCCTCCGAACACTACTGCTTCTAGTCAGCCATTTTGGCTCCACCCTCTATCAACTGATTCTTAAAGGAATTTCTACTGAGAAATTTGTTTTGTAAGACTATCTTTTTTACATTATATTAAGTGCTAAGTCTACCAAGGCAATTACTATAAAAGATTCAATTTTAATAAGAATGATTAATTTTTTGTAGGAATTTAAGCCATGTTTCCCATGATCACAACTGCCATATAAGGTGTGCGTTTGGATACTGAACAATTCTAGGGGCAACATTTACAGAGTAGCATCCTTTCTCAACTTTTAAAGTTCCATATATGTTATATATTTTTTTCCTAAATGCAATCTTAATTTTACATTTTTTTCTCATAGGAAAATTGAAAAACTTTAGGTTCTGTTTTCCATTGTCATTTTTATTCATCCAACTTCCAATACAGTCTTAAAATATAGATTGCTTGAATTTTAACTCTCTGTTCTGCACATTAATCAGAAAAGATCTGTCAATTCTGAAGAAAAAATTGGGAGTATGGGAAAGATTAAAAACTGACAGATTACATTTCTACAAAATCTCCAGATCAGCTATATTTTTAAAAAATTATAATCAGGGTCTGAAAGTTCATTAAAAGTTTTACAACCATAAAGTTCTGTCTCTGTCAACCCTATTCCGCTCTCTTGAAGCATTTTCCACCATAATTTTAGAAGTAAACCATATTTATAATAGTAAACTAATTTTATTTTCATACTGCCACTATAACTTCTTCCTAATGGAATAAAAACTATTCTAGGAATTATAAATATAACAACCTAAATGTATGCAAGCAGGCCTTTACAAAATGAACTTATCTTTAAAATAATGTAGGCTATAGTATCACTCCACACTTACTTTAATTTCTCTTTTTTATACTCATAATCTAAAATGTACTCAAAATATAGAATCAACAAATTTCAGTTGATAAAAGTATTTCAAAATCACAGAATCTTGTGATACAAGGTTCTGAGTTTGACATTTATCTGGTTTAAAATACACTTCTCAAATATTTATGTGAGGACAAACACATTTTCAGGTTTTTCCCTAAGCTTTAAGGAATGTATGTTGAGACATAGAAGAAAGAAAGAAATTAAGTGACTCATGGAAACAGTGGGGAGAAAAATGCTGTGAAGTTACTGAAGACTTAAACTACCTTTCCTAGTACATTTAAAGTAATGGTTATCCAATGCATCCAATATACAGCTCATCTCTACAAGAGAAAAATCAGAAGGACCTTTAAATTATTCACTTTATTTCTTGATATCCTCATGAAATCCTCTCAATAATTTTCACCGCCCTTGCATCATAAACATCTTATTGTGATAAGTGATATTTTCAAAATATTCAATACAGCTAAGCTGGACTTCATTAGTTTGAAAAAGGTAATAGAAAATCATGAATAAAAACTCACAAGATATTTGCTAATGTTAATTGGTAATTTGGGACAAATGTCTTGCTGAATAGAGCTAAAGCGTCTAAACAAAATATATTTATAGTCATCTCAAAAGCACAAAACCATTAACAAGATATTGAGGCATCAGTAAAACAAACTTAGTACACCAGACTAGAATTCAGAAAAATAACATTAACGTCAGAATGTCTTTTGCCCTGAAAATATCTGCTCACTGAAACAAAAATCAAACAACAAAAAAAGACTTTAAAACTAAACTGACTTTAAAGGCATCAAATTATGAAGGGACAATCCAAAGTCAAGTACCCATTAAACAACTTTTAATAAAGTTGGAATTCTCAAAGGAAAAACCCAAGTGATAAGAGTCCAAGGAAGATAAAATAGCCTTTGAATGAACTTGGGCTTGGCTTCCTATAATCTTGGTTGTGTAGAGAACTGAAAGCATTGAATGTAGATTAAGAAGGTATTCCACTGACTATACTGGAATTGCTCTGAAGAAGTAAACAAAAATCCTCTCTAGAAGGCAATACCATCATCTGAGGCTTTGTATTACATGTACAATTCATTTTTCCATAATGCAGTGATAAAGAGGCAGTGGAATATAAGACACAATGAATGAAAGTCTTTAGATAGAATATAAACAGAAATAATTACATGCCTAGATATATTGGAATTATTAGATGCAGAAGGTACAACTAGAAATTAAAGCTGACCAAATAATTTGTCAGCTAATTAGAAACTACAAAAGTAACTTGGATATAATACAATAAAATTATATTAAAATAATGAAAATAAAAAAGATGACTTTAATAAATACTTGCAGCAAAAAAGAGAATAAAGCAGAAAATATGGCCCAAATAACTCTATAAGATGGGGCAAAATATTTCAAAATTATAAAAGAGAATGAAGAGAATATGAGTGACATAGAGAACAACATGATAAGGCCAAATTTTGGTGTAACTGAAGTCCCAGACCTGTAGAAAGGTAAAATGGAGCAGAGGCAATATTGGATGAGATAGTATTCAAAACAGACAGCAACACACAGATTGAAGAAATCAAATAATTCCAAGGAGAAAAATTAAAGTAATATAAACACAGACATATCATAGTAAAATCAGAGAAAAAGGAAATTTTTAAAAGCAATCAGAGAAAAGTACAGATGATCATCAAAGAAACAGTGTTTAGACTGACAAATGACTTCTTAACAAATTGGATGTCAGGAATACTAGGAGAGATTATTAATTTCCTGAAGGAAAATTATTGCCAACACTAGAAAAAAAATTATTCAGAATTAAGTAAAACTAAAGCCATTTTCATACACACCCATACACATACACACACCACACACACACCACACACATATCCCTATACTTGAAAAATGACAAGAGAGGACCCACACTAAAATTCTAGAGAGAGTTCCCAAGGCAGAACAAAAATGATTCCGAATAGGAATTAAAAGAGACAAAAAAATTAAGGACAAAAAAGAGTAAAATTTTACATAATCAAAATGAACTCAAAATAAGTGGAAGAATGTTTTATGGCTCTGTGTGTGTGTGTCTGTGTGTGTGTGTGGTGTGTGTGTAGTACATAATAGAATATAAATGTAGAGAAAACATTGCTTGTATTTTGATGTCTTTCTGTTACCTGTAAGTAGGATAAAATTGTAAATAATTGTAAATAACATACCATTTGATCATGTGATGATGCATCTTTACAAATACTTACAATAAACACAAAATAATTTAAAAATGATTATATTCCTAAATATTAGAGAATACGATTGACTGAGGGGTGTGTGTGTATGTGTTTAAAGTCAAAGAGTAAGGAACCAAAAACAGGTAGAATAGTTTTTTTTAGAAAAAGCATATTATAATAGTATATCTTTTACTATATCTATAATGACATTAAATATTAGTATCAAGCTGATACAAAAGTTGTCAGACCGGGTTTTTTTTTTTAGCCCTAACTTTATGGTCTCTACTTAAGAGACATCTAAAACATTAGAATAAACAAATATTGGGAAAAACTTGTAGCTATATTAACCTAGTAAAAATAGACTAGAAGCAGCAGCTAGATTACCTATTTTAAAAGCTCAGCAACATTAAAGAAAAACTTTAAAAAAATTCTCACTTATGCTTTATGTCCCATTAGTTAAATAGAGAGTGTGGACCATTATAGTCACAGCCAGGTTGAAGTAGGAATCATCTCAAAAATTGCTTCTACTGTCAACACATAGTTGGAAAAAGAACATGGTAAATCATATACTTTCAGAACTTCTGACCTGAAGGGATGACCATCACTGCTGTTTATATTAGTGGGCCAAAAAAAATTCAGATAGCCACATTTACATTCCAAAGAGATGAGTAAGAGCAATCTTTCCATGTGTAATTCTAAACTGTTATGTATCAAATAGCATAGCCTCAATATAAATACATGAAATATCATTTTTATGAATAAAATAATTGATAGAAGAGAGAAAATATAGGACAAGAATTCCGAACACTAGACAATCTGTCTTGTAAATATAGTTTGTCTCACTCAATGTCTATTTGGTAATACCTTCCTCACTAGCTCCTAGGACGTCCGAATCTGATGTAATTTTAAACCACCAAACGGAAATCCCGCTGTGTCTAGAATTTATTCCTTCTGCTGGGTTCTTGGTCTCGTTGACTTAAAGAATGAAGCCGCGGACCTGGCAGTGAGTGTTACAGCTCTTAAAAGTGCTGCGTCCAGAATTGTCTGCTCCTCCCATGGGTTCATGGTCTTGCTGACTTCAGGAATGAGGCCTCAGAACCTCCCAGTGAGTGTTACATCTTTGAAAGGTGACATGCACCTAAATAGTGCACAACACCAAAATTCACTGTAAAGAACAAAAGAAAACACTTTCAAATCGTGGAAGTGGACCCGCAAGTTAGCTGCCTGCCCTGGTGGCCAGTTTTTATTCCCTTATTTGGCCCCGCCTATGTCCTGCTGATTGGTCTATTTCAAAGAGTGCTGATTGGTCCATTTTACAGAGTGCTGATTGGTCCATTTTACAGGGTGCTGACTGGTCCATTTTACAGAGTGCTGATTGGTCCATTTTTACAGAATGGTGATTGGTGCATTTACAATCCTCTAGCTAGACAGAAAAGTTCTCCAAGTCCCCACTTGTCCCAGGACGTTCAGCTGGCTTCACCTCTCACCTCTGGCGATACTTCTTTTTCTGCTTATTAGTGAAAACTTTTGCCAAGAGAATGATTCAGAGTGAAGGCCTATTCAAATGAATATCTCAATATGATTACTATGCTAGGTTCCAACAAAGTAAGTCTACATTCATTCCAAGAAATACACACATGTAATGACAAAGCAATCCTAGTGTGGTTGAAAGTGAGAGATAAGGGGATTAGAAACACTAAGTGGCTGAGCCATCCAATATGCAAGGCTGTACAGTCTATAATTGAGCCTAAGTCCACCATGTGTTAATTCCTACTCTCAGGTCAGGGACAATGTCTTAACTCTTTCTTGATTCAAAGTTTTTATGTATCCAAAAAGTAGTCATAAGTTGTTAAGTTTTGTCAGGAGAATTGACTGAGCAATACAGCTCAAGAAGATATGTAACATGCCAACACAGTAAAGAACCATGGTATGTTAATTTTAGCTTCAATAACCAAGGATAATGTGGGTTTTTAAAAAAATTAAACAAAACAAAAAAGAAGCACAACTACATTTTTTCCTAAACATCACTGGCAGTAATCTAGAAAACTGAAGGGTTTTCAACAGAAACTAGTGCATCTGTTCCGCATCGGGCTTGTTTACCAACTGAAAATTTGAAATACAACAACTATCTATGCTTTCCTCAAGTTGTATTTGCATTTTTATTTTTTAGAATATGAACTCAAAGTCTGAAATTTGGAATGCCAGATAAAGCTGGATAAAGATAATGGATTTAAAGGTATCCTTGATTTTTAGACTGTTTGAATCAAGCTATTGACTTAGTACATTAATTTGATTCACATTATAATTTATTTTAAATCCTTAGATAACTTTTTTGAAAAGCCTTTTTAAATAGACTTAAGAGAAGAAGTTCCATTTCCAACAAAAGTATTTCCTTAAAAGGTCTAATTTAGCCTGGAAAGGTTTTTAGGGATGGTGCTTAGTTTTTAAGTATAGCGATTTATTTTAAAAGTGAACCAAAGTTAGTGAAAAAGAAGCATGCAATTAACAAGGTAACAACTAAAAATTTGGCCTTTATTTTAAATGAACAGTATCTTGTAATTATCATGCTATTTTTTTACCATTACATAATATCAGAACCAGCAGTGTTTATTAACTAGAAAATATGTGTTCAGTGAAAATGAGTTCAGTAGTTAAACAAGAATGGAGCATGTTTTATGCCATCTCATCTCATTTGATCTTGTACAGTATTCATTAATTGTTTGGAGAATCCCTTCGGTAAAGAAGTGTGTTTAACTATAGTTTCCTAAAAGGGGTTGATAACAAAATTTTTTTTTGTTTTGTCTTTATTTCTTCTAAAAAGAAAAAGTGAACAAACAAAATGTTGTTGTTTTTTGTTTTACACCAGAAAATCTGTTGACACTTTTCGGAACACAGCAATTTGGGAAATATTAACCCAAACCAAACCCTTTAATATATATAGCTAAAATATCAAATATGTACAAGGACAATTATAAACCCCAGTGCAAAGGGGAAAAGGAAATTTCCATTTTTCTTTGTACAAGTCATATCCAGCTCCACTATTAAAATAATAATAATTATAACATACTGAGAACTTACTATGTATGAGAAGTGCACACTCTAGCACCTTGTACATACTAACTCTTAATTCTACTGAATCGACTTCCTCCCAAAATGCTGGAAATGAACATTTCCAGGTAACAGAAACTACTGAAGCCAATGAATCACTGCATTTCTAAAAGGAGAGAGATCTAAGGCCAAGAAACACTGGCCAAATGTCTAATTCTTGTAAACTCATGTGTAGAGCTGATATGATAGAAAGATATTGAAGGAAACCCAACTTACAAGCTATTTCAAGTCTTGCTGTCAAATCCTCAAGGGTAACAAATAAAGAAAGTAGCACAGCCAGAAAAATTAGCCGTATTAATCATATGTGTCAACTAGCTTTTATTCAACATGTGTGATATTTTTAATTTCAGTTTTTAATAGCTTCTGAAAACAAGTTTTTTCTTTATAAAATTTTAAAATATTAGTACTCTCACTTTCATCAAAATTGTAATTACTATCTTATTTATGAATAGATTGAAAAGAAATCTTAGTTAGAGTTTCCCTCAGAATTGGAAGGAAGTTTCAGTATTACAAATTTTTTAAACTAACCTTCTGGATTAAAAGAACAAAGGAGAAAGAAAAAACATTATACTTTCAATGGTTTTAGAAAAAGAAATTGATAAATTCTTCATTTATTTGTTTCACTGCTCAGGAAACTACTAGTAGAAGATCTTCTTCACCAGAATCTCTATCAGAAATGTAATATAAAATATACCTTTTTAATATCATGGAAAAGACAATATACTTACTACCACTGCTTCTAATGAAGATTATGCTGGAGTTCCTAGCCGTGCATAATAAGAAATTAGACAGGGGTTGAAATATAGAGGTAAAGGGAAAGAGAGAGAGAAGAATCAAAGAAAGAAAAGGGTGTAAGTATGAGTTAGAAAGAAAGAAGAACACTAAAGGTAATAACTGTATTGATGAGATTCTTAAAACTAACAACAAACAAATTTTATCAAAGATAAGATCATTCTTCAAATATCATTTCTATAAAAAAGCATCAGCAATTAGAAAATGAAATTCTGAATAAAAAAGTATTTTACAATTATAATGTTGACAATAAAATAGAAACTTACCAATTAATCTGCAATTAAGATGGAGGCACAGGAAAAACAATAAAGCTTTTAACAATATAAAGTTTATCCTCAAAATACCAGACAAAGCACTTTCATGAATGTGAAAGGTCAATATCATAAAGTGTTTTTTTCTAAATAAGCTTCTTTGATGAAATTCCAATTAATATAACAATAGAATTTACACATGACTTGATAATTTATGCTGAAATTTGGTATAGCTTATCAGTGAACCAAGGATAACAATGGATATTTTTTTTAAAGGACAAGAAATAACCCTAGTAGACTATAATTGTGACAACTTAATAATTACGATCATCTATGTTTTAGCGTATGCTATTTCCTAAAATGATGTTTCTTCATTACTTTTCTTTCCTAGCCCAGAAATGTTTTTTCATCAACATATCTTATGACCTTAAAGCTTTCAACTTTTTTTTACCAGCCCCACACTCCTTTAAGAGTTCTTAACCTTGTTTGTGCCATGGTTTTTCAAAATATATTGAAGAGTAGGGAAGTCTTCTCAAGATTAGTTGGAATGTGTAAAATATTAGACACAGAAAAAAAAAGTAAATCAATCCCACTGAAATAGAAAAATATTGCTTATATAATGTGTGGGTGTTAACAGAGAGAGCAGGTGCCCTTAGTCTACTACCCTCCCCAGTATTATTTCATGTAGTTTTCCTCTCTATCTCCAGTACAAAATAAATCTGTACAGATTTTTTTAAAAGACATTTAACTGATATTTTTTTTGTAAGTATAAAGATAAAGACTCTGAAAATTTATTTTTTACTTCAAATGAAAGCATGAGATGCTGTTTATTTTTAAAATAATTATTTTTTTATAAAATTCACAAATATTTCATTAAAATATACTTCATTTTTATCATGGAAATTATATTTGTGAATTCATAGAAAAAAGGCATAGTCTGTATGTCATATGTGTCAAAAAATTAATGTAAATATCTACTTCCCCATCAAACTCAAAAACTGTGAACTCATTGAGAAGACAAGTTATTCGTTTATCTCTAAATCCCACAGCACATAACACCTGGTTCACAGTTGGTGCTAATGTTTGTTGAGTCTATGAATCAATATATCAAAGCATGAACAAATAAATTGCCTCACAATATATCATTGTTTAAAAATCTCTTTTAAATAGAGCTATTTCCAAATACCATGAGTATGTATAGTTTTAATTCAAAATTAAGTATTTTAAACAATCTTTCATATGTGTTAGATATAATCAGATGAAAATACACTGCTTTTCTATGATACTTTGTTTAAGGACAATGATGAAACTGTGAGAAAAGCTTACACTGATTTCCTCAGAGATTTAAATTTGCCAATGATATTAAACATACAGGAATCCTTAACTGTTAAAAGTTGTTATCACCTTGGGGCATAATCATTTACAATTTTGCGTAATTGCAATTTTTTTCTTCCTTGTATTTTTTCAGATGAGAAGAAAACATTTAATTATAATTCTTGGTGTACAATCTCATTTTTAAAATATATAATGGCACAAAACTGTTTATTGTAATGGTATTTTATAGTTTTAAAATATGCTTTCATAATTATGTCATGATAAATGGAGTCATGCAGTCTTATAATTTTATCAGAAATATCTATTTTTATTGTAATTATTGTTATAGAGCTCAATTTTTGGAAAAATGGTACCAAAAGTACTAGAGAAAATAATTAATTTTGTATTTCTTTCCTAAGATTGAACACAAAGTCATACAAAGGAACAAGGAAATGAATGGAAAGAAAGAGAAAATCTAATTCTTGTCAAGAGAGTCTTCACTATGCATAAAATTACTTAATAGAAGTAACAAATAAAAAAAAAGAATTCTAACTTTGGTCCCAGGCGCATATTTACTGTAAAACAAACTCTAATTCAGTTTTTCACAACCATGATCAGCTAGTACATGTCTTGCGTGTCTGGTGTCTCTTGCTGTGCATGTTGGAATTATTGCGTATAGAACTTACTGCACTGTACTTGGTCGATTTTACTACTACTTGAAGAGGATTAAAACAAAACATGGTTAATTTTCTCTATATCCCAAATTTCTTTCAAAATATGGCCAAAAAGTCAAAACCTAGTTACAACTTCATTTCCTTGTTTAATCCCACACAGCTTTACCAAAACTACTTTGAGACGAATTTCTTAGGCCATCTCAACTCTAAAACTATGTTTATACAAGAGGTTTCAGCAAATTTTTCAGACCCTTATCTCATGGGTATCCAGGAGTGGAATCCAGTTCAATTTAAAAAGAACTTCCAGCTTTCATTAATTGCGTGAAATTTTACCAAAACAAACAAAATATAAACAAGCAAACAACAAGCCAATAATTGGTCCTGAACAGTGGTTTGGTAATTCCCCTATTAAAGATGAGATAAAGAAAGAAATTCAAAGAGAATGCTATAATTGGGATTAACATGCTTAAAAATTCCCCTTGCCCCTCAGTAAATCTATTAAAAGAAAATTAAATGGAGTGCAAACACAACTAAAAAGCAAAAGTTGGATCCTTTTTTTTTTTTTTTAATTCACTAAGGCAAGGACTTAGTGTTCTCTCTGAATAAATGTACTTGCTCAATATCTCAGGATATCTCACAGTATATTAAATGCTTTGCTTGTTACAAATTGAGAGTTGGTAAGTTTAAAACAGCAAAGGCATATTCTACTTTATTTTTCCTTATAACAACATGACTGATGGCAATTTTCACCCAGAGTAATGTTACTGAAAAAGACAACACGTGCATAAATAGAATGCATAGTTTTCATTACTTTTTTTTTCCTGCAGATAAGCATAAGAGAGCAGAAAGAAAAAGCATCATGTAAAAAAAGAAAAGATAATCAAGGGAAAATAGAGTTTGATGCACATTGAAGCAAAATACCAGATAGGAAAAAAAGAGGCAGTAAATTATTCAGAAACGAGAGGCAAAAAGATTGTGTGATATTTACTAAAGAATAAAATGTGAATGATAGATTAGGAAGAAATAAGAAAAATAAGACAAAAATCAAATCAAATAAAAACGTATTGGCAACAACGTGGCAACAATAAAAAGTTGCTAGTAATGTGGTCAGTGGGGCCACCATGGTTAGTTTTAAACTTTGGCTCCATCTGTGCCTCAATTTCCGAACTTAAAAAGTGGGTATAATAGAGATAATGTAAAGACAAAATGCAATAATTATTTTGAAGGGCTCACAATATTATATAATTTACGGTAGCCATTACATAAGTAAAATGCATCATTAGTAGTACTATATTTATAGCATGTTTAACACATTACAAAATGTTTTCAAAAACTTTAGCTCATTTGAACTTTAAGAAAACTTTGAATAAAGTCAAGGTGGATATCAATATCCTCATTTTGCTCATTAGGAGAATGAAGCTCAGTAAGTTACTCAGTGTGTATAAGCTCACAAAGTTACCACCTGGTAGAACTAGAACTTCAAGTCAGGTATTTGATTTCATAGTTTAGTATCTTATTTTTGTCTTTTGGGGGGAAGAAAAGTACCCACTAGCCATTTGCCTAAAAGAAAACCACAAAAGATGTTATTACTATTTTAAAAATTATATTTGAGACACACTATTACTTATTTATGAACTTAATTTATAATTATTTATTGAGAATTTATATGTATCAGACATATATTCTAGGTGCTTGGGATACATTACTGAATAAAAGTAAAACCCACGCCTTTATAAAATTTATAACCTAGATGGAGGATATTGACCATATTAATAAACATTAGAATAAGTAATTGATGTAGTGTGATAAAGAGGACAAGTGCTATGGTTAGACCAGGGAAGAGGAGGATCAGGAGTATAGAGTGGTAGTCCAATTGCAAATGTAGTAGCTTTTAATAGATATTATAATTTATAATAACAATTTTTTAAAGAAATCTAAGCCTCAGAACACATTTAAAATATTAAGGGATTTTTCACTGTTTATTAGCATCAAATATTTTAAAATAGTTATATAAATATTATTTCCCAATTATTTAAGGCATAAAAGTAAAAGGCCGATATAATGATGTACTAATTAAACAGATATTTGTATCTTTATCTATATGTCTATTACAATCTTGACAGATAAAAGAACAACTTCCTTATTATATCAGAGCTCTTACGAATAATAATATGGGCAAAGAAAATAGGCAAATAAATAGGTAAAAGAGTAAAAGACAAAGTAGGCAAAATAGTTCACAGTAAAGGAAATAGCCAAGATTATATTCTTAAAAATCACTCTCATTAATGAAATATAAAACAGAATGAGTTATGTGAAGCCATCTCACCTAAAAGATTGGCACAAATTAAGAACGTTGACAACACTCAAAGCATGTAAGCGTATAGGGAAAACAGTCTTTACAACTGAAAACTGAGATGGCTTTTCTGAAAGATGAATTGGTTGTAGTTATGAAAAGTGAAAAGCACATTTTGACCAAACGGGGTCATATCTCAATATTAAACTACAGAAAACCTTATATGAGTATGCACCATTTGATGTATGTGGTAGGTAGAGTTTTCACATGGCCTCGAAGATTCCTAATCCCTAGTGTTCATACATTTCTTACAGTCATTCAATTAAACACTAATCTGGGCACTACTGTGAAGTGATTTACAGATGTAATTAAAGTTATAATTTAGATGACCTTCAAGTAGCGAAATTACTTGGCTGGGCTTGATTGAATCACATGAGCCCTTTACAAGCAGAGAGATGGTTCTGGATAATGGCAGGAAAAGGAAGTCAAAGAGCTGTGATCTGGCTTGCCTGACCAAAGCAAACATTCATTCTGCACACTGCCTAGAAGGACCACATGGCAAGGAACTGCAGGTGTTCTCTAGGACTGAGTGGTCCCCAGACAACGACTAGCAGATCAATGAGGATTTTGGTCCTACGACCTGAAGGGAATGAACTCTGCCAACAATCAGTAACCTTGAAAGAGGATCCTAAGCTTCAGATGGGAACACAGCCTGGCCAACACAGCATTGATTTCAGCCTGGTGAGACCCTGAGCAGAGAATCCAATCATGCAGTAGATTCTAACCTACAGAACTATGTACTAAGGCTATTTTAAGCCACGAAGTTTGTGATTATTTATTATGCCACAAGAGAAAACTGATGCAATGTATAAGAATGCTTATGTCTTTATTACTTGGCAATAATAAAAGTCTGAAAAAACCTGCTGATGAATGGGTGAAGGAAGTTAGGGAGTAAGAGGTGATTTCTATTTTTCACTACATGATAATAACAACATTAAGTTAGTTGATGAAATAATGAAAGTAGCATAAAATATCTTTTGGTTTTATTTGCCTTCTCTTCACCCATTGTGAGGCCTTGAGTCCCATCCAAGGGTTTTAGAGATGGCCAAACACATGACACTTGACCCTGGACGGATCACTTTGACAGCAGTTTATTAGTCACATAAACTCACAGCCTGGGGGAGAAGAATGCTATACACCATGCAGGGCCAAAAGGGCTTGCATTCCAGAGCAGAGTGAACAGGCAGAAGCTACGAGTGGCAAGCTTCAAGTAAGAAGCAATTGGGTGACTCCTGGTTCCTGTGAGAGGATGTAATTGGCTTGTTTGAATACTTCTGTAGTCTGGCAGGGAAGTTAGGTTTGGAATCAGCTGGAGTAGCTCATCTAGGCGATAGAACTAGCCAGGTGTGGGCGAGAAGTCTTTTCTATTGTGTGGATGGCATATTTTTTGAGAGCAGGGGAGCTGGTCGGTTGCCCTTTGGGGATCTGTGAGGCTCAAATTTATCAAGGAAGCTCTTAATATTGCATCTTAATGTCAGGCCTTCTATTGTACTTCCCAAATTTATTTCTACATGAAATACCAGTGCTAAAAGGTTTTTGTATCTCTGACCTTCTTGGACAAGTACATATATATATTTTAAAGATAGACATTTATGTTAGAGTCCTTTTTCTTCCCTTTTTTTTCCTTTTTTCGCCAAGTAATGACATTAAGCCAAACTACCATGTGCTTATCATCATAATTTTATTGAATATATTTGACGTTCCCCCAAAGTTGGAAGGACAAAATACTCAACTCATTGTATTTTTCTTAAGTATCTCATTTCACTGAAAATCATTGAAAGTTCACATGTCAGTGTTTTTTTTTCATTTTATTTTTATTTTTTATTTTTGAGACGGAGTCTCTCTCTGTCACCCAGGCTGGAGTGCAGTGGCGCAATCTGGGCTCACTGTAAGCTCCGCCTCCTGGGTTCACGCCATTCTCCTGCCTCAGCTTCCCGAGTAGCTGGGACTACAGGCGCCCGCCACCGCACCAGGCTAATTTGTTTTTTTTTTTTTTGTATTTTTAGTAGAGATGGGGTTTCACCGTGTTAGCCAGGATGGTCTCGATCTCCTGACCTCGTGATCCGCCCACCTTGGCCTCCCAAAGTGCTGGGATTACAGGCGTGAACCACCTATTAACCTTTAGCATAAATAGTAACTCATAATAAACAGTTATTTCATAAATTCAAGAATATAAAGTTTTTGCTTCTCATGGCTTCCACTTGTGTCAATGTTTCCATTTTGTTTCTCCTAAGTCGATTTTCTTAGCATTAGGATAGGTGACTTATCCAGCCATGTTAGCTACTTTTTTTTAAGGCAGCTAGTTTTTGTTTAAAGATGTAAAATTCAAAGTAAGATGTAAACTGTATTGATTTCTTAGGTATATAACAGGAGGCTATTTGCTACATATTCTAGTGAATTTTGCCATTTTCTACAATATCATCCCCTCTGGGATAAAGTTTAAGTTTCTCTTTCATCCTGAGAGAATCTGCTTTGCCAATGGGCCTGTAGCTATCCTTTTTCCTGTGATGACATACAACAATCTTATAACAACAGAAAACATGTATTCATCATATTCTACTTGGAGGACACTCTTCTATGTACTGCAGATATTTTTTAACTCACTTTATACTTGCAAACAGATAAATATGTGTATATGCAAATGCATATACATGCAAATGTTGCTTTTTACTAACATAAGATATTCACATGTATAGAACTAGAAAAAATATCAACCACTCAGCCATCCATTCATGAAAACATTTTATTCACCAGTATTTTCAAAGCAGAATGCTGAGTGTCTGCAATCGCCCAATAAATTGATTCACAATGTCCCTCTCTTCATGATTATTATAGTCTGGTAAGAGCAACAAAATTAATATACTTAGCTACAATGTGATGCACATAATTATAAGTCAAGAACAGGGTTCTATGGGATCCTGTCAGAAGGCTGTCCTGATCTTTGGTTCACAGGCAGGCTTATCACTGTAGACAAAGAATACAATTATCCAGGTGGAATTTGAATGCAGTATTACCTAGTGCATAAATTAAGTCTCCTCATCTTAAATAATTTATGCATTGCCAGCAACAGGGATTGTACTGGAATATGGGGGTAGGGAAAGGCTGGGGCTTCTATTTTAGCTGACAGATTTAGCTCTCCTTTCCGCAAGCCCTAGAGCTTTGAGATTATACAAAAGGAAACACTGTAAAAAAATGGTTTCTGTGGTCCCTTGTGTGAAAAATGGGGGGGAAAGGGTGAAAGGTGTCCTGAATAATTTAAGATAAAAAATACTTCTAAACTTAGTTATGTTGGGAGCCTGAGGAAGAATCTCATTTTATTTTTCTTTCCTTGGTAGTGAAAATAGGAAGAAAAGGAGTCTCAGAACTGCCCTCAATATTATCTGAGGATTTTGTAATATCAATCTCTCACATAAGGATGTCTTGACACTTGCTTCTTTCTATCAAACACGATGTGTATATACAATTCCTTCCAAAACTTTTTCTAAATCTAAAAACCATTGTTTACTGACCCTGAAATTTTGATCATTGTAAGCACTGAGCTATCTGACATTAAGAATTATTTGTGGCCAGGTGCGGTGGCTCATGCCTGTAATCCCAGCACTTTGGGAGGCTGAGTCGGGCAGATCACGAGGTCAGGAGATCGAGACCATCCTGGCTAACACGGTGAAACCCCGTCTCTACTAAAAATACAAAAATACAAAAAAAAAAAAAAAATAGCCGGGCGTAGTGGCGGGCGCCTGTAGTCCCAGGTACTCAGGAGGCTGAGGCAGGAGAAGGGCGTGAACCCAGGAGGTGGAGCTTACAGTGAGCCGAGATAGCGCCACTGCACTCCCGCCTGGGCGACTGAGCGAGACTCCGTCTCCAAAAAATAAATAAATAAATAAATAAAAAGAATTATTTGTGAAGACTTCTTTTATTTTAGTAATGCATTCATTTACTTATTGAAATTAGTCTTTTGTAGAAATACTGTACATAGCATTCTAGTAGCTATTATAAATTTACCAGATTTATTTTTCACTATTGCTTATTAAAATATTTTAATTAGTTCCTGATTATAAAAGAATGTGGAAAACTCAATACATACTCAGAACTTGAATGAAATATATAAAAATCAAGAAAATATTATGTTCCTTTTCATATTTTTGGAGAAAGTTAAAACTGCGTTAGGGGAAAAAGAGACTGATATACTTCAACAAACATTTTTGGAAGAACAAAGTCTATATTCCCGGTTCCATACTAAAGTATTATATTGCTATTGATATGGAAATAGAAATTCTGTGTAGATGCAGATTAGTTGAAATACATTTATCTATCTATCCAATATTATACAATAGTAGAAAATGAACATTTATGAAATATCTGTTGTTAAGTACTCATGGATTCTTGCACAAAGAATAGCTCATAAACCCTCATAAAAATTAAGCAAGTTAAGAATGATGGAATCAAAGCCATTCTAGCTTTGAGACTTTGGGCAAGTCAACCTCTACCACTGAGTTTTCTCACCTGTAAACTTAAGTTTAATAATCACATTTCCATCACAGAGTTGTAGATAGGATTAAATAAACTTCTATAAAACTGTTCTGCGTATCTAATAAATCATCAAAAAGTCAAGCTATTATTAGAAAAAATTTTAATAGTTTTTTTTTATGTTGGGAAAACCTTCTATAAGAGAGTGATATTCCATCTAGCTACTGAAAGATCATGAAAATCTTCCACTGAAAATTTGTCTTGCATTCCAGAAAAAGACACAGCATGTAAAAAGTATAATAATCTTAATGATACAAGAAGATTTACTGTGGCTAAAACATGTAGTGATTTAGTTGGAGTGGCAAAATACGAACTTGGAATGTAGGTTTGCTCATCTGAGTCTCTATTTCCACAGGTCCTTAATAAATGCCAGTTGCTGTAAAACCAGAATAATATAACTACAATTGGAATCAGAACTATATGACAGAATCTGTGTAGTTTGTTGTTTTCATGCTTGGCACAAGATGAAAACCCATGGAATTGTCATTGTGGTGTTGCTGAGGGTGTGATCGTCATTACTTTACAATTCCGTGTACTTGAGCCTTTATCTTCTTTGTGATGAGTTACAAAAATGGAGGAGTCATATTTGCGTTTTAAGATCAGTATCACATTGGCAGTAGTTTGGAGAATGCAATGAAAGTGTGAAAGCTAGAATAGGAAAAAGCTGAAATATTCCAGGTACACAAAGAAAACAAATTGATTTTCAACAATTGCATGAGAAAGAGAGAAGTGTTGAACAACTTAAATAGTATGTAACAGGTGGAATAAACCAACTTTTTGACTAAATATGTTTATGTGGAGGAGTAGAAAAGTTCAGGAAAGAAGGTCAATGAATATGTGCAATCTGCTTTAAAGGACCTGGTGGATGATGGGATCATTCACCCGTGAAGAAAATGCTAGAAGAGTAGCCACACTGGGAGTCAAGGTACAAAGCTTCATTCGGAATGTGTAAAACATGTGTCCACATATGCTACAGATGTGGAAAATTTTCAAATTTGGAAAACTAAAATTGAAATCTTCCCAGAAATTGCATTAATACCATAAAGTGTTACAATAATGTAAGTTCAGTTGTATAGTTGACAACATATAATTTGTGTAAGATGACAAATAAAATACGACTATAAAATAATTATGCTTATTATTACTACCTTTAAAATTATTTGCCTAATTTTGCACTGAATTTTATTTTATGTATGTGTATTTAGTACAATGTTGGAGCTAATGCTACATACTACTGGCACACTAGGAATATATTTAACTCTGGATATTTATATAGATATAATGGCCGTTGCAGTCTGATGGCTTTGATACAAAAGAAATCATACTCTCCTTGGAGCAAAAAGACTTCATTTAAACCTCTGCATTCCCATTTGCCCTGAAACACTGGGTTAGTCATTTAAATCATCTAAGACTGAATGTTCCTTTTCAAAAATAAAAATGATAATGTGTATTTGGCAGATGATATTTTCCAAAATAGCTGCAACAACATTTCCCATCTCACCTGCTCTTCCAGAGCTTTGTCACTCTCATTTCAAAAGGGACTGACTCTGCCTTCTCATCCCTTGAAACTGAACAGGCCTTTGAGACTGCCTGGACAAACCTAGTACAAGTAGAGAAGGTGGCATGTGATTTCTGAGGCTATGTCAGCAGACTTAACAGAGCATCCACATAGATCTCTCTGTTGGGATTCTTGCTCTCGTAACTCAGCATCCATTCTATGAGGAAGCCAAAGAGCTATGTGAAAAGCTTGTATGTGTGTTCTAGCTGATGGCTTTAGCTAAAGTCTCAGCTATCATCCAGCATCAACTGTCTGTCATTGAGTGAGTGATCCTTTACAAGATTCCAACCCCTAAAGTGTTCCTGGTCACTCCAGTTGATGCCTCATAAAACTGAGCCGAGCTGTCCTCTGTGGGCCCTTCTCAGATTGTAGATTTGTGAGCAGAACAAACAGTTGCTCTTTCTTTAAGCAACTAAGTTTTGGAGAGGGTAGTTACATAATAGATAAATGGAATACTCACCAGATTTTCCAGAAATATTTAAATTAAATATTATATGACAAAAGTTTTAGAGCTTTGAAGTCCTTTACAAATGAAAGGATGAGTATTATCATTCCTAAACATCTTCACTTTAAACGCTGCCTCTGCCAATGTTTTTATTGGTCAGAGTGTCTTGTAAAATAATAAAACATGGGCTTTATTTCTAAGTTAATCTGTACCTTAAATAAAGTTTACATCTTGACAGTAACAATTGATGGGTAGAATATGTTTCCTCAACCATCTTTTATCACTCTGTAAAAATCAAATAACAAATGACTGTTGATTACAGGTCTGCTTAATATATATTCTGGTAAGATACACCTAGAAACACATATACTAGCTGTCCTTCTTCTTGATACTATATTCCTTGGATTTCCAGGAAAATTTATTTTATTAGATTTTGATTCTTCCTCCGTGACTCCTGTTTTTACTCTCTTTCAGTCTTTTTTTTTTACACAGACACACAGACACACACACACACGCACGTACATGCCTGATCTTTTACTCTTCTCATCTTGCTTTGGGGAAAAAAGACAAACAGCATGAGCCTTTAGGTCCATTTCCTTTTTTTTTTTTTTTTGAGACGGAGTCTCGCTCTGTTGCCCAGGCTGGAGTGCAGTGGCGCCATCTCGGCTCACTGCAAGCTCCGCCTCCCAGGTTCCTGCCATTCTCCTGCTGCAACCTACCGAGTAACTGGGACTACAGGCACCCGCCACCACGCCCGGCTATTTTTTTTGTATTTTTAGTAGAGACGGGGTTTCACCATGAGGGAAAGGGGGACTGAGGTGGGGAGGAAAGGGGGGATGAATTGGTTTTTATCCAATTTCCCCCATTCCGAGATGGGGTCTTTCTCTATTGCCCAGGCTGGAGTGCAGTGGTGTAATCTCGGCTCACTGCAACCTCCGCCTCCCAGGTTCAAAGCAATTCTCCTTCCTCAGCCTCCCGAGTAGATGGGATTACAGGCATGCACCACCACGCCTGGCTATTTTTTGTATTTTTTTAGTAGAGATGGGGTTCCACCATTTTGACCAAGCTGGTCTCGAGCTCCTGACCTGGTGATCCGCCCTCCTCAGCCTCCCAAAGTGCTGGGATTACAGGCGTGAGCCACCTCCCCTGGCCTTTTTGGGTTTTTTTTCAAATTTTAGTTTAAGTTCTGGGATACATGTGCTGAAGGTGCAGGTTTGTTACATAACCCGTTTTGTTGTTGTTGTTGTTGTGTTTTTTACCACAAATGGGGAGGTAGGAACCGCAAAGAAACACTAGTTTCTTAGTGGACCGCCAGCTCTTGGTTCACTGATCAATCGCACCCAAACTCCTTCACTAACTTAAAAAAAAAAAAATACTGTGGCAATGTTCGTTTATGTAAGACTTGGAGCAAAGCTGCCGCCACAATCTGCTGCAGCCTCCTGTGGAGGTACAGCCACCGAGCTCTTCACTTTCCCCAAGAGGTTCCCACTCCTCCCCCACCCACAAGGGAGCCCGCAGTCCCTCGAGGCTCTGAGTCCCTGGGGAAGGCCTCAAAGAGAGGCCGAAGGCGCCCTGGCGAGAAGGGAGGATGGGGACAGCGAGGAGTGCCTGTACTTCAGTTCAGGACCCGGTTATTCCACGGAAAAATGAAACATTTCACCCTTTCTTCCAGTCTAAATCTAGCACTAGTCTAAGTCTATCCCGCCTGTTTCTAATTTAGTTTTATTTATTTTTAGACTTCTAGGTTTAGGCTTGTTTACATTCTCACTTTAAATGATATACACATCTAGTTTTTCTTATTTGGCAATGAATGCCATGCATTGCTGCATTGTGTTCATTAAGGTAAAGCTAACCGATGAATAAATAATTGAAATCTCAGTGGCTTAAAATAATACCAATTTTTTTTTTCTTTTTTTATTTTTGGCAAAGTCTCACTTTGATGTCCAGGCTGGAGTGCAATGGCGCGACCTCGGTTCACTGCAACCTCCGCCTCCCAGGTTCAGGCGATTCTCCTGCCTCAGCCTCCCTAGCAGCTGAGATTACAGGGGCCCACCACCACGCCCGGCTAATTTCTGTATTTTTAGTAGAGACGGGGTTTCACCCTGTTGGCCAGGATGGTCTTGATCTCCTGACCTCGCGATCCACCCGCCTCGGCCTGCCAAAGTGCTGGGATTACAGGCGTGAGCCACTGCGCCCGGCCCTAATCATTTTTTTTTTTAACTTGTAAGTTCGATATCTTTCAAGAAGTGATTGGCAATCCAAGTTATTTCCATCTCATGGCTCTACCATCTTTATGCCATGGCAAACCACCTTAGAAAGGGAAAGACCATCAAGGAACCTGTTGGAAGTGCATTTTGGAAACACTGAATATCTTTTCTACTTACATACCATTGATTGAAGCCAATTTGATTGATGTAGTCTACTTCTGTTTCCGAAAGAAGTAAAGCAGGTTTGAGGATCATCTAGCAGTTACTCCCATCTAGCAATTCTACCATGAACACTGAAATTGTATCCCTTCATCTCTGAATTTTTCAGAGCTCAATAAATAATTGCTGAATAGACCTCACTTCCAGCTTTAGCTACCCCAAATAGTATTTCCTTCCTCTACCTAGCACAACCCTCCCCAAGTGAATCCTGTTCTGTTAGTAATAAATATTAATCAATTACATTTCTCTTAGGCATCCTTTGTCTCAGATTTCCATTTACCCTGTTTCTTCTCCTGCAGACATACTTCCTTCTGTGGATAATCTAGCCATCGTTAGAGGCAAGAAGAGAATTTATTCTCATGAACAGTAAAACCATGTCTCTTCATCTTTGATTTCCCAAGAGTTTAATAAATATTTGTTTAATTAATATCAGTTCAGCATTATCCATGCCATGGAAGTTTTTGCAAAGTTGCTGTTCCCTTTGAAAAGGTTTTTGTTGGCCTGGCGTGGTGGCTCACATGCATAGTCCCAACACTTTGGGAGGCTGAGGCAGGTGGATGGCTTGAGCCCAGGAGTTCAAGACCAGCCTGACCAACATGACAAAACCCAGTCTCTACTAAAGATGCAAAAATTAGCCGGTCGCGGTGGCACACTCCAGCAAATCCCGGTTACTCTGGAGGCTGAGGCATGAGAATTACTTGAACTTGGGAGGTGGAGGTTACAGTGAGCTGAGATCATGCCACAGAGTGAGACGGAAAAGTTTTTTGTTCCATTGGAATGGTAATATGGTAACCCGCTTCAAATTCTTGTCTGAGTGCTATTCCATCTGATCATCTTGATGTTGTAGAGACACAGAATGCTAAGAAAATGTATACAGGAAAGATTTCTAACATATTGCATAGGAGAGCTTGGTGACAACTCAGGGGCACAAGGATATGTCAGGAGATGAGCTATCAGCATATGGTCAAGAATAATTATAGTGGATGTGTGGGAAAATAAGAGAGATTCTACCAACTGTTAATGCCTTTAACCCTAGTCATTCTCTGTACTGAATATGATGACACATATAATTATCAAATATTAAAATTATCTTCAATATATATGCTAGCAGATTTATATTTCTGTTTTATTCTGTTTCCTTTTTAGTAATTTTAGTGTCAGAGCATAATATTGGAATAAATATAAATATAGCTTTTCCACATTATGATTTCCTGTATACTATAGGCTATATTTTCTTATTTTAGTTTGAAAAGGCTTGGCATCAGATTTTTTGTTAAATTAAGAAGAGTAATCATATTATTTAAAATTATTTTTGCCCTCTAATCATTCTGAAAAGTACTATCTGGTTTCAACATTTTATCAATGTATAATCATTTAAATAAAAACACCTGCATTTATGACATCTTTACTTTGTTTCTCCTGGATCACCAAAACTAGGAATGACATTTGATCATCTGATTGCTTTTTGTTCTAACTTTGTAATTTTCACTCAAAGATTTCCTGTTGGCATAGTAGCATGTTTATTTTAAAGCATGTAATTATGACAAATAAACAAAAACAACTTAAGCTATGTATCGAATTCATTCCAAAATAGTTTGAAGAATGAGGCAAAGTTAATATACCAATGTTTTCTTGGGGGGAAAAAAGAAATTAAAAAACCCAACAAGCAGAGAAAACTGCTCAATGATTATGAAATAAGCACATTTTCATGCTGTACATACCAGCAGACAGCCAGAGGGCTGAGACAAATGGGGTATTGAGGAGTTCTCTTATTGGTTCAACAGGTGCTTGTACATTTCATGTATATTTAATGAAAAAAGAAGCCATTTGCTAATTCCTATTAATGGTCTATCCTTAGGCACCAGTTCCATCATTTGGTACATTTCTTATCACCAAGCTCTTTGCTAAACTAAACCATAGTTTAAATAGAACTCTTCTTATTCTCTCATTCTAAAACTACATGAAATTATAGAGGTCCTGGAATATTTCCAACCTCTCTGTATGTGTGCCATATTTCCAACTTTTCTACTATAAGACATCTTAAATTGAATGGAGTTTTTGCTACTTTATGTTTACTATTACACGAGCAAATATTGTCTCAAAATTTTTCACACTGTATTCCTATAACCAGACTATAACCTATTCCATATTCCAGTTTTATTTAAACAGGAAAGTTGACATTTAAAAAAAAATCTTCCCTCATTGTCATATCTCAGGTATATTTCAGCTCTTCTTTTCTTTTAACATTCTTTGATTTATATTTTCAGTTTGATCTCAAGAATAAAGAATGGTTGCTCAGTTGAAATTACAAAATAAATGTTAAACTCTTGACCCTATTCCCCCTAACATTTCTCTAGTACTTTCATATTACACACATCAATTCTAGTCCTTCTAGTGAAGGACTTCCTGTAGAGGTATTTTCAGTTTGATTTTAACTATATATAAGAAATTCATGATGGTCTAAATTAGAGGTAAATTAGAGGTAGAAGAATACCTTCTTACAGTTAAAACAGTCATGAAAAGTATAGTAAGTGTTTTTTTCCAAAACTTTAATGTTGAAATTATTAATGGAATAATGTTAGAAAGCCTACTTATAAATCTGAGCTTCACCCAATTTGGCCATATGTCTTAATTGGCTCAAAATAATTAAAAAAACCTTCATAATGTAGAATTAAAAAACACATTCTTTTATTCACTCAAGCATCCAGTGATATAGACAAGAATTACTAATTAAATGCATAGTGCTACACATTGGTGATACCTTAATGAGTAACAGAAACACAGCTTCTATCCTCATGAATCTAAAAGTCTAAGGATAAATAGTCACAAAAAACAAGTAATTATAAATGTTCCAACTTGGAAAGTTGTGATAAAATTATGCATTTTCATCTTGGGATGAACAGAGAATGTTTTTAGAGAACGTTGACATTTAAGCTGGGAATAATGAATGTCTGACACTAATAGCCAAGGTTTATTGAGCACTTACTGTGAGTTAGACTCAGTTCTAAGTGCTTTTCCTGTATTAATGACCCTCTTTTTATAACTCTCTGAGGTAGATACTGTAATAGTACCTATTGTATAGATGAGGAAACTAGGAGACAGTTAGGTATTAGGAGTTAGTTGTCAGAGTAATGCACTCTATTCCAAAACAACCACTTGTCCATGACACACACACACACACAAACACACAAACACACACAAAGCATGACATTTTCAAGGAACTAAAATCATGGTAGGCATTCATGATTGTGCAAGAGACACAAATTGCAAAGGACACACCTTAAAGAAACTCATAGTCAACATTAATATTTTTTTTCTTTTTTCTCTTTTTTATTATGTCTGCAACAAAAAGTTTATGGAGGCTTCTAAGTAAGAGTGAACTGATGATATTAGTATTTTATAAGCATAGTTTTTTCATTTGTACTCCAAGAAGAATGAATTAAATGAAAGAAAATAAGCATCATAAATCTGACTTTGATTTTTTAAGCATAAAAGACAAAAAACATTCCTATGCATAGTTAAAAATTATTTTTATTTTCTCAGGTCTTAAATAGACTTTTTTTTTCCACATTCTGCACCAGAGCACAAACTGAATCCCTGGTTACTCGGTAAAACTTCCATAGCCAACTTTATAACCATTCTTTTCTTTTTTTTTTTTTTTTTTGAGACGGAGTCTTGCTCTGTCTCCCAGGCTGGAGTGCAGTGACAAGATCTCGGCTCACTGCAACCTCCACCTCCCGGGTTAAAGCGATTCTCCTGCCTCACCCTCCTGAGTAGCTGAGATTACAGGCTCCCGCAACCATGCCCAGCTACTTTTTGTATTTTTAGTAGCGATTGGGTTTCACCATGTTGGCCAGGCTGGTCTCGAACTCCTGACCTCAGGGGATCCCCCCGCCTCTGCCTCCCAAAGTGCTGGGATTACAGGCATGAGCCATCGTGCTTGGCTCATTATTTTCTTATTCCTCTTTTTTGAGCATGTTCCACTGTTTAATGGTGTTTATGCCAAAGATGAACATTTAAAAAAAAAATCCTCTGCTTTAAATCAGTTAATTTATTATTTCCAAGAAACTGTGCTAAATGGTAAAATGAGAAAAAATATCAACGTTGAAAAAATGAAGGTTCATAGGTAAAAATCTGGTAGTTTTATTTTGGTTATCAATTTATTTAAGTAACTTGGTATTGTACTTGTTCTTCAATATATCTCAAAAACCATTTATTCATGTAGTTTCCTCAGTTATAATACACAGAATGAATTGCTTCCTCTTTTCACTCATAGCACGTTAATAGCCATAATTACATGTGGTAAATTATTCTTTATTTGTCCATTTGTTAATCCAATTTGTATTTACCATTTTCCAAATTGTTCCAAAACAGGATTTTGATATGACCCACAGAGCATGATGTAACAGGAGATAAAATATGGAGAAAAAATTCTAAAATAAAAAAATAAAAAGTCATAGTGTTAAAGGTGGATATAACCAAAGTAGGTAAATGCACAAAATGTGTGCTCCAAAGTAACATCAATTCATTGGCTCGTAGTTAATTTTTTAATTGTTTCTTCAATTAGATTTGAATATTATTGAAGATGGAAATTGTCTCTCATACATCTTTATGTCTGGCTCCTAAGAGGTCTCAATAAATGTTTGTTAAATACATGTACGCATAAATGAAAAAAAATGTGTGATGCTTTCCTAGCCCAAGACACTTTAGCTGAAATGGTGAGCTACCATAATTGGGTATTGCGAAATTAGATTAGAATAAAGATATTTAACAACGCTGTCTACAACTCAAAGCTTTGCAATGGGAAATATAAAGCAGCCATGTAACATCTAAATGAATATTATCCATCAGATTTGACATTTATTAAGCAATACCAGCACACTGGGCACTGTCGTAAACACAAACTCTTTTTCCCAGTGAACTTAGATTTATTTGTGCCAGTTTTTTTTTCCTGAAAAAGACTGATGCAATTTCACGGCAGATGGTAAAAGAATACAGAAAGATGACTTTAGTTTTTGACTTATATAGGCACTACCTTAAATCAATTCCTTTTGCTGGGAATTCCTCATATTACCTGAACTAAACATTCCAATTACATTTTCACCCTTATCCACAGTGAAGAGATTTCTTTGATTAGGAATCACACACCTGTACTGATATTGTTGGTATTGCTTTGGCATTGTTGTTATTAAGACCATTCTTTCTTGTGCTTTTGAAGTAGCATAAAGCAATAGCTCAAAAAAATTTTTAACACTATGACCACAGTTCACTTTCATAACACTCTGATAAGCTCATATGAAACTGCTAACACTCCAAAGATTATATGAAAGTAAAGCAAATCTCGGCAAAAACTTTCTTTTTGGACAGGATATTCAGAAAGAAATGTTACAAGATTGAAACAATAAAGTTGATGGTTTAAATATTTCAATAACATTAAAGAAATTTTATATGAAAATATGTATATGATTTCTACCCTGATAATGTTAACACTGCATGCATATATTACTATAGGCAAACTTTTAATAAATTTGTTGTACCAGTAAAATTACTATTGTAGAATTTTCTAATTTGTAACATGTTACTTTTTTTAAAAAATTGCATACTTTTTTTTTTTTCTGAGAAGAAGTCTCATTCTGTCGCCCAGGCTGGAGTGCAATGGTATGATTTCGGCTCACTGCAACCTCCACCTCCCAGGTTCAAGCAATTCTCCCACCTCAGCCTCCCAAGTAGCTGGGACTACAGGTGTGCATCACCACGCCTGGCTAATTTTTTTTTGTATTTTTAGTAGAAATGGGGTTTCACCATGTTGGCCAGGCTGGTCTCAAACTCCTGACCTCAAATGATCTGCCTACCTTGGCCTCGCAAAGTGCTGGGATTACAAGAGTGAGCCACAGTGCCCAGCCTAAAAATATATGTAAATATTTCCAAGATTTTTGTTAAAATTCTGATTTTAAAATTTTACAATGATTTTTAATTATTAAGACTTTTGGCTCAAGTCTATGAATCAACTCTGGCTTGCTTAGAAAAACATACAAAAGGAAAATTATTGGAGGAATCCTGATCTATATCATGGGAAACAAGATCAAGAGTTGTTTGTAGGAACAGGACCAAAATTATGTGAGAGACCTAAGGAGTGTTCTTGTTTCTAACTCCATTCTTTTCTGTTCCAAGAGAGTAATCTTAACTCTAATTATCTAGAAGCCTTAATTTTTTTCTTTTCCTGGATCCATATGGCATAATATGATCGCCAGAAGCTCTACAAGTATTTATTGTAATTACTATAAAAAAGAAACAAAGCCAGACACTGAAATGGTAAGGACAGATTTTAATCTACCTTTGCAATAGAGAAAAGAATCCAGTGTGAACTGAACTCATTTTCCATTTATTCAGAGGATATTGGGCCTTTTAAAGAGAGAATGAGGGAGCAGAGAGGTGGAGCAAGCAGGAGCTCAACAGAAGGAGGGAAGTGAAAAACTACAAAATGTAGGCAGAAGAGGACTGGCCTATGTGAAACTTAAATGGATGTGTTAATTGCAGTGATAAAAGTTAGGTTCTTTCCTCTCAAAATGACTGGGAGATAGGGGCCTTATCTTTCAGTATTGGCTGGAGTAAACAGTAAGTTTTTTCAGCAGCCTTGAGTTTTCTCAGGCAGTCACATTAAGGGGAAGGCTAGGGTCATCCTAATGTTGCAAATTTGAACTGTGAGAAACTGTTAGTGTTTGTTCAATCTTTAGAGGCCAAGGTAGAAGTCTACTCAAAAGGAGGGCTCACAGGCAGAAGCGTAGCTAGAGTTTTGTCATTACCTAGAAACCTTGTTTATTTATATTTTCATTAAACTATGTGGCAGACAATGGTTGCCAGAAACTCTAGAGTTAACATAACATCCATTTTGCTGCAAAGAAATGGATTTCTATTTTTATTTCATTTACAAAGTCATAGACAGTCCTTCTAAGACTAGGTCCTCACTTCTGAACAAATCAGCCAAAAAGTGGGTTCACAATGTATTCATGTGGTAGCTCTATGGTAGTTATATAGTATGTGAAACCGTAATTTCATTTTATCCCCCAAATAGAAGAACTGGGGACAAAACCAATATGTAGTCAGATCCAGGGGTAGGGGGGCAGAAGTAGTCTACGTTCCTCATTTGGGATAATCAGCTGTGGGAGTTTCTGCCCAGAGTGTGTTTCTGTGAGCTAATATAGAGAGATCTCGGTAATACCTCATTTTCTTTAGCCTGATTGCAGTGTAGAAGGAAGAGATGAACATTATGAGAAATGAAAGAGAATCTCCTTTAAACAGACTTTCATTCTCTCACAGGTAGAATTAGACTATCCAATCTCTGTTGGCCCATTATGATCCCATTTGTAAATGCTAAAAAATAGATTTTGTTTCATTGATTATGCTAAGTCTGATTCATTTCCTTGTCAGAGTGACACTCATCTACTTTTTCATGTTATAGAATCCTTGGGAATGCTATCAATTTCTTCTTTCAAAAATCTCTTTAAAGTAAGTATTGTCTTTGTGGTAGGTGGAATTAGATATGTTGTATATTTTTAAAGTTATATGGCATATATAACTTCTCTGAGCCTGATCTCCCCATTTTTTAATAAAAGAAAAATGAATGATAACTCTTAGAAGATTAATGCAAAGATAAAATTTTGTAGCACAAGTAAAAATGATCAAGAGTTTCACATCTTGTAACAAATTAATATATGTAAATTCATCCGTCCCCCGTTATTCCAAATAGAATATCCAATCAGGTAAATCAATCAGTTATTAAAATTAGTCATCATTATTTTAAAGTTTGTGTCTGAAAAATCCAATACCCGAATTACCTGTAGATCTATTGTTATTGGCTACTTCTTCTCTTGGTTTTGTGTGTATTAGATTTTCTTTACTGGCATACTGTGTACTATCTGATAGACATGGTGCATGGAAAATTGTAGTGGTTACGCATAATTCTCTTTTTATGGAGTGTCTTCTGGGTTAGAGCTGGGACAGATCACTTTGAGCACCAGCGTATTTCCAGTTTACACTTATTAAAATGATATAATCCTTCAGCAGGCTCAATTGAAAGCCTGGGCATCATTAACCAGGGCCCCTGACTCTTGACAAGACCATATTTTCAATTTTTAAATGTCCAGCATTATGAAACTGCTAAAAAAATTCTGCTTAGTTCTTTAGCAATTATCAACTTCTTTCTGCTTGATTTCTCAGCTTCTTACCTCTGGGAACCTTAGGATTCAGCAAACATTTCGGGAGCAAAATCTTATGGAATTATAGGTTCACATACCTGGTCTCTTTTCTCCAGGGTCTTGACTCCTAAGTTTCAATTTTTGGTCTCTCCAGTCATAGGAGACTAAAATATGCTCTAGGTTGCTACTTTCTGCTGAGCCTAAATGCTAATATCTGCAAATCATCAAATGTTTTCAGCAGAAAGTTATAGAGGAGGTAACTTCACCTCACTGTGCTTCCTAAGATCCTTCTAAGTATTTTGGCTCCTCAAATTCAGACTTCCTTGGTGTTCTTCTAATACCTTCAAATATATGGGTTTTGTTTGTTTGTTGTACATTTTTTAGTTGCATTAAATTAAATTAAATTTAGTCTAAAGCTGCCTCTGTACTTTGCATTTTTACATAGCAAATTACCTCCTAACAGTATGAAAACAAGTTGCCACCTGACTTAATATATTCTTGTAACAAACTGCTGAGTTCAGCCAATCACAGCAGCTGAGCTTCTGCCAATCAAAGGCATCCAACTGACCAGACTATGTCTATACAAAACAAATGCTAAGCTGTAACCAATCAACCTATTTCTGTACCTTACTTCCTTTTTTGTGTGTATAAATACTGCCTACTCATTTTACTGGGTGGAGCTCTCCAAACCTCTATTGGCAGGGTGTGGTCTGATCATAAACCATTTCTAGCTCAAATGAACTCTGTTAAATTTAATTTGTCTAAAGTTTGTTTTTTGTTGTTGCTGTTTGTTGTTGTTGTTGTTGTTTTTACAGCTTTTTGGATGTTTGGAGAGAAGATTGGGTCCAATACAAACTCCTTTGCCATATCCAGAAACAGAAGTACTCAGTATTACAGATCCTAGAATATCTAAAGAATTCAACTCTGTAAAAAATATACCCAGAAAACAGAAAATATGTACACTTTGTGTGTGTGTGTGTGTGTGTGTGTGTGTTTTGAAATGGAGTTTTGCTTTTGTTGCCCAGGCTGGAGTGCAATGGTGTGATCTCGGCTCACTGCAAGCTCCGCCTTCCAGGTTCACGCCATTCTCCTGCCTCAGCCTCCGGAGTAGCTGGGACTACAGGCACCCGCCACCACGCCCAGCTAATTTTTTGTATTTTTAGTAGAGATGGGGTTTCACCGTGTTAGCCAGGATGGTCTCGATCTCCTGACCTTGTGATCTGCCCTCCTCGGTCTCCCAAAGTGCTGGGATTAAAGGCGTGAGCCACCGCGCCTGGCGTTTTTTTTTTTGTTTGTTTTTGTTTTTGTTTTTTTAAGTAGAGATGGGGTTTCACCATGTTGGCTAGGCTGGTGTTGAACTCCTGACCTCAGGTGATCCACCCACCTCAGCCTCCCAAAGTGCTGGGATTACAGGTGTGAGCTACTGCGCCCGACCAATATGTATACTTTTAAATGGCATTATTCACTATATATTTATATCTGTAACTATATCTTTATACATCATCTTATATTTTCAATGAAAATAGTAGGGGATGGTGTGACCTAATGTATGAGTAGAGGTTATCATTGAACTTTCAGTGTTGTTGTGAAGTAGTAGAGGGTAAAGTAAAGATGTATTAGGATGACAAAACATAATTTAAAAATAAAATTATATGTGGCAAGACTGATATTAAAACTGGTAGAAGTTAGTATGGAGTCCAGGAACAGATAAAGACTTATTTTGTATTTCAAAATTACAGAAAAGTTGCAAAGGATTCTTCTCTCTGCATTATTAATACGGCTAAGAGGATACAAACATATAGAACTAAGTATAATATAGTACAGCATAATAAATATTATTTTAATGAAAAGTTATGTGAAAACAAAAAATCCATCTCTGTGCATGTTTACTAATAATTACTTATTAATTATTTTTAATTAAATATATTTAGAAAACACAATATTAACTTAATGTAGAAGATAGAGGGAAAAGTCAGCCTAAAATGTGTTACTGGGGAAAGAGATCTTTACTATTTGGCCAAAATCGTGGGCACACAGCAATACTGTATCATAGGAAGATAGAGGGCAATTTAAAAGTGAATGGACAAATCAATTTCAAATAGCCCTTAGCATGTATCCAAATCAATTGGTTCATCTCGGGAAGTTTTCAACTACAGCTTAAGGAAAATCAGTTATCTACTATTCTCTTAGTGCAATCCCTTAAGATTTATTATTTACAGGAAAGTTTCTTGTTTTTTGAATGCAACAACTTTACAAGAAGAACTCACACTTTCTCCCAGATGGCTGAAAATAACAGTTTTACAGGTTCATGGATATGCTGAGGTGATGGTGAAGTGTAAATTGAAAACAAACAGCATGAAGTATACACCCTCTTTTGTGCTTTGAATATTAAGCATTGTAATATTTTTTCATAGAGGAAGGGAATAGTGAAATGTTACAACAGAATCTGAAAGGAAGTTGTTTTGATGTAGTGAATGTTAAACAATCTTATATTTCAATTTGGTGATTCACACATGATGCGCAGGAAAAGACTCATGGAGAGCAAGGCTGATGTCAGAATTTCACAGGCACAATTGGAATTACGCTGTTTTTCAAACATCATTAATATTAGTAAATATACTATGAGTAAACATATCAATATACTTGCCTGATGCATTCACTAGTTTCACTAGCATTTTTTCATTTATATTAACAACATTACTTAATAGTTGTTTTAAATTTAAAAATAGCGTAGCATGTTCATGCCTGTAATCCTAGCACTTTGGGAGGCTGAGGTAGGTGGATTGCTTGAGCCCTGGAGTTGAAGATCAGTCTGGACAACATGGCAAAAACCTATCTCTACAAAAAAATACAAAAATTAGCCAGGTGTGGTGGTGTGCTCCTGTGGTACCAGCTACTTGGGAGGCTGAGGTGGGAGGATTGCTAGTGCCTGGGAGGTTGAGGCTGCAGTGAGCTCTGATCTCACCACTGCACTCCAGCCAGGACAACAGAACAAAACATTGTCTCAAAAAAAAAAAAAAAAAAAAAAAAAAAAAAAGAAGTAAGTATAGCATGTGTATCTCATTAAACAAATGACAAAGCCATTTATCTATTCTTGTTTGTTCTTCTTTTCCACTGTTTGCATGTTTTTATCTAGCAGTAGACTATGGCCCTACCAGGTTAAGACTTAATTATCTTAATGGCTTAAAAAAAAGTCTACAATAGGGATTAAGGTATTGAGTATACAAATGATTATTTCTCAATTACATTTGGGCATTAACAAAAATCTTAGCTTATGATTTTTACTCTATTGAACTCTGTTTTCCTCTTTCACTAAAATCATATTGATTACATGCAAGTGATGATGATTTAGGAATATAATTTGCAATACCAGTTGTGGTTTTGAGAGAGCATTTTCATAATTCTTTCTCTTCAGTGAGTTATTTCAAATCTTTCTGGAAATTTGAACATTTAACATTGATTAAAATTATTTGAGTGACTATATAACATAATTTTAACATTATTATCACTATGAGTTTAACAGTTTAACTATTAACATTTAATGTTTAATATGATTTTATTTAGACATACGATAATAAAGAAAAATGTGCAAGGTCGGGTACAGTGGCTCATACCTGTAATCCAGGCACATTGGGAGGCCAAGGTGGGTGGATCATTAGAGGCCAAGAGTTCAAGACCAGCCTGGCCAAAATGGCGAAACCTCATCTCTACTAAAAACACAACAATTAGCCAGGCGTGGTGGCACACACCTGAGGTACCAGCTACCTGGGAGGCTGAGGCATGAGAATCACTAGAACCAGGGAAGTGGAAGCTACCGTGAGCCAAGATTGTGCCACTGCACTCCAGCCTGGGTGACAGACTGATATTCTGTCTCAGGAAAAAATAAAAATAAAAAAGAAAGAAAAAGAAATTACATGGAGTAGAGCCTGCCAGTAGGTGCAAATTCCCTTACACCTGCAGCTGCCAGGGAGTCTACACATTCATAATTTGGCCTTTAGGAATTCATTTAAAAGTAGCTGAATTCTTTTTTACCTGCTTTTCTGGAAGCCTGACTTCATCCTGTGCTCTCTCTTTTTCTGCATGGAAATATCTTTCTTTCTTTAGATTTCAGGCTTGCTGATTTTTCTTGCCACTTCAGCTCCTTAATGGGTTAATGAAAATTATGATTTTTTTTATTATTCAGCTTTTTCTTTTTTGTTTAGATAGGAGCAACTCTTTTCACATCTTTCTACCCTAAGCAGAAACAGGAAATCTTGGTTTATTGTTTTTCATTGCTTTATATTATTGCATTGCATGACCTATTTTTGCTGAGGAATATTTGAGTTGTTTCTGAGTTTTTGCTATTAGGAATAATGCATGTACGACTATTTTTACACAGCTTTGGTATCCATAGGTAATATGGTTTGGCTGTGTCCCCACCCAAATCTCAACTTGAATTCCTATATGTTGTGGGAGGGACCCAGGGGGAGGTAATTGAATCATGGGGGCTGGTCTTTCCCATGCTATTCTCGGGATAGCGAATAAGTCTCACGAGAGCTGATGGTTTTATCAGGGGTTTCTGCTTTTGCTTCTTCCTCATTTTCTCTTGCCCCTGCCATGTAAGAAGTGCCTTTCACCTCTCATCATGATTCTGAGGCCTCTCCAGCCATGTGGAACTGTAAGTCCGATGAAATCTCTTTTTTCTTTCCAGTCTCGGTATGTCTTTATCAGCAGTGTGAAAATGGACTATCACAATAGGCAAGTATTTTTACTGTACGCCTTATCCTAGCAGCAGAATTGCTAGGCAATAGAATAGGCATACCTTCATGTTTAGTAGATACTCTCAGTTTTCCAAAGCAGTTGGTAATTTACAACTTTATTCTTAGCTCCACAAGTGCAAACTGACTCAAATGCTCTATGGTGCTTTTAAACAGCCACTGTAAAATTTTATCCATGTTTATATAATTATTTCTGGTGGGAGAGTTGGTCTGATAAAAACTACACCTTAAAAAAGGAGAAGCAGGTATTTATAATATTAAATTTACAAGTATAATGCTAGTTGTAATTTTAAACATGATTGGCATTTACAGAAATACTCTAAAATTTAAAGTTCAAAATTATTTGTAATCATATGTCACTATAAAAAAATTTAATATTTTATGCTGTGATGTATTACAGCCCCTAATTTTATTTAAAAACTATAGTTTACACAGTTCTGCAACCTAGCACATAAATCGCAATCTCAAATGTTATGATATGTATGCATTTGTATGTGTGTGTATAATCTTAAACACTATTGACAGTGTTTATTTGGTATAAATTATTTGCTGTAATATTACTAAGTTGAAGTGTATAAACAGTTGTTTTATTTTTCAAAATGTTGAAGCAATCTCAAATGTATAGAAAAATTGCAAGAACATAAAAGAATCTTGTTTTCTAAAATTGAGAGTAAGTTAGTTTCCTGATCTTCACCACTCTGTGTATTATAGCATATGCTCCCTACAAAGACATTCTCAGACATAACCAGAGTAAAACCATGAAAACAAAGGAACGTAGCATTGATACATTTCTTCCCCCTAAATCTCAGACTCTTTGCAAGTTTTAACTGCTGTCTCTTTAATTTCCTTTATACAATGAAAATATCCAGATCAAAATTACATTTACATTTATTTCGTATCTTTCTTAGTCTTCTCCAGTCTCAAATAGTTTCTTAGTTTTTCTTGACTTTTATGATCTTGATGCTTTAGACAGTGGACAGTTGGTATTTTGTGGAATGTTCTTCAATTTAGTTTGTGTGAAGTTTTCTCATGATTAGATTTAGTTCATGTGCCTTTGGTAGGTCATGCAGTTTCTTTTCATGGTTTCCTTTCAATTGGTTCACATTTCTGATTTGTGCAATTATTGATAATGTCCACTTTAATTATTTGTTAAGTGATTTTCCAGCCTTCTTCATTGTATAGTACCTTTATTTTTCTTTGATTTTTCTACTTTGAAATGTGTTCCTTTGAAACCATTTAATTATTCTATTCCTCATCAATATTTCTGTTAGTTTATAACTTATTTTATTGGGTTCAGGGTTTCTTATTTTATTTAGTAGATGGGATGGTTAATTTTAGGTGCCAACTTGACTAGTTTAAGGAATACCTAGAAACCTGATAAAGCATTATTTTGGAGTGTATCTGAGAGGGTGTTTCCAGAGGAGATTAGTATGTGAGTCTGAGTGGACTAAGTGGGAGAAAATCTACTCTCCATGTCATTGGGCACATCCCATCTGCTGGGAACCTGGAGAAAACAAACAAACAAACAACAACAACAACAAAGAGAGAAAAGATGAACATGTCTATCTATCTGCTGGAGCTTGGATACGCTCTTCCTCTCCTGTTCTTGGACAACTCTAGGCTCCTGACTTCTGGACTCCAGAACTTATACGCTCCCCAGCCACTGCCCAGGGTTCTCAGGCCTTAGGTCTCAGACTGAGAGTTACACCATTGGCTTCCTTGGTTCCAAGGCTTTTGGACTTGGACTGAGCCTCACTATCAGCATCTCAGCATCTTCAGCTTGTGGATGGTCCATCATGGACTTCTCAGCCTCCATGATAACATAAACCAGTTCTCCAAATAAATACTCTCTCATCTGTCTGTCTGTCTGTCTATCTATCATCTATCTATCTATCTATCTATCTATCTATCTATCTATCTATCTATCTATCATCTCTCCCTCCCACTTTCTCTCTCTCTCCCTTATTGGTTCTGTCTCTTTGAAGAACCCTAACTAATAAAGTAGGCTATAATCTGTAAGTGTTTTAGCCTGTCACACTTTCTTTGCTTCCCTTATTTCTTAAACAGTTCCTTGCTTTCTGAGCCAAAAAGTCCTGAGCTTTTGCATTTTCCCTTTGCATTCCTGGAATAGGCAATTTCTCCAAAAAATCCTGGAACCTTTTAGTGGAGATTGGTACCTTAAAGCTAAAATGTGGAGCTAGGTATCATCATTGCTGTTGAAGTATCACTGCTTCTCAGACCTGTTAAAGGGAAGAGCAATGTTATATGTGCTTGTCCATATAAACTTATCTATTTCTACCTAAATCTTTTGCATGACATTTATTTTTATGTTTCCCCAACTGTATTTATTTCTCTACCTCTGTATATTGAAAACTATGCATTTTTATACATACAAGCAGTTCTTATCCAACACAATGTTTCCTTTTATATTACTCCCTTTCTGTATTTGTAACATATTTCACTGGCTCTATCATTCGTGATATATTTACTGCCCTCCTTCCTGCACGCAGATGCCTTCCTCATCCTCACTTGGGTTTTGACACCAAGCAAAGCTCAGCCACCACTGCTTCTTCTGTAGGGATGTCCTCCTCACCCTGCTTAGATTGTCACCTCTTGCTGAGCCAAAGCAGCCTCTCATCCCCTGTGTGAACATCTAACTTGTAGTGTCTCCCTAAAAACTATAGGACTAACTAATCATAAGGGATTAGGTTGGAAGAAAAAACAGGGAAAGAGAAAGAGGAAGTGGTAAATGTTAATACAATACAATATACACTTTAATGCAACATTTAACACAAAATTAAATTTCAAATTTTATACAATTTTAATATTATATAAAATTGCTCTTCTATTTCCTCCTGAGCAGGTAATAAACTTTTTAACCCTTGCCAAATGGATAGAAAAGAAATGGCGACTCTTTTTGTAATATTTTGATTTCTTTAATTATGACTGAGGTTGAGAATCTTTTTTTTTTTTTTTTTTTTTTTTGAGACGGAGTCTCGCTCTGTCGCCCAGGCTGGAGTGCAGTGGCGCGATCTCGGCTCACTGCAAGCTCCGCCTCCCGGGTTCACGCCATTCTCCTGCCTCAGCCTCCCGAGTAGCTGGGACTACAGGCGCCCGCCACCGCGCCCGGCTAATTTTTTTTTTGTATTTTTAGTAGAGACGGGGTTTCACCGTGTTAGCCAGGATGGTCTCGATCTCCTGACCTCGTGATCCGCCCGCCTCGGCCTCCCAAAGTGCTGGGATTACAGGCGTGAGCCACCGCGCCCGGCCGAGAATCTTTTAATACTGGTCATGCGTTCCTTTTTCTATAAGGAATTTTTTATTTTTCTGCTTTTTGATCTTTCCTATTGACTAATGTATTCACTCATTCATTTAACCAATATTTTTCCTGCAAATGTATTATTGATCTTTAATATTTCTCTCTAAATGAGTTTTATCTGCTGTTTTTTTGCATTATTTATATGTAACTCTAGCCATGACCTCCAAAACCGCAGGAATAAGCCCTCATATTTATCCCAGATCCATTTCACTACATAGCACAATGCTAGATATTTGTTCAGAAGCAAAATCCTTTTAATTATTTACTTGAAAACAAGTATTTACCTGAGATCCATGGATAAGTTTAAGGATACTTATAAACTTGAAAATGTGTGGGTAAGTAGTTACATCTGTGTGTGTATATTTTCCTCGGGTGGGGAGCAGGGAGCTAAAATTTCCATGAGAACACTGCAAGAGTGTTATTTTGCTTTAAAATTAGAGATGTGTTCAACATTAACAATAAGTAATAGATTATTTTATATGGCAAACTATGAGAAAACTTGCAAAACTGTTCCACATAAACTATCCTACCTATTTAAACAATAACCTTTGAACTCAAATCCTCATAGTGTACAAACTAAGAAAAGTGATTTTCAGTACTGACCGATAAGAAACGCATCATTGTGATGATGGATCATCAAGAATAATAAAAGTATTATTTTGAGACATTATTGTCTGGGTTGTACAATAAAACTTTATTTAAAGTAAATTAATTACAAGCAAAATGTATTCTTCCCCAGTATTTGGTGTAAATGTTCTTCAAGTTGGATATATTTTCATCAGAACAAATTTATCTAAATAATTTAAACTGAATTTTCATATGAATTAAATACCATAGATTAAACTGCAAATTTGTTTGTATTGTGACTAGCATCTTATAACAAGGTAAAAGAGTTTAACCACTTTTAAATTTCTCTTGTAAATAATATATATGCTATTATACGCACACATATAAATATATATGTAGAAAATATGAAATGAGTATATCTAAAGAATAGTGAGAACACATTCTTAAGAGATTCTAAAAGCATGCCTATTGGTAAATGACTTTGTGAGGTATGAATTTTCTGGAGTATATAATCTTATAGTACAATTAGTAGTTTTTAAGTATTTTTACGATACATAAACGTCAAGTATAATAGAAATTTGCATCAATATTTGGTCATTTTTTTTCTATGGTAGGAAGCACACAGACTTATAACAAAACACTATAAACAACTTAGACATAGTGCTGGGACCATGCCAAAGAATGCTACAATCTCAGAGCCTTAAACTTATTTAAAATTATTTATCAATAATCATAGCCTTACATTCAATTTTCTCTTTATATATTGATTCAGTGAACATTTATAGAGCATCTATTATGCTAGAAAATAGACATGTGAAGATCAATAGACTAGCTTCATTATTTACATTTACTGTGAGGAGAATAGGGATATTAAACAATGGGGGTCTGAAAAAGGTGGGTAAAGATTATATATTTGGTAAGAGGCAAAATTCAGAATCCAAACTGCATGCTCATGCCAATATTTCTTTTGGCTTTGCTGATATAGTATGGAATCCCTCCTGTTAATATCTTTATGATATTCTTGGAGCATTTACATTATATTCAAATATCACCAATTTTTCCTTGTAAAAATTGAAAGCCAAGAAAATACATAGTGTTGGGGGCCGGGGAGAAGCACAGAAAGAATACCAACATGATGGGATTGTTTTGTTTTGCTTTATTTCTTCCTCCCCATCAATTTATTCCTGCCCAAATCCAAGTCCAAATTCCAGCTGTGACACCTACCAGCTATGTGTCAGAGAGAATGTGTATGTTATTAAATCTCTTAAATCTGAGTGCTACCATATATAACATGGGTATGATAATGTCTGCTTTTAGAGTCGATAGAATTAACATATAATGACAAAAAACCTTGAAGAGTATCTGGCTCTTCAAAATTACTCCTCAAGAGTAAGCGGAAGGTGGTAGAATATGCACACAAAAATATGCAAGTGTGGCATGAAGATTATTTTGAGCTAAAGGCACTTGAACAAAAGCAATTGTAAGGGACACTGTGCTCTGGCACCAGGAGGAAAGAAACATTCTCATCACTAGAGACTAGAGAAAACTCCCATGTGAAAGATGCACTCCCTATAACAGGAGGGAAGAAACATTCTTGTCACCAGAGATAGACAGTCAAGGCCTAGAAAATTCTGTACAGCCAGACCTTGTTAAAATAACTCTGCCTTTAGCCTCCCAATTTAGTTACTTTAGTTACTTTTTCCACAGTTACCATTCTTTGTTCAATTTACTATACATATATTTAGTATTGCCACTCCATTGGGTCTTCATTTTCCTAGGTGGGTTTTCATGTACATGTGAAAATCTGTATGCTTTTCTCATGTTAATCTGTCTTATAAGAATTTAGTTCTCAGACCCAGCCAGAGATCCTAAGAGGGTAGAGGTAAAGTTTTCCCTTCCGTAGGTATTTATCCACTACATGTTAATATCCCGAGCGAAGTTCCAACTCTTTGCGACCAGAATTTTTGGAGGTTGGGTTTTCTGTGCTTCTGCACAACTTCATACATTTTCACAACAAATTCCTGATTCCACCATGCAGCTCACTGAAACCTAACACAGGCTACATAACCCATATTCTGACAGTATGCTCCATACATATCATTCCTGACCAATGGGCATATGGTAGCTTTATAGTTGATCTTACAGTTAAATAAAATTTAATACATACTTAATAAAACTTCTGTTGATGTTGGCCAAATATAGCAATTAGTACAAAATCATTCATCACTGCAAGCACTAGTTATTCTGTCTGGGAATAATGAAAGTTCCCTTTGTCTCTCATCAGTGTGGTTTGACTGCATAGACATGGTTTAAGACTCTTCAATTAATTGCAAATTTATACAACAATAGAAGCAAAATTATTTCAGAAAGCAGTAACTCAAGAAAGCTGTACCTACAGCACTGTTTTGTTTTTGCTTTTTTTTAAAGGGTCAGCACACTGGCTTGAACTGGGCCTCCAGATAACATCATAATTGAAAACAGATGCACTAACTAGAAAGCAGCTTTTGGTTTCTGGTTCCTGAACATTAATGCAATTGCCCAGTTGTGAAGTCATGTTAATGCCTCAACATGAATTTTTAGTACCACTGTCGGACATTTAGCTAATGATAGATTATAAATCACTGTGCTACTTGAAATGCGAGACTAGATCTATATTATTTTAATGAATCAGATGCTATGCAGCAGATGATCAGCGAGAATCATCCAGGGCTTCTAAAGCTGTACTGGTGCTGGGCAGCAGTTTCTTTCAGTGGACAATCTTGAATTTAAACCTGGATTACTGTACTTGGTAGCTAGCAGCAGGTGGCTTTGCTTCTGTGAAGTTCAAGTGCTTTTCCTGTAAATTGGGAAATATTACTTCTCACAGATTACCTTTCACAGAGAACAAATTATGATCGCATGTATGAAAGCACTTTACATATGGCAAAAAAGTATTTTTAATGAATTGTGACCATTCTTTTAAAAAACATTATATTTTAAACCTCCATGTAGCATTAAATAATAGAAATATAATTTAAAATAAATCTATTCTGATATTTAATAGGAAAGAGAAAAGCCAGTTCAGAGAAGTTATTTATTTCTTTATTGAATTCAAATCCTCTATAATATTTTCCTGGGGGGCTATGTTACCTTATATTATAAAGTTGTTTCTATTATATCTTTCATTAATACTTTGAAATCTTAAAGGTATTCACTAATTTTACAATTAACAAACTAGGTAGATTAAACCACAATAAATGCTTTAAAAGAATAATATTTTACAACTGAAAATTCAAGATGCCTCCTAGTTTCATACTTACTGAACATTTGTGAAGGATATTCTACATGCCAAATTATGCCAGCCTTTAATATAGGCATCTTTGAAAATTATTTTTACAAACCACAGAAACAAATAGTGTCATGCCAGCTTACAGGACAGAGACTGAGAGTCAGAGAAGCTGTGCCTAGCCTCAAGTCACATGGCTAATGTTTGTGAACACTGGCATTTTACGCATTTTTAAATACCAAAAGTCAGTGTTTTATTCCTTTGTGCTATATTTTACCAACTAGCCTTAATTAAAGTCATCGTGCCTAAATACTAGAGGGACAGTATACACGAACACAAGAAAACAATATAATATACATACTCGATTGTGTCTTGCTTTTAAGTATGAACTCTTTGGCCACACAGCCTCTGCCTGATCTTTTGTGTAACCTTGAAACAAGTATTTAGCTTTTTTTTTTTTTGGTGGAGCCGGGGTCCGGCCATATTGCTCTCATTACAGGCATAAGTCACCATGCCCGGCTAATATTTATCTTACATGCCCCTCAGTTTTCTCATACATTAAAAGATGGTAATTACATACCTATTTCATAGGATTTCCATGATTTCTAAAATAGTTTACATATAAAAAGTTCTTAGAACAGAATCTGGCACTGAATAAGCACTTAGTAAATGTTAGCCATTGTTATTGGCCAATTATTTTCTGCTATTCGGAACCACTTTTGTTTTAGATATTCCCATTCCAATATCAAGGAAAAAGAAAGTTTGTGATGAAAAAAAATTACAACGGACATATTATAATTTATTTATATTTTATGCAAATTTAATAGTCAATCTGTTATTCTATTTATTATTTTTACATCACTAATTATCTCAGTTAATTATATTACCATTTTTCTGCAGGAAGAACAAACCTCAACTGTTTGCTTTTACCTGCAGAGAGAGAGAACAAGGCAAACAGCCATTACTAACGCTGTGAGGAATGGTACATTCAATATGAAGAACCATAAATTGGCAATTCAGCTATCACAAAAGAATCATAATAATCATACATGTTAATCATTTACAATGAAATGTCTTTTCAAAATCTGTAGAAGTAATAGCAGTTGCAATTTAGTTTTACAGATAATTATGTGTCAGATACTATGCCAAGGATTTTATATGTATGCTTTCTAATCCTGACATGAGCCTTGCATGGAAGAAATGGTATTCCCATTTTACAGATGAGAAAACAAACTCAAAATTTTTATGTAATTTGAAAGCATGTAGGACACAAGAGTGGGGAGTACAGACTTTGCAGTTGGACTGACCTGGGTTTAACTTTAATTTTTTTCCTCAATAACAGTCTAATACATAATACTTCTCTGTCTCATTTTTATGATCTGTGAAAGGCCTCAAAATGTTCCTTTGAGGATTTTATGTGATAACGTTCACAAGACCTTTAATTTATTATTGAACATATGGCAAATGTGATGGTTAATTTTAGGTGTCAACTCGACTGGATTAAAGATTACCTAGAGAACTGGTAGAGCATCAGTTCCGAGTGTTTCTGTGAGGGCGTTTCCAGAGAAAATTGGCACAGGAGTCAGTGGACTGAGTAGGAAATATCCTCCCTCAGTGTGGGCAGGCACCACCCAATTGGCTGGGGGCATGGATAGCACAAAAAAGGCAGAAAAAGGTCATTTCTCTCTCTCTCTCTCTCTCTCTCTCTGTCTTCTGGAGCTGAGACACTCTTTTCCTCCTGCTTGGGGGCATCAGAACTCCAGGCCCTCTGCCTTGGGACTCTGGGTCTTATGCCAGTGGCCCCTTGCATTCTTAGGCCTTTGAACTTGGACTGAGAATTACCCTATTGGCTTCTCTGATTCTGAGGCCATGCTACAGGCATCCCAGGGTCTCCAGCTTGCAGAAGGTCTGTCATGGAACAGACCGCTATATGTATATAATCTGTATACCTATATGTAGGTATATAGATACACACACACATATACATATATATATACACACATATATACATACATATAGATATATATGTATATATACATATATATGTATGTGTGTATATTATATATTATAAAATATATATGTATATGTACACATATATATGTGTGTGTATCTATCTACATATAGATATATAGATTATATATATACAGTGGTCAGTTCCATGACAGACCTTCTGCAAGCTGGAGATTATGTATGATATATATAATAATCTATTGGTTCTGTCTCTCTGGACAACCCTGATTAATACAGCAAGCAAGCATTTATAGATGGTTGTTTATGTTATAATTAAGCTAATGTATAAATATTATAAAAATCTATATTATAACAAACATTTGTCTGATTCCAAAGATCACCATTATTTACAACCATATCTACTCTTAGAAAAGATGTTGCAACATCTTGTGGAAACATTTTGATCAATCTTTTCTTATTAAGAATTAATTCACTAGATATGAAAGTTATGTGTGTGCCTGCACATTAGTATCATCAGTCTAAATTGAAGAATCTACCAAACAACTATTCTTATTCCATTAGTATTTCCCATTACATAATATGAGTTAAATATGAATCAAGGTGATGCTCTTGCCTCTGGTCGCACATGGACATCGAGTGCCTACAGATCACTTTAGTTTTATGATTTTCTTTCTAGAATAGAAATGGCAAGAGAAAGAGCTTCTGTTGCAATTTTTGATGTACTATGAAGCACTCTTTTATAAAGAGAGTAGACTATTACCCACAAGAGATGAATACATTATAACACCAAATCAAGAATGGCTTATTCATTTTCACACAAAAAGCATACCAGCAATTTTAGCATAAATGAATGATTGATTTACACTGGGTAGAAGCAGTTTACATTTTTACTACACATGTATGCACTCACATGCTTACATATAAATTTTTAACACTTTACTGTAATTATCTTCAAGCACAGATTTTTGATGCAAAATATTCTTAAGCAAAAACTAACAGAAAATATGACTATGAAATGTTTTGTTTTATTAATTAATTATTAAAATATCCCTCAAATGAATTTATGTCAAAATTAATGTTTAGCAAAAAATCATTTCATCATCTGGGGCACTGCATTCTACTATGAATCATGTTAAAATCTCTCAGCATATAACATGCCAATATCATGATTCCTCTCATCATTGACTCGAGCTCCAAATATTCAAATAAGGATTTGCAACTCAGTAGTTTAGTTTTGGAGAGTCTTTTTATTCATTACCATTGATATTTTTATTAAGTAATCAGTTTTAGTGACAGATGCCATCCTTTTTAATAATATACTATCTCTTGAACAATTTAAACATTCTCCTTCCATTCACTGCTAAAGTTCATAATTTGGGGGGTAAAATATTGAATACGGAAATGTTACATACAGTGAGTGATACTGGACTATTTTTCCCTGTTTAGTAGCATTTTCTTTCTTTTTTAACACATGACAGAGGGGACAATGTTATAAACCCTAACAAACTATTTTTTTCATCCAGTGAATTCTCTGTTTGCCAAAAACTATATTATGCCCTGAAAAATTCAAAATAAATAGTCTATGGTCTGTAATCCATATTTTGTATTTAAATAAGTTACCATATTAGGAAAGGAAGAGAAAAATCAGTAGACTCAAAACACACATAATTATTGTCAGAATAAAGAATTTACAGCAAAATTCTATGACTGTTTGTTGTTTCTATTTAAGTCAATCATATCATGCAGTGAATGAGAGAAAGGCGAAAAATGTAGGGGAATAAGAAATAGAATACTCTAATTCCTCTGCATACCCGAAAGTGATCTCAAGATCTCAAATGAAGCTTCATCTGCAAAAAGTAAGTGTGCCCATCACAGATTAAATAGACCCACTCATTTTTTTAAAATTTATAGTGTCGAGGCTGGGCGCGGTGGCTCACGCCTGTAATCCCAGCTCTTTGGGAGGCCAAGGTAGGCAGATCACAAGGTCAGGAGATTGAGACCATCCTGGCTAACATGGTAAAACTCCGTCTCCATTAAAAATATAAAAAAATTAGCCAGGCGTGGTGGCGGGCACCTGTAGTCCCAGCTACTCGGAGGCTGAGACAGGAGAATGGTGGGAACCCGGGAGGTGGAACTTGCAGTGAGCCAAGATCGCGCCACTGCACTCCAGCCTGGGCAACAGAGCAAGACTCCATCTCAAAAAAAAAAAAAAAAAATTATAGTGTCAAAATAGATATTTTATTCAAATTTCCAAAATATCTTGCCATAATACGATGTATTGATTTGCCACTTATCTGAAACTATAACTAATGAAAACCTCCTAGTTTTCAGTCCAGTTTCTCTTCTACTATTCAAAGGTACAAACTGCAATGAAAAGTACAGTGATTATACATATTCCTCACTTAAGAACATTAAAAATACATGGAATGGTTTCAAGGTAAACATTGGAAAAAATAATAGGCAAGACAACATACACTTGAGATTTGGATAACTAATCATTAGGAGGTACCTACGGCATTCCACATCCATGACCAGAAGATGAAACCATGATATTGGTTCTTAGGCAGCTCATTTGCAGTTAAAATGTCAAAGTGAGTTTTCTATTAAAAGATACAATATTAACAGTAGAGAAATCAAGGAAAAGATTGTCTAACCCTAGCCCCAAGCCAAAAGGATTTAGTTATTGAAAAAGACATCTCTATAATTTTGGAGTTTTTATAAATATTATTTCAGATCTTATTGGGAAATGATGTACACATATATAGTTTGGGATAAAATTTTAATATTGCCCGCGAACCAAGGAACTCTGATCATGGAAATAGCTCTGTGATGAAAGAGGCAAACTAACAGAAAAAGTTGACTTTCTTAAACATGAGAGACATCGGAGATGAATCCTTAAAGTCAGTTAACACGTTGGGTCAGTCAGAAGAAATAAGGTAAAGATTTATTTGAACGACTTCTTTTTCTGGAATTGGTCAAATGTTTAATATATCATAGGAATAGCCTCACAGCTTCCAATTAATCCTCCAACCTAAACTCTGAAGAGGAGCTTAACATTCAGAAACATTTAAGAACACTGTGTATTCTATTCCCCCCTGAAGGAGTACGTTGCATATCAGCATATAAAGATCTGAGTCACTCAGCTGTATGGACATCTTTCTTAACTGCATTGAATATAATTTTACTTGACTACTTGAATATTCTTAAATTATTAACATACTATAGAACCATCATTTTATGAAAACTTCCTTGTGATACAAAGAGGTGTACTGTGATTCATAGTCTTCATTCTTGCTTCCAAATTAGCTCCACCCTTTTCACATTGATGTCCCAGGTGGCTGGTCAGCTCACGAAAGAGCATCCTGCCTCTGACTTGAGGCTAGTGAAGGGTTGGCACCCACAGGAATTCAGAGGACGGGAGAGAAATCTAGTACTTACTACCCTCCCTCCCTCCCTGCAAAATCACAGCAAGTTGGCTGTGTCTCTGTCAAAGACCAAAGCTTCTAAGGGGACATTTTCCTGTTGGTACTTGTTCTGGGTTATCATTATTATCTTTTCCCTTCTTTTTTTAGACCCAGGAGTTGTAACTGCTGTCCACTGTTCTCAGACCTAGGATGCTTCACTACTATTTCTATTAAGCCTGCTCATATCTTTTTAAATAGTTCCCTTTGGCTGAGCACGGTGGCTCACGCCTGTAATCCTTGCACTTTGGGAGGCCAATATGGGCAGATCATGAGGTCAGAAGTTCCAGACCAGCCTGGCCAACATGGTGAAACCCCGTCTCTACTAAAAATACAAAAATTAGCCAGGCGTGGTGGTGCACTCCTGTAGTCCCAGCTACTCTGGATGCTGAGGCAGAAGAATCACTTGAACCTGGGAGGGGGAAGTTGCAGTGAGCCGAGATAGTGCCGTTGCACTCCAGCCTGGGCAACAGAGTGAGACTCCATCTCAAAAAAAAAAAAAAAAAAAAGAAATAGATCCCTTTGATTGAGCAATCTCTTCCCTGCTAGATTTATAAGTAGACACAGGCACCAGACACTCAGGATGAGATGCTGCGTTTAAATTGCTGGTATATTTAAAGGACTAAAGAACAATCCTTTGCAGATGAGAAACAGGACACTGGTAATCTCTGCCAGGTAGTTGCATCACAATTAGTCAAAATATCAATGGTTTTGGCATCAGATGAAGTACAGATAAATACTGGGGGGTCAGTAGGCTGTGATCCTCAGGCACCATGAAATGTACATCTGATTTTTTAGTCTTCTGCTTATTGTTTTTTCCAAGCCCTCACTTCCTGGCCCAGAATTAATATTAGATCCCTAGTTAATGTGCAAAGACTCTGGTGTGTGCATGTAGTTTCATTCCATGTCACTTTCCTGAAAATATACTTTCTTAGTTTCCTCTTGGATGGGCAATATGATCTTTTTTTTTTTTTTTTTTTTTTTTTTTAATGGAGTCTTGTTCTGTCAGCAAGGCTGGAGTGCAGTGGCGTGACGTTGGCTCACTGCAGCCTCTACCTCCCGGGTTCAAGAGATTCACCTGCTTCAGCCTCCTGATAGATGGGACTACAGGAGCCCACCACCACACTGGGCTAATTTTTATATTTTTTAGTAGAGTCAGGGTTTCACCATGTTGGCTAGGCTGGTCTCAAACTCCTGACCTCAAGTGATCGCCAGCTTCGGCCTCCAAAAGTGCTGGGATTACAGGTGTGAGCCACCGAGCCCTGCCAATATGGTCTTGAAAAGTCCCCATAATGTTTTCCAATACATGCTTTACACACGCTTTTCTCTTTGTCTGGATTGTGCTCCTTTGCATTCAACCCAGCTGTGTTGTTTTTTTCCATGGTGCTCAGCAAGCTAGCAGTTGTCATTGCCTCCTCCTGGCATTTCAGCTCCCTGTGTATCTTTCTCCTCTGTGCTCCCTAAACATTTATGAATACCTCTATTCAGGCTTTCCTGGGTATTTTTTAAAAAAATAATGGATTACTGATGCCAATCACATTCCCTTGCACATGGGAAGAGTATTAGAAAAAAAAGTGATTTAAATAATTAACTAGAATTCCCTTTTCTAATATGTTCATTCAAATCTATATCTATCTATCTATCTATCTATCTATCTATTCTTTCTTTTTACAATAGTTACATGTGTCTAAGTTCTCAATAAATTTAAAAATTCTAAAACACACAGAAATGTGTGAAAATTACCCTTTGCTTTTCTCCATTCCTTCACTCCTCTCCCCAAAGGTAATCTGTATTAACAATACAGTGAGACTTTGTCAGCTATACATTTCAGGATCAATTTCAATAAAACAAAATAGAATGCATTATTTAAAGGAAGATACTTTTGACATTTTTACTTGGCTGGCAGGAAATCATGGGCATGTTGACACTAATTATGCCTTGGAATTTCATATTGTCACAGAACATTTTCCTTTTTGCCACAGCAGATCAATTTTTTTTTTTTTTTTTTTTTTTGCCTGGATGGGTGGATGTCCTATTTGTTTTGTGGCTAATTCTAAATGCATTGTGGTTCTTTGTACACTACTGCATTTGGTGGTTCTCTAGCTGCCTAAGAATAGATCTGAACATGTAAACAGGCTGGTATAGTAGCAGGTGTTTCATATTTTCCCTGGTTTTCCAAAAATATACCATTAAACCTCGGCATATTTTCCAAAAATATACTCTTTTTTTTTGTTTTCCAAAAACACACCATTATAATACATCACTAAACTTAGAAACTATACATTTAAACATGTTTTCATATATATATATTTATATATGTACACACACACACACGTATAGATGAGCAATTAAATGTGTTACAAAAGCCAAGCAGATTTTTAACATCCCTAAAATACAGTGAGTAAAAACATACATACCACAATTCATGTTTTTTTCCTTTACTCATCATTCTGTATATTAAAAATGGAAGGAGGAAAAGAGGAAGCCAGACAGGTAAGACATTTTGAACTTATTTTTAGTGGGACACTTTAATATACATTTTGCTCCAGAATGCCTCAATGCTGAAAATGTCTCCTTTAGCTGATACAAAAGAGAACATTGTACAAAGTATTTCTCAAGAATGAACAGGAATATGGTGTAGAGTATTTATGTTTGCAAGCTGTGATTGGCATTGTTAGTCTAATAAGAAACAAACAAAAGGACAGCCCTGTGTAACCACTGTAGCCTGAATTCTGATTTATGTTTCATCCTCTAATTAAAATCCAAGAATCTTAAAGCTGAGATATATTATGTATAAATTTACTTTAGCAATGAGATGTCTATTCAATGATATAAAGGTCACAATGAAACTGGAAGACCTTTTCATCAACGTGAAAATTGGAATTAATCTTCAAGACACAGGGATCCAAACCATTTCCAGAGGACAGGCTGAAAAGGCCTAAGAAGCCAGTGCACTTAAGACAGAAGCCTGTGTCCTGGTATGGTGGGTTGTTAGTATATGGGGAGCTAACAAAAAAAAAAGAATAAAGAAACAAACATATTTTCTCCCTCAAGCTGTAGTTAAGAAAAAGAGGTAAGCAAATGTTCTGGTAATAATGCATCAGTTACACTGAAATCCTTAGAACAGAATCCACTTAAAAACAGCATGTTCACCAAGTCCACTGCTGTAGTTAAACATGTAGTTAGGACTACGTAGTGTTTGATTTGTTTAAAGAAAATTACTTAGCTAGGTCTTTAAATAGGAAAGAAAAGGAGCAAGACTCACAGAGAAGATATTTTTGGAACTAAATTCTAAACTCTAATTTCTAAGTTGTTTACTTGTAACTTAGAATCAGAAAAACAAAATTTATTGCTTTAAAACAGGAATCTCAAGTCACTTTTTAAAGGATTCTCAGACAGAGTTTAGTTTTGCCCACATATGGAAGTACATAATGGAGAAGGAAAGTTAATGGAGAACTCAAGCATGGAGACCTTGCTTGAGAATCATAGTAAGAGGTTTGTACCCCTGGAAATCCTTAGTACAATTGCAAGGCACTAGCCATATTTTACTTTATTCTCTAAGAGTACGACACAACAAGAGCCTGAGAGAGGACTGTTATGTTCTCCCATGAAATGGATTGCTTTTTTTAACATCTTAAAAATAATCTTTAATATATAAGTAATAAATGGGTAAATATATACACACATTAGAGTAACCATATAAATGTATATAAAATATTTTGTATATTCAGTTTCCTTGAGTATTTGAAAGCCAAGAAAGGAAGGGAACAGCAAAGCATGAAGCTCCAAAAGGCAAAAAATACATCACAAATTTTATATTCTAGAGATTGTAGATATCACCTCATAGGAATGTTACTCGGATCTTCAATCACAGACAATTCACTTGGACACGTGAGTCTCACAGGCATAGGTAGAAGTTCAATAAATATTTATAGGCTTACATTTTCATCCAAGTCTTGTGTGCAACTTCTGTGTTGCAATGAACATTATCTTGACTACTTTGTGTTATCTAGACAACCTAGCATACTGTGTCATACACAGATATCGTGCCTACCATTTGTTAGCAATTTGATACTTCAAAAACAATTTCACCTACATTATCTTATATTACTTGTACACTTAGTGAGCTAACATTATTGGCATTTTGTAGAAAATGTCACTTACAGTCAAACAAATTCACTTACCTGACTATAGTTATTATTAAATTTCAAACCCTGGTATAAAATAAAGTGTTTCAGACTGAATCAAGAAATTATTATTTAATAAACAAAAATTGTTCTTCATGAGATTTTGCTTTCTCAAAATTTACCCAATGCAGTGTACACATTTCATGGAACTAGATGCTAGAGATGAAAATAGTGAAGCTACAATTTCACCATTTAATAAGCTTAGAGTCTAAAGAAGATGCTATCAGCGTTTCCCATTTCCATGTTAATCATTCTCCCCCCAATCCCTTGGATAGCTACCAGGTTATTATACTGAGGCTATGTTTCACGGAATGATTCTCTCACAAGGCAGGTCTTATTTCATTAATATAAATGCTAAATATAATAAAAAGTTGCTCTTTATATAAGGTAAATAAAAGTCAGTACCTTGGTGGGATACCTATGCGATTGCAAATAACTGTCAAACAAAAGGGTTTTTTTACATAAACATATCTAAGTATGTAAAAGAAGATTATAAAATTGTGTAATAATTTCCAGAAAAAAATCACTTTTTTAAAACATATTTTAACAGTCATATTTTGATTACAAGCTTCGAAACCAGAAGTTAGGTTCAAAATTGAAAGTAGAGTCTTATTTGACCCCAGGTAGCATCTGAAAATTCTCACATCTAACTTAATAGCAACTGGTGATTGGAATGAATTTTATATCTAACTCTAGGCTTCTTTCTCTTGTTGCTAAAGTGTACGACAAAATACAAATTGAATATCTGTGTTGTGCTATTGATATAATTAAATAGATTCCTATAAATGTTAAACCAAAAAACAAAACAAACAAAATTTAAACACATACACACACAAAAATAAAAACAACCTACCGAGGGTCTCTGAAGTATGTGCAAAATCAGGGACATCTTCTGATGGAGAGTCTAACTCCAGAAAAAGAGAGTAGGTAGAATGAATTACTCATTCTTGTGGCTTTTTGAGCTAGAGGGCAAGATATAGTTAGCTCCCTAATTGCTGGCGGAAATTCAGAAAGAAAATACACAGCCTTTCTGGCCTAAAGTACCAGAAGTCATAATTTAAGGCAACCACAGTCATTAGAATATGAAGGGCTAATCCTGAAGGATACAGGACCAGAGAAAGAGATCGCCAGATTCTATGTGTAAACTCTTCTCAAACCTCTGGTTGAAACCAGAAATGCACAAAGGTGAGACAAATTGCTAGCAACCATATTAAATCCGAATTACTAAATGCAAATCCTTTGTATCCAAAAGCTGAGGTTTTCAAATTGAATCAAACATTATTGATTGTGTACCACAAGACAAATACCAACATTCTCAAGGAATAATATGGAATCTAGAGTCTTAATAATATAATATTTAAAATTCTGGAATATAATTCAAAACTATTAAGCATACAAGCAACTTGGAAAATGTGACCTATTCTCAAGAAAAAATAATCAACAAACAATGGATAACTCAGATGACAGAACTTTTAGACTAGGACTTTAAAGCAGATATAACTAGATTTGAAAGGAGGAAATAAACTTATAATGAATAAAAAGATAGAAGACCTCAAAAGCAAGACAGAAACAATGAAAAGATGCAAATGGAAATTTTAAAACTGAAAAATGCAGCATTTGACATTAAAAGTGCACAGGATGGTCTTAGCAGAAAAATAGTGAGGACTTTTAAAAGAATCACTAACTAAAAAGATAGATTAATAGAACATATCTCATCTGAAAAAGAAAGAAGGAATAAAAGGAATAGTGAAGAGAGCTTCAGGGACCGGTGGGATAACAGAACATTAAAAGAAAGTCTTACATGTGTGTGATTAGAATCCCAGAGTTGATAGACAATAGATCAAAATATATATTTATTGCCTGAATAATATAAACATATATTATGGCCTGAAATTTTCTGAAATCCGGTGAGAAACATAAATTTGCAGTCAAGAGCCTCAGTAAAATTCAAGAAGGATAAATATGAGGAAAACCATAACTAAGTATTCCATAGCCAACTGTTGAGAACCAGAGAAAAATCTCGCTAGCAGCCTAAGAAAAACAATAACTTACATAGAGGGAGAAAATTATGTGAATGGCCAAAGACTAACTAGAAACAATAAAAATGGGAATACAGCAATACGTATCTTTAAAGTTCTAAAACTCAAACACTGCTAAGCCAGAATTCCATATCTGCATAAATATCTTTCAAAACGGATGGTGTGACATTTTCAGATAAAAGAAAAATAAGTGAATGTATCATCTGGAGATCTTCAATACAAGAAATGTTAAAAGACATTCTTCAGCGTGAGGGGATCTGATAGGATGTGGAAATTTGTATCCTCAGGAAGAAATGAAGAATGTCAGAAATGATAAATATTACATAAATATAAGATACTATTTTTTCCCTCAGTTTAAAAATGTATATGGCTACTTAATATAATATAAATTTATAATTATATGTATATATAATACAAATGACCCAAGAGCATAAAGATCAAGGGTCCTAAAGAGTTACAAGATTTCTGCATTTTGCATGAACTGATAAAATATTAACTCTAAGCAGACTAAAAGTTTAAGTTGTGTTATTCCTTAAGTATCACTTAAAAATGTAAAAATTAGCAATCTAATATATAAACTAAAATGAAATATGAATAAAATCCAAATAACAGAAAAGAAGCCAGGAAATGAGAGATAGAAGGACAAAAACTGATATAGAAAACACAGGTGAAATAAGAGACTCAAGGAAAAGACAACTTTGAGGGGCATGTTTATAAACAGTTACAGATAACTAGTTTGTGGATTTTCTTTATTTTTATTTTCTATTCTGTTGATTTCTGCTCTTTATTATTTGTTTCCTTCTTGTTTGGCCTAGATTTAGTCATTTTTCAAAGCAATTCCTACTCAACTTTTCAATGTTGGATGAGTTTTATAGGAGAATATTGCTTGTTTTGAAGGAAAAGGACAAAAAAAATGGAAGAGGGACAAACAGAAAACAAATGTAGTAAGTTAGAGCTAAATCCAATTATATTGATAATTAAGTTAAATGTTAATAAATTCATTTCAATAAAAAAATTAAGAATGTCAGAACTGATTTAAAAAATCAACACTAAACTCTATGCATGAGAGCTATTAAATGAATGGATACAGTATGTATCACACAGACAGTATGAATTAGAAAGCTGAAGTGGCTAGCTATATTAATATATAAAATAGATTTAGAGCATAGACATTTATTACTGATAAAACAGTCAGTTTGTCAAGAACAAAAACCAATCATAAATCTATATTTACCTGATAGCAGAACTTTAAAATCATGAAGAAAAAATTTGCAAAATAAAGAAGAGCCAATTTCACAAACATGGTTAACAATGCTAATACATCTTTCAGCAATTGATAGAACTAGACATTTTTGTATTTATTTATTTAGTTAGTTAGTTATTTGAGACGGAGTCTTGCTCTGTCGCCCAGGCTGGAGTGCAGTGGCAAGATCTCTGCTCACTGCAAGCTCCGCCTCCTGGGTTCACGCCATTCTCCTGCCTCAGTCTCCCGAGTAGCTGGGAATGCAGGCTCCCGCCACCACGCCGGCTAATTTTTTGTATTTTTTTGGTAGACACGGGGTTTCACCGTGTTAGCCAGGATGGTCTTGATCTCCTGACCTTGTGATCCACCCGCCTCGGCCTCCAAAAGTGCTGGGATTACAGGCTAGAGCCATGGCGCCCGTCCTAGACTTTTATTTTTTTAAAAAGTAAAGACATAGAAATCGGAACAACGTTATCCCACTACCTTGACCTTACTGATATTCCAAAAGCAATACTCACAACAATTACGAAGTACACATTTTTTGCAAGTACATATGGTAGATTTATCAAGATAAATTATATGCTGGTCCATAAAAATATTTTCAAGATATTTCAAAACGTTAGAATCATATAGAATAAGTTCTCTATTATAAATGGAATGGGATCACAAATAATAAAATATTTAGAAAAATACAAATATTTGAAAATTATGCAGAATAGTTATAATCTATGGCATAAAGAAGAAATTACACAAGGATTAGAAACTGCTATTAACTAAATGATAAAATACAGCATATTCAGTTTTTCAGGTTGCAACTAAAATGATGCTTACAAAGAAATGTATAGCTTTAATCTAAAATCGGTGACTCAAGATTCCAGAGGGAAGATTTAAATAAATACTAGAAGGATATGAGTTCAAAAAACACGCAGATTCCACGTTAGAAATGGCACCATGTATTCAGCTAAAGAGTTTGAAATATACACTTAATATCCTAGAGAATCACTGCAGGATTCTAAGCAGGAAAGAAGTAAGATCAGATTTTTCATTTTGAAAAGATTATTCTGAAAGCAATGTGAATTATGGATTCATTTTAGAACTTTCTTGGAGCAAGGAGAATAGATAGCAAAAAGCCATTGTAATAATCTAGGAGCAGAAGGAGCTGGATTCCACTAAAATGCTGTCAATGGAAGCTGAGTGGTCACTGGTAAAAGAGTTATTAAGGAGGTAGTAGCTACAGGATTTGGTAACTGATCATATGTTGATGGTGAGCGAAAGGATGAACTAATTTTAGGCTTTGGTGAAAAAGGGAATGTAGGAATAGCAAAAATGTCACAGACATAGAAAACACAGGTGAAACAAAAGACTCAAAGAAAAGACAACTTTGAAGGGCATGTTTATATCCAGTTACAGATACCCAGTTTGTGGATTTCCTTTATTTTTATTTTCTATTCTGTTGATTTCTACCCTTTATTATGTTTTGCTACTTGTTGGTATTGGATTTACCTTTTCTTTTCAAAACACTTTTGACTTGATGAGTTTTATAGGATAACATTGTTTGTTTTGGGTGGACAACCAAATACAATGGGAAGGATAGTAGATCTAGAAGAATTTCCTGGCTAGTTTTAAATAGCGGCATGAAGAATTATTTTACTATTGGGAACACTGAAGAGATTTTGTCTTGAGGTGACCAAGTAAATGAGATCTCTGTATTCAACACAGTGATGCACATTACTGAAGATGGAATTGTCAGAGGTGTTTGAACCAGAGCAACTCCATCTTAAATAGGGGCTGGATAAAATAAGGCTGAGACCTACTGGGCTGCATGCATTCCCAGTTACACAGTCTAAGTCACAGGATGAGCTAGGTAAGTCACAGGATGAGCTAGGAGGTCGCCACAAGATGCAGGTCATAAAGACTGGCTGACAAAACAGGTTCCAGTAGAGAAGCTGGCCAAAACCCACTAATACCAAGATGGCGACGAGAGTGCCTCTGGTCATCCTCTCTGCTACACTCCCACCAGTGCTATGACAGTTTACGAATACCATGGCAATGTCAGGAAGTTACCCTCTGTGGTCTAAAAAGGGGAGGCATGAAATAATCCACCCCTTCTTTAGCACATAATCAAGAAATAACCATAAAAATCAACAACCAGCAGCCCTTGGGGCTGATCTGCCTATGGAGTAGCCATTCTTTTATTCCTTTACTTTCCTAATAAACTTGCTTTCACTTTATTCTATGGACTCACTTTGAATTCCTTCTTGGGTGAGATCCAAGAACCCTCTCTCAGGATCTGGATCAGGACCCTGTTCTGGTAACACAATCAGCATCATATTGGGTAGCTGTTGGGTTATGCTGTTTGGAAGATCCTGATATTCACAGTCTTAGCCTGTTGCTCATCCTTTCCCAGGCACAATATTTCCATTTCTGAGATAGATCCTAGCTGCCTTGTGCATAGATAATATTCCTGTTTCATTGCCATGAGTACTGAAACTAAAGTTTCCTTAGCAATTGATGAACATCTATCAGTGTTTTCAGATTTCATTGATTCATGTTCTATTTCTATCTAATATTCTCCCACCTGCACAATGTGTTCTCATTAATTACAGCAATATCTGTTAATTACTTTGAACTGGTAAGAAGAACATGGAACAGAATAACTGCAGAACACTCATTCTAAGTTATCATACCTTGTATGGGAAATGAAAAAGCACAGAAGGATTTTTTTCCCAAGAGTCTGGGAAAAGAGTATTCTGTAAAATGCCTCATACTAGTATATTTTGTAGTAAATTCTTGATTCTGTATAAACATGCAACTAGGAATTGCATGTTTATATACTCTAATAGTTTTTCACTCTTAATCACACTTCACTTTCATTTACTACATTTGATAACATTAATAAAGTCATCTTTTTGGAAATTATTCACATTGTTTTATTTAATATCTCTCTTCACTTCCCTTCTCTGTCTCTGTGTATTCTTCTTTCTCTGTTCATTATATTCTTACAGTAACTAATTACTTCCAAATATACATCTTCTCATAAAGGCAGTTCTCCTGAGCTTCAAACAACTGTTTCCAACTGTCTCGTGGACATCTCCATATGGATGTTCCAAAGGGCCTAAACTCAACTTGTCAAAGACTAAATTCATACATACTACTTGCATTCATTTAATCAATTCGTGACACCAACAATGGCTGTCATCCAAATCCTAAGAGCCATCCATAAAATCTCTTTCTATCATTTAGCAAGTCCTGATAGCTTTACCTCTAAAGAATATCTGAGATCTGTTCACTTCCTACTTTTATCATCTGTCGCTGAAACTACCACAGTGGTTGGACTTTCCTGCTTTAAACTCCCTCTCTTTTCAGATATCAGAATTATCTACTAAGAAACACATACACACACAACACAAACATACACACACATATATGTGTGTATGTATATACATATATGACAAACTACTACATTACTTTATTAAAATATTTCTATGGCTCTCCACAGCTTAGAGAATGCAGTCCTGTTTACAATGCTAAGTTAGTTCAGGAAAACATTTTAAGAATAAGTAATGATTAAATAAATAGACCAAGGTAAACAGTTAATGCTAACCACAACAAACACTTCCAAAATTTTTTAACATCTAATCATAGAGTCATGGATCTGAATATAATCATGTCTCCATTATCAAACATTTATTGAGTCCCTGATATTTGTCAGCCACTTTTCTAGATACTAGAAATATATTAATAGACAAGGAAATGTTCATACATTTGTGATGTTTACCTGCTTTATATAAATCAGTCATTAATTTCAAAGGAATGGTACCATTTCTAAAGATATAAAATAAGTCATTTGAAAATAAAGAATTGGATTTTTTTTTAAATCAAAGTAGTCAAAAAAAGATGTCTCTAGGGAAATATTTGATATGATATCTAAATGCTGAAAAGGATCAGCCTTAATGATGGGGTTACAATTTTTGCAGCAGATGGTCAAAGTAACTCCTATAAAAGTCCTATAAGTGAGAATGATTCTAGAGCACATTCTAGAAGGAGTGGAAGATGGAAAATGTGGCTGGAAAATGGATAAGGAAAGAGTGGTGGAAGATAAGCTCTGTGGAGTAAAGTGACATGCAGATCAGGAAGAGTCTTTTAGGCCAGGTTAAGTCAATGAGTAAAAGATTATGTTTTCAGCTTCCTATCTCTAGGAGAGTAACACATTATTGTGCTTCCTTTTTACCAATGAGGTGTTCTTCCTCATTTATTTTCACCTTTATAAATCTACTATTGGGCGGGCGTGGTGGCTCAAGCCTGTAATCCCAGCACGTTGGGATACCGAGGCGGGTGGATCACATGAGGCCAGGAGTTCGAGACCAGCCTGTCCAATACAGTGAAACCTCATCTCTACTAAAAATAGAAAAAAAATAGCCCAGCGTGGTGACACACATCCGTACTCCCAACTACTCAGGAGGCTGAGGCAGAAGAATCGCTTGAACCCGGGAGGCAGAGGTTGCAATAAGCCGAGATCACACCACTATACTCCAGCCTGGGCGACAGAGTGAGACCCTGTCTCAAAAAACAACAAAAGAATCAAACCATTATAAACCTATTATTTAAAATAAAATAGAAAAGCAAACCCAATAGACTTATAAGCACTTTTGTGTAGTTTCAAAGAAGGAACAATTGTGATTTAGGACATTTTCCTAATCTCTTCTATCTTTATCTTGACCGTTTTCTCTCTAATTGAAATTTCCTTTTCCTCTCTCATTAAGATTTTTCCATGGTTTCCACAATAAACATTCGCTTTTATTGAAAGTTCTGGAATTAATTTTAATTAAACTATCTGATTGATAACTGCTTAAAGTGCTCCCAATTCCAGCATATATGTTTTAATAAAACCTTGAAACATAAATTAAAGGGAAATTATTTTTAGTGGTAGAAAATCATAAATATCTCCTAAGTGGTGGTGATCTTCAGAAATTTTTTGAAATCTCCCAGAATCAAAGACTGTAAGATAATCATGGTAATAGAGGCCATCCTGATATGCACATTAAATTAATCCATTCTGTTGAGAGAAAAACTCCAGGCAAATTAAATTTAAAGAAGTTTTATCGAGCAATGAGCAATTCGCAAACTGGGCAACCCCCAGAATCACAGCAGATTCTGAGAGAACCCGAGGATACCTTGTGGTCAGAACAAATTTGCAGACATAAAAAGGGAAGTGACATACAGAAATTGACAGTGAGGTACAGAAACAGCTGGATTGGTTACAGGTTGGCATTTGCCTTATTTGAACAGAGTTTGAACAGTTAGCAGTAGATGAGTGGTTGAAGTATGGCTGCTGGGATGGGGCAAGATGTAGCTATTGTTACAGCACATACTCCTAAATTAGGTTTTCGATCTCTTCTGCCTATGAAGCTAGGTTACAGTTCATCCACAAAGACTCAAATATTGAAGTATGAAGTCCTTCTCAGATCATATTTAGTTTGATTTAACAATATTATCATGTGTCTTGATGAATGTGAACATTAAGGTAATCAGGTATCTTTAACAATGGTCATGTATACTGTTTTCATAAGGCTTGCTTTGCATTCTAGTATAAAACCATTAAATCCAAACAAAGATTTTTATAGTTTTTAAAAACACATTCTAGAGCTGCATTAAACATGCACCAGAGCTGCCTCAAAGAATTAAGCTTATTGTTTTTCAGACAACAGTAGAAATGTAGTAGATTTGATTGGGTACCTAAATTTGACCATAATCTAGGTTAAATTTACATAGCGTATTTAACACTTTGGCCCCTGGATTATCCTATTTGATACAACCTGGCATCTAATCAAAGTCATCACATCCTGAAATGGTTGTATGAGTAAATTACGAGGGGACCTTGAAATTTGTAAGAGATTGTGTATGTGCTTAATTCAAGCCACAGTCATTAAGATTATAATTCATGCAATCCAGTGTTATCAAGATATGTATGCTGCTGAGCCCAGATGTCCTTAGTAATCTGCTGAAATGTCTCTAACTCAGCAATTTAGAGATTTTTTTTTTTTTTTGCTAAGAATACTGCTCTCCTTCATGTAGCAGCCCTCTCTCATTTCTCCCTTTTATTTGAAACTCTATGAATAAAGTACATGGAGAAAAAAGTCACAAATGTCCTTGTAGGACAATTAGGAGTTGTTTACACATCCCTCATTCAATATACTGCTTCTAAAATACATCTGTGACTGCAGCCCAAAGATCTGCCTGGAAGGTAATATGATAAGAAAATCTACTGTAAAATACCTAATAAATTGAAAAGGATGAAAAATAAATACCACCTAAAGTAGTTATATTTCGCAAAGACATTTGTATGGAACTCTTTCAAATGTAAAGTAGTTCCATTTTAGACTTGATTACTCTTTCTGGGTGCTAGTAATCATCTGAATAGCAGTTATTGCTTCTTAATAATGACCATTGTGGGTCTCTTGTTCAAGTTCTTCTATCCTCAAACACAATGTTCAGAATGTCAAGGTTGACTGTTTCATGAATAATTCAAAGTGACCAGTTGCTGAATTGCCATTCATGGTCCAGGGGTGGGTTATCATTGAAACTAGTTCACTGAGTAGAGTAGCTCACCAGAATATATCTGAAAAGAAGCCAACATTCTGGGTTTGTTTCTTTTTTCTAGCAGTAACATTGTGAAAGAGAAAGAAAGATACTAGGCTCAGAGTGGATGGATTTTCATAAGAAGAAAAGCTTTCAACCGCTAACAGTATAAAGCAATGAACGTGGATTCTTATATCAACAATCCCACTGCGAGATACCCATGCTTTCCTCCCCAGAATTCCCTTTTAGGCAAGATTCCCTGGCAGTGTCTCTGTGTGACCATTTTCTCAACCAAGGGTCTGTAGCTACAGTTCCAGGCTGGGCAACTGAAAAAAAAAACACTTACTAAAAGGGAAACCATTTCCAATAAAAGCAACAGGATTTCTGTGGACTGGGCCAAGTCAATTTCTGTTTTGTATAACTGCTTGGGTTCCAACAGGTCTTTTATATATATATTATTTTCCTTAATAGATTGAAAGACTGCTTTTTACTGCTGAGCTATAGCTATACAATCCAGTAAAAATAGCCAAGTATCTTTCTGTACAGGCTTGTAATTTCCTTTTCTGTTAAGGTTATTTTGGAAATAAAAGAAATTAATGAATCAAAGAAAACTGTGGGGTCTTCTTTTTCCTCAGTCCCTGCAACCTCAATCAGTCCAATAATCTTAAATCCAATCAATTTGATAAACTTCAATTTAACAAACTTTTACTAAACACTTAATACCTGGGGCTTGATTAAACAAAAAATATAGTGCTCTATTTAAGCATACATTTTAAAACAGGACTATTTCAGGTAAAAAAAAAATCAATTCAATTAGACTAAAACAAAAATAAAGTCTAAAATGAGAGAAAAGCAACCCTATAGAATCAGAATACTGAGTTTTTGCAGAATCCGAGGCAGAGTTCAATAGCAAAAGTCCAGGAAGGCCAATACGTCACTTCAACTTAAAAGAATATTGCTCTGAAGAATTGAAATGCCATCAGAATTTTCACCTTTCTATGTTTCTGTGCTAGACTTTTTCTCTTTTTGTAGACTAACGTCCTTTGCGTGGGAAATATGTAGATAGATAGACAGACAGACAGACAGATAGTTTTGACACCTGCCCAGACACTGCTTCAGTTTGCCCAGGGAAGAGATTGATTGGCTTAGAGATTGATAATGTACCTATAAAATTTAACTCAAAGGAAAGTGACTCCAGCATGAACAAAGCAGCTCCTATGAGGAAGTTATGGTTGGCAGTAGGAAGAGACAATTCTGTGAAGGAGGCAAAATGTTGCTAATAGGTTACTGAGATAACTACAGCACAAATAAAGACATAAGTGTGGGCCAGGTGTGGTGGCTCACACCTGTAATTCCAACACTGGGAGGCCAAGGCAGAAGGATCATTTGAGACCAGAAGTTGGAGACCCACCTGGACAACATAGTGAGACTCCATCTGTACAAAAAATAATAAAAAAAAATAGCCTGGTATGGTGGCACACACCTATAGTCCCAGCTACTCTGGGAGCTTAAGAGGGAGGATCCCTTGAGCCTAGGAGGTCAAGGCTGCAATAAGCCATGATAGCATCACTGCACTCCAGCGTGGGCAATGGAGCAAGGTAGTTTCCAAAAAAAACAAAGAACAAAAGAGATAAGTGTTCATGATAAGTTAAAAGATTAGCTGTCCAAATGAAACCATATTGGAAATATATTTTTAAATTAGGTCCAGTTGAAAAAATTGCAAAATTAATCAAATCAACAATTAGGGATGGCATTCCCTTAGGGAGTCTGATTTTGCCATAAAAATATGTTTCAGGGTCCAGATGATAATTACTAATGTTATACATTTTCAAGGTATCGGGGCTCATTCGTTGGATCCTTTCAATACATGCTGCAGATGTGTTTACAAGGTACATAAACAGAATAAGTCCAGCTTGTTAAAGTGATGCCTCTGGGAATTTTAGAAATAAGAATAATTTTAATAAGAACAATAACAATAATACTAATCAAAATAGCTATCATTTATTGTCACTACATGCCTGAACGTTTATTTATGCTATTTCACACTTCTTTTAACAATTGAAAGTCTTATATGGTATAGTGTTATCTACAGTTTGTAAGTGAGGTAAATAAAAACCAAAGAGATAAGGTAAATTTCCACAAATGACCTGAGAATACATACAGGATTTAAATTCACATTAATCAATTCCATGTCTTGAGTTCTTCCCACCATAAAATGCAGCTTCTCTCCACTAAACCTTTAAATGGAATTCAAAACTGATCTATCTCAAAATCTCATGAACCTATTTTTTTTTCCAAAAGCATATTTCTTAGAAATGTGTCTTGGGATAATAAGTTTGATTGCATGTGAAAGTAGAATTAACCAAAAACAAATCATGGTTTAATAGCTGAGTCACATTAAAAGACTAATGAAACCCACAGGAGAAAATTCAGAGGGCAATAATAATGGTAACACCATAAACTTAGAAAAATTTAAAAGGTAGTCCAGAATAACTCATTTTTATAAAACAATATAAAATGATCATTGTGTCCCACCCAAAGAGGAGGAGAACTACCAGTTTTATGCTTTTTCATCTTCATCTAGCAACACATACCAACAAGGGTAGCTTACTGTCCAGGATGTCCTCAGAATACCTCAGTTTTATTTTTCAGTAATAAAATGTGCCTATACAGTTGATTTTATAAAGCTAGGCAGTAGAGTACAACTGTTCTTTAATTTGAAGCCATGTGTATTCCTTATTGGCTGTGTGTCCCTGAGCAAGAAAAGAACATTCTCTCACCCTTATATTTTCTATCTATAAAATAAATATAGTAATATTATTTTCCTCATAGACAAGGTGGGAAGATTAAGTAAGATAGTATATGTGTAAGGCATCAGAACTCGAAATGTGGAGAGCGCAAAATAAATGTTGGCTCTGATGATTATGATGAGGAATAAAGTCATTGATACCAACGTATAACTATTTAAAATTTTGATTTCCATTTACCCCAAATGGAAAAAAAATACTAAAACATCTTTAGGGCTTTCATTCTTTTTAATTTCCATGTGCTTGTATGTCTGCGTGAGTCTATTTAAATGAAGACTGTAAGTTGAACAGGCTAATTAAATGGGCTTGGTAAAAGTTTACTATGTCGAAGGGAGGAAAAAAAGAATACTTAAGGAACTAAAGAGATTAATTGAAGGGTTGAGGGAAGACTCAAGATAACCATAATTAAGCTTGCTCAAGCAAATGGTGTGTACTGGCATTTTGTGGGAAATCAGCAATTGGGTTGATTGAGCAGGATTAGATACAGAAGGTGTTAAAAGTCAGCAGAGAAGTTTTGAATCAATCTTTTAGTTAATAGAAAGCCATTGAGGTTTCCTAAGAAAGTAACTGCAAAAATTTGTCTAATAGCGATATTGAGCATGAATTTAATTGAGGTAAATCTGGAAGCAGAAAAGTGAAGGAGCTATTTAGGTCATAGAGTACAATGGTATAGACCAAGATGTTATGTTGCCATTCCTTGTATTCTCATCAATAATTACAATAATAATAATAGTTTAAACATGAAAGTGATGTGATCACCAAGTTACTTTCAAGTTCCCAAGAATGCAAGACAATGGTTTCTCCAGTGAAATGTAATCTTTATTTCTAGAAGGAATTCTCCCCTAAGTTACTGTATCCATTCTAAACTTGCCAACCCTGATAAACAACTAGAAAAAAACCCTAACAATTCTCTGTAAAGCTTTCAATTAAAACAACAGAAATTCCCAATCAGCCTAATACATTCCTCATCAAAACACCCTGGATCATTTTAATTTTTCTGAACCAAAGATCCTACTTCAGGAAAATCTCCAATACTGAAAATCCAGACACCATCTTTTGATTATATGACATAATATAAGAAAGCTCAGAATGCAATACACTAGATATATGAATAAATAAAATGCAGACATGGAGAATTTAAGGCCAGAGAATTAATAAAATTACGTTCTTGATTAAATTATCTCACTCTAGATACTTTGAACTGTAGTTTACTGATTTAACTACCTTCTTTAATAGATGCTGAAAGTCAGACACAACCAGTTTAAATGATTTGCAATTTAATTTCCAAATCAGAACACCACATGCTTCATTCAGTGATTCATTCAATCAACATTTATTCAGCACCTGCTAGAATTCCAACAATGCACTATAAGATGCTGAAATTATATATGTAAATAAAACATGGTTCTTGGACTTATAATTTAGTAGGCAGTATAAATACATAACGATGCAATCATAATGTAATGGTCATTGTGAATATAGGGCTACACTGAGATCCTAGGAAAACACAGAGAAGTACATAGTGACCTTAGCAGATAGGGAAGGTTGGTTCTCTTTCAATATTACTACACATTATCACAAGAGAAATTTGCTACAGATTATAATCAACCTCTGAAGGCTTCAAAATATTTAACCACTGTAATATTACCACTTTTTTTTTTAAGGTAGCAACTAATATGGTGATCATGTTCAGGGCCAAATGGGATAGGCAGAGGGTAAGGAGTCTACTTGTCACTTAGATAGATATAAGCTAAAGTGAAATTGTGATCAAATTTTGCCTTCCAAATAATTACATGCATGGGCCAAGCTTGATTGCATTTTTATTCCTCAAGTTTAAGTTTAAAGATGAACAGAAAGGGCAAGAGAAGTAAATATCTATAGACTAAGTCTCAGGATCACATGTTGCTATTTAGCGTCTCTTCTAAGAGCTACTGTTGTGAATAAGTTTTGTTCTTTTACTCGACTCAAATTTGTCAATCACAAGGGAGTTTATCCTATTTTATGTCGAATTCGATGACCAAAATCTGGAAATATAAATAACAGCTGGGAAGCTGAACACAATTTTTGTTCCTTCTTTTTATGAACTTCACCTTAGAGTATAGGCTTACTAATGTAATAATGTTTGTTAATTATGTAAAAGTGAATGATTGAGAATCTATTTATTTAAGTTTATGTGATGAATAGTGTGTTTTATAATTGCTTAGTCTAAAACATATGTTTTAAATAAGCATCTAACATAGAGTATCTTATGATAGCGTCTTGTTTAACTGCAGTCGTTAACTAAATAGCAATTATGAAAAACATATTTAATGAATTAGAATCATCATTTTCCAATGACTATCTACAATGGTGGTTTAAGCTCATGTATCACTTTTCTTTTTGGAAATAGTAGGGCATATTCATACTACTTTCCTTATTCTATTACATATCTAATAAATCTCATTTCAGAAAATTTCTTCCACCACAATTCAAAATTAAATAAATGGCCGAATCTGAGAAGTCGCCTTTTGGAGACAGACATACCCAATCCCTGAAACTCGACCTGAGTTCTGTTTATAGCAGAGATGTCAATTCTATTTCGTGACATTTCTAATTGCTTTTCTACCATCAGAGACCAAACTCCTGAAGGACACAGTCTACAGTTTGTGTTATCTTTGTGCTTTTCATGGAACTTAGAACAGTGCTTCAGAGAGGGATTCCTGTGTGTTTGCTGCAATGAATATCTGCCGTTTCCTAGTGTCATACCTGCTATCTAGACAGGTTATTCTACATAGACATTTGAGCAAAATATAAAAAGATAAGCAGCCAGCATTATCTGGTCTAAGTAGACAAACAAAATGGGGAATAGGATTGGATGATTTGGATGTACCTTTATTGAATGTGTACATTAAGTCATGGCCTTTGGTAGTTTATATATATGTATATGTGTGTGTGTATATATATATGTGTGTGTGTATGCATATGTAAGTATGTGTGTGTATACTTGGAGAGAGAGAAACTCATTTATGTCACAAAATGACCATGTGGCAGAAAATTGTACAGATGATCAAACCTGAACTTAGGAAGGTTGTCATCTGACAAAGTGTACAATGTGTACCAGCTACAAGCCTAAGTTTATCAGATTATTTTTTTTTTAGTGATTAGAGAAAAAGTATAATGGTTTTAGAGTCAAGAGACAATAAATCGAAAACTGGTCCAATGGATTTAAAGTGGGAGAGTCGTATATGTTTCATGTTATAAAGTTACAATATTGGCTGCTGTGTAAATAGTAAATAGTGTAGGAGAGAGAAAAGAATATTAGAGAAATGGTAAAGCAGAATTCTAGATAGTTCTCCATGACCTCTACCTCCGGCCATTAAGTACCATGATTATGTTTTTACATGGCAATATAGATTTTCCACTTGTAATTGACTTTACTACTATATTCTCATTAAATTAGGGACAGTTTCTATCTGGGAGGAACTAATTTATTCACATGAGCCCTTTAAAAAGACATTTCTCTATGGTTCCTCACAAAAATGCAGTCACAGGATGCAAAGTTAGTGAAGGATTTAGGTGACTTGTTGAATTAAAGATGGAGGTGACAGCTGGGCGTCTCACACCTATAAACCCAGCACTTTGGGAGGCCAAGGCAGGAGGATCACTTGAGCCCAGGAGTTCAAGACCAGCCTGGGCAATATGGCGAAACCCTGTCTCCACCAAAAATACAAAAAATTTGCCAGGTGGGTTGGCCCGTGCTGGGGCAGGAGGATTACTTGAGCTCAGTAGGTAGAGGCTTCAGCCAGCTGAAAATGGCACAACTGCACTCCAGCCTGGACAACAGAGTGAGACCCTGTCTCAAAAAAAAAAAAAAAAAAAGGAGGGGACCATTCGGAAGGAATACAAATAGGCCTCTAGAACTGAGAGTGCCTTTATCCAGCTAAGATGGAGGGGACGGCCAGACGTGGTGGCTCACGCCTGCAATCCCAGCACTTTGGGAGGTTGAGGCAGGAGGATCACTTGAGCCCAGCAGGTAGAGGCTTCAGTGAGCTGAGGTCATTCCGCTACACTCCAGCCTGGACAAGTGTGAGATCCTGTCTCAAAAATAAATAAATAAATAAATAAATAAAGGAGGGGACCATTTCAGAGGGAATACAAGTAAGTCTCTAAAATTCAGAGTGGCTTTCTCCAGCTAACAGTCACTCCTACGCCACATCAAACTTAATTATGCCAACAACCTCAATGAGGTTTAAAGTGGATTCTTCCCCAAAGCCTCCAGGTAAGAGCACAGCTTGACTGACACCTTAGTTTCTGCCTTTGAGACTCAGCAAAGAAACCAGTTAAGTCGGCCTGTACTTCTGACCTACAGAATTATGAGATAATAAGTGGCTGTTGTTTTAAACCACTAAATTTGTGGCAATTTGTAACAGCATCAATAGAAAATGAAGCAGAAAACAAGGGAGAAGACCAATTACTGTCAATTACAGTAATCATGGCAAAATAGAATGGTAGTTTAAACTAGAAATATGACAGCAGCACTGAAGAGCTACTTGCAGAGGAAAAACAGAAGCAGAAAAGAGTCCTTGTCCTCAGGGCAGTCACAATCTATCATATCAGTGTATAAGTGTCTCGATTTCAGGGACTCTATCCCTATATTCCCTAGCATGAATAGTGGTGACTTGTTGGATTAAAGATGGAGGTGACGGCTGGTTGTCTCACACCTATATCCCAGCACTTTGGGCGTCTCACACCTGTAAACCCAGCACTTTATTTCAATGTTAGATAACATTTCCTAGTTTGAAATAAATTATCTGTTCTTCCTTTTCATAGAGTTTACTTTCACCAACTCCTTTTCCCTAAAATTAACCAATCTCTCCTATGCCCTACCTTACTATCATTATCTTATACTTTATTGATACCATATTGTGGTGCTCTAATTTTTTTACAGGATTCCTTTCTTGTTTTACGTATACAAGATTTCTTTTAAAGGATCAACATTCCAGAGCCCTGCTCTATATTTACTGCACACAGTTTAGCCCTTGACAGCATTACTTGCTCAACTATTATGTATTGAATAAACAGAAGAGAAATAGCCACATCCTCTCAGGACCTCCCTGTGAGATGTTAATCTTCCATCCCTTCATACATGCTATTGAAAATGTGTAAAACAATATATAGAAAATTATTTTTCTCATAGTTTATAAGATCATAAAATATTTAGAGACAAAGGGACATTTGTATATGGAAATTATATATTTAGAATTATTTTCTTCCTTTTTGTTTAAATATTTAACATTGTGTAGAAAAAGCTAGAGTAAATTGTTTAGTCACATATAAATGGATGAGATTATTTTTACTACAATAATAAAGTAAATCCTTCTATAACTCAACTCTGTAGCACTCAAGGTATTATCTCTATGCTTGAAAACTATGCACTGCTTAAATAATTAAAGCTTCTACAAACATTATTTCCTTCACACTTAGGAGAACTGGAATAAACAATTCACTTAGAAATCAGATCTGCAAGGAATTTATTACTATTATTTTTAAATGAATTTTAAGTAAGTGGAGACTCAAAGCTATTGATACTGTACATGTTCATTAACAAACTACTGCTTTCTAAGTATAATATGCATAATGTAGGCTTAAATTTTGTGAATTAAGAAGGTTTATAAGAAATTTTTATTTTTGAATCAAATGTTTTAAATAATCAAGGCTAATATTTACTGTGTATTCATTAATAAGCAAAAACTTCTTACATACATTATTCCATGTATGTTTTCATTAATAAGAATGTGAGTTTAAAATAATGTAATTAAATTATAAGAAAAATTAGACCAGATGTTTTGGAGAGATTTCTTCCTTTTGCCTCTCCCACTATGTTTTGTTTAATTGAGGTACATCTTACATACAATAAGAAAGCAGATTTTAAGGCTTACAGATCATAGGGTGGGTAGGTCTCGTTAAACTCTACACGAAACTGCCAAGCATCTTCTTAAAGTGATCATACAATTTTACAGTCCTACCATGAAAGTATGAGAATTGAAGTTGTTCATGGTAATTTGGCATTTTCAATATTTTAAGTTAACTCTTTCTAGTCAGCTCAAAATAGGGACATCTTACCATCCATGTCCCTGAAGATAATGATGCTAAAACATTTTAATAAGTTTATTGGCCAGCCATATGTTTTATTTTATTAAGTGTCTGTTCCATTTTTCTGCTTATTTTCATTTTGTTTTTTTATTTTATTATTAAATTGTAAAAATTTAAACATTTTGAAACACAAGTGTTTCTCAAAGTGTGAATTTTTTTCAGTAATAATTTTTAGACTGCTGAATAAATACTTCTGTAAGTATATTCATTAGAATTAGTCTTACTTTGCTTTCTAACACTCATGCTCTAGAATACATTGTACAACCACACCCACCTGGGAAATCCTAATAACTGAAAATAAATAAGTATTCTCAGCTGTCTATGAAACAAAAGCTGATGCCCATAATTACTCAGGGACATCTTGTGGACTTTCAATCTAGATAATTAGAAACTGAGTGCTGAGTGAGCTCAGTGGGTGATCTGAAATGACTGTTGCCTTTGAGTTTCATAGGTGTGTCATTCTTTATCATATGGGTTGCTCTCGTCTAAATGTTGTGTCTCCCCAAATGTATATGTTTAAATTCTAATCCACAAGATAATAACAGTAAACAGTGAGGCTTTTTGGCTGTGATGAGGTTATGAGAATAGAATCCTCATGCATGAGATTAGTGCCCTTACAGAAGAGACTCCAGAGACCTGCCTTGCCCCTTTCACTGTGAGGAAACAGCATGAAGCCACCATCTGTGAGCCAGAAAGCAGATCCTCATCAGAAACCAAATCTGCCGCACCTAATCTTGGACTTCCCATTCTCCTGACTGTAAAAAATAAATTGTCATTGCTTGCAAGCCACAGAGTATAAGGTACTTTTTTAGAGTAGCCCTAACAAACTAAGATATAGGCAAACACTAAGTTTTCCAATCCATGAACATAGAATATCTCTCATTCTATTTATTTAATTTTTCTCAGAGTTTTAGTGTTTTCTGCATATACATATTTTGTTTGATTTACACCTGAGTAGTTTGTTTTTTATTTCTTGTTTTTTGTTGCTATTGTCAGGTATTTTCTATTTTAAATAAAATATTTTGTTTATTGTTGATATAAAGGAAAACAATTTTTTAATATATTAACTATACATAACATAATTTTGTTGTAATAACTATTAATTCCAGGATTTTTGGAGAATGTTTCTTTTTTTTTTTTCTTGTTTTTTTTTGGTTTAACATAGACTTTAGTCCATGGGACAAATCATGTGTAAGTATGAACATCTTTCCTTTTCTCTTTCTTTTCTTTCTTTCTTTCTTTCTTTCTTTCTTTCTTTCTTTCTTTCCTTCCTTCCTTCCTTCCTTCTTTCCCTCCTTCCCTCCCTCCCTCCTTTATTTCTTTCTTTCTTTCTCTCTTTTTTCTTTCTTTCTTTCTTTTTTCTCTCTCTTTCTTTCTTTCTTCCTTTCTCTTTCTTTCTTTCTTCTTTCTTTCCCTCCCTCTCTCCCTCCCCTCTCTCTCTCTCTTTCTTTCTTTCTTTCATGAATATCTTTATTTTTCTTTGTTTGCAGCACTAAGAAGGACTTTCAGCACAATGTTAAATAGGAGTGGTGAGAGAGGACAATCAATCTGTTTTCATTTGCACATGATGTGATGAACCTGGACTATTTTGTAGAACTTTAGCAAGGAAGAAAATACAAAGTCTCTCTCTCACACACAAAAACACAAGATGATGAAGGTATGTAAAGAGGACACAGTGAAAGTGAAAGAGCTCTCAATGGCCAAAACTAGAACCTTTTGAAAAAAAATCAGTCCAACAAGTACTGCATTATAACCCAAAGTAAAACAAATAAATATTTATAAATCCATATTCATACAAATAAAAGACTGAACCAATAAATAAATGGAAGAAGAAACAAATATGCCCTGCCAAAGAATTACAAATAACTAATGTAGATCCTCTGCTCTCAAAGAGGTGGGGCATATCTCCACAGTGGACTACATATAGTAAATTTCAAAGAGCAGACTACTGGAATAGGTAAAAAAAAAAATAATAATAATTTTACAATATTGAAACCTGACAAACACTTGCTTAGCCAGATGACCAAGTTAACATCAACAGTGATGTCATTTTAATAGCATGTACCCTTGATATAATGTAATGAGAATGGTACTTTACCACTGTGAGTTTCCTCTCCCAAACCTATAACCATGCTACTTATGAGTACACATCAGACAAATTTCAATACAGTGACATTATACAAAATCTCCTATAAATGTACCTCAAAACTCTCAAGATCATCAAAAACAAGGAAAGTCTAAGGAACTGGCATAACTAGGAGGAGCCTCAGGAGGCCTGAAAATTAAATGTAATGTTGTAATCTGGATGCAATTCTGGAAAAGGACTTAAGATAAAATCTTAGAAAATCTGAATAAAATCAATTTTATTTAAAAGTAATGTATCAATATTGGTTAATTAATTGTGACAAATCTCCAATACTAATGCAAGATGATATTAATAAATGAAATGGTATGAGCCATTCAGGAATTCTCTGTACTATCTTGCAATTTTTTTGGAAATCTATATCTATTCAAAAATAAAGAGGTCATTTAAAAATATACAGATCATCTATATATCCATGTACAACTTTACCAGATTTTAATATTTTGCTAAAATCTCTTTATCTTTTGAATGACATAGAATATTATAGATGTTTGATAAGACTATTGAATATTACTCTCTAATACCTACAGGTTACCCATATGTAAATTTGGAGTTTATCAAGCCTATGCATGTTCATATATTATCAGATAATTTGTATTTCTACATTTATATTTGTAAAACTTTGTAAGAATGCCATTGTATAGTACAAATCATAATGCAGCTGATTTTTAAGTAAAATTTTTTGCTCAACTTGAGTTACTTACAATTTCATGTATAATGGTAATTCATTAGCTTACTTTATAGTGTTTCTTTGTATGAATATAATACATATTTATTCATTCTTCAGTTAATGAATATTTTGAAAACTTTCCAGCTTCTCACTATTACAAATGATACAGGAACATATATTTTCTTTTCTGCATTTTTATGTGACATGTCTACCTAAAAGTATAATTTTGTTGTAAAAAGTATTTTCATTTTAAAATGCATTAGCTATTTCCACATTGTGGTCCAGTTGGTGAATGGAGTAAGAATTGTACCATTTTTTCACATTTGCAATAACATTTGAAGGTATGTAAGTTTTAATTCAAAGATGTAAAATATTATCTACTTGTGGTTTAAATTTTATAATTATTAAGAACAGCATCTATTAGTATATTTTATTTTAAAAAAATTCTATTAAATTAATAGAAAGTTCATAAAATTTTGTTCATTTTCAAGTTTTTTTTTATTTTTAGATGTTAATTATAAAATCTGAATACTAATTATTTATTGTTAAATCTACGGCAAATATATTCTCATAGAGTTCGATTGTATGTTTAAAGTTTTATGCTATCTACAATAATAGAAGGACGGTTGTTTCCACTTTAATTGAGCCAGATTTCTCTGTCTTTTCCTTATGGTTTATATTTCTTGAGTCTTGCCTGAAGAATTTTTTTTCCAATCTCAATGTTATAAAAATATTGTTGACATATTTTATGATTTCAAATTGTACTTTCAAACATATTTCTCAATGTGCAACCTGTAATTATTTTTGTTTATGGTATGAAGTAGAGATTTAGTTTTTTCCAGTGATTGGGACAACTTCTATTTGAACTTAGCGGCTCTTCCCCACTAATTGGTAATGTTACCTCTCACATATATAAACATTATATAGAGTTACTATCAATATTATTGGTCTACTTGCCCTTCCCTCTGCCAATATTATGCTTTGATAAAGCTATGGCTTTCCATATTATCTTTAAAATGGTTTTTTAAAACGTTTACCTCCTTTGACACCTCCTATATTTCCTTTAAAATGTATTATTTATTACCCCTATTCTTCCAAATGCACATTAGTATCAATATATCAAAATCATTAAAATAACTATCTTTAAATTACTTCTAGGTTCATAAATTAATTTGGGAAAAATTGTATTTTAAAGTTGGCTTCTTCCATCCCCTGGATATAGCATAGATACTTCTTTGTGCAAAACTTCTTTTATATTTTCAATAATTGTTGGTAATTTTCTCCATTAAGTTCTTATATATCTTCTTTTTCAGCTTTATTTCTGGGGACCTTAAAGTTTTGTTATTTTTATAAATACAGCATTGTTATTTCTACTATATATCCTATTTGTTATTGAAATATAGAAATACTATTGATTCTTATGTGGATCTTGAATCTAAAAAACTTGATAATCTTAAAAAATAATTTTAATAGTTTAATTTTTTTCTGATGTTTTACTGAGATATTTATAACACCATAAATAAGAACAATTTCTATTTTTTTGCACCATTTCTTTTATTTAGTCTCTATAATGCAATGTCTAAGACATTTCATTCTTGATGCCCTTAAGATGATTAACGAATTACCCTTTGAGCTGAAAACCAACTAGGAGTTTCTGTCATAAGTTAAATATTGAAATTTATTGAATGCTACACCTACTTATTTTGAGAAGCTCATATACTTTTTTCACCTTTCAACTCCATTAGCATAGTATAGTTATCATTTACTCTGAAATGTATATTGCTTTACATTTCTGGGAGTAGGCACTTATTTGTTAGAATACATTTTTAGTAGAGACGGGGTTTCACCGTGTTAGCCAGGATGGTCTCCATCTCCTGATCTCGTGATCCGCCTGCCTCGGCCTCCCAAAGTGCTAGGATTACAGGCGTGAGCCGCCGTGCCCGGCTAGCATTACTACTCTTTTGCTTTGGAGACGTCATTAAATAAAATAGGGGTTACTGAAACACAAGTACTGTGATACCACGATGGTCCATCTGATGGATAACCGAGAAGGCTCCTAAGTGACTGACAATTGGAGAGCATCTACAGTGAGATCTCTTGGACAGAGGGAGGATTCATGTGGTTGGAAGGGGAAGGAGTAAGATGGCAGCAGATGTTGTCACACTACTCAGAAGGGTAGTGATTTTAAACTTACAAATTGTTTACATCTGGAATTTTCAATTTAATATTTTCAGACTGCAGTGAGCTGCGGGTAACTGAAACCACAGAAAGGGAATCTGCAGATAGGGGGATATCACCGTATATTGACGCTTATACTGTAAATGAAAATAAGCAAATACAAGGGTTTTGGCATTTTTTTTCTCCTTTGGGAGGGCTAGGGCCTATGTAAATAGCAGTTAATTTGAACATGCTGTAGTTTTTGTTAACTGACTACTCTTCCTAACTGGTTTATCAATTTCTGGATATGTACTGGAAAACTTCCCCATCACTACTGATTTTCTTAATTGCTTATTGAAAGTGTTTTACCTTATGCCTCATATATTTGTAGGCCGTGATGTGAAGTGATTATATATTAATGACTTTTATATCTTCTTTAAGAGATTTGTGTATTTTCTTTATTATGTAGTATCATGTGTCATCCTTACTAATACTTCCACCGTAAAGTACATTTTATCTCTCATTAATATATCTCTACCTACTATTTTCATTTGCCATTGTTTTCATGGCATAAGGGATTTCATTGCTGTATTGTATTTAAGTGTGCCCCATATACAGAATATAGCTGATTTTGTATTGATGGAATTGTTCTTAATCCAGTATAATAATAATTTCAATATGAAAACTTAATATTTTATATTTATTGTGATTGTGTATATGTATAGTACCATCTTGTTTTCCGTATGCTCTCCATTTTATTTGAAATCTCTCCCCACCCCTCCTTTAAAATTTTGACTGGATTGATCAAGTTCTTGATATCCCCCCTCCCATTTCTGGTTTGAAGCATCTAGAATATATTCCAATCATTTTAGTGGTGTGACAATGTTGTCACATACATAGGTAACTCTAGATGTTGCTTTACATAACTAAGGGACCTTCAGGAACTTTTCATGCATATTGATGGCCTATTGAGTCTTCTTTCTCATAGAACTAATTATAGAGTTTAAGTTTCATATAATTTTAAATACAAAATACTTATTACTTTTGAGTCAATCTTAATGAAGTTAGCCAGGGCATACTCTGTGCTCAATGATGTTTTTTGTATCATTTCCTCTCTCTGGTTTCACTCTTCTCAGTGAAGTATAGCCTTTACTCACTCTTTTAGCTTGAGTCATAGAGTGTTAAACTCTCTTACATTTGTATGTCTCAATATCCTGTCCTTGGTCTAGAGTGGCAGTTTGGATGATATATAATACTGGAATTATATTCTCTTAGTTTTACAAGGTGTATTAGACTATTGTTGCAGTGCTATAAAAATCTGATACTAGGTAGTTTATAAATAAAAGAGGTTTAATGGGTTCACTCTTCTGCAGGCTTTACAGGAATTGTGGTGCTGGTATCTGCTTGGCTTCCAGAGACACCTCAGGAAGGTTACAATCATGGCGGAAGTTGAAGGGAAACAGGAACGTCATATGGAAAAAACCAGAGCAAGAGAGAGAGAGAACATGGCGGGGGGGGGGGGGGCAGAGGGAGGAGCCACACACCTTTAACCCTTTTCCTGTTTAAGAATAAAAAACCCTGCAGCTCACTGCCAACACTCGTTTAATTTTATGTAAACACACTCTTTGAGGTTGAACAAAATCTGACTGATTTTCAATGTGAAAAGAAAATATAGAAACTGTTCTTGGAGTTATTTCTAAACAAAACTAACATCAGAATCATCTGAATGATCAGAATTGTCTATTTCAGAAAAATCAAATTCATCAAATGATTCCAGCCAACAACTGCTGGAGAATGATGTTAATATCATGTGTAGGAATGCTACGTTTTCCAGGATTTGACATTTTCAGCAATTGAGAATTACTATATTTTGTCAATGGAAATACCGCTACTAAAAACAGAATGGTATAAATGGAATGATGTCTTTTGTTTTCAGTCACTGTGCTAGAGCAATGTGAAAATAATAATGAAAGGGAAATAGTTTGTGGCAAAGTTATCTCGGGATAAATGCTGCAGCTGCAAGTTTTCTCAGGGTAGAGTTGAAAAGGGTTAAATGACCAGTTCTTGCAAGAACTCAGTTTCACTAAAACAGCAACAAGCAATGAGGGTTCTGCTCCTATGGTCCAAACACCTGCCAGCAGGCCCCACCTCCAGCATTGGGATTAAGATTCAACATGAGATTTGGGTGGGGACAAATAACCAAACTACATGACAAGGGTATTTATTCTTCATCTTCTGTCAGGTGAGAAGTCTGTGATCAGCCTTAATTAAATCTTTTGCATATGATCACTTTTATCTTTCTGGTAGTTTTAACAGTTTCTCTTTATCAGTGATGAAATGCACATTTACTATAAAATGTGTGGTTGTAAATTTATCTTTATCCTTCCTTTTTCTCCAATAATTCAATCTATGAATTACTTTTTTTTTAAAAATTTTGCCTATATCCAGCTGCTTTCTACACAAATATTGTTAGAATGTTTCTTTTATGTGTAATTAGAACATCCAGGTCCATTGCTTATCCTTTTTAGAAATATCTTTATCACTCTAGATGTTTGGAGAGCAAGGGTTTATCAAGTACTTTCAAGAACTTGTATATCAGGAAATAAAATTCGCCATTTCTCTCTTCAGTGTGTTCAAGCTAGTGTTTATTGTCTAAATTTATATATAAATTTAGAGTGAATTTATGTTCTAGTCATTGATTCTGTAGGTTGTTTTTGTTAACATTAGAACCTCTTATAAAACTTGGGACTTTGGTTTCCAGCTCAGTATTTGAGTAGTTTTTGGCTTGTTTGTTTGTTTTTTGGTTTGTTTGTATGTGTTGTTTGTTTTTCGCTCATTTCTTTGTCTAACTTTTGTGATTGTCTCAGGCTAGATATCTAAACTCTCAGACTAGAAATAAGACATTAGTGGCATTTGGGGATTATCCTCTACAGCAATCTTGGATAACTCCTCCAGTATCTTTCACTCTAAGTAACTCTAACCTTCTGGGTGAATGGTAAATGCAGGAGCACAATCCATGTTATTGGAGTCCTGATTTTTCTCCAAGCAGTGACGCAAAAGTAGACTAAAGATCACATGATTTAACTCCTGCTAGCCTTTTATATTTTTCCTCTCATACAATTCTATTAGCATAACAGATGACTCTTAGGACAGAATCAAGACAAAATGTGGTATTGACTGATATTTACTTGTATGGTTTCTAAAACTTAAATTCTGCCTCTTTAGATTTCCATTATGCTTTTGACTTTCTTCAGTGTTTAAGTTAAAATAATGTAAGGTATTTTGTGATTTTGCCTGCTGTCTCTTGTTATTGGTGATGATTGATTATTTTTCTAGTTATGTAACTAGATCTGTGATACCATCAATACCAAGAGATGGCATCACAAAAGATGGATTGATGCTTTCACAGATCCAGTTACATAACTATGGATTATTTGGATCTATTCTTTGTCATTAGGCTGTGCACTTGTCTCCATTTCTCTAGGTTCTCAGTTAGCTTAAAACGAAAACCCAACCTACAGCATTTTTTTTTCAACTTTGTTCCACATGCTTGAGAGTCCTGCTTCAGTTCTTAGCTGCAAGCTTTGGAATTCATGCTGACTCACCATCTTATTATAGAACCATTTATGTTCTATTATCTATATTCTCTTTACTCACAAACACTGAGCTCCCAGCCACCTCCTCCAGAATCCAACAGATCCTCAGATTTAGTCCAACTGCCTAGTTTGAATTTCTGATTCACAGAGCTGCAGATCTAATTTCTGAGATTGTATCTTTTGATATTTGTCATTGCTATGTGTTTAAAGCTAAACAGCTGTGTGAGCTATGAGCCAACTGCCCAGAGTTGCCCAGTACAGTTGACTTCCAAGGTCTCTTATTATTATTTGCTTTCTTATAATTTTTTCAATTGTCTATTCACAGTTTTCTGTATTTGGACATTTCTCTCATCCTATCTGTAGTCCAGTGCATCCTTTCTCTGACTATAGATACTGTATTAAAATATTCTTTTTATATTTCCTATTTTTGCTTGTGATTCTTATTTCCCTTCATCCTCAGCTCTTGGCATTATGATTAAATACTTAATTTAGCCACAATGCAATGTATTTACATGCTTCTATAATTTATAGTCCATAATTTACATGTACTATCCAAGGCCTTTTATAATTTAACACTGTAAAACATTTTTTGGAATGCAGTTTACATGAAATATGTTATACACAATGAAGTTATCTTGTTTTGTATACAGCCCAGGATTTTTGTGTGTGTGTGCCTTGACTAATGAGTCCTACTATGGACTTTAGTTCATCTGGGCTCATAAATACTTGCACTCATAAAAACTGTTTCTCTTTACTTACCAATATAAATCTGCATTTGTCTATAGAAAATTTAGCCCAGTGAAAATGGCATGTGACTTCCAAGGTATTTGTCTTTGCTGCTATTGATTTTGGAAAAAAATGATCTTTTCCTAAGAAGCTTATTTTTACATTTTTCATAACAGGGGAAAGCTTTAGGAAGTGAACCAAGAGCTTTACAAAGAATTGTGAGCAAGGTTTGTAATGCTCATTGACATTTAAAAATTGTGAAAAACCTAATTTTGAAACTTTTACCATTATCTTCTAAAACCTTTCATAAATGTCACCTCCCACTGATGTCATCTCTCATTAGCTATTAATTAACAAACTTTTTTAAAACACCCAGATATATATGAATTTATTACCAAATCTACTGACAATCTAAATAACCAAATGCAGCCTTTTCTCTTGGAGAATTTGCATTATAAACATGAATTATATATTTCCGTTTTAAAGAAATGCATCTGTGTGCTATTGCCATCTGGTATAAGTTTCTGTTTTCTGTAGCCTAAGACTTCCCATTTCATTTAAAGTTTAAAGATCAAAATGTAAAGGACAAATTTATGTAGCTTATCCTCTGTCCATCTATATTTCAAAATAACCCTTAAACAATAGACATTCAGGATATTTAATCAATGTATTTTTGGTAAGCCCTATATCTAACTGGTAAGCCCTAATTTTAACAGAGTTTTTCTAAGTTAATAATAGTACCTTATTTATAAAAAACAAACAAATACTGGCCAGGCATGGTAGAACATGTCTGCAGTCCCAAAGCTTTGGGAGGCAGAGGTCTGAGGATGGCTTGAGCCCAGGTATTTGAGACCAGCCTGGGCAAAATAGAAAGACCCTGTCTCTACAAATTAAAAAAATACTGCTGCCTGGTATATATGTTATATCACCATGTGTTATGCTAGCCCTCATGGATGAATAGATAGTCATTATTCATCCGTCTTCCTGATAAAGGAAGTGGAATCCAGAATATTGCATGGCATGCAAATGTGCAGACAAGTTTTAATATAGAGCTAATTCTAAACACCAACATGTTCCTTGACAAAAGATACTTTAAAATTAGGTTTCACTTTATAAAATGAAATGAAGATTACATTGTAAATAAAAAGTAAAACAGCATTCAAAAAGATCTCTTTAAAATGTACCCTTCCCTGTGAAAATTATGCGGTGACTTCCACATGCAAGTGATGATAAAACTCAAGCGTCTCACCAAGATCATCTGTCTGCTGACCTTCTGCCCTTCCCTTTTCTCCCCTCATACCCTCTCAGTAGTCTGAGGCCACATTGTCCAGTGTATATCAAATATACCCCTTCCCTCATATGAGTGCTGTTCCTTCTGCCTAGAAAGGCCTTTCCATAAATTTTTCATCACTTGTTTATTCTCATCATTCAGGTCTTTATGTCACTGTGACCTCATCAAATAGTGTGTCCCTGACCATTGTACTAAAACTAGTCACCATTGCCACTGTCGCCAACCACTTCATTATTGTGTTTTCATTTTTATAGTATGTATAATTATAGAAAATTTTAATATGTATTTTTACCTTAATGTGTTTAGTATATATTTTCCCTACTAGAATATATTATAAAAAAGCTCTAAAAGAACAGACACTGAGTTTGTTTGGGCCACTCACTGATGTATTCTTAAAATAGTGTTTGGTCCACAGTGGTGCTGAGTAAATATTTGAAGGGAATGGTGGCTATTCCCAAGGAAATTAAGGTTTTCTACTGGTTGTTTTTTGCTAACCCTGTGACTTTGGTTAAGTCATACAGACTCCCCATCCCCTAAATTACTCTTCCATAAGAGGAGGAAAGATAAAGAAATAATGTCTAGACTACTTATTTCCTAGAGCTATTTTGAGAATATAATGAGATAATTTTGGAAAGTGTGTTGACAGTTGTAAAACATTTATAGACGTATAAAATACTATTGTTGTCCAGGTTTGCTGTCAACTTGCTGTATGTCCTGCAATCATCCCCAGGATCCACATTTACACAATTTGGGGGATGTGAACACAGTTGAGCTCCCTGACTCTTGGAGAACTATAAATACAGTCATTATTATTAAATCTTACCTTGCTGTATCTGGCTAAGTTTCACATTAAAAGCTAATGTGCAAACAATTATACTTAGCAATGACAGGAAAATATGAGAAATCTGGGAGCTGTGGAGAAGCAGCTGTGAGTTTTTACATGTGATCAGTAGAGCATTTATTCATCACAGAGGCATTGGTAATATATCTAACATACTAGTTTATAAAACAAAGTGTATGCTATAGTTAGCAAGCACTCTTTCCTAAGAGGTAAAAAGTAAAAAAAAAATTATTGCCATTTTGATGCAATATATTTACCAGTATTAGTAGAGAAAAACAAGGAAAAAGTACATAAAACAAACTAAGCTTCTTATTTCCTGGAATACAAAATAATACCTTTCTTAGATTTAATTTAGTAGGCCTTGGTTGGCTATCTGCTACACAACTCTAACAACTCATTCTTTTGTAATTTTTCCATGGTATCATTAACTAAACTAGAAAAAAAACTTCAAAATAATTATTGATCACTATAACCATGATCATACCATATACATTGATTATTATTTCAGTGTTAATGACTTATTAAAACAGTTCAATTTGAAGAAGATTAAAGGTACACTGTCTTTTAAAGTATAAAATCTTTAATGAGTTTTTAAATTAGCAAAGCAAGGGTAAACTGGTTGCTTCTTATTTCAAACAAGAATCCATCTTACTTATACTCAGCATTTTTTATTTAATATGACTCTTTAACTATATATTCTTTTAAATTAATGAATGAGTTAATTTTTACCTCACACGGTGACAAGAACTCATCCCTGTATCTCTCATCCAGTCAAAAGACTTATAGAACATAACTAACTGTCACTCACCAAAAAGAAAGTTGAAAATACTTGTCCACACACAGTTTGGATAAGATAAGACCCTATTTTCCTGCTTCAGGAGCATTCAGTGAAGTGGTCTGGCCCTCTACTCAAACATCTCCATTAAACTAAGCAGGTCAAACATGAAGAAATGATTTTTCCAATTAAATGTGCTGTTTTCTAAAAGTACCTTTCCCATCTGAAATCTCAGTAGTGTCTTGATTCACTGCTTTGTAGATGTTGTGCTTTTCTGTCTCAAAAGCTGTCACTATCATGTGGAAATCTTATTTTAAGTACAGATTTTTTTTTCTACCAAAAGAGAATATTGTAAAGCAAAATTTCAATTTCCCAACTATTTTGAGTCTCATTTTTCTTTTAAATTAACATATTTCACGATTTGCTTTCCATATGGAAGGTGATTGTATTCTCTTTACCAAATTAAATGTTTTTTGCCTTTCCTTATTAATAAGGATCAAAAAGAAGTTCAACTTTCAGATGCAATAACATTTGCTGATAAGATGCATACAGTGACATAACAAAAAATTAAACTCTTTGTATATTCCATCTTTTCACAGAAGTAGGGCTCTCTATGGAATGAACAGGACATCAGCAATTATTGAATTAAAACTTCTAAAACAAAGCTCCCTTTAATAACGTTGGCCTAGGTCTAGAAAAGAATGTGCAACGTTTAATCTTTCAAGCAAAAAGTCGGTATCTGCGGAATCTGAAGAAGTTCCTGGATGTTTCACTGATGAATCAGGCCATACGCACAACTGTAAGGGGAAGAAAATTCACAGAAGCTGATCACTTTCATGTACTTTAAACACCATTAATCTGACGCATTCTCAGGTTAGCTCCTATGTTCACATATAAGTTACCTACTAAGTTCAAGCTGAGCTAAAGACTATCAGAGACAAGGTAGAAAATATGAGAGTGAAGAGTGACCTCTATATGGACCACAAGATATTGAAGGCTTTCCACTTACTGGAGGAGGTGGAGTATTCAGGAAGCAAAGATGAAGGAAAGATTGAGTTACAGCTGGGAAAAATTTCACAAAGATTAAATGTGTTTGTATAACTCATATATTATGTCCCCCTCCACCACTGTCATTTTGAAAATGATATATTTTTGGAACTCTCTTATGCTATACTTACATTTACACTGATTTATTTCTATTTTATAACCTGAAACATTAATACTAAGTGCCAAACTAAGCTAATTTGTAGGAAAGAATGACAGATAAATATGGAAATATTGGCTTCATTCTGTATTTTAAAATACCCAATATCTAATTTATTAAAGTCTTAATAAATGCAGTCCATTATTATTCTTAAATTTTTGGTTATTTCAAGCATACTTTTACAAAGTAATTGAAATGCTGCCTTTATTCTTGAATGTGAAAACCACAAAATTACACAGAAAATATGTAAAAAACGAAAAAACAATTGAACATGAGCAAGTCTTCCACATGTTGTTTCGAACTTAGAAGTTTTGAAAGGCTAACCAGTTGCAGGAATAAGTCATAGTAGATAAGCAAGAGAAAAAACAATTGTACTACTTTAATCACAGCCTTCTAATGGTAACTTTGCTTTCTTTCTTTAAGATTTTTGTTTTTCTTTATTTCTTATGAAAAAAAAAAACCCTGGCTACATGTGCAGAACGTGCAGGTTTATTACATAGGTATACATGTGCCATGGTGGTTTGCTGCACCTATTGACCAGTCCTCTAAGTCTTCTTAAGAACACTAATGAATATGTGGATTTTCAAAGTCATAAAAACAAGGTCTATAATCTGCTACTTTATGAACATGTTTTATAAGGTGACTACTACAATTCATTGCAAGCTTGAACTCAAGATAAAAATTAAGAATACCAATAAATAGTTGAAACTATCACCCACCATTTAACTATTAATAGTTTTAAATCTACTTTTTTCCAGTATCTTCTAGATTCCATTGTGTCTGTTGAGAGTTGAGCTATGTTTTGTTGTCACTCATTTTAAGTAACAATATATCTTTCTATCTATAATCACTTTTTGAATTTTCTGTGTCTTTGATATTTTAGTAGTTTGAGTGAGTTGTGCTTAGGTATGTTTTATATTTGTCTCACTTCAGTTATATAGTGTTTCTTGATCTGTGGGTTGAGATACGCCATCAGTTTCGAAAAATAAAAAATAAAAGGCTACCATCATTTAAAATATTACTTATATCCAGTAACTTATCCAGTCTTTCTGAACTTTCTAGACTGAAATATCCAGTCTTTCTAGAACCGTAAATATACATATTTCACACATGTTCGCTACATTCCATATGTCTTTTATGTTTGTGTGTGTATATGTGTTAGGGTTTTTTTTAACTTTTTGAAATTATTTTTGATTCAGCCAGGATATTGTCTACTCTCTTATAATACAACACACTCCTCTCTTCTGTGTTAATCTATTTATTTAACGGATGAATCTGTTGTTAAGTCTACCAATTTTGTTCTTAATTTTATTTATTGCATTTCGCAGTTCTCACATTTGTATTTGTTGGTTTTCTTATAGTTTTCTAGCCTCTGCATATTCATTTGTTGGAACTAGTTCAGCCTGCTACAGTTTCATTTTGGAAACAATATAAATGTGATTACATGATCTTTCTATTCAGTCTGATTTGTTTGGAATACTTCATCTTACTATTTCTATTTTTATCACATTAAACACATTTTTTAAAAAAACTGTGTTTTTCAAACTACAAATCTGTTTAATACATAAGTTGCATTTTATCTTTGTATTTTTTCTTCTTTTTTTTCCATATACCTGGTTATTCTTGATCGAATGCCAGCCACTGTGTATTAAAAAGTATGGCATCTGAATGATGCTAATGCTATCTTCTTTTGGAAGTTTGCCTCTCCAAAATTGAGTTGGGGACAATTACCTTAATTCAGACAAGTACTGAATTTCTACGGGATTCTTCGTTTGTTTGATCTACATTTCATTGCTATGGTGTAGCCCACAAGGCTTCTCAACTGAGAAACTAGAAGTGTACTAAGACCCCCCGCTACTTAGAAAATTTTAAATTCCTGTTTTCTCCAGTCTATATTTTAAGACACTAGAAAAGTTGACTGTGTTTTCAGTGGCTTTTTAAATTTCTTCATCTTCTTTTTTTTCCGAGGTGGAGTCTCTCACTCTGTCACTCAGGCTGGAGTGCAGTGGTGTGATTTTGGCTCACTGCACCCTCCACCTCCCAGGTGGCGATTCTCCTGCCTCAGACTCCCAAGTAGCTGGGATCACAGGCATGTGCCATCATGCCTGGCTATTTTTTTTATTTTCAGTAGAGACAAGGTTTTGCCATGTTAGCCAGGCTGGTCTCAAACTCCTGACTTCAGGTGATCCACCCTCCTTGGCCTCCCAAAGTGCTGAGATCACAGGCGTGAACCACCTCACCCGGCCCTCAGTGGCTTTTTACTTGACATCTTTGCCTCTTTCCTTATAAATCTTCATAGATTGCCAAGTGTCTCAGGAGAATAAGAGTTGAGTACTTTGAATACTTCATTGTATCTCTCTCCCTCCCAGCATCATGGTTACTCAGATAATGTAAACCTTGGCACCCCAAAATTTCCATTTTGTCTACCTCAGCCCCACAGAATTGAAAAAAAAAAAAGCCTCTAGATTCTTCCCCTCTGCCTGGATTCTTAACTATTGACCCCACACCAAGAATCAACAAATTCTCCAATGGGGAGAGAGATTAAAGAAAACAAACGCCCTTCTCTATGGCTTTCTTCTTGCCATAATCTAGGCCTCTGAACCCCTGACTGGCTCAGCAATCCTCTGGTGCTTTCCAGCAGATTTTTTTTTTTTTTGATGTCTTATCTAGCTGTTCTAGTCACTCCTATGGAGAGTTTTTGTCTTCATAGGCTACTTCATAATAAACAAAAACAAATATTCCTAAATCAATTTAAACGTTTACATTTTTATTTCTCAGAACGTAAAAATGATGAAGGTGGGAAATGAAAGGAAATTAAGTTTATGATAATCCAAAATGGGTAATGTTGCATTTCTCATTTAATCTAATGTCTTTAACCAAGCCTTTTTAGAGATAAGTGTTCCCATTTTACAGCTGAAAATAGTGACACATATTGTTTTTCTCCTTTCAAGCATTTACTCGGGTAGTAAGTAACAGAAGCTGTATTGCAATGAAATATGTCTTGCTTGGCCCTTCATACCATCTAATACATTATGATTTTAACTTTAGCTGTACAGGGCCACACTAAATCTAACAAATATGCTCCACTTTTCCTTCAAGCCATAGAGAGTAACCTGAGAATAACTTTAATTCTCATGAAGGGAATTTGTTAGCTAGGAAACTTTGTTATATTAATCCTGTTTAAATATAATTTATTTTAATTTAAACCATTTTGTTCTGTCTCTTTTCCATTTGTTAATGAACAAACAGTATAAAATACACTCCCTTTAATGTTCTTTTATTAATCATATTTTTATTCGATAAGGTGAAATTCTCTAAATATGGCTTTCTCATTAAGTTAATTTTCTGCCCATCACCACAATTTGTGCTTTACTTCTCCACTGATATGTTTTTTTAATTAGACTATAGAAAGGACATGGACCTCACTGAATGTATTGGAAAGATTAATACCAGGTCCTATATACAATATTACAATTTATGTCCTCAGGTCAGATTTTTTTAAAAGATTTTTATATTTTATTCATCATAGACTAGATTTTGCTTTATGAAAATTTATTAAAATGGCAGAACTGAAAAATTATAATAATCTTTAGTTTCCTGGATTTTTACATATTTATGCTACTTATGTCTTTATGCCCAAATTTAAAAAGTGCTGGGATATCTGTCCCATTATTGTGGAATCACACCTATGGGACACGGTTTAAGCAGTATTATGGGTCTTTTTATAGAAGCCATATAATATTACTTTTTTATATTGAATAATAAAGAACCACACATTCTTCTTGGTAAATTTTCTCATTCCTATTATTGAGGACTATCTTATTAAGAATAGTAATTTTTGAAAAACAAATATGACTTTAATTGATTTAAAATAGTTTCAAGGCCTAAGGTGCTCCATAAATTATTTTTCAGGAACATATTACACAACTTTTGTTTAAATTGAATTGAAATACAGATTTCATACATAGGTTGAAATAGTTTTTATGTTTTCTTTCTCTATTTGTTGTCATAAGATGAATGGCTTATCTCCAAATTTTGGAATCTCTCATGTAACCTGAGTCGTTGTGTGCAAAGTTAGACGACTGAGAACAAAGCAATAGAAAATCTGTTTTCTAAACATTCCCTTCCTGAAAAGCTTCATTTGCTGAAAAGCTTTATTTGAAGCAATAATTATGTTGTCTCCTAGTCCTTTACATTATCAATCTTCCTTCCCCTAGATGTAATTACAGAAAAAAAAAATTCAGAAAATGTATTAGATGTGAGTCTGGTTCACTTCTCATTTGTACTATTAGCCAAGATCGTATGTAAAGACTGTTTGAAAAAATAGGAAGGCTGTGTCTTGACCTTTGAACTCTTCAATTCCACTGCTCCACTACGCAAAATGTAAAACCAGCCATCTTATCTCTCTGCAGTTTCATTATTGAAAACTTAAATACATAGTGGTTGGAAAAAGAAATGACTTTTATCACCCCTGTACTAGAAAACTAACAAGCAGGCACTTAGTGACTTCTTAGTGTAAAATTCCACAAGTTTTAAAGAAGAATGGAAAAAAAAAGATGTATAAAATACTATCCATTCCACTGGGGTTACTCACAGATTAGTTGTAGAACCAGACATAAAATGAAACAATGTGATAAATGCTGTAATAATTATATACAAAGTCCTATGGGAACATCAAGCAGAGAGGGATTACTCCCCCTATGAAGCAGAGAACAATTCCAAGAAGACATATTTTTAACTGATACATAATATACGTACATATTTATGAGACACCTCTGATATTTTGTTATATGCATAAAATGTATAATGATGAAGTCAAGGTATTTAGGGTATCCATCACCTTGAGTATTCAACACTACTATGTGTTGGAGCCATTTCAAGTCCTCTCCTCTAGCTATTTTGAAATATATGGTACATTTTTGTTAACTACAGTCACCCTACTCTGCTATGGAACATTAGAACTTATTCCTTCTATTCAACTGTGTGTTTGTACCTATCAACCCATCTCTGTTTACCCCATCCCTCCTATGCACACCTTTCCCAGCCTTTGGTATCTCTCATTTTACTCTCTACCTCCAAGAGATCAACTTCTTAGCTCCCACATATGAGTGAGAACAGCAATATTAAGACACTATATTTGAGCTAGTTTAAGAGTAAATGTAGAAGTTTTCCACAAAGTAAATAAAGAAACAGAGGAAGTGGGTAAGGGTAAGATTTAGAAGGTGGATGAGAATTAATTTCATGAAGCAAAAACTGATCAGAAATCATTCTTATTATGCAGTTGCCAAAAATAACTCAAGGAATTTAGGAAGACAACAGAAGTCAGGATAGAATTCTGGTTGTATAAGATCTGCTTTTGAATATCACGCTATTGCAAGCATAAAATCCATCAAAATGAATTTTTTGAACACTCTCATATTTCAAAGGGTATAGAATCAAGACCACATCTAAGAACTGAGCAGAAGAATCAAGAAAATAAACCACCTTTATGGCTAATATAACATCCTAGCCATTCCTCCTCATTTTCACCTAGCATTTATAATCTTAATGAAGGTGTGGAGAGTGGCTTGCCAGATCTTACTAGCAAAATCTGGAACACAAATCTCACCAGCAATGACTTCTTCATTGTCTTTTTGTTTTTGAAATATTATTCAACACATTTTTCTATTAATCAGCATGGAGAACTCTCTTCTTTATTCCATTAGAATAAAGCTCCTAAGTAGCAACCAATTTAGAGAAACATCATATATGCCAGCAGAACTTTATTAAATGAATGTTAGTGAGCGTATACATGATTATGTTGTTTCTTCACAATTGTCATGAATGTTTAGCCATGTCTTGAAAACATCAATTTCAAGTCATTTTTAGAAAGAAAGGCAATAAGTTAAAACATTTCCAAAAAAAAAAACTGTGTATTTTACAGCAGGTTAGCTGATTTCACAGCATGCTAGTGATTAACAGCATGTGACATAGTGACGTAAGTGTCATGGATGTGTTTACTTTCTGTAATGTCAATATTCTGCATTGCTGGTGCCTGGACAATGAGACCGAGATGACAGAGGACATTTGGACTGTGTCCATCCTCGTTTTCAATTAGTTTTTGTTATTTATGAAAATTTTGATTTTTCATTAAAATCACATGTTTAAATTCACACCTACACATATGTGTGTGTAAGTGCATTTAATTGACTGATTGATACAGATACGCATCATGAAATAATTATGCACAAAGACGTGGTCCCCTACATTTAGCACTTCCAATTTAAAGAAATAAAGGAGACTGACATTATTATCTTTTTGCCTCAATCTTTTTCTATCCCTTCTACGTCTTCAAGTCTGACAAATCTTCACCTCCACTATTCTGCTTTTTTTAAATCCGCTTCTCATTTTAAAATGCACTCATTCTTTATTTTTTTTCTGACTCTACAATTCAGCTCTTAAAATCTTCAGTGATAGATGATCAGAGGTGAGTACTCAAAGACTAGGAGTTTGTTGAGTGTGAGGAGTTGTGGAGAGCATGCAGGTTCACTAAACTTATTTCATTGTCCATAGCTCTATGTAAGACTCACTGTCCTTAGTGTTTCTGCTTTATTTTGCTGTATCTTATCACTAGTTTTACTATCTTTAGCTGACTATCAGAGATGACAATGTGTTTATGTTTTTCTCTAATATTTCATTTTTCTGAATCTCCTGGGAAGAAAATCTAGAATAAATGTAGTTTGGCAAGTGACTCTTCCAACTGATTATTGCTTATTTATTTATTTATTTTTTGGCTGAAGTACAGAGCATCTCTGGGCCAAAAGAGTTCCATCTTCGTGTTTGGGCAATGTTTGGATTTCAGAAGGAGGCATCCCCAAGAGATTCAATAGTAGCATCAGGAATTGTGTGGCTGATGTCAAGCAAACCTAGAATGTGACCTAATTTTTGTTCTTTTCAGTCTAGGAATGATTCAAACTAGTAGCATAACCATGAAACTCCATCTCTTCTTAATCTTCTCAACAGCTTAGTTTCTGGGGAAAAGATTAGTCTGATGACTGTAATTCAACTCTAAGGCATTTCTTGTATGGTTTGGAGAGGAAAGGTCTCATATATTCCAATAAATACAAAGACACATTGGGAACTCAGAAAATAGAAAATAAATTGAATTCAGCAGGTACTATCAATTGGGTAGCAAATTTTTTTTTTGCTAATATTACTTTAGAATTATTTTCATATGGAGGAGTAAAAGGAACTAGAAAAATGTGAACTCTCAAAGCACCAAAGTCCTTCAGATATTACTGAAGAAGTTGTAAAATATATATCACTCAAAATAAAATTAAACTGAAGTGATATATGCATATATACATGTATCAGCAATTTTATAAATGGGTATCTGCCATGTTTGCAATTTTTTATAGCATTGTCCATCTATAGAATATTAGTATGCATTTTTCTATTAGGAAAACAATTCGCTTTACACCTATAATGAACAGAGCTCATTGGTTTTAAGAAGCAAGTAACTTGTAACTTCTCAGAAAAAATTTTATTTTAAAAGATTATAAAAAATAGATATTTTACATTATTATGGGTCCTTCTCCCATACAAAAAGGTACTTGAAGTTGGTGGAATTATTGAGAAATTTTCTTTTATATAAAACTGATTTTGTTTTTATTTTTATGCCTTAAATATTTGCTGAAAGGCATTACATAGTTCACAGATCTCACATAGCCTCAGCTGAGGGATAATTCGCTCACATTTGTATCATTAACTGCTGTGGAAAGTCTAGCTTTTTGGCTGCCTTTCGAAGGGTTTATGAGTGTTTTATGATGTTTCCTGGTTATACTGTATTTTTACAACTGTTGCAAATAGACACAAATGTCATAAATTACTGAAAAAAGTTATTCTCGATCCCTCCGAGTTTAATGAGGAACAGTTACAGAAAAGGGAAGTTTGCAAGTGCCACTAAAGTCAGCTTGATGGATTCCACATGTAGAAGAAGTTGAGATCTCTGAGTCAGATTTGTTAAACTTCTGATGCACTCCACTTTTTTCTTCTCTCTGACACTATTTTAAATGCATTCCTAATTTTGTATTAGGTGACTATTTGCTAATGAATGTGGCTATTTGTCTTAACTAATAGTCCAAAGTGCCTCTCTTTCCAAATAAAATGAATAGGTATATATGTTCTCCTCCAAATACAATCACTCACATAATATGTCTAGAAATAGATATGTCCTCCTCCAAACACAATCATTTACATAATATACAGAGAAATTCCTCATAATTAAAATTCTTAAAATGTGTTATGATTTTGAGTGCTGTAGTTGAGACGCTGTATAAACTTAATGCTTGGTCTAAAAATTTAGAGTTATCATCAAATATATATTATTACAATCACGTATCTATTATTAATACCAAATCTTTATTTAGTGCCAAATATATGCATGAAATGATTGTAAGTACTATGAATTCCAACAGGTAAAATGTGGAAACTGTGATATAGCAGAAGGCATATTGCATTTATAACTAGCAATAAAGGATAATTCTAAGTACTTAATTTATGCTGCTGATAATAAAGGTAACAGTATTATAGAGGAAAGCAGCCAAACAAGGCAAATATTTTTGAGGGAGAGAAGAAGTAAAATGTAAATTTTATCAAAATTGAATTTAAATAATTGTATACAGGATCAAAGAAGATATTATTCAGAAAGAATATCTATAGATGTCTGCAGGTTTACCAAATAAGGCTGCATGAAATGGTGAAGAATAATTCCTAGATTTACGTTCTACACCAAATTATACAATGCAACAGACAGCCTAGTGAAAACATGAGAAAATCCAATGGACAAAAATTGCCAAACTTCCCAGTATTCAAAATGGTCCATTTGATTGACTATTTTTCTTTACTAAATATGGTACCTCATAAGGAAACTACTGGTTCCAACTGAATTTTTTATCTTTTCTTTCAAAATCCTCCCAAACACACATGAATTAGAAAAAATAATTTGACTAAAGACTACAATAAAGTGAGACAGAAACTAAATACACCAAACACATTAACGATTTCAAGTAATTGACATTAGCTAACTGTGATATGAAAGCAACTACCGTGTGGAATACCTTGGATGAATTACTTCATAACAATGTCATAGCACCCAACAATATAGATTACATTATTATCCAAGCTTTTGAAATTATAAAATTGAGCCTTAGTAGGTTAAATACTTCCTGGAAGTCCAAGAATGTGTAAAGTGGTAGAGAACAATCTTGAACCAATGAAGTCTCACCCCAAGGCTCAGGTTTTTAACAAATGTTTTATAATGGGATATACTATTAAACACAGGTCATATCTGAATTCAAACTTATTACTAACTTTGTATCTTCTATACAGTCACACATGCTCAAAACATATATACAAATTTGAGGATTTGCTTTTTAGCTCTTCTTATTGGTTACTGCACTTGTTGTTTGTGATTCTAATTCTTAGTCAAAATTACACAGGAAATTTGGCCTAGGATAAACAGTACTCTTAAAGGAAAATAATCTTCACAAACATCACATAGAATGATGTTAAATTTTTTTCTTGGATTTTTTTCCCTTTTTAAATTTTATTTCTTATTGTTACATAGTAGATGTACATATTTTGGGGACACATGTGATGTAATTTAATACATTCATATAATTTGTAAAGATCAAATCAGTATACTTGGAATATCAATCACCTTAAATACTTTTCTTTTTTTATGCTAGAATCATTTGACTTGTTCTCTTCTGGCTATGTTGAAATATACAAGAGAATATTGTAAATTATAATCACCCTACTGATCTATGAAACAGTGTCTTATTTCTTGAATCAGGCTGTATATTTGTACCCACTAAGTATCCACTCAGCATTTCTCCCTCCACCCCTCAACGTCCTTGGATGAGATAAAGCTTTGATGAGTTCATTCATCTTAATATTAATATATGAAGACTTTGAAAATATTTTTATTTTTCTGGTAGAAATTTTAAAATTTGTATTTTTTACCTAAAGTTCTTTTCTATCTACTCATGGAACATTTTAATTTGTGAACACATATCCTTGCCATGTCCCACAAATAACAATAAATGGATATAATGCGTGCACCCACATTTCCTTTGCCAAGTTTCATACAATAAATAAACTAACATCAGCTTTTAGAAAAGTTAGAACTTTTTAAAGAATGCAAAGGAGATAAAGACACATCATTGAAATTAGTCTCTGTTTTAATTTGTTCAAGGGAAACCAAAAAGATGCCTGAAGGTAAATGCAGTGTATGTGTTTTTTGCCCCTGTCATAATAGCATTTTTGTTTTATTGCTGTATGTATTACCATTATCAAACTACTGTATATTTGATGCTTGCCTATGGCAATACAGTGGCCTTAACTAATAGAAGATGGCGCAGCATCAGGACTACATTAAGAAAGGAATGTTTTATTTAAGGACTCAGCTGGTAATGTACTACCGTATTTCCCTTTACAATTTGCTCACTCTAATTGTTAAAACATTTCCTGCTATTTCAGAAGAGTAGAGACCACAAAAGCCTACAGATGAAGCACTTTGAGGTTTACACTGGAGGAACGAATTTGTTTTGCAACCTGCATTTAAAAGCATTTTAAACATGTCTTACATGACTCCTTTCTTTCTTGTCTCTATTAGTTGTTTAGAATTCAACCAGGACTTCTGTGGGTTCTGGAATGAGTAATTAATGAAGCATTAGTGTTTGAAAATTTTCTGAATAAAAGTCAGCAAGGTAGAACACAGGCAAATGAACCTAAAGGCAGACATACACAAAAAATGCAGTCCATAAAATTTCTGGTCCAAATATGGATTTTAGATTTTTGTACTATTTTCTCCAAATTTATAGTTCTAGTCTAAACAATATATGCTATAATACTTTTAAGAAGTGGGATATATCACCATTAAATAGTGGGAGTGATTTTTTTAAAAAAGGTTGGTTGGTATTAAAAAGGAATTAGGAAAGATTGAAAATATACTGATCAGGCATATAAAAGTGAATAACAATGTTCCATTACATTATAAAACATTTTAAGTAACTAAATCATAGTCCCAATATTAACAGATTTCTAGTGGATATTTGAGATCTATTACTCTTCATTTTGACAATTATTGCAAGTGTCATATGAAGACATAGCTAAATTCTCCAAGTATTTTGTGAGCTCTCCTTGTTCAGGATATTTTGTACTTCTCACAACTTCCAATGTGACAGGTAATAAATGTAAATAAATCAATACAGATGAATGAAACATATTTTCATTAAGAAGGAACAAATCTTAATTTCTAAATGCCTGGTAGTTATTTTCCAGGTATTCAATATCAGCATCACATCAATTATTTCTTATGACTTAAAGTTTCATTTCAGGGCATAATTACAACTATAGTAAAAGTTTACATCAATATCTCTTCAATATTACAATTACAAGGATGCTTGTGAGAAACAGCTCCTTTTTAGCACGGGGGTTGAAGCTAGAACTGTCACAATTATCAATTTTGTGATTTGTTGATTTTCTTTATTTCTATGACACCAAGTAAAATCTGGTTGATCAAGATATTCTATTAATAACTGTGATTTTCAAATCTGACCACGAATTAAAATCTCCTGGGGATCCAAACACAACTATTTCATTTATTTTTTTATGTGTATAGGAAATTACCAACAACCTAGCATATTTCTGTATTCCCATTTCCAATCAAACATTAACTACCAGCGGCATCCACTATTAGTTTTGACTGTTACTGAACTTCATATAACTTGAATTTCATCCCATGCATTGATTTAGAGAATACCAGGCAAAAACAGATTTTAGATCCCACTTAGATTTGGTCATGTTTCAAAATCAGGTCAACAGCTATCATGAGAGCTTTTTCAATAGAAGTTGCCTAACCTCTAATCTAGATTAATTGGCATCGATTTTCCTGTATATTCAAGGATTGTATTAATATCTTTTTTGAGAAATTGACCATAAACCTAAATCCTCTTCACTTAGGAACATTTTGTAGAACTGGAAAGAACACTTGTGAAAAATATTTGCTGATTCAAAAGCTCTATACAAATATACAGGACTATTAGAAATGATCTTCTGCCCAATATACAAGTTTTCTTGTCATAAAGAAACAGTTTTCCTCTTGCTGTCTTCTCAGGTTAAAATTATTCAGACTTGAACATCTTTACAATCCCCTGGCACATGCTAATTTCAGTGGATCCTTTATTTCATGCATCCTCTGCCTTCCTGCCCAGTTTCCTGCCCAGTTTTACCTCTTGCCCAATTCTCTTCAATTACTTGAACAAATGGCAGTTTTTCTTGCCCCAGGGCCTTAGCACATCCTGACCTGCCTTGAGATTCTCTGTCCCTGCTTTTTGAAAAGCTAAGATCTCATTTTTTTTCCATTATCTGTATAGATATCACTTCTTCAGAGTGGCCTCTTCTGACCATTACCACTTCTGTTTCAGTCTCTCCGAGCACTCTGATGATTTAGATCATCAAATCATTCCTAATGTTTACTTATTGGTACCTTGCATTAGGTTGCCAACTCCATAAGGCTAATGACACCAGGTATCCAGCTTGCTTTTATATGTCCAGAGCCTAACACTGTGACTGAAATATTAAAACATTTCTCCATTTCTTGAAAGAAATGAAGACTTTGCCTTTCCATAAAAAAAAACAGCTACCTTTATTTATAAATGAGAATTTGATTTCTTGAGAGTGAGGGTTTGTTCCCATGCTCTTTTCTTATGTGTCATTTACTCTGGGTTCAGGGTCCTTGGATCTTCGTTGAAGAAAGAAAGTGCTTCTTGAAGCATTCGGTATGTATTAGTGCTAACGTCGTGGTAATGATGAGCTCCCGAGTAGTATGTGTGCCTTGTCACGTTATCATGGGGCTGAGAAAATACTTCCTAATTTATCTCTTCAAATGTAAGACCCTCTTTCTTCAGCAAGATCAAGTTATCTAAGCATTCAGAAGCCTCTCTCTATTTCATTTGTTTCTCTGAAGATGTCAGCTGTTTCTTAATATTCCTCAGGTGCTTTATCTCACTCAAATCAATTGATCTGAACCACTGAGAACCTTATTCTTTTAAGAAAAAAGAATATAGGAAACTACAGAGTGCTAAATACTGCCTTAAATCAGCTTTATAATATACCAATTGCCTTCACTGTGATGGAGGAGAAAACCCGTATCTTGACCATTTTTAAGTTCTATTGACTTTCCTATGTATTATGAGACCTCTGACACCATGGACGTGAGCAAAGCAAGACTAGCAGTATCAGGGGTCGACTAAAGGGGGATGATCTTTGTAAGAACTGCTCACTTCTATTTTCTTACATGACAGGAGACAATCAAGCACTATACTACACTAAATTAGAAACAGAGGGTAGAGCAAATGTCTATAGTTTTGCATAATCCTCATAAATTGGAGGAGAAACATACTCGGGCTTTTTAATCAATGAGAAGACTGTTCTTTCAATGACTTTGTTGCAGTTCTTAGCCCAGAAGTACTACAGCCAATGGTGGAATGACTACTGCAATTTTATTCGCAAAATACCTATGAGAATTCCAGATGGTGCCCCTGAGGCCAGTTGTTAACGGGGCAAGAGCGGATTCATTCCACACCCATTTTCTACTTTGGTGTTGAAATGCGAGCTAGTCCATGGTCTAGATCCCACCCACATGCCAACATGCACCTGCAAAAGTCTTCAATTTGGGGGCTTTTAAATCACAAGCAGACACCCTGATTTAGCTTACATATTAAAAATTCCATCGCAGGAAAAAAATTCTCCAAAAACTCAGAGCTCTAATTCCTTAATGAATTATGTACGTGGTGAGGGATATACAGACAGACATGACTTGATTTCCTGTTCAGAATACTGGAGAGCATATTGGAATACAGACCACGACCATTTCAGGGCTAGTGTTTCAGTCACACTTGCAAGTAAAGCAAAATGTTATCAAGATTTGTTTTAATTGAGGAAATAGGGAATTCCAAACTGTTAATAAAACGTCATTGACAACATTTGAGCTCAAGATAAAAATACAGCCTACTTTCTCCAAGTTTACTCTATGGTCTTTGGAGAAATGGTGTATGTGAATAGACAGTCACAGACTGAAGCCCATTTTGCACAGATTCTGCAAGACCTTTCTCTTCATTTATAGAAGCATGCCCCTTGCATTGGCCAAGTTTCATTTTAGACGCCCAATGAACCAGAAACCCAAAGCTAAAATCATCTATAGTCACCAGCTTGCTTATGCGTTTCACCTGGAGTCATAAATCTTTTCTTTATATCCTTTGGGAGGGAGTGAGTTCTCCTGAAACTTGGGCCAAGTTCACCTGACACTTCTCAGGAGCCCCATTTAGGGTTTACATAGAAAAAAGTCAAACCGAAATAATTTTTACCAGTTTTAGATTTCATTTAAAAAACATACAGACACATGTGCAATGTCCCAAGTCACTTATTTTAATAGGAATCTGGAAGACAGAAATGGCATCAGTTTAGACTGACAGGGCTAACCTAAGAAACGCACGTAAGACTAAAATCAATCTCCCCAACTCTATATTATCTATGAGAATTAGGCCAAAGGAAGTTTTATGGTAAAATTAAAAGAATGTGTGAGCACTTAGTAGTCCATTATATTATTATTATTCACATTCATGTAAATACTCCTAATCCTGATATTTTCAATCCGTATAAGCACAGAAGCAGTGAATGTTATTCTTACTGGCTGTAATTATCAGAGGCTGGTTCCAGAATAACATGACATCAGTGAAAGCACACAGACAAGAGGGAAGGGGCTTTGTCATAAATCTTCCAGTAGGGGGCGCCAAAGGCAAGAACTGTCTAAGAAATGTTCATCTGGATCCACTTTCTAAAGAGGTATCATCATTGCTCTTACTTTAAGCCTTGCCTCCCTCTTACCTCTGCTGCAAACTCATAGCATTAATAAATAAAATGTGAAAAGAGAAAATTGAAAAGTCATAGCCTTTTTTATTGCCTTAGTTGGAAGAAGTTAGGATCTTTTGGGGTGGGGGATGTGATTTGTAACTAGGCAGGAGCATGAGAAGAGTTTCTGGGATACTGATAGTATTCCATTTTATGATCTGGTTTGTAGTTATTTGTGTGTCTTCACTTTGAGGTGATTTATCAAGCTGTAAATTGATTGTATGTGCTCTTATCTGTCTTTCACACTTTTAAAAAATGTTTACTAAAAAAAGAGAGAGAGAGAGAGAGATTGCTGTTCTGTATTCCCAGAAATGACTAGTTGGAAAAGCAACACAAAAACAGCGATCAGGGTTGGAGTCTGCATGTGTGCTGGAATCTAGGTGTGGAAGCCTGCAGAGCAGGACATGGATTAGACTGTGATGGAGTCAGAAATGAAAAGTACTCTAAGAAAATAAGAAAATTGACTAGAGCTGTGCTTACTGCATAAAACTTGGGACTGGGAAGAGACTAAAAAATTGTTACCTATCTCTGGATCCACAGGCTACTTAAAATTTCATACCCCGGGAGATGAGAAGAGATAGACAGAGCCTGATGGCTGGGGCCTGCAGAGGCCTGTTCACTGTCTCATAGACGGAATATGCCATATTCTAAACCATACAAGTGCACAGAAGCCATGGCTTACCAAAATACAATCTGATCTGGACTCAGAGCTCCAGCGGTCAGCAACTGAAAATTTTAGACAGAGTAGTATGATAATAGACCAACACTGACCTTTACAACAAACAAACTCACTCAAAATGTATCTGGATTAAAAGCAAATAAATAAACAGATCTACATCTATTCTTTCCTTAATGAACCATCAGACATAGGAAAAAGATGGATTACCCACAAATCAGCAATAATTAGACAAGCCCTCCTCTCACCAGAAATGACAAATGGCAGAAGATAAGAGTATCCTTTCAAAACATTTACAGAAAATTACTGTCACAAAACAGTGTATTAAAAAAAAATAGGTAAGCTTTTTGAAATTATACTATTAAATGAAAAACTATGTAGAAAAATTAAATTTAACAATGTTAAATTAAGCAAAGAACTATCTGAAAATTGATTGGCCTCTCAAGTCAGAATAGCTCAGAGAGCCTCCAGCATTGCAAAGTGGTGGAATATTTATAGACAGAAAAATGAAAATAACATCTAAAATAACGGAAGTGAGGTACAGAAACGGATTTGGTATTGCTCAGTGTTTGCCTTATTTGAACACTGTTTAAACAGTTGGCTGCCTTTAATTGGCCAAAGCTCAGTGATTGGCACAAGAGTAAGTTACAGTCAGCTTACATGTGCAGTTAGGCTACAGTTCACTACGTACGGAGTAATATTTAGGCTGAACTTTACATATGTAAGAACATAACTTTAGGCTAAACTTAGTTTAACATCCTCCTTTTTGGTCATCCTCTCAATGTTGAGAGAGGATCAAAATTTTAGGCATTGACGTCACTGTCACCATTGTAAATTTTCTTATTTGGTGTCAAATCATTGCCGGTAAATAGCAAAACTGGCTTTTATAAGGTGGAAACTAGGACTCCAGGCTATTATTTTTTTAAAAGACTAGACTAGATGGGACCTTCTTGTGCTGGAATCACCTCTTTTGAGTAGAAAAACAAAACATGCTCTGTTTTAGGATCTTTCACCTTCAAGTTTTAGTTTGATTACGTCGCATTCAGCATGAATGACTTCATTTTGGTTTGTTCTGCTCTGTTGGGGCCTAGTGCACACACTCAGTCTTAAACAATGGCTTCCCACAAATATGTCTAAAAAAATTCCCACCGTTTGGTTAAGTTCTTACTCAAGTGAGAGTGACCAAAACTGAGGGGTTTAGCACATTCTCAGTTACCATCATTCTGGGTTTCTGCCCTCGGCATACCAAACATAGATAATTGCATCCTCATGGTCATATATTTCTTAGAGTTTTTGTCATTCTAGTTGACAAGAGATCATTTAATATTCTGGACATGGCTGCATGCAAACATTTAAAACTTGTGGGAGAATATAACCCACAATGGAGATTGCTATTATGACTATCAGAAGGAGGATAATATTATCAGGAGGAGAATATGGAGTATGCTGCTTAGCCAGAGTCCATACCTATATACATGTATACATATATACATACATACATAAGCATCTACATGTATATACATATGTGTGTGCATGTGTATATATATACATGTATACAAATATGTGCATATTTATATATATTTTTATATAAAAATTTATATAAATTTAAATAAATTTATATATAAAATTTATATATAAAAAATGTATATATATTCCTACCAGATTAGCCTGGAGACAAAGCTTGGGTGTGAAGAAGGGGCTATATTGGACTTGACTCTGACTTTTAGCTGCTGGCCTGGGCACTGAGAACATGTCTCCAGACCTCACTACAACTACCTATCCAGGCCTCCAAATCTAGAGGCTCAAAATAAAAAACAAAAGCTAATAGCCAAATCAAGAACATGTCAAATTATATATAAATGATAATTTTAAAGTCATTTCTATTTTATTAGCAATTTTTAAACTAGCTTCATTTACAGAATATTATCCCATACACATAATACATATAGACATACAAACATAAGAACAGAAAATATAGCTTTCATAAAGGATTCCAATTTGCTGGCTTTTAGATAATTTTTTCCCCATTCAGACTCTTAATTCTTTAATTACCTGTTTCATTGCCCTCAGTAATTGTTAACTAGGCAACAAATGTGCATTTCTAAAGGGACAATTCTTAGGTGAAACAAGAAAATTTATATTTCAAAAGCAAAGAGCTAACATTTAAGGCCTATGATATGGTTTGGCTGTGTCCCCACACAAATTTCATATTGAATTATAGCTCCCACAATTCCCGCATGTTATAGGAGGGACTTGGTGGGAGATTATTGAATTATGGGGGCAGGTCTTTCCCATGCTGTTCTAGTGATAATCAGTAAGTCTCATGAAAGCTAATGGCTTTATAAAGGGGCATTCCCCCGCAAAAGCTCTCTTTTGCCTGCCGCCATGCAAAATGTGACTCTCCTTCTTCTTTGCCTTCTGCCATGATTGTGAGGCCTCCCCAACCATGTGGAACTGTGTGTCAATTAAACCTCTTTTCTTTATAAATTACCCAGTGTCAGGTATGTCTTTATTAGCAGCATGAGAACAGACTAATACAGCCTGAATATTGCATCTTTTGCTCAAGCCAAAGAAAAAATGGCATAAGTAAAAGTACAGTTAAAGCAAGATGGCCAGTAAAGCACCTTAAACTAAGGTATGACTTGTGTAAATTTAAAATAATGGTAAGAAGAGTTTCTAATGTACACAGAAAGGCACGTAACATATGGAGATTTCCTTTAGAGATGTGTATTAGTTTGTTCTCATGCTGCTATGAGGACATACTTAAGACTGGAAAATTTCTAAAGGAAAGAGGTTTAATTGACTCACCGTTCTGCAGGGCTGGGGAGGCCTCAAAAAACTTACGGTCATGGTGGAATGGGAAGCAAACATGTCCTTCTTCACATTGTGGCAGCAAGAAGTTCAGAGCAAAGGGAGGAAAGTCCCTTATGAAACCATCGGATCTCATGAGAACTCACTCACTATCAAAAGAACAGCATGAGGGTAACTGCTCCCATGATTAAATTACTTCCTGATGGGTCCCTCCCACCACAGGTGGTTATGTGAACTACAATCAAGATGAGATTTGGGTGGGGATGCAGCCAACCATATAATTTAACCCCTGGCTTCTCCCAAATCTCACGCCCTCATCCTATTTCAAAATACAATCATGCCTTCCCAGCAGTCCCCCAAAGTCTCAACTCTTTCCAACAGTAACTCAAAAGTCCAAGTCCAAAATTTCATCTGAGACAAAGCAAGTCCCTTCTGCCTACGAGCCTATAAAATCAAAAGCAAGTTAGCTACTTCCTAGATACAATGCGGGTACAGGCATTTGGTAAATACACCCATTCCAAATGGGAGAAATTAGCCAAAACAAAGTCCATTCAAGTCCAAAATCCACTGGAGCAGTCAAATCTTAAAGCTCTGAAATGATCTCTGTTGACTCCATGTCTTGCATCCAGGTCATGATGCAAGATATGGGCTCCCATAGTCTTGGGCTTTGCCAGGTACAGCTCCCTTCCCAGCTGCCTTCACAGGCTGGTGTTGAGTGTCTGTGACTTTTCCAGGTACACTGTGCAAGTGTTGGTGGATCTACCATTGTGGGGTCTGGAGGATGGTGGCCCTCTTCTCACAGGTCCACTAGGCAGTGCCCAAGTGGGAACTCTGTGTGTGAGACCCAACCCCATATTTCCCTTCCGCACTGCCCTAGCAGACATTCTTTATGAGGGCTCCTCCCCTGTAGCAGACTTCTGCTCAGACACCCAGGCATTTCCATAAATCCTCTGAAATCAAGGTGGAGGTTCCCAAACCTTAATTCTTGATTTCTGTGCACAAAGCAAGGGTCCCCAGGCCTTGCCCAGTAAACCATATTTTCATCCTTGGCCTCTGGGCCTGTGAGGGGAGGGGCCACCATGAAGGTCTCTAACATGCCCTGAAGACATTTTTTTCCATTGTCTTGGTGATTAACATTTGGGCTCCTCATAACTTATGCAAATTTCTGCATCCAGCTTGAATTTCTCCCCAGAAAAAGGGGTTTCCTTTTCTAGTGCATCATCAGACTGCAAATTTTTAAACTTTTATGCTCTGCTTCCTTTGAACTCTTTGCCGCTTAGAAATTTCTTCTGTCAGATACTCTAAATCATCTCTTTCAAGTTCAAAGTTCCACAGATATCTAGGATAGAGGCAAAATGCCACCAGTCTCTTTGCATAGCAAGAGTGACCTTTACCCCAGTTCCCAACAAGTTCCCCATCTCCATCTGAGATGACATCAGCCTGGACTTTATTGACCATATCACTATCAGGATTTTGGTCAAAGCCATTCAACAAGTCTCTAGGACGTTCCAGACTTTCCCACATCTTTCTGTCTTCTGAGCCCTCCAAGTCTCTATGAAGTTCCAAACTTTCTACTTTTTTTATCTTCTTCTGAGCCCTCCAAACTCTTTCAACCTCTGCCTGTTTCCCTGTTCCAAAGTTGCTTCCACATTTTTGGGTATCTTTATAGCAGTGCCTTACTCCTGGTACAAATTTACTGTGTTGGTGTGTTCTCACACTGCTATAAGGACATACTTGAGACTAGGCAATTTATAAACAAAACAGGATTAATTGACTCACAGTGTCGCAGGGCTGGGGAGGTCTCAGGAAACTTTCAATCATTGCAGAAGAGGAAACAAACACATCCTTCTTCACATGGTGGCAGGAAGGAGAAGTGCAGAACAAAGCAGGGAAAAGACCCTTATAAAACCATCAGATCTCATGAGAACTCACTCATGAGAACAGCATGGAAGTAACTGCTCCCATGATTCTATTACCTCCTACTGGGTTACTCCCACAACACATGGGGATCATGGGCACTACAGTTCAAGATGAAATTTGGATGGGGACACAGCCAAACCATACCAAGATGTAATTTCTTTTACAAAAGAATTTCAAGATAGCTAGTTAAATACCAGAAAGCTGTATTTTAGTTCCATAGGTGAACCTTTCAATTTAACTATGGTTTCTAGCTAAAATCACTATGTTTGGGATGAAGCCCATTAAGGAACAGGGCAAATAAAGCATTCTCTCTGCCTGGAATCAGGACAGATAGATCTGAAAAAGAAGCAAGTCTACTTTACCTGAGGGCCTGTCTTTAATAAACACTCTATCTATCTAGAAGAGATTCCTTTGTGCCTTCAAAGTTGGATAGTAACTAAGCCAAAAGGTTGGAGGATTTAATTTTTCTTATCTACTAGTCACTTAAATCTTTTATTTGCCTTTTATAAAGAGTCCTTTTTAAAATAACAATAAAATATTGAAAATTTTTTAGAAGTTTCTGGACATTAATAGACCTCATCAGATGAGATTAATTCAGGAGATTTCATTTTCAAATGCACTTTTTAAAGTGCAGTATTGTTCATTTGGAATGTTACATTGTATTTTACATTACATTTAGTAAGATTTTGCCATTTCTATAAGCATTTGCTAATTCTGGGCTAATACTTATACATGTAAATGTAGACACAGCCAGAAGGTAGATTACTTAGTTCTTAAGAAAGTAAAGATCTCATTTTTATCTTGAATCTTTGCTTTGACTCTCATATCCCCTAAATCAACTTAGCCGATGTCTTTCCTCATATAAGCACACAAGAAAGAAAGGAGTTAAAATACAAAAATCTCTGCAAATTTCTAAATGCTAAAGTTTGCACCTCCTGCAATGTTACCATTTACTATTGGTTTTTAATCTGACCCAGTCAGACATAAGGGGTTTATAACTGGATCCAAGCCAGTTATTTTTAGGATCTTTAAGCCAAAAAATATCTGAGACAAGTCTCAGTTAATTTAGAAGTTTATTTTGCCAAGGTTAAGGACATGCCCACGACAAAGCCTCACGAGGTCCTGGGAACATGGCCCAAGTGTTGGGGTCACAGCTTGATTTTATACATTTTAGGAGGGCAGAAGTTATAGGCAAATATCAATTAGTATATGTAAGGTGTACATTGATTTATTCTGGAAAGGCAGGCCATCTCAAAATGGGGGCTTCCAGGCCATAGGTGGACTCAAAGATTTCCTGACTGGCAGTTGGTTGAAAGAGTTTAATTTTGGCTAAAGAGTTGAAGTTAGCAGAAAAAAAAAATGCGTGGGGTCAAGATAAAAGAGACTGTGGAAACCAAACTTCTTGTTATGCAGATGAAGCCTCTAATTAGCAGGCTTCAGAGACAATAGATGTTAAAGGTCTTCTTATCAGACACTAAAAGGTGCTAGACTCCCCTGAAAAGACCTAGTAAGGGAAGGAGATTCTCTACAGACTGTAAGTTTCCCCCCCCACACACAAGACAGCTTTGCAAAGCCATTTTAAAATATGTCATGGAAAAATATTTTTGGATAAAATGCTTTCATTTCTTTCAGGGCCTGTTATCTGTCATGTGAGTCTATAGTAGGTCAGATTGGAATTTGGTATCTTATTGCTACAAAGAGTCTGTTTTGCCGGTTTTAGATCTTTGTTTTAATGTTAACGCTGGTCAGTTGTGCCTGAATTCCAAAGGGAGGAAAGTATAATGAGGTATATGGAACCTCTGTTTCCATCATGGCCTGAACTAGTTTTTCAGGTTAACTTTAAAATGCCCTTGGCTGAGAGAAGGGGTCCATTCAGTTGGTTGGGGGCCTTAGAATTTTATTTTTAGTTTACAGATTGAATCTAATTCTGGACCCAGTTCATTTTCTGTTGAGACTTCTGAAGAAAGTTTGGATCAAAAATTTCGTTCAAATAAACTTGGATAGTTCAAAACACAAATCTGTCGAGCTTCAGTATCCCAGAGAGAACTTGCCACGATTCCCAGCGGCTGTGAGAGCGCAATGGATACAATACACTCCAGGCATCCCACTTGGTCACTCAATGCTCCTGCAGGTCGCTAGAAGCTCTATTTCAGATCACACTTCTGACTTCATCTGTTAAAAGACAAAAACATAGACAAGTTAAATTTAACAAGTTTAATTGAGCAAAGAATGATTCTCAAATTCTGCAGCTTCCGAAGCCAGAGGAGGCCCAGAGATGCTCCAGCAAAGCCATATGGTGGAAGACAATTTATGGACAGAAAAAGGAAGGTGATGTACAAAAAATGGAAGTGAGGTACCGACATAGCCAGATTGGTTACAGTTCAGCGTTTGCCTTATTTGAACACAATTTGGACAGTTGGCTGCCTTTGATTGGCCAAAACTTGGTGACTGGAATGAGGAAGTTACAGTCTGTTTACACATCCAGTCAGGATACAATTCACCATGCACAGAAAAAACTTTAGGCTGAATTTAAAATATGTAAGGAAACAGCTCTAGGCTAAATCTATTTTAACAATGCATACAAATCAAGAGTTTTTTTGTTTTTGTTTTTGTCTAGATAGATGTTACTAAAGAGCCAATAGAGGATTACTTAAGGGAGAAACTAGCTGGATTGTAAGAAGTACAGAGCAAAAAATAAATGGGTGTTTAGAAACTGGTAAAATATACTATTTCTTTTAATTATTATTAAACTGACTATTAAAATAAACTGATTTATTATTAAAGTAAAATGATTCATCATTAATTTTACTTAATAAAAAGGTTGAAATTAAGTGTCCAGAGGTCATTAATAATGAAGGAAATCAAAATATTTCACCCAAAATATGTCTCCCTGGTATAATGAGTATTTTAAATGAAAAATCCTAAGAGATCAATAAGTGACAAAAGAAACTTTTCCCCATCTACATAAAGGGAGAACTCACCCACCAAGGAGAAAAATTATTCTTATTTCCCTCCCTTTTGTCTTATTTTTCATTACAAGAAAGAAGATGACAAATGTAACCACACTTGAACAGACCTGTTTTCAGGATAATGACTATTTCTGAGGATCATTTCAAATCTAAAGAGAGCTATTTACAAGTCAGTTTCTGTTAGATAGTAATCATTTATGGCCCTTCAACAGAATTCCTCTTCTCTCCCTTCCCAAATTCTGTTTTACCAGCATCCAAGCCCCCATTCTTTCTGTAACCTCAAGGTGGTATATAAGCTTCTGTTCCTCATTGGGAGTTTGGGTCTTCATTCTGAAGGTCTTCATTCTATGTATACCCATTAAATAAATTGGTATGCCTTTTCTGCGATTATTCAATTTGCCTCATGTCAGTGCTTTTCAGCAAAACTTTAGGAAGTCAAAAGTGTAACCACCCAAGGGTTTCACCTTGCCTGCTGCCTAGACAGAGCCAATTTATCAAGACAGGGGAACTGCATTAGAGAAAGAGTAATTCATGCAGAGCCAGCTGTGCAGGAGACCAGAGTTTTATTATTACTCAAATCTGCCTTCCTGAGCATTCAGGGAACAGAGTTTTTAAGAACAACTTGGTGGGTGAGGGGAATCCGGTGAGCCAGGAGTTCTTCTTGGTTAGGTAGAAGATGAAATCATAGGGAATTGAAGCTGTCCTCTTGCACTGAGTCAGTTCCTGGGTGGGGGCCACAAGATCAAATGAGCCAGTTAATCAATCTGGGCAGTGCCAGCTGATACATCCATTGCAGGGTCTGCAAAATATCTCAAGCATTGATCTTGGGAGCAGTTTAGGGAGGGTCAGAATCTTGTAGCTTCCAGCTGCATGACTCTTATGCCATAATTTCTAATCTTGCAGCTATCTTGTTAGTCCTACAAAAGCAGTCTAGTCTCCAGGTTCCTTTTGGGAAAAGGCTTTTATTGTCTTTGTTTTAAACTTTAAACTAAGTCCCTCTCAAAGTTAGTTCAGCCTACGTCCAGGAAGAAACAAGGATAGCTTAAGGTTTAGAACCAAGATGGAGTTGGTTAGGTTAGATCTCTTTCACTATCTCAGTCATAATTTTGCAAAGGAAATTTCAATAGCTTCAGCCCCCACAATAAGAAAAGTGGTAGATACACGTTTCATACATTTTCATAAGTAATTAATTTACATAAGAATCTCATTTTGTTTGAAAGAAGAATAGGTACAATGAATGACTTTAAACCATTAGAAAAAAAAATTGTATTGCTTAACACAACAAATATTTACCAACCAATAGTCTAGGTACTGGGCATTTGCTTGGGTTGTTGGAAGAAAAGGGGGCAATTGTGAAGCAGAATGGGTAATGAGGAAGGTAAAAGTAGTTCAGAGATGTAGAAGGGAGGGAATTCTAGGCCATGGTATAGAGACTGGATATATATATAGTGGATATATATATATATATATATATATATATATAGTGCTTTCACTAAGATGATGTAATGAAGAGTCTGACTCTATTTTTGATGTTTGATGGCTGAGAGCTTTCAAGCTTGACCCCTTCCTTTTTCTTTTCTGCCTCATATCTGAGTAAGCTGAGGAGAATGCCCTAGTGCTCCCTCCTTTGGTGCCAGCAGGAAGTTTAAGTTACATATGCTTCTATCCCAAAGTGGAAACTCTCATCCCAACCCAACTGTCTAACCACAGTGAAAGCTTCAAGCTAGTCTTGCTTTGCTCCCTCAAGCCATTTTCAGCTTCCCTTGGGAGTGGCCCCACTTTATCGAAAAAATATCCTATGTGAGAAACCTTTTTAGACCCGTGTGTGTGTGTGTGTGTGTGTGTGTGTGTGTGTCACTAACAGTGTTGACATTGAGCCAAATTTTAAATGGCCACAACTGGCAGTAAGCTTTAGAAATGTTTGAGTAGGTATAGGTATTACCTGAGATAGAGATGATAGATAGATAGATAGATAGATAGATAGATAGATAGATAGATAGCTATGGTTATAGAGATAGATATGAATATCTATCTAGCTATCTTTTAATCACTTATTTTCTCTGTGCAAAATATATTGAAGGAAGGGAGGGGATAGAACAGAAAACTATTGCAGTTTGCTTCAATAGCTTAAACCACTTCTCTCCAATCTTTCTCATTCTAGGAAGCTCATATAGAAATTAAGAGTGCCTATGCCATACATTAGGAAGACAAAAGAGGCCGCTCAGCATCAGGAATTGTTCCCAGTTTCTCTAATTTCTTCAGCCCTCACTGATTGTAAGAGGATTTGTTATTACCGTACACTTGAATCATATTAGGAACAGTGTTAGAAAAGCTGGTCAGAGATGGTGAGGGCTTAGATACACAAGTGGCAGAAAGAGAAGTGAGAATAAGTTGTTTTAAAGGTAGAGCTACTGCACTTGGGTGTATATTGGAAGTAAGATGATACCACCTTTGTAAGATTATGACAGTGAGAGAAATTTAGTATGGCTGACTTCATCTTGCTTCTAATCTTATAGTTAGAAGCAAGGTTACAAGGTTACATGTCTTTGCTCATTCCTGGGTTTAGGCCAAGCTGACTATGGCAGGAATTTAGTTTATAGTTTAACTTTAAAACAAGGATGATAATAGTCCCTCCCTAAAACTGATCTCCTCCATGTTTGGGGTCTGAAACAGCTTTTGTAGGACTAATGAAAGGTCATAAGATTAGAATTATGGAAGAATCCTGAATCCCACTAAGATATAGGCATAGTTTCTATAATCTCTTACTTCTCAGGAGTCAAGGCCAGAAGTAACAAGATGTGTGACTTCCTCAGTTGTTCCTATAGCTAACATCACTATCGTAGAACCTAAGATTTGTCTTTTAAGATGTTTTTCAGACTTTTGCATTCTGGTAACTGACTGACCCTACCTGGATTTATGATTTATGACTCATGACTCAACTAGTCCTGTGGGCCCCCCCACCCAGAGGCAGATTCAGTGCACAAGGACCATTTTCCAAATATCTATGATTGGATTCCAACCAATCGGCAGCACCCGTTCCCTAGTCCCCTGTGCATCAAATTATCTTTGAAAAACTCTAACTTCTGAGCCTTTGGGGATAATAATTTGAATGATTATTCCAGCTCCTGTGTGGCTGGCTGGCCTTGTATCAATTAAACTGTCTTTACTATAATGCCATGATCTCAGTGAATTGGTTTTGTCTATGCAGTGGGAAGGAAGAACATATCTGGTGATTACAAGAGAATGTAAGATATCAAGATATCCCCAAAGTTTTTGGCATGAGCAAACAGATGAATAGAATTACCATTTACTGAGATGGAGACAGTGTGGAAAGAGCTAGTTTAATGTACCAGAAAGGAAATTTTGTGTTCTAAACATACTGTGCTTTTCAAAAATGTATTAACAAGCACTAACAGCAAAAATCCAGGACCATTGACTTCATTTTGCTAGAATTTTCCCTTGAAAAGACAGAACCAAATGGTAAAATACAGTATAACCTTTAGCATGTGTGTGGTGCAAAATAACTTCAACACAACATATATTAAATCATCTATTATTTTTAAGGTCTATATTTTTTCATTTGGTTCCATTTTATAACTTTTACATCTTACTGGAATTTTCTATTTTGTATTTGTTTCAAGAGAAGTCATAATTGATTGTTAATGATTGTGCTTACTGTATTATAAAAATCCTTGTAAGGTCATTCTAAATCTGGCTCATCTCACTTTGTGTCTGTTGATATCTTTTCTCATTCATGTTGTGATTTTCCTGTTTCTTGTTATGATGAATGCATTCTCAATTATATTCTTGACATTTTAGTTCTTATAAGACTCTGGATCCTATTTAATCTTGTTTTTTCAGCTGGATGTTCCCTAGGGTATAGTGAAAGGGCCAGGTGGGTGTATATATTTAGTTTTCCACTGTGTCGCACACACACCCTAGCAAGAGTACTCAGTCACACTGCCTCATTGCAGCAGATGTGAAACTTCACCTCTCCCTCAGCCCTGCTGATGCTTTCTCAGAGAAAGAAAACACCAATTTTCACCTCCTCATTGTATTCAGGTTGAAATATAGGTTTAGCTTCACACTGGGCCCTCCATCACCAGGAAGATAGTAAGTAAAGGACTAACCCTCATTGTCTTGTTGCTGTTTGGGTAGGTAAAAGTTCAACACTTTACTGGGACTGTCATACCAGGAGTGGAGTGAGGCAGAATAGAGTGGAGAGGAAATGTGGAGTGACAACTACCTTCACTTGAACCACCATGTCGTTCTACCTCGTTGATACTGGCTTGGGGTGGAAGCGAGGCTCACCACTGAGCTAAACTAACAGTAGGGAAAGGAAATACGGAGTATTGTCTAACCCATCTTGCACCACCTAATTCTGCCTTATTGATGTCAGGTGGCTATATGAAGGCTTAGCTCCCTGAGGTGCCCACTGGTTGATTTTTATACTGATTTTACAAATAGTAAGAACAATGTGATTTAACAATGAAAATACATGAAATTTAAAAACTTTCATTTCACCTGCACTATAAAATTTATGTTTCATGCTATTTTCCAAACCTTCTCTATATGCATTCATAGAGTATACCATTGAAATGATAGTATATATTATTTTATCTTATTTTTATGCTTATATTTATATATTTTATTTTTCTAAAGTCTTTATGGTTATTGTAATGATACAGTTTGGATATTTGTCCGTGTCTTAATCTCATGTTGAAATGTAATACCCAGTGTTGGAGGTAAGGCTTGGTGGGAAGTGTTTGAATCATAGGGATGAATCCCTCATGAATGACTTGGGCTATCCCCTTGGTAATAAGTGAGCTCCTGCTTTGAGTTCACATGAGATCTGGTCATTTAAAAGTGGGTGGCACCCTCCTACTTTCTCTCTTGCTCCTGCTTTTGCCATATGACAATGCACAAGCTCTTGCTTCTGCCATGAGTAAAAACTCTCTGAGGCCTCCACAGAAGCCGAGGGTTATCACTGCCATGTAAAACAATTAAATGTCTTTTCTTCATAAATTACCCAGTCTCAGATATTCCTTTATAGCAATACAAGAATTGCCTAACACAGTACTACACAAACAGTATTTTATAATTAATTGTGTGTTAAAATTTTTAAAAAGAATATTATGATATTGGGAAGTCATTTAAAAATCATTTTCTTTATTAAATGTATAACACAAAATGCCTACCAAAGTGGCTGATTAGTAAGATACTCTTCTTTCCTGTTAGTGATTGTATTACTTTCCCGTGGCTGCTATAACATGTTACCACAAACTTATCATCTTAAAACAGAAAAAAATTATATCTTACAGTTTTGGAAGTTGAGTCTGGACAGATCTTGCTGTCAGGGTTGCATTCCTTTCTGGAGGCTCTACGGGATAATCCATTTCCTTCCAGCTTCTAGAGGCTGCATGTATTCCGTGGTTTATGGCTACATTCAAAAGCAGCAATTGTTTTCAATCCTTCTCACATTGCATCACTCTTACACTTACTCTTCTGCCCCTGTCTTCCACATTTACGAATTTTTATGATCACATTGTGCCCACCCTGATAATCCAGGATAATCTTTATATCTTAATGTCTTCTAGTTAACAATCTCAATTCCATCCACTACCTTGTTCCCCTTTGCCATATAACATAACCTCTTCATGGGGGTGAACATTCTTGGGAGGTCATTATACTGCTTACTTCCATAAAAATTTAATTTGGGTTTGCATTTTTATTAAGTGAGTCCTCATAGTCACTGTTGACAAGAAGGAACTTGAAGCTTATAAGTTTATTAGAGATAATTCATCTTTTACCACCAATTACAAACAGAATATTATAAAATTATAATTGATTCCAAATAAATGTTGCTGTTAGAGTATAGATGTTAAATTATTCCTAAAATTTGGAAAAAGGGGAGACATTCATATCTGAAGTCCTGTATCCTTTAGTACATTTCTAAAAAACAAATTTATTAGGAATAGCGCATCAGTATCAATAAGATTTACTCCAATTTCTAAAGTAAAATATGGAGGAGAAGGTTTAAATTTTAGGACTGGAAAGATTGGCACCTAAATCTAAAACAACTTCATTTGTCTTAGAAAGGTAATAAAATTGAACTCCTGCATCTTAAATAACTTGCCTATATTCACACACCCAATAAGTAACAATGGGAGAACAAGAGACAGTAATCAGTATTTTTGAACTCCAGTTCTTGACTTCTCTGTTTCATTACAACATCCATTAGGAAAAAAAAAAGTGTTAGTGATAATTTATTTCAATTGAAATTTATTCATCATGAAAGATATATGACAAAAATACCATCATGGAAATAGATAAATTTTTGAAAATAAGAAATTATTTTAAAAAGAACAACTAGGCTAGGTCTGGTAGCTTATGTCTGTAGTCTCAGCAATTTGGGAAGCCAAGGTGGGAAGATCACTTAAGCCCAGGAGTCTGAGACCAGTCTGGGCAATAAAGTGAGACCCCCATCTCTACAAAAATATTTTGAAAATTAACTGGGCATGGTGGCGTGCACCTGCAGTCCTACGTACTTAGAAAACCGAGATGCGAGGATATCTTGAGCCCAGGAGGTCATGACATTGCACTCCAGACTTAGCAACAGAGCAAGACCCTGTTTCAAAAACAAAATAAAAATAATAAAAAAATTAAAAGAACAATTAAAACTAATACCAATACTTTTATAGAGAATATCTCTAGGTACTTTTATGTAATGACATTGCTCTTTAATTTGCTACATTTTGTAGTCTGTGTAGTTATAAACAGCCTCACTTGAGTCTATTTAAAAATCATTACTTCTAGTAAAAAAACTCCAACATGTATATGTTCTGGCTAAATGTTGGTGTCCCTTCAAAATTCATATATTGAAATCCTAACGCCCAATATGAAGTAGAGACTTTGGGAGGTGATTGGGTCATGAGGGTAAAACCTTTATGAATAGATGTCCTCATAAAAGTGGCCCTAGAGAGATTCCTGGCTTCTTCTGCCATGTGAGTACACAGTGAGAAGAGAAGACGCAACCACATGTTCGTCTGTGAACCAGGAAGCCAGCCCTCACCAGACACCAAATCTACTGCTGCCTTGATCTTGGACTAGTCCTTGGAGACTAGTGCCAGTCTCTAGATTTGTGAGAAATAAATATTTGTTGTTTAAGCAACCCAGTCTACGGTATTCTTGCAATAGTAGCCCAAATAAACAAAGCCAATACTATACCAAGTTAAAGTGGCACTTAAATACACACACATATGTATGTGTGTATATATATGTGTATATGTATATATTAGGTAAGCAGTATGCTTGAATATATTACCAACTAATTGTTTGAAGTGGATTATTTTTAACTAAATGTTTGAAATACATTTATCACTAAACCTGTCAGAGAAAGAAATCTACACTTCTAATTTAATTATCAAAGTAAAAATTCTGTCAATTGTTGCACCATAGGAATTGAAATATCTATGAAATATGTTAGTTTCCTAGTCAGATCTCCTCTTCACTCTAAATCAGGTCACTATGACCAAGTAACACGACTTGGAAGGGAAGAGTTCTTGATTGCAATTTTAAGTCATTTACCTGTAACTCGTGTTATTACGTGAATTTGAAATCAGCAGCTGAAAACTGGAATTTACCATCCCTAATTCATTGATAGATGATACGTAGAAAAAGAACAATCCGTTACTTTTTTCTCCTTCCAGGACAATTATAAAAATGACGCAAAAATCACAAAATGATTCTATTATAGCTGTGTTGGCTCCACAAATTAGCCATTTTATAAAACCTGTTTTTGAACACACTGTAGAAACACGTGAATTCTACAAATGATAATACCACATTTGAGTTTAAATATAGGATAATCCATTACAGATGACTTAACTCTTTGGTAGAGAGCTTAATATTTTTTTCTCCACAAGTTCATATTAGAAAGTTTTAGGCTTAAACATTCTCTGAACTGTAATATCTGTGTGTTTGTACAAAACAAACTTATATAAAAATGTTGGATAGAAATCTAAGAAACATGTTAGTTCTAGAAACACAAGAAATATGTATTAGCATTTTTTTGCTTGCTTTGATTCTTAGCACCAAATGTAGGTTGGCTACTTTAGGATATTAGCTATAACAATTACTTCATTGCAAATCTTTTCTTGGCATCATTCACGCCCAAATGAGCTTAAGAAGCCAATTAGCTACTCTCATGAAATACAATGTTTCTTAGACAATCTGACTGTTTTGATTGAAAAATACCAAAAACAGATTGAAAAATATGAAGTATTTGAGATACTTGTAAACTTTATATAAAAACAAAACGAGACAAAAAAAGGCTGACTAATAGAGTGACCATATAATTTGTCATTAAAAGTAGGATAATTTTCAGAGTGAAATGAACTATTGATAATTAGACCAAAATGAGACAGGCTCAAGATTGCTCAGGACAATTCAAGAGTTGTGGTCATGCTATTGATCAAGGCTATCAAATCAATGTATAAAGGGACTTAGAAGTATTTTTGCACAAACCTGGATTCAGGCTCTGGGTGTGCCATTAACTAAATGTACTTTACCTAGGACATCATTTAAAGCACTAAAGACTACTGTTGGCCAGATGTGGTGGCTCACACCTGTAATACAGCACTTTGGGAGGCTGAGGCAGACGGATTGCTTGAGCCCAGGCATTTGAGACAAGACTAGGCAACATGGTGAAACCCTGTCTCTACAAAAAATACAAAAATTAGTTGGGCATGGTGGTGCATGCCTGTAATCCCAGCTACTCAGGAGGCTGAGGCGGGAGAATCACTTTAGCCCAGGAGGCAGAAGTTGCAGTGAGCCAAGATCACCGTAATGCACTCCAGCCTGGACGGCTAAGTGAGATCCTGTCTCAACAACAACAAAAAAGACTAGTCATTATATGTAAAGTTGTAACCATAACAATATCTGTCTTTCTAGTTGATTGTGAGGAGTAAATGTGATAAGATTTAAAAAGTTAAGATTATTGGTACCAAGTGAGTGCTCAGAAAAGCATAGTTATATTGTACTGATACTGAGTTTTTTGTTTTTGTTTTTAAGCAGAAGAACAAACAGTCAAAGAGGCAGATAATCTGGTTAGGAGATTTTGAGAAGTACCTCTACAGCACTATGAAAATACCTTTCCCATCAAAATTTGCTGAAATTACGAGCTCTTTTATTTTCCTCCTTTTAAGTCAAGTAGTTCTGGGAGGAATACACATTTTAAGCACTTTAGAGGTCTTTTTCCTCGTTATGTATTATTATTAATTAATTGTTGGATAAAAACAGCAGATTATATTTTGCTTAGAATTCAATTGTTTCCAGAACAATTTTCCACATATTATGATTACATTTTTGCATATTAGCAAGTACTATTATCATTACCCTTGCTTTTCAGATGAGGGAATAGAATAAAATACTCCAGCTTAGAGATTCAGAGTTGGAGCTTAACTTCAATGCAGGTTTTCAGGTTCAAGTATCTGGAACTCTATTTCAGTAGGACTAGATAAGAGCTGGTTTTCAGAGCTCAGAGGCTGAAAAAGACAGGCCCAGTGCTAGAAAAAGTCTTTAAGGGACTATATTTGGTAACTGAGTGGCTATTGCTGACAGATGGCACCTAAACATGAGTAGAAGAGAGTGGGGAGGGGAGAACACCATGAGGAAGGTGGGTTCGGGACAATAAATGGTATATAAACACACTTCTGGGGCATTTCAAATACTTTTGGCCTTACCTTGAGCTTTAGCCAGTACTGCATTGACTCAATCCATGGAAGTTTTAGCAACATGCTATCTCCTTACTTCCTACCCCAGGGCTTTTCTGAAGCCTTTACATAGAATACCCATGGAAACCTCCTCCAATCTTATACATATGCACACAGAAGGACAAGGAATTTCAAACTAGTGGATTTATGCATTTGGGAAGAAATCAAACCATTTTTTCCTTGAATGGAAAGGTCTGAGAAGTATTTCACAAAGCTCCTCCAAAAGTCATAATGGACTGAACACTGGGTGGCTTTACTTCTTTCACTATTTGTTTTATTCTTTCCTCTTGGTTTGAGGTGTCCAGGCTCACCAAAATCCAACAGGAAAATATCTTCTCTTCTCTAACAGGAAATTATTCACATATTGGAAAAATTATAGAACCACCAAGAGGTCCTAGGGGAAGAAAAAAACCCACAGAATATGTGCAGTAAGTCTTGTGAGTACTGGTTCAAAGGGTTCAAATATAAGACAGAGATTTATTGACTTAGAAGCACTTGGAACCTGTCTTTAATGAGATGTCCTTTTGCAGCATAATAACTGTCAGAAACATTGTTACCTAAAGGGTGACCTACAGACCAGTAGCATGAGTATCACCCAAAAGTGTGTTAGAAATACGGAATTATATGTTCTATTAGGTATATTGAATCAGAATCTGCATTTTATCAAGACCCTAGGTAATTTGCTCCATATTTAATTTTAAGAAGTGCTAGCCTACAGTAAATGAAGTGGAGATGGCTTAATAGAGTATTAAAGAAGGAGACAGAAGGCACATACACAAAGTTCAAATAACATAGTCATATAGGAGAGAAAATTAGTATCTTTTCCTTGCCTATTGCAAAGTTTATGGCTGAGACTCATACAACAAAAGACAGATTAATAAGAGAAAAACACACTAATGTATTATATAAGTTTTACATGACATGGGAGACTTCAGAAATGAAGGCCTAAAGAAACAGGGAAATCTGTGTACATTTATGACAGTCATGCAGAAGTGTGACTGCAGGACAAAAAAGTACGATCTAATGGTAATAAACTAAGGGAAAATTAGCAAGGCCCACTTATTCAGATTAGTCTTGGTGACTCTGTGTATTCACTCTGTTTCTCCAGGTACAGGGAGGACACCTCTCAAATGAAGCTCTTATGAGCTACTTTGTTGGAAGGTCAGATAATTCTTCTGTGGTCTACTTCATGGGAGAATGCTGGGAGAAGGTCAGAGATACCTTTCTACTACTGCTATTTTCTTAAATGCCAAGGTGCCATACTTGGGATAGCATGTTCTGAGTCCCATAAGTCAAATAAAAAAAGCAAATTCATACTTAGGTAATAAGGGACTTTATTCAAAAAGACTATTGCAATAGGGAGACTATTGCAGAGAAACAAAAGTAAACAAGACGAGACAAAACTGGGTATCCGGGATTAGGCTGAGCCAAGGGTATGATTAGAGAGTTTATTAGGGAATGTTTTTTCCATGAGGTCAGTTGATTCTATGGAAAAGCCATTGAGAGGGTTGGTTTCCAAAGCTCAGAAGAGAGCCAAAATTTAGGGATCTGAGGGAAGAAATCTTAATATAGGTTCATTGAGTTAGCAGAGATTCATCCAGATTGGTGAGTAGGAACAAGCAGTTCAGTTAACTATGAGATGAATAGGCATTTGTAAAGTCTGTGTCTGTCTTTATTGCAAGTAAACAAGGGGGTCAGTCATCCAGGAGTCTTACCTAAAGGTGGTTCTTTGTAGTAAGCCCTCTCATGGAACACAAATGGAAGATTTCTCAGCCATTGCTGTTTGCCAGGGGCACAGGGCTCAAGTAAAGCTCAGCATCACCTATGGTCAATGTGTAAACACAAGTTGCCATTGTTCTTTCTGTTTTTCATTACCCTGTCATTTCTACTCTTTGGAATCACTTCCCAAACAAACTACCTACATGTAAACCTTTTACTGGCTCTGCTTTATTTAGGAAAACTAGCCTAAGATAGAAAAACAAAGGCAATCTTTACATTTAACCTAAATGAACAGTTAATATTGTTAAAAGGACCAGCAATACCAGAATAGACTTCTGGATAACTGGCTTGCTCTAAAATACTCCTTGGCTTTGAAGAGAGCTTTGTCAATGCAGAAACATCAGTGCCTGTGAATCTGAAGGTCTGTATTGAAGCTACTGAAAGTTATCTGAATTTAGGAAAAAAAAATGTTCACACTTTCAAGATTTCAGGTGTTCAGTCAATAAAATATAGAGAATATCTGACTCATGGACTATGTATAAAATATAGAAAAGTTCTTTGAATTTCCTTTGTAAAAAGTATTACTAGCTCATAAAGCAATTTCTCTCAATTGTTGGACATAAGCATTTTACTACCAAAGAAGTGGTAAAATAGGTAAGAACTGAGAAGTTAAAAAAAAGTAAGTGAGAAACAAAAGTTACTTTAATGATTGTAACAGCACACTACTGGGGAACTACTAGCTAATAATGTCTGTCATATAATCGGTGCAAAATGTGTATGTTAAGCAGGGAGAAACCATATCTTTCTCAGGCAGTCCTGGAACCAGCCTCCATGTGCCCCTCAGGAGTACTTCACCATTTGGGCACTGCCCTTCTTCAGAGTCCTAACCCTGCAAGGTCCTTCCTCTGAGCTCCTGGAGTACCAGCACCAGGTAGACAGCTCCTCCTGTTAGAGCTGGGACTCAGTTCTGAGGATGGCTGACTCAGTTCTGAGGATTGGCTCCTCAGTGATTCTAGTCCTAATACATTAAACAACTTCTCTACCACCCCATCACTCTAGTTGGGGAGCGGGAGGAGGTGGTATGCTGTTTCCTGCAGTTACTGTCTCTGCATTGCTTCGGCGTTGCTTGTTGGTGTTTGTTTTGCCTCTTCAACTCCCCAACATTTTATTTTATCTATCTATCTATTTATTTATTTATTTATTTTCAGATGACGTCTCGCTTTGTCACCCAGGCTGGAGAGCAGTGGCGCAATGTCGACTCACACAACCTCCCCCTCCCAGGTTCAAATGATTCTCCTGTCTCTGCCACCCAAGTAGCTGGGATTACAGGTACCCGCCACCATGCCCAGCTAATTTTTATGTTTTTAGTCGAGTTGGGGTTTCATCATATTGGTCAGGCAAGTCTCAAACTCCTGACCTCAAACCATCCATCTGCTTCGGCCTCCCTAAATGCTGGGATTATAGGCTTGATCCACTGCATGTGGCCTCCCCAACACTTTCTGATGAATTCCTTTTCTGAAATCTCTTTGTGGAAACACATAGTATAATTTCTACAATTTCTGGTTTTTGAATGGACCCTAACTCGTACAAATGATACCAATTGTCTTCATGTGAGTATATGAAAATAGTTCCTTCAGGGGTTTTTAAGCCCCTGGCCTCACTCTGTTCACAACAAGTCTCCACACAGCTGTCACTGATCTTGTGGAAATGCAGATGGGTTCAAATTACGCATTCCTTTAATCTCCCTCAGTGGATCATCAAGGACATAACAATTCCTTTTGCTTTCCTTTAGGTACAAATTTTCTTTAATCATGGGTGAGCAATTTTCTTTCTGTGAAGGGCCAGATAGTCAATATTTGATGCATTGAGGGCCATACTGTCTCTAGCTTAGCTACTTTACTCTGCCTTTATAGCATGCAAGTAGCCATAGACAATACTGAAAGAATGAGTGGCAGAATTCCAATAAATGTTGACACCGGTGGCAGGGTGGATTTGGCCAATGAGTATATTTTCCTGACTCTTGCTCTAACAAAAGTTGTTTTTTAAAAAACTACTACTCAGTTCTTTAGCATGCTTTCTTCCTACCTCATGCTTCTGGTTTTGTTCAAATATATTGTCATCTGAATAAAACATCATCCTGGTCTTATTTGAATGATGTACTCCTAGTCATCCTTTTAAAACCCAGTTAAAAGACATAAAGTCTTACCTCTAAAGTGAAAGATTTTGACTGTACATTTTACTAGGGAGTCCTCATTGATACGTCTGATTCTCCTGCTTTACTTTGTAGTCATTTCTCTTTTAATGGGTAAAATACTATATTGGCCATCTGCATATCATGTCTTTCTATAGGAATGTAAGTTCCTTTAGGGAAGAGAGATTTTATTTTTTAAATTCAGCTGTTATGATGTGTTTATTGAAATGGTTTTATTTGTTAAAGGATTAAATGTATGAATGAATGACTAAAATATGTCTCAGGCTTCTCTGTAAGTTTGGTCTTCCTGGTTCACATTTTTTAAGGAAAGCTTGCTTCCACTTAAGACCTGGGCAACAAAAGCCAAATAAAGAGAAACATACTTGCCAGTGGTTATCCTTTTTTTGGTGTTGGTTAGAGAATCTTTACTAAAATCTGAAGTTGCATGGTGTCTAATTAAGAGAGACAACTGTATTTAGAGCTAAGTTTTTGAGAGAAAAATAATAGAGAAAATCTGGAATTATCTCCTTGTTTTATACATACAGGTTCTTTGAAAATAAATAGCTTATAAAAAAAGACTCATTTAAAAGCAATTCAGACCATATAGTAACATGTTATGTTCATCACATTTAAAATCCTAAGGCTTCTTGTTTTCTCAATGAACATTCTGCCAATAGGATTTATATCATTGTACAGCCGTTTCTGCCTCCAGATTCTCTTGCTTCATTCCCATGTGATATGGTTTGGCTGTGTCTCCACTCAAATCTCATCTTGAATTGTAGTTCCCATAATACCCACGTGTTGTGGGAGGGTCCAAGTAATTGAATCCTGGGGTAGGCTTTTCCCATGCTGTTCTTGAGATAGTGAAGAAGTCTCATGAGAACTGATGGTTTTGTAAAAGGGCTGTTCCCCTGCACAAGCTCTCTGTTGCCTGCTGCCATGTAAGATGTCCCTTTGCTATTCCTTCGTCTTCTGCCATGATTGTGCAGCCTCTCCAGCCATGTGGAACTGTGAGTCTATTAAACCTCTTTCCTTTATAAATTCCCCAGTCTCAGGTATGTTTTTATTAGCAGCATGAGAACAGACAAATACGCCATGTTACCAAAATATTTCTCTGAATACATCTATTTATTGACTTTGAGACAGTGAGCAGTGAATAGTATTACTACTAATAAAGTTTTTAAAAAACAACAAAAACCTTGAAGTTAAAAACAACTTATGAGTACAGTTTACAATTCCAGACCTTGCATTTTACTTAGTGATAAAATATTTCCTTTTTTTTCTTGGTCTTTCCTGTACCAGATGTTTCAGTCTTAAATATTATACTGGTGCTTTTCACTGCCTTTAGGTCATAACTGTCATTAGCTTAAGAAATCCTGGTTTAATAGTAAAACTTATCAAGGGAAAACTAAAAAAGTAACCCAAAACTCTGTCAAAATATTCAGGTTTGGACAGGTAGTAGTTCATATAAAAACAGATTCTAGAATTGAGGGCATGGGGTGTTTGGGTGGGGAGTCAAACACTAAATGACTGGTCTGAACATTGCATAGTGAACCAAAAAGCCACAGATGTTTCCAGGTTTATGTCTGAAAATCTAGGAAGATGAATGATTTATATATTTTTATTTTTATGATGGGGAGAGTCAAGTGAATTGTGCTGTAAGTAACAAGTCATGAGATGTTGAAACATATGTTGAAAAGCTCAGTGAGTTGGATACCAAAATTGGCTACCCCACTCTGTCCTGACAGCTAAACATATTTTACTTCTAGTTCATGCATTTCTGCTGCCTTAATATAAATCTTATTATTTTATGGAAACAATGGAGAGGTGACAAATAACTTTGACTCCTTTAAATATTGAGAAGAAATTTAAGAATCGTTCCTAGTTGAAAAGATTGGGTACACAGAGAAAATAAAACTGATAATATGTGATTTTAAAATACGCTGTTTGGAAATCTATATAAATTATTTGCTAAAAAGGTAAATGCATTACAACAAAAGTACTTCATATTTGTCTATTTTCTACACCTACATTGTACAATCTAAAAGAAAATCCTTAAGCTCACTCTCCCTACACCTGCTATAATTGAAGACTGCTTTTGGGTGTTCATGGTGGATCATATTACTAACCAGTAAATATTATTACAATGTTTAGTCACTAAAATAGTTACAATATTGTTTTGAACATGACTCAAAAGCTATTTGTATTAATTAAAACATCCACCTACATCTTGAAATTGTTTTTTTCTATTTTGCTTTCTTATAAAATTGCCTTCCTGTCTTTTCTTCACATCCAGGATACCACAAAATGGGTTAGCTACTTACTTCATCACTGCACATTTCTTACAAACACACCTGAAAATTTATCCCTTCTAAAGCAGCGTTAGACATGAGTGATAGCTCTAACATTCAGCTTAATCTTTACTGTATTAGTCAGGGTTCTCTAGAGGGCCAGGACTAATAGGATAGATGTATATATGAAGGGGAGTTTATTAAGGAGTATTGACTCACACGATCACAAGGTGAAGTCCCACAATAGGCTGTCTGCAAGCTGAGGAGCAAGGAAGCCAGTCTGAGTCCCAAAACCTCAAAAGTAGGGAAGCCAACAGTGTAGCCTTCAGTCTGTGGGCCAAGGCCCGAGAGCCCCTAGCAAACCACTGGTGTTTGCTCAGGAGTCCAAAAGCTGAAGAACTTGGAGTCCGATGTTCAAGGGCAGGAAGCATCCAGCACGGGAGAAAGATGGAGGACAGATTTAGCCAGTCTAATCCTTCCACGATCCTCTGCCTGCTTTTATCCTAACCAGGCTGGCAACTGATTACATGGTGTCCACCCAAATTGAGGGTGGGTCTGCCTCTCCCAGTCCACTGACTCAAATGTTAATCTCCTTTGGCAACACCCTCACAGACACACCCAGAAACAATACTCTGCATCCTTCAAATTGAGTTGACACTCAATATTAACCATCACATTTACCAAAGAAAATTAATCTGCAATTATAGAATAATTATTCAGCATGATTAATTTTAGAGCAGTATCATGTTCTCAGTAGGGGATATGCACAACTGAAGAAATCTACAAGAATTCTATTTCATTCTTTTCTTTACTCTATTATTTCTCATTTCATATTTTTTTCTCAGAGATCCTTGTTTGGATATTCCTCGTTTTAAATACATGTTAAATTCCACCTGTTAGTCAAACTCCAGCTAGAAAATATAGATCACACTAGTTTTTTTAACAGAAATAAATTGATATAAAGAGGTTTTTTTAACTAGATATAAAACTGTTACCTAGGTAACTCGAAAAGTAAAAAAAAACATGAAGGTATCACAGAAGTAACAATTTTAGGAAGCAGCTCCCCACTCACACCTAAAATGCCTCCTAAATGGGAAAATTGTCAGTGATTTTCAGCTAACCTTGTATTGGTTTTATACTTTCTATAGCTAGCTCAGAGATTTCTGATATCTCTATATATTTTTTAAAAATTGGTCCAGCTTTTTCTAATAGATGAGACGTAATTATTAGCCCACTATGATCTATCATATTCTAGAAAAGAAGGTTTTTGTCAATATTTTTTACTAAATGTACAATATGACTGAATTTACTTAGGATAAATCAGTTATAATTAATTTAACATTGCTGGTTAATACTTAGCAAATGAAAGCACACTTTTTGACAGTTCTGGATACTCATACCTATCTCTCTGTGTAAGAAACTAAGTGTTTTTTTTAAAAATTATATTTTCCAAAGCAGATATTTGAGTGAATATATATTCTCATATGTGAAGTTTTAGAGATAGGATAGGTAGATATAGGTATCTAATATATATTTGCATATTAAATAACAATTTTATTATAGTTAAATAAGCTTATAAATTTTAAATTATTCCCATATAAGCTGGTCTAGTGCTGTCAATCTGTTTCCAAATATTATTTTTCAATGCCAAACAAAACTTTTTATGAAGTATAAAACTATGACCTATTAGAAATGTATTACATAAAAACCCATTAAACTCTGTGATCATTGCTCAGAAATATCAAACATTAAAAACTATATAAAATTATGGATTCATCTGTCAGATGAGAAGATTCTATTGAGAAAACCGCTTTTTTTCCCTGAAAGCTTCCTAATTATGTCTCTTAGCACACAACAGGTATACTCATGAAAATAATTTGAAGTTTAGACATTATATATGTTGACTGATAAGATAGACTGATATGAACTCTGTGTAAGTGTACTTGTTCTATCTCATGCATATTTATGGAATAAGTGTGGATGGAACAGAACACTCACAGTTAAAATAAATCACACAGAGTTAATACAAATCTCCAGAACAATATATCCAACTAACAAGTTCTGATCTGTTCTGATCTTCAGGACAATATATCTGACTAGTCCATATTTACAGTTTGGTATCTCAAAGGCATTTGAAATGCAACAATTTCAAAATCAAACTCTTTCCTCCAGCATGATCCACCTAAACTGCCGCATTTTTCTTAGCATGAAGGCGAAAATCCTTAGGATAGCCTGTGGCAAGTCCTTCCCTTAGTCAGTCTTTGCTGGCCTACCTTGGCCTTGTTACCCGTCACCCATTCCTTTGTGATATCCACAAGGACAGGCAGTTTTTCAAATGTGTCTTTCTGTGGCTACCTCAAGGGCTCTGCACATTCTAGTTCACCTGCCTGCCTTGCCAGCATGCCCCCCCACACACCAATCCCCTAGTCCACCCTGTCAAATCAGGGATATTTCAGCATGCTTCTGTGGGTGTGTTTTCCATGGCTTCACAGGGTGGGGCATATCTTTTTGTTATGTGCTTATTTGACACACCAGGTACATATTGCAGTTCGTAAAAATAGGTTTTGTGATTTTTAAAAATTACCATTTATGTACTCCATCAGGCTGATTTTTTTGTGTGAAAGCAGGTATATCTATTTTAGTTGTTGTTGTTATCGTTTTGTTGTTGTTGTTGTTTTGTTTTTACCATTTCCTAGAATAATGCCTGGCACACCATAGGCATTTAACAGACACTCCATGAAGGAAGGAACAAAGAGACGGAAGGAGGGTTAGATTAATAAACTACCAAGGAAAACATTGTTTGTTTGTTTTTTAATTTACAAAATCCCAAATGTGGATGATTCAAGTAATTTCAGACCCTGCCACCAACAACAAGAAAATATAACTTGAAATAATGTATCCTAGTTTTAATAGCTGCAATGAGTAAATAGCAAGGTTCCAATGAAAATTAAATTAAATAGTATATGTAAAGCAACATTCTGAAAACAGTATATCTTATCCCCTTTCAAGGAATAACAAAAACTAAATTTTACAAAATCCAAATATTTGACCTTTTTTACACAAAAACTTTTGATATACAATCATAGTTTTACCATTAACCTTCCTAGTTTATGTTGATACATCTTTAGAAATTTTGGAAATGTGACTTGTTTTTTTACAAATTTAAATCTTATTTTTAAAATCCCAATTAGCCCTGGCATGGTGGCTTATGCCTGTAATCTCAGCACTTTGGGAGGTCAAGACAGGAAAATCGCTGGAGCTCAGGAGTTCAAACCATCCTTTGCAACATAGTGAGACACTGTCTCTACCAATAAAATAAAATAAAATAATAAAAAAATAAACAATCAACCAACCAAATTAGCCATGTGTGGTAGCACATGGTTGTGGTCTCAGCTACCCAGAAGGCTGAGGATGGAGGCTTGCTTACGCCCCAGAGTTTGAGATTGCCATGAGCCGTGATTGCGCCATTGCACTCCAACCTGAGTGACGGAGGAGACCCTGTCACAAAAACAAAACAAAACAAAACAAAACCAAAATCCAAACAGAAGCAATTAACTGCTTTGGGGCAAATTACGCTTATCTAACTTAGTGGAAACTTCTTAAAATACGTACCACTAAAAGGAAACAGTATTCTCCTACATGTGGCTAGCCATTATCCCAGCACCATTTGTTGAAAAAGGTGTCCTTTCCCCACTTCATATTTTTGTTTGCTTTGTTGAAGATCAGTTGGCTATAAGTATTTGGATTTATCTCCAGGTTCTCTCTTCTGTTCCATTGGATTATGTGCCTATTTTAATACCAGTACCATGCTCTTTTGGTGACTATGGCCTTATAGTATAGCTTGAAATCAGGTAGTGTGATGACTCCAGATTTATTCTTTTTCCTTAGTCCTGCTTTGGCTATGCGGGCTCTTTTTTAGTTCCATATGAATTTTAGAATTGTTTTTTTCTAATTCTGTTAAGAATGATGGTGGTAATTTGATGGAGATTGCACTGAATTTGTAGATTGCTTTTGTCAGTATGGTCATTTTCACCATGTTCAATCTACCCATCCATGAGCACAGAATGTGTTTCCATTTGTTTGTGTAGTTTATGTTTTCTTTCAGCAGTGTTTTATACTTTTCCCTGTAGAGGTCTTTCAACTCCTTGGTTAGATATATTCCTAAGGGTTTTGTTTGTTTGTTTGTTTGTTTTTGTTTTTGTTTTTTTGCAGCTATTGTAAGAGGGGTTGAACTGGATCCTCATCTCTCACTTTGTACAAAAATCAGCTCAAGATGGATTAAGGACTGAAATCTAAGACCTGGAACTATACAAATTCTATAAGTAACATTGTAAAAACCCTCCTAGACATCAGTTTAGGCGAGGATTTCATAACAAATAACTCAAAAGCAAATGCAATAAAAACAAAGATAAATAGCTGGGACTTAATTAAACTAGAAAGTGTTTGCACAGCAAAAGGAACAGTCAGCAGAGTAAACAGACAACCCACAGAGTGGGAGAAAATCTTCACAATTTATACATCTGACAAAGGACTAATATCCAGAATCTACAACATACTCAAGCAAATTAGTAAGAAAAAAAACAAACAATCCCATCAAAAAGTGGGCTAAGGGCATGAATAGACAATTCTCAAAAGAAGATACACAAGTGGCCAACAACCATATGAAAAAATGCTCAACATCACTAATGATCAGGGAAATGCAAATCAAAACCGCAATGCCATACCACCCTATTCCTGCAAGAATGGCCATGATCAAAATATAAAAAACGGTAGATTTTGGTGTGGATGTGGTGATCAGGGAACACTTCTACACTGCTGGTGGGAATGTAAACTAGTACAGCCACTGTGGAAAACAGTGTGGAGATTCCTTAAAGAACTAAAAGTAGAACTACCATTTGATTCAGCAGTCCCACTACTGGGTATCTATCCAGAGGAAAAGAAGTCATTATTTGAAAAAGATACTTGCACATGCATGTTTATGGTAGCACAATTCACAATTGCAAAATCGTGGAACCAACCCAAGGGCCCATCAATCAACGAGTGGATAAAGAAACTGTGATATATATATGTATATATACATATATATATATATATGTATATATACATATATATATGTATATATACATATATATATGTATATATACATATATATATATATGTATATATATATGATGGAATATTACTCAGCCATAGAAAGGAATGAATTAACAGCATTTCCAGCAACCTGGATGAGATTGGAGACTATTATTTTAAGTGAAGTAATTCAGGAATGGAAAGCCAAACATTGTATATTCTCACTCATATGCAGGAGCTAAGCTATGAGGATGCAAGGGCATAAGAATGATACAATGAACTTTGGGTAACTAGGGAGAAGAGTAGGAGGGGAGGGAGAGATAACAGACTACAAATATGGTGCAATGTATACTGGTCGGGTGATGAATACACCAAAATCTCACAAATCACCACTAAAGAATGTACTCATGTAACCAAATACCACCTGTCCCCAATAACTTATGGAAAAATAAAAAAAGAAAAGAATTCATTGAGAGGATAAGAGAAATATACTTTTCTTATGCATTAAATAAATAAAGGTTATAAGTGCCTGCCAAAAAAGGAAACAATATAATATTTGATACCTATAGCATACTTAACATTTTTTAAGATATAAGTAAATTGCAGATATTTATCCTCACATACATGAACATAAGTCAGCTTTCATAGAGAGTCATACAACTACATTTTCTGTAGATAAACCTAACATCATAAATGTCGTCTTGTTGATGAGCAAACTGTTATCTTTGGTAAATGTTTTCCCATATATACCTATATTTAAAACATTTATCAATGACACCTTTGTAATGGAATGATATAATTCATCTATAGTCTATAGGAATATATTTTTCCTCTTCTGGGGCAGACTCACTTCCAAAAGAGCACACAGAATATAGCAATTTATCTTTATAACATAGATTATCTATATGGCCATTAAAACCATGGCCCATCATACTGTAGAATTTTTTTATTGTGTTACAGAATTTTAGCAATTTTCTTTTGAGTTTTGACATAATAAATTACTTGCATGAAAAGTACCAATCACAAAATCAGTCCGTAAGAAGATAAAATATGCTTCATAAGAGTATCTTATTTCACTTTCACATTTCATGTGATTAGTATGTTTAGATTTTTTTCTGTTGTTTGATACAGTGTCCTGTATTAACAGAATGTCATCTCCTAAAATAAACATGGTCAATAAAAAAGATAACCTTGCTATCAACCAATGGTGAATGGAACTGTCAAGGATCCCATTTAAATTTCTTTTTCATTTTCTCTTAGAGGCTTGTGATAACTGATCAAATAATTCATATAGCAAATTGAATTATGGGAAATGGTGTGTATTTTCAGGTCCTAAAAAACCCATTAATAGCCACTGTTCTGTTGTCATAATTTAAGCTCTAATAGTATACAGAGAAACTGGACTATTGTGTAACTGATAAAATAGGGCATGTATTTCCTCACTTGGACTCCTGAATTCTACTTAACACATCTGCAGAAAAGCTTTAACCACCTCACCACAATCACCATTCTTTAGTTTTCTCTCTTTTTTTTTTATTTTTATGGGCATATTCAATAAAATTCTGAAAATCAGAAAAATGTTACATGTTTTTAAATTTAAAAAGAACAAAACACCACCAACTTTTTACCTTTTGGTTTCCCTTTCTTTGTTCTTATGTGGGTATACTTTTAAAAAATATTACTTATTACAGCAGCAAGAGTATTACCTAGGATTAGGGTCACTTGTGGAAAGATGCTCTTGCCACTTCCCTGTGGATCCCTTGGCCACTATGCTTTCAGTACCAATAGCCATGGCTATGTCTCCCTTTGTTCGAGGACTGCCAACAAACTTCCAGAGTGTACTTTTCCTGAAATTCTGTGAATATGAAAAAGCTTGTATATGTACATTTCTTCCACGTGCATCTCTTAATAAGTATCAGACAGAGGCAAGAACATTAGTATTCCAGTTCCTTTGCCCTAATCAGGACCACTTGGAGATAGGACCTATACTTCCTCTACAGCTCCCCTTTAGCACAGACCCAAAGTTGCCCACTATGGAACTTTGTGTGATATCACATCTCTTCTTGACCTCCTTTCCTTTGTGGTTCCATTTTCCTACTTTTCTACCAGAGTTTCCTATGAACACTTCTTATTAAATCAATCTCAAATAAATCTAGCTCTTAGAAGTTACTTCCGGGGAATCTGATCTGATATATGGTATGAGTAACAGAAAAAATAATAAATTGTTTAAAACATAATTTCTTTTTAGTTTTGGAGACGTGGTTTCAATCTCTAACCCACATTTGGGGTACAGAGGTGTGGTCGTAGCTCACTGTAGTCTTGAACTCTTGGTCTCAAGTGATACTCCAGGCTCAGCCTCCCAAGTAGCTAGAGCAGGTGTGTGCCACCATGCTCAACTAATTTTCTGTTTGTAGAAATAGAGATGTAGAGATGAAGTCTCATTATGTTGTCCTGGCTTACTTTCTTTTTGGTCTCACAAGTAAAATAATTATTATGGAGGTGGTTTTTAAATGGTTCTATGTAATAGGTGGTTAGAATTAGTCAAAAGTGGAAGTTATGGCATATTTGGAAGGCAGAGTAAAAACAACTACCATTACTCTGTGAACACTGTAAGACTCAGATGTGGTGACGAATAAACGCAGAGGTCTCTAATAAGTTCCTTCCTGTCATTACTGTCCTTTGCTCCTCTTCTACTCTTCTGACCAACTCGTAGCCCAGTTCACCACAGCGAACCCTAGAGCACCACCAGGAACTTGACTGTGAATCAACAGAAGTGATAGCTACAAAAAGTCAACAGCTTCCCATAGACTGCCACATGCAATTTCCCTCTTCCACTCTGAAAGCTAGAAGAGCTTAGCTTCTCTGCTTGGCTTGTTAGTGACTCCTCCGATCTTCCATTTCCCCTTTTAAACTATCACTTCTGGAGATCCTTTCACAATTGTGCAAGATCTAATACTTATACTGAATTCCTTATCTATATAACAGTCATAGGGACACACATGCAGTGATTCACACTTAATGGTCATTTCATAAATATCTGATAAATAAGTGCATAGTAATTTCACAGAAAGAGTTAATTTACTAAGAGATTGGGAAATTATGTCCTTCATATATTAAATACTTCTTTATCATTGACAGAGTTAAGTTAAATCATAAGCAGTTAAGGTATTCACTAAACTTAGAGATCTTTATAAATTCAGAGAATTTATAAGAATTCTTTTGAGAAATTTAGAGTAATAGAACAAAAAAGGCATAGTAGAATATTCACATCCCCAGTTGATAACTCAGATTTACTAAGCACTCAGTGTGTGAATCATTACCTCTCTAATTGGTATATAGATAAATGTGTCCAAAGAAATCATGATTTAATGTCTGCAAATAAATTTTACCATAGTGAACTTTCTTTTTCTTGATATACAGAAGGAAGGTATTTCTAGATACACACACAGAAAATTTTAAGTAATTTATGGTTTGAAATATGAAATTTTTATGCATTGCCACCCAAAATTAAGCCTTGATAACAACAAAGTATAGCTATTTCACTTATTTAAAAGAATTCAAAAGAAATACTTGTTTTATTCAGCTTTGCAATGAAGAAATCTAACAGGAATTACTGTGAATCATAATGTAGTGGCTCAAATATCCATGATGTTTAAAAATGAAAACAGGAAAATAAAGAATGAGAAATGTATCCCAAGATTTACTGTAAATGTCAGAAACCTTGAATGCAAGAAAACTCATAAAATAATTTTTCAAGCTAAATTCTTACAGCATATTATTTATATGTCAACTGTTAATACTGCTGTCATCATTCATTCTCAAAATGCTTGATAAATTTTAGTGGAAGTATAAATATGCTTCTCCAATTCAAGATAGATTTTATTCTTGCTATTTCAATTAGATTGCCAATCTTTTCCTCCTACTCCATATCTCCCACTTCCAATAGTGTTATTTATATTTTTTTCAGGAAGGAAAATGAATTATGGTATGACCATACAATAAAATGTTGCTATGAACTCTTATTTAGTTAACTGACTTAAAATTCTGGACTGTACATGGGAAGGGTCTTAGTGCGACTCTCAAAGAGTCTTAATCTACTAAAGATTTGTAGGTGATTCTGATATGAAGACAGTATTTCAAACCATGTTTTGTTTACTCTACAGAGTTCTATAGTATAATTATAGATAACTGACTCATAGCACTCACTGGAAAGTAAGAATCTTTTAAACATTAAGCAGTATTTAATAACGTTTCCAAATTAAGTAAATTGTGGAAACCACCAGTTCTATTACCTACTAGCTGTGTGACCCCAATCTGATTTCTCCTCTCTAAGATGTGAGTTTCCATGTATGTAAAAAGAAAGAAGCTATCCGCCAATTCTTCCTCAAGGTAGTCCTAAAGTGCAATGGAATTAACGAACATGCAAACATGCTTTGTAAATCCTTAGCTTTGTGAAAAAATATGCTCTGATAAGCATGGCTGAAAAACAAACAAAAAGTTCTGCTTGGTGCAGTGGCTGACACCTATAATCCCAGCACTTTGGGAGGCCGGGGTGGGCGGATCACCTGAGGTCAGGAGTTCGAGACCAGCCTGACCAACATGGAGAAACCCCTATCTCTACTAAAAATACAAAACTAGCCAGGCGTGGTGATGCATGCAGGTAATCCCAGCTAATTGGGAGGCTGAGGCAGGAGAATCACTTGAACCCGGGAAGCAGAGGTTGCAGTGGGCCAAGATTGCACCATTCCACTCCAGCCTGGGCAACAAGAGTGAAACTTGGTCTGAAAAAAAAAAAAAAAAGTTCTGAGAATTTCTTGAATTGTGTGTTTTCTTTAATCCTGCGTTTACCAGTTCCACAACCTTTCAGTAAGCTAGAGCTCTTGTGTCATCTCTCATACCCCCATCAGACATTTGGGGAGCACCCATGTCTGGAGCACCCATCAGACATTTGTCACCTATTCAGAACACATTGGTATGATTATAGTTATCTATACTCCTGGGAACAACTGGATGTGTCATTTCATTTCCTTATAACTAGCTTTGATATAGAAAACAAGCAACTGCACACAGGACAAAGGCCATGTGAGTGGGATGACTGGGCAGGTGAAATAGAAATGGAAACAACAGTTGATGGGTCTGTAGAAGACACGGCTTTGCTCGTTTCAATACTGTCACGCTGTACAAAACGGAAGTTACCTGTGAGGCTGAAACTACCGTAAGCTAAGGCCAGTAGGATTGGAAAGACTCCTAAAATTATTGAGAACAGAAACAGTGATTTATCAAAAGGAAACCATTTACAGTTTGATCATTATTTATCTGTTTTTCTTAAGGCATTCATGACATATTCTGGGAATTACCTGAATTATTTACTTTTGTAATACACTTTGGAAGTTTCAGCCATTCTTTGTATATCACACTAATAAAATTCTAAGGGAGTAGAGCAAAAACTAGTCACGTTTTGTTTTCCTTTTAGTGAATAAACTCTTTTGTGTGCGATGTGCTAAGCGGTCTCTATTTGCCCTCAAAATAGAAGTCATACTACTCATTACTGTTTGCATGCTGGAGAGCAGGCCAATTGATGGAGTGGACTGGTTGGGTTTTTTAGACCATTCGCTTCTACTTAGTGGGAGAAATCTGTATGCTGAGAGTGTAAAGAGTGAAAATTTGGGGTACTTATGCCCCTGCCTCCCTCCATATAAGACCAGGTGCCCTCCTCTTTTTCACATTGCAGCTCCTATCCACAGCCATTTCCTGCGGCTGCAGATCACTTTGTGTTTCCTCCGACAACTCCGATGGCACCTTTCTTTAGAACCAGGGAGTTTCTTATTTTTGTTAGCAAATGAATTGTTTCGCCATTTCCTATTAATCTCCCTCACTCTGTCCATATCTTTGGGAAAATTTCCATCACTGAATTTTTTGGACACATTTTGTGTGATTTTCTGGCTCCCTTAAAAAGCATATGGTGTATAAAATAAATAATTAGGTATAGAAGCTACTCATAATTTTTTTTTTTGAGCTGGAGTCTTGCTCTATTGCTCAGGCTGGAGTACAATGGCGTGATCTTGGCTCACTGCAACCTCCGCCTACCAGGTTCAAGTGATTCTCCCGCCTCAGCCTCCTGAGTAACTGGGATTACAGGCGCCCGCCACTAAACCTGGCTAATTTTTGTACTTTTAGTAGAAACGGGGTTTCGCCATGTTAGTCAGGCTGGTCTCGAACTCCTGACCTCAGGGGATCCGCTCACCTCGGCCTTCCAAAGTGCTGGGATTACAGGTGTGAGCCACAACGCCCAGCCATAATTGTTCTTTTTGATACAAATTCTATTTTTAATTCAGAAAACAAACAGGAAAGGCAAGCAAACAAAACCCACAAACATGAAACATTTGTTATTTACTAAGGGAAAAAACCTAACCTGCAAAATACTTATTTTTTCTTAGTTTAAAAAAAAAAAAAAAAAGAGTTACTTCTATGGCGTCCAATGTCTAAAATAAGGTAAGCAGAGCAACACAATAGAAAGAACACAGTCTTTGGAATCAAAAAAGGCACAGATTCTGCTGGACACAGAACCCCTGTCTCTCCCTAGTCTATGATTGGTGCCTCGTTAACTTCCTATCTCTAACCTTTATTTTTCCATCTGCAAATATCAAATTTCTGGGGCTGTGAAGTTCTAAATCTGTAGGGCAGGCTAAAAATTTCAGCAAGTGTTGATGTTACAGTCTTGAGTCTGAAGACAGTCTGGAGGCAGAAATCCCATCTTCCGGAACTCCTAAGTCTTTTCTCTTAAGGTTTTCAAGTGAATAGATGAGGCCAATTATGTAAGGTAATCCGCTTTACTCAAAATCTACCGATCTAAATGTTAATCACATCTAAAAAATATCTCACAGTCACATCTGGACTGGTGTTTGACCAGACAACTGAGTACCAGCGCCAAATTGATAGATAAAATTAGCAATTAACAGTAGGCTTTCAATAAGTGGAAAATCTTTGCCACAAGCATGAAAGGGGATTGTTATCATTAGCATAAATAGACCATCCAAAATACAAACGTTTTACACACACCCAAAAAAGAAATTCAAATGTCCATTAAAACATAAGGAAACATTGTTCAGGTCACTAATATTGTAGGAGAATGAAATCAAAAGCACCAAAATCAATTTAAAAATGATAGATGTTGTTATTTGTAAAATTTGTATTGAAAGAAGAAGGTGGGGAGAGCTTGTAAACCAGGGGCTAGAAACACCACATCCCATTCTATATAGATCTTGAAAATAGAGAATTTCTGTAGTACATAGATGGATATTATCTAAGATCCTTTGGGATCTAAGATCCTCTTTGTGATCAACAAAGGAAAAACCTCAACATATCTCAGTTGAGGAGATTAAGACCCATCTATAAGTGGCTTAAGCTGATTGTTCAGGATAGGAAAGAAGTAAGAATCACTTTAGCTTTTAGAATTTATGACATGTAATATTTTCTCATATAGAGAGACATCCATCCAGCCGTCAAATAAATGTAGCATAGATTACTTTTCCCTGGGAAATTAGGGGGACCATTATTCATATTGGTCCTCATATTTTGCATTTCATACATAAAAGACTAAGAGGTAAGAAGGAGTTTGATGGTGGGACCCTAAAAAGGAAGAAAAGGAGAAAGAGAGAGGGAAACTGAGGACGAGGTTGCAATTTTTTGTATTTTTTTGAAGTAAAAAATATATTTGTGAAATTTGTACAATTATCCTAAAGCTTTTCTAGATCTCAAAAGTAAAAGATATCATTTTGTGTCATTTTTTTCACCAGCAAATTTTAAATACATTATCCTTACCCTTAAAGATTAAGTATTACATGAAGATTGATGACTTAAAATTGTGGCCACTCTTTTGTGTATGGTATGTGCCAATATCAGAAAGGGTGAAGTAAGTGGAAAATGCCAGTTTCTAGCCAGGAAATTGAAATAAAGGAAGAAAAATAGAAGCACTAGCACTTAGACCCCTAAATCAGCCACAGTCAGGAAAGTGACAGCCCACTTTTTTCTCTTCTCATGGCTTTGGTTTGCAGATGAACTCCAAGTTGCTTTTGAATGTCATAAGGTTTCACTTAAATAATAAAAGAAATGAATTTGGAGCCCAAATCAAAAAACAGGGTTTAGTTTAACAACTAGAGCATGACTGAATGAGAAAGGTTCTGGTCTATCTTTCAGTAGATTCATCACGTAGTTCTAATTTCTCTTTATCTGACAGTTACGTCCAGCCCTTGGAAAGTGTTAAGCTTAATTCTTTCAAACATAACTAAAAATTCAGTTTCCAGTAAAGGTGAAAAAATGTACTTCTTTAAAATCCATTTATTTATGATTAACCACAATCCCTTGTTAAGTTTCAAAATGAGTGGAATTGAAATATTTCAGAGGTATGTCCCAAATCAGCTGTCCTTATAATAAGAAACATATGTGTATCTCTCTCCATATACATATATATTCTATGTGATATATTATACATATTATATATTATAGTATAATTATATATACACATAATAATATATGCATATTATATATTATACTATAATATATAATATGTATAATATATCATATAGAATATATATTATATAGAATCTAGAGTCAAGGTTAACAAGTGATAGTTTTTAGGGGGATCTGAAATTCTTAGAACTATGGTAGTCACAAGTCCTTGCAAGAAATTCAGAACAATGAATTCAATGTATGACAACACTGGAAAACATCACAGTTCCTACAAAAATGAAAGGAATTCCAAAGTCTTGCCACAGAGAGAAAACAATTTAATACACCCAAAAACCACACCCAAATTATTTCACATTTAGTAATAAGAAATCAGTTTGGAAATGTTTCACATGTGGCAATTTTGACCCTTTGGCCATAAGTTTCTCCACTCACTTTTTCTTTACTTAAGGAGTTTCCCTTTATCATTTCCACAGTCAGCATCCTTTTCCTTTATCTTCATTTCCCATTCACCATTACATTTATTCCCCTAAATTCCTGACATTTTTCTTGTTCTGAAGGATCTAATTTGATTTCTTAATTCTTTTTTCATAAGCTATACTCTCCTGTTAAAAAAAAATCCTAAGTATGTGGTGTTCCTGTCCATTCAGTATGCTATAACAAAAATATCATAAACTCATAAACTGAATGGCTTAAACAACAAATATTTATTTCTTACAGCTCTGGAGGCTGGGAATTCCAAGATTAAAGTGCCTGCAGATTTGGTGTCTGGTTCATAGATGGCTGACTTCTCTCTATGTCTTCACCTGGTGGAAGGGACAAGAGAGCTGTCTGGAGTCTCTTTTATAAGGGCACTAATTCGATTCATAAAGGCTCTGTCCTTGTGTGCTAATCACCCCCAAAATGTACTCTACCTCCAAATATGATCACATTGGGGATTAGATTTCAACATATGCATTTGGAGTGGAGGGCCATAAGCATTCAGTCTATAACATATCGGGATCTTTTCATCCTCCTACCTCTCTAGTCTTTATTCTTTCATATTTTTGCTTCCTATATTAATGAGACAAATAATTTTAAATACATAGAGTAAAATCAAGTTACATTATGGGAAATCAGGTGTGAAAAAAATGTATACATATATATTTTTATACATACACATGTAAACATACACAAATGTATATACATATATGTAAATATATTTTTATACACACATATGCACATATGTATGTATATATATGCATACTCACACACACACACACACACACACACACACACGAAATTTCCATGAAAATTGCTTTTGAGACAGGGGGCAGTTTGAGAGGAAAAGTATGAGCCTATGCACTAAATCCTTCTTTTTGAAAAAGTTCCCCACCTTAATTTTGAAATTTGTTTATTTCTGGATTAGATTATCAAAAAATTGCATACTCAAGATAATTTTTTTAAATGCAGAGTTTCATACACTATATTTTTAAAAACTACCACTAGTCTTGCTCTATGAAAATAATGAAAAATTCTGTATCTTATTTAGGAAAGTATTCACTCAATATCCCTACATTTTCAAAGAATCCTGGGAAAGCTTTGTGAGGGCCATAGAAGAAACATGAACACAAGTTGATGAGTGTCTGTTTCAGTAAATATCAGCCTTTGACTAGTGGGGAAGATACAGTGAGCAGTCCATTGCTTCAAAGCATTTAAAATTCAGTTTGAGAAGCAACATATCAAGGTGAAAATTTTAAATTATGTCTTAAACATAACACATTGTAACAGTGGAATAATTGTTCTATTGTTATGCATAATTAATATTCAGAAAATTGCCCTGAAAATGATTGCTATGGGAAATCAAATGAGAGCAAGAATCTTGGTCTGAGAAAGTTAAAGCTTTTGAGATTAGGTAGGTTTTGAGCTGGTGACAAAGACCAGATCAGATATGAACAGAGGCTGAATGTTCAGAAAGAACAAAAATGAGCCATGATAAAAACTTCCACCAACAACTTGATTGCCTGAGATAGAATTAGTGGAATTAACTTGAAGACAGAGGGGAGATTATTATTTAAAAAATAAATACTAACTGAGGTTGGATCTTGTTTGCAGCATACTCATATCATGGAAAATCTATTTTTTCCCCATGACTTCTGTACATTAATCTCACTATACTTAATTAATGTCTAATGCTTTTTTTATTGAAGATTTAATAAAGAAAGATATAAAAAGAGAGAAAAAGGATGTGGATGGAAGAGAATAACTTTATTTAGTGGCAGATGTTTTAATTTTCTACATAAAAAAATCATAGATTGTCAAAAGTCAAATCATAATAATGCAAAGGAAAATTTTTCAGGACTCTCAGTAACAATAGTGAACCATTATATATCAGTAATGACCAATTAGAAAATGTAAAATTTGGAAAAAGAATGTATTTTTAATAGAATCAGGAGCATTAAGATTAATAGTAATATGTAACAAAACTTAAAATTCTTGTCAAAAATTACACAACATTATTGAAGGACAAAAATAGAAATGTGAATAAATGAAGAGATATAAGCATCAATTTCTACCCACATTAATGTATAAATTCAATACAATTAAAAATAATACATCAATTTTTTGGAACTCCATAAGACATTTTACAAATTCATAAGAAAAAGTAAAGTGCCAAAAATTGCTGATAGATATCAAGATTTAAAGAATATCAAGATTGTAATTAACACGGTGCAGTCTGGTACTTACATAAATAGAGTAATTGAGTCTAGATTAGAGTTGGAAAGTTTCAGGGATATGTGTAACTCAATATATGACAGATGCCGTAGCCAATAGGTGTGAAATTAATGGATTACTTAAAGGGATATACGGCTGTCTCCCTTTCATAACAAATCAATCTAAATTCTAGTCTGAGATCCAGGAAGATTATAACGTAAAGTCATTATTTTTCTACTCTCTTCTAGAAAAGTACTCCACGACAAGGAGACACACACACACACACACACACACACACACACACACACACAGTCTCCTTATATCTTTGAGAAATCTAGAAGACAAAAAATGTAAAACAAGTGCTAGAAGCAATGACTATTTTGCAGGGTCATGAAACAAAGTAAACTAGAGAACACGTAGAGCCTACGATTTCAGAAAGGGTTGGCAAAGTATACTTCTTCAAAGGTCCAGAGGAGGGAATGAAAGCAAAATTCCTGTCTTTGACCTTTCTTACAATAAAAACAAAGCAGACCTGCTACCAAGAGTTTCCCAGGGCAACTGTGGTCTCAGGAAGCACTAGAATAGCTGTTTTTCCAAAGTAACTTCAAGATATCGCCTTCTGTATCAGAAATTCTCACCCAAGTGTCACAACTCACTAATGTATCAGGTAATGGTGAAATAAATGATACGCTATTTGTTCCTAAGGATAAAACATCAAAAATTGCAACATTTTACCCTTTCTTAAATAAGAATGAATTGGAGACTGTTAATCATATTACTCTTTCACTGGATATTCAATGTGACTTTGGATAACGTACATATGTGAGTGTTGTCTGTTTATGTGTCAGAGTGGAACAAATAGACTGAAAACCATTACTCAGGGGGTAGTTCTCCTTGTATGTTAAATGTATTAATGCCAGCTGCCTTTCTAGTCAGAGACATGTATTTTGACAAGATTCTACATCCACATATTTCAGACTACATAAGTGGACTTTAATCCTTTTTCCTCTAAGACCCTACTGTGCAGGAGTGAACTTCTGAGAAGACTGGGAAAAATCCCTGCCAGCAACTGCTTTTGCTCAGATGTCTGCAGGACAGAGAGGCTCAGCAGGAAGCTGGGCACATGTGTCTCTAGTATATTTCAAGAACATCCATAGAACCAAAAAAAAAAAAAAAAAAAGAAAGACCAAATTACTGCGTCATGAGGTGCTTTTTTTTTTTTAATTCTCCTGAAGACTATTTTTATTTCTGTGCTTGCGTCCTTATGCCATTTCCCTTTGGAAGAAGAGAGGCAGCTAAAGAAAGTCTACCAGCTGAAGAATCAATTGTACCAGATATTCCTCTGTCAACACCTTGATTCCAGCAGAGGCTGTTTCTGCTCCTCAAACCGGCACCAGGGTTTGTAAGACAAACCTAATAGTGGGACGCCCAGGGCTACATACCTGAAAGGAAACTTTATCTTTCCTCTAATAAATAAGAAAGAAAAGAAGGAGAGAAATCAGGAATGTTTGTATTACATATCACTGGATCATTTTGATTGATTTATTGCTTACTTTTTTCCATCACTCCATAAAGAGTGAGAGAGAAAGCTGAGTGGTGAAGGCTGGTGAAAGCATTAATCTTTTATATCCACTCTAAGTGGCTGCTTTATTTGACAGAAATGTTACCTTCTGGTGTGAGTGGTGTTTGCGTATTTACTGATCTCCTTTTTTAATTGAGAAGGCACTAATGCATTATAGCACATTCTCTATCCACATGTAACTTTGTTTCTTTTTTTTTTTGAACTTGGTATTATTTTATGATTGGATGGGCTACAAAAAGCTTTTGATGATATGAGATGGTACCATTAGGATTCAACACTGTGGTGCCGTGCACATCTTAAAAGAATAACGACATTTTAACAAAGATTTCACTATAATTATCAGTCAACCATACTAGCCTATTCCATTTATTTATTTATTCCACAAACAATACTGATTTCTTACTATGAGACATGTCATAAACTTCAATATATGAGAAGACATTTTGTAGTTAAGTGCTTAAAAACTTGGTAATAAGAAAAAATATAATGTATATCCCTGTGATGTCAAAATGATAAGCATAGAATAAGTGGTAAAAATGAACATGGCAAAAGAATGATGGCGATTCATCTTTCTTTGATGAAGATGAACGGGGTGGTTGAAGAATATCACCTGAATAAGAGTACACGCATACATATTATATATATATATATATGTGGGTATATACAATATGTAAGTATAGAGTCAAATGACATCTTCTATCCACTGACGTTAAATTATTACAATTAAAACTAGATACTTAAAATATATTATTTATATAGTGGATTTGAGAATAAGAACATAAATATATTGTGGAAAAAAGGCAAATCCATAATTAAAAGTAAATATTTTATAAGAGAAATGTTTAGAAGTTATTAGAAAGCATGGCTGGCACTTGGTCAGTAACACAATATCCATTCCAAAAATATCCCTTTTTTCTGTTCTCCATCCATGACAGAGACATGGGAAAGAGAGTCAGCTTCTCTAGGAACTAGGAATGGCTATAAAACACAGTTCCCACTCGTAAGAGCTTAACAAAATTAGGCTGATGTGCAAGGCAAGGGAAAATGTTGGTTTTCCTGGTAAGGGACAGGTAGAGCTTCACTGTTCCTTACCTTCTTTTTCTTTTTTCTTTTCCTCAGATGTGGACATAATGCTTGACGTTAAGCATAAGAATGAGAAAATGCAAGAGAATCTTAGAGTCCTTAATGAACCAATAGAAGAAGCAGCCTCTTCTTCTGTGAGCAAAATAGATTCTAGTGGTACCAGCCATTGTAAGTTTTATTTTTTGCTATTTTAGCCCATTGATTCACAATTTGTTAGAGGAGATTTCCGCAAGAGACATTAGGCAATGTCTGGAGATATTCTTGGTTGTCACAACTGAGTGCTAATGTCGTCTAGAAGGTGGAGGCTAGGCATGGTGCTAAACACCCTGCAATTCACAGGACAGCCCCCACAACAAAAGATGATCCAGTCCAATTGTCAGTATTGGATTGGATCCAATTGTCAGTCCAGTTGGATCCAATTGTCAGTATTGTCCAGTCCAGATGTCAGTATTATTGCCAAGGTTGAGAAACCTTGGTTAAAAAGGTTATCCAAAACAAGTTAGCAAAACACCCCTAATTGATAAAGTAATCACATAGTCTCTCTATTTTACTCCTCGATGAAAGGCCAGTATGTTTTCATGTTGCCCTGCGCTTACTACATCATAGTTTAATCAGTTCCTTATATTGCATTTTTTCATAGCTGTGCTATTCCTGTTTAACACCTGCCACTTGTAACACTTAAGTGTTATAAAGTTTGTAATTCTGTGTTTATGTTGGCTCACATGATCACTTGAGTGCTGGCATCGTGCCTCTGGACTGTGGGCTTCCAGAGCGGTGTTCAACCTGCCTTGAGAAACAGGAGAAAATTACTGAGTGAATAAAGGCCTTGGTTCCAAACTCTTGGGATAACAAAAACAAACAAACAAACAAACAAAAATCCATAATCTGGATGTACCCTAATCACAAAAATAGACTTAGAAAGATTTTGGTAAGAGAAATAACTGTGCTCCCTTGCATAGTTCATGAAATCTTGAGTGAATTTCGTTTCTTCTGAGCTAAACTAAAAGTAAACTTTTCCCTTTGTAGTAATGGCTGAGTCAAAATACTACAGTGTTTTGTGTCAATTTTTAAATTCTTCTATTGTTGAAAGTAAATTAATAGAATCAAAGAAATAGTTTTGGTCAGACGTGATGCTGTGATAAAGTTGCATAATTACTTTTTAAATTTGTTTAATATACTTGTCTATGTCATACATACTCACCTATATTATGATGTAATCAAAACGTTTTAGGCCTGCACATCTCAGGAATATTTTGTATTCTCTTAGTAGTCTAGAAACTAGATATCATCTTTGAATGTTTTTACAAAAGTAAGCATTTGGGAAATGGGTGAAGATAAGAATTTGCATATCAATCATATTGAAAATTAATGAAAACATGAATATTGATATTTCACTCTTTTTGTAATAAAAACAGAGTAAAATATTTTGCCAGAGTGTAATATAATAATAAATAGCCAGGAATAATAGTACATTAACAATGAAAATTAGTCATGTTTTTTAGCACTTATATTGTAGCCAGCACTTTTTAAGTCTTCTGCATATAGCACTTAACCCTCAGCATAGCCTTGAAGTAGACACTGACTATCCTTAATTTTAGAATGAGAAAATATGCATAAAACTCATTGAAGATAATACCAGTAGTTAGTGATGGAACCAGTAGGCACATTCTTTTTACAACTGAAATATTACATATGATCAAAATATACCAAGTAGAAGAAGTAGCAATGACTTGTTGGTAATCAGATCAGCAGTCCAGGTCAGCAGGTGCATGTGCCTTCTGACTGGGCCTCTCTCGCCCTTATAAAACCACCTGTAGTTTGACAGCCATTTCTCTTGACACCCTGTTTTGTTATTGTATTTCCATGTGTACACTAATAGTCACATATTATACTTAGCATTTACATATTATTAATATATTACCTTTTATATTAATACATCTTAAATATATTAATAACTTTTATATGTATTCATTTTAGTGAGGTGAATGCTACATCTTTGATGCTGAGAAAACATCAAAATGGTATGAATTTTGAATTTGTATTCATCAGTTCTGCTTGTAAATTATGATTCTCACATTCATGGAGTGGGTGGGGTTATAACAATACTTCACCTCCCTGAGACTTTTTTACTTACCTGTAAAATGGGGAAATAAACACCATCCTCACTGACTGTTATCTGTAGATGAAGTCTCTAGTACATTGCCATGGGCATAGTTGCTGATCAATAAATGGTAACTTTTTTTTATTATACTTTCAGTCAGTTAATAAATATTAATGTTCAGTTCCAGCATAGCATTAATATTGCATCTACTATATTCTACTTATTTCAGATTTTACTATGTAATACTTCCTAATCACCTGATTATGTGTTTAATATATGACCCATCATTTAACCCACACAAGTCAGAAATACTAGTGCATTTATAGAAATTCATAGCTCATCTGCAGGTGAGCATATTGATTTGAAAGAAAAAATGTAAGCTACTTGGGTAGCTTAAGTTTACTAAAAATGAAATATTCCTTTTTCAAAAGATATTTAGATATTTCAAGCTGTATTTCATAGAAGGCAGGTTTTCTAAGTGTTTGGGGTGAGAAAATCATATAAAAACAAAATGTATAATAACCCTAAAATTAATTATTTTATGTTGGGAAATATATCACAAGAAATCTTATGAAGTTGACTATACCTTATTTACTCTAAACTTTTGACTGCAAGGGCAATTACTCTAGATAAACACACAAGCTTATTTAGGTTAAATATGTTAACTAATGAGGCAAGCTCATAGGTTTAATTGCATTAACGGTCAATCAGCTTTGCCTTGCTCCATGGAAACAGATTGCACTCCAAATTGTAACTGCCCTCATCCAAATGAATGAAAACAATCATAAGAAATTGCAAGACATTGAAACACTTAGTTGAAGTTCATCTTCACAACTTCAGCCTCCTGCATTATAAGTCAGTAATACCATCAAAATAATACACAAATACTATTTTTTATTCTAGCTCAAATATTATTTTTTATTTTAGTGTGGTTCTTTTTATAGATATAGAGCTTGTTATTACACACGATATAAAATATGAACAACACTGCCTAGCATTCAAAGTCTTTCTGAGCTAATGCTCTACATTTCAAAGTCTTCTCTCCTTTATTCCTATTCTGGCTTCTTCATGATCATCCATGAACCTGTCATAATCGTACCTGGTTTTGTTCTTTGCTTGACCTTTTCATCACTCTGTTTTTCCTCTGGTAGCTCATAGCCTTTATTTTTAAATATATGAGCAATAATAATTATTATTAACAAAGAACATATAAGTGAAATGTTACTATATTTTTAAAAATATTGTTACATAAATTAATCTTCCTTACTCCTCAGAATAACCCAATTAATTAGATACCATGGTTAGATTGAATCAATTTTAAGGCTGGAGAGATTAAAATAAAATGATTCTAATATGTTTTGTTACACTGAAAGTTACTAAGGTCATCAAAGTCACCATGAATCTATTTCTGTCTTGTCTCCAAAATGTCATGCTTGATGGCCGAATGGTCTTTACAAGAGCTGGGACTTCTTAACGTCTCTTACATGGCACAAGAACTCTGCAGCTTGTCTGTTAAATTCTCTGTGGCTTATGGGTAAACTCCCTTGGGAACCTGAGTAAACAAGATCAGTTTGGGAGCCTTCCACTAGTTATTTCTCAAAGGTACAGAATTTCCAGTCAAGAAAAAACTTTGGCCTATCACTAATCACTAGTTGGTTTTCCCTGCATTCAAACATTTCCCATGCCTGCCAACTAGTTGTTCTCAAATATAGACTGACTTTTCATACAGTAGATTCATTTAAAGTTCAGTAAGATTTTATCCTAATATAGACATTTTAACAAATTCTGAAATTTCTTGCCAATGAAATCATTCCCATTACCACAGAAGACACATATACTTAGTTTTTTTTTTAATATTTTTATGTGAACCCTTTATGAAGTGTTTCAGTATGGGTTTGGAAAGAGAAAATATGTTAGATAAATCTGGTAAATAGTAATTCTTCTGTAAGAGGACAAAAATAAGGAAAATGGAAAAATAAAAGTAAAATTTATAACAAAATTTAAGAAAGAGTTTTTGCACTCATTGTAAATGTTGCGTGGAAGAAAAGGTATAAAATTCAAGAGGGGAATCTGAGGTCCACAAACATCAATTTTAGGGAAGACAACCTTCTCCAATTTAAGGGAAAAATGTAACTTCCAAGTATGGTAATATTGTCTAGTCAAATTTTCTGAGAAAGTAATTAGTGTCTTCCCACATCAACCTCTGTGCTCAAAGGTAAGTGTTTATTCTTTATCGTGGCTGAAGAAATTAACTTTACCTTTAGATGAGACTAAACTGGTATATATGTGGTTTCTAAGTGTGCCTGATAACATGTTTACTTGACATTACCATAAGACGCCTGCTGCATACTCTTGTAATTTAAACCTTGATGGCAAGTGCAGAGTTACTTTAAATATCATTCATTGCATAGAATGGATAGATACAACAGTAATTTACATGATTATGTAAAACATAACATAGTTGATTTGCAAAATAATTCTGTTGATGAACCTCTCCGTTCAGGTTAGATAATATTAAACAACATAATTTTCCTCCATGAACTCATTACAATAGATTGAATTTATAAACCATCCAGTGATGCCTATTAAGAAATCAGAAAATTTGACTTTTCAAGCCTGATCATGTTCAAACATAAGAGTGTGTCTACATCTTAACTGATGAAGCATAATGCAATTTCATGAGCTCAGAATAGAATTAGAAATAAATGTTTGTTGCTTTTTAAAATGAAAACCAGTATTTTTTTCATTCACAGAACCAAAAGGAAAAAAAATCATTCCACCCTTAATTTATCCTTCTGAAAATAGATTTTGTAAAGTTAAAATATTTACTATCATTCTTATTTTCTGTTATACATTTCTCTTTGTATCCTATATATTTAGAAAATCATATTTTTTTTTTACTGGCCAAGAGTAAAAAAAAAAAATCATTTGAGTAACACTATCTGTCCTAAAATAAGGCTATTCTACATGATTTTAAACATACCCTGGAACTCAGATTTCTCAACTGTGGTATGTGGAAAATAATAACACAAATATACAGGGTTTGCATTAGTTGATATATGCAGGAATTTAGAATGATATCTGAGATCTAGTAAACACTCAACAATGTCAGCTGTTACGGTTTACTACCTACTACCAGCCAACATTATCTAATGTGTATACTACCATTTTGGTAAAAGCTTGTCTTTATTTTACAGATGAGTTAACCAAGGCATAAAGAGTTTAACTAACTCGCCTGTGGGCATTTGATAAGTAATTATTAGAGCAATGATTAAGATATAAGAATTTTAACTGGAGCATGTGATCTCCCAATTTGGTGTAAAGGTGATAGAATTAGTACACTATTAATATAGTGTAGTCTAAAGAAATGATACGCCAACATTGTAAACAAGTCAAAAAAGTTAATAGAAAATGACAATTGAGTTAGAACTCAAAGGACAGTTAGGCATTTGCCACGCAGACACATGGAGACAGTTTAGGCATTCCTAGAAGAAAGAACGTGTAGCCGTAAGATACAGGTCATCCAGGTAAGACCGAATAAATAATTAGAAACAGAAAAATATAGTGAGGTCTTTTTTTTTCCTTTTTTCTTCATTTTTATTTTCATTTTTAGAGATGGGTTCTCACTATATTGCCCGGGCTCGACTTGAACTCCTGGGTTCAAGTGATCATCCTCCCTGGGCCTCCCAAAGTGCTGGGATTAGAGGCATGAACCACTGCTCCTAGCCCCAGTGGAGACTTATGAACTGAGGATGTTGGGATATATAGAGACCATATTATAGAGAGCCTTGTAAGCCATATATATTTAAATTTGACAACTGTTTTCCTCCACACTAATTAGCAGTTAACTATAACTTGTGATTGCTATTTTTGTTCTTCTTTAGAATTTCTTGGTACTCAGGGCTCAACTGGAATGGAAGCTCTTTAAAGGCCAGATCATACCTGTTTCTTCTGTACTTGTCACAAGCACCTAGGACAGTGTCAAAGACAGTGTTATAATTCTTTTCATGCATTGATTGATTGCTCTCTCTCTCTCTCTCTCTTTCTCACTGTATAAGGACTTTTGCCTTTTCATCTACTTCATTCAACACTTTTCTGTGGAACAGGAATTATCATTTTATCTCTACAGAGCGGAACGTTGGGCTTATGGAGGTTTGTGTTATATGCCTGATCTCGCTTACCTAGGAAATCACTGAGTTGAGATTTAAACGAAGGCATTTACCTTGAATGGCCATGCTCTGCCAAAACAGCCAACAATAACATAACATCTCCTGAAGTAGATGCATACAGCCATGAGATTAAATGGTAAAAGGTGAATGGCTAGTAAGTAAATATTTAATTAATTTATAAGTTATCTTTCTCTAGCTTAAAAAAACCCACTACAATAAAATCAAAGATTTTTTATTTTTTCAGATTGATAAATTCTAAAATTAGGTTACATTAGATTAACTCAGGGGTCCTAACTGCAAAAAAAAAAAATAAGTTGGGTTGATAAATTCTAAAATTAGGTTATATTAGATTAACTCAGGGGTCCTAACTGCAAAAAAGAGAGGTTGGGTGGCAGGCAATGAAGAAGCAAATACGCATTTATTTGTGTTTCTACATATGTAAGAAGCGGCATAGCCCAATAGCCAACAGCATAGTTTTGAACTAAAAACTACCTTGGTTTAAGGCAGCACTTATTTTTTCTGTTACCAGAGAAAGTTAATTAACATTTCCTGCCTTAGTGTCCTCATATATAAAGGGGGTTTATAATAGAATCCACCTAATAGGCCTGTTCTAAGGAATAATTGATTGAGCATTCATAATAGAGACTGGTTTATGGTCAGGACTATGAAACTGTTTGTTACCATTATTATCATTATATAACTCACATGTGCTGTGAATTCTGAATCATCTAACTTCTTTTGTGTATATTTTACCAATATTGTTCCAATGTTCACTAAAGGAAAAAATGAAATCATGAGTTTCTAGGAGATCATACTCAGGATAGTTAACCATGAAATGACGTGGTACACATTGTGCTAAGCGTAGGCAAAGGACACTGCTTTGATTAGAGGCTGACATGTGAGAGAAAGGAGATCAAATACAAAGCCATATTTCCCCATGAGCCATGCCTCAACAAGGTGTTGGCCAATACAAGAAATCAGGAGTAGGAGAAGAGGACTGAAGCCACCACAACCAGAGGAGTGCTGACTCTCACCAAGTTGAAACAAAATATTTTTGCTTCATAGGGAGCCAGTTTTCTCCCAGCACTATCAAGCTTGAGAGCCTACCTTAGAAAGCACACTTCCTCACAATCTTGTTTTCCAATACAAGAAATCTTTTGGGCCTGCTTTCTTTTCTGCTTAATCTATTCCCATCCTGATTTCTGTGCCTTTGTTTCCCTTCCTGGATGTCTACAAGTTTTACTTTTTCTTTTTTGTAACTTGGTCACTGGCGGTGTGTAGAGAACTGTTCCTCATAATTGTCCCTTGTTTTCATGCTTTGTGACTGTGAATTAGAGGACCTGGCACAGTGCCACACCTGACCCCTTCCAAATCTTTGTGACACAACAGCTGAGATCCACCTTTTTTAGATATGATCTATCTGGGGAGGGATGTTAAAGCAATTGAGGGAAACATTAATCAGGTCAAGTTGGAATCATTATTTTTATACAATGAAACATACTCTCAAAAAAGTAAACACCTCAAAAGAACACAGCTAAGTGAATTATTGAAAACAAAACGCGCATACATAACAGGGCATCGCTTGGACCCTGTCATGCTGCCCACATGCCTGCCCGTAATAAGCATGCCTTCTTTACATTACTCCCTTGATTTTATTATTTTTAATTTAAACTATTACTTTTTTACAAAGGTCTTAGTTAAATACTGATATAAAAATGATTATTCTTATTTTTAATATATACATTTATAACTTTACAATTTTCCCCTAAATACAACATTGCGTGCATAACAAAAGATTATAAATGCCATATTTTAATTTTCACTGAGTTCAGAATATTCTGTAATTTTGATTTTGTATGGCTTTCATCCCTTGGATATATAGAGGTATGCTACTTGATTTGTTTCTAATTATCTTTTATTTGGTGATGTCAATCTTAAATTTACATTGGTAATACAATATCCTCTTACTTCATTTCCCAGTATATTTGTGTTTTGGTAAATATCGCATGGGCCTTTAAAAAGAATTAGCTTCAGTGGTTGGTACTGTTTTACATATAAAAATTGGATTATAGGCTGGGTGTGGTGGCTCACGCCTATAATCCCAGCAGTTTGGAAGGTTGAGGTGGGCGGATCACAAGGTCAGGAGTTCGAGACCAGCCTGACCAACATGGTGAAACCGTGTCTCTAATAAAAATACAAAAATTAGCCATTCGTGGTGGCATGCGCCTGTAATTCCAGCTACTCAGGAAGCTGAGACAGGAGAATTGCTTGAACCTGGGAGGCAGAGGTTGCAGTGAGCCAAGATCACGCCACTGCACTCCAGACTGGGAGACAGAGCGAGACTCCGTCTCAAAAAAAAAAAAAAGAAAATTGGATTATAATTCTCATTCAGAAGCAACTTTTCTTCATCCTTATACGTTTTTTATTAATTTGTTCTACCAGCTACCACAAGAAACAGATTATAATCTTCTAATGTCATTCTGAACTTAACTATTTCTTATTTTAGTTTCTGACATTTTTCTTTACATATTATGAGTTTATGCTATTAGGCATTTTCACATTTAATATTTTTATCTATTTTGTTAAATCATCCTTATATCATTTAGAGATATGTCTGTTTACCTTAGTAGTGTTGCTTTAAATTTTATGTTGTCAGATAGTATTATAGCTGCATGAGTTTTCTTTTGGGTAGTGTGTTCCTATTTTTTTGCCTTATCTCCTTTTCTTCTGTATCTTCATATTGAAAGTGGGTTACTTATAGGTGACATAGGATGTTTTTCCCTTTCAAACCCAATCTTACATGATTTAACTTTCAATTAATTAGTTAATGTTATTTTATGTAATCATTGACATATTTGAATTTAAGTGTAACTTCCAACTTTCTTTTATGTTGCTATATTTAGTTCATAACCATTTTACGAATTTTTCCATCTGTATGTTTAGCCATCAATTTGTTTTACTTTTGGGGGGAAATTTCAAATAAAGTGGCATACAACAATGTGATTCAGCTCTGAATACGTAAGTGCTTATAACTTTACTGAAGGTTTAATAAGTCTTATTACTGAGTATCTCCTTTCTTGTCTACTTATAGAACATTTTCTTTCTAATAGCTTTCTAGTTATGCATAATTTGTTGTTCTTTTCACAGTTGTAGAGGTTACAAAATAATTTTTGATATATCAAGCTATATAATGTTAGTACTTTTGCAATATTTTCACAACTCAGTGACCTTTCATAACTTTAACTTGACTTGCCTATTTCTTTCTTGTGTGCTATTTTAATCACTTACTTTAATTTCATATACATTTTAAGCACAATAGAACATTATTAAAATATCTTTATATCTCGATTTGGCTACAAATTACTCATTCTGTGTCCCTTATACTTTGCTGTTTTTCTGTGCAACTAGCTAGAATTCTTCTGATGAACACCTTTTAGTATTTGCTTTATTAAAATTATATTGTAGATAAGTCATCTCAGTAGTTTTCAAATCTTAAAATATTTTTATTTTACTTTTTTCTTTTGGGTAAAATCTTAAGCTTACAAGTGATGGACTGTAGTCACGTGTACACTCATGTAACTACTACCCCAAAGGGCCTTTTTTTTTTCAGACCACTACCATTATCTGTAGGCAACCACTTTTCTGATTTATATAATCATGTATTAATTTTCCCTTTTCTTGATCTTGGTAATGGCATCATAGAGTATACACTCTTTGTGTTCCATTTCATTTACTTAACATAATGTTTTTAAGATTCTTATATGTATTACATGTATCATATGGACGGATGGATAGATAGATAGACAGATAGAATTAAAACTCAACATTTTATCATGAATATTTTAGATATATATAACATTTGAAATAATTGTACAACTAATAGACATATTCCTATCATTTAATTTCTATAATTATTATTATATTTGTTTATTGCATACATATGCTTCTAATCATCAATTATTACATCTTATTTTTGGTACATTTTAATGAAAGTTTCAGACTACTGTACCCTGCACTTCTAATTGCATCAGCATTCATATTATTCACTACAATTTAATATTTGTTTATAGTTCCTTTTTCAGAAAATTTTACTTACAGTGAAAGACAAATTTTTACCGTACAAAGATAACTATTTCTTATTGCTAACAAATACGCCACAATGTGATTATCCATTTTGTGCATTGGCAGAAGTTTGAGTTGTTTTTAGGTTAGGACTATTATAAGTAAATTATTATAAAGATGACTGCCCAAATGTTTCTTTGGACATCTCTATTAATCTATCTTGGATAATCACCAGAAGTTAGAATTGCCAATTTAGAATATATGTATGTTAAACTTTATTTTTTATAAAGCAGTGTTGTGTAGACTCACATAATTAGATCACTCTATCTCTCTTTGTCCTGCATAAGCACATGCACACATGAATATCAAAGACGCACAAACACACACGTGGACACTGATTTTACAATGCACTGCTATCAGCAAGACTCTCAAATAGAATGTTGTAATCTGTCATAATTTTTCTTCTTTCCTGGAACTCTGTATTATTCCCACTCTCTGCAAAACACTCCATTTTATTTTAAGCCCCCTATTATCATGTTTCATACCCTCATCTCATTTTCCACCCCCAGAAGAATAATGCTGCTTTTTGAAAACTACTCTACTTGATATTTGTACATTTCTTAGAAGTATGATGCTTTGATCTTTCATCATTTAAACATATTGATTTTTCTAATTATTTCCTGTCGTCTCCCATCTCAGTTTCTAAACCACTATTTCCTCCCTTATGACTTTCATACTTGCAGTGATTAATATGTTCATTTTTAAAGATAGGAAGAAAAGATCTCTTCTCAGTAGGCTTATTTTCTTTCAACATTGAGTGTATTATTACCTTGAATGTTTCAGATAGGATTCATTAATAAATTTACTTAAAATGTGAGGGGATATAGGCAAATAAACATCATGTGAAACAGAATAATTAAAATTAAAAACACAACAGAAACAACCAAAAAAGTGCTACGAAAAAAAAGTGTTATCAGCATGTGGGTCTTAGTTTGCTAATACATGTCTCCTGGAAATTAAGGCAGTATTGAGAAACACAGAGTAACAAAACTAGCTAAATATAATAATAATCATCTGTTCATTTATATACAAAGACAACGTTGATCATGGCACAAGTCTTTGCTGTGCATATATTTGTTATTGTTGGATGAAATGCCAGTTTCATGCTTGAGATCCCAAACACAAGGGGTATAATGTTTTTATTCAGTTATCAATTGCTTTCAATCAGAGATTCGCTCATGTGTGGGTTAACAGAGAGGTTTACATATAGAGTTAATAATTTCTTATAAATACGTTAGTCTTCTTAATCACATGGACAAGCCCTAAATTCCTCAATACTAAAAATTGAAAAAATTCTTAACTTGAAAATGTTTATGAAATTTATAATGAACTAAAATCCTCGTTATCTTTAGGATATCAGAATAGGTCCCTTCCTTTTAATCTAAGAAGGTCTTGATGAACCTACAGGGAATTTTAATTACCATAAATAATCACCTCCAAACAATCAAATGCCTTGACATTTGGGAAAGAGGTATTTGAGAATATTGAAATATATTTTAAATAACACTTCTTTAAGATAGAGTCTTTTGTGGGCATAATTTCAAAAAATAATCAATGGATTCATCCAAATTTTAATATTACTCCTGGTCCTGGGTAGTACATCTATACATATGTACATTAAGATGGGGAACACAGAAAGACAGAAAGTTTTTGTGTGTCTACATATTTTGACAACTTGCATGGCAAAGAATATTGGGAATAAAATATACTAAATGCTCCCCAAATTTTAGACGTAATCACCACCAGCTGAACAAGCAAAGACAATTTAGCTAATTTAAGTAAAACTTTTAGCTACTATTGTCACAGAACTTGTGGCGGTGGGTGGGGGTCGGAGAAAGGCAATCCTTCAGTAACATACACATAACTAAAGAATCATAAATAGGTGAAACCCTGTCTCTACTAAAAGTACAAAATTTAGCCGGGCATGGTGGCAGGCACCTGTAATCCCAGCTACTCAGGAGTCTGAGGCAGGAGAATCGCTTGAACCTGGGAGACAGAAGTTTCAGTGATCCCAGATTGTGCCATTGCACTCCAGCCAGGGCAACAAGAGTGAAACTCCATCTCAAAACAAAAACAAAAACAAAACAAGACAAAAAAAAACCACAAAAAACCCATAAGTAAATAAACAATGGGGAAAAGGGCCAGAATACTACCAGAGGCAAAGGAGTATACTTTTTTTTTTTTAATTATTGGATTCATGGTAGATTTTAATAAGCGTTAGGTCCTTCTCTTTTCCTATTTACTTCCAACTCATTACAGAAAGTTTGGGCACAGAATTTTTTTCCCCCAAAGTATTTCAAATATAAAATGTTTCTACATGTTAAATGAGACATGTTCTTTATTGTCCATTTCCTGCTTTCCTTTAGGCAATGGATTGACTCAGTGTTTGAACGGAGACATCCTACATATATTCAGCACTTTGCTTTAAAATGATCATATTTAAAACACAGTTTTTAAGAAATTATGTCACTTGTGAAAGGGAGCAAATGCACAGGAAAGAAAACAACTCCTTATTTATGCTGACTTCTCTATAAAAGGATTTTAAATTAATGGGAAATTTCAACATGAAAATAAGAAAGATGAGTAATTTAGATGAGAATAGAGTTTCTAAATGGTTCAAAGTGATTTCCTGATGGCATTTTAATTTAAATTCCCACAAACAAGTCATTTCAAAATTACATTCGTAGCAGTTGAATCCAATTTCTAGTGAAATTCTAAACTAATTGAACCTAGTTACTCTTAAGAGAAAATTCTCAATTGCATATGCCTGTTTTGTAGAAGTGAATGAAAAATGCTATTCTCAAATTAATAGTATGTCTCAGAAGATTTTGTTTAAAGCAAATCTTCTTACTAGTATTAACTCTTATAAATATATGTATATATATATAAAATTTTAAAATATATATCACAAGAAAATCCTAGGTAAGAAGTAATGAGAATTAATAATTAAAACAGTTATCACTGTATACCTTTTAACAAGATGATATTTCAACATCAGTCACCTGTCTATGGAGGAAGAAAACAATGTCAGCTTTCTCAGTCTATTTTTGTACACACATTTCACTCTGTCCGTGGTTGCTAATTATTGAGTCATGAAATAAAGAAATCAAACTGTGGAGGTGATGATTTGAACATATCATCAATCTTCCTACCACTCTCTTCTTTAAATCAGCTAAGAAAGTTTTTTTTCATGTTATTGTTTGAGTTATCTAAGAATTTTCTTAAGGTTCCATCCACCTTATTCTGAGTATATCATATTGACAATTTATGTGACAGTTTAGGGGGAAGAAAAATAATACAAAAAGTTACCATAATTTTAAGAATATATACAATTTTATATTTATATATTTTAAGTATATTACATTGCAAAATATGTATATGCTACCAAAAATATTACAATTTATCCCCTTTTCATTTGACATTGTCATTTCCATCTAATCAATGCAAACTGATTTTACTCTATTTCTATTCATTCTGAGAGCTCAGAAATAATTTTCAGAAAATGATTGTGCCTTGTAGATATGTCTGCATTATTTATGAGTGAGAAGCATATTGATATTCTCAGATCTTCCCTGAATTTCTTCTCAGTAATTGCTGCTGACACCTTGTAATCAAGTCAAATAAAATCATCATGAGTTTAAATAAAACTTTGTTTTAAAATTGTTAATTTGTGTCAATTATGTAATACACATACACACAAATACATTAGTATTCATATAAGAATGTGTGTGTACAAGAATGTGAATAATTATATATGTGTACACATATAAACTTATAAATTTACATTTACACATGTATTTAAAAAATAACTAGCTTTATAAACACTGCTATATGAGCTTTTATATAAGAGTAAAACTTTAATAAACATTTTAAACCAATCAGATGATGTGGCAAGAAAAAATGACAACTACTGTTACATATAACAATAATGCAATTATTTCTAATAATTGACCAATAAAATAATTTATCGATAAATACTATCAATACAATAATGTTTTTTCAGTGACCTTATTATATGATTCATTATGTTTCCCTCGCTTTTCTAAGAATCAATCATTTAGATAAAAAAATTGTACATTGGACTGAAAAATAGATAATTGGCCATATTGAGATGTACCAAATACATTCAAAAAGTTCTTCTTACATAACATTTGTTGGTAAATGATATAGTTTGTGTCCCCACCCAAGTCTCATCTTGAATTTCCACATGTTGTGGGAGAGACCAGGTGGGACGTAATTGAATCATCAGGGCAGGTCTTTCCTGTGATGTTCTCATGATAGTGAATAAGTCTCACAAGATCTGATGGCTTTATAAGGTGGCGTCTCCCTGTACAAGCTCTCTTTTTGCCTGTTGCCATCCACATCAGGTGTGACTCACTCCTCCTTGCCTTCCACCTTGATTGTGAGGCCTCCCCAGCCATGTGGAACGGTAAGTCCAATTAAACCTCTTTCCTTTGTAAATTGCCTAGTCTCAGGTATGTCTTTATCAGCAGTGTGAAAATGGACTAATACAGTGAATGAGCAGATTAATAATTAAAATAACTGCCTTCGATATATATGGCATACTCTTTAAAGAAAAAGTAATCTCCTTTAAAAATGCAGGAAACAATGTATCGATGGAACTTTTTATTAATATATATTTCCAATATTATTTCTTAATGTCACCACAAAGCTAATTGACATTATTATTGATGTGGTAGAGAGGCAATCAATCCATGTCTTAAAATTTGTAAGAAAATCACCTTTCTGCGTCTCAAATTTAACATGCTATATTTAATATGTATTTTCTATAACTTTCCCCCAAGTAAAGTGGTAATCGAATTTATATGGTAAATACAGCAACACATACAGGTTACATATTAATTATATATATATAAATTTATACATATTTATTTAAATGCATATATATATTTATATATTCAATCTACATGTGTTGCTGTATTCACCATAAAATTGATATACAATTTTTTATATATATATATATATAATTGAGTGATCCACTAGTTAATATTTATTTTCTCTCCCTAATGTCCCGATTTCTATATGGAGGCACCATCTAATTGTGCCTAACATTGCATAATTGTGCTTCAGAAAATTCTTACCTTCAAGAAAAATGACAAAAATATTTTGGTAACTTTCACCACTAAAGACATCATTTGTAGATTTTCCAATTGTGTTAATTTGAATATATAACATAAACTATTACTAAATCCATAGTTCTTTACAGAAAAAGTCACTGTTGACTGGCGATGATATAAGTGTATATCATTATGTATAGAAAGAGAAAAGAAAGACGCAGATTTTTTAATCTATATATCAAGTACCACAGTTTCACACCATTCCTGTTTCAAACATGAGGATTGGCCATAAAAGTTCATATAGACAATATTTTCATCAGCAGTCTGGCATGATCCATTAAATTTTGGCCATAAATATTTACAGAATATTCAGATCTATATATGAAATTATAGATTTAATACTAATATCCATATAATTGTTAAAACAGAATTGCCCAAATTTTACACTGGAACAATAGCATCAATGGAGATAAAATTTTAGGACAAGTTACATATAAACATAGGAAAGAGAAATATAAGCAAAAATTTACAAATATACATATACATACACATGCACACATACACAAACATATATATAATATACACACACATACAATTTTACCCATTGTTTTATATTTTTGAAAACTGTTTCTGAGGTCTGATATAAATAATTAACCCAATTATAGATAGCATGTTTTATACATGTTTTATACATAGGCACATTCAATATTAAAAATAAAAATATTATTTTACTTATTTAAAAAATAAAAACAATGCTACCACATTGATAAGTATTTAATTAATGGATATACAAAGTTATCGGAAAGCTTTGCTATTCAAAGAGAAAACATTGGGACTCTAAATACTAATAACTAGTTGATTCAAAACCTCAGCAATATTTATATTCTATTTATCTTTCTAAATTAGAGAAGGGTGACAGAGAAAAATAGAGGGATATTTACAAATGCTTAAAAAGGTCATGTTTATTGCTATTTTAGTTATATTTTTATGACTTATTACAATAATATAAAACAGACTTTACCGAGTTGTAAATCTGAACCTTATAGGAAGCTATCATAATGTAAGTACTCTCTTTCTGCCCACCATCTAACTTTGCCATTAGGTAAAGTCAAATGGATGAAAGTTTGGTCTAATTTTTCCCTAGAAGAATGTTTTCTTCTGAAGTTGATTATTTTATAACTGTTTCATCTTTTTGGCAGAAAACAAAGGCTGCCTCTATACTCAAATGATAACAAAGAAAAATGTGATTCAAAGGATTCTGGCTTTTCAATCATTTTGCCTACTGAATGTAAGCATTTGTAAAGATGATTAGACCAAATGTAATTTTTAAAAAGTTGACCAAAGACAATGCCTCTTTAAATTAAGGCCATGTAAACTCTGCCTGTTCCAACTACATAGTCTCATTTTTGATTGTAAGAATTTGAGTAAAACATTTATGTCTGAGAAAGAAGTCCAAGGAAAAATTAATCATGCACTAATCCATTGAGGAAGATGATTTCAGGGAGAAACTGCATTAGTTGTCTGAATAGCTAATAAAATGTGTTTTGCCAGTATCAGCATTGTATAGCAGATGCATTTATACACAGATTTACTGTTTATTGGAAGTATATATAAGCACCAGAAATACAAAGTATACGTAACCAAATACATTGCAACATCAAAGCAACATCATAAAGCAATTGATAATAATTTTCCAACCAGGAATAACTGAGTTTGGTCTCTGACCTATTTTTGTAAAATATGTGCCTGGATGAGGAGTGACTCGTTGCTAATCTTTCTTCTTTTCTCCAGCTTTGCTGAGATATGATTTACAAATAAATATGGATATATTTAGGCTATACAACACGATGTTTTGATGTTGTGTATACACTGCAAAGTGATTACCACAAATTAAGAAACATATCACATCACGTAGTTACATTTGTGTGTGTGTGTGTGTGTGTGTGTGTGTGTGTGATGAGAACAGTTATAATCTACTCTCTTTGCAAAAATCAGCACATTGTTATTAACTATGGTCACCATGCTGTGTGTTAGGATTCCAGCACTTATTCATCTTATAGCTCATAGCCCTATAACCAATACCCTCCTCTTTCTCCCTTCCTCCAGTCCCTGGAAATCACCATTCTACTCTGTTACTATGAGTTTGGTTTATTTTTAGATTCCACATATAGGTGAGATCATTCAGTATTTGTCTTTCTGTCTCTGGCTTATTTCACTTAGCTTTATGTCCTCAAGACTCATCCACGTGGTTGCAAATGACAGAATCTCCTTCTTCTTTAGGGTTGAATAATATTCCTGTGTGTGTGTGTGTGTGGGTGTGGGTGTGTGTGATATTTTCTTTATCCATTCGTCTGTCATTGAACACTTAAGTTGTTTGCACATGTCGGCTATTGTGGCTGCAACAGACATGAGAGTGTCTTCTTTCTTTGTGTTTTTCATGACTTCTGTCTTAGAGAATTTCACTAAAGTTTACTATTGCTATGATTACTCCTTTACTAACCATTCTTTCTACTGTTTGTGTATCCTTATTAGGTAACTTTTTCACTCTTTTACAGCTTTCTTGAGCCAAAATTTCCCCATTGAAACTTTGTTTTACCAGTAGGTAACCCATTTTCTCTGAAAGTGAATTTCTACGAGATCTCTTTCTGTGACATGTGTAATCTGCTGCAAATCCATGACATTTTTCATTGTTCTTTTTGTTCTTTCATTGAATTAACTTTCTTTCTATCATGGGCATCTGCACATTTCTATTGTTTTACAGCCTGTACCATTCCTGACATTAATTCTAGGTACAGTGAGAGGAGCTATTTATTTCCTTTTTGAAGCTTAATTATTTTGGCAGTGATAACACAATTTACAGTATATTTATACTGAGAAAATGAAAATATTTATCTTAATAATTCAACAAATAGACAGCGTGCTATTTACTCATCCAATCTTCATAGCAATACTGCAAAATAGATAAAATTATTATCAATTTGTCAGATGAAACAACTGAGGCTCAGAAAGGTTTCATGGATTGCTCCGGGTCATAAGGCTAGATGTAAAAGAGCTGGGATTTCATCCCAGGAATTCAGAGTTCATACTCTTAAGTGCTATGTAATGCATGCTCATTTAAACAGATAACTCATATTAATGAGAAACTTCACTGAGACAAACTTAACCATTTGTATATACATACTTCAATGTCTCAGCATTTTTAAATCAGTTATCTGTGCTGTCAGCTGTATGCATGGACATTATTCCTTCATTATTGTACATGTGTTCAATGACAGATCAAAAATTACTATAATCTTAGCAGCTTAAAACAAACATTTGCATTTTATATTTTCCATAGTCCAGAAATCCAGGCACAATTTATCTGAATCGTCTGATCAGGGTTTGTCAAGGCTGTAATCAATGTAATGGCTGGGCTGCCTACTCATCTAGAGGCATAGGTTGGAAAGAGCTGCATCTAAGTTCCCTCAGGTTGCTAGCAAAACCCATCTTGCCATTATAAATCTGAGGTCTTCACATTTGTGCCAGCGGTCTGCTTCTCTATGCAGTCCACAGATCCTTGCCCTGTAGTCCTCTCTATGTGCTCACAACAGGGAGGCTTACCTCTTCAAGACAAGCAGGAGAGCAACCCTCTGAAGTATGCTAAGACTGAGTCCTATAGAATGTAAACTAATCACGAGGGTGACATCCTATTACCTTGGCCATATTCTATTGGTTAGAAGCAACTTGCCAGTCCCACCCCCACTCAAAAAGAGGGGATTACACAAAGTTGTGAATACTATGAAATGGGAAAATATTGGAGGGAGAGTCCCTCAGGATCTGCCCACTGGAATCATTATGGTCATTCTATGTACTAAGACAAAATTCTATCCCTTGGTTTGAATTAAGGTGAAAAATTTGGAGGATAGGAATCTTCTTCCATGATACTTTTTGAATCTGAGTGAGTAGCCACAAACTTTCTGGCATTCTTCAGAGTGGCCAACCTTATAATTCTTGAATTGAAATATGTATTATTGTTAGAGGATTAATCAGATTTTCTCAGTCTTACTCTCCTATGTTTCAAACTCATGCCCACCAATTCATCCAATCAGGAGGACTCCACTAAAGCTCTGTTCCTCTGCTGGCTTCGAAGTGGCAGAGCTGAAGGAAAAGATGATTACAGTTTCTTCTTAGAATATTAGAAAGAAGTTATAAGTGAGATGTATTTCAACTTTGATTATTTTATTGATGGATGTTCATTGACCTATGCACAATTGATGCAGGCAGTCCCACAGTGCTCTGCCTAGGCATCTAATTGAGCTTTTAGGGAACAATACCTAGTGCATTGAGCATGATTTGAAGAAGAAGAAGAAAAAATGAGATCCTTCTTGGAATTGTCCCCTATTGAATTTGAAATGGTTCATGATGGTACTTAAATTACTTTTCATGTTACCCAGTTTTAACTGTGCCACTTACAAGAAGGCTATGTTTGCTTCCGATTTAACTTGTGGCAACACTTTTTTTTTCTATTTTTAACAGTTTTTAAAACTCTGGAAAGTCTAGGTTTAAGAAAATTTGAAAGCATTGGTTAAGATACTACCAATTAAGAATAATATGTAAAAAGCTATATGTTTTATATACACACACAGCAAAAAAAATTAAGAAATTCTACACTTAAATAATTCAATTTCTTTGAAAGGAAATGAGTGCAGGTATATACGAATGTGGAATTCAAGACACCAAAAAAATCAAATGTGCTTGTGCTCTGCTCATACGCTTAATGCTTAATATATTATTAAAGACAGCTCCAGGCAAAAGTCCTGCTCTAAAGATTGGAAAGGCCATTTCAGGGACAAAAAATATCCAGTGCATAATCTGGCTTTGTGTACTCATATACTTTATTACAATTTGACGTAACATTTAAAAAAAGGTGATAATCCTTCAAATGTGGGATAAAAACTGCTTGGAAATGACTCGTCTGGACAAAGGTATTATTCTACAAGATACTTAGGGAATAAAATGTACTGATCAGTCTTCAATCTGAGGCCTTCAGCCTGTGGTCACAATTGTATTCCTGAATACAATAGTAGACAAAAACAAAACCATAAATGGAACATTCTTCATGTTCCACAGAGAGTTCACATATATTATCTCATTAGGTCTGCAAAATAATGCTAGAAAATGGACATTTCTTTAATCTCGACTTCAAATATATAAAAAAATTGGAGGCACCCAGATTTCATTACTCTTGCCACAATATTTTTTCAAGAGAATACAAACTGTATTTTCCATCACCAAACAGATTTCAAGAATCATCTCTTAATATAATGTTAGGACATGTGGCACAGTAAAATTATTAGGCATTTTGGTTAAAATCATGGTTTTACTATTTAATAGATCTGAAAAGTTGAGGTTTTTACTTGACATTTCTGTGTCTTAATTGGTTTCTCTGTTAAATAAATAACAGAACATCTATATAATATTGTTGATGTATATAATGAAATAGACTATATTAATATAACTCATATGTTAAATTCAATTTGGAAAACAAATACTTTCTTAAAATTGCATTTTCCTACTATTTCAGTGAATGCAAGTTTGAAGACAGACTGATTAATTTTAATGTTCTTGGAAGCATCAGTAAAGAACACCATTACTTATTCTGAGACTGATAAAGGGAAGGCCTCTAAATCTGCTGATACTTATTGCTAACTGTGAATACTGTACCCTGGACTAGAGAGTAAAATAAATTATCATAAGAGGGAAGAGATCCTGCTCTTGTCTCTAAGGACTACATTACATATTAATTGGACAATTTAGAAATGAAAATTCACTGTTTCCTCTTACTTAGAGCTCTAAAATGTGTAATCTTACTTGATTCACTTAAAACGAAGGACCTGTTATGTAAATAGAAACATAAAACACAGTTTTAGTATATATATGTGTATTTGAGTGTGTGTATGTATTTACAGATATAAACAGATACACAAATAGATCAATGGATATTCTGCTCTTCAAAAAGATAGGTATGTAATATTAGGTAGCATTTAATCTTAACATATAACTATTTAAATGTTAGAAAAATAATTAAAATGTTATAAGCACTGTATTTTAATATAGTGTTCACATATAGACTTGAATCAATCTCAATCTCGACTAGACATACTAATCTTGTGACTTCAAGCAAAAAAAAAACCCTCATCCAATATCATTTTAAAAAAGTCTTTAATATATATTTTGTAAGTACCTATCTTGAGCCAAGCAGTTATTTTATACTGATTAGATATACAATAAATATATCATAACTGTTAAAAATGAAGAAAATAATAAAAGAGGAAGGAGGAAAAGAAGAAAGGAATAATAACAATGACCGTGCCCTCAAGATATTAATTAGATAATAAGATGTGTATCTTTGTAACAGTGTACATTAATTAGTATTAGATTACAAACACCCTGAATGCTAGATGAGAGATAAAACTGGTCTGTGGAAGTAAAGAAATACTGAAGAAAAGAATGACATATTAGTTTTTTTTTTAATGAGTAGTAATTTTTATTATTTGTGTGTGTGTCTTTAGGCTTTTCTCTATAGAAGATTATGCTATCTGCAAATAAATATAGTTAACTTCTTACTTTCCTGTCTGTATGCCTTTTGTTTCATTTCCTTTTCTAATTTTCTTGGCTAGAACCATCAGTACAGTGTTGAATGTAAATGATAAGAGAAGACACCTCTGTGTTGTTTTTGATCTGAAGAATAAACTTTTCAGTCTTCAACATTAAGTATAATATTATTTGTGGATTTAGCATTGAAGCACTTTATTATGTTTCAGAAATTAATATATATTCCTAGTTTGCTGAGTGATTTTATCATCCATGGTTGTTGGATTTTATCAAATTATTTTGATAATCTAGTACGTTTAATTGTTGCATCTGTATTTATAGCTGATATTGTTCTGTGGTTTTCTTTTCTTTTAATGTCTTTGTTTGGTTTTAATATCACAGTAATATTAGCCCCAAGGATGAGTCAGAAATGTTCTTTGTCTTCTATTTTTCAAAAGATTTTGTGAAAAATTGATGCAAATTCTTCTTTAAATTTTTGATAGAATTCACAATTGAAGCCATTTGTTCCTTAGCTTTTTCTTGTGGAAAGTTGTTATCGTTTTAGGGTTTTGCTTTTCTTTAAATCACTAATTCACTCACCCTACTTGTTGTAAGTCTATTTATTTATTTATTTTTTAATTTTTGAGGCAGTTACAGTAGTTTTCTCTTTCTAGGAATTTGTCCGTTTCAAAAAGGTTATCTAATTTGTTGGCATAGAATTGTTATAGTACTCATTTAATTTTTGTTTCCTTATGGAGGAGAGTAATGCTCCCTCTTTCATTTCTAGCTTTAGTGATTTGAATCTTCTTTTTATTTATTGATTTTTCTTGAGCAGTCTAGCTAAATTTGCTCAATTTGTTGATCTTTATAAGAATCAAATTTTAGCTAATTATTATTGATTCTTTCTATTCTCAATTTTATTCATGCTCAAATTTTTATTATTTCCTTACTTCTACTTGCTTTGAGCTTAATTTTCTCTTATTTTTCTTGGTATGTAACATAGAATGTTAGCTTATTAATTTGAGATTTTAAAAATTCTTTAATGTAAGCATTTACATCTCTAACTTTCCTTCTTAGAATTGTTTCAGATGCTTCCCATAAGTTTTGATAATTTAGGATTTTGTTTTCATTCACTTCACAGTGTGTTCTAATTACTTTTGCTATTTCTTCTTTGACTTATTAGTTGTATAGAAGCTTTATTTCTTTAATTTCCACATATTTTTGAATTTTCTAAATTTTATTCTCCTATTGATTTCTACCTTCCTTCTATTGTGAGGATAACATACCTTGTATTATTTCAGTCCCTTTAAATTTACTGAGACTTGTTTTATGGTCTAACGTATGGTTTCTACAGGAGAATGCTGCACGTACACTTAATAAGAACGTGTATTCTGCTATTGTTGGGTGGTTTGTTCTATAGATATTTATTAGTTCTAGTTGCTGTATAGTGTTGTTCAATTTTTTTATTTTATTGTTGAGCTTCTGTTTAGTCATTATATCCATTCTTCATACTGGAATATTAGAATCTGTAACTTTTATTGTTGAATTTTAAGTTTAAACTTTGATTCTTTACAGCTTTTGCTTGATGTGATTTTGAGCTTTCTTATGAGTTGCATAAATGTTTATAATCACTATATCTTCTCAATAGACTGCCACTTTTCTTATCATAAAATATCCTTCTTTGTCTCCAGAAATTTTTCTTGTTAGGTTAGGTTACATCGTTTGGTTAGTAATTAGTGTAGCCACTCCAGCTCTTTTTACATTTCAGTTTGCATGACATATCTTCTCTTATCTTTTACTGTAACCTATTTTGTCTTTACATATAAAGGTTAAAGTAGGCAGTATGTAGTTGGGTCATATATCTTAACCTTCTTCCTGCCTCAGCCTTCTAATTGAAGTGTTTAAATCATTTACAGTTGACCCTTTAACATTGTGACAGATAAGTGTGCCAACCCCTCACACAGTTGAAAAGCCACATATAGCTTTTGACTACCACAAAACTTAACTACTAATAGCCTACTGTTAACCCCAAGCCTTACCAATATTACAAACTGTCAATCAATACATTTTATATGTTATATGTATTATATACTGCATTCTTAAAGTAAGCTAGAGAAAAGCAAATAATATTATGAAAATAATAAGAGAAAATATATTTACCTTTCATTAAGTGGAAGTGAATCACCATAAAATTTTTATCCTCATAGTCTTCACATTGAGTAGCCTGAGGAGGAAGTACAGACAGGGTTGATTTTGCTGTCTCCTGGTGGCAAAGGTGGAAGAGATCCATTAGGTGGAACTTGAGGTAAGAGAGACAGGTACATTTAGTGTAACTTTTATTGAAAAAAATTCACATGTAAGTGGACACACATAATTTAACATCTGTTGTTCTAGGGTCAGTTGTATATTACATATAGTTACTGATAACGTAGGAGTTACATCTGACATTTAGCTGTATTTTTTCTATATATCATCTGACATTTTAATTTGTTGATACATCTATTTCTTTCTATTGTGTCAATACATATTTTCAGTTATTTTGTTACTGATTGTTCTGGGGATTAACTTCTCAATTTATAAGAACGTATTTAGATTAATACCAATTTAATTTCAGTAGTGTTATGGTTAATATTAGGTGTCAGTTTGAGTGGGTTGAGGGACGCCTAGATGGCTGGTGAAGCATTGTTTCTGGGTGTTTCTCTAAGGGTGTTTTCAGAGGTGATTGATATGTGAGTCAGTGGACTGGTAGACCTGCCCTCAATGAGAAAAAGCAGGATCCAGTGGACTGCCAGTGTGGCTAGAACAAAGCAAGCACAGGAGGAGGATTCTGCTTGCTGAGTTCCTCACTCTCTTCCTTCCCATATCAGGGACTAATATGAATAGTATGCAAACACTTTGTTCATGTATAGCTCTGTTCTACTCCTTCCTTTATGCTAGTATTTTATTATAATATCTCTATTCAGTGTGTGCAAACTTACATAGATTTGTAATTGTTGCTTTATGTAGCTGCCCTTTGTATCAGAAAAAATAAAGAGGAGTCATAAACCTAAAGTATATTTATGCTATTATTTCTACTTATGTAGTTACCTTTACTGGTACTCATTAATTTTTATCTGGATTTATGTTATTTTCTAATGTTTTTTTCACTTCAGACTATAGGACACACTTTAGCATTTGTTTTACATTGATCTTCTAGAAACAGCACTCTCAGAATTTGGTTTATCCTTAAATATCATAATTTCTGTTGCATTTTTTGAATGAAAATTTTGATACATATAGAATTATTAGTTTACAGTTATTTTACTTGCACATTTTAAATGAGTCATCTCACTGCTTTTTGGGTTACATAGTTTTTGATTAAAAAATGATGATTAACCTTATTGAGGATTCTTGTATGTGTTGAGTTGATTCATTCTGGCTATTTTCAAATATGTCTCTTTTTTGTTTGTTTTTGGCCATTTGATTATGACATGTGTCTACATGTACATACATATCTTTGAATTTATCTTTATTGAAGCTTGTCGAGCTTCTTGAATGTGAAGATTAATAATTTTCATGAGATTTACGAGGTATTTGTTTTATTTCTGCAAATAGAGATGCTCCTTGACTTACATTAGGGTTATGTCTGATTAAACCATTTATAAATTCTATAAAATATGTATTCCTTATTTCGTGTGGCCACTGAAGTTTCTGCTTGGTTGCCTTAGTGGTCAGCTGATGATTGGAAGGAAAGGTGTCCTTAAATGCCCCAACTCAATAAATTCTCTATATTTAAAAAAAATGTGGTGTGCATGTCACGGCATACCCTTAACACTCAGCCTTGCCATTTACCAGTTTGCCTTAGCCATCAATTTCCTGCTTGTGCAGAGTTTCAATGTCAGCTAGAGGTGAGAGCTTTGGGCCTTTTCAGGTCTTTCCTGAGCATGCACATGGCCGCACAAGTAATCATGGAATTCTAGATTCCCAGAAATACGTCAATAGTTTTCAAAAGCACTATAGCATCTGCTATAAACTCTATTGTGTCATCCTATCCGCAAATTCATATTTAAGCCCTGACTCCCAGTATGACCGTATTCAGAGAGAGGGCCTTTAGGAGGCAATTAAGGTTAAATAATGTCATAAAGATGCAACTCTAATTCAATGGACTATGACCTTATAAGAAGAAGAGAGAGATCTCCTCTCTCTCCAACATGTGAGGACACAGTAAAAGGATTGCTATCTGAGAGCCAGAAAAAGATCCCTCACCAGAAATGAATGCTGGTAGCACCCTTATGGCAAAATTCCTCCAAAACTATATGAAATAAATTTCTGTTGTTCATTCCCCCAATCTATGCTATTTTCTTACGACACCCCTAGGTTATTAATACAGCATCTCTTTTCTCAGCTTTTCCATTTAAGTTTTTGATTAGTGTATTGTTTGACACAACTTTTATCCTTTACTCCAACAACTGCAACATTACACTTGCCTGTAAATATTTTCAACAAATGCTCTCCAGGAGAAGCTTTTAGTATAATGTGTGTTTGAATAATGTCTAAAATGTTAAGCTTTTAAGCTTTTTATATGGGGAGTTTCCAGAGAACCACCAGACAGGTCAGGTAATACTGTTTGTTTGTTTTGTTTTGTTTTGTTTTTGAATGAGTCTTTGAAATAATGGCAACTCTATTCTGTTGTCTTGGTATCAGGAACATGACTGCGCTAATATTTTACAAGTCTATACCTGGGCTAGAGGGCATTGAATAGGATGAGGGCAAATTAAATTGTCATCCATCTCACTGTTCTTATCAATATTTAGCCATTTTCAAAATGACTGTAGGGCAATGCCTAAGAGAAATAAAATTTCTCATTACATAGCAGTTCTCTTATTTAAATATTATTGGAAAATGTTAAAACATATATTTACTTGTGTGTGTAAATTTATTTAAAGGTAAATAATAGTTATTTAAAGTCCCTTTTCTCTCTTTTTAAACAATCCTTCAGGTCTGTGGTCCAAATTTAAACAACCTGTGTGCTATGGTGTGAATATTTTCACTTTCCACTCCCCCCCCAAAAAAGAAAGAAAATTATATATTGAGAAACCATCCCCTAAGGCAACGATTTTATAAAGTGGGGCTTTGGGGTGGTGGTTAACTCATAAGTGTGAAACCCTCATGATTGGAATTAGTGCCCTCCTTAAGGGGCACAAGATAGCTTCTTTACCCATGTGAGAACACAATAAAATGACTTTCTTGTATGAAGCAAGAGACAGATTCTCACCAGTGAATCTCTCAATACATTGATGTTGAACTTCACAGCATCCAGAACTATGGGAAATACATTTCTGTTTTTTATGAGCCACCCAGTATATGGTAACTTGTAATAGCAGGCCACAATGAACCAAGACACTGTGTCATTTAAAAAATCTTAACCAGTAATTTAATTTAAAATGATCCTAAATTTCTAGCGCATCCAGACAACTAAGTGATGGTAAAAGAAAATAGTGTTCAAAGCAACTCAACTTCAACATATGCCCACTGGATTTCCATAGGTTCACAAAAGAATGAAACCTCATATTCAAAAATCACAAATTAGCTAAGAAAATAAGAAACCATAATTGACAAATATTAAATCAAAATTACTACTAGAAGATTTAAAATACTTATGACTTTGAAAGTAGAAGTGGATATAAATTAATATAATAATTGTTCACAGACATAAAAAGGCTTGAATATCTGAATAATAAATAAAATATGTAGTTTTTATATAAATTAAATTTGCTTATAAATTCTTAAAATATATAAGTGTATGTACGCACATGCACACACATTTAAACATATAATTATTAAAATTGTCAAAATGTAAGTAAGCATCAGATTAAAAATAATGAATATAACTGGTTTTAAAAAAAGAAAACAAAATGGAAAATATGATGTGTTGAAGAGCCATGGATGTACAAGATAGTAAAGATGAATATACATTAAATCAGAGTTCCAACAAATAAAAACAGTGAAAAAAAATTTGAAGACACATTAGTGAAAACATTTCCAGAATTTTTGAGAAACACTAGTTTTTTTAATATAGCCACCTAAATAAATCGATTAAAAAATTTTCTTAATCAGAATCCTGGGAAGTGTAAATAAAATAGAGTCACACCTAGACATAACATAATTAAACCACAGAATACTGATGACAAAGAAATTATCTGTGAAGTACCTAAAAAAATACACACCCTTTCACATCCATACACACACACATTGAAGAGGCATAAACGTTTGGCTGACAGCTAACTTCTTAACATCAATAATGAAGCCAGAAGTCCAGTAGAATAGAAAAATAAATTGTCTACTGACTTCCATGAATTGTCTTATGCAAAAAAAAGGGAATGGTCTCAAATTTTGCAAAAACATGACATAGGTTTTTACATTCATATGTAGTTTATCCCAGTGTTTAGTAGTACAAACTTTTGGAAAACAACCCATAGATAGAATCAGATTAATGGCTTTGTACAAAAAATTAGAACTCATGGGAATTTATTTTAAGGGAAATAACATCTATTATTATCTTAAAAATTAAAATAATATAAATGATAATAGTCATGAATTTTATCATAACAATGAAATATTCTACTGCCAGTAAAAATAAAAGCAATAAAGATAATGTGCTAACATACAAAATGCTTAAGTACAAGATGAAAATAAAAATTATACAACTGCTACATTAGAATTATTTAATAGTAGGCATACATTTAAAGAAGGTCTCAGAGAGAGAGAAATAATTTAATGCTTCATGACTAATTTCACATTATTCCATTTTTATTTCCAATAAAATTTTTATACTATCTATTCCTCTGTGAATTATTGTTTTTGTAAATTTTTATGAATTCAGTTAATTATGAGCAGCATATATTTATTGAATAAGAAAATTTAAAAGATTGTATAATATTTCATTTATATTTAGAATAAATTACCATTTTTCTATGGAATATTTATAATTTAATGAAGACAAAAGACAATCAAAATATATGGATGGACATCTTACGTGTTTTTTTTTTTACAAAGTTGCAGAAAATGATTCTGCTTAAGTTTAACAAAAGTAGAGTTTCTAAGACTGCTTTAAGAAAAATTATGTAAAAAGAAAGTTGAAGAACCATTTAGAAATGGACACAACCTATGCTTATTTCAGAAATTAAGATAGAAGCCTTGTTGTATTAATTCTTTTTTTTTTTTTTTGAGACAAAGTCTTGCTCTGTCGCCGAGGAGGGAGTGCAGTGATGCAACCTTAGCTCACTACAACCTCCACCTCCTGGGTTCAGGCGATTCTCCTGCCTCAGCCTCCTGAGTACCTGGGATCACAGGTGCATGCCACCATGCCCGACAAATTTTTGTATTTTTAGTAGAGACGGAGTTTCACCATGATGGCCAGGTTGCTCTCAAACTCCTGGCTTCAGGTGATCTGCCCATCTTGGCCTTCCAAAGTGCTGGGATTGCAGGCATGAGCCACTGTGTCTGGCCATTGTATTAATTTTCTGTGACCAACTACTGTAATAAATTACTACAAATTTAGTGGCTTAAAGCAACACGAATTATCTTATCATTATGTAGTTTCAGAAGACTGATCAAGGTTTCAGCAGAACTATTTTCTTTATGGAAGCCTTAGGGAGAACTTTTTCCCTTGCCCTTTTCAACTTTGAGAGGCTGCACACATTCCTTAGCCTGTGACCCCTTGCTTCATCATCAAAGTCAACAAGATCAGGAAAAGTCCTTTTCACACTCTCACTTCTGTGATTCCACCCCTTCTGTGTCCCTCTTCTGCTTTCAAGGATCCTTGGGATTACATTATGCCCACCTAGCCACAGATTCTGGGGATTATAACATTTATATGTAATATCTAGTATATATATTTATATCATATGTAATATACTTTAATACATATTATATATAATACATATAATACATACATATTATTAAACATATAATAGTATATATGTATATACTGTTATATATATATTTCTATATAATATACATAACACATAATATATTTCAATGATATATAATATACATAATATATCATGTATACATGTTATGATGTATTATATGTAAACATATAATAGTATATATGTATATACTATGTATATATAAATGTTCTAATCCCCAGAATCATATAATGTATAATACATGTAATATGTATTATATATAATATTTATACAAAAAATGTTCTAATATATACATATTATATACATATATACATTATACATATACATATATACATAATATATATACAAGCATTTTTATACATATTATATCTATATATTATATATAATATGTATATATTAGGCAAGGGGTAGTGGTGCTGGTTATTCTACTGACCTAACTCAACAGTATTTTCAGGGTGCTGTTACTGAAATAAATCAGCTCTTTATTTTTTTTGTCTTTCCACACATCATATAAAATTCCAAGGAAGAAAACACAATTAACCCAGGTTGGGTGATTATAATTCATTACTTGACCATGGGATGGAGTTGTGATTCTCATCATTTCTGTGCTAAATTAAAAAGAATTCCTTGAAGTGGATTGAGGTGTTGCTATCACACAGGAGGAATAAATGAAACAAACCATGGAACAACAAATGTTTAATATAAGTATTAAAATGTAAGCACACTAGCTAACAAAACACATGGAAATATTTAATTTAAACAGGAATATCAATACTTATTTTCCAAAGTGCATTTCTCAGTACATTAGTAGATTGGTTGATATGACTTTACATAAACAAGAAAAATATTATTGCTTCACGGTCATATATTTTGTGAGCAAGTATGAGCACATCCCTTTTTGGACATTTATTAAATAAATCAGTAAACTAAAACATTGTGAAATTTTTGTAGTAAAAAATGGAACCCAGTGATTCCTAATTTATCTGAGTAGAAAAGTTTTTTTAAAAAGTTTTATTATTAATTTTAATGAAACACTCAAAAGGATACATTCATGGGAAAAGATTCCATAGAGTATCTTTTCTGAATGCCAATGAATGTTAAAACATTGTTTTACTTGCAGTACAATAAGATTCTGTGAAAATTCATAGTTTGCATTTAAAGTAAAATTTTAATTATGAAACTAGAAATCAATAACAGAAGGAAAATTGGAAAATTCATTAATATGTGAAGTTAAACAACATACTTCTGAAAAACCAATTGTCAAAGAAAAAAAAATCACAAGGGAAATAAAAAAAGATCTTGAGACAAGTGAAAATGAAAACACAACACACCTAACCTTATGGGATGGAGCAGAAACAGTTCTATGAGGCAAGTTTATAGTGATAAACACTTACATTAACAGAAAAGAAAGATCTCAAATAATCTAACTTTATATCTAAAGGAACCATAGAAGGAACAAACTAACTCCAAAATCAGCAGAATGATAGAAATAATAAACATTAGAGTAGAAATATTAACAAATAAAATAGAGACTGAAAAAGCAATATAAAAATAAATAAAACAGTCTTTTTGAAAAGATAAACAAAATTGACAAACTTTAGCTTGACTACAAAAAAGATAAATAAAATTAGAAATGAAAGACTACATATTAATTTTAATATAAACATACGAATAAATCGGAAGAGACTACTACAAACAATTATGTACAAACAACTTGGAAATGCAGAAGAAATGGCTAATTCCTAAAACCATACAACTTACTAAGGCTTACCTGGAAGAAACAGAAAATCTGAATAGACCAATAATGAGTAAGGAGGTTGAATCAGTAATCAAAAACCTCCTAATGAAGCAAAGCCGAAGATCTGATGGTCTCACTGGTGAATTCTGCCAAACATTTAAGAAATAACAAAGATCAAACCTTCTCAAACTCTTCCAAAAAAATTGAAAAGAAGAGAACTCATCTTTCAAGGCCAGCATTACTTTGATACCAAAGCTGGACATCGATAGTACAAAAAAAGAGAAAATTACAGGCCAATATCTCTGATAAATATAAATGCAAAATTTTCAAAGTACTAACAAACCAAATTCAAAAAACACATTAAAAAGGTCACCCACCATAATCAAGTGAATTTATCTTTAACATGCACTGATAGTTTAAATAGGCAAATCTTTAAATGTGACACACCACATTAAAATAATAATAGATAAAAAATAATGTGATCATTTTAATAACTGCATAAAAGGTATTTGACAAATTCAGTAAAGCTGCAAGTACATAATTAACATACAAAAATCAGTAGTATTACTATTCACTAATAATGAACAAGCCAAAAAGAGAAATCAAGAAAATGATTCCATTTACCATAGCATTACAAAACCCTTAAGAATGAATTAAATCAGAAAGGTGAAAGATCAATGCACTGAAAACTATAAGACATTTATAAAAGAAATTGAAGATGACACAAATAAATGGATAAACATTTAATAGCCTGTGTTCATAAATTAGTAGAAATAATATTGTTAAAATATACATACCACCCAAAGAGATCTACAAGTATAATGTCAAAATACCAATGACATTTTCCATATAAATAAAAAATAGAAAAAAATTAATATTCATGTCTTGTATGGAATCACAAAAGACCTTGAATAGCCAAAGCAATCTTGAAAAAGAAAAAAAAAAGCTGAAGGTATTATACTACCTGATTTCAAAATATACTACAAAGCTATAGTAACTAAAACAGCATACTGCTTCCATTAAAAGGGGCATATGGTCCAATGGTACAGAATAGAGAGACTAGAAATAAATTTACACGTTTACAGTCAATTAATCTTCACCAAAGTGTCCACGAACAATGAGGAAATTACAGTCTTCAATAAATGATGGTGGGAAAACCAGATGTCATTCAGAAGAATGAAATTGGACCCTTATCTCACACCATATACGAAAATCAACTCAAAATGATTTAAAGATTTAAATGTAAGACCTGAAGCTGTAATACTACTAGAAGAAAATATAGAAAAAATACTTTTTGACATTGGATTTGAAATTAGTTTTTGGATATGAACCTAAGAGCATAGGCATCAAAAACAAAAATAGACAAATGGGATAGCATCAAACTAAACGTCTTTTGTATAAAAAAGGAATCAATCAACAGAGTGAAGAGACCTACAGAAGAGGAGAAATACTTTGAAATCATATATCTGATAAGGACTTGATATCCAAAATATATAAGGAATTCAGGCAACTCAATAGGAAAAAGACACATACCCCAATTAAAATATGGGAAAAGGATCTGAATACATATGTTTTAAAATAAAAAGTAGCCAAAAGCTATTTTTTTAAAAAAAGTTTCAACATCACTAATTATCAAATAAATGCAAAATAAAATGAAAAGGAGATATCACTGCACATGTGTTAGAATGACTATATGGCTAACATGGTTTGGCTCTGTGTCCCCACCTAAATCTCATACCCAATTGTAATCCCCATAATCCCCACGTGTCAAAGGGACCTATTGGGAGGTGATTGGGTTATGGAAGTGGTTTCCCCCATGCTATTCTTGTGATAGTGAGTTCTCATGAGATCTGATGAATTTGTAAGTATGACAGTTGTCCTGCACACACTCTCTTTCCTGCTACTTTGTAAGACTTACGTGCTTCCCCTTCTCTCCTGATTGTAAGTTTCCTGAAGCCTCCCCAGCCATGCGGAAATGTAAGTCAATTAAACCTTTTTCATTTATAAATTACTCTGTCCCGGGAAGTTCTTCATAGCAATGTGAAAACAGACCAATACAATGGCTGTTATTGAGAGGAGGTGCCAGCTGGGCTTCCTGGGTCGAGTAGGGGCTCAGAAAGCTGTGAAACTCACTCATTTCCTGCATCAGGACTTACTTCGGTCCTAGATGAATAATATAGAAGATATATGCTTAAAATATTCCTAACACTAGGATGTGTGCATGTGTTTTCTTCCCCAAGAAAGCTATGAACAGCGAAATTTTTGCTGTAAGTTTCCCTGTGTCCTCTCTCCCTTCCCCGTCCCCCGAAACGAAAAGGAATGGTAACTGCCCGTTTTTCTGTGACCAGCGGACCTTATCTATACTCCCAATTCCAATTCCTTGTAAACTTACCTTGTAAAGTCCTGTAAGATCCTGTCTCCTTTGCCATGCCGCTGCAAGGTCATAAAGTAGATAAAACCTAAGCTGCAATTCCGGTCTTCCTCAAAATCTAGGACATGTCACAAAATAGTTTACTGCCTTTGTTTCTCGCTCTGGTAACATCTTCCCGCTGCACGTATTTCCCGCCTTAAAGAGTTTAAAAGGCAATCGTATAAGCTAACTCTGGCTACCCGTTCGGGACCCCTTCCACGCCTTGGAAGCTTTGTACTCTTGCTCTGCTCAGTAAAACCTACTGCTCTCTCTCTCTCTCTCTCTCTCTCTCTCTCTCTCTCTCTCTCTCTCGGTCGTGTCTCTATCACTCAACACGGTCAGCCGCCACACCAATTCTTTGGCGTGGTTAGGCAAGAACCTTAGGCGTTACATTATCACAAAGACAAAAGATTACAAGTGTTGGTATGATCTGGAGAAAAGGGAACCCTTGGGCACTGTTGGTGGGATTGTGAATTAGTATAGCCATTATGGAAAACAGTTTGAAGATTCATCAAAAAATTACAAATACATCTATCATATGATTCACCAATTCCACTTCCAAATATATAGTATGTCAAAGAGAGATGAAATCAGTATGTGGAAGAGATATTTGACACTCCCATGTTTTGTAGCACTATTCACAATAGCTAAGATGTGGAATCAGCCTGTGTCAACTGATAGATGAATGAACAAAGAAAATGCATATACACACACACCCATACACACACACACACACACACACACACACACACGGAAACATTTTCAACTAGCCTTCAGAAAGAAGAATATTATGCCATTTGTGACAACATGGATGAACCTGAAGGATATTATGCTAGGTGAAATAAACCACACAAAGACAAATACGGCACAACCTTCCTTATAGGTGGAATCTAAAAATGTTGAAATTACAGAAGCAGAGAGTCAAATGGTAGATACAGAAGCTAGGGGAGGAACAGCAGATGAGAAGATGTTAGTCTAAAAGTACAATGTTTTGGTTATATTGGAAGAATCAGTTCTGGAGATCTAATGTACAGCTTGTTGAAAACAGTCAATACAAGTATACACTAAAATTGTTAAGAGCATAGATTTTAAATGTTCTCACCTCCAAAAAGTACATGGGGTGATGGCTATGTTAATTAGTAGCTTGATTTAATCATTTCACAGTGTACACATATACGAAAACATCAGTTTATATACCACAAATATGTACAATTTTTATTTGTCAATCATCCCTTAATAGAAAAGGAAACTAATTCAAAATACTTTTTTAGAAAGCCAAAAAAATGTGAAACATCAACATCGAAATATTTTAGTTAATGTGAGCAAGTGTGGTGTTATGGAGAGATGAAATAGTTTCACTGAAAATATAACATAAACAAAAATGACTATGCTATTTAATTTAGTATTACTTTGAAAGTTTTTTTAATATAACTACATAAGAGCAACTGTTAGCCTATTTAACTGATGTTGAACATATTTTAACCGCATTTTCTTAGTTCTAAATTCTCAGTGATACATGTATGGGGTCATCAAAGTTGCCTCAGATTCATAGAATTTATACATTTGAACAGGGAAATGTAGTTATAATGTATTCTTTTGAATTAATAACACTTTCCTTAACATTGATTTAATTTGCATTTGTCTCATGTGTGATTTATTATTTAGCCTCTGGAAATAGATGCACAATGGGAGGAAGTCAGAGAGCAAATCTAAATGTGTGAGATCATAATTTCAGTTCATTAATCTACGTTGCCTCCTAATGTTTAGTAAGATGAAGACCATATGAAGTTTTCAGTTCCTTCTTTTGACATTTGTTTATGAAATATTTATGGTGTACAGTTTACGCATAAGACATTGGGTTTTGTAGGTTGTAAATATAGTAATTAAGATGATACCGTCTCTGTGATGAAGTAGGTTGGACCCTAGGAGAACAGAGAAAATAGTGAACAGCCAATTTTTAGAACAAGATATAAAAGAGACAGTGTTATCAAGATTCAGGACAGCAGAATATTTTAGTGTGTATGGTGCACTGGGTATTTTGGATAACAGTTTTTGTTTTTTTTTTAAAGGAAGTGTCATTAAACGGAGCAACATCTAGTGAATTAGATTTTGACCAGCAGAGAAACTGAGGGTGTAGGTAAAAGAAGAGCTTGAATTGCTGGTGGACAGATGAGAAAAAGCAAATGAAAAATCATATAGGTGTCCTTAAGGGAAAGGGTTGTAGTCCACGCAGCAGGAATATATGATGTAAGAAGGGAAGGTTTGGAAGAAAAGTTTTTGAAAGCTGGTTAAGTCCGTGGAATCTTGGTCTTTAAATGTTCAGCTGACAAATTGTTCAAGAATGAAGTATTGAGATTGCTTGGCAGAAAAGTGATATAATCAATAGTATTATATTATTGGTGAGAGGGCAGTTGAACAGTGGGGAGAGATCTAGTAGCAGAAAGGCAAACCAGAATTTATCTAGTCAGTAGATCATGTGACCTTGAACTTCATGATGATGATAAACTGAAAAATAAAAGAAGTTGAGCAAGGTATAGTTGAGAATAACTGCATAAACAGATTAACAGTGGACTGGATCTGATGAGGTGAAGGAGGAGAGGTAGTGGGGATACCTAGAAATAATATGTAAAGTCTGAACCAGGGAAGTAAGAAATTGATCACCTGAGGTCAGGAGTTCGACCAGCTTGGCCAACATGGTGAAACCTGTATCTACTAAAAATACAAAAATTAGCTGGGCGTGGTAACACATGCCTGTAATCCCAGCTACTCAGGAGGCTGGGACAGGAGAAACGCTTGAACCCAGGAGGCAGAGGTTTCAGTGAGCCGAGATCACGCCACTGCACTCCAGCCTGGGTGACATAGCAAGACTCTATCTCAAAAAACAAAACAAAAACAAAGACAATGATTTAATTAGAAGTAGAAATGTTTGGAAATCTTTACGGTTTATTACATGGACAGGTGACTTTGTCTTGGATATGTTGAGGTAATAATAGGTATTTATGGAGATAGCATTTATTTATTTTAAATTTATTTATTTTTCATTCTTATAGGTTCCTGGGTGTTTATATTTATGGAGTACGTGAGATATTTTGATACAGGCATACAAAGTGTAATAATCATATCATAGAAAATGTTGGCAGATAGAAATGCCACTACTTTTAATGAAAACTGCAATCACATTTGCACCAACCTAATATCATCTGCAAACAAAGATAATTTGATTTCTTCCTTTCTTTCCTTTCTTCCTTTCTGATTACTCCAGCTAGGACTTCCAATACTATGTTGAATAACACTGCTGAAAGTGGGCATCCTTGTGTGTTCCAGATCTTAGAGGAAAGGCTTTTAGTTTCTCCCCATTCAGTATGATACTAGCTGCGGGTCTGTTGCATATAGCTTTTACTATGTTCTTATGTTCCTTCTGTATTCATTTTTTGAGGGTTTTCATTATAAATGGATGGTTAATTTTATCAAATGTTTTTTCACCATCAATTAAAATGATGGTATTTTTTTTTGTCCTTCATTCTCTTGATATGATTTATCACACTGATTGATTTGCATGTGTTGAACCACCCTTGTATTCTTGAGATAAATCCCACTTGGTCATGATGATCTTTTTAATGTGATGTTGAATTCAGTTTGCTAATATTTTGCTGAAAAATTTTTGTATTAATATTCATCTAATATAGTGGACTGTAGTTTTCTTTTCTTGATATGCCTTTGCCTGGTTTTGGTATCAGGATAATACTGGCCTGGCCTCCTAGAATGAGTTTGGAAATATTCTCTCCTCTATTTTTCAGAATAGTTTGAAGATAATTGGTACTAACTTCTTAAATATTTGGTAGAATTCAGTAGTGAAGCCATCAGGTCTGAGGCTTTTCTTTGCTGAAGAGTTTTAATTACAGTTTTAGTCTTGTTACTTGATGTTGGTCTGTTCAGGTTTTGGATTTCTTCATGATTCAATCTTAGTAAGTGGTATTTGTCTAGGAATTTATCTATTTCCTCTAGATTTTCAAATTTATTGGAATATAGTTGACCACTTAAAGCCACTGATGGTCCTTAGAATTTCTCCAGTTACAGTTGTAATGTCTTCTTTGTCATCTCTGATTTTATTTATTGGGTCTGGCTAAAGGTTTGTCAGTTTTGTTTATCTTTTCAAAAAACCAACTTTTGTTTCTTTGAACTTTCATATCCTTCCCCGCTCACCCTTACTTCTCTCTTGCCTTCCCTGCCCATCATCTCTTCTCTTCGCTTCTCTTTGTTTTGCTTCTCTCCTACTTTTCCTGTTCCTTTGCCTTCCTTCCTTCATCTTATCTATTGATATTCATATCCAAGTGATTTTGTCTAGTATCATGACTAAATTCCATCTAAAGGATAAACAATTTCTTAATGTTTATGTCCAGATCACCATTTTCTCCTGAACTGCAGACCTTTTAACTGCCACTGGTAATCACCAAACAAAAGTATTTTGACCCAATCTTTCCCAAGCACCCTGCCTTACCAAAGTTACTGAATTCCCAGTCTTGCACATCTTCGTCGATGACAACTCCATCCTTGTAGAAAATTTTTGGTCATTTTGAATTGCTTTCTCTCACACTCATATCCAATCTATCAGTAATTCTTTTGGATTATCCTTCAACATGTATTAGGAAGGTAACCACTTCGCACCACCTCTACTGCCACTATTCGATCTAAGTAACAATCACTCCTTATATGAATTCCTGAAATAGCTTTCTACTTAGTGTATCTTTCCCTCCAATGGCAGCCAGAGTTATCTTTTAAACAAGTAAGTCAGATTCTCTGCTCAAAATCCTTCAAGCTCTAAATTTTATTAATGAGAAAATCAGAGATTTTAAAATAACCTACAACATTCTACATGATCTCCCCACCCATATTATATTCATTCTCTGATCTCATCTCCTCCAACCCCATTGCCCCACTTGCAGCCAGCTAGTCAAGCAACAACCTCTTTCCTGTCCTTCCAACCCATCAGGAATCCAGAACCTTTGTATTCATTTTCCTTTAACTGGAAAGCTTTTCCTAAGATAAAAAACATTGCTCAATCTTTTTATCTTCTTGAAGTCTTTTTAAGGAAGCCAGATTTCTATTTATTGATGCAACTTGTTTCCTCCCATCCTTCCACCCCACTCTCATTCCTCACATTGCTTGTTATCTTAAATCCACACCAATTATCCTCTTCTATATTTCTATACTATCAAATGTATTTCTTTATTATAGTTGTTGTTTATCATGGACCAATTAAAACTTAAGGGTTCTAAGAGCCCTTTTCCACACTGATATGGCCCATGTGCCTGTAAGAGTGTCTAGAACATAGAAGAACTTAACAGATAGTACTTAATGGAATGTTGAATAAAGAACTATGTAGAAAGTAATAGGATGTTACATTAGATAATCAAAGGGTAAGAACTTTTAGACACTTGAACTGTCAATACCCCTTGAATAACCTGACATATCCATTTTTCTTCCTGGCAACCAACATTTGGAAAATATCTTAAAAATTAGTATCTGTATTCTTTGCATAAGCACTGCAGTTACAGATTTCCACACGTCTTTCTGAATCCTGTTTTATGTGATATAACAGGCATAGATGCTAATTTTTTGGTGTTTTCCTGTTAATGTACAAATCAAATTATAAATTTAACCTAAAACGTTGAAGAATAACCTCTTCACATACTTTATAACGCCATCGCTAAAGGCAGGTTACTGCCTCTGAAATACCATAACCACATACAGTACAAATGGAATTACCAATTACCATTCAATTACCACGGTACATATTGCTTGGTCTTTGAAGCAACACTATGCATTTTAAAAAGGTCTATTTGGTTAAGCAACATAATTTAGTTGAGAAGGTTTCAAAAATACACATGGCATTTATCTCTTCAGAATGTAGTGCTTTGTATGTAACAGCAATTATAAACAAAACAATTAAGTCCCCTCAACAGAAACAAAAGCAGCAGCTTATAATAGTTCAGTTCATCAGAAAATCTATTTATGTAGATTTCACTGAAGACAGACAGTATACAAAGTACAGTGTCCGCTTTCAAACCTTTCACACATTAATATCTCCCAACAAATTTACAAATTTGTGTTCCAAGTTTTAAATAGGCATTCACAGAAGTTCATGCCTGAGAGTGTCCAGGCAGTCTTAGGAGTTTTGAGACTGTTTACCAGGGAGCACTTTGAGGTTGGAAAGATCACATTGGCCTTTGTAGCACACTGTGTGTGCAAATAGGTTTCTTGTTCAAGCTCCTGCAACACACTCTAGCAAAAGCTGCCTGCAAATTCGTTTCTAATAAGAAAGCTTAAATGTGTTGCCACATGGGTATTTCTGATCTAGCTTTACAAGCACTCCAAACGATGCTGCAAAAAGAATCAAAGAATCTGCCAGCAGTTGAGATACAACCCCCAGGAAATGTCAAAGGCAGATTTCAGCCTAATGTTCTGGTGAAATAGGGACATAGCCAAAAGAGCGAAATCCATGTGTGTTGTTTCAAAGGATCCTCTGATACAGTGGTTATATGCTTAGGGGAGAGATAAGTAACAAGAATCCCCAGAGTTTTTCTTTTAGCGTGCATGTCTGCCTCTGCACTACTTTCCCAGGCATGATGACTGGTTTGCGAGCAGAGTCTGCATCATAAAACTCACCCAGTGTTCTTGGCCACAGGAAATCCCTTGAGGAAAGCAGAGACAGGGGCAAATACTCACATAGGCCCTCCCCTCTCTAAAAAAACACAAACTTTTTACCCCCCATGGGATACTAAATTAAAACAACAGTAACTGGAAAAAAGCAACAGAATTGTCTGATCCACAGGACATGTTTCAAAAGAGGACAAGGCAGAGTCATTTGCTTGGTTGTAGTAAAGATGTTCAGTTGGGAATTAGGACATGGGTGAGAAGCTGTGGGCTGATGATGTGTTGACAATCTTCAGGTTTCATTTTTTTTTTCTTTTTCACATCAGCATGTAGGCTATCTGTCCACATGATTGGAAAGCTTCTCAAGTCATTCAGGTAACCACGCTGAGTTTGAAGTTTAGAGTGACTGGCTTAATTCAGTGTCCTGTTCAAAGAATAGCAACTGGTCTTGAATGGCAGTGATTACCTAATACTTTGTGGAAATATATACAGAGGAAGGTTGGGTTAACTGCAAGACGTCATTTTCTTAAACTTTTAATTAAATAAAATATATAAAAAATTTTAACTGACAGCAATGACACATATATTCCTACTTACAACAAGCAGCTGTTAAAAGCAAAGTGAGGGAGAGGATTACACAAGGAAAAAGCAGCCAAGTTTTCAATTAACTTAAAGGAAAACACATCATCTTTGAAACAACTTCCAAACATGAACTCTTGTGCAAAATCAAATATGCTTTAGTGCTACAATCGCTGATTTTTAAGAGTCAAACATCCTCATTCCATGAACGGTCATTATTTCTCCGTTTGAAACTCATTTTGATCTTTCTTTCAAGCCTACTCTGACATTATTTGATTTAGGACTGTCTAATCTGTGTGATTACAAGTATTTATTATATGCAATAGATGTGAATATATAATACATACATAGAAAACATATGCAATATACGCCTAATATTTGTATATTATTATTTCCTGTTTGTTTTGAGATGGGGTCTCACTGTGTTGCTCAGGCTAGAGTGCAGTGGTGCAATCATGGCTCTCTGCAGCTTCTACCTCCTGGGTTCGAGACATCCTCCCACCTCAGCCTCCTCAGTAGCTGAGATTACAAATATGTGCAACCATGCGCAACTGATTTTATAATTTGTTATAGAGAAAGGGTCTACCATGTTGCCCAGGCTGGTCTCAAACTCCTGGGACCAATTGATCTTCCCACCTTGGACTCCCAAAATGTTGGGATTACAGGCATGAGCCACATTGCCTGGCCTCATGTTTTTTTTTCTTAATTGTTGACCAAAGCTGGCTAGAGATTTAGAAGGCCTTGTTTTCCTAGTGGATAAAGTGTTTGATTATCCAGGATGGATTGCTGGAAAAGTCATTTACATTTCCTGAACCTCAGATTCTATCTGTATAATAAAGGGACTGGGAAAAATGAGCTCTCAAGTTGATTCCTAGTAGAATAACTTGTTATTCTGTAATCAAATCTGAGATTTTAGACTGTGAGAATAAGTCACTTGAAAGTTTACATAGATATGAAACATCATATCATTGCATTATGCTAGGATAGGGGTAAACTTTTATTAACTGTTTTCACATACACCCTCTTATAACAAGAAAGTGTATTCTGAATGGGACATACAGAGTCATTATTGCTATTTTTGTGCCTTTGTTTTTGAATGAGAACAATACAACATTGAATTAAGAATTTCAATCTTCTGTGAAGTGTTCTGTATATACCTGCCTTAATCCTACCATTTCAAATATATAAGATGTAACTCACTGTCCTTACATATAAATACAAATAGCACTTAGGAACCTAATTTCTGATATTTTTTGAGAGGTACAGCATATTTAAGTATCTTACATAGTCTGTCATATGCAGCTCACTGACTTGCTATATAGAAGAATTGTGTTTTGCTTTGTTTTTCAAAATGGACAACAAAAACTCTGTATATCATTAAGAAGGATATAGAGCCAAGTCATTAAAAAGTCAAGAATTTGTTTAACATATATATGCTAGGTACTGTATCAATCTAAATAAGCTATATTATGTTGCAACAGAAAACTTGAAAATCTCAGTGATTTATGCTACAGTTTCATCTACGATAGACTGTGAATTTTTCCAGAAAGTCTTCCTTGCAGTGTTGGCACAACTTCCATGTAAACTACGTCTATGTTCATGGAGAACAGTGAGGGTTTGATGAAGTATGCATTGGCACTTAGCATTTCTGTGAAGAATTGGTAAGTACCCTTCTCCTCACATTTCATTTACCTAAAGAACTTATGAAAACATTTTAAATATTTTTTTTTTTGAGACAGAGTCTGGCTCTGTAGCCCAGGATGGAGTGCAGTGGCACAATCTCGACTCACTGCAAGCTCCACCTCCCAGGTTCACGCCACTCTCCTGCCTCAGCCTCCTGAGTAGCTGGTACTACAGGCGCCCGCCACCACGCCAGGCTAATTTTTTTGTATTTTTAGTAGAGACGGGGTTTCACCGTGTTAGCCAGGATGGTCTCAATCTCCTGACCTCATGATCCACCTGCCTCAGCCTCCCAAAGTGCTGGGATTACAGGCATGAGCAAAACATTATTGAGTTCAACAGAGTTGTGTTGTGTATTCAACCTGCAGGAAAGGATAATAAAATGTGATAAAGATTAAAACATTCTACTATAGACTTTTCCAGTACAAGCTAACATCTACCATATTTAAAGAGATGGTAAAAATTACTAAGGTAAGTAGTTATTTAGATACAATTTAAATGATAGAGTCGTGTTAAGTTACAAGAAGGAGATGTCAAATGATAGAGTAACAATCTCCAAAAGTCTTCTTCTGCATAAAAGTATTGAGAATAATGGCCGAATTTTTACGAAATCAACAATTCCGAAATTTTGAAAATGAATCAAAAGACTGCAATAATTCAAGAATAATCCCAGAATAATGCTAGAAAACATAGCTACATCTCAAGTGAGTATAGCAAGTTTAGTGGCACTTTAAATAAATCTTGTCCATCCCCTCTTGACATGTTCTTGGTGTCCTTGAAAACCAACAGTCTTGCAATTATAGTAACTATGAAAACCAACATCCTAGTAGCTTAGCAGTCATTGCAAAGGACCAGATGAATTTGGAGTTACTCAGACAAGTCTATGCCTACACTAACATGTATGAAAAGGCCCCAAACAACTTTATTCTTAGGATTGTTGGTGCTGATATAACTCAGAACATGCTTTCAGCAAAAATAATAATATCAAAGGCATTTGTCAGAAATAGTCCCTGGCTGTTCTTTAACATCACCTAAGCTCGAGGTAGTGATACCAGTTGAGGCTAATAAGAGATTCACAAAAATATTAAATGGACAAATTGGGGAAAAAGATGCCAATAGTGGGCTTTGAAAAATTCTGATAATTTCTAAAAATTTAGAGGGTCACAGATATGTGCAGGACTGTTCACATGCCCAGAAATCACCTCAAAAATCCCTAATGTGTCACCGATGGCTAACCTTGAAATTCTGCATAAACAGCAGGTGAAAACTAAGGCAGAGTTATAAACTGCCTCGTCCACCCTCAGCAAGGCAGCAAGGCTCAAGGCATTTAGCACCACTGAGTGGTCCAATCAAAAGCTGACCACTAAGCTAACTGGGCAGAGATTTAAGTTTCTGAACATAACAGAGAATACTAACTTTACAGAAAGAGTCCAAACACACAAAAAAGAAACAATTAACATCAACAATCACAATCCCTGAGTAGGTGTGCAATCTGATTTTCCTAGATGTCACAACATGTTATTTAAAATGTTTAGTTTTCAACAGCAACAAAATTTATGAGACACACAAAGAAGCAGAAAAGTGTGGCCCATTCTCACAAAAAGATGCTGTTAATAGAAACCATCCTTTGATAAGCCAAGATATTAAACTTAAGACATACTTTAAATCAGCTTTTATAAATATGTTGAAATAACTAAAGAAAACCATGTCTAAAGAAATAAAGGTAGGTATGAAAATGATGTCTTATAAAACAGAAAAACCTTTAAAGAGATAGCAATTATAAAGAAAGAAACCAATAGAAATTCTGGAGATAAAAACTATGATAAAAGAAGTGAAAAAATTGACTTGAGGGGCTCAGCAATTTATTTTAACTGGCCAAAGAGAGTATCAGTGAATATAAGGATATGTGAGTTGAGATTTTGCTGGTTTAACAGACAGAAAAAATATAACAAAAAAATGTACAAAGCCTTATAGGTCTTTTGGAAACTATAAAGCATACCAACATATGTGTAATGGAATTTTCCAAAGAAGAACAGAGAGAGAAAAAGAAGAAGTAAGAAAATTTGAAAAATAATAGCCATCTTCTCAGGGTTTATGAAAAACTTTAATCTACACATACAAGATGATCAGTGGACTCCAAGTAGGATATACTTAAGTGATCTACATCTAGGATCATCGTAGTGAAATTTTTGAAAGGGAAATACAAAGAAATAAGCTTAAAAGCAGAAAAAAAGTGGCATGTAATGTAAAAGTGATTCTCAATAAAATTAACACCTAACTTCTCATCAGAAACAATGGAGTCCAGAAGTCCATGGAATGACATATTCAAAGGGCTTTGGAAAAAAAAAAAGACTGTTAACAAATAATTCTATATCCAGCCAAGTATCCATCAAAATGCAGGAGAAATTAGGTATTTGCAGATAAGCCAAAACTGAGACAGTTCATTACTAGCAGACCATCTCTACAACAAAGACTAAAAGGAGGCCTTTAGGCAGTGAAGGACACTAGATAGTAATTCAAATCCAAGGAAAAAATAGGAAATATCAGGAAATATCAGGAAATGTAACTACATGCATAAATACAAGAACAATGAGAAATACATTTTTATTTGGAAATATTGCCTTCTGCCTGGCTTAAATGACAACTACATAAAGCAATAATTATTAATCTGCATTGATTAGTATGATGCATAAAGATCTAATTAGTATGTCAAAAACAGAACAAAGGAAGGGTGAAAGAATAGAACTATATAAGAGCAAAGTTTATGTATACTGGAGCAATTAAGTTGATATTATTCAAACTTAACATTTTAAGTTGTTAACTGTAACCTTTAGAAATTGCTAAAAAAGTAACTAGAAAAATATAATTAAAAAAATGAGAGGGAATTTAAATGAATATATTAGAAATTTAACATAAAAGATGGGAGTAACAGACAACTGTTGGAAGAAAAATGACATAAGACATAGAAACAAATTGGTAGTCAGAAATCCTACCTTAAAAATAAATATATTAAATGTGAAGCACTAAACATTACAACAAAAAGGCAGAGATTGTTCAATGGATAAAAAACAACATGTATTTCAACAACATACGGTCTACAAGATATGACACGTTAGATTCAACAACACAAATAAGTTGAAAGTAAATAGATGTAAAAACATACCACATAAAAAGTACTGAGCAGAAAGCTTGAGTGGCTACACTAATAAGAGACAAAATGTAAATAATCTGTTTATAATAACAACAAAAGAATAAAATATAGAGACAAATTTGACGAAAGATGGGTAAGGATATTATATAAAAACTATAAAATATAAAAGAACTTAAATAATATCTAAATAAATGAGAAGATAGCCCATGTTATAATTTAAAAGGCAAAATATTATTATTGTACCACTACTTTCAACATCAATCTGTATATCTATGCAGTTACCATTAAAATCCCAGCTGGTTTCTTGAAGAAATTGATGAGATTGTAAAAATTATATGGAAATGCAAGAAACTCAGAGTAGTCAAAACAATTGAGAGTGTAGAAATAAACTATTACATTAATGGCAAGTTTATTTTGACAATGTCAAAAAGACCTTCAATGGGAATAAAAAAGGTTTTTCAATAAATAGTGCAGGATAACTGTATATTCATATGCAAGAGGAGGAAATTGAAAACATATCTCCCAAATACTAACCTGAAATATACCAAAGACCTAAATGTAAGAACTCAAACTATAAAATTCTTGAAATAAAACATTGGTTAAGTATTCATTAGCTTGGATTAGAAAATGATTTCATACATATAATACCAAATGCAAGAAGGACAAAAGCAAAAAATATAGATAGGTTGGGCTTCATCAAAATTAAAAACTTCGGGTGCTTCACATGACACCATTCAGAAAGTGAAAAGACAGTCTATGCAGTTGATAACAATACTTTCAAATCCTATATCTGTTAAGTGCCTTGTGTCTTGAATATATAAAAAACACTTTAAGCTTAATAACAGAAAGACAAATAGCCAGTTTAATACTAGGCAAATAATTTAAAAAGCTACACAAATACTCAATAAACACAAGAAAGGTGTGATGGTTTCCTTTATATTTCAACTTGACTGGGTTAAGGAATCCCCAGATAGCTGGCAAAACATTATTTCTGGGTGTGCTTGTGAAGACGTTTCTGAAAGAGATTGGCATTTGAATTAGTAGTCGGAGTAAAGAAAATCTATCCTCGCCAATGTGGGTGGGCGTCATTCAATCTCTTAAGGGCTCAACTCAAACAAAGAGGCAGAGAAAAGATGAAATTGCTTTTCCTTCTTTAGCTGGGACAGGCATCTTCTGCCCTTGGACATAAGAGCTCCGTTGTCCTTCAGACACCAGAATGTATACAAGAACCCCCTTTTCACCCCTTTCTCTCAGTCCTTTGACTCAGACTGAGAATTACACTATTGGCTTTCCTGGGTCTCAGGCGTTTGTACAGTACAGAATTATGCCGCTGCCCTTTCTAGTTTTCCAGCTCCCAGACAGAATATCATGGAACTTCCATAATTATGTGAGCCAATTCCTATAATAAATTCCCACTTGCATATCTATATACACAAATCCTAGGTTCCGCTTCTCTGGAAAACCTTAACTAATACAACAAGATGATCAATATTATTAATCATTAAGAAAATCTGAATCAAAATTCACTTTATACCTACTAGGATATGTATAATTTTTAAAAAAGCAAAATAACAAGAGTTGACCAGGGTTTAGAGAAATTGCAACTCTCATATTTTGCTGGTGGGAGTGTAAAACTATGCAGCCACTTTGTAAAACAACTTAGGAGTTCCTCAAAATGTAAAGCACAAATTTACTGTATGACTCAGCAATTCCACTCTTAGTTATGTTCCCAAGAGAATTGAAAATGTATCTATACAAAATATTGTCTTCATATACATATTCATATATAAATTTCACTATTCAAAATAACTGAAAACTGAAAATTAATCCAAATGTCCAGGAACTCAAGAATGAATAAAAAATACGTTACATCTATAGAGTCAAATGATGTTTATATATAGAAAATGAAGTACTGATATATGCTACAGCTGGATGAACCCTAAAACATGATGTTAAGGGAAAGAAGCCAGATATTTTAAATTTGAAATCATTTTTATCATTATTATTATTTGAAAAGTTATTTTATCATTATTACATTTAACCAAATCATATTTCATTATTATATTTTCTTTGGCAAGGTTAATTAATTTTCAGTTTAAATGACACACTGTAGTGGAGTCCGTGATTTATCACTGTAAAAGGCTACACTAATGTTTATTATCTAATATATTTATGACCTTTCATTGTTATGCAGTCATTTTGAAAGTTTATAATTAAGAAAGACAACAGCAAAACCCTAGTGAATCACATGGTGTAAAAATTTTAAACTACAACTGTTACACTTCGGGGAAATTTTACTTGAAAATACAGAAACAAATTAAAAAACTATGAGGATTAAACAGGTAACTTAAGATTTAGTAATTCTTTCCCCACCTATACTAAAGATATCTAAAACATTTCCCCACTGCCAGAAGAGATCTGGGAAATTTTTATTGCCCTAGGAAAAAAAGAAACTCCCTTCCACATGCTATACTACAAGACTGTTTAAAGTTAGATTCAAGGGCTGAATTAATGTAAAAATAATTGCATAAATCAGTATAGGCTAAGTCGTCAAACAAGAAACATTTTTTTCTCACATTCACACATGTTCCTCGTGAATTTCGGGGCTCTGCTCCACCTCTTCCCTTACTGCAACCTAGGCTGATGGGAAAGTCATTTTTTCAAATGTTTTTTATCATATGCCACAGGGAAAGACTTGTGAATTGTTTCTAGTATAAGCATCATGAAGAAACTAGAAGGAAAATATATGCAAATATTTATACGTTATGGGAAAGAGTGTTTTGGAAATATAACAAAAATAATAGATTTGGCTATATTAAATGTAAAATTGCATAAATTAGAATATTATGAAGTAAATTAAAATGCAACTGACTACTAAATAAAATACAACACATGAAGCAGAGATGCCTAATATCCTTAATCTAGATTAGTTTATATTGAGTAAAATATAAAAACCTTTAAAAAGAAGCTCAAAAAATATAAAAACAGAGTCTATTTACTAAAGAAATAAAAATGTGACTGAACATAAGAAACATTTAACTTTATTAGTGATCAAGTAAATACAACATAAAACAACAATGTAAAACATTTTGTATTATGATTTACAAAAGAAATGAAAATCTGACTAAACATATGAAACATTTCATTTTATTAGTGATCAAATAATTACAACATAAAACAATAATGTAAAACGTTTTATGATCCAACTGGTGAAGAATAAAAAGATTGCTAATAACACAAGGCCTCATTCCTGACTTTCTAAATTTATAACACTATATCCATTTGCTTATATTTTTACATCTCCATTCTTTCTCTAGAACGTACACCTAATAGCAAGAACTTCATCTAATTTTTCACTACTGTCTTATTGCCTGGAACTATGTCTGAGCCTTATATCCTTCAGTCTGTACAATGGAAAATATATTTCTATTCTATCAAGGTTTATTTCTCAGTCTCACAAACTTCCCTACGGGCTTATGACACTCTCCAGAGCAGCAGTCCCAATATCATGCTTCAACTTTGCAGGCTGTTTTGCCCTTGAAGAACATCAATATCATCAACACACATCCAGAACCATCATGGCAGGTGACGAGACCACAGAGGTGATCATGATTTTCTGATATTTTTTTACTTAAAACTGACACCTTTTACTCCCCCTTATAATTTGTTGCCTAAAGTAAGCCATATGGCCATACCAACAAGGAAATAGAACCTGAAATACACAGGTCTACTAAAGTATGTGTTCAATATATAGTTTTCTTCAAATGCCTGATGGAATGTTCTACACTGGGTCTCCAAGACTTCTAACATTACAGATGGCGCCACCCACAGTCTCTTCACAATTCTATGGTCAGGAAAGAAAACGTAATCATCCAGAACAGAAACAAAGGAGGAAAAGTGAGAGCAGTAAAGAGAAGCTATTATGGACATTTGGGTTGATTCCAAGTCTTTGCTATTGTAGATAGTGCTGCAATAAACATACATGTGTGTTTGTCTTTATAGTAGAATGATTTATAATCCTTTGGGTATATACCCAGCAATGGGATTGCTGAGTCAAATGATATTTCTAGTTCTAGATCCTTGAGGAATAGCCACAACAAACTATCACAAGAACAGAAAACCAAACACCGCATGTTCTCACTCACAAGTGGGAGTTGAACAATGAGAACACAAGGACACGGGGAGGGGAACGTCACGCACTGGGGCTTGTCGGGGGTGGGGGGCTAGGGGAGGGATAACATTAGGAGAAATACCTAATGTAGGTGACAGGTTGATGGGTGCAGCAAGCCACCATGGCAGGTGTATACCTATGTAACAAAACTGCACGTTCTGCACATGTACCCTAGGACTTAAATAATAATAATAATAATAAAGAGAAGCTGTTACGTAGTCTTCCATAGAGATGTGGGTCAGTACAAGGCAAGAGAATTTTGTGACTAGCTTTCTAAATTCCAAACAGAGTTGTAAACATGCCATAGTACTATTAAAGGGTGGGAGGGAAAATAAGTATTTTCTTTTACCCTAGACCTATAATTGGAAATCATGTTTGTATTAGCCAGGATTCTCCAGATAGACAGAACTAATAGGATAAATAAATATTAGGTTGGACAAAAGTAACTGCGGTTTTTGCTATTACTTTTAATAGACAAGTATAGATATGGATATAGATATAGATATAGATCTATCTATATCTATATATAGGATACATAGATATACCCTATATATCTATATAGTATCTAGTAGGATAATTGGCTCACATGATTATCGAGGCTGAGTTATACAATTAAAATACAAGCCAAAGCTTAAGCCCCGTTTTTATAAAAACTGGTATAGAATTGTTTTTATTTTAATACAAAATTATAATTTTGATGACTTCATAAGTTTACGTGTAGAAAATATAATGGTGAAATAGAACATTCACTTACATTTTTGAGGTCATTTTTCAGCTTTTAAGTTAAGAAAATATAGAGGAAATAAAGAGAAGTGATAATTAGCAGTGGGAGAACAAATTATATAACAATTCAAAAAATTTTTTAAAATTACCCAGATCTTATATTGCCCTGATCAATGTATCAGATATCAGTACCAGATGAGTATATTTCAAAATTTTAGTAATAAAAATTGGACAATATAAGATTAGCTGAGGAAAAAACCAAAGTCTCATTCAAAATTCATAGCACAAAAGGGATTTGAAAGCAAGCATAAATTTTGGGCAGGAAGTGAGAAAAATTACTTTCTACATTTTTGTGGTTAAATCTGAGAAACTATGATTTAATCAACATATTCTTGCTTATTTGTAAGAGTACTAAAACATCTGATTATATTGTCCAGAGCATTCCAGACAGTTGCTTTTTACAGTTGCAGTATACCTTTTGCAAAAACTAAGGTCAGAAATAATAAATTCTGTATAAATAAGTTACTGTAATTCACTTTGGGTAAAAAAGTACTTTCTTCCTTACGGTTTATTTTTCCTGAAGGAAAAATATTCATTTAGCAATCACAATGGACCAGGAGCTTGTTCAGGTGATGAGACACTCGCGAAACAGAGTAGCCAGGGCAGAGACTGCCAATGCTCCCGGGAATTCATTATCTTCATTTTCCCTGAGCCACAGAGCCTTGTGATCTCTCCACAACCTATCATCGTGGATTAGCTGGACACACAGTGACCTAATTTAGAGAAGAGAGTTCTTGGCCTCCATTTAAACGACATGTGGCAGCATTGGAGTAACTTTCAACCAGTGAAAGGTAAGCAGAAGCAAGACATGTGACTTCCACATAAAATCCTTCTAACGAAATTGTTTTTTGATTTCAAGTGACTTGAAGGAACTCTTTGTGTGAGTGGGTTTTTTCATACTTTAAATAAAAACAGTTTTATGGAGGTGTGATTGACATAAAATAGACTGCACGTATTTAAAGTGTACACTTGGTAAATTTTGACATATGGTTTCACGTACGTGTGAAACCATTACCACATTCAACGAACGTAACGAACGTAACTGTTGTCTCCAAAAGTTTCCTTCCACCCTTTTGTAATTCCGTCTTCTTTTTCCTCCCCACTTCTCTCTTATCCTCCCTAAACAACCTTTTCTCTAACTGTAAAACAGACACGCTGTTGGCGAGGTGGCGTTGATCCCTTGTTCAATACAACACTTAAGAGGATGCCACAAATTCAACATAGAAGGAACCGGAGTCCTTATATAATTGAATCAGTGGATTGAATACATTTTGCTCACTTGTCTCTGGACTGTCATGTGAGGGGGAAAAAAATGACATGATTGAATAGGTCCACTCCATTTTCTGTTTTTTTTGTTTGTTTGTTTGTTTGTTTTAATTACCTACACCACTAACTAGCAGAATCTTTTCTTCTTGGAATTAATACTCTAATGAACAGTTTGTTCAAAATTAAATCAATAAAATGTGGCCACATTTCTTACTCACCGAGACATTTCTTGTTTTATCCCCCCAGGGCTCTCTGTTTTAAAAATTAAGGTCCTCATTTTCCTGTGAAATAGTATCTAGTCAACGTATTTCCAGAAAATGTATCTTCATTATTATTTTCTTGTATTTTCAAGTTTTGGTAAATTTGGTTTTGAAAAGACTGATTAATATTTATTTCCAGTGGATTTCCTCTCTCATGATAAGGCAAATTTAAATACAGCTTTAAATCATAATGGCATTAATTCCTCACAGGGAAATCCAGTGAGGTTTACCAGCATTTTTGACCTACTTTCAAAGTGAATTTTCTCTGTCAAAAGATGTAGCTCAACTAAAAGAAAAAAAAAAAAAAAGGAAAAAAAGAAAGAAAAAGAAAAAAAAAGGAAAAAAAGAAAGAAAAAGAAAAAAGAAATATTCAGAAAGATTAAAAATAAGTGTATGTTATGACTCTACAAGTGTAGGAAATACTACTTTATCTCAGTCTCAAGTTCTTTTTATTCACATATCCAAATTCATTCAAATATGCTGTTTATAACATATGTAAATGTGTAGATAGATAAAATGTGCTTAGAAAATATTATATAAATAGTATAAAGATAAATATATCATATATAAATGTATATTTTATTTTAATATTCATTAAGCTTATTTTTAGTAGCACTATTTAACTTATAGAAGGGGGATACAAAAATATGCAGATTAGAGCAAGCTGGTTAAAGCGTAGGGTCTGGGTCCGGAATGCCTGGTTTGCATCCGCTTCCTCTCAGTAGTGTGACCTTGGCCAAGTTTACCCAAACATGCTGTGCTTCAGTTTCCTCATTCATGAAGTGGGCAATAATAGAATCTTTTCTTAGTACAGCTGAGAAGATAAAAAACATTTTTCAATAAAATCACTTACAGCTTAGATCAAAAAAAAAAAAAAAAAGAAAGAAAAGAAAGCACAGATTGTCCCTGATTAGGATGAGGATGATTTGACTTACAAATTTTCAACTTTATAATGGTGCAAAACCATTGAAATTTTGACATACGGTTTTCAATAAACTATATAACATAGTAAACACCTTATTACAAAATAGGACTTGGTTCGATGATTTTCCCCAACTGTAGGCTAATGTAAATGAGAGCACATTTAAGGTAGGATAGGCTAAGCAATGATGTTCAGTAGGTTAGGTCACATACACTAAATGTGTTTTCCATTTATAATATTTTCAACTTATGATGGGTTTATCAAGACATAATCCCATTGTAAGTCGAGGAGTATCTGTACATATTTTTTTCTTTTTTCATTAAAATTATACACCTCCTTATACTATAGGTGACTTTTCATTTTAGCATGGTATGTCCCATCATATCTTGTGCTCTGATAGAAAAAATTCTCACTGATTAACTCACAGTTAAGTTAATTATCGCACTAAGAATGGTTTGAAGATGTTATATTCCATGTTGACTTTATAAAACTGGAAAGAGTTACTTTAAACTAAGTATAGGAAATACAAATTCAAATGAGTTTATATATGTCAAAGTAACGTTTATAGCAAAATTGTTCTGATCTTATAACAGAGTTTGATTATGCATCAGTTTAATTTTTGTAAGCATCAATTTTTATGATAATAATTTCTTACATTCTTGAAATATTTTGATCTTTTGTATAATTTGTGTCATATATTTCACTAGAAAAATGAAAAAAATTTGAAAAGACACCAAGAATAATTATTTCCTGTCTGCTTAATTAAACAAACAATAAAAATTATTATTTTAAAGCAGTTATTTTACTCTGTTGAATATAGAATTACAAGGTGGTTCAATAACAAGGAATTAATAATTCAGTTACTCTGAGTGTCATTAAAAAAAAACCTACCTATGTGTAAAAATATTTATCTTTATAAGTAAGAATGTTTTGAGTCGAATATACACTGGTAAATGCTTTTTTTTTTTTATCAATGATGGCCACTCAACCAGTGGGGAAAGAAGGACATATTAGACTATGGAGTACTATATGGTCAAAAGGTAAAGATTCTTGTCCAAGTCGGCCACTGTTAGTTTGGGGATTTGGAGAAATGCTTTGATTTCCTCAGGGAATTCGTTTCCATTTGTAAAAATTAGACAATTGAACCAGCAATTTTATTGTTTTAATCTGAAGCTTACCCTTTGGATCATGAAAATCTTATATACCCAGTAAGATTCCCGAGAGAAAAAAAAATAAATGAATAACCCGATTATGAATATCTTTGTCTCATTAGGTGATAATAATGAACATAACACAAAGTTATCTTCATGAACCAGAGGCATTGTTGTGGACCTTGATCAGAGTATCAAGTTATACACAATGACAAATTTTATAAAGACTGATTTGTCTAAAAAAAATTTGTTTCTACAACAAATGGTCCAGGGTAGATCTAATTTTCATGCCTTCTTTCTCACTCTTTGGTGTCTCTCTTTTTTATTTATTTGTGTATCTATCTCTGACACCACCTTTACTATCCCACTTTAATAGATTCCACTCTGAAACTATATGAACTAAGAAAGGAGCAAAGTGATTTCTTATAGAAAAATCAGTGAACCATTACTAGAACAAGTGGAAGGATGTACAGAATGCTATGGTTTGAATGTGTCCCCTCTAAAATTTAGGTGTTGTCAATGTGACAGTATTAAGAGGTGGAGCCATTTAAGAAGTGATTAAGCCATGATGTCTCCTCCGTAATGAATGAGAGTAAGTGCCCTTATAAAATGGCTGGATGGAGGGGGTTTGTCTCTTTTGTCTTTTGATTTTCGGTCATGTGAGGGCACAGTATTCTTTATCTCGAGAGAATACGGCATCAAGTCACCATCTTAGAAGCAGTAACTGAACTGTTCTCAGACAACGAACCTGCTGGTGCCTTGAACTTGAACTTCCCACCCTCCAGAACTGTGAGAATTAAATTTTTGTCCTTTATAAATCTTCTGCTCTGAGGTATTTTGTTATAATAGTACAAATGAACTAAGTCACTGATAAAAAAAAAAGACAACAGCCAAAGCAAATAGCAAAGATTCACACACTCTAAAATAGATGACATTTCATAAAGTGAATCATCTTTTACTTAATTCTAACAATGTTGCAGAAATATCAAAATGATAACTTTTTTGGACTTGATAAACCTTGCAGGGATATTTTTCTTACTATACGGTAATTGCGCTATTACTATTATTTCTTTCCTCTCTGTAAATTTGTGCAATAGTATGAAACAAGAGTGAATTTGTTGTAAAGATAATCATATTAGATCTAAATTGGTATTCTTCATTTGCTTTTAAACAATTGTGTGACTTTGGTCATGGAGACATGACTTAATCTCTCTCAATTGCAAAGGAAGTAATAAAGCCATATTTGCCTCAATTTTCACTTACAATTAATAAATATCCTGTTTCATATCACTAAGTTTTTAGTATTATGATTTGAAATGCCTAGGTAATACATGCATCCTGCTTATATGTGATGAAGGTGATTTCTCCAATCATCCTTTGTCCCTAGAAGAACAGTAGAAATGAAAGTCCCAGCACTCATCTTTGCCCTCCATTACTATATGTTTATTTCTGGGAGAAAAATATTAACTCATTTCTAAGTCATCCAGATAAAAATAGAGCCTCTCAAGGCACCAGTTAACCTCAGCATTAAATTACTTTAACTTTAATTTGTTTAGTTCTCCAGATTTCAACACCAACCATGTTTGATTATATTTTCTCTGTTAGGGAAATTTGAAGGAAAGATTATCTGTATAATCTCCCCTTATATATATCATGTATATGAACATATATTTCATTATATTAATGTATAATATAAATATAATTATATTAATATGTAATATAAAAATATTTCTATTAATATATTATACATATTCACACAGCAAATTTCAATGGACTATTACAATAAATTCTTAGTTTTATAACATCTGTATATGGTCTAGAAAACTGACCAGTATTACTTTAATTCACAGATAATAGTCTATCTTGGTACAGATGGTTGGTTGGTTACATGTGTCATTTTTCATTAAGTTTAAGATTAGATTTAATATAACTATACCTGAATATTTCATGAAAAGATTTTAGGAAACCAATTGTAGTCTATTAGCTTCACTAGCACTTAATTAATGGAAGATTCTGGAAAACATAAAAAAGGAAGAGGAACATATATAGGTCATTTAACCTCCTAATGATGCAATAGTGTATTTCTGCAGATCATTAATAAAGTCATCATGATGGATCTTTTTTCTTTTGGAACAGAATTTTCTAAAGTAACAAACTTCATAGAAATTCAGGAATTGCATTGCTTTATTAAGAGTTATTTTAACCCGTTGAGATTCATAACCGTGATAACTTATATCCTAATTCTGTTTAATGTAAATTTTAGGAGAACTTTTGGTTTCCAATATAATAAACCTTCTTAATATTTTAAGAATAAAGGGGTTGAGATTGTTAATATAAATGTACAAGGATGTCTCCTAAAACACAAGATCATGAATAAAATCTGAAATTCATACGGAACCAAACCGTAAATGATAAAACTGTCATGGTCCAAAGCCATTCTACCCAATCTTTCTTTTAAGGACATTTTAATAATTATGTAATATTGTAAGTAACAAGATCTTATTTTAGAAATGGAATATGAAAAAGGAAAAATAATTATTTGCCTAGGAGGAATGGGAGTAAATTGGAATCAATAGGTGAAGGACCATTTGAAAGAACTTTCTATTTCAGTTGCATGAGCTCTGACTTCAGGATCTGATAGTCTATCTCTAAGACTGTACATGGTGAGTTTGTTTGATTTGATTATAGTACTTAAAATATTTTCATGAGAATGTAATGATTCTGATAAAAAAAATGAGACCATATTTTGACTAGAGAAAAACTTTTTTACTGGGGTGTCAGAAAAGTTCATCCTGACAGTAAAAACAACTTATAACTGAGACCTACTGCTTTAGTCTGCATTACTCATATTCTAGTAAAATATTTATGCTAATGTGCAAAAGACTCTGGGCTTATCATAATTTTAAAAGATTTCATCTATATCTATTTTGAAATATGTGATGAGAGAGTACACGATTTAGTTGATTATAATTAGCTCAGCCACTTTAATTTTTTTATTCTAAAATCTGTTTTTTGAGGATTTTGTGGGGACTTACCTTTCAATTTCTTTTTCATCACTGATAGAGCATATGTAAAATAAAGTATATATCCTTCAGCCTCTTATCCTCCCCAGAGCATATATAAAATAATGTACATACCATCCTTTAGCCCCTTATCCCTCCCCCTAAAAAAGATCCTTAATCAAACTTAGATCAGTCCCATTCAAATAAGTATGAATTAGTAGGGCCTTATCTGTCTCTGGGAAAAACTGACGCTGGAAGTTTTATAGGTCAATTCATTCTTACTTTCAGACTTTTTAAAAGAGCTAACATCATCGAGTCTTTAAAACCAAATCACTGTTATATATGATTTCTTTTCCATTCATTTACAACTGTCATTTTTAATTCATTTTTAGATTGCACTTAATTGAGAATAAAATCCGGACCTTGACTATCATGAGGGGCACATTAATTTTAAAGTTCATTTGTATAAGATTTGTTTTTAATCACAGTGATTTTTCTTTTTCATCTCTGTTTGCATTAGGGCTGGGCAAAAGGACAAGAAGAAATATTGAGTCCATCTAACTTTTATTGATTAAGATGATGTGAACAACTAACAAAGTTTCATTATCTAAACTGCTTACTCAATACTCAGAAATATGGGCATTTAAGCATGGTATTCCATTGGCTGAAATGTTACAATAACTTCCTGTGTTTACATTATTGCAGATGCATAATGGGGTGAAATTCTAAAATTTTCATGATCCATGAACTATATTGTAGATCATTCTAATGTGGGGTGAAGAAAAAGCATTGGAATATTTAAATGAAGGCAGGAGAAGGGGAGCCATGCCATAAAATGAAATAGTTTATTTGAAACATTTATACAAACTCTCCCAACTGGGTGCATTAAAACCCAATGATGGTGTTCTAATTCTGCTAAAATAAAAGGCAAAAATCTGTGACTGTCCACTTTGAAGTCACCACCAGCTCTACACTCTGTCCAACTCACTAGCCTCATCTTAAATTACTTTTTCCATCCCTTTGAAGACTCTGGACATGTAAGAGTTCTTTCAGATCCGCATTTCTTAAGCTTTTAAGCAATGTAACTTGTTCCAGGATGCTTTTTCCCTTTGCCAGAAGTGCCTCCCTCTACTTGCTCATCCCTACATTATATCCCCTTTGCTTTGGGTAACTCTCGTGTCTTCTGCTGTATCAGTCATCTTAATGCCCAGACCTATTTCCTCAGGATAAACTAGATGTTTTTCTTCTTATACTTTTGCATCACCAGCAAATGGTACATGAGAGAAACATCTTAACATAGTCATGGATTTAGATTTAGCCAACTTCTGATTATAAATTCTATGGATATTATTTTTATAGAAGTTACGTGCTTTTCTATTTCTTTTGTAACAAATAACAATTAAGTAGCTTAAACAACAAAGATTTATTCTATCAAAGCTCTGAAGTTATTAGTTTGAAGTGAATTTTATGGGGCTAAGGTCAAGGTGTCAGTGGAACTGCTTTCCTACTGGTGCTCCAAGGAAGAGTCTATTCCTTGCTTTTTCCAGCTTCTAGAGGCTGGCAATGTTACTTGGCTTCCTGACTGCAGCACTGCAACCTCTGCTTCCATCAGCGCATCACCTTCTGTGACCTTGACTCTCTTGGTTCTCTCTTATAAGGGCTATCACAGGAATGAAACAAACATTTCTAAATAACTCATGAGCCAAAGGAAAAAAAATGGAAAATTTTTTAAAAATTATAGCTACATTGTAGTTGAAATTCTTTCTACTAGAACTTTTGAACTGCAATAAAACAGTGCTTACAACAGATATCATAGCCTTAAGTTTTCTTTAAAAAATAAAGCTGAAAATTGTATGAATTACAAAAAGAAGAGAATAAACATAAAGACAATGGAAGAAAGAGGATGATAAATCAGAATGCGAAATCAATAAGCTAGAAAATAAAGTCACAATAGAGGATAAAGAAAAGAGAAAGTTCTTAGAAAAATATAAATAAAATAAACAAACCTTTTGAGAAAGAAACCATGTATAGAAACTACTCAGAATAAATAAGGGAAGTTAACTACAAATATAGCATATATTTAAAATTTGTAAAAAAAAAAATAAAATAATTTTATGCAATAATTTTGAATTCCTAAGTAGAATGGGAAATTTTTTAAATAATTAAACTTGCAGTATGTTGAAGAAGAAATTAAAATACCAAAGAATCTTATAGATTTAAACAAATTGTCATAATTCAAGATGTTAAAAGAAGGAAAAATTATGACTTGAACGATTTGTAGATGGTTCTCTCAGATTTTCAAAGATTAGCTAATTTCAGTTATATAAAACTCTGAGGATAGCAAAAGTTGCACTTACTTTATTATTTTTAGATTAGCATAACGTTGTTACAAAACCATGTAAAAACAGTATAAAGATGGAAAATTAAAGGTCATTTTCATTAATAAACATGAATAAAAATTTCCCAAATACAATTTTTAATAATTTGCAGCCATGGATAATAGATACAAATCTAATCCAACAAAATTGAATTCAATCCAATGTGGATTAACATTATAAAATTTATAAACGTGAGCATTAATGTTAATAATATCAGTGGAGAAAAAATTATGACATCAGTAAATAATGAGGAATTATAATACACATTCATGATTTAAAAAATGTAAACCTAGAAAACTACGAATAGAAGGTGACTCAATCCAGGATTACACATTGGATTTCCTTTTATTTCTCTTTAATATTTTCCAGTGTGAAACAGTTTATTAGCTTCTCTTTGTCTTTCATTATTTTGAAACTTTCGAAGATAGTCGAGTATTTATTTTGCACAATATTTGTCGATTTCAGTTGGTCTGATGTTTTCTTGTAATTTTTCTTGTGCATTTTGGAAGAAATTCCACAAAAGTGGTGCTACGTCCTTCTCACTGTACCATGTCAGGAGACTCATAAGGTCTGGTGATGCTAACTTGATCACTGGGTATGGTGGCCTCTGCCACATTTTTAACTATAAAGTTAACCAATTTATCGTCATAATTATGAACATCCTGTGAAGAGATATTTTGAGACCTTGCAAATATCTTATTTCTAATCCACTAAATTAGTATTCTTTGATAATGCTTGTTGGCAGCAATTAATACTTTCATGTTTGCCAAGGCAAACTTTCCTCTTAATAGTACAGTTTTAGAAATATTCCCATAGAAATTTTTTGAATGGTGCATGCGTTAGTTTCCTTGGGCTATCATAACAAAGTCCCACATACTGTGTGCCATGAAACAACAGATGTTTATTCTTTCACAGTTTTGGATGCATGAAGTCCAAAAGTCCTTGCCAACTAGGCCATGCTCTCTCTAAAGCCTTTAGAGGAGAATTTGTTATACCTTTCATTTAGCTTCCAATGCTGCCAGCTAATCTTGGGGTCCCTGGTCCTGTAGATCTATCTTTCCAATCTCTGCCTCCATCTTTAGATGGTATTCTCCCCTTTGTATCTGTGTCTCTGTGTCTTCTTTTTTTATAAGGACACCAGTCATATTGGATTAGGGCCTATCCAATGACCTTGTTTAACTTAATTATATCTGCAAAGACCCCATTTTCAGACAAATTCACATTTGCAGGCACCAGGGATCAGAATATCAATATATTTGGAGGGGGGCACAATTTGACCCATAACAGTGTCAATGGATCTTCACTTGTACAGAAAATTGAATTGGTTATACTAGCAAATACATGAAAACCAGCTAAAAATTATCAGACAATAAGACATGGTAAAAAGTGTAAAGCTTTAGAAGAATAAAAAAAAACTTACAGATAATATGATCATTTATATGAAAATGTTTTAAATCTACAAAATAATTTTAGAATTATTAAAATAGTTTAGCAAAGTGGCTAAATAGAAATTATATGTTAAAATCAATTCCACTATTATAAACTACAGACAGAATGTGACACTTAAAATATCTACCAATTACAATAATAAACACATTGAGTACATATGTGCTTCCTCTCTGTCATATCTATCTATACAAATATATATATACAGAATATACATGCACATATAAACTTTAAATTTTTAAATGTGTACTATATAATATGATGCATATGTCTACATATCTGAGATTAAAGAGGAAATTATAAATCCTTATTTAGCAACATTAAAGATTATCTAAATTGGGCCAGGCCTGGTGGCTCATGCCTGTAATCCCAGCACTTTTAGGAGGCCGAGGCAGGTGGATCATTTGAGGTCAGGAATTCAAGACCAGCCTGGTCAACATGGTGAAACCCCGTCTCTACTAAAAATACAAAAATTCGCTGGTCGACAGTGGTGTGAGCTTGTAATCCCAGCCACGTGGGAGGCTGAAGCAGGAGAATCCCTTGAGCCTGGGAGGTGGAGGTTGCAGTGAGCCGAGATCATGCTACTGCACTCCAGTCTGGGTGACAGAGTGAGATCCTGTCTCAAACAAACAAACAAAAAAGATGATCTAAATTACTGCTGAGCCAGACAGGTGAAAAATAATAAATATACAATTTTATCTACAATTATAAAAGGGACAATTCTATCCCACATCTTCATCTTTTTGTTATATTTAAATCTCTGCATGATTTAGAGAAGAAAGCTTGAGAAAAATGTACTGAAATTGCTAGTTGGCTAAAACAGGCATTCCCAATCCTCTTCTCTTTTATTCATCTCACATTGTAGACTAAGGTGAAGAACTGCCATTCTGAAATCCTAACATGGCTAAGGGTGGCCATGTGACCAAGACCTACTTATTGAGGTAGAAAGAAGTCTGTTCTGGGGCTTGTGGGCAGGGTTTTCTTTCTAGTTAAAGAGACAGAGCTTAGGAAGGAAAAAGCATTTTTTTTTTTTTTTTTGAGATGGAGTCTCCCTCTGTCACCCAGGCTGGAGTGCAGTGGCACGATCTCGGTTCACTACAACCTCCAACTCCCGGGTTCAAGCGATTCTCCTGCCTCAGCCTCCTGAGTAGCTGGGACTACAGGCATGCCACCAAGCCTGGCTAATTTTTGTATTTTTTAGTAGAGATGGGGTTTCATCATATGGCCAGGCTGGTCTCGAACTTCCGACCTTGTGATCCGCCCGCCTCAGCCTTTGAAACTGCTGGGATTACAGGTGTTAAGCTACCGCGCCTGGCCGAGAAAGCCTTCTTGACCTGTCTTTTGCTTCCTGCCTTTGGACCCAGCGAAGGAATGTGACACTAGAGTTGCTGTAGTTAGTCTGAACACAGACAATAACATGAGGTGAACAACCAACGCAGACTGGTGAAGCTGAAGCTGGAGGAAGAGTTGTCCTCAGTGGCCTTTTTGAGCTGATGACCCAGCCCTGAAGCTATCTCCTTCCAGTGTTCCTAAGTGAGATAACAGATGTTGCCGCTCACTTTCATTGTGAATCTGGAAATCTCTTATGCACATTTTATGGTGCATTTCTGTAAATATGTGAAACGTTATAGAGAAAGAAATGAATCAACTAACAATAAAAATACTGAAAAATGAGAATATTGTGATAAAGGTAAAAAAAATAAAACCCAGCTTCTTTACAGCTATGTATTCTTTTCTCTTTTTTTAAAAAAAAAATTGGTACATATGTTACAGTGACAAATTTTACATTTAATTTTGTAGAAGAGTATTTTCTTAAGACCAAATATTTCATAAGAGTTAAATATATGAAATGTAAATAAACTATTTTGCTATTACCCAGCTTCCTAGAATTTCTAGGGCTCAGAGAGACACAATTAACCATTAGCCCTCTCCTGCCTCTGGCTTCCATTCCACATCACAACACACAGTGGATGAGTGATTTCAGAATAAAACAAGTGGAGGTTTGAATCCCAGCTTTGTAATTTGATAGCCATTGATCCTGCACAAAATTGCTTAATTCTCCTCAGCTTCAATTTTATCATGTAAAAGTGGTGTTATTCGTCGAACCTTAGATATTTATTTCGGGGATTAAATGAGATGATATATGTAGTTTACCAAGCATGTGCCTGACACATTGGAAAAGCTTTACAAGAAATTTTCTTAGTTTCCTATCTCCCTTAGTTTTTAAAATTTGATCATTTCTATCATTTAGCAATTTTCTAAGTAGTAAAGAACAAAGTAAATAATATCTTGAACCCCCTTGTTTCATCTGAAGGAAAGTAGAGATACAGATTCCTGATGAAAATGTTCTATAAATGTAAGCGCCAAAGCAGAAGTGCATTTCTATGGCTTAGCGTACACATTTTAGAAGCAAGAAAAGCTCTACAGTGAATATTCTCTGAGTGGCTTTTCAATAGGATCTGCTTATATGTGAAGATGCAGAAGTGAAACTGCCACTGACACACAGAGAAGCGCATCTTTGTTTGCAGCCTATTCCCCTGCCAAGTTTCAACAAAAGCCCCTCCAAAAATAAGAGCAAGGATTTCCATTGTGGTCGGTGTCACAAAATAGGGAGTTCTGTTCTGGGAACAGTAATAAAAAACAAACCCCTTCTCTAATTGCAAGAATCAATCGATTTTCATTCAAGACTCTCTATCAGTGAACCGACTGATAATATTATACTTCATTCTCAAAGATGGAAAAAGTCAAACAGAAATAAAAATAAATAAATATTTAAGCCCAAGACACAAAGAAAGTGAGACAAGTGTGTGTTTTACTTAAAAGACCTGATGGTATCCAAACATATATACATAATTGTTTTTTTTAAAAATGTCATTACAGAGGATTAGGATATCTCTTTAAAATCAGACCTAAATATACACACTGGTGCTGCAGCTGTCCATAACCTCGCTCATTTACATAGCATAGCATAGCATAGCATGGCATGACATGGCACAGCACAGCACAGCACAGCACAGCACAGCATAGCATAGCATAGCATAGCATAACATAGCATAGCATCGGCTTTAAGTTTTAAAACCTTTGAATTTTAATTTTTTTTTATTTTCCTGTACCCACATACTTATAATTTAAAGGAAGTATAGGCTTGGGTAATTTTATTTTACTGTCTGCATCTTTTGTTGCTAAATTCTGACGAAGATTGACCGAACTTCATTTGGACTGCTGAAGCTCCCCTCTCACTATCTGTGCACGTCCTTGTGAAATACCGTTTTAGCTAAAACTCTGCTGATGTCTTTTAGCCAGAATTTCTGATCCTCCATAAGTGACCATCCTAGATACCTCACTGAATTCCTCATTCTCCAGTATTCCCCAATCGATGTCTGGTCGCCCTGGCCCATCATCAGCAAAATCCTGTTAGGTTGATTAAGCCAATATCCCCCTTTACACTTGATGTTTCCTCTTAGTAATTTCCTACCCACTGATCACCACTCTGTCCTTGGCTATCAATTTGCATGTCTCTATGCTGTATTTAGAGCTGGACCCACTTCTGTACAGATCTCTTTCCCCCTATTGCAATAGTTCTGAATAACATCTGTTTTTACCACTTAAACTACTGTCCAGCTCTGATTTTCTTTGACAGTTGTGTACTAATAAGTTACCTGATGTAGTAATATTAAATTGCTTTTTGATAACAAAATGTGATCCATCGAGGGAACAGTTTTATTAGATTTAACAGAATTACTGTAAGTAATTTTTCTTGTGTCATAACAATGTATAATTTTATTAAATAATGAGCATTTAAAATCGTTCCTATTTACTTCATTTCCATTTCGTTGAACTTGTAATGGAATAAACTGAGACTCATCTTCTACATACACACTCCCCTCCTCCCTGCCTCAGTTGTGGACATGATTTGGAAACAATAGGCAATAGCTAATTTTTGGCAGAATGGGAGTAATACCTGAATGGCTTAGGCATGAAAGGTGATTTTCAGGGTCTCTGAAGAAAATGAGAGATGTATGAACTGAAAAGGGAGAACTTTGAATTGCTTGATGAAGAATTTTATGAGATTTCAGTAGAAATGGCAAGTTGTAAAACCTGTCTCATCTCCTTACTAAAATGCTTGTGATTTATTAATGAGTTAGAAAACTCGATTGGTTGTTGTAATGTGTGGAACAGCAGTATTCTGCTTTAAAATTGGTTAGTATTACAACAACAATTTCCCTGAGAGTTTCTGCTACTCTTAGTTCAGCTCTTCCAAGTAACAAGCTATTTTCTTTCAAAGCCTAACTACACTGTATAGATAATTTTCTAATTTTCATTAGTTGTTTTATGATTTTTTTCCTCTTGTTAGCCAGTCAGTAGAGTAAGGTTAGAGGTAGACTCAAATATTTTAAGTACAAATTATATTACGGGATCCCCAGACCCTTTACATATTATAAAAATAAGGAATGTTTTCCACAAGCGAAAGAAAACAAACTAAAAACTAATCATGTCTTAAACAAAGGCTTTATTTTTCTCACCACACACGAATTCTAGAGGTAATAACCCAGGGTTAGTTCAAATATTAAAAGACGTTTACTGGAAAAGAAATTATTTCCTCATTTGAGCTTCACCATCCCTAGCACATGGCTTTTATTCTCCTGATGGTAAGATGAATCTTTCATCTTTTCTATATTCGGGGCAGCAAGAAGAGCAATAGGCCCAAGGCATACCCAATTCATCCTGTTTCATAAACAAAACATTCTCAGAAGCCTTTCCCAGACCTTGACATGCATCTCACCAGCCAAAATCCAATAACATGTCCACTTCTAGATGCAAGGGAATCTGGAAAGGAGAGTGGTTTGACTTAGTCCATATAGAAGAAGAAGTAAGTTAATACTTAATAAACTTCCCTTTATATATATATATAAATATCTCCTATTAGTTCTTCTAGAGAACCTTGATTAACTCAGTGGTCATACAACAGTGACAGGTATAAAAATGATGCATTAAAATATAAAGCATATTAAAAGAAACAGCTCTTTTACTTTAAATGTAAACAATAAAAACATGAATAATATTTATGGAGTGATTAGGAGAAAAAAACACATGAAGGATAAATAAAGTTTCACTTCCTACATTAATTGTATTTTAAAATTGTTGTTGAAAAATTGCATAGAGGGTTTAACTCAAGTTTTTCTTAAAGCTTTTCTGTTATCCATCTCAGCTGGTCCAAAGACGATTCAAAATCTGGCTATTATCATATGTACTTGCTGTATCATAAAGTATCAGGGAAGAGGGGCCATCAAATTCTGCTAATATGATTGAAGTCCTAAAAATACAGTTTACATGTTTCCATAAATTTCTGTGATAGAACAGCTAATTCAAGTAATTCACTAGCAAAACTAATTTAAAAATTAAGTGGCATTTGAAAAAGAAAGGATAGGTATGTTAGCGGTAACAGAGCTTTGTATCCTTCAATCCAATAAAGTTGACACTCAGTAAAAACCATCACAAGTCTACCCCTTGTCAACTTGAACCCATACACATCTCCTGAGATCATACATACTCTTCAAATGAAGACAATAATAAGGTCATAATTACACCTAAAATAATACAACTATCCTTTGTACAACTGGAAGTACACCAATCCCCAACCCAAATAAAGTTAACAATACTTAAACGCTAACATGAAGTCAATAAATCTTACATCACATTATAAAGGAAAAGGGAATACAATGAAGATATTTTCTTAGTACAAGTGTATACATGCACAAACATGTTTTTAACAAAATAAGGAGGAAATACTCATTACTGTTACAGTCCTTGTTTCTGCAGCTGGTCACGTGGTCATAGCTGGTACTGTTGACTACCTTCTACTACCCATTTTGTATTCCCTTTGCCTCCAGCAAGCACCTCAGAAGGTCGTAAATTTTTTCCTGGTGGAGTGACCCAAATCTTCGTTCCTGAGGGGTCTGGACCATGTGTAATCCTGTCTGAATCAGGCTGTTGTAGTTTCCCATTGACCTTACTCACAGGTCATGGTAATACTGAGACGTCTTAATGGATCTCCTGTATTCCATGCATACTCTTTCCTTACCGCCATTATGGAGTAGTTGACAGATTTCATCGTGATAGTTTGGGTCAATCACCCCAGCCAATACTATAACTCCTTTCTTAGTAGGAGGACCCCAAAGTGTCCAGGAGGCAATCTTAACTTCCATTTTAATGGAATCATTGTAAATCTGTATTAGTCAAGGTTCTCTAGAGGGACACAACTAATAGGATATATATATAGTATCCAGGTGGTAATCTTAACTTCCAGCTTTATGGAATCATTGTAAATCTGTATTAGGGTTCTCTAGAGGGACAGAAGTAATAGGATACACGTATGTGTGTGTGTGTGTGTGTGTGTATATATGTAAAGGGGAGTTTATTAGGTATTAATTTACATGATCACAAGGTCCCACATTGGGCTGTCTGCAAGCTGAGGAGGAAGGAGAGCCAATCTGAGTCCCAAAACTGAACAACCTGGAGTCTGATGTTCAAGGGCAGGAAGCATCCAGCATGGGAGAAAGATGTAGGCTGGAGGCTAGGCCAGTCACCCCTTTCAAGTTTTTCTGCCTGCTTTATATTCTCTGACAGCTGATTAGATTATGCCCATCAGATTAAGGGTGGCCTTAATCTGCTGGGGTGGTCTGCCTTCCCCAGCCCACTGACTCAAATGTTAATCTCCTTTGGCAACACCCCCACAGAGACACCCAGGATTAATGTTTTGTATCCTTCAATCCAATCAAGTTGACACTCAATATTAACCATCACAACAACTCTCAGATTAATGTTCTCATTTTAACTTTACACTTAAGTTATCTAAATATCATTATAACTTGTTGTTTTTGCTTTTACGCACAGAGACACACAAAAAGACAGAAAGAAGGAGTCAGAGAGAGAGAGAAACACACAAAAGGAAAGAGAAAGAAGGAATTTTACATATGTGATAAATGTGATAATATGCGATATATGATATCACATTATTTTTGTAACATAAAGTAGGGGTAAGTTTTGGAACACATATATACATAATGTCAACACTGAAAGAAGGAGATAATGTGGTTTTATTTTCAATTTCATCAGATGATTGGCCTCTCACATTTGTCCTAATTTAAGTCTAGAGACAGATTAGCGCAGAAAAGATAATGATCTAATTGAAAACTAATGCCTGAGTCTTAAAATCCAGTTTCTCATTGATTTTGCCAACTTCACAAAGTGTCATCTCTGGCATATCATCTTTCTCTGTAAAGCTTCTCAAACCACTTAGACTCACTTTGCCAATTGAAAACATTCCTTTTCTGCTTGAAAAGATCGTGATGAACTTCAAAGCCAGAAATGTGATGCATCTGAAATGGCCTATAATTTGTAGCATGAATATGAAGGAGAGCAGATTTTTAAAATTGATATAACAGGTAAAAAAGTTATGACCATTTCCCTCTCTCAGGTTTTATTTTATACAAATAATGTATCAAAAATCATCGATTATACATAAAACGTTGCTATGAATTCATCTTAAAAGTCTGCTTAGACAGTATGTCCCTCCAATCCTCCAAAATATTCAACAGATGTATGAAAAAAATCACTGAATCAGAAATGCATTTCTTATTGCCCCTATAAAATACTTTCCAAGTACATTGTTATGCAATGCGGGAACATTGCTACCGAGGATTATACAAGATATTATTTATTCTATTTTTCCCATTGCTTTTAGAAGGATCTCTTAAAAATATAAATTAGGCAATATCCAAGACTGCAATCACTCGTAAGTTTTATTTCCCTCTAGGATAAAACTGTAAATCCTTCTCCTGGGACATACATATTGTCTGATCTTACACCTATCACACTCACCTGCTTCTTCTCAATCTTTATTTTGTGTAAACTTATAATAAAATGAGCATTCACATCCAAATTTAAATTTATTTCCATGTCATCAACTAGTTTTACCATGTTTATAATAATTTAGCCCGAAAAGGTATTCCATATTCTACCATCAGGTCAGGAGTTCAAAGATGCTTCCTTTCATCAGAGTCACATGTTTGGGACACATAAATAGTTGAAAGCCCTAATCACATTCTTAGCAAGATTTACAGTCTATATTGAAATTATCTTCTATTTTCCTGCAAAGTCTATAGTGGAACCATATAATGTCTGTAAGGAAATTTTTCTGTATACACATAAGCAAATACACATGTACAAACACACATATACATACTTTACAAAAAGTAGTGCTCATTTTCATTTTCCCTTCTATCAAATTCTGATGATAACCATGGGATAGATTTTACCATGTCTAAAACCATTTCTACTTCACTTCTACTCATATTCTACCCTTCTGAACTTTAAAGCAGGACTCTTTGAGGCCATCTCTACTATTGCCCAGTCCTATCTTATTTCCTTCTCTTGAAATACCATTCATGATTAGTTTTTCTCCTTTTCTTTATCAGAATCTTTTTCTTTTTGCTGTAAGATAAAATTTACTTTCAAGCCAAATTTTTCTTTAAAAATGTTTACTGGGTAATTATTTCTCTTTCCAAATAGGTTCATATTTGTTTATTTACTTATTCTACTGATAAACTGTAAATCATGAATATATTTCCTGTTCCTTAATCCTATGTAGTTATCATTGTTGTACTTCTTTCTACTCAAAAGTCTAACTAGATGAAAGGATATGATTAGTATATGTTCTTTTAAGGACATTAAAACATTTCCACATAGATAGATGAATAGTCCAGATTTCTTCTGGACTAATCTATAGGTCCTAAGTAAGTGAAGTAAGCTTTCTGATTATCTAACCATAAGCAAAAACACAGCATTTTAAATACGTAATCTAAGAGGACAATTCTCTCTGTTAAATAAACCATCCTTTCAATACATTTTGTACTTATTTTTATGAGATATTTAATAATTAAAATTTAACAAAATTTATCTAATTTAAAATTATCTAATACCTCAGAGTATAAATCCATTTAAGTATTATATTTTGTTACTTCTTTAAAATATCTGGAAAAACACTACACTGAAGTTGAAATACTTCCCATGCTTTAATATGCAGATTTCCTAACATATTATTTTCTTAAAATTTTATATTAAATTAACATTGCCAGTGGCAAAGTTCATTCTATTAAAAACTAATAAAGTAATAACTAGAAATCCAGAGACCCTGGTAACAAAGTTACTGAGAACCTAAGGGAAAACTAAATCGAGTATCAAAGGAATGAATAAAGTTAATGTTAGCATTTAAAATATTCTTGAAAGACATAATAAAATGTATTTTTTGCCTAAAATCTCAGACTTCATTACTTCTAACGGAACTCCCATTCATATTACAGACCCAAGACTATGTGAGACCAACTCAAATCAGCATTCTTTTTAAATTGAATTTTTAATGCCATTCAGATAGATCTCATTATGATTATATGAAGGAAGAGAGAGAGAGAGAGAGAAAGAGACAGAGAAATTGATCTCGTTACCATTATATGAAGGAAGAGAGAGAAAGAGAGAGACAGAGAAAGAGACAGAGAAATTGGCCATCACTTTAAAACGTTACTGACTTGTTCTGAAGATAAGAGAAAATGCTTTTTATCATGCATAAGCATCCTGTTAATTCTGTCAATTTTTTGCTACCAACCTTATTCTTAGAACTGCCAAGTTTTAAATATTTCTCTTAGGCTTTTCTCAAATTATCTCTCAGTGACCTAGAAATAAAAATTTCAAATAAGCCCATCTTTGTTTTAAATTCACCAATGTTTGCGATGATTATATAATACAAATATTAATTATATAATACCAATTACATAATACAAATATGGATTAATTTTTAAAATATATACTGTGCATAAATCATAAGCTAAAGCAAGATAAATGCAGTTAAAGATTCAAATATGCATATGTTTTGAAACCAAATAGTCTTTATCTCTTTAATGGATATTAATTAATATTCGATATTAGGAATTAGTCTTCTATTACTGCCTAACTGCTAAGGCATAATTACTGGACTGGAACTATTTATTTTTCTGATTTTTTTGTGAGCTTGTTTAGTATAAAACTAAAATCTCAGATTATTAAAGAGGAGATTTACAGTATGTTATCAGTTGAAAGATTCAATTTTCCCCTACATCTTAACAACTCTGTTATTGGTATATATCTTACAAGTGATGGTATTGCCATAATTTCACTGACTAAGGTTTGGATTGTTTGCTTTTCTTTCTTTTTCATTCCTAGTAGTACATAGAATAATGAAGCATCCTTTGATTGATTGGCAGAATCTTAGATTTGATGAAACATGGTGCTGTCTTTAATTCAAACAACATAATGTTGGAATAAGAATACAATATATATTAGAGAAAGAAAATCATGTGTAGGCTAATAACATGGTCAAAATCTTTCTGACCACATATTGTTTCTATCTCTAATACAATGTCAGAACAGACTAGGTCCAGCCTCCAGTCTCCAGGGCAGCCAGATATGGAAAATAAGATACTGTCATATAGATAATTTATAGAAGTACCCAACCCACCACCATATAGAAACGGTTCTTTTTAATGTTAACTAAAACATCTTGTCAGATCCAGTAGTCAATTATCTGCCTTTGATTTACTCAAATTCACATTATAGTTTGTCAGTTAACCACAAAATTCTTGAAATATTTTTCATATAGTATACAACATGCTCCTGATTTTCTTCATGTGTCATCACTCTCTCTTTTTTCTCAGTCTCTTTTGAGGGATAGAGTTAAGCTTCACAGTGTCTAAGTGCTCCCCTTAACCCTCCTCTCTGCCATTTCTGCATACCTTACCTAGATGATTTTTAACAAAGACTCTGAGCATATAGGTAGAAATAAAGAAATTAATACAGATATAGATGTAGCGATAAGTAATTAATATATCTCTAGTCTTGGACATTTTCACTCAGATTCCTTTTGGACTCAAGAGTTATTAACAGTATTACTTTAAAACTATGTAGATGTTTATTATTTTTTATTAACTGAATATTAATTCTATATTAAAATTTATAGTTATTTTCTTTTTTTATACATTATTTTATGTTATTGTTACACTTAGCACACTGGCTGTATTCATGAATTATAAACATCTGACCATTAATTTATCTACAAGTTATAAATTTAGAATATTGATATTAATTAACTCATTTGCCAAAGTAACCATATAGCATCCACAAATAAGATTTTTTTAATCTTCCCTGCTGTTTAAAACTTTAATTCAGTTAATGTTTTCTGGATAAGAAAGTTCAAGATAATAATGAATAGTGGTGGCCACTCATCAAGCAATTACTTAATCTGATTTATAGAGAGCCTATTTTCAAAGATTTATCATCAAGTATGATGTTTGTTTAGGTATTTGATAGATATCATTATTTGTTTAGGGAAATCTCCTTCTTCTGCTTGGTATGTCATAAAAGAAAAACTTCAGTGTGAGTGTCTTAAAACTTTTAAAATTCACTATCAGTATTGATTAAATTTTTCTATTTCACTGTGTTGAATTGTCTTTTATATTGTTTCACTTAAAAATCAACGTAAACATTGCAAGAAAATTGTTTTTAACTGCTCAATTAATCTATTTATATTTTATTTAGAATTTTCATATCTTTTTTTAGTAATACTTGTCTTTAATTTTCTTTATGTATAGTTTCTTCGTCTGGTTTTCATATCAGGGTTACATTTGGTTCTCGGACATATACAGAGCAGAAGCATCTTCTTTTGCCTTCTCTAGAAGTTCAAATTTAGATAGCAGAAATTTTTAAAGAACAAAATAATAACAGTGTTTTTAAAATAAGGAAATAAAGAAGCAGTAAACCAGAAAATTTGAAGACAGTCAAGAAAATAGTTGGTAAAAGAACACCAAATATGCTGCCACAATCTCCAGAAGAAAAATTGATTATTTCCAAGATGGTTCAGAAGAAGATATAAACTTAAAGGAAAACAACAACAACAAAAAACCTTTTATAAGCATTAGTAAGCAGTGGCTTTCAAGTAATCAATGATCATCCTGCAATTATAACAGTTTGGATGATTGGCTTCTAAAAAAATTGATAATATCAATTGCTGGCAAAGATATAAATCAACAGGGACTCTCACTCATTGCTAATTGGAAATGCAAGTTATACAGCCACTTTAGAAGACAGTTTGGCAGTTTCTTAAAAACATAACACACTTTTAATATATAACCCATCAATGACATTTCTCTCTATTATCCAACTGACTTTAAAACTGATGTCCACACAAAATCATGGATTCGAAGTTTTATTTGTAATTGTCAGAAGCTAGAAGCAACAAAACTGTCCATCAGTAGGCCAGTGGTTTTATAAATTGTGATTCATTATACAATAAAATATTATTTTGCCATGTAAATAAATGAGTTGAACTATCAATTCATAAAAACACATAAATCAACCTTAAATACATATTATTAAGTGAAAGAACCCAGTCAAAAAATACTATATATCTTACTATACCAATTTTATGACTTTATGGAAAAGATTGAACAGTAGAGTCAATAAAATGATTCGTGAATACTAGGAATTTAGGCAGCATCAAAGGGGTCGAATAGGGGAAGCACACAGAATTTTTTTAGAGTGATGAAATTGTTCTGTGTGATAGTGTACTTGCCGATACATAAAAAAATGCATGTGTCAATGCCAGTTGACATTTAAAGCTAAAACTTTAATGCACGCAAATTGAAAAAAAAATAATTTAGGAGGTTGAGGGAACTCAAAGATGGAATGTAAAATATGACAAATCAATCTAATTGTATTATAGATGTATAAAAGAACCTCACTGAACTGTGTTGGCTAAAATGTCAATGTTGGCAGTGAGTGGAGTTTTAAAATCTAACGGCAAAACAAACTGTGCATAAGGACTGCACTCTAGTTGAAACCTGGATACTGTACAGGTTATTCACCTAATAGATTTTGAGAAATGTCTTGGTTTACAAGCAACTGTAATGGTGTGTGCCGTTCATTTTACTTTTGCTCCTTGTAGTTACCAAAGAGTGTCCAATGAACAAACTGAAAATAGAGAATTGATTTACTAGAAATCTAGTTTGAAAAAAAAATTTGGAGACAATAGTCAGCAGGAAGGTATTTTAAATGTGATAGAATAAATTCCTTAATTCCCATTAGTAAGAAGTTAACAAAAGTAAAGATCACAATCAAGAAATTGAACAATTGTATATTTTAATGTGATTAACATCAGAAGTCAAAATAATGAGAAAACAGGAAAATTTAAAAATTTTAAATTTCCTGTTTGTTACATCTGATGAATGAGACTAAGCGTAGGGTCAAGAAAGGATCATTTTAATTTTGGCTTATTTATACCATAGGTTTGAGTAACTTTATTTGAAAATTATGCTCATATAAGAAAAATTAAGAAAAGTCTCTTGAGTAGTCATGCTAAAGAGGAAACCTAAAATTATATTCAGATTATTTCTAAAGCAGTATAAAAGATAATACATCTCAAATACATGAGAAGTCACCAACACATAACTAAGCTTAATTCATAGTATTGAAATATTTACCTGCAAACCAACAAACATTGAATATACTTACAATTTATTCAAGCCAAATATATTGACAAAATATCAAAATCAATCACAAGAAGCACAAGATGTTGGGAAGAATAATAATAAAACAGAATGACTGTAGAAGAAAACATTACAACTGTTTAATATGATAAATGTATTCAAGAATTGGTTTAATGAAAATATAAAATAAAAAATATGTTACAATGGTTTACTGAAGACCATTTAGAGTAATATATAAAATATATAATACACAGCTGTAGAGAAATAAAAACTTACCAATGAAATCAGTTTTTGAGAAAATATAAATTATTAATTTTATTCTAGAGATGACTACAAAGAAAAAATTAAAATGTTATGTTAAAATAACATAGAAATAAAAATATTATCAAATAATATTTTATTTATTTATTTATTTTTACTATTACTTTTTTTTTTGAGACAGAGCCTCGCTCTGTTGCCTAGGCTGAAGTGCAGTGGTGCGATCTCAGCTCACTGCAACCTCCGCCTCCGGGTTCAAGCGATTTTCCTGCCTCAGCCTTTCAGGTAGGTGGGATTACAGGCATGCGCCACAATACCTGGCTAATTTTTTTAATTTTTAGTAGTGACAGGGTTTCACCATGTTGGCCAGGCTGGTCTCAGACTCCTGACCTCAGGAGTCTGAGGTCTGCCCAAGGAGGTGAGATCTGCCCACCTTGGCCTTCCAAAGTGCTGGAATTACAGGCATGAGCCACCACACCCGGCCCCAAATACATATTTTAAAATGATTTTTTACTAATTATACCTATATTTTGACGAAAAAGTTACAGACGCTATATAATTGCATGTAAAGTGAGTTAAACACCTTACAAAAGGAAACTGCTGAAACCCATTTAGAGTATTCTTCTGAATACTTACGTGCTATGGGAGAGTATTATGAGAATATCTAACTCTACATATTGGTGTATTAATGCAAGGAGAAAAATATAACATTTTGCATACCAAAAATAAAAATTATTATTCATCTCTCAAAGAGCAGTTCAAACATATTTTATTTTTAGTGAATCATCAATACATTAATAAAGATTTGTTCATTAAAAGTAAGGGTTTAATTTAACTTGAATATTTTAAGTTTAGAGATTCATGGCTCTTACTTTTTTTTCAGAATGGTCTGTGGACTACAGAATTTTAGAGATGATCAGTATTTCAAGAAAGAATTAAAATAATGTTCCATAAGTCACAGTCTCAACGGGAATGGTTAGCTGTGATGTTACTTTTATTTAATGGGACCCGTCTTGGATAGATTGAGGAGGAACACAATATTATGAAATGAGAAAACACTGTAAAGTCAAATAAACCTGCCTTTGACTTGCACCTCTGTTTCTTTATAGTTGAGGGACACTCAAACAAATCGTTTAGTCTGTGAGCTTCAATTTCCTAATCTGAAAATGGTGATAGTTTTCCTCTGACTCATGAGTTTTAATCAAGTATATAAAATGCATTGTATAGTGCCTGACACATATAACCATAAATGATAGCTATTGGCTATAATACATACATTTATCATTCATGGGTTAATTCTCTTAACACATATAATTGAAGTAAAATGCAGTTCAGCTTTTCTACTATACCTGTACCCATAATAGTAAGCAAAAACTGGCTTGAACTCTGTCCTAATGAAGTATATACAGTATGGAAAATGATATTATTAACTATGTTTTAGAAAATGTCCTAAATATTCTCACCATATCCCCAATGGTAGATATTATTATGATCTTTATAAAATAGGCACTTGAAGCATAGAAGTTTAACTGAACCACAGTAACATGGTCTAGTAAGTAGTAGTGTAAGTTTTTCATTGTCTGAGATAACACTCGGACTTCTTTGTCCTACCTCCAAGAAAATTAAGGAGCACGGACACAAAGGTGAAGTTGGAACGAAAGTTTAATAAGCTAAAGAAGAAAGCGCCGCCGGGCGTGGTGGTTCACACCTGTAATCCCAGGGCACTTTGGGAGGCCGAGGCATGCAGATCACGAGGTCAAGAGATTGAGACCATCCTGGCCAACATGGTGAAACCCCATCTCTCCTTAATAAATAAATAAATAAATAAATAAATAAATAGCTGGGCGTGGTGGCAGGCGCCTGTAATCCCAGCTACTCGGGAGGCTGAGGCAAGAGAATCGCTTTAAACTGCGAGGCGGAGGTTGCAGTGAGCCAAGATGGGCCACTGCATTCCAGCCTGGGCGACAAGCGAGACTGTTTCTCCAAAAAAAAAAAAAAAAAGACGAAGAAGAAAAAGAAAGCTCTCTGCCAGCAGAAGAGAGAGTCCTGATTGGGCGTACCCACTGTGGGGCCTGTTCTGGGTTTTTATGGACTGGAAAGGGGAAAGAATGTGTTTAGTCTGCGGGCTGTCTTGGCCAACGCCTGACTTAGCTTGGACGGGGACCTTGGCCCAGGACCAATCAGGAGCTGAAATAATGATTCACAGATGCTGTTTAGCTTGGCCTAACACCTATCAGAAGCTGAAGCGAAAGCCTGGCCCAGAAGTTTGGCCTGGGACCGATCAGGGGCTGAAAGGATGATTCATAGAAGCTGGAGGTATAGTTCTAATAAAGGATAGTGCCCACCAGAACCCACCCAGGCCCACTCTGCCCATACCCACAAAAAAAGAAGAAACTTTTCCTGGGAACCTGCTGACTATAAAAAGGACAAAGACATTTCTGTGCCAGGCCTTATTCCCCTATCTGAGTGATAGGTTTTGTGCAAGTTTTTATCCAACTGGGCTAGAGGATTTTTTGTTTGTTTGTTTTTTGTTTTTTTATACTCTAAGTTCTAGGGTACATGTGCACAATGTGCAGGTTTGTTACATATGTATACATGTGCCATGTTGGTGTGCTGCACCCATTAACTCGTCATTTACATTAGGTATACCTCCTAATGCTATCCCTCCCCCCTCCCCCCACCCCATGACAGGCCCTGGTGTATGATGTTCCCCACCCTGTATCAAAGTGTTCTCATTGTTCAATTCCCACCTATGAGTGAGAACATGTGGTGTTTGGTTTTTTGTCTTTGTGATAGTTTGCTGAGAATGATGGTTTCCAGCTTCATCCATGTCCCTAAAAAGGACATGAATTCATCCTTTTTAATGGCTGCATAGTATTCCATGCTGTCTATGTGCCACATTTTCTTAATCCAGTCTATCACTGATGGACATTTGGGTTAGTTCCAAGTCTTTGCTATTGTGAATAGTGCCACAATAAACATACGTGTGCCTGTGTCTTTATAGCAGCATGATTTATAATCCTTTGGGTATATACTCAGTAATGGGATGGCTGGGTCAAATGGTATTTCTAGTTCTAGATCCTTGAGGAATTGCCACACTGACTTCCACAATGGTTGAACTAGTTTACAGTCCCACCAACAGTGTAAAATTGTTCCTTTTTCTCCATATCCTCTCTAGCACCTGTTGTTTCCTGACTTTTTAATGATCGCCATTCTAACTGCTGTGAGATGGTATCTCATTGTGGTTTTGATTTGCATTTCTCTGATGGCCACCTACCTGGGTCCACTATGCCCATACCCACAAAAAAAGAAGAAACTTTTCTTGGGAACCTGCTGACTATAAAAAGGACAAAGACATTTCTATGCCAGGCCTTATTCCCTTATGTGAATGAGCTGGAAGTTTTGTGCAAGTTTTTATCCAAATGGGCTAGAGAGTTTTTTGTTTCTTTATTTGTTTTGTTTCGTTTTGTTTTGTAATTGTCTGTGCAGCTGTGGGTATGTCTCTAGGCACAACACCCTGTGCTAATTCCCTTATTGGTGCCTGCAGTCTGAATTTCTTCCCAGGCTGCTTTTTATGTTATGTGGGGATGAGGCATTGACCCATGGGCCAGGGGCTGTTCTGGGACCCTTCCCTTGCTATCTACCTAAGGCAAGCTAATTCCTTTCAGTAGAACCAAGATTCAAACACGGCGCCTTGTTACATCGCCCAAGATCCTTACTGCAATGATGTATCATTGATCAGCGAGGCACAAAAATACACAGCAAATTATATCGGTAAGATTTCAACAACAGCATTTAGCATAGAAATATGATTAAGAAAACAATATGTTCATGGAAAGTTTCCACAAGGATATGATTATTTGCTGAGATAGGAATGAAGATCACTAATTCTTCTTGGATACATACATAAAAACCTCACATCTACAAGGTAAATTAATTTATGTCTTTTTTCAGAATGAGAATCTGAAATCTAGCACATTTGGATATGGTAAACTAATAATCATGCTCTTATTTATCAAAATCTCCTGGGGATAGTTAGACATCCTACTTTTGTCAACTCAACTGATTCATAGCTTAAACATACACAAAGAAGGCAAGAGTTCCAAATTTTGCTTATAATCATTTAGAAACTACATCTCTTGAGAACCAACACAGGGAAAGAGCCGAATTAAAGAAAATAAAAAACAAAGAATTCAAAATATAGAATCAGAATTGTGAACCATTAATGCAATATTTTAGTTTAGAGTCAGTTATTTTCATAATGTGCATCAACATTAAATTTTCCTAATCTCCTCATTTATTCCATCTTATCCATGTGTGTACCATTTCACCTCTTTCCCTCCTGCTTGTGAGGAAAAAATATACTTCTCACTGTTCAGGATAAATTTAACCTGCCAGCATTCATCTCATTTGACTCACTTCCTTTGAAAGTAGATTTATCTTTTATTCTTCTCTCTTCCTCGGGATCTTAAAGTTCTCTTCCATTTCTTTGTAAAACATGATCAAGTAATGTTTTATCTCCTTCTACTCAAAAATAAAACAAGATAAAAGGTTGGCATCTTTTTTTCCTTCTGCCTTCCTCTAATGTGCTTTCCATTATTTTATTGTCTATTTCTAACTCACTTTATATGAGTGTGTTGTGTGTGTGTATGTTTAATAATGATCATCTTAATGGGTTTAAATGGCTTATTATGGTTTTCATTTTCATTTCTATAATGATTAGTGGTGTTGAACATCTTTTCATGTGCTCCTTAGCAATTTGTATATCTTTGGAGAAATGTGCATTCAAGTATTTTCCCATATTTAAAGTTTTTAATTGTTTGTTGTTGAATTGTAGGAGTTCTTTATGTATACTGGATATAAACCCCATATTAAACATACTTTACAAATATTTTCTCCCATTACATAAGTTGTCTTGATTTGTCCTTTGACAGTAAATATTTAATTTTGATGGAGTCCATTCCATTTCCCTTTTCTTGTCTGTGCTGCTGAGGTTATATTCAAGAAATCATTGCCAAACTCTATGTCATGAAATTTCCCCACTATGTTTTCTTCTAAGAGTCTGATAGTTTTAGCTCCTATGTTTAAACCTTGGTCTATTTTGGAAAAGTGTTTTTTAAATAATCAATTTGTTCTTTGTTTTCCTTATTGTTTCTGGATTTTCAACTTAGTTAAGTTTTCCTAACTCCCAGGATTTAAAAGGATTCAGCTGTATTTTTATATTATTGTTCTTATGATTTTATTTTTTGGCTTAAATATTTGATATTTGGTATTTCTGTTGTTGTGAGGAATCAACCCTGTTCTATTATTTTCCAAGAGGCTATCTAGTTATCACAACACCAACTATTAAGTATTTATATTTTCTCACTGAATTTAGATCATGCCTTTATTATATATAAAACATCCTATAATATTTGTTCTAGTTTTCCTTTTTGTTATGTTTGCTTATTCAGACACCAATATTATTCTGTTTTAACTAAAGAGACTACATATTATACTTTAATGTTTAGTGCAGTTAAACTCCAATTTCCTCTTCTTTATAAGGGTTTTCTTACCTACACTTTATAATTGTAATAGCATCCACTTTGTAACCAAATTGTATATTTCCAAGAAATGGAAAACAATGGGTAAACACACATAATTGTTTTTCTATTGCCTACTGTGTTCATCCCTGCTCTTAATAAGAGATATTTATTTTCTTCTTTCTGCAGTCTTTGGTTTTAGTTTGTTCTTTTTTTTCCCCTAGTTTCTTAAGTTGTAAAATTAGATTGGTGATTTGAGATTTTTTAAAAAGTATCAGCATTTATAGCTATAAATTATTTTCTTAGCACTGTGTTCCATAGATTTGGTATGTTGTATTTTTGTTTAAATCTGTCTCTAAGTATTTTCTAATTTCCTTTTTGATTTCTTCTTTCATCAATTTGTTGTTTAAGAGTATTCTTTTTAATTCCTACAAATTTGTGATTTTTTCAGTTTTACTTTTATTTTCACTCCATTATTTGGGACATACACTTTGTAGAATATTTATCTTTTGAAACCTTTGAGACTTAATTTTTGGCCTAATATGTCATCAGTTTTAGAAAATAACCTAAGTGCATGTCATTGCTGTGAAGTAATGTTGTCTATATGTCTGTTACACCCAGTTGGTTTATTGTGTTGCTCAAGTCCTCTATTTTCTTCCTTATCTTCTGTCCATTTTCTCTATCCATTATTGAATGTGGAGTACTGAAGTCTCCAAATATTATTGTAGAATTATTTATTTCTTCTTTCAATTCTGTCAGTTGTTTCTTTACAAATTTTGATGGTCTGTTATAAGGTACACAAATGTTTATCATTGTTATCTTCTTTATTAAATGTTTTATTAATTATAATATTTTTATTTTATTAATTATAATATCTTTCTTTGTCTCATAAACTTTTTGATTTATGTATATTTTGTTTACATTTGTATTGCCACCCTTGTTCTATTTTCGTTAAAATTTGTGTGGAATATCTTTTCATTTTCAACTTATTTGTTTCCTAGCAGCTAAATTGAGTCTCCTGTAGAAAACATAAGTTTAGATCGTTTATTTTTATCCATTTTACTAATCTATATCTTTTAATTGGGAAGTATAATTCATTTACAATTAAAGTAATTGCAGATAAAGACTAACTTACTTCCTTCACTTTGATATTTTTTGTTCCTCAGTTCTTGCATTACCACCATCCTGTGTGTTTAGTTGATTTTTTTGTTATGTTTTGATTTTGAAAAGTATGTTTCATTTTTATTTTCTTATCTACATTCTATAAATATTTTATTTGTGGTTACAATATTAATACATGTAATAATCTAAAGCTATAATCCTTAATATTAATTTGTATGAGCTTAAATTCAATAGAATATAGAAACTTTACTTTTTTATCAGTTTTATCTCCACTCCTGTCAGTTGTTGATGTCAGAAAGTTACATCCTTATACATTATGTCTCCCAAAACATAAACTAATAATTATTTTAAGTGCATTATCCTCTTAATGTGGAAAACAAAAATTAACTTAAAAATCAAGTTATAAGCTATTGTTGGAATAATACTGTTTTATAATTTTCCATGTATTTACCTTTATTGAGACATGTATATCTTTATATGGTTTCCAATTATTATCTAGCATCTTTTATTTCACCTTGCACACTGCTTCCGTTATTGGTGGCAGAGCTGGTCTAGTGATAATGAACTCTGCCACCTTTTGTTAATCTGAGAGTATCTTAATTTCTTTCATACTTTTGAAGGACAAATTAGGCAGATATAAGATTCTTGATTTTTGTTGCTTTTCTTTAACAGTTTGTGTATATTGGCTCAGTGCCTTGTCATCATCAAAGTTTCTGATAAGAAATCTGCAGATCATCTTATTAAAGATCACTTGTGTGTGACAAATTGGTTCCTCCTTGATGCTTTTGAGCCTCTCTGTTTTTGGCTTAAACAATTTGATTATAATATGTCTTGGTGTGAATCTTTTTTTAGTTCTTTCTGCTTGGAGTTCTTTGATGTTCTTGCATGTCTATATTCATGTCTTTCATCAAATTAGCAAACTTTTCATCTATTGTTTCTTTAAATATTATCGCTGTTCCTGTATCTCTCCTTTCGTCTTCTGAGACTCTCATAATACATATGTTGGTCATGTGATGGTAGCTTACAACTCCCTTAGGCTCTGATCATTTTTAAATAATACCTTTTCTTTCTGTTAGTTCAATTTGATATTGCCTATTGTCCTATCTTCAAGCTAACTGATGTTTTCTTCTGTCTACTCAAATTTATCTTTGAATCCCTCAAGAAATTTCTTATTTCAGATATTTTATCTTTTAATATTGATTTTTGTAAGTTTTTCTACCTCTTTATTAATATTTCCATTTTGTTCATACCTCATTTTCTTGACTTTCTCCACATTTTCCATTTGTACTTTGAGGAGTTGTTTTAAATGCTTTGTCTAGTAGGCTTTTCATCTAATCCATCATTTAGAAATTATCTCTTTTTATTTTTTTTCCTTTAAATGTTCCAAACTTTCTTGATTCTTTGTATGCCTTGTGAGTCTTTTTTATAAACTGGACATTTGAAGCTGTTGTAACTGTGGAAATCATATTGTTATCCGTCACCAAAGTTTTCTGTTTTTATGTTATTATTTTAGGATGGGGGATGGTTGCAGCTTATCTGTCTGCCAAGGATTAGCCTGATGTAAAATTAATTGTTTTTTCAAATATTCTGTAAGCTTTTGCTTTTACCTAGGTATGTGTGGTTATTCTCTAATTTTACCCATATATGTAGTTGTTATTGAATTTTCTAATCTTTAATGTCTGACTCCCAAAAATGAGAAAAAGGGAAAAAATTTAAAAAGCAAAAATGGGGGTCCTATCCCTTTAAAACCTCTGGGAAGTCCCTTGAGCTGAAATTGGAGCAGCTTGCAACAAAAGGAGCAGTACAACCTCAATGACTCCCAACTTATCTGTCTTCACCTCAGTATTCAAAAGCAGCAATAAAAAATCAGAGCATAAATCCCCAATACTTGGTGAAAAGGATTTAATATACCTGTCTTGCCCCACAACAAAATTTGTGCAGAATTTCCAGAAACATGTGTACAGGGTGAGTGCTAAGAGCTGAAATTAACCTCACTTTATAATCCAAGTCTTCTTTAGAAAATTACAAGCCTGAAATAAACTCAGAAATTCTAAAATGGTTATATCAGACAGATTCTACTTGTGTAATAGTATAAGCATAGAGACAGATTTGTGGTGCCTTCTACTCTGCCATATTCTGAGAATCTCCAACTCAGGGTTTTTAGGAAATTCTGTTTAGCGTATAGCTCTATATTTTAGTGATTTTCTTGTTATTTAATTTACTGTAATAAAAGTGATCCTCCTTCTGCTATAGGTTCATTCTAGCTTTTGTTAATACATATAACTTATTTTTATTTTTCTATGTTGATTTCATTACCTGTTTTCAATGGTGTGCTTAGTTGTATTATTTGCTAATTTCTGTGTAATAGATACTCCCACTGTAGACAATTTCAAATATTCAATATTTCATCCAGTGGTTCACAAAATTCCTGAACTTTTAACAATATACTCTTACAAACTAGTACAAGCCAGCTCCAGCATTACTCTGCCTTTTACTTCAGTAAATAGTATTTGCAATAGTTTTTTTATTAATTAATTCTATTGGAATTTCCAAATGTATAATTATACGCTTGTAGTTTTACACTTTCTATTTTTACAATTTTAATCTGTTTAAATTGTTTAATTGCTTTAATTAATATTCTATAATTTCTATAAATGGTTAGATGTTACTGGAGATGTTGAACAGTCATACTTTGCTGATTTTGTAGAGAAGCTTCTTGTGTTTCCCACTGAATAAGCTTCTGTTCCTTGAACTCATGTAGATGTGTTTGTTTATGTGTGTGCCTGTGTGTATAATTATGCTAATGGTATATCTAGTAAATTCTGTTTTACTGAGTGTTTTAATCTAAATTAATCTTTATGTTGTTTTCTGTATGGTGCTTATGTGCATCCATACTGGACCTATGAAGTAATAATCATATGATTTTTTATAAGTTCTATCAATGTGATTGCATTAATAAATTTCTTAATAATGAGCCACTATGTTATTTTTGGCATAATCTTTCTTTGGTCGTGTTTTGCTTAGTACTCTACTTGACTATGCTCCTATGTTTTATGACATACTATACTATTTAAGTCATTACATCAATATTCACAAATGTGATTGGTCTATATTTCTCTTTTTTTAAGTTAATTTTTGCATGGCTTTAAAAAATTTTAGAATTTTGAAAGAGTTATCAGTATATATCTTCAAATTGTCCAGCAAGATGGCCAATCTAATTTAAATTCATTCCTCTCTTAAAAGAAAACCGATTGTTGTGATCTACACTTAAATGGTAACAATCCTTTATTTAGAAATAGTATATCACAGATGATGTGAACTGTGCAATTATATTCTACATTCATCTTTTGAGATCAGAGGCTGTTATTTCCATTTTAAATATCGGAAAATAAATGAATGACTTGAGATGTTCATTTGGTTAACTAGCAGAAATAAATTCAAACTTAATTCTCTTGACACAAGAGAAAAATTATCTACAATGTTTTGCTACATTCCCTTCCAGAGAAAATAATGGGGGACACTAAGCCATTCACTTTCATGCTTATTGTTCTTTATTTAGCGAATGGTTAGAAAATAAAATCTGGAATTACAGAATGGAATTGTTTTATCTGTCTTGATGGCTAACTAGACAGCAAAGTGACAAAGTGCCCTATGCATCTTGATATAATATAGCCAACAACTCTTAATGAATGAACAGATGATGTTTGTCCTTCAAGAGTTATTTTGTAATTTTTTTGTACCATGCCAATTTATAATTTGGCTCTGCTGTTTGAATTGAGGAAGGAAAAAAAGGAGTAGAAAGAAAAATAATATATAGAATAATTTGAAAACAAACATTATTTCTCGTTTGATGAAAAGTAAGTTCTTTAAGGGAAAAATTGACAATTACATTAGTTAATTATGATTAGTCAATTTTATTATCATGATGCAATAAAAGCGGGTAATATTACAAGCCCATATATTAGCATGATTTAAGAAAAATGGCAATAAGCTTTAAATAATGTCTTTAATTAAAACTATTTAAAATGGCAGTAATACACCCTCTCAAATTTTGTTTTCAAAATAAAGGTGTTAAATTGCTTTAACAACATTTAATATAATTCAAAAACTTCTGTGAACATACTAAATAGCTGTAAAAAGACCATTATTATTTTAACAGAGGTTTTTTAAAAGGAAGAATTGGAAAGAAAAAAAATACAGTAGCTGTAGACAAATACAAGATCCTTCTTTTCTCTTCCCATGCATTTATTACCAAGGGCAAAATGGGGATCCAGAATGATGATTACTTTCATTTTAAATTTTCATTAGGAAGAATAATTTACTCTTCCCACTCTCATTAACAAGCAGAATATATTCCAAGTACCAAGACAGTGAAGAATGTGATCACAGAAAATGGGAAAGCTTAATTCTTTGTGTCTCCAATCCCACCTCTTTTTGGATTATTTAGTAACCTCATACTCTGTTTTCCATCTCAATTGTGCCCTGATTCACTGCTTCTATTTACTTTCCCAGACATATTTTCTTTCTCACAAGTGGAAGCTGATTAGTTTTTGTTACGATTATATGACTTGATCTCTGTGGAGACTTTGGGGGAAGTAGAGAAGTGCATAATAAAATGATATGTTGCTTCTACTGAGATTACAAAATTAAATGTAATGCAAAACTTATGCAAAAACAATGCAATCACTTGAGTGATTTGAAGAAAGATGAGAAATAGCAGCATTGTGGATGGCTATGAAGTTAATCTAAATTAAAATATATACAAAAATTAATTTTGTCCTCTTAGATATCAGAACACTTTTTGCTATTTCCCCTGCTTGTTTTTTCTTAGAATTCTGAATAATGCCCTCACTTTCAAATGCATGTGTTACCAACCAAAACAATCTCCGGGAGAAAATCTGTTAAGCAAATAACTTTTCTCAAATTGTCATAGCTTCCCATTGGGGTGAATGAGTCAGTAAATTTCAGAGGATTGACCACTTTTTATGGATATTAAAATGAATGTTTGATAAGAATATTAGAGTACATTCAATCTTTACTCCCATAGGCATAATCTAATTTGATTGAGTTAAGCCTAAAAGAAATGTAGTCCAAATGAAATTAATACACAAGCTATGAAAATTTGCATCAAAATATTTATAATTAGTTTTAATATAGCACTATTTTAAATACTGAAGACAAAAACTCCATTCAAAGCTTGCCCTTTTTTGGATGCCTTTCTTAGCAAAGTTAACCTGGAAGACAATTTGTTTCATTTTAATCCTTACAATAATTACTGTTATTATATCCAACTTGAAAAGATATACCTTTTCTACTATTTATTCCATGTTGTTTTAAATATTAATTTCTTTTTCTCATGTCTCTAGTTATATTGTAATTTCTTAGAAGGCTGAGAGTTATCCTTACTTTTGTAAACTTCATATCTATCAAACTTTCTTGTTGTGCATACCAGATGTTTAATATATATTTTGTATAAAATCAGTTGAACTGATGAACTCTCCAAATTAAAGTTAACTTCAATGTGCCTAAAAATAATCTGTACAATTTATCAAAATTTTCACTGGTCAGGGACCACCTTAACCTGAAATTCTATTTCAGTAGGTCTGGGTTCAAATTTACAATTCTACAGTTTTGATATGTGTGTGTGGTCAAGGCAACACACATGAAGGAACACTGTATAAAGGGACTAATTTAATCCTCACAACAAACATAGGAGATAGATGTTATCATCTCATTCATAATACTTATGTTAATTACCAATAATAAGGCAGATATTTGAACTTGGTAACAAGTGTAAAAATGGATAACGCAGGAGAATGGCGTGAACCTGGGAGGCAGAGTTTGCAGTGAGCTGAGATCGCACCACTGCACTCCAGCCTGGGCAACAGAGCGAGACTCATCTCAAAAAAAAAAAGAAATAATTTTATCTTCCTGGTTAAATATTTAATCATTTTGAGCTCTCCATTATTGCATTAAAAGGTACATTTTTAATATGAAGCTAATAATATTTTAACCTTTTATTAGGTTTACATGTTATATATCTTTAACTTCTTTATTTTCAGTCTTTTTCTATCCTTCTATATTATATATGCTTTTGGAAAAGACCCATGATTCATTTTTTTCACTAGGCTAACCATATTATCCTTAATTGCATTATTTAATTTTTATATTAATAAAATTACTATTATGTAAATGTGAGTCTTACTATTTGCTCTCATATTCCTCCTGTTTCTTTTCTTTCTTTGTGCCTTTTAAATGATTTATTTTTTACTTTAAAACATTATCTTCTCCTCTCATAATTTGACAGTATTACTTTACTGTATTTTAGGGCTTCCTCTTGAGATTGCTAGCCAAATTCTTGACTTAACAAGTGTAATGTAATTTCAAAAATTCTCCTCTTTCTAGACAACACACAAGTATAGAACATTTAAAATCCATGTGCCTCCTTTTGATATTTGCTGTAGAGAAAAAAGTGACTCATCCTGGATGCTCATCTGTCATTTTGACTTCTGATTAGCTCCAATCCTGTGAATACCTCCTGATTTCTGTTTTATTTAATGTTCTTAGCGTAAGAAAAAAGCAACCTTGATTCTATTGCGCACATTGTAGGCTGTGACACACACAGCATTCTTGCCTGTCTGGAGGGTTGCCTTTAGCTGTCTTGCTAGGGCCCATATACCCTTTCCCTGTGGTATATAAGCCTTGAGTCAGGAGAGTAACAGTGTGGAGACCTACCTGTATTGTGGCCACTCAAGATCACACCTCTATCTTTAAGTTCCCCCAATAAATCAACCATTACAAACAAAGTGGATTTGTCTGCCTTCTTCTTTGGTTTCTCTGCGTCCTCTGCATTTGGGGGTTCCTTTGCATGTGCAACCTTTTCACAGAACATGTGCTGTTGGAATTGTTGTTACATATTTATTAATACTACCGGGACTTGCCAGGATACCTTGTCCAATATAGCAAGCCCTGCTTGTTTAGATATTTTCCCTGAAAATGTTCATTGCCTTGATAGTTTGTCATTGATTTTCTCTGCATCAGGAGCTCTTACTCATAGAAATTCCACAGATGGGCTTTAGAAATTGTATGGACTGGGTATAAAATGAAGATTTAACAAGCTTTATCTTCAGTGCTTAGACTCTTTGTGGGAAACTGGGTTTACCACAAGCATATAAGGAATCCCACCTAATTTTTTGTTTTATTTTTATTGATAAAAATATTTTCATGAGATGTAACAGGTGTGGTGATTTCTGAGTTGCAAGTTTCTTGACAATGGAAGCATGAGGTTTACAGAGGTGAAGAAACAAATTCCCTCATTCAGTCATGACACGGCCATACATGTCAGCTTCGCCTGGTAAAGAAGTGCATGAAGCTGGAAACCATCATTCTCAGCAAATTGACACAAGAACAGAAAACCAAACACTGCATGTTCTCACTCATAAGTGGGAGTTGAACAAAGAGAATACCTGGACACAAGGAGGGGAACATCACACCCTGGGGCCTGTTGTGGGGTGGGGGGTATAGGGGAGGGATAGCATTAGGAGAAATACCTAATGTAGGTGACGGGTTGATGGGTGCAGCAAACCACCATGGCATGTGTATACCTATGAAACAAACCTGCAAGTTCTGCACACGTACCCTAGAACTTAAAGTATAATAAAAAAATTTCTTTTTTTTTTTTTGAGACTGAGTCTCCCTCTGTCGCCCAGGCTGGAGTGCAGTGGTGCGATATCCGCTCACTGCAAGCTCCGCCTTCTCAGTTCACGCCATTCTCCTGCCTCAGCCTCCTGAGTAGCTGGGACTACAGGCACCCGCCACCACGCCCTGCTAATTTTTGTATTTTTAGTAGAGACGGGGTTTCACCGTGTTAGCCAGGATGGTCTCGATCTCCCGACCTCATGATCCACCCGCCTCGGCCTCCCAAAGTGCTGGGATTGCAGGCGTGAGCCACTGTGCCCAGCCCAAAAAAAATTCTTAAAAAGACTGCTTTGTCCTTACTAAAAGAGTCAGCCATACGTAAGACCACTGCTGTGGGCTGAACAAGGTAGACATTATAATTTCAAATTTAAGTCACTCATGTTAAATGACATTTGCATTTTGATTCTTGTATATCATAATGTGTTAGAAAGTATTAATGTATGAATGAGACAAAAAGGTAGCTGCTCATGAAATAAAAGACCTAGAAGTATACATCTTTTCTGGTTGTGAAAGCCACAAGCAGAACTATGCTCTGCACGGCACCAAAGGAGAGAGAGTATCCCTTCCTACATAACAAGAGTTTTAAGTAATTGAAGCATTTAATATGATACATTTTACAACTAAATTTTTTTTTCAGTAGGCACAACATACTACTCTCTTAATATAAAGCATAGTTTAGGGAAAATAATTATCTAGAAAACCCGTACAAGTATACTGGAGAAAACAAATGCAAGGAAGAAGCTAATTTTATATGCCAGTCTTGGTTCCTCTAAGGGTAACCTACAGATCACAGAATTTAAGATTCTGCTTGTTAACATTCTCCCAGAGAGAACAAAAAATGTAATATTACATAGTCAGAATATTGTTCCTTATCCTGTATTCTATCCTCTTGGAATGAAACCTGTTTCTCTCTCCCAGTAATATATAGAATAAATGACACTATCTTCTCATCAAAGAAGATACTCTACTGTTATGCATACACGGTATATTAGTTTTCTTTCAGGCATCACAGTCATAGTCTGTCAAACTGTTACTGAAACAACAGAGGTTCTGTCTAGGTCCTGCTGCTTGACACACAGAGAGCTGATCACTGAGATGCATATTGCCAAGGAAGAAGGCTTTAATCCGGTGGCAGAGAAGGAGATAGGAGCTCAGGGTCAAATCCATCTCCCTGATCACTAAAACTAGGGGTTTATATAGCGGGGGAAGATGTAGCAACATGTGAGAAAACAGGAGCTAGGGAGGGAAAAGGAAGCAATCACAATGCATGAGGTGTCCCCCATCTCATTGTCTGAATGGGATAATCTGGTGAGTTTCAGTTCTTTGATACTTTTTTTGAGAGGTCTGTGGGATCCTTTCCAGAGGAAGAAACTCAGATAAAACAAATATAAGACTAGAAGGATCAACTATGTTTATTCAAAAAACTATGGGACTTTTGGGTTGGTTTCAAAACCCTGCTCATATTCAGATATCCCTCAGAATATTTTCACATTGGCAAAAAAGCAGCTGCCCAGGTTGTATCCCCTATTCTTCAAGGAGTGGATTTTAAGAGCTGAAGGATTTATTTTACAGCCACAGAACTTCACCTAAATTTTCTTTCCTTAGAAAAGTTCAAGTGCCAATGGCTGCTAAAATTAAGGGTAATTTAGTGACTGTAGAATGGGGCTGAATGATTAAAGTTTGATTCATAGAACATTAGTTTAATCATAGCAGGATCAATAGCAAATATAATTTAAATAAAATCCTTCATGATCTCCTAACCTCCATACCAGAAAAATGTACTATAATTGAGGTGATGAACATATGATATATCAAATTACAAAACATAGGAAGAGATAGAATAGAAGGAAGCAGAGAAAGATGTAAATAAGGAAGAATAATGACAAGAAAAACAGTATTTACTTCAGCTTTCCTTTCTGCAAAGCACTTTTCTAAGTCCTTTTTATGCATAATCACATTCAAAATTTATAGCTTCATTCATATACACTTGGAGTTACTGTGAATGATTGTGAGAGCTAATATTATCACCATTTTCCAGATGAGAAGTCTGTGGTTTAGACAGGATATGTGACTTGTTTAGTGTTGTACTTAGAAGAGGATTCAAAACCAGATCTGCCTGCAGAGTGCACAGGATTAACTACTATTTTATACTCTCCCTCCTTTTAAAAATGCTAAGCCAAAAGGCTTGCCTAATTCAGGTTCCAATGAAAATCTACACTTATTTTATAAAATGCATTTTGTACTGGTTATAATAAGAACATTAATTCTAATCCCTTCAGGTCAGAAATCAGGATGAGCAAATTATAAGAGGAACCAAGAATACATTCATTTAAAAAACAAGCCACTTATTTCTCCCATGCAGAAACCTTGTAGGTAAGCTCTTTTCTTGTAACTGTGGTCTGCAGAGCAAACCAGGGCAAACGAGGAAGCAGATTAACTGGGAACACATTTAAAATAATCAATGTCTTCCAGATATATTGCAGTCACTTTAAGGAGTGACTTCAGTTAAAAAAAAAAAAAGAGAGAGAGAGAGAGAATGAGAACTGAATATATATGGCACGATCACCAGTTTTAAACAAAAACAAACCTCAAAACCCATGAAGCAGCCTGCTTTCTTTATTTGGAAAGAAGACTGGAGCTAGCATTATCCCCATAGACAATCATGGCCCACAAAACACAACCAGAAAGAGGAAATTTCTGCTTTTTATATTTTTGTTTCTTAAGCCAGGCTTGTATGTATTATTACATTATGGCTTCTCCACTCCTCTGTCATAACTTCAAGATTTGGGAATCAGTCAACACAATAATTGTAGGTAAAGAATAGGAGATTAGAACACACATTTTCTCCTTTAGAATAAATAAATCTTTACCTGTCACATAAGAAATAAACTTCTTTAACCAGCAAAGAGTGAGTAATGCTTCAAATCTCCCCAAAACCTGTCTTTCTTTTTTTTTTTTTCTTTCTCTTTAGGAACGATATTCTTTCCATTCATACTCCATCCTACTTCTGCCAGACTCTGCCTTTCCCAAGAGCCTCTTTTGTCTGAATTTTTCTCTCTCAGGACACCTTACGATTTTTTCTTTATTTCATAAAGAGTTTTCAGAATAGAGAAGCTTTAATTACAACCCTTTAGAGGGTCACCTGGATTACTTAGAGTTGTTGCCTGGATCCCCTAATTTCTATCCAACCCTGCCTTTGGGGCTAGTGAACTCAAGTGGAAAAAGCAGGTGCTTTTAAATGAATCTATCTTTATAAAAATTCCTCCTATGCCATTAAAAGCTGGTGGTTGTGGGTGAGTTAAACCACCTATCCCCATTTTGAAAATGAAGGGAACGATTTCTGTGAGGTAGAACTACCGGGAGATAACACAGTGGAAGCAGCTGGTATGATCTAGGCACATATTGGAAAAAATTGGGGGAACCCTTGGGAAGAAAGAAAGTTGAAAGCTTCGACACGGGTTTGGGAGCTGTGGAAAAGGTGGCAAAGAAGAGAGATTAGGATTTATTGTTTTTCACAAGAAGAAAATGCAATAACCAGTTGTGAGGGTGAGATCAATTTAGGGATTAGAATATGTTGATTACTGAAGAAAATGTTTTTAGGGCTCTCTCCTCCCAAATAAATATTCTTTGTATCTAATTCCTCAAACTGTAAATTGGCCTTCCTGCCTTAATCAGTCTGGGCTGCTATAACAAATTACTATAGACCGGGGGGCTTATAAATAACTAAAATTTACCTCTCACAGTTCTGGAGCCTGGACGTCTGAGATGAAGGTGCTAGCGGGTTCCAGTGAGGGCCATCTTCTGGGTGGCAGGTGGCTGCTTTCTCTTTGTATCCTGACATGATAGGAAGATGGTAAGAGAACTCTCTGGGGTCCCTTTTATAAGGTCATTAATCCCATTCATGAGGGCTTCACTCTCATGACCTAGTTACTTCCTGAAGGCCTCCTAATACATTAGCTATAAATTAGGTTAAAATTTCAGCATCCGAATCTTAAAACACAAGCCTTAAGTGCATACCATTTTCATAATGCTTTTGTTACCTGCCTCAGCCTCTCAGGAAACTCCTGGGTTAAAGGACAAGCATGAGGACAGGCCAAGTATCACCTCTACTTCCGTTCCCAGGATGCTCTGCTTTTTCCCCAGGAACCTCAAGCAAAGTCACGTCCCATTTTTATAATATTCATAATTTTGTCCCCAGTGAGGGGATATCTAGTGTATGTTTTATGCACCTTATGTAGAAATGAAAGATAAAGTTAGGGGTGCTGGATGTCCCAATATCACCTAACCATCTGGTGACATAGATTCTAGTCAGTGTCAATGCTAGGTTGGTCTCCTTGGATAAGTGACCTGGATTTCTTAGCTTAACACCCTTTGTGAAAGGAGGGATTCATCATTATATTGTCTTCCATTTGTATTTTTTGAGAGAAGTATACGCCCAAGACATATGACAAATTAAAGACAATGGAAGTGGTACTGGTAAAAATAACAATAATAATAATAATTTTAACAAAGACATAAATTATCACTAAGAAACTACTAGCTAACATCTCTGTGACAATTACTTTAAATGCATTGTTTCTTGTAATTCTAATAAAATGTTTGTAAGTTTCAATATTCTTATTTTGCTAATGAGGTGACTAAGGCTTGTATCAGTTAAGTGACAGTCTCAGGCTCACGCAACTACTTGAGCTACTTAAGGTCACTGCTGAGATTCCAGGAAAGGAGTAATTTTTCCAACACGATTCCAGCAAATTGGGCAGAGACACGATTTCTAGAACTAACACCCTAAAAACAGCAGAACGACAAAGGGGTGGAGACTATTCTGACCCTTTTCTCAATGGATTTAGGAATTTTCTTTGGGGGGAGTGGTGTGTGTGTGTTTGTGTATTTGTGTGTATTTGCTATATTTTGGACACTATGTGATCTCATACTTAAATGACTTACAGCAATTCTGTAATACACACATTATCAGTTCCAAATTTGCTGATGTGCCATAAGAAGCTCAAAGAAATTAAACAATTTCTCCAAGATGACTCCCATAATAAGCATAAGAAATGGAATTCAAATTAAGTCCAGATTCCCTGTGCTTTTTCCATGGTTCATGTCTTCTACGGTTGATGGTAATTTTACTCTGTAAAAGTTGAGCTCTAATTAACTATGTTTTATGTTACCTGGGAATTTGTATATATCCATTTTTTTCTTTGAGTATTTTATTTTATTTAATAATTAGTAATAGCCAACCGAAGTTGTGAATGTGAAGGAATTTTGTATTTATTAGATGAACACAGCATTATGCTGACAAAGTTATTATTGTCACTTTGGTGGAAATTTGAGAGGCTTCTGCAGTTCAACCTTTGAACACAGGTTAGTAGTATGCTGATAAATACTTAACAGTTAGATCTCTGGAAGAGCAGGAGCCTTCATTTGCAGCATGTGCCAGTTTTCCTGGTATATATAGCTTCATCATGACCAATTCCAAGCTACCAACATAATGTCACTTAACGTGAAGTCAAGAAGAAATATATACAATGCACTCTGGAGCTGTGGCAAGCCATCTCAGCATACCACTGACAGTCAGGCCAAGAAAGCCACACTTTAATGAATACAAAACAGGTAGGTAATGGAGTTATGAAGTGTTGCTACCTGATTTTACTCAATAGCAAGCTAATATTATTTCAAAAGGAAAAAGCCAAATTTTATCCTGTAAGTCTCTTGGCATTGAACAGCATTGGCATTACGTTGCATTCAGTGTAGTTCTGATTTTGCATCATTCAACCTCAGTTTGTTCTCTCCGTGGCCACATTTCTAAGACATTTTACAATTTCCTTCTCTATAAAATTCAAGAATTGGTACCAGTGCTAAATTGAACTTCTTACAGAAAGGTGAGTCACATTCATCAAAAATGACGGGCTATATTGAGCAGGCAAACTTATTCCTTTCTTTCATTGCTCCAATAAATCATTCATTTATGGAAAAGGACTTTAAGGACACCCTAATAATTTCACTTCCACAACTCCACTAATATCAAATCCTCAACATTAAAGGGCTAGGGGCAACTTTGTGATAAATAACATCTGCAAAGCAAGACATGGTTTCCAAACCACCCATGAAAACACTTGATCGGATCAAGTATCACTGGACAGATTGTTCTGGCTCCACTGAGAAGCCTAATAATTCTGGACTGTCAACCAACCCTAGGAGAACAGTTTAATTGGGTTGGAAATGAGTTTCAGTGATATCATTTTGAGATTATGTCCCACATGTCTTTATTAGGTTCAGGTTTGTGTAAGGCCCTATAGATCATGTGAAATAAAATCACAGTTACATTAGCTTGACAAAATTTACACAAAAACATAATAACAGAACATACCTATCAGAGGGTGACCACAGGTTATTCCAGGAGAAACATTTCTTAAGACCGAGAAGAGTACACAGAAATGACAAGATTTTGTGAACTCCTATAATCTAAGGAGAATTTATGAAGATGACAGCTCCAACTCTGGATTTGAAATTGTACCTAGGCATAGAGAATGAGAAGCATCCCCAAACAAGGTGCTGAGGGGAGACAGATCTGATGATTACATCAAGGGAATACATTGGAACTAGTCTAAGAATCGACTCAGCCATCACTGATGAAAGGAAAGAACTTTTGGGGAAAAAGGGTATGGGATAGAGGTCTCTAACTGAGATGTCTACATGTTGTAGGTTATGCAAAACAACAAAGTAGGCTCAGCATAAGGGGGAAAAAGATCTGAATTGTGCAGAAGTGCCATTTATTTAGTCCCAAATTTCATTGTACATTTAGTTCTTTTTTTAACTGAAAAGTTATCATTCACTTTATCATTTATTCCTGTGTGGTTTATCTTTTTCTGAAAAATATTTTCATAGCTATGATATGCTATGAAAACTTTATAAAGGATGTAATCAGGAAAAGCTACCTACTCATATAGATAATCAATGCCAAAGTACATGCTATAGAGGATATCCTCAGGAATTTTATAATAATTGGTTTTATAATATCATCTTAACTTACTCATTTACACAAAAAATTCTCACAAAGAAATATACCCTCTCCTCATTTCCAGACAATTATGGCCCTCATGTTCTATTTTTGGATCTTTCAAAGTTGATAGATACCTAGGTAAAGAGTAATATGAGAAATATGTAAATATGAGAACTATAGAAGATTTATTTGTGAACTTTATTGAGCTTGCTGACTGTAAAAATGCCAACTTTTATTGAGTGTATTTAATAAATCAGTCATGTGCCAATAAGTTCCTTCTCTCTGGAATGAGTAAAACAGACACCTAAAGGTTTTTTTAAAAAATTAAAAGTTCATATGAGCTTAGTGATAAATATAGGGCAGAAAAGTAACTGAAAAAAAATAAATATTGCCTGGTACTTGAGGATAGTATTTCTGGATATGTGTTTTGATGCTCTAAGAACTCTTTCACAATTAAACATGGTAAAATTGTAACAAATATTGGTTGCGCTCATTGACAGATGATGAATTTGCCATAGATCTTTCCAGTTGTGATCTAGACATGATACACTATGAAAACTCTGCAGAGGATATAATCAGGAAAAGCTACCTACTCACGTAATCAGTGCCCAAGAACATGCTTCACGTCCTCCAAACAGAAGAGCATTTTTACTCTTTGTATTTATAGCTGCTCTAGTGGTATGCCATTTTAGTCTTGATTTTGTAATTTTTTGTCAGTCATATGTACTTTGACATCCCACTCTACTGCTGCTCTTTTCATTTCTCATTTCATTTCTCTTAAAATTGTATTGTGTATTTATTAATATAATCTCTTACAGTCAAAATATTTGTCAATTTTTTTTATAATCAGAGACTTTGTGTCCAGTTTTATTAATCTTTATATACCCCATGTGGTGAAAACGTCCTCTATATTATCCTCTCTTAGGATTTACTATTTTTAACTTTCACATAAAAATCTAAAAACCACCTGAAATTAAGATGCTTATACTATGAATAGAAACAGTTATCTCTCTGTCTTTCTCTCTATGAATAGAAGCAATTATATATTATACTATGAATAAAAACAATTTCTCTCTCTTTCTCTCTCTCTCAGATATACAATTGATGAAGTACAATTTATGGAAATAACTGTCTTTTTGTCACCCTCCTGTTATGCCACCTATATCACTGATCAATATAAGCCTGGGTCTGCTTTTCAGCTCTCTATTTTGTTTTCTTGGATGGTTTGTCTATTCTTGCACAATTAATCACTGTCTTCATTACTGCAATCCTCAAATAAGTCTTGATTCTCCAAAATTTCAGTTTATCTTCAATATTGCATTAGCTATCATTAGATCTTTGAATATTTACAATTTATTATTGGCTTATCAATTTCAACAAAAAAGCTTCTACTTGACTTTTTATTGAGATTGCAGTAAATTTACAGATGAATTGAAGATAATTTGCTTCTTTACATACTGTCTTTCCCTCCATAAATAGTTTTCTATTAATTTAGGTTCATATTGATTCTCCCTCAAGAATGTTTTATAATGTACTCTCTATAGATTTGTCTCTTCCTTTGTTACAGTTTTTCTTAGATATTTGATTCATTTGGATTATTGGACCAGTTCAGATGTATTTAGGACTTAAATGTTAAAGACATTTAACAGTTTTGAAGAAAATTTAGATGAATATCTTTATGACTAATGATCTAGAATGAGTTCTTATACATGACAAATACCATAAAATATCAGTTTAAAATAGAATACTTGAAACATTAAAATAAATTTAATTTATAAAATGATACCAGAAATTCAGTGAAAAATTGATCTACAGTGAGACGTTATTGACAATATTCATAACTCACAAATGTAAATAATTCATGTATCAATCTAAAAGAAAGAAATATCTCAATTTTAAAACGGGCCAAAGTCATATGCAGACATTTAACAGACAATGAAAAACAAATGACTTATACACATATGGCAATGCTAAACCTCATTAATAATAAGTAAAATGCAAATTACAACCAAATCAGATATAATTATGCAGTATTTGATTATCAAACAATAAATGTCTGACAAAACCAAGTGGTGGTGGAGACATATGGCAAGGGGAATATTCATACACCGCTTGTGAAAAGCAAATGATAAATAACTGACAAATCACTTTATAAAACCATTCACATTGTATGTTAAGGAAGAATGTAATTCTGCAATTACACTCTCAAATATATACTTAACATAGCAATTTTTTTTATTTGTTTGTTGTTTAAATTGAAGGTTACTACAGATTATTTTGTGAAATCATTTTGGTGAGTCATACTCAGAATTATTGAAAATGAAATAGGACAGCAAATAAAAGATCCATATTCACCTAACATTTTAAAGGAAAGGGCTTCAGTCATAAACATATTTTTAGGAAGAGGCAATCCACTTTGGGCCCTGGTGTTCCTGAGCATACTTGCTGGAAGTGCCAGGAATTTAGAACTCTCACCACTCTTCTGGGCCATTATTCAAGGTTGTGTTTGCAGGGAACAGTCTTGAGTGATGAGGGAATGTCTCCCCCGAGACAAAGTGCAAGCTTACTACAGAAGCAGAGATCACCTGAGCTCAGTGTTACTCTCTTCTAACACAGCCCACTGTGTATTCAGACATCCATCATGGACTCTTTTGTGTCATGCTTCTGGGATTTGAGGGTATGAGAAATTGACACCAGCAAATGTGAAGCTCTGATTCCTGCTTTTGCCATGAGTAATGAAATCCTTTGTCTCTGACGTGGAAGTTTTGTGTCTTCTACCGGGATCTATGAAATAATAACAGGCTGGGTAATTAGCTTGCAAATAGGACAATATGCTACACCTGCACAGTTCTTCACATTATTTTTCTGGTCACAGTATGAAGTTTTTCTAGTTGTGGGTCACTATCAAAAAGCTTCAAAGACATTTCCCTAGACAACTCTCTTGCACATAAGAACTATGAGACATGTAAAATACAATGTACAATACTGTTGTTTGTAATAACTAAAATAAAACAAAACAAAATCTGAAAACAACACAGATGGTAATCATCAGGAGGATCCATAAATAAATTGTATACCCACCCAGTGCAACACTATACAGCAGTGAAAATAACAAACTATCACCACATGCAACAAACATTTGGATCATGAAACAGTATTGGGCAAAATCAAACCAACAACTGAAGGCTACCAACAGTATGATACCACTTTAAGAACTTTAAAAATGTGGGCAATTAAGCATATTTTGCTTAAGACTGCATGTACGTGAGTTAAAATTGTAATGTAGAAAATAGCAAGAAAATTATAAACATATATTCAGGATAGTGGTTAGTGCTAGAAAACAGTCAGGGTCATGTGATTGGAGTAGGTATTAATATTTAGGTAGCTTAAATGAAGATTGTGTATATAGTTCATTAATTGTTCACAATGTAAAAATACAAAATACATACTTTCATATGTCAAACATTATTTCACTAATCAAATATTATTTGCTAAATTAAACAAAATATGTCCCAAATCCTGAAATACTATGATCCAGAGCTGGAAAAAAAGAATGAAGAAATTATGAACACTAGCAATAACAAAAATTATTATTTCAATCTTTATTATAATTGCCACCAGTGGTGAGTAAAATAATTTAATTTCAAACTGCATTAGTTTTTTCTACATGAAGCACTGATGATGGGGTGTTAAAAAGTATTTTTAAGTAATTGGTTTTATGTTAAATTTCATTTTCTTTTGTGTAAGTGGAAAATTGAAAATAACGCCAGTAAATTCAGATTCTAAAACTGATATTTGTTCATAATTTGGGACTTAATATGAAACACCTCACCATCACTTTTTTCATTGAAAAGAAGCTCAGGCAGTATTATATTTAAGCCTCTACTCATAATTTAAGAAACCAGCCACAAGAATATAGACAAAATGTTTGAGAAGTTGAAAGTTAAATAAATCAGTCTATATATGCATCATGCTGAATGAAATATAAAATAAAATTAAATTCACAGAGAAAGCCCCAGTTTCCAAATGTTGCTAGTTGTCTTCAGCTTCCATACCACAAAGAGAGATTCAAAATTACATTGAGGTATGAAAGCATTCACTTTCTTGACGATGAAGCAAAATTTCTAACTATGGTATCATATGACCAATGAACTGTCTAAAAGGAGAAAGAAAATTTTAAAATCATTATTCAAGCATTACCCTTATTTTACTGCATGCATTTGTTCATAAGAGTTAAAGTAAATGCACAGAACACTATTCATTGTCCATTTATAAAAATAAACAGATAAAGAATAGTAATAAAAGATAAATGATCGTTCTACTTTCTCCATACCATTGTATGCGATTTATTCCTAATTCTGTTTGTACATGTGGTGAGAATCGAGTCTTATTAAATCTATGGCTTCTAGTCTCATGATTACTTCTTCACAATGTATCCCATATGCCATGTGGCATTTGTAATTTTTACTCCATTAAAACTCTTTATTTTTCTGGCTTTTCAATGGTTCCATCACTTTCCAGGGAAGCCAAGTCTACTTTGTTTGCAGAAATGTCACCTCAGCTGAAAACCTCTCTGAACAAAGGTATTTGTGTGGCCAAAACTGCATGGTCATGGCTGGATTCCTGCATCTTTAGGGTCGGCAGCAAACAACCTGCTCACTATCCAGGCTCTTTCCTGGACCTCCGCACTGCAAATTTGGCCAGTCTTTCTTGCTGTGGAGAAAGAAGCAAGCCACAGTTACTTTACAACCAGCAATTACCCTCGGGGTTTCAGAAATGAATTTCCCCTTCTTTTTCGAAGCAAGATTGCCTTACTCTCAATAAGATATGGGGAAATTGTTAAAAAGGGGAGAATGTGAAGCCAGTGGGAATGTGCTGTAGCCCTAAATTAATGCTGGAATTGGCTCCAACCTGCTGAAGGAATTTAAGCATTCTCAAGGCCTGGGCACAATGTAGCAGAAATAGAGCAAAAGCCAAAATAGTAGGATTCCAGATGGTAATGTTGAAATAGCTCCGAATAGAAAAGTCCACCATCTCCGCGCTTGCTCGATTCCTCTTACTAATAAGAGCATTGTACAAATGATTAACCATGTTATTTCTAGAGAAGGAAGAAGCATATAGCATTAAGTAGTGATATAGTACATGCAGACACATTTTCCTAGCTATCACGTGTTAATATTTACAGCCCAGGATGCCCTCCTTTCAAGTAGCAGGTTTGGTAATAATATATACAGTAAGTTAAGCACAGCCTGCATTCTGCCTGTACTCTTTTCTATGGAGAGTATTACTTGGATTTTTCTACCCAACTCTTTTGTCATTTTAATTCCTCCAGGAGGGTACATTCTTAGGGAGATCACAGTAAATACTGTCCTAAATCCCCATGATATTCTGTGTGGCCATAGCTTTCTATCTTCTGACCACCTCTATCACCACTTTTCCAAAACAGAATGACTGTCAGGCTCAGATATCTTACTTTCCTACATTGCCACTGCTCCTCAATGTTGATTTTCCTCTCTATTCTCTTCATTGAAAGAGTAGAGATTAAGAAAGTGGGCTATAGACTGAACTAGGCTGAAGCTCTCAAAAACTGTTTGTCAGCTAAAATGTGAACCCAGGTCAGCTTGTGAAGGTCTCTGAGATCTAACCTCCTCCCCAGAAAAACACTTGCCTCATCCTCTGATTGTGAAGATTAACTGAGCTGATTTGCATAAAACATCAACCAGTGACTGGCACAGAGAACTAAGTTGATTCATGGTATTGATGATGGTGAAAGTGAGAAAGAGGCAGAAGATAGTAATAAGAAATATAAGAAATGTTATTATAAATCAAATGAATTTAAAGGTCTCTCAATATATTTAGATCAATATCAAAATGTTCTTGATAATCAAACAAAATGTTTTTAAGTATCAAAATGTTTTAAAGTCAAGCTCTCTGGATCTCTGCAGCCACACCCTTTGAACACCCAACTTCTCCAAGAGCATAAACTCTAGCCTGATGGAATGTCAAATGTGTTGCATTTTTAACTGAGAGAAGAGCTATGCATAATTGAGATCATATCAGAATGTGTCTTGCCAGGCATGAGAATATCCAGATTATAACCTAGGAAAATGACAAAATACTACTAATTTAACACTAGAAAATGGGAGGGATAAATTTTACAATCAATAAATTATTTTCAAAGATTGTTTTTTAACCACAATGTCTTTTTTTAAAGAAAGTGAACTCGAGAAAAGAAACTACATATAGCATTAGGAGAAATAACTAATGTAGATGATGGGCTGATGGGTTCAGTAAACCAACATGGCACGTGTATACCTATGAAATAAACCTGAACATTCTGCACATGTATCCCAGAACTTAAAATATAATAATAAAAAAGAAACTACACATGTACTGTTGTGAAGCCTCAGAAATATTCCCTTTATGATTTGTATTTGAAACTTTCTAATTAACTAGATACATTGCACCCGCTTTTAGTAAAATATGCCAGTACCTTTGAGAAAATATTTTGTTCTTTTTAAAATATTTTGTGTATTTTAGTATGTCAAAATATGCTCATAATTTTATCTTACCAGCTTTATGAATTGTAACATATTTTTTATCAGATTTTGAAGAATTAGTGTTCACAGCTCCTCATATTTACATAGAGCATTTAAAGAATGTATTTTTATTTGTTTTTCTGATAGAAATATATGTTTTGATAATTTGGAGAATAGAGAATGTACCTTTCCTCTTAGTTTTAAATGGTCCTAGAAACATGAGAGGGAACATGAAGAAAAAGTATAACTGAAAAGTGTAGAAGTCAGTAGTATGATATTTCACAGAAGGAAATTGATCAAGCCAAATCACACAGACCAACAGCTTGGAGTACTACCGCCTTAGCAAATGGGTATTTGATTGAATTCAACAGAGGCCAACTCAAAGTAGAACATCCAGAAAGAGAAAATTTAGCAGAAGGACACCTGGGTATCACAGGAAAGCCATTGCCAGTGGTGTATCTGGGCCTCACCAGAGCCCAGAACAAGGACATGAACATCACTGAGAAGGAAGCAGTTCCTCTTTTCTCTGCCTCTGTGTAAAGAAAACAAATGCTCATCTCTGATTCTCCCTGTGTCATCTTTTGACTTTTTCTCTCATCATACCAATTTTCTCTGCCCTTCTTATATGTGGTCCACTAAAACTATCTCAAAATGGTATCTCCAGTCTTCTTTCTGCTTGAGTACCTGTCACAGTCCAACTAGCCTTTGTACTAATTTGGGAGAGAGAATACAATTAATTCAGTTTTGAAAATATAATAATTTGTACAAGCAGCTGTGACTTCATGGAAGAATAATGTGAAGTATTGGTCTACAAACCCTCATTGCTGTGAGATATGCAATATACAGCATACAAGGTGTGTCTTTTACACATGTGAAGTGAAACGGGCATGATTTCAATTTTGCTACAGAAAAATATTTCTAAAGGAGAATATTGATATAAGCAATGGTATATTATGTAAACAATACTATATGATGTAACAGATAAGCCTTAACATCTCAGTGGCTTAATCAAATAGAATGATACTTCCGATCTGTATAAAGTCCAATTTGTAGATATGCTGGATGTATAGAGAATTTGCTCTCCACATTCAACCGTATCTGCTGGAGGCTCTGCCCTCTTTAACATAGCTTCCAAGATTTGCCTTGGGTTTTGTTCTGCAGACAACAGGAGAAGATCATGGAGAATCACGTATTGGAGTTTGTGATGGATCGGTTCTGTAAGTGAGGTGCATCATTATGATTCAAATTGCATTGACTGAAACTCAGTTACATGTGCACACCTAACTTTAAGGATGGCTGTCTTAGTCTATTTTGTATTGCTATAACAGAATAGAGGAAACTGGGGAATTTATAAATAAGGGAGGTTTATTTAACTTAGGCTAGCAAATTCAAGGGCATGGCTCTTGCTTCTGGTGAGGACTTCTGTGCTATGTCATAGCATAGCAGAGAAGGTTAAAAGAAAAATAAACACATGCAAAAAAAGCAAAACTGAGGGAGGGCTATCCTGGCTTTATAACAGCCCACGCTTGCAGAAGCTAATTCACTCTCGTGAGAACTAATCCAGTCTTTCCATGGCAAGAACTCACTCCCTATCCAGAGAATGACAGTAAGCCATTCTTGAGGATCCACCCTCATGACCCGAACACCCCCGACATGTCCCCAACACAATCACACTCAGGATCAAATTTCAACGTGAGTTTTGGTGGGGACAAGCAAATCATATGCCAACCACAGCAGCTGAAAAATGTAGTATAGTTTTCAGGAAGACATCATTTGGGACATTGATTACCAGTCTGAAAAGTTTGGGCATCATTCTTTTGCTAATGTGGACTTATTACATATTTTTGAGTTAAGAAGGTGAATTAATTTGAAGGATGGTTCAAGTGATGCAATCTCTGTGTGTAGGAAATTGGAAGTGGAAGACAAGTGATTTAAATTGACAAACGTTAGGGCAGAAGGTTGCAATACAAGGTTTTTATGGAAGTAATTTCAACAAATCTGGAAAATAATCTGACACGGAACTAATGTCTCCTTTATTCATCTGTGAATGATTTATTAAATATATACTCTGTGCCAGACCCTGAGCTAGATACTAGGGATAAAATAGTCCATTCTTTATGTACTACATACAGCTGTAGTCTAGTGGGATTGGAGGGTGGAAAGAGACAATAAATTATTACTGTTGTACCTAATGAAATTGTGATAAATATTGCAAAAATGATAGAAATTAATAAATGAATATAGTTGACTAGCCAAGATCTCTCAGAGTAAGTGAAATTTAAGCTCTGTGTGAGTGTGTGGTTTACATGACTTAGAAGATACTCATAGATAATTGAGTAAAAAAGTGTACACAGGAAAGCCAGGTGTGGTGGGAAATATAAGTTTAGGGTTGGAGTCACCAACTGGGGACACCAACTAATACCCAGGTGCATATATATATTAGTTAGCTATAAATGAGGGGCAGGAAATGAAGGTAGAAATGCAAAGAAAGTTGAAATGGTTTCAGACAACTCTGATACAATGTAGACTATTTTAGTGCTTCTTTAGATGAGATCCAAGCCTCACTTGGATACTACACAAAGATATTTCTTACAAAGATTTCTAATGTACAGTTGTCCTTTGCTTTTAAAACGTGTGCTTTTTTCTCTTAATTTTGGTATGCTGCTAAATTGCAATTATATGTTTATATGGCTGAAGTTGTCTCTGGACTATTAGTTCCTTGAGAATGGAGTGTATTTATTTATTTTCCCTCCTTTTTCCTCACAGATTGAGAAACAGAGCAGGAGCTCAATAATTACCTCATGAAAAAGAAAGGATGCAGAAATGAACAATGAATGAGTACTTTTATGTGAACATGCACAAGGTTCTTGGAGTACAGAAAATGATGCAGAAGGCTGGGTGCGGTGGCTCACACCTGTAATCCCACCACTTTGGGAGGCCGAGGTGGGCAGATCACCTGAGGTTAGAAGTTCGAGACTAGCCTGACCAACAGGGTGAAACCCTGTCTCTACTAAAAATACAAAAATTAGCCAGGTGTGGTGGCACACACCTGTAATCCCAGCTACTCAGTCTGAGGCAGGAGAATCACTAGAAACTGGGCGGCGGAGGTTGCAGTGAGCCGAGATCACGCCAATGCATTCCAGCCTGGGCAACAGAGCGAGACTCTGTCTCAGAAAAAAAAAAGGAAAAAAGAAAAGAAAATGATGCAAAAATCTTGGAAGCATGAGAAAGCGTGATGTATGGCAAGAGTAAAGTGTGACATAGAAAGGTGGTGGGAAACAAACCAGAATGGTTGAATCAGGGACATATAATGCAAAGCCCATCATGCCTTATTAAATAACTTAAACTTTCTCCTGGAGGAAATGAGAAGTCATCAAAAATGTTATAATGTTACAAGGACTTAAAAAAATTGTTGGGAATATGAAGGACAACTAGTAAATGGGGGAACAAAAAGCTGTTTCAACATTTCAGATGAAGAATAATGATGATAAACTCAGGTATACCCTGTCCGTGTGAAAACAAAATTTCTGTTTCAAGAGAATTCTTTAGACAATCAGAATCTATAAAGCCAGAGAAATGCCTCCAGAAGGCAAAACCACTAATCATGTCCCTTGTGATATACACTGTAAAGTAGTGAGAGGAAATCCTACAAAGGTTTTCATTGTTGCGTTTGTTTTCCAAACATCCATGAGCAGACTTCCCCATCAGATGTGGCTCTAGGAACTTCAATGATGATAAATCAACATCACAAAAGCAGCTATGGACTATACATAAAAGAATGGGTGTAGCTGAGTTCCAGTTTCAATAAAACTTTATTAACAAAAAGAACTGCTCAGCCAAATTTGATCCATGGGTCATAGTTTGCCAACCCAAGATCTGGTAACTTATTGTAAGAACCAGTGTTTGAGCTATTTAGGTCAACGTTATGAAGAGTAATAAAATCCCCACTAAAGATGTCTCAGCATTCTTTTGCACATCATGCAATTCCATTACTAATAGATTATTATTTGGGCAAGAGAAAAATAATGCAAGTGAGGCACACATTGAAATTTTTAATTTGATATTCCCAAGGTCAGTCACCTTAGGAATCTGATGTTGCTTAACATTGAGTCCCCTCAGATTACACTGATGTGAAATATCTGCTTACAATATCTGCTTAATAACTGCATATTTTTTCAGCCACCGTGTCACTGTTAACATCTCCTTGCCCATCCAAAAACCTAGAAGAGCTGGATTAATTACAGTTCTCCAGAGAAACAGAAACAATAGGATATCTATCTATCTGGAAAGAAATTGGGGAAAGGGGAAAGAGATACATTTTTCTGACATGTGTAACTGTGAAGACTGAGAATTTACACGATTTGTCATCTATAAGCTAAAGATCCACAAAAATGCATGGTGTAATTCAGTTCAAGCTCAAAGGCCTGTGAGGACCAGGGGCACTGATTATGTAAATCTCAGTCCAACCTCAAAATAAGATGAAATGGGGTATCCCAGCTCATGTAGTGAGGCAGAATAAAAGGAGGTGAATCCCTCAGTTCTGTGATTTTTTTGTACTCTTCAGGCCCTCAACAGATTGATTGATGACCCCTGCACTGGGGAGCACCATCTTCTTTACTGAACCACTGATGCAGATGCTAACCTCATTTGGAAACATCCTCACAGACACGCCTAGAGAAAAGGTTTATTTTGGACACCCCATGGTGTGGTCAAGTTGACACATAAAATTAACTATTATAGCAGTTTTTCTACTGACTATATAATTATTTCATGACTAAGGAAACGTCTTCAGGCTTCCCCTTCTTGACTTCTTTCTATTTCCCCTTTTATAAAAACATTTCACTGTGCTTCTTTTCAGCTGAATTTCACCACACTACCAAGACCCTTGACTCTGAAATCTCATATGAGATTTAAGTTTCACTCTATGATGGAATTTTTCCAATAAACTTGTCCTTTGAATCTTTTATTTGAGGACTTTCATTGCTCATCATGGGGCTCAGGTCAAGGTCCCAGAATTTAAGCCTGAACAAATACATGTGCTCTAGAGGATAGTTCAGATATTCATACTAATGTATAGCATTCATTCAGGTAATGATTTATAATAATTATAAGTAAACTATTAGGATTATAACATTCAATTATTATTGTGATTGAATGTTTACTTTGTGTTTAGTATGTGTACATGGGCCCTGTTTCCATTCTTTAATAACAGTCTTTTGGATTGCTTTGCTTATTGTAATCTTCACATTATGTATGTATGCATATGCACATGTACACAAACACATACTTATATGTTAATATAGTTTTATCCCCAAGCACTCCCTACTTACAAAGGAAAACTCATCTTTTATATCTGGATTTGTAAGGAAGCTAAACTATTCACTAAGACATTTTGACTTCTTTCTTATGAATTCTGGAGTTTTCTGGGAGTTCAGTCAATGTTATGTAATGCTTAATTTTTAATCAGTTATTTAGACCCAGGATTGATAGTTTTTAACATCATCAACTAACAGTTCTTCTGGAAGTTTTGTCCATGTTTTCTGCATCTCTTCTTCATCACTCTCTTTCATTATCCTGAAGAGCAAGTATTATTTTTCATTTTATGACAGCTCTGCTACTTCTATCAAAGAAAAATCTTTGTCATTTCTCACTACCTATCTTCTTCTTTGCTGATCTCTTGCTCCCTCTGAATCAAAAACATTCCTTAGATTTATGGACACTCCTTGTACAATGTTCTTTTTACTTTGTTGCTTGGATCTTTACTCACTTTGGTTCGAGTATCTTTAGCTTCATTTTGTTTTTTTTTTCCAGTCTCCCAGTCTTTGAAGTTTCAGTCTGTCTATAAGTCTTTTTTCACTATACACTCTTTATTCACTGGTAGATGAGACTAACCCATTCATTTTTCTTCCTAAGCAGAGAGAATTCTCCTTTGCAATAGATGACGGATTTTGTTCAGTGTATTTTTCTCATATAGTCTTCAAATACTAAATGATTAAATTTTTCACTTACTGAGGGCCTACTATGTTTCAATAGTATTTAAAAATAAGGTTAATTAATCTCACAAAACCATAAAATTGATATAATTTTTCAAATAAGTGAATAGTAGCTCAGATGGATTAAGAAGCCAAATATTCTACAACACGTCCTGGATTCATTCTCAAAATATTTATTTCACTATTTCCATATCCAGGCACTGGGTCAGATGTTGGGAACATAGCAGAGAATAAGACTTTTGAAGTCTGTCCTCTTGTGGGGCGTTATGTAGGACATAGTAAGTAAGTAGACGTGCATTAACATGTAAAGTAATAAGAAGGATTTAAGCATATAAATAAATACATAAACTGATATCCTCAGTGAGGAAAACAATATAGTTGATAACTATAACTGGGTGTGGGGTGGTTGGAATAGCCCTTACGGAAGAGATGACATTTTAGCAGATACCTAAAAGGACAGATGGAGTTAGTTATTAGAAGTGAGTGGGAAAAGGCTGGGTGTGGTGGCTCATGCCTGTAATCATAGCACTTTGGGAGGTCGAGGAGGGTGGATCATAAGGTCAGGCACTCGAGATCAGCCTGGCCAACATAGTGAAACCTCCTCCCTACTAAAAATACAAAAAATTAGCCTGGTGTGGTGTCAGGCACCTGTAATCCCAGATATTCGGGAGAGTGAGGCAGGAGAATGTGTCAAACCTGGGAGGTGGAGGTTGCAGTGAGCCAAGATCACGCCACTGCACTCCAGCCTGGGTGACAGTGTGAGACTCTGTCTCCAAAAAAAAAAAAAAAAAAAAAAAAGAAGAAGTGAGTGGGAAGAGCATTCCAAGCCCAGGAATGTGATGAAGGCAATGATATATGGTAGGAAAAGTTGTATATGTGTTTAAGGAACAGCATATATTCAATATTGTTAGAGTATGAGTGGTATGAGATAAGATAGGAAAAGACCAAACTGTCATGACCCAAAGGGCATAATCTTTCACGTCTTTCAAGTCCATGTTGTTTTCCTGACACAGCAATAAAATAGCCCTAAACACTCCATTGCATTTACTGGTATTTGCTATCATATCAACATTGTCTCAGGTCTCAGTCCTTATCTAAATAGTTCACACCCTTGCTGAACTCATTTCGAATGCTGTATTTATCCTGATGACTTTCCAGTGTTTTCTATAGCATGGACCTTTCCCTTCAACTCCAGAACTGCAACCCCGAGATGTACTAGACATCTTCACTTGAATGTTTAATAAACAGCTCTCAAACACAACTCGACCAAAGTAAACACCAACTGCTGAGTTCCTAACAGGCCTGGGGTTTGCTTTTACCCCACTTATAAGCAAAGAAATTAGCTTGTACTCTTTAATGGATGTTATCAGAAGACACAAAACTCTTGGGTCAGAGATAAAAGACTATTACTATGACACCACAAACAGTATTAGCATCAATATATTAGCATGGTTTTCCCTTGCCTTCCAGTCCTATAATGTTAGGGGGCCAGGATGGATGATACACTTGCAGTGGATTTTCATTGCTGCTGAACAATACCGGCTTTGCATAATCTACTCCTTTTGTAGCTTGCAAGTAGGCAAGGTTGCTCTTTGTCCTTGAAGGAAACAGTATCTCATCTTTCACTATTCTCTCTGCAAACTCATGAGAAATGGCCCAGATAAAAAGCAGTTAAGCCCTTGCATTCTTGGCATACTGGCAAGATAGGGACTATCTCACCCAATACTTCCATAAAATAGGTGTAAGGTGGCTGGTGTCATAGAGGAATGGGGAGAAGGGAATAGATCTACAGGCTGCTACCATAGCCTTTTACAATAAAGGTAGTTTTGTGGCACTTATATTCAGGTAGAAAATATCAGCAGTGAACTAGTCTAGATTCAGGTCCTCATTCTCAACCTCCTGGGTAGGCTGATGGCTGCCTGGGTTGGAAAGGCCTGGGAATCTAAGCCAAAGTTTAGATGCCTCCCAGTTTTATTCTCCCCTGCATATCCCATAGTTGCTAGATTCCCTCTAATGCAGATGTTTCTTTTCTTTTCTTTTATGAAGTTCTTCACCTCACCAAAGAGAAAAAAAATGGACACCATTAACTGGGCCACTATCCCAAGTACCCAGACCTCCCTACCCACACACACCTTGTTTTCTCTTCAGGCAGCCTCTTACAATGGGTGATCTTTCATCTGTGAGCAAAATGGTGGCTCCTCACTGCTGTCCCATTCCAATCAATCACAAAATCAGCTTCTGTACCCTCTCTGCTGGAAAATAAAATTTTACAGGGTCCTCATCTGCTGTTCTTCTTAAGATCATCTTGTGAACAAAGGTATTATTTGTTTTATTAATCCAGTAGAGGGCTTCATACCCATCTCCAGTGTCAAACCGTGAGACAGTGCCCAAGCAAGATGTGGGTGCCAGCATGGGCTAATTCAACTGGGCTATGGGCTGAGTTGTGCAGGTTCCTAGCACTGCCGCAGCACATGGGTCCCCTGGCCAGAGCCTGGTTCAGTTTCTGCTTTCTGTAGCTCCCCCATACTCAAGGGACTCCACATCATTATTATTCCTGACCCCAGCTGGTAAAATGGGCTTGTTCATTTCCTCATGGCCCTGTTTTCCCACCATGCTACAGCTGGCCCACTAATATGCTTGTATTATTTTCTTACATAGTTTGTTTACAGCCCATCTTTTTCCACTAGAATCTAAGTCAGTGGTCCCCAACCCTCAGGTCATGGACCAGTACTGGTCCATGGCCTGTTAGGAACCAAGTAGCCCAGCAGGAGGTGAGTGAGCTTTGCCTCCTGAGCTCCACCTCTTGTCAGATCAGTGGTGGCATTAGATTCTCATAGAAGCATGAATCCTGTTGTGAACTGCACATGCAAAGGATCTAGGTTGCATGCTCCTTATGAGAATCTAATACCTGATGATCTGTCACTGTCTCTCATTCCCCCCAGATGGAACTGTCTAGTTGCAGGAAAACAAGCTCAGGGCTCCCACTGATTCTACATTATGATGAGTTGTATAATTATTTCATTATATATTACAATGCAGTAATAATAGAAATAAAGTGCACAATAAAGGTAATGTGCTTGAATCATCCTGAAACCATTCTCCCACCCGTTTGTAGAAAAATTGTTTTCCACAAAATTGTTCCCTGATGCCGAAAAGGTTGAGGACCACTGATTATTTATTGAAAATAAAATTTTCAATATTATTGCATGGATGAATATATGAAATTATTCATTTGTTCGTCTGCTGCTTGTACCACTAGAATTTAATCTCTGTTAGAATAGGTAGTTGGATGATTTTATTCACTGCTGTACCCCCCATGCCTAAAACAGTTGGTAAATTATAGTTATTCTATAAACATACACTGAATACATTTATTGAATGGCTGAATGAACTAACTCAATAATGTCTCTATAGAATGGTTAATTTTCATTTAGGCATTTTGCTAGTAACTTAAACAATTAAGCTTATTTTGGAAGAGGTGATTCATTTATTGATTCAACAGGATTTATTGAATACTTGTTTTTTGCAGGACCTATATTAAGGGTTCCTCTCTCACAGTTTTTAGTGAAATATACTAAAAAAACTAACTCAAAGAATGCCCACTGAGTGTGGCAGAAACTTCTGGTACTTGACAAAATCCTATATTTCTTTCTTCTTGGGCTGGAAGACTCCACTCTCCAGTTCTCCAGCAGTGATGTGTAGTACTGGAAGTGTTTTGTGACCAGAGGAAGGAGGCTGAGCTGTGGCACTGGAAGTGTTTTCTCAGCAGAGGAAGGAGGCTGAGGTGTGGCACTGGAAGTGTTTTCTCACCAGTCGAAGGAGGCTGAGTTGTGGCACTGGAAGTGTTTTGTCACCAGAGGAAGGAGGCTGAGGTGTGGCACTGGAAGTAGTTTCTCACCAGAGGAAGGAGGGTAAGGTGTGGCTCTGGAAGTATTTTTTCACCAGAGGAAGGAGGCTGAGGTGTAGCACTGGAAGTGTTTTTTCACCAGAGGAGGGAGGCTGAGGTGTGGCACTGGAAGTGTTTTTTACCAGAGGAAAGGCTGAGGTATGGCACTGGAACTGTTTTTTCACCAGAGGAAGGAGGCTGAGGTGTGGCACTGGAAGTGTTTTTTTCACCAGAGGGAGGAGACTGAGGTGTGGCACTGGAAGTGTTTTCTCACCAGAGAAAGGTGAGCTAAGGGATTGTGCCCTGATAACCATGGCCCACAAAATCCTCCCATGTGCAACTGCATGTCCTCTTTTTTTTTTTCACTCTGGCTTCCAGGAAGGCAGCAACCTCCAGGGCAATTTTGTGAGCTTCACCTAGAAGATGAGAGATCCTCAGTAATATTTAGGACCTGAATGAAAAGATGAAGAAGAGATTCTTGGCAAAACTACTTTTCTTAGAACTGACCTTAGAAATTACTTTTGGTTCAAGCACTTAGATATTTTTGCAGCCATTCTGTAAACCAGTTAGTGTACTCTTTCACAGAAACTCTTCTCTAAAATTTTACTCAATTTTTGTTTTTTTTGTCTCTACAGATTATGTTACCCACATATGGGAAGATTTTGTTGCCTCTATCAAATACTAATCCTTACTTCCTGCCTCTCTTCCTCTGATAGCCTTAGGTCGTGTTTCTTAAAGAGGTTTCCACAGTTCTCAACCTTGTGAAAGATTCTACACAGCACCTCTAGCACCTGCATCGAAGACTTTCCATGAGGCATATCCAGGTGTTCTCAAAACCCTGGAAACAAATATACATGAACATTCTCAGTATGTTCTGAGCCTCAGGGGAACACACACAGAGTGGTTTGTGAATGTCAGATGTCAGGAGAAGGTGTCTCATTCTCTTTCCCTTTCCTATTGTTTCTTACTTCAGAATCAAAACAATTTATAAATCTTTTTTCTAATGTTGTATTCTCCCATGAATCCTGCCAGACCTGGTTCTATGTGGGATGCCCTTTTCTTTGGGGCATAACTAGGAATAATTAAATACAACATTCTACTCCAAATCCCCTTTCACTCTGACAATCAAGGCTCTGATCTTTCCCAAGCTTTTTTATATGCTCTCTTTTTTCCTTGCGATAATTTGCTCCTCAGTGCTTCTCACAAATACATTTTTATCCAAATAGCCATGCAAGTTTACCACACACACACACAAAGACACACACACACACACAAATAAATAAATAAAAATAATAAAATAATAAAATAAAAAAAACAGAGGAGATTGACTCTCCAAACCAGAGCTCAAGGCTCAAGCTTAGCCTTGTTATATAACTTAGCTATTGAATTATGGCCAGCACCTTGCTTGTCACTAGACCATATGCCAGCCAAATACTATGGAAAGGAATTTATAGGTAAGGAAATAAAGAGTAAAAGTGTTGAGTTTTCAATATTTGTTTAGGTATGTTGGTTTAGTCATGTGTGTGTGCCTGCGTCTGTGTTTCTTCCATCCTATTTGCAATAATACTATCTACTTCTATTTACTTTGCGGAAATTTTTTAAAACCTATTCACTTAATCATGACTATATAGAAATATACTATTTATGTTTTCACTTTAATAAGGAAGACATGATAAAGTTTCTATTAGGCCCTTTTAGCTATAGATTCAATGTGATACATAGGGAGAGAATATGAATTTTTGAATCAGTTCTGTGGCCTAAGGTGAATTAGTAAATAAGTTAGTAAATAAGATATTTCTGTATAGAGCAGAAGTAGAATCATAAACATGTTCATATAAATTCCCTGTTAATATATAGCCTCTTTCAGAATTTATTTCTCTAATTCTTAAGTAAGACTATTAGTTCATTTTGCATATTACAAGGCTTAAACATAATGTATGCAAAATAAAATCTTATTAAGTACTCCATAAATAAAAATTTACTTTGTAAATAGAGAACAAACTTGGACTCTGTGCTTTGGGGAGATGACTTAGTCCCTCCTAATTGCTAGTTGACACTTCTTTAAAATGAGAAGAACAATAATAACTATCTCATAAAGTTGACATAATACATGCATTCCAATACACCAGTTGAATAGTTATTAAATTAGATAATCATTATTATTACTGGAAATTAGATTATTTTTCCAGACATATGTTAAAAGTCTGTCATCACCTTCAGCCTAAAGCATTTTGTTCTTTTTTCCTTTTCCCTTTTTAAAATAAGCACTAAATATTAAAGTGCCTGAATTCTTTAGTATTTTCATCATTTTTAAAAAATTTTATCTTGAAGTAATTTAGATGTATAGAAATATTGCAAGATAATAGAGTTCCAGTATATCATTTACCCAGATTCCTCTAAAGAGATTACAGAAACATGGTACATTATCAAAACCAGAGAATTAACATTGATATACTTTCATTGACTAAGCTAGAAGCCTGATTTGAATTTCCTGTGTCTTCACACTAGTGTTCTTTCTCTGTATCAACCTGGATCACATATCGCATTTAATAGTCATTTTTTTTTAGTTTCCTCCAGTCTATAAGAGTCTTTCTATCATTTTCTTTGTCTTTCATAACCTTAGCACTTTTGATAACAGTCAGGTATTTTGCATAATGTCATTCATTCCTTTTGTGTTTGTATGACATTTTATCATGATTACATGGAGATTTTTGTGTTTTTTTTTTCAAAAATGCCACTAAAATAATGTTTTACCCTTTTTATTGCATTATATCAGGAGGAATGTCATGTCAATATATCTTAAAACTGGTGATGTTAACTCTAATTAATTCATCACTTTTGTGTCTGCCAAGTTTCTCCACTGAAAAGCTATTGGTTTTCCTTTTGTAATTAATAGGAATCTTGCAGGGAGTTATATCTTGACTATGCAAATAACCTGTGCTCCATTATACTTTTCCTCAATACATTTAGTTTCCATGAATGATTCTTGCCTGCAACTATTATACCATGATGCATGCCCAAGGGTAATTATCTGTTTCTGTCATTCTTTCCACATTGCTTAATTGTGATTGTATTATAAGGAAGAGCTGTTGCTTCTTCCCCACCATTTACTTATTTATTCAGTTGTTTATTCCTATCAGCACAGACTCATAAGTATTTATTTTATGGTTCATATTCCAATACTATCATGATTTATGTTGTTACTTCAAATTCTTCCAGTTGAGATTATTGAAATCTTAAGTTGGTTCCTGTGTCCCTTTTAAATGCCTCCATCATCATTTGAACACTTCTTTACCTTCTTGCACCAGAAGAGGTTCCAACCTTATCTTATGTTTTTCTTCCCAATCCATTTCTTCATAAAAGATCCCATCCTTTTAAAAAAATAGCATTTAGAAATCAAGACCTGGTTATTAAGTGTGCTTATTGCTACTTGGGCAACAATATTGTGATATTGTTATATATAATATGCATCCATACACACTTTTACAGATATATATTAATGTATCCATGCACACATCAATATTTATTTCTCTACCATTTATCTATGGACATATGCAAAATCCATGACTTTATGTGATATAAATTCCAATCCAGCACCATAGAGTTCATTCTAACTTTTCTCCTTTCCACATTGTTACTTCTTTATCTAACATACAGAAACTTGGATCACATTATCCACAATATATTTGAGTATTTGTTCAATTCTAGTATACAAAAAAAAAGCATTTTCAGATTTTGTAATGCCTACATTTGCGAAAAGCAATGTTGCTAACTAGAGTACAATATCTCTTGTTTTCTTTTTTACCTTAACCTTTAATTTTACATTGCAATACTGCCTTCCAAAGTTCCTTAAATAGGTACTTTACTTTTTCACCCTCTTAAGTGGGAGTATGTTACTCATTTGTAATACAGTTCGGTTACTCTTTACTGCTTGTATTCCATGTTGGGTTTCCCTCACTTCCTGAGGGATTTTAAATTTTTAATCTATATTTTGGGTAGGCGAAACAATACTACAAACTTAGTTTCATGTCAATTCAAAAAGTATATTCCAAACAGTGTCACTGTCTTCTCATCTGTGCCACTCCACTCCACTTCTATTGTTTCATCCTCTTCACTCTGTTTTCACCATCTCCCTGTTAGTAATTGATCTTAATAGTTTCTGGTTATCATACCTGTATTTTTTTCTCCATAAATAAAAATATACATGTATATTTTCTTACATTCCTAACTTTCCTACATGAAACATATTATAGAAAACTCTGTTGCTCTTGGGTTTTTTTTTTTTTTTTTTTTTTTGGCTTAGCAATATATTCTGGGAATTATCCAACATTAGTTCATAGAAATCTACTTCTTTTTTTTTTTTTTTCCAAGACAGAGTTTGGCTCTGTTGCCTAGGCTAGAGTGCAGTGGCTCGATCTCCACTCACTGCAAGCTCTGCCTCCCTGGTTCACGCCATTCTCCTGCCTCAGCCTCCTGAGTAGCTGGGACTACAGGCGCCTGCCACCGTGCCCAGCTAATTTTTTGTATTTTTAGTAGAGATGGGGTTTCACCACGTTAGCCAGGATGGTCTTGATCTCCTGACCTCGTGATCCACCCTCCTCGGCCTCCCAAAGTGCTGGGATTACAGGCGTGAGCCACCGCTCCAGGCCAACTTATATTATGGATATTTAGTTTGTATCCAATATTTTACAATGACTAACAATGCTGAAATGAATAACCTGGTTCATATGTATTTTCATAATAATACATTGTGAACCTAAAATCAAAATCCTAATTGATGGTTGAAATCACAAAATTTAAATTCATTGAATTGTAGTTTTTTAAAGAGTCTTATATTTTCTTCTATTTCCTTTAAGAAAAAGGAATATTCTTAGTGTACTTTCATTATTTGAACTAAAGACACCTGCAGAATACTGGCTGTTACTAAAACACTTCAAAGAGGAATCAAAAATCCATTGCTAGTCCTGGTTTCACTAATTACCAGCTATGTGACATTTGGAAATCCATTTACACTTTAGTAACTGTTAATTGGAGGCTTGTCTAGCACATGCACTTTTTTTGAGATACATAGTGAACTGAGAGACCCATAAAGAACAGTTGTTCAGACTGCAGTCAACTGCCTTTCAGGAAACTCCTGGAGAGATGTGGGGGCGGGGGGGTGGCCAGGATCCACATGAGGATTAACCATTTCGTCCTAAAGATGTCTAAGGATATGGATTTAGCACTTTGATTTACATATTTTTTCTCACAGCATTTGCCTCATCTTTGGCTGATTCTGAATATCTGCTTGGAGGAAAAAAAGGTGCTAAAATTAGACGCTTTAATTTATTCTGCTACACACATATGCTCTCTTTCATCTGGCCAACTTGTAATAAGTGGATGTCCTAATCTCATCGTTCATATCTTTTTCATGTTGGCAGAGTTGAAAAAGAAAAAAAGAAGAAAAGCAGAAAGAGGAATTTGTGGAGAAGAAAATACTAAAGTCCTCCGGTCCCCCCAGAAGGAACTTTTTTTGTTAACATGACCTTACATTGTCCCACTGAATAATGCAAAATTTGTTTGGTTGTACCCTGCAGGGCTCCCAGGCCCGGAAGCCAGGGGCAGCAGCGGTACCAAGTTGGCACAAAGTAGCAGAAATGTCATTTTTTAATTATGTGGTTCTGAGGGGAATCTATTATCCACCGCTGAGATGCTGAAATCAGACAATTTATCTCCAAGGCAGCTCTCTCTACCATCTAGAATATATATCTTTTGTCACTGCAGGAAACAGAACGAGAGGATGTTTTTATTTCTGGTGCCTTATGTTTATAAGTTTATTCTTTTAAATTTTGCCAATGAAAAGAAATGACACCCTAACATATTTCTTGGGTCCCCTCTGCCCGCTTCTCCTTTGTGAAGGGTGTTCAAGTAACCCAGGCTCTTTTTTTTCCTGAGTTGGTATCAAATCTTCTAGGTCTCAAGTTCAAGAAGTCTTTGCATAGCCTCCAGATCATGTTCCGAATGCCCATTTCCAAGATAAATAGAAATAATTTGTTGAGAAGTCCCAAGAAAACCAGAGGCATCCACCTAAATTAATATAAATATAAACTGCTCTTTTGCATTTCAAACAAGATGCTGGAAACTATTTGAGTCATATCCATTCTCCCTCTCTATAAGCTATTTTCATTTAAATGTAAACTAATACTTATATCTACCAGCTTGTTCATAATGATTGTGCATTATTTCTGCTTTTTTTTTCCCTTAAGGTATCAAGGCAAATGAAAAAAATTAGCTCATATTTGTCTTCTTCCCCAACCTCTCCCTTCTTTAAAAAATCTGCTAAATTCATTATGTTCTCTACTCTGTGTGCATCAGGGCTCCAAGCAATTCAGATCTATTAACCATCAGGTACAAGCTAAAGTGCTTTTAAAACAAATGCCTGCAGTTTATTTTAAATGAATGTATGCTTTCTATATTCTGCAAAAGCATCAGGAAATTTGATCAAAACTTGGCATGGCTGAATGACAATAGCTGCACTGTCCTCTAGTGGAATATTTTAGGCATAACAAGACAAAGGCAGATAATCTTTTGGTCTTTTTCTTTCATGCGCCTATGTGAGTTTGTGTGTGTGAGTGTGTGTGGTGTGTAGCTTTTCAGAATCAAAGAGAAATGGTATGCCACCTGTTAGGCCTTTGAAGGTTTTTTATTTTATTCTGGAATACAAAATTTTCAAAGATTGTTGATTTCCTAACACCAAAAGCATATATCACTATGATATTTTCAGCTCTATCTCTGGTAACATGAGCAAGAGAAGAATGTGATAATCTTTACTGTAGACTTTATTGCTGTACATGTTAGAATGTAAACATTCCAGTTAGAATTTTAATCCACTTCGAGTATTCTTTCATAAGTATATGCAACTCAGAGAAGAAATATGTTTCAAAGAGTCATTCATACTTACATGTTTGTAAAATCGTTCCAATCAAACAGAAGAAAAATTATATTTAGAAAGATCCACCAATGGGTAATACAGGGTTGCCTCCACTATTTCTATTAGTAGAAATGTTAGATGTATTGAGGGATTTGATTCTGAATCTATCAAAGCAAGCATGTTCTGAAACCTCTTCCAGACTGACCTGTATTATTTGGGATTTTTAATATACAGGATAAACACACACACACACACACTTGGGAGTATGATGGGGAGGAAAGTGGAGCCAGTTGGGTAATTGGAATTTACTTTTTAGCTTCCTCAGGAACATTGAATCATAATATGTATACCTATGTAAATATGTAAACATCACAGAATCTCACCTCCAGACCTATCTTTAATGTATCCGGATCACCCTAATTTGTAGCTTGTTACAAAATCCTTGCCATTCGGCTGAATCAACGATATCTCACTCTTATCAGTTCCCATTTCCTAGACTCTCAGACAGAAAACCAGACACTCAATATGTTTTTCTTACTAACTGGGCAGCAATAAGATCCAGGCCCAGAATGAGACCTCATATGTTCAAATCCTATATCTAGTACCAGTGCTGATATTTCTAGTGAGTTGCATAACTCTCTGAGCTTCATTTCCTTGTCTATGAAAGGGAGATAATAATAATATCTACCTCCTAGAGCTGTGTGTAGATTAAATGAACTAGGACATATGTAAATCAGCATCACATAGGAAAATGCTACTGCAAAAAAGTTATGAGCTATATAAATACCATTCAAACTTTGAAGCATGAATCCAGATGACCATTTACCACTGTCAATAAGGATAAAGTCCCCAAAGTTGATAGCAAAGGAATGAAAGAGAGAGGGGGCAAGAATGGTTGTAGAAATTGAAGTCACCTGTGTGACTAAGAAAAACTAAATTTTCCCGAAATGCTGTTTGTTATTAACAATAGCAAACTGAGTATCACATGTAAGGCTCATGAGGAGTGGCAAGAATTCCTCTAGGAAAATTCTCTGTAATCTGTTAATGGATAGGGAAAGAAGTCCATACCTAAGGGAATTGCCTGGCTCTATCTGAAGCCTCACGAGTTCTATTCTTTGAGTCTTGGAGCAAGCATGTGAAGAGAAAGAGGCCTTTTCTTCTTGGTTTCCTCCAATACATCCAAAGTAAATTAAACACCTCAATTTATTAAGGCATTAATATTAAAAGACCATTTTACAGATGGGAAAAAGAATGATATGCTAAGCCTTGCAGTACTGGCTCTGTCCTTAACTGGTTGGCTACTAGATCTTATGAAAAAAAAAAAAAAAAAAAACCTTAAATTCCCAGGCATTTGATGTCCTGATTTGAGAAAAAAAACATAAATTTCTCAAGATTCTATACATGATTCTATCAGTTGGTTATGTCTTAACTGATTGATATGGTTTGGCTCTTTGTCCCCACCCAAATCTCACCACTAATTGTAATCCCCAAGTGTCGAGGGAAGAATCTGGTGGGAGGTGACTGGATCATGGGTGACGTTTCTCCCATGCTGCTCTCTTGATAGCGAGGGAGTTCTCACAAGATCCAATGGTTTAATAAATGGCAGTTTCTCATAGGCTTTTTGTTCTCTCTTACCTGCTGCCAGGTGAGACGTGCCTGTTTCTCCTTCCACCATAATTTTAAGCTTCCTGAGGTCTCCCCAGCCATGCGGAACTGTGAGTCAATTAAACCTATTTTCTTTATGAATTACCCAGTCTTGGGCAGTTCTTTATAGCAGTGTGAGAACAGACTAAATACACTGATGAAATAAAACCTGATTCAGAAACCTGATTCCATCCAATAATCCAGATACACACACACACACACACACGTGATATGGTTTGGCTATGTCCCAACCCAAATCTCATCCTGAATTGTAGTTTTGATAATCCCCATGTGTCATGGGAGGGACCCAGTGGGAGGTAATTGAATCATGGGGGTGTTCATGATTCAACAACACTGCTGTTCTTATGATAGTGAGTGAGTCCTCATAAGATCTGATGGCTTTATAAGGGGCTTCCCCTTCACTCATTTCTCATTCTTCTCTCTCCTGCCATCATGTGAAGAAGGATGTGTTTGCTTCCCATTCCACCATGATTGTAAGTCTCCAGAGGCCTCCCCAGCCATGCGGAACTGTGAGTCAGTTAAACCTCTCTCCTTTATAAATTACCCAGTCTCAGGCAGTTCTTTATAGCAGTGTGAGAACAGACTAATACAATATGTATGTATGTATGTATGCATGTATTTATGTATGTATGTATGTATATATGTATATAAAACACAACCTTCAAGGGGAAAATAAATAAACTTAGTCTAAAGAAAAACAAACAGTATAATACAAAAATATTCAGGCCATTGTGAATGTCATAAAAGTTAAGATAATAAACTATAAAGTTTTGAGAGATAGTTTTGACAACAGAATTACTACCCTGAAATTAAGCTGTAAATAACCCATTCCACTGAATTTAGTACTAATAACAAAGCTGTTTTCTGTCACCAAAATTCATATTAGGCAAGTCTCTTTGCTCTCAAAATATAAAAAAGTAAATAGAATATAATCAATTTAAATGTTTCAGAGGTACTCAGGTGTTCTTTAAGTATCTCTACAATTGGGTTATTTGTTTAAAATGCTTATGCAAACTTCCTCATGTATTTTGTAGGGAAACACGTGCTCCCAAGCATGCATACACATGCACAGAAACATGTGTAACTGAATGTTTGTCAAGGTTTGATTGTTAGGCTAAGAGATACGGTGCATTGTATTAAATTTTTACTTCGACTCATGTCCAGCAGGAATGCATATTTTTACCCTCTTCATTAATATTCTTAGGGAGAGCCTGGTTTTCTATCTTCTATCCTGTTTGAAAAGTCTTTAACAAAGGATCAAAATATGTAGCTTTTCTTAAATATTGTTGTAGTATTTTTCCTTTCTTTATTCTGTAAGGCAAAAGCCTCAACTTTATACAAATTTGTTTCTCTTATAAAATTTTTGTATTAGATAGAAAAATAAAAGAGGCGATTTTATAGCTCTATACTGCCAAGTGTCAAGTTTTTGTTTTTCTCCACTTGATATAAATTACCTTTCATCTTCACATTTAAAAAAAAATAAGGCTAGAATGAAATTATTATTTTTATTTTGTTTAACAATCCACTCCCTTGCAATAACAAGTCCTGCAGCATTGTTCAGCATAGCTTGGCTTTATTCTATTGCTTTTATTTTATTAAGAATATACCTCTTTCCAGTCCTATGGTATAATCATTTAGCAGTTGCAAAATTTCACCTAAAATATGCCAGCCTGAACAGATCTTCCAAGATTTGTGTGAGTTTAAATAGCATGGCAGCAGGTAGTAGATATTGGTTTTCAAAAATAGAACTATGAAATCAAATTAAAATCTGTTTAGTAAGGAAATATATGACAAATATTTTTATATGGAATATAAAAAATAAAACACAATCAATGAAGCTCCAGGAATGTTTATATTTTCTCTAAAACATATATAGATGACTTCCTTCCTTCCTTCCAGCCTGACTTCCTTCCTTCCTTCCTTTCTTCCTTCCTTCCTGCCTTCCTTCCTCCCTTCCCTCCTTTCACTCCCCTTTCTTTCTTCTTTCTTTCTCTTTCTTTCTCTCCTTCCTTCCTTCTTTCCTTCCTTCCTTCCTTCCTTCTTCCCACCCTCCCTCTCTTCTCTTCTCTTCTCTTCTCTTCTCTTCTCTTCTCTTCTCTTCTCTTCTCTCTTTCACAGCATTTCACTTTGTCACCCAGGTAGGATGGAGTGCAATGGCCCAACCTTGGCTCACTGAAACCGCCACCTCCCAGGCTCAAGTGATCCTCCCACCTCAGCACCCTCAAGATGGGGACTACCAACCCCCAAGTTGGGACTACGCACCACCACGCCCGGCTAAATTTTCTGTTTTCTGGTAGATAGGGAGTTTTCACCATGGTGCTCAGGCTGGTCTCGAACTCCTGAGCTCAAGCCATCCACCGACCTTGGCCTCCCAAAGTGCTAGGATTATAGGCATGAGCCATTGTGCCTGACCAGAAGTATATATAGACTTTCAATAAATGATTGTGAAAATGAAAATTAATCAGTTGTGTTGTTTGTAGACATGTTATAAAAGCTTCCATTCTCCAAGATGGTTACCTTTTCCATTCTTATTAAAAAGTATAACTTTCATTCTTTTGACTGATTTTAAATAGTTTTAAAGGGCCATGAGTTGTAATTTATTTATACTAAAATCTAGGAGAGAGAGAGAGAGAAATCAAGGGGGGGGGGGCTGTTTATTGAAAACAGAAATATTGCATATCTACATTGTCATTTTAAATAAAATTTCATGATATTTTTCTGCTGCCATAACTATTTCAACTAAGTGTATGATTTCAGTAGCATTATGACAAAACATAATAATTGTGTTTAATTAATTAAACCCTTAATTACAATATGTGTGTCAACATCATTCTTGATTTCTTTAGCAGTTTATTTAATCATGAGCTATATACTTCTTTGACTGATTTTTCTGTTCCTAGATTGTATTTTGCTTTTGTGATTTTTCTTTGCATAATAATTCCACATATTTTCCCATTAAAATTAAAGAATTAAAACTTAGTCACATAAGGTCATATGCAATTTACAGGGACAAAGAACAATAAGAAAATTTTAAAAAGCAGAAGATAATACAATGTAAGCAGCCTGTACTAGGCAATTGAAACATTTTCTTTTAAAGAAATATTGCTTTGTCTTCTTCACTACAGTTCCCTTGAGAGTGAGTGGTGTGTTAAGTAGAATATGGAGAGAAGGAAAATAAAAATTATAGAGCATTACAACCATAGAGAGTGTAGACAAGCAAAATGAACCTGATCCATACAAAATGCTTTTGTGAGAATTAAAGGATCACAAGCTCTCCCTGGCTTAGCTGGTCCCAGCTGCACATTCAGCCATTAAGTAATGACTGGAGATGCAATGAGAAAAGGAAATCTATCCTGAAGGTTTTACTGCAATGATTGATTTTGGTTTTTGCAACCAAAATTCAAAAGGTTTGGTAAGAATTGATCTTAGGCAAGCATTTCCTTTTTATCCTGCTGAATAAATACCAATTTTGGAATGTACTGAAGAATTTTGAAACGTTCAGCTCAAATCATGCAGCAAAATACATTTTGAATGAGATCATCCCTGAAAAAGCTAATGTAAGTCCAGAAGAGGTTAGAATTTGAAATACAGAATATTGTATTTTGAATCTCCAAAACCATGTTGGGTCATGTAGAGATTACTGAACTCTCTCTCTTTTCTGTTAGTGAACTGTTCATTCTCTGGGGGAAAAAAAAAAGAAAGAAGAAAGACTGTGTTCCAGACTGTATTATAAATTCATTAAATGTTGCTTAAGAGAAATTATAATAAATTAGAATATGAACCTGCACATGTCAGTCAGTGAGGATGATTTTAAAAAGGGAGCACAGCAATACATTCCATTGAGGACTAAAGTAGACGGATAATAGACGTGACCCAGTAGGGTACTTTTTCTATATTCTGGCACTCTTAATAATAAACCGATTCATGTAATTCATCCAATCTTTTATCAAACAATCATTTAACCTCTACTATGTGTCCTATGCACAGTAGATATAGCAGGGAAAAAGAAGACAAAGTGTTTGCCTTCATAAATTTATATTGCAGTGGGAAAAAGTAGAAAAGTTACATGAATTTAAAAATATATATTTTTTTATTTCCAGCTACAAAGAAATGAAACACATGAATGAAACAGCAAGTGACCAGTGACTAGATGGGTAGAGGACAACATTAGTGTGGTTATAGAAAATGTTGCTAAAGAAGTAAAACTTGAGCTGAGATCTAATTGATGAAAAGAAAACACCCATGCCACGATGCAAAATACGTGGCTTCTTAGAGGTGAAAGAAGAACCAACAAGTTCAAAAGCCCTTCAATAATAATACCTCTGCCACATTCAAGGGAAGAAAATAAAGAAAGAAAAGGAAAAAAAGAATGAGGAAAAGAAGGAAAGGAGGGAGGGAGGAAGAGAGAGAGGGAGGAAAGAAGGAAGGAAGGAAGGAAGGAAGGAAGGAAGGAAGGAAGGAAGGAAGGAAGGAAGGAAGGAAAAGAAAGAAAAAAGAGAGAGAAAGAAACAAAGAAGGATAGGAGAGGAGAGGCAGGGAGAGGAGGGGAGGAAAGCGAGAGGAAGGGAGGAAGGGGAGGGGAGAGGAGGAAGGGATGAAAGAGGGAAGGAAGGAAGGAAGGAAGGAAGGAGAGAAGGCCCAGTTTCTAGAACCAAGACCATGTGGATGAATTGTACGGACTCAGATCAGAGACTGGAAAGGGCAGATCACATAGGTTTTGTGGGTCATTGTAAAGTTTCAGGGTTTAGTTCACAGCATAATCGGAAGCCATTAGAAAGTTTTAAGCAAGGGAGTGCTAAGATTTGATTAGGATATGAAAAGATCATTTGGACGTAATTTGGAGAATTAATAGAAGATGCATGGCAAAAGAGGTAGGAGTGAAGATGAGGAGTTAACATTTATTCAAACAAGAAAAAAATAGGAAAATTTATTCCTAGCGTCCCCTGTCTTACTATACAATAGAGTTTGTGAATGAAAATTATTTCAAGAAATCCAGGGCAGTGTTTGCTACACAGCAAGAGTAGAGTTACCATGAGAATTAAGCTCCAGAATTCCCCATTTGCACAGTTCCTTCTAAGATTCTGAAGATTCTGAGGATGCAGAAATTGTGTATTCACAATTTTGTGTTCTTATTTAATTTTATGTAAAAGGGATTAGCAAAGTGGACAAGCTGCAGGCTCATTGACTTGGATCAGCCTTAATGTTAGGCCTGCTATCCAAAACCAAGATATTTTTGTCCTACAACATGCTCATTATACACTTTGAATCATATGTTATAGCCAATATCTTTTTCCTAGCTAGTTGTTTTCCTCAATTGTATCTTCAAGGGTATGTGCTCCTTGAAATAATATTCTGTGTACGTTTTCTAATTTGTTAGCTCACACAGAGGTCTAACTCAAAGTGTGTCTATTTAAATGAATAAAAGATTATCAACTGAGGTGTATGGCTGAAACTTCAAGGACAGGTCATAGGTTAGGTTACAAAACAAGTCTTAAAACATTCAAAAAACTTGAGATAATATAAGCATCTTTTCAGACCACAATGGAATAAAACTATAAATTAATAATGAGGAATTTTTGAACTACAAAAATACATGGAAATTAAATAATATACTCCTGAACGACCAGTGAGTCAATGAAGAAATTAAGAAGGAATTGAAAAAATTATTGAAACAAATGATAATGGAAACAAAACATACCTAAATCTATGGGATACAGCAAAACTAGTACTATGAGGGAAGTTTATATGTGCATACATCAAAAAAGAAGAGACACTTAAAAAAAATCTAATGATGCATCTTAAAGAACTAGAAAAGCAAGAGAAAACCAAACCCAAAATAAGTAGAAAATAAATAATAAAAATCAGAGCAAAAAAGAAATTAAATTGAGATGAAGAAAACAATAAAAAAGATCAATGAAAGAGAAGTTAGTTTTTTAAAAAGTTAAACAAAATTGACAAACCTTTTGTCAGACTAAGAAAAAAGAGAAGATACAAATAAATCAGAAATGAAAAAGGAGACATTATAACTAATACTGCAGTAATTCACATGATTATTAGCGGTCACTATGAGCAACTACATGCCAATAAATTGGAAAATCTAGAAGAAATGAACAAATTCCTAAATACATACAACCTACCAAAATTGAACCCTGAAGACATCCAAAACCTGAATTGATCAGTAACAAGTAGCAAGATGGAAGCCATAATAAAAAGTCTCCCAATAAAGGGCTCAGGACCTGGTGGCTTCCCTGTAAAAGCCAGGGACATGGTGGCTTCCCTGAATTCTACCAAACATATAAAGAAGAACTAATACTAATCCTATTCAAACTATTCCAAAAAACAGAGGAGAAGGGAATACTTGAATACTTCTAAACTCATTCTATGAGGCCAGTATTACCCTGATATAAATACCAAACAAAGACACATCAAAAAAAAGAAAACTACAGGCCAATATCTTTGTTAAATAGTGATGCACCAAAATGATGGGAGTCATTAGAGAGGGTTCTCTGCTTCCCTGCAAAAGGCCTTTTCTAGCATTTTTATTATCATTATCACCACCCTTTATATATGGATGGAAATTTGTGATTGGCAGCACGTTTCAGAAGTAAATTAAGTAATTTGTTTCTCAACAAATCTGTAATGCAGAGATAACTTCTCCATTAGTCACTGAAGTCTATTTTTGGAAAACTGGTGATGAAATCTTCAATAAATTAGCATATAAAGTATGGCTTTCAGCAGGGCTGGTGGCTCATGCCTATAATCCCAGCACTTTGGGAGGCCAAAGCTGGAGGATTGCTTGAGGCCAGGAGTTCAAAGAGTTTACCCAATTAGCTAGTTATTATCTTCTGTTACTGTAGAAACCAATGGTCTCCTTTGAATCAGAGAAAATAGATTATAATAGCAATTAATGCCTGAAGCTAGTTATTCCTAGAAGAGCTAGCCCTTGGCTGTTGCAGCCTGATGGGTCCCTGGGCCTGTTAATTAATAGCTAGTCATTAACTACACTGTGTTTTGCCATCGAAGAGTTTCATGCTTCCTTTTCTGACTTATTTTGAACATAAATACGACTTGCCTTGTAACAAACACTACTTGAAAACATTGTCACATGGGATTTATTTCTTTACATAAGAATTTTTAAAAACTAAGGCAAACCTTACACATTTAAACCACAGGTATAAATGGAAGAAATACAGATTTCCAGAATCAAGATAAAAGAAAATAAACCCACAGTGATCCGGTTGTTTTGCTAATGCATATCATGATGCTACCAGGCCACACTGACCTTTATGTGCTCTGATCTGCAGTTGTTCCATGAAAAGGTCAAATCATGGCCCTGTTATAAACCAACTGCACACCGCTGGAAACATAGGACAGGGGTTGACAATCTAAGAGTACCAGATGCATTCCCCCACATGGTTTAGCTCAGCGAGGGGAGAAATTCCTCCTACTTAATAAAGTTAAATCTTCCTCCTTAGCTATTGTCCCTCTTGGGAAAATGTAATATTGATTGGCAGCTTGGGAAGGATTTTGATTTTATGCATTATACAGAATGCTGGAGATTAAATAGGCAGACAACCTCCCTGGGCTGTGAGAGAAGGCTAGACTGTGTGCTTATTGGTATTTTCACAGGTAGTTTCAAGTTGACTTTGGAAAAAAAAAATGGCTGTCTATTTCAGGTTTCATATTAAGCAAAGGATTGCTCTGAAAAACATTTAGTCCCTACCCTTACCAAAACCAAACAAACAAAAAAGAAAAAGAAAATAAAAGATTAAAACTGTTTATTTTGCTGTTTTCAGTAGAAAACACAGATAAATAGCCATAAAAGTATAGCTACAATTCTTAGCACCAACTATACATCAGCATAATCTGGGGAGTATTTTATTAAAAGTATGAATTCCAAGGCACCAATTCTGGCTGATGCTGAAGTACATCCTTGAGTAGCAACCATTGAATTGTAAAATGAGGAACAGAAAACTAAAGCTTGCCAATAAGTACAATTGCCATGACTACAGAATTTATTGCAGGATGCTATGTAATTGTAATAATGAGTTTTTAAAAAGTAGAAAAGACACTGACAATAAAGATTCTAGTTAAAAATAAATATATAATTTCAAAAATGCAGCATTGAATGCTAAGCCACCAAAAGGGATAACACAGGCAGGCAGAGGGAGAGAAAGAGAAAGAAACAGACTGAAAGATCAGTCTGTACTTGTGATAGTCAGATGTTTGTGTCAACTTGTTTAGGCTACAGGTTTCCAGTTATCCAATCAAACACTAATATAGGGGTCGCTGTGAAGATGTTTTGTAGATGTGATTGATGTACATAATTAGTTAACTTTAAGTAAAGTAGCTTACTCCAGAAAATCTAAGTGGGCCTGATTCAATCAGTTGAAAGGTTTTGAGAGCAGAAATGAGATTTTTCAGAAAAAGGAATTCCACTTACAGACTGTAGCATCAGCCTGTTATTCCTGCCAGCCTGCCCTGTGGTTTTTGGAACTGCCTATGATCTCATAACCCAATATCTTGTAGTAAATCTCTTAATATATATCTCTTACTTGTGTTTTTCTGGATGAACTTTGATACACAAATGCAAGACTATTCACTCATCCCTACTCACAGGAAAAATTCTCTGGTTTTAAAGAAATCAGTTTCCATCACGACTCTATTTGGTATTAGGGCCCCTGAAATCCTGTGGAACCTGGCATTGTGCAAATCTGCATTGCTCAGTCCTCCTGGAAGTGTATTTTATATAACTGCCTGTAGAAAATAAAGAGAAAATATTCCTCACCTAGAAGGAAGAATCTCATCATTCTCAACTGATCAACTCCTTGTCTTAATAATGTTAAAAATCAAAAATTACTTTTAAGTAAAATGATAAATGAATATATAGGATCCCTTACTACTAAGTCAATCAAGTTGCTGGTTTTCAGAGAATACAATCTAAGGGTACAGTGTTTTATCAAGGCTAATTTTTTTCGGGTTGTTCCACATGTGACAGGAAGTTGCTAAAGTCTCAGCGTAACACCCACCTGTTCTGTGGGGCTTCCCCAAATGTCACAGTCGGTCCAACTGTGGATTAAAAATATTTTAAAAATAATTACATTTTAAAATACCATAAAAAATAATAAAATAAAAAATAATATAACAACAGTGTACGTAGCATTTACAGTGTACAAAGTATTATAAGTAATCTAGAGATGATTTAAAGTTTATGGAAGGATGTGTGTAGGTTATATGCAAATGCTACACCATTTTATATAAGGAATTTAAGCATTCTTGGATTTTGGTATCCCTGGGGAGATCCTGGAACCAATTCCCCAAGGATACAGAGGGACAACTTTACTCTGTTTCTATGGCTTTCCACATTCCTAACTTTCTCCCTACATTCCTTTTCATATTTAAAAATGTGGCACTAGCAGGTGATATTGGACATTATTGATTTTCTCGTAATTTGCATGTGCATTCTCTAATGTTTCTTAACCGTATGAATCATGTGCTATAGCCTCTCACAGCTCATGTATCACACACGCAGCTCTATGCATTGTTTAAAAAAAACTGCTAATAAAGTTATATTTACATTAGAATATTTGATGACATCAATGATATCCATATATAACGTATAGGCTAAGATAAACCTTTTAAATTCAGCAAGTAATTTCTAGATATTCAGAAGAGTCTCAACAATTATTTGTATCATGTATAAAATCCTATAGTAGTAATTCAATCTTTTATAATTGTTTTCTGCTCCATTTTCAGTAATAGAGGTTTGGGCAGATCTTTTTCTTTCTGGACAAACGGTTTTTATTAAAGATTTCCCTTCAGGAGAAAGCAGTACTCTAATTTAACAGACAGGGATCACAGTAAGTTGTTCCCTAAATGCATGGTCATTTAATGTGAACATTTATATTCACTCATTAAGAAATGGTATTGAACATCTATGAGGTTTAAGATATTGTTCTAGGAATTCTACACAGGCAAAACCCACTGCCCTTACAGAGCTTATATTACAATGAGGAAATAGGACGCAGACTATAAAATAAAGGAGTAAATCTTACAGGCATTAGAAGGCACTAATGTTGTGGGGGTAAAGCAAGGGAGGAGAATAGGAAGTGCAGGGGGCAGGAGCAGGGTAGGAATAGGCTGGTAGTGTGCAATCTGAACGACAGTAGTGAAAGTAGAGGCTGAGTTTCCACTGAAAAAGTGATGTTTGACCAAAGACATAAAGGAAATGAAGATGTGAACTATGTAAAAATCTGCCAGAAGAGAATTCCTGTCAGAGGAAACAGCCTAGGGCAGAAAGTGTCAGAAGCATTTGGAGAATAGCATGGCTGGGGAAGTCAGTGGTGGGGAAGAGTAACAGAAAGTAAAGCTAGAGAGCTAAGTGGTGCTACAATCATGTAAGGCATCATTGTAGGTCAAGGTCAGAACCTTGCCTTCAACCATAAATGTGATGCAGAACCGTCAGTGAGATTTGAGCTGAGCACTGGTCAAGGTCAGATTTAGAGTTCAGAAATCTAGTGTTGGTGACTGTATTTGGAATTGATGATGAGAGAGCAAGGGTGAAAGAAGAGAGACAAGTTGAGAACCCATTGCCATAATCCAGAGGATAGGTTGTGCACAGATGACCGTACAAGTGAAAGTGGTGAGAGATAGCGAGGTGTGTGTTAAAAGTAAAGCCTTTAGGATTTTCTCAAAGACCGACAATGTGCTGTAAAAGAAAATGAGTCAAGGAAGGCATGAAATTATATTTTCAAAACATACTGTTACATAAAGTGATATGTTTTGAAGACTGAAGTCACCTGTATTGTTGATGCACTAAACTCAAGTTGTTATCAGGAAAATTTTCTCGTTAGTAACACAAATCTGCTAATGAGTTTCAAAATCTATTAAAGAGTGTCATAAAACTAAACTTACGTTAACACCTGCCAAAGAAATTTGCTGTTAACAAAAAAGCTGTGAAATAAACTTTAAAAAAAATCTCAATCCATTCTGTTTATTAAATAGGCTAAAAAGCAGCCATACATTGGAGCTAGCTTGAATCAGCTGGGGAGAGCCGACAGCCTGCAGTTCTCTCCAATTCAGTGTATAGTGACATCACCTGATAGCTTAAAATTGGCTTTGCTGGAAATATTCACATCAATGGAAATTGTCAAATACTACAAACCCAGGTTTGTTTGTTTTTTAGTCTTTCCAGTGAACTGGTGGTTAATCATTCACCAACACAACAATGCTAGCAATAAGAACAAAAGCAATTGAATTTTAATATTCAATTAAAAGGAATTTTAAAGAACTGTGTTCACTCCTTTTTTTTCTAAAGTTATAGATCACTTATTTGTGTTGCATGAGGCCTTTTACTAATAAAAATAAATCAGTTATTTCGAGCCATTTTCATTAATATTTTCAGACTATTCTGGCGAACAGCAGTTAAAAAAGATGGGTGAGAAGTAACAAATAACATTATCTTTAAAATCTGAAAAACCTCAGTATTTTCTATTCTGTGAACTCTTGTTATAAGTTGTATTAAAACACAGTTGTTTCATCTTTAAGATAGGGAGAGCACCCCCTTTAGAGCACTATTGTGGAAATTTAGTAAATTGGTAAATTTTCTGTCTCATAGTAGGCACTCAGCACATGACTGTTCCTTTCCTCTCTTTTCTTTGAAAACCCTCCTCCCCCTCCAACTACTCACCTCCTTGATTAGCAGGGCTTGACTTCAGAATAATTGAACTAGTCTCCTCATTAGAAATGGTTTCCTCTTTTGGTTTTTCTTGTTTTCCATATATTTTTGAAACAAACTGTATTGAGGTATATTTGACATATATATAATCAACTGCACCATTTAACATGTAGAACTAAAGTTTGATAGGCATGCACACCTACAGAACCCCAGCCACAATCATGACAAACAACACTGGCATCACTCCCAAATTTCCTCTTTTAGTAGTCATTCCTTCTCTCTACCGCCAGTCCCCAGACAATAACTCGTCTGCTTTCTATCAATCACCATACAAATTTTCCAGTTTCTAAAATTTTATGTAAGGGGAATAATTAAGCATCTACTCTTTTGTATCTGATTTCTTTTGCTTATTATAATATTTTTAATATTCATCAATATATGAGATTTCCCATTTTTTCACCATCTCCTTAACACTTGGTATTTTAAGTCTTTCTAATTTTAACCATTCTAATGCTTTAAAGGTTCTTTTTTCCCCGTTAACTAATGATGTTGAACATCTTTGGACATGTGTAATGGATATTCCTGATTTTTTAAAAGAGTTGCCCTTTGATTTTATCTTTTGTATGTTTTTACTTGTTTTTACTTTTATTATATCCTTTGACTTATTTAAAGATTAATTTTCTCATTAGTTTTCTAGTTTCCTAAAGAGGGAAACTGAATCATTACATTTAGTAGTTTCTTATTTTCTAATATGTATGTATTATACCGGTTGGGTATGTAGTCTCTATAAATGTCAGGAGGTTAAAAGATGGTTAATAGTATCATTATTTTGGCTAGTTTTTTTCTCTTTTTTTTTTAACGAAATACTGAGAAAGGTGTATTAATGTTTCCAAATATAATTATTAGGTTTCTGATTTCCCCTTTTAGTTCTGAATATCTGTTATTAGGCACATCCCATATGTAATTTTATTTTCCTGATTTATTGGCACTTTTATTACTATTAAGTGTTCATCCTTGTCTTAGTAATTTTCCTGTCTCACAGTCTATTTTTTCTGATATGAGAGGACTTCAAAAAGTTTGTAGAAAAATAGAATTATTAATATTAAAAGATATAAATAAAAATATATATTTATTTCTCAATATAAGCTCCATCCAGTTCAAGACACTTTTGTAGGCAATGATATAAGCCATTTAGTCCATCCCTAAGGAACTGAGGGTCCTGGGAATTTAACCATGTAAATTTAGTCTTTTTTTACATTATTAACTGAAGAAAATGGATGCCCTTTATAATTATTTTTTAAGATTAGGAAACATAAAGAAGTCAGAAGGTAAGCCGGGTGCAGTAGCTCACGCCTGTAATCCCAGCACTTTGGGAGACCAAGGCAGGTGGATCACGAGGTCAGGAGTTCGAGACCAGCCTGACCAACATGGTGACACCCCATCTCTACTAAAAATACAAAAATTAGCCGGGCATGGTGGTGCATGCCTGTAATCCCAGCTACTCAGGAGGCTGAGGCAGTAGAATCGTTTGCACCCGGGAGGCGGAGGTTGCAGTGAGCCGACATCGCGCCACTGCACTCCAGCCTGGGCGACAAAGCAAGACTCTGTCTCAAAAAAAAAAAAAAAAAAAAAAGTCAGAAGGAGCCAAATCAGGACTGTAAGATGGAAAACTAATGATTTATCATAGAAACTCTCACGAAGTTGCCCTTGTGTAACGAGAGGAATGAGCAGGAGCAGTGGTGGCAAAGGACTCTCTAGTGACCCTTTACTGGGCATTTTTCTGCCAAAGCTTAACTGACTTTCTTGAAATTCTCCCATCGTAAGCAGATGTTATTATTCTTTAGCCTTCCAGAAAGTTAATAACCGCAATGCTTTGAGCATCCCAAAAATCTGTCACTGTGACCTTTGCTCTTGAGGGATCCACTTTTTCCTTGACTGGACCACGTTCCTCTCTTGGTAGCCCTTGCTTTGATTGTGCTCAGGATTATACATACTGGTAACGCCATGTTTTATCTCCTGTTAGGAGTCTTTGAAAACAATGCTTCAGGTTATTGACCCCACTTTTAAAATTCCCTTTGGAAGCTCTGCTCTGGTTTTCAGCTAACCTGGGTGCAACAGTATTGGCATCCATTGAGTGAAAAGTTTGCTTAACTTTAATACTTGGGTTAGAATTGTGTAAACTGAGACAATTGAGATGTCTATGGTGTTGGCTATCATTTCTGCTGTTAATTATCAGCATCTTTCAATTAGGGCACAAGCAAGAGTAATACTTTTCTCATTAATTGATGTGGATTGTGTGCCACTGAAGGCTTCATCTTCAACATCATCTCTTCCCTTTTTAAAATGAGTTATTCACTTGCAAACTGCTCATTTCTTTGGAGCATTGTCCCCATAAACTTTTGGTAAAGCATCAGTGATTTCATCACTCTTCTACCCAAGTTTCAGTGTAAATTTGATGTTTATTATTGTTTTAATTTTAGTAGAGTTCATGTTGCTCTGATAGGAGCTTTTTTCAAACTGATGTTTTGTCCTTTTAGTGCCTCAAAAGAGATCCTGTTCAGACATGTTATAATAAGTTAGTACAAGTTCATTCTAGTGCAAGCAATATTTTAAAATCTGTGCATAGTTTTCTCAAAATATGCATTTTCCATGAACATTTCGAAGACACCCTTGTATAAATATGACCCTTTCAAGTTTCTTTAGCTTACTACCTACATATTATTTTTTTCTTGCTGTTACTTTCTATTCGTGTTTTGCATCTAAAGCATATCTCATTTAAAATATGGAGTTGGCTCTTGGTTTTGAGAACAATCTGAAAACCAATGCTTTTTAATTAGGTGTTATTCTACTTATCATTAACAAAAGTATTGTTTGATTTGCCACTTCAATATTTGTTTTCCATTTTTTTCTCATTTTCTTTGTTCATCTTTTTTTCTGTCTTATTTTCTGTTAATCAGGTTTTTTTAGTATTCAATTTTCCTTCTTATTTTTGCTTTCTAGCTATGTTTGTTTTCATAATTTAGGGTTTAGAATTACAGTGTGTGTTTTAAGAGTCCAGGAATCAAATTGTTTATCCTTAACTTATCCCAATCAACTTAAAGTTAGTATTGAGTTTACTTCTAGTAACATATAGAAACTTTAAGGCAGCATATTTCAATTTATTACTCTATGCTGTACTTTGTGTTACTATTATTACATATATGTTATTAATCTCTTAATATCTTATAATTCTGCTTTTAGCAGATTTTTTTAGGAAATTAAGAAATGGTAAACACTGTGTAACAAAATATTGTTTACCCACATATTTACTGCTTCCTGTGCTTATGATTGCTTTCTGAAATCCAAGGTGCCTTCTGGTATGACACCCTCCTTTTAGCATTTCTTGGAGTGCCTTTCTGCTGACTCCAGATTCTCTCAGTTTTTGTTCATCTGAAACTTGTCAGATACAGAGTTCTCTGTTGACATTCCTGTTTTTATCTGAATCATTTGAACATATTGTTCTAATATTCTGATCTTCATAGTTTTCCTCTTATTTGTAACTGTTCAAGAGTAAATGCTCCTCTAGCTTCTGTCACCTTTTAGCTACTTTTCAGTTCCCTGAAGTAATTGGCTTTCAAAATTGATACTGTTTTTATAATTTTTATGTGTAAAAGGGTTTAAACAACCACTTCACTCTGCCACCATTAAAAAATCAGATGATTTCATCTTGAATCATCTTTTAAATTTTGTGCCAACATATAGATGATACCATAAATGTTAAAAACAAAGGTGTATGAATTTTGAGAAAATGCAGTATAATGAATTTCATTTAAATTTTAGATGTAAAAATAATCTGCTTCACAATACATTTCTTAAAACTTAGACAAAACCTTAAAACTATGGTAACATTCTCTACTGCCTTTACTTTTATTTTAAAAGGCAAGATATATTTATTCTATATGTGCTTTTCAAGCTATGTATATATTTCATTGAAGAGGGATAGGAAGTGGGAAGAGCAGATGAAGTTTTTGGCAGAGATAAAAGTCTGCCTGTGGAAACATTTGTTGAAGCTATTTTAAACTCCTCCTTCCTATGGGATTAGAATGGTCTTGCTGCTAGGTTTAAAGTTCAAAAGTCATAACTGAATTGATAACTTGGCAAACCTTGCATTTACCTTTTTGGATATTGAAGTGCTCATCTATTGACAAAATGGCATTTTATGAGTTTGATGAGGGTATGAGTGAAATGAAGTTTGAATAGAGGTGACAATGGAAAAAAGTAAAGGTGATTTATATCCATAGAAGTTTTGAAATACTCCGATTAAAGGCCTTACTCTCAGTGCATCAAAACAAAGCCTGGTACTAGTAAAAGCTATTATTCTGAAGTTACTGTAATTTTCTTTTTTGTTGGGGGGAGAAAGGAAAATAATAATGTTATCTCAGAGAACCAAATGGTAAAAGAAAACAAAGTCTAAAGATAAATACTAAAAAATGCTTAAAGCCAAATGTCTTCACACCTAATAAAATAAGTCAAGTTGCATTCTGGTTTTTCTACCTTGTGAACATCTAGCTGATCTTGTAAAATTCGAACTACATATTATGGAAGTATTGATAGGAAAACTACATGGAAAAGAATTGATTTCCTCTTCTACTCCTCCTCCTACTTCTTTTTCTTCTTCTTGAAGTAAGGTTTTGGAGAAAATCCTTAACATCTAATTTGTTACTTTAAAACATTTCTCTCTAAATTTTATTTTTTAAAAAAAAATCATACAGAACACTGAGGTATAATCTAAATTATGGATCAAGGTATTTCAATTTAACACTTGCACTGTGGCATTTGGTCAACGTAAGTACAGATTCCAATGGGCCCTTTTATGTACTTACCCCTTGAGTAGGCTCCATGCTGCTGCTCTCTCAGTGTGGCTGCTCTCATAGATGGCATTGATAGGCCAGGGTGAATACAGAAGGCTCAGCCAGTATGTTTGGTGGCCTCGGAACCAAGCAAGAAACATTCATGGACAGGGCCTCTGGGTCCAGGTCCTTTGAAGCAGCAATCCACCTTTTCAGAAAATACCTACAGGAGAGTTTGAGGATAATAATGAACAGCTTTCTGGTTGTTAGAGAAGTGATATAGAAATATGAGAAGACAGAAAACCAATAATTTCAGATTGGTTTAGGAGAAATTGAAATGCACTGATGATTTTAAATAGAAGATAGATAGATAGATAGATAGATAGATAGATAGATAGATAGATAGATAGATAGATAGATGGTTATGGTGTGTGCATGTGTGTATGTAAACATATATTTCTTAGTTTTGCTAACTGTAAGAGCTTAGAGGAAAAAAGCCAGACCTCGGTTGTTAAAATACTCTTAGAAAAATTGATCATTTCAGTACTAGAGCAGGGAAAATTCAAAGACGAACCTAGAATACCATGTGCTAACAAAATGCTGAAATAAGGATTAGGAAGTCTCAGAAGAATGAAGGAGGTTTCCTGAAAGTTCTAATGCTGGACAATCTGTGACCTTTGAACATCAAAACAAATATTAGTAGTAATAGACTATTGACATGGTGTATACTTACATAAAGAAACAGAATAATAACATAGAGGAGGGGAAGAAAATATTTGCCTTACAGTAGAATGCTAACTAATCAATATAGAAGGCATTAAGGAATTAGAACAACATTATTAGCCAATTGTCATAAATAATTTATTTAGGCAACCATCATCAATGAATACTAAATCCAGTGAATGAATTACCAAAGCTCAGGCTATTTAGCATGGTCTCAAAGAATCCCCCACAAAAATTCAGAGGCACAACAACAGCCTGATGAAATTGTATGAACTTTGTGTGGAAGATGTTGACATATTTCTTCTAAAATGAAAATTAAACTGCTGCATCTTGCACAGGCAGCCATTAAAAAAGTCATATGCTTGGTGATACTTTTTGAATTTTAGACACACCATAGGCAATACATCCTTTAGTTCTGGAAAGCTTTCTTAAATTATTTGTTTAATAATCCACCTCCCCACCGCCCGCACCGCCCGTTCACCTATTCAATAACTTGAGATTGTTCATTAATTAGATGTTAGATCTTAAAGTTAAATATTAGACTTTCATTAATTTTCCTCTTTTAAATGGAGCATCTTCATCCTAGCATGCCATTCCTCAGTTCTGAGTTCCAATAGTATAACAGAAAGTAAACCTCCAGTCTTCTCTCCAATTTGGAGAGGAGTGAGGTGCCCAGCTACACCCATAGGAGTCCTATAAGGTTAATTGTATTTTATGTATACTTTTAAATTATTATTGAAAATTACAAATCTATAGTAGAGAGGATAATATATTAATCCCCAAGTATTTATTACAAGGCTTTAGTAATTCAAATTATGAACAATCTTATCTAAAAGCCAACAAACTTCCTTTTTTTCCATAATATAATTTAGAAGCAAACCCCAGGCATCATATTTTATATTTAAATATTTTGATATAACCTCTAGAAGATAAAAGTTATTTTTAATATAATAGAAATGTTATTATCACAACTGTGCAATGAAGTGACAACTCAACACGCTTGGCTTGCTGAAACCCCACACATTCTCAAGAAAGATCTGTCTTTAGGAATGGTTCTTGGCTGGATTCTAGAAGATGCATGCTAAGCCCTTGGAATATTCTTCTTAAGACAAGGATTTTTGTATGCTTCAGGCTTTGGGCCATGTAGTAACAGTTTGATCAGATAATTTATACTAACACTATGATTTATGTGAACACCTGTTTTTGGAGGTTGAGTAGCTTAGATCAGTTTTCATGTCAGAATAGCTTAGGTCATGCATACATGACAGATGCCCAACCAAAACTCTGGATACCAAGGCTCAGGAAGGCTTCTTTGAGTCATAAGACTTTGCACATACTGTCACATGTAATTACTGGGAGAATTAAGTGTGTTCTTAAGACTGCACGAGGATAAAACTCCTGGAAGTGTGTGCCTGGCTTCTTTTAACTTTTCCCCATAAGCTGATTTTACATTGTATCATTTCACTATGATAAATTATAACGGTAAATATAATAACTCTTCTGAGTCTTGTGAGATATTTTTTGTAAATCATTGAGTCTGGCAGTGCTCTTGGAGACCCCAAACAAAACTAACAAAACTCATAAAGATGTCAATTTTTTTAATACAGTGAATGACCCATTTCCCAGATTTTATGTGTGTCTGTGTGTGTGTCTGTGAGTGTGTGTGCATTGTGTGTGTGTTTAAATGATGATCCAAATAAGATCTAGGTGGATGTTCTTCTTAACAGTCTCACATTTCTCAATGAACATGTTTCATTTTTTTCCTATCAACTTACTTGATGAGCAAATTAGTTGATTTGTCTCCTACTATGATTTCTGATGCTTTAGATTTCAATTCTGATGCTTCAGGTTTCAGTTAAATCCATATGATGTCATTTAAAATATGTCCCTCTCTTCTGTACTGTTTCCATTATGTATTTTCTTTTCCATAATTTAGCTGGAAAACTTTCATAAAGAAAAAAAATTATCATCAACTATTTGCTGACCCTGAGGCATAGTTTGTATAGGAAATAATGGAATGTTTAATATTCCCTTATTTATTAGTTTTCAAAATAGTGAGTTGTTTCCCAAACATCCTCAAAGTTTAATCAAAGAGAATACTTTTAAAATCATTGTTTGATGTTGTTTAGTATTATTATAAAAGCAAAAAAAATTACCATATTTGATGTGTTTAAACTTATTCTAGCTGTAATTCTTTTTTATTAATAATAATAATTGTACATATTTATGGGGTACATGTAGTAATTTGAGGCAAGTATACAACATATAATGATTAAATCAAGAGTAATTAGGATAAATATCAGTATCTGTCAGTAATATTGCTTCAAATATTTGCCACTCCTTTGTATTGGGAATATTTCAAATATTATTATTTAGCTATTTTGAAATGTACAATAAATTATTGCTAACTACGGTCACTCAACTGCACTAGCAAAGACTAGAACTTACTTTTTCTATCTAACTGTATTTTTGTGTTGATTACCCAGCTTCATTTTATCCCCCCTTCCTCAGTACTTCACAGCCTCTGGTAACCATCATCTTACTCTCTACCACCATGAGAGCAACATCTGAGCTTTCACATCTGAGTGAGAATGTGTGATATTTGTTATTAATGTGCATGGTTTATTTCACTAAACATAGTGTCCTCTAATTTCATCCATGTTGCTGCAAATGACAAAATTTCATTTTTTATGGCTGAATAATATTCCATTATGTATATTACAAAATCTGTTTATCAATTGATAAACAGTTTGATTCCGTATCTTGGCTACTGTGAATGATGCTGCAATAAACAAGCACACGTATTCAACATATACTAATTGCTTTTCTTTTGGTTATATACCTAGTGGTGGAATTCTGGATTATATTGTAGTTCTACTTTCATTTATTTATTTTTAATGTCTTTTGTAGAAACAGGGACTCACTCTGTCATCCAGGCTGGTGTGCTGTCATGTGATCATAACTCACTGCATCCTCAAACTCCTGGGCTCAAGCCTTCCTCCTGCCTTAGTCTTCTGAGCAGCAGGAACTACAGTTGTGCAACACTACACCTGTCTGATAGTTCCATTTTTAGTTTTTTGAGGAAGCTCGAAATTGTTTTTCACAGTAACTATACTAATTTATTATACATTGTCAGTCATAAAATACTAGTGTTTCCCTTTCTCTGCACCCTCACCAGCATTTGCTACTTTTGGACTTTTTTATAACATCCATTTTAATTGGGGCAAGATGCTATCTCATTGCGGTTTCGATTTGCATTGCACTGATATGTTAATGTGATGTGTTTTGTTTATTGATTTGTATATGTTGAACCATCCTTGCATCCCTGGGATGAATCCTACTTGATCATAATGAATGATTTTTAATGTGTTGTTGAATTCGGTGTGCTGGTATTTTGTGTATAATTTTTCATCTATGCTCATCGTAAATACTACCCTGTAGCTTTTGTCGTTGCTGAGTTCCTGCCTGGTTTGGGTATTATGATAACCCTGACCTTGTGTAATTAATTAGGAAGTATTCTCTCCTCTTCAGTTTTTTGGACAAGTGTGAGAAGAAATGGTATTAGTATTTTTTTAATGTTTGATAGAATTAAGCAGTAAAGCCATCAGGTCTTGTGCTTTTCTTTAATGGGAAACTTTTTATTAGTGCTTCAATCTCATTACTCATTATTGGTCTGTTAAGGTTTTCTGTTTCTTCTTGGTACAATTTTGGTAGGTCGTGTGAGTCCAGAAATGTATCCATTTCTTCTAGGTTTTATGATTTGTAGGCATTTTTTTTTTATATTTGTGATAATCTTTTGTAATTCTGTGGCATCACTTTTAAATCTCCTTTTGGTCTCTGATTTTATTTATTTGGGTCTTTTCTCTTTTTCTGAATCTGGTAAATTGTTTGCCAATTTTGTTTTTTTAAAAAAACAACTTTTTTGTTTTGTTGATCTTTTGCATTTTTGGTCTCAATTTCATTTATTTCTGCTCTGATTTTTATTATTTCTTTCCTTCTACTAATTTTGGTTTGGCTTGTTTTTGCTTTCTAGTTTTGTGAGGTACATCATTAGGTTTTTTATTTGAAGTCTTTCTACTTTTTTATGTAGGTGCTTATAGTTACCAACTTCTCATTTAGAACTGCTTTTGCTGTATCCCATTGGTTTTGGTAAGAGTGTTTCCATTTTCATTTGTCTCAGGGAATTTTTAAATTTTGTTTTTAATTTTTTCTTTGACTTACTCATTGTTCAGGAACATACTGTTTAATTTCCATAAATTTGTATGGTTTCCAATGTTCCTTCTGTTGTGATTTCAAACTTTATTCCATTGTGGTCAGAGAATATACTTGATATGATTTCCATTTTTAAAAATTTGTTCAGACTTGTTTTGTAACCTAACATATGTTCTATTTTGGAGAATGTTTTATAAGCTGTTGTGAAAATTGTGTATTGGGCAGCTGTTGGATGGAATGTTATATAAATATCTGTTAGGTTCATTTGGTCTAGAGAGAAGTTTAAATTCAATTTTAAATAAAAATTCTGCTGAATAATCTGTTCATTGCTTAAAGTGGGGTGTTGAACTTTTCTACCATTATTATATTACAGCCAATTTCTCCTTTTAGGTCTGTTAATATTTGTTTTATGTATTTGCATATTCTTGTGTTTGGATGCATATATATTTACAATTGTTATATCTTCTTTCTCTATCGACCTCTTTATCATTGCATAATGGTCTTCTGTGCCTTTTTGTTTTTAACTATTCTTGACTTAAAGTCTATCTTGTCTAAGTATAGCTACTCTTACTTTTCTTTGTCTTTGATTTTCCTGGCATATATTTTTCCACCTCTTATTTTCGGTGTGTGAGTATCTTTATAAATGAAGTGAGTCTCTTGTACACAGTATATACTTGAGTCTTTCTAAAATCCATTTAGCCACTCTATCACTTTTAATTGTAGAGTTGAATTCATTTATATTCAAGGTTATTATTGCTAGATAAAGGTTTACTGTTTATATTTTGTTATTTGTTTTCTGGTTATTTTGCAAATCATTTCTTCCTTTTTACCTCTCTTGTGGTTAAGTGATTTTGTCTATTAGCATGTTTGCATTCTATGCTATTTATTTTTAGTATATCTATTACAGGTTTTTGCTTTGTGGTTACCATGAGAATTACAAAAAAAAATCTTATAATTAGTTTTTAAACTGATAATGACTTAACTTTAATCACAAATAAAAGCAACGAAAAGAAATTCTTCAGGTTAGCACCACATTTTTTTCTTTTTGATGTTTCATTTTATACCTTTTTATATGACTTATCTCTTAACCAATTGTTGTAGTTACTATTCTTTTGAATAGTTTTATCTTTTATTCTTTATACTTAAATGCAAGTGATTTATTTACACCAATTAAGGTATTAAACTATTCTGAATTTGTTTTATTTTTTCACCAGTGAGTTTAATACCTTTAGATGTTTCTTTGTTACATGTTAGTGTCCATTATTATTTCTCTCAGATTAAATAACTCCTTTTAATACTTTTTTGTAATACAGGCCTACTGTTGATAAATTCCCTCAGCTTTTGTTTATCTGAGAAAGGAAAGTCTTTATTTCTCTTTTTTATTTGAGCATTAGCTTTGCTGTGTACAATATCCTTGATTGGCACTTTTTTTTTCTTTCTTTAGCACTTTGCATATAGCATCCCACTTTCTTCTGACACACAAGGTTTCTACTGAGTAATTTGTTGAAAGCCCTATTTGGGCTGCGATGAATGTGATATGTTTCTTTCCTCTAGATGCCTTGAGAATTCTTATTTTTTTAAACTAATTTGATTATGACGTGTTTGGGAAATTCCTCTTTGGGTTGAATTTCATGGGTGTCCTCTGAGGCTCCTGTGTTTGAATGCTGTCATCTTTCTCCAGATTTGGAAAATTTTCAGTCACTATTTATCTTAAAATTGCTTTCAAGGCCTTTTTCTCTCTCACCTCCTTCAGGAATTCATAGTAGGTGGATATTAATTTATTGATGTGTCCTATAATCCTCATAGGCCTTCTTCACTCTTTTTTATTCTTTTCTTTTTTTTCTCCTCTGATTGGGTAATTTCATATGTTCTGTCATTAAGCTTGCTTATTCTTTTGCTGTTTGATCAAGTTTGATGTTGAAAATTTCTAATGAGTTTGTGTCCAGTTATTAAATTACTCATTTCTAGGATTTCCTTTTTTAATTGTTTCTATTTCTTTCTCAATTATCTTTTGTTTCTGTATTGTTTTCCAAATTTTATTTAGTTTTTTATACGTATTTTCTTGTGATTCTCTGAACTTCTTCTGAATTATCTGTCAGACATTTCAGAGATCCTGAATTCTGGATTCATTGCTGGAGCATTGTTTTTTTTTTTTTTTCTTTCTTTCTTTCTTTTTTTTTTTTTTTTGGTTATGTTAAATTTCTCTGAGTTTTCAAGATTCTTGCATCTTTACAATGATGCCTATGTATTTGAGGAGACAGCCACCTCTTCTAATTTTTGCAAGTGAGCTTTAGTGGTGTTAGATCTTTACCACTTAGTATCAGAACTTAAATGCTGTCTCGTTGCTTCCCTTTCTTGGGATTACTTATAGTAAGCACCAGAAGTAAAACACTGAATTGGAATGAGCTCATTGACCTGCCATTAATTATTCTTGTTATTAATTCAATTGTTTTTGTCACTCTGTTTGATGTTAGTTTTCTCACCAAATGTATAAAAATCATTGCTCTCCACTCATATCTCATCATGAAGAATTTAAAAGTTTCTTGCAAGCTCAGATTGTGGTGGGATGTACTTGGAGCATGATAAGCTTCCTGCAATGGGAAGAGGAAGTAAGCCAGGCTTTTGCTGGTCTAACAGTGAATATTGGGAACTTAATGTCAATTGGTTCATAAACGATGTGGCTTATACTCTTCAGCTTGCTGAAATACCATGTCATCCCTATGCCTCTTCTTACCAGCCTAGTATTCTCAACTCAGAACAAATTTCTATAAGGAAAAAAACTCAGATTTTCTATGATGATTGGAGAATAGAATGGCTTAAGCTGCCACTAGATCAGTGGGCGTGCCAGAAGTCAAACTGCTCCACAGAGTTTCAATCAAGGTATATTCTTAAGTTTATTTCATTCTTCTACAGCAACAGGTTGTCCAATCCTGAGCATCTCTTATGTCATACATGGTGATTCAGCTTGTTTCTTATAACTATCCCTTTTAGTAAGCATTTATGTTTCAGCTGTCCTTGTTCTACTGAAGACAGTGTTTTTCAACTTTCAAGATATTGTTCACAGTTACTCTCTTATGATGTCATCTCTCATTTTCTTTGTCCTCCTTTGTTTATTACCAACCATTCTTTCAAGTTTATTTTATTGGGTTAAACCTAATGTATGCATTTTGTCTGTTGAAATGGATATATCAAATAAAAACAAAGGCAAAATTTACAAAAATATTTTTATTATTTGTTTACAAGCTAATGTAATTTTTGATGCATCAAGTTAAAATAGTACTTGAATGTTTTGGTTATTGTTTAATTTACTTAACTGCTTACAGCACCAATTTTAGAAAGAGTTCTCTCTTACTATAGGAAAGTATCTTTGTAAATGCTTTGCTGAGCAAATCTGTAGTTGTAGTATTATCAGTATTTTCTCTTCTAACTTAATTTGAAGAAAAATTATTTAATAATCACTTTCTTTAATTTCCTTAAGTAATATATGCAAAAGAGTCTGGAACTTGTCTTCACAGAGCTCTTTCTCTTTTTTTTTTTTTGTAATTCCATCCTTGTTTCAATGGTTATTGCATTATTCTTTCAATGTTTCTGTACACATATCATGACACAAAAATATGCTGGGCACTAAGTAAATATACCAAATATATAGTGATGAGCTCTTGACTTTCAAAAAACTTACCATGACATTGAATAGATATACATAAATTGTCCTAGTTTGTTTAAACTGCTGTAACAAAATATCATAGACTTGGTAACTCATAAACAGAAATTTACTTGTCACAGTTTTGGAGGCTGGAAAGTCCAAGATAAAGGCACCAGCAAGTTTTGTTTCTGGTGAAGGCCCCTTTCCTGTTTTGGTTTAAAGATGGTACCTTCTTGCTGTTTCCTCACATGAAAAGTTCAAGCTAGTTCTCTGGAGTCTCTTTTATAAGGGCGTTAATCCCATTCATAATCGTCCTACACACATGACCTAATCGCCTCCCAAAGGTTCCATCTTTTAATACCATCATATTAGGTTTCAATACGTAAATTCTGGGGGGACACAAACTTTCAGATCATAGCACTTATATACAAACATTGAAGACTCTATACATATGTACCACAAAATAACCATTAAAATGTTCTCATACAGTATATAATTTGTTACATTAATAGAAACAAAAATAAATATAATTTTACAAGGTAAATTATTTGGGGCTAAAACTGCCCAAAAATGTCTTACCATAGGTAAGGACTTTTAGAGGGATCTGGAATCATTTGAGTAACATTCAAAGAAGACGACTTAAAAGGTGAAATATAGAAACAAAGTTGTAAGTATAGGAATCAAAAGACCTGTTTTAGGCTACATTAATTCTTTAACTCAACAAATAGTTGTTAACTTCTTGCATCATTCCTTTCACTCTTCTAGGTGAGGATATAGATAACCTTTATGGAAGGCAATCAACTTAACTAAATTAGAAGCTCTTTTGAGATTTATAAAGAATAGGAGTGGATAATGCAAGTTGAGGGCAATACTAGGATCTAAAGCTGCTGAAGTCTTGTTCTTCTTTCCACCATTCCAGTATTTCTGTTTTGTTTTATATATAACATATTGTTTATGAAAGTCTCACATCTATGTCTTCACTACTTTTAATATTAATGCACCTGTTTTACCCTTATAGTCTATCATCTTATATTTTTTCCCATAATTTACTTCGCTTCTTCACATATCTCATCTATTCTTATTTATATGAAGTAAATGTGATGTGTATCTTGTTGTATAAAAAAGTACAATTGCTCTAATGCTAAACATTACTATAAGCCAGGTCTTCATAACTTTTTATTTTCAGTCTTGGTAGAGTTCCTCTCCAATTTGGAGGATAATTTAGCTTTTGGCTGTCGGATTGTGAATAGTTGAGATGGTTGTTTCAATTTTGCTTTTAAAAATATTTATCTCTGGTAGAAATTCACTAGCTGCTGCAACTACAGATCAGACACCCTAAGAAATTTTTACTTTTGGCCTGGGAATATGACTTGTACTAGTTACAGTAATATTACTGAGTGGTGCTGTCAGCAGCATTGGAAGATTGTTTACTCAATTGGAAGTGATGAGGAAGGTCAAAGTTAAATACATTTGAATGCTCTCAGGCACACTATTACGTACAGTTTTGCATTTTTTGAAATAGGAATCTTTTGTGTTAACAGGTAAACTGATTGAAGCACTGTAGGAAGAGCTCTACAATCTACAGATTAACAACATCTACTATCTTCCACTTCAACACACTGATGATAAATTCCTGCTAGCCTCATCAACATCCCTTAGCAACAAAACACAAAAGCTCAAAGGAGATGAGAAGAGGCACTCTATATAAGATGATCTCTAGATATGTGGATACACACACAAAAAGAATGGCAGCATTGAGATTTTTTTGCCATTTTTATTTATATTCTTTTTTTCACTCGATAAAGATGTTTTAAAAGACATATTTCCATGATAACACCACAGTATTTCCTTTGAAAAAAATCACTTGCTTTGACTTTTTGTTTAATTATTGGGGTTTGTAAATGTGTTTAAATATTTGTTATGTTGTTTTTCTTGCGCCTGGCTTGGACTAATTAAAAAAAATTATGGATTTTGAGGAATAACTTCCCCTCCCTTCTGCTCTTCTTTCCTCCAAGATAATGCTTGTGTTAGACAATTTTCACCACGTGTATCAGCCTATCTCTTCATCTGTGCCATTGTTAGCACTTCCTCTCACTTTCCTCTGAATCACATTTAACATCTGCCCTTTGATGATTAGATGTAGCTATTAGCCTCTCATGGGTGTCCACTTCACCAGCCTCCCTGGCACTGAGCTCACATTGCAACTGGCATTAATATTGATGATATTAGTGCTTCCAACCTCTGTCTCCCATCACAGCAGTCTGTCCTCATTTCCATCTCCTTTCCTTGTAGCAATGATTGCCACCATGACTACTCATCAGCCCTCTTTGGTCATTAAGCTGCAAATGTGCAGCATGGCACCTGCAGCTAAATCTGTGTCTATTACCTGATGGCTTTACATAAGCCAGGATTCAATCACTTAGCTCATGGAAGTCTTACCTACTATAAGTAATTTCAGCTTTGGTGTGGAATTAACTGTAGTAGTAGGCAGAGCATTCCAAATATTTGAATTAGAAGATGGGGCATATTGCATAATTATTACAACCATTGTCTCTGAAGACAGACATGTTTTCATTCCAGAATCTGCTATGAAGCCTTGGAAACTCACACACCTCTATATAACTCAGTTTCTTATAAGAGGAATAAGAGCCCCTACCTCACAGGTTCTGCTGTTCAAATTAAAACAGGCAAAGCCCACAGAATTAAATGTGGGTAACACAGCTGCTTGGTAATGGATTTTGGCCAAAATGATATTCATTCTTGGACTGAGGAGAATATATCTTTATAAATATGTGTACTATTGATCTGTATCTTCCACATTATATCCACTACACACTCATTTTATTCTCTGCAAGCTATTCAACATATTAAATTTATTAAGCATAGTTGGAAAGCCTAATTATTTTTGATAGAAAAATTCTATCCCTACTGACATTTCATATTTGTTTAAATTCTGGCCCTTGTCATTTACTGCAATAATTGATACAACAACTGTCACATCCCCATGCCCTGCATCCACTCTTGATATTGTTACCAGCGCGAGCCACAAATCAGAACACATCAGTGTCCTCCATTACAGCCTTTCTTTGTTAGCTCCCTGTAGCTTTTAGGATAAATCCAATCTCTTTAATATGGTACATGATGTGTTCCCTGAGGTGTTCCTCACCAATTTTCTCTCCTTCACATCCACATTCAACCCAGGCAAAAGTATCTGAAGTTGGCAGAATCTCTCAGGTTCTCTCTAAGCCCTGAGCTTTTGTAGTCATGGCTCTCTGTAACACCGTAGGAATAACTGTTACTCAAGCAATGTAGATATTACCTACCCTGGGAAATTTTCTCTGACCCATCCACACCCCATAACTAATACCCCCCAGAGCCCTCTCACCTTACCCATAACACTTCCTATGTTGGACGTATTGTCTGAATCCTGTAAAGACTGCCTTTGAGGTCTATGATGGTGAAATATTTCTCTTTATAGTTCCAGAAATTAGTGTAAGATGGCATTTAAAATTATCTCTTAATATTTTTAATTAATAAAACATAGTGTGTACAGGTTATTTTATTTTATAAAAATTTTTTTTAGAAAAGACCTTTATTGAGTGAATTTATAGTGCAGTATAGGCGTTAAGCCTATAGAAAATCAACTGATACGGAAAAAATACTCTTTTTATTGACTTTAATTTTAAACAGAGTATGATTTATCAATTTTAAAGTTCGAAAACTCTTTCAAGTTGCTGATTTTGCAATTTTTTTAAAGACTTTTTGGTTTGTACCTTATTAGCAAGTTTTGCAATTATGTCTCACTCATTAAACTAATATTGATGTCTGAAAAATTAAGATATTAGTATTGTAGTTCCCCAGTGAGAAACAACAGAAAGAGCATTACTCAAATAACAGTAGAGGGCATAAATTTCAATGTATTGTGCCTGAAGCAGGTGTTGAAATATATGCTTCTTGCAGCCAAGAAACTGTTTTTATCTATTGCTGGAATGTGTTTTATGCTAGTAGCAATTTATATCACATTGTTTTGCGAAAGTCATTAAGATAAAAAAGGCAGCAAGAAATAATGTGTCATAACAATCTACAATAACTTTTTATGTGTCAATAAAGGTAAACTTCGATGCTCGCCAGTGTGAATGCATAAAAAATACCTTTAATGTGAAGTGCGTTTGGTTTTTCTCATGCATTATAATGTTTATAATCTCAAATTAGACACTGTCTTGTTTTGACTGACTTGACTACCAACTTTCTGTCTTATTTGTCCTCTTATAATAGAAAAACTGATAAATACATATTATATAAATCAAGATGCCAATATTTCAATTACTTTTAGTTTAATCATTACCTTGCTGGGCGTAGTGGCTCATGCCTGTAATCCTAGCACTTTGGGAGGCCCAGGTGGGTAGATTGCTTGAGTCCAGGAGTTTCAGACCAGCCTGGGCAACATGATGAAACCCTATCTCTCCAAAACACACAAAAAAATTAGCTGGGTGTAGTGGCGCATGCCTGTAGTCCCAGCTACTTTGGAGGCTGAGGTGGAAGAAATCACCTGAGCTTGGAGAGGTTGAGGCTTCAGGGAGCTGTGATCATGCCACAGTACTTCATCCTGGGTAACAGTAAGATCCTGCAAAAAGAAAAAAAAAAAGTTCAATCATTACCTATTTAGAAAGTGGCTGAGCTCTACTTCAAATTTAAAGCTCTTTTTGGAAAGTTATATTGGAGCAGAGAAAGAAAGAACAGTGAGTGTGGGTTAGTGCTTCCACTAACCAATTATAAAGCAACTCCCAGATATAATGTTTCTCTTTTGGAGCAACCACTATTTTATTTAGATGTTGCAAATTCCCTTCCTAATACAGGATGTGTCTAAGGGAGGTTTAAATTATAGTCATGTTTTAAAAATTATTTAAATCGAGAAATGGAAGTTGTATATATTTGTGGCATACAAGATAATGTTTTGAAATATATGTACTTTGCGGAATGACTAAATTATGCTAATTAACATGTGTTACCTCGCATACCGTATTTTTTGTGATGAGAAAAAATTCTGTTCTTTTAGCATTTTTTAAATATACAATGCATTGTTACTTACTATAGTCATTACGTTGTACAACACATCTCTTGAACTCATTCCTCTTGTCTGAACGAAATTTTTTTACCTTTGACCAACATTTCTGGAGTCCTCCCCCCCGACTTCCTGCCCCTAATAACCAACTCTCTATTCTCTGCTTCTATGAATTTGATTTTTTTGGTTTCCACATATAAGTGAAATCATAAGATGTTTTACTTTCTGTGCCTGTGTTATTTCATTTAACATAATGTTCACCAGTTTTATCCATGTTGTCACAAATGACAGGATTCCTTTTTTAAGTCTGAATAGTATTCAATTTTGTGTGTGTATACATACATATGTTTATATACACAAATGTAAGTATGTGTATATATCACATTTTTCTTATTCATCATCTGTTAATGGACACTTAAGTTGACTTTAACGATATTCTATAATTGTATTACTTGAGACATATTTATGCCAGGTAACAAGAGCTCTTTTGAGCTCATTAAAACAAAACAAAACAAAATGATAGTACAGAGAATTCATTCTCCTCAGTTCCAAAGATCTATATTGCTCTAAGGGCCTCAAGAATACCCCTCTGTCTCTGCATTTTGGTATTTCCTATGTTATCCTCTTTAATAGGAAAAGAATAAGAAAAATATATAGATTAAGCAACAGCCTCGATAATAGCTTATAGGTAGTGATCACTTATAATGTATCATTTAATATACCAAGTAACATAGGTACCCTTATTAATGTGCTTGCAAGCATTATGTGGCTGATTGTTGCCCTAATTTTATATCTGAGTAAATTAAAGTTTAGCTTAGTAACATTTGTAAGGCAATAGTTAATTTACTTTACAATGTAGGAGATGCTTATCAACACTTTACAAATTTAAATTTCCATGCTTTAGGACAGAAGAGAGATCAATGCTGACATCTCTGATTTCCAAATTAAATTTCTGGAGGAGGTACTTCAGTGTATTGGACTCTGGTCAAGAATCATCTCTGCACTCAGTAACTAGTGTCTTATTACCCTGTCTCTGTATTATCTCATTCTAGTATTCCAGAAATAAGTTTTTAAAATTTTACATCCCAGATGACTTGGAGACTCTGTAAATTTTCTATTCTCTTTGTCTACTTATAATCAATTTGAAAGACATTTTATTATATCTATTTATAATGTATTCATTCTCTCTTCAGCTTTTTTCAAAGCAGTTAACTTTTACACTGAATTCTTAATTTTAATTACTATAATTTTTATTTCTCAAAGTTTTCCTTTTAGAATCAATAGTTCTAAAAGTAGTTCTTTTTCTTATCTGTCTGGCCATTTTGTGCAGCATTTTATATTTTGTCATTTTTTATTACTTTTTTAAAACACATTAAACATTCTTATTTTTATATTCTGTATTTGATCCTTCCAACACATCACAGTGGTAGAGATATAATTGTTCATTACTAATTACTCTCTATAGCGACTTGTTTTCTTTGATGTAGTATTAGTTAATTTCAGACTCAGGTTCCATGGAAATTTATCTTTAAGTATTCCACTCCTTTGACCCTTGCTATTAGGTGTTTCCTACAGAAAGATTGTAAGCTTGGACTGTACCATGTTCTTTGGGGACATTGACAATCCTAAATCAACTTTAAATTAATCTTGGATAGTTGAGCTGTACAAGCAATATGAATTCTGCCTTCAAAATCCTTATGAGAAGGAGTTTATAATAGGAATTCTCAAGAAAGCCACCCTCCTCCCTGACATAGAACAGAGTAATGAACATTTTCTACAGGCTTTCTGTCAAGGTGGGGCATGAGGATTTCACACCATTTAAAGATAAGGCTTTATCTTTAAACAGGGATGTCTGTCCAAACTTCCTGCCTTAAAAGAGGCCTGAGCTTTGTCTCTCTTTCTGTGTACACAGTTCATGAAACCTAAAACATTGACCACCAGGAACTGACAGTGCCTCTCTGGACAACCCCTCACATTAGTGCCCACTGATCTCCCTGGTTTCTTGGTATCTAGTCAAGTTAGTGTCCAAGCTTTCAGTTACACTCATCATTTTAGGTATTTTGTATAGAGTACAGGAGTGCCAGTAAGTGTCTTCCACATTGCCCACTTTGCAATAAACATGGAAAATGTTTTTACCACTTTGTCCAGTCATTAACTTCAATTCAGAGAACTGAACAACAGTTAAAGTGCAAGGATGCTCACCACAGTCTTGTTTATGAGACAACCATGTGGGAAAAAAATAGGGGCGATATAGGTAAAAAATGGTGGCTCAGACAAGTAATAGAATTTCAATCTGCTTTTTTTTTTTTTTTTTTTTTTTTGAGACGGAGTCTCCCTCTGTTGCCAGGCTGGAGTGCAGTGGTGCCATCTCAGCTCACTGCAACCTCTGCCTTCCAGGTTCAAGCGATTCTCCTGCCTCAGCCTCCTGAGTAGCTGAGATTACAGGTGCGCGCCATTGCGCCCAGCTAATTTTTGTGTTTTTAGTAGAGATGGGGTTTCACCATGTTGGCCAGGATGGTCTCTATCTCTTGACCTCGTGATTCACCTGCCTCAGCCTCCCAAAGTGCTGGGATTACACGCATGAGCCACTGCGCCCAGCCTCAATCTGCTTTTTAAAATAATGTTTACTAAGGATATTTACCTATAGAAGCAAATCTCATAATATAAAAAGAAAAAAGTAACTTATAAATTTATGTTTTATCCTAATGTAGAACACACACACGCATACACACAGGAAACACACTAAGATGTAAATAGCAATTTTGTTTGGATGATGAGAATATCATTGTTTTAATTATATCTGTGACTCTTTCAATATGTGTGAAATTATGAAGGTTATTTAACTTCTCTCAGGCTCACAATTTTGCTAGTAATCTCAGGATAATTATACTAACATTGAAAGTCTTCTTTCTGAGTATAAACTGAGATCACATATATATTACTTTAGTAACTAAAGTTCAGTAAAATTAGGATGATCATTTTATATATTCCTGTATTTTAAAACTTCTTATAAAGAATTTTAAAATGTTAATTATATTTATAATAATAAACAGTAATGTTAATATTAAGAGGAAAAACAAAAAAATCCCTTTATAATACTAAAATATACTGAAAGTATCAAATTAATTGTTGTCATCAAAAGGCTTTTCAATGTCAGTCTTATTACCTGGGTCAATGTGAAGAAACCTATTTGAATATGATCTTAAAAAAGAATCATGTTAGTGTGGCAGAAGGACATATCAGTTTTAGACCATTTTGAATGCAGACTCTAGCCCTGCATTTTGAATGCTACTCTTACATCTGAAAGTGTGTTTTGCACTTGTAATCTCTAGAAACTAATGATCACTGAGGAAACAACTAAACAGCAAATTGCTATTGATTATTTTTGATTTGTATGACTTAAATAACAGAGGTCATCACTTTATTTTGTTTCTTCCATTATTATCCATCTCATTTTTATCAGCTATGTTAAAGCTTCATTGACAATTTCACCTTTAATATAGATAATATATATTAAAAATAATATAATGGCCCAACTAATTGGCTTTCAATGCACTCTGTTTATGAGATAATATTGCTGATGCCCTGCTTTCTTTTTACCCTTTTTATGTAACACACGATACCAGTCTATTTTTCACTCTGATTTTTACTTCTGAAAAGATCAGCAGAATGTTGTGAGTTAGAACAGCCTTTTATACTGATTCTTCTCAAAATAGAAACACAAATATTGCCAAAGTACCCTAAAGGGTACAGTTCAGGCTACCTCCTTATGCAATAAAATACAGAAATTTTGCCTGTTTCTAAAACCCGACACTATGTATGCCACACTTTTACCTTTGTCCAACAACTTCACTGCAACTGAAAACGCACATTCTTATAACAGAAAAAAATATCAAGTTTTCCGACTGGAGTTCTGAACTCTAGAAATAACCCAGAGGAATCATCAGATAGAGAAAATAACACCTGTATTATTGAAAAGCTAGTTGGAGATGCAGTGTATTTGAAAGAAAAAAATAAGTTTCCAAATTTTTCACAGCTTATCTTCTTTATGGCTCTTTAAAAGGTCACTTATGGGCCGGGCGCGATGGCTCACGCCTGTAATCCCAGCACTTTGGGAGGCCGAGGCGGGTGGATCATGAGGTCAGGAGATCGAGACCATCCTGGCTAACAAGGTGAAACCCCGTCTCTACTAAAAATACAAAAAAAATTAGCCGGGCGCGGTGGCGGGCGCCTGTAGTCCCAGCTACTCGGGAGGCTGAGGCGGGAGAATGGCGTGAACCCGGGAAGCGGAGCTTGCAGTGAGCCGAGATTGCGCCACTGCAGTCCGCAGTCCCGCCTGGGCGACAGAGCAAGACTCCGTCTCAAAAAAAAAAAAAAAAAAAAAAAGGTCACTGATGAAAAAGTTTGAATTTCTAGAGCAGACACAGTTCATAGTCACTGAAGTTGTGACCTCTCTTGACAGAGAAGAAAGAGAGTAATACTCAATTTACCCAGCTCAGGACTCTTATTAGATTAACTCAATCAGTCCAGAAATGTGTATTAGAGGCTGGCCTCCATTATCAGGTAACCCTGTTCACCTCCACACAGGAGGTATACCAGAAGCCTGGAGTACTGAGAATGCTCTCTCTCCTCATGCCAAAGAGAGGCGTAAGAAATGCACTTTGTCTTCTAATTCTAATACTGATGCCGTCTCTGGACATCTGGAAAGGAGGCATGTTTACCAATGACAACTCATTTGTACTAATTTGCCTGATTCAATAAGACATCCAGTAACCATTCCAGGAGAAATTTCAGATTGAAAATTAAGTCAAACATTTTCTTGTCTTATGGAAGAGGGGTAAACATTTACTGCTACAATCTATTCTCAAGATTTGTTCATAGATGTGTCCAAGTCTTAGAACACAATCTAGCAAATAATAATAACAAACATTGCATACAAACATGAATGTGTAAGAAAGCTTATCTCTTTCCTGAAGACATGTATACTGAATTGGACGTGGAATACCGTGAAGAAAAAAGGTCACAGACAGAACTTTTTTCTTGTGTTGTTGGAAACATGAACTTCCTAACAGTAGAAAACATAAATTAAAAATAGCTTTGTCTGATTTTTGAGCCTATGAAATACATGAAATGAACAAATTAGCTTGACACTGCCACCTGGGGACCTAACATTAAGAAGTGTGACAAGGTGCATATAAGACAGTCCAGTAGAAAAGTAAAGAAGAGAAATTGGGTTTGAAGCTCATCTCTGTCATCATCTAGTGTTGTAACTTTGAAAAATATCTTCACGAATATGTGACTTAAGTCTAGTCTGTAAAATTACTCCTGGAAAGGACCTTTTTTTTTTTTTTAAAGAACGTCCTACCCATGCCTTCACTCCCCAAACTACTTGTAGTGTGTGCGGTTACAAGCAATAGGAGCTGAGTCTAGCCAAAGTGAGGAATGAAGACGAAGGACAAATTGTTTAGCACTAGTAGAAATTCTTAAAAGGCACTTCACAGTTTGAGAAAAACAAACCCACAAACAAAGAACAGCCAGATATTGTAGGAATTACTGGGCTTTGGATAGCTTCAAAGTTTAATTTCTAAGTATTAGAAATTAAAGAAAAGTCACTGCAAGGGAAGTTTGGGTAAAAAAATAATAATCCAGCTATTTTTCTATTCTGAGAAACTCCATTAACAATCAAAATCAAGGAAGAACTTATTTACAAATCTTCATCAAATTCTTATGTAGACTATACCAATTAAAAAAAAGTGGAAGTCACATATTAATTTGGACAGAGTAGACTACAAAGTAAGGAAAGTTATCAGGGATAAAGAAGTGTATGACAAAATGATAAAAGGGTCAGTTCTCTAAGAAGACATGAGAATCCTAACCTCATGCACCTAACAATAGAGCGTCAAAATATGTGAGCCAAAAACTGATAGAACTGCAAGAAGAAATACATGAATTCACTATTATAGTTGGAGACATCAGCATAGTTCTGTCAAAGATGGATAGACCCAGCAGACACAAAAATCAGTAAGGACGCAGTTGAACTCACCACACCATTAATCAACTGAATGTAATAGATATCTGTAAACTACTTTATCCAACAACAGCAAAATACACATTCTTTTTAATCTCTGATAGAACATTCACCAAGACAGACCACATTCCGAGTCATAAAACGTACCTTAGCCAATTTAAAAGAATAGAAATCATACAATGCCTGCTCTCAGACCACAGTAGAATTAAATTATCAGTCAATAAAAGAAAAGCTGAAAAGTTTAAAAATGCTCACAGATTAAATGACACACTTCTAAATAACATGTAGGTTAAAGAAGAAATCCCAAGATAAGTTTGAAAATAGTTTGACCTAAGTGAAAATAAAAACATGACGTATCAAAATTTGTGGGGTGCAGTGAAAGTCTTCCTTAGAGGGAAATGTACAGTGTTGAATGTAGATATTACAGAAAAAGAAGGTAATAAAATCAATCACCAAAGCTTCTCCTTTAGAAAACTAGAAAGAAAAAGCAAATTAATTGAAAGTAAGCAGAAGGAAATAAATAATAAAAAGTATAGCAAAAATCAATGCATTTGAAAACAAGAAATTAATAGAAAAAATAAATGAAACCAATAGCAATTTTTTTAAATCAATGAAGTCAACATGTTTCCAACCAGATTAACTAAGAAACAATGAGCAAGAACACAAATTACTATTATCAGAGATGAAGGTGGGAATATCACTACAAATACCCTGGACTTAAAAAATTATGATAATGAAGTACTATGAAAAACTCTATATGTAGAAGTTTGATAACCTAGATGAAATGAGAATTCACTGAAAGACACAATCTGTCAATATTCACACAAAAAGAAATAGGCAACCCGAATATAGCTGTATCTATTAAAGAAATTGAACCAATGACCTTCCAAGACAGAAGACATCAGTATCCAATTGGTTTATTGGTGAATTCTACCAAACATTTTGAAGATAAATTATATCAGTTTTCTACAAAATCTTTCAGAAGATAGAAAGAAGTAGAGGGAATTCCTCCTAACTCATTCTATAAAGCCAGCATTACCCTAACACCAAAATAAAAAACATTGCAAGAAAAGAAAACTACAGACCAATATCTCTCATGAACAAAGATGCAAAAATCCTCAACAAAATATTAGCAATTCAAATATAACAAAGTATAAAAGAATAATCCACCACATCCAAATGGAATTTATCCCATGTATGCAAGGCTGGTTCAACATTTGAAAATCAATTGATGTGACGCAACACATCAACAGGCTAAAGGTGAAAAATTGTATGATTATATCAATAGATGCAGAAAAAGAACATAGCAGAACCCAGCATTCATTAATGATTAAGAAAAAATTAATGATTAAGAAAAACTCTCCGCAAATTCCAAATAGAAGGGGAACTCCCTCAAGTTGAAAAAGAATATATACAAAAAGCTACACATAACATACTTAATGGTGAGAAACTCATGGCTTTCCCACAAAGATGAGGAACAAGTTAAGAATGTCCCCTCTCACCACGGCTTTTCAGCATCTTAAGGGAAGTACTACTGAATGCAATGCAATAAGATAAAAAAGGAACTAAAAGGTAAACAGTTTGAGAATGAAAAAATAAAGCTGTCTCTGTTCACAGATGACATGATTGTCTATGTAGAACATCTGAAAAAATTGACAAAAAATATCCCGGAACTAATAAGCAATTAAAGCGAGTTTACAGGATTCAATGCTAATATACAAAAGTCATTTAGTTTCCTCTATTCTAGAAATAAACAAGTAAAATTTAAATTAAAAACACAATGTAATTTACAATAGCATGCAAAAAATAAAATACTTGGATATAATTAAGAAAATTCGTATAAGAATTATATGACAAAAACTACAAAACTGTGATTAAAGAATCAAAAAACTAAATAAAGGCATATTGTGTGTCTGTGGATACAAAGACTCAATAATGTCAAGATATTCTTTGCAACTTGATCTATAGATTCAATGAAAAGAAAATCAAAATTCCAGTAAGTTATTTTTCACATATTTACAAACTAATTTCATATTATATATGGAAAAAAATGACCGAGAATAGCCAACACAATATTAAGGAAAACAATAAGCTGTGGAACGAACATTACTCAACTTCAAAATTACTATAAAGGTACAATAATCGAGCAAGTGTAGTATGGGTGAAGAATAAACCAATAGGTCAATGGAACAGGATAGAAAGCCCCAAAATGGACCCACTTGAATACAGTCAACTGATCTTTAACAAAAGAACAAAGGCCACACAATGAAGAAAAGATAGTCTTTTCAACAAATGATACTGAAACAACTGGACATCTACATGAGATAATATGAATCTAGACGTAGATTCAAATCCTTCACATCATCCACAAAAAGTTAACTCATAATGTATCACAGACATAAATATAAATTGCAAAACTATAAAACTTTTTTTTTTTTTGAGACAGAGTCTCGCTCTGTCAGCCAGGCTGGAGTGCAGTGGCACGATCTCGGCTCACTGCAACCTCTGCCTCCCAAGCTCAAGAAATTCTTTTGCCTCAGCTTCCTGAGTAGCTGGGATTACAGGCATGTGCCACCACACTCAGCTAATTTTTTTGTATTTTTAGTAGAGGAGGGGTTTCACCATGTTGGTCTCGAACTCCTGACCTCCAACCGCCTCAGCCTCCCAAAGTGCTGGGATTATAGGCATGAGCCACCGCGCCCGGCCTGGCCAAAACTATAAAACTTTTAGGAGATAACCTATGTAAAAATCTAGATAACCTTGCATTTTATGATGATTTTTTTAGGTACAACACCAATAGCATAATCTAGAAAAGAAAAAATTGATAAGCTGGATTTTATTAAAATTAAAATTCTCAGCTCTGTGAAAGACACCATCAGGAGAATGATAACCAAGCTACAGACTGGAAGAAAATATTTGGAGAAAAAATACCTGAAAAAGGGTCATTATTCAAAATATACAAACAACTCTTAAAATTCAACAATAAGAAAACAATTAAATAAATGGGCCAAAGACCTTAATAGATACTTCACAAAAGAAAAATATGTAGCTGGCAATTAAGACTATGACAAGTCTCCATGTCATATGTCACCAAGGATGTGCAAATAAAGACAACAATTAGATACGGCTACATACCTGTTAGAATTGCCAAAATCCAGAACGTTTACAACACCAGATGCTGGGGAGATATGGAGCAACAAAAACTTTCATTCTTTGCTGGAGAGAATCTTGTGATCTTTGCTATTTCCCCAAAGTAGCTGAAAATCTGTGTCTACAAAAACCTGCACATGGATGTTTACAGCAGCTTTTAGAAAAAATTACTGAAACTTGAAAGCAATCAACATGCCCTTCAGTAGGTCAATGAAGAAAATGTGATACATCTGAATAATGAAATAGCATTCAGTGCTAGAAAAAAACAAGCTATCAAGCCATGAAAAGACATGGAGTCAACTTAAATGCATAATATTGGGGAAACCTCCCCCATGATTCAAATTGTCTCCCCACAATACGTGGGAGTACAATTCAAGATGAAATTTGAATGGGGATACACAGAGTCAAACCATATCACATTCTCTCTGTGGGTTGAAGAGAATGCTGATGCCATGTGTGCTCTGCTAGCTGTCTTTGTGTAACAAGTTTGGAGACAATACTTCGGCAACTCAAAAGGATTACATTTGACCCTAACAAAGAAGTTATCAGAAAGCATGATGTACTAATGTTTTGTAGAATTAAAAATATAGTTACAATTGCTACCAAATAATAACTACCTATAATTGCCATGCACATAAAATAATTTATATACACTGTTTCATATCAGTTTCATGAGACTATCTCTATCTCTATCTATCTATCCTCTCCTAATAAATGAAAAAAAACATTCTTCCATTGCTGAAACATTTTCAAAAGTTCATTCATATCTGGGGTTCCAAAGCCATTATAAAGGATATAGAGCAAGGCTGTTTACCCACCAGTTTGTATTATGAGACAAATAAAACAAAATATTCTCTAAAAATTCGGAAAAGATTTTAATTTTTACTGACTTCTTTAAAAAATAATAGCAGTGTGCAATATATTACATCCAAAATATTATAACAAGAGGAGTCTCAATCCCAAATTCAGAAAATGTGTATTAGACTGTCAGATCTTTCACAACTCTTCTTGTGATTTCAAAAGATCCTTATCAACTGATATAAACTGTCTGTTTCCTCATCTGCAAAACAGTCATTTTGAAATCTCCACAATACCAGAGGGCATTTGTAAAAAGGAAAATAGATAACTACTTTGAGACACCTTTAAACATTGTGTTTTCTATACACACAGAGTGTTATTAGTTTAGATTGTAAGATGCAAACTTAAATAAAAATGTAGTAACATTTTAGCCATATGATTGAGTCCAGCCTTGAACTCTGAATTCAATTTAGAATTTCCTTTATTACAAAATGTATCAAGATACATTGCAAATAATTGTCCTTACTTCCTGTTGTTAAATGGTGACATTCCATTGCTGGCCTTACTCTCCTATATTCTCTTCATCTCCTAAAGCTCTGCAAAGCTGAGAAATTTTGCAGCAAATCTCTACTGAGGTGTTCTTTGCAGCTCACATTTTCTGAATTATTTCAACTGACTTGATTATTATGGAGAGCATCATCCTGAACTGGACTCTTATATTTTCATTCTGTATATTATTTCCCAAAACCTACGGTAAGGATAGAACGTCCTGAGGAAGAAGCCCTCTCTTCACCCACTCATGCTGGCTGCTCAGCCCACTTCTATCTGGTTAAATTGGGGAGGCCCGTTAATTATGCAAGAGTTTTTCTTGGACTGTGAATTCCTTGAGACTTATTGAGCAGGGGATTTTTGAGAGAATAAAAAAAACAGAATAATATTAAAATGACATTCAGAGAGAAAAGACTTCGTGCCAGGAAAGGCTCTATTTCTAAATCAACTGTGACTAATGAAGAAAAGGAAAACTTTAAATGAAAGTTACAATGAATTTAAATATTGTGTATCTTTCTTGTTTCTCATTTCTATAGTCATGGAACAAACAAATGTTAGTAAGTAAATAAATAAATGAATATGCTGCTTCTCTGAAATTCTTAATGGCATCTCAAGCAATGTAAGAGCAGACAACATTACTTTGAGACATCTCATAAGGAAATGGTCAAACAAAATTCCTTTTACCCAACTCAGAGTTCTTTCTGGGACCAATACTTTGGGTATTTCAAAAGTTAACATTCTTAATTTTAGGTATTTCCTTTCTTTATTATTGTATTATATTTTGTGTAATTTAATTGTATAAATGAGAATCACTGAGGCATTAAGAGATTTCTTCTGGTGTTTTAAGTTGGTCCAACAAATTCTGAGAATAAGAATGAATTATGTAGAGACCATTTTGTATGAATATTTGAAATTTTTATACTTGTCTGCTGTCTTTTTTCAGCAACATGAAAGTTTTGGGCCAGTAGATGTATAAGAAAAAGAAATTGCTGTAATATCTGGTCTAGAAGGGATTATAAATATATATTTAAGCCAAAAGTAATTTTTTCAAACACCTTTAACATCCAGCCAATAAATGTGTTTTATATTTTGCTATTTTTATCTTTTAGATAACTCTCACAAGTGCAATATTAAGCTAATAACTTTATAGCTGTTGTTTTATGAAGTTATATTTCAGATTCTATTTTATAGTTATTCATAACATGGTTAAGAACATCTCTTTCAATAATGAATTACTATTTTCAGTCTTAATCTAATGATTTGATTTGTAGAAATTTGTAAATATTTTAATAATAGTTTTTACAAAGCACAGATTGAGTGTAAACATGACTAAAAGATAATTGAAAAAACACAAAATATCCATTGTTAAATAAAAAATCAGAAGAAATATGGTGCACGGTTACAGATTTGTATTTTATTGGGATCAGCTCTATTTTTTTGCAGAGTTTTGTATGTGATATCTAATCTGGAGTCATTCTGTATGCTTTGCTTGGCTGACATTTTTGATGGTCATAAAATGCCAGAAGTAAGTTTAATATTTTTGTTAAAACATTATCTGTTGTTAAGTGTTAAGTCTGGTTAAATTGACAATGAAATTCAGCTTTTTTGATGATTAAAATATCCTACTATGACAAAAAAAGAAAAGAAAAGAAAAAAGACAGAATTGATCAGGAAGTTAGAAAGTGATCAAAGAAGCCCACATAGGATTCTGTACTGGAACACAAGATTTTCCTCAGTTCCCCTTTTATATACAGCCTTGAATAATCTCTTTGCTTTGTTGTTGTTGTTGTTGTTGTTATAGCCCCAGAACTCTGCCTCTTGATTCTTCTTTTGAAATGGTAACCATAGGTTCTACTCTGTACTCTTCTTACTGCTAACCCAATCTTGGATGGGAAAAGAAGTTGTCTTTCCATCTTTCCTCCTTCTCTGTCTAGAAAGACACAATTTTCAATATTCAGAATATTCTCTTTCTTTTTTACTCATAATCACTTGAGAGTAATAGTTAAAAATAAACTCGTCAAGGTTTCAAGGTTTACCACTCTCATGTATTAGACCTTAGTGGATAGAGCTCCCCACTGCCTTTAGAGAGAGTATTTGAAGCTTCATTGGGCTCCCATTGATTTCCTATAGCAGAAAATTCTCCCTCCTTTCCCTGGTACAATAAAATATAAATATTTGGTCTTTGCCCCTGGTCTCTGTCACAGAGTCCCTAAAATCCTTGGAATTTATTAGGTTGGTGCAAAAGTAATTATGGTTTTTGCCATTAAAAGTAATGGCATAATACTACGTTTTGTATACTAATGAGATGACTTATGGGCTTCAGGATGAGGGCTTGTGGTCAGAAAAACCAAGTACTCATTAGAGGTTTGGACTTTCGGTCTCACTTTCTGACCACCAGGGAGGGGAAAGTGGTTAGAGATTGAGTTCAGTCACCAATTTCCAATGATTTAATCAACTATGAGTATGTAATAGGACCTCCATAAAAAAAAAAAACCTTGAAATGATAAGACTCAGGTAGCTTCTGGGTTGGTGAACACACTGATGTGCTGGGAATGTGGTGTGCTCAGAAGAGGGCATGGAAGTTCTGTGCCACTCCCACCCCCATAATATGTGAGATGCATTGCTGCCATTTGGCTGTCCCTGAGCTGTTTCCTTTATAATGAACATGTTAACTTTAGTAATGCAATTTCCTGAGTTCTGTGAGTCATTCTAGTTAATTATGAAACTTGAGAAGGAAGTTGTGTGAACCCTCAAATTTATAGCTGGTTGGTCAAAAATACAGATGGCCCCTGGGACTTGCAACTGATGTCTCAAGTGGGGGCAGTTTTGTGTGACTGAGTTCTAACTTGTGAGGTCTGAGCTAACTCTGGATGGTTAGTGTCAGAATCAAATTGAATTGTTGGAAACCCTATTCATAGTGAAGAATTGGAGCATTGGTTGTTGCTGTGGAAAAAGTATATATACTGGCTGCCTTTACTTTTAGAGCATAACATATGCATCTTATATCCTCTTCCTTGTTATTGCAGCCTTAAGATGCAACCAAGACACAGAAAATAAACATTTGGCATCCTTGAGAGCTTTTAGGCTGCATGGGAACTACATTGGTAGACCACAGCCTGGTACACTGGGCATTTTGTCAAGAACATAATAGATTAAGTGATACTTTTATCTGGACTTTTATATTTTGTATCTAGATGTCTACATGACCCAAAACACCATCAGTTTGGTGCAGGAAGCCCTGAATATGAAAAAATTCTTGTCTTAACAATGTTTTAAGGGTTGTTTTATTGAGTGATAAGTATGACACTTGGAGGTAACACGCTACTGTCTCTAAGGGGCTGTGAAGAGGAAAGGCCTGAAATTATTTGGTAACACAAATATTACTGATTCATAAATAAAAATAAGGACACATTAATATCAAAGCCATACTTTTGTTGGCTCACAGTGTTTATCTGCTGACCAGGGCCTCTAATCCTCAGCAAATATCTACTCTCTTCCAAGTCCTTAGTTGAATTCTCAGCATATGCTTTGGAGGATTTTTGTGTTTCTTTGCTGGGCACTATCATCGTACTTCAGTGCTCTTCTTCTGAAAAATCATGGTTTCTCTTGTTACTCTTTAATGCTTCATATAGTTAATAGTTCCCTGTCAACTTTGATTGTCACAGCAGGTACATCTATTGCTCTGTTAATTGGCTACTCTGTGTAATACTTTCTCCAACTTTTCCACTGAACCCATTAAACACCTAAGTCATCAAAGCTGTATTCTGTTCCATGGCAGAACTAGAGTCAATCATTCCTTTCATGCTGTAATATAATTTCATGAGTGATGAAGGATAAAAGCTTGGTTGCAATGTATTTCAAGGCTTAATCAAACAGCACTCATTATGCTTACTTAACAGCCACCTCTTCTCAAAGACCTGGTTATGCAACGACAAGAATAGAAAAAAAACACATTTCAAAAATTGCCAGTCGGCTTGGCTTAAAAGTACTCTTTGTACCTCCTGAAGATCAGTACTTGATTTCTACATCAATTTCATGACATCTAGCTATTTCTTACCTTAGGGTTAATTCTTTCATAGAGAAAAGTCTGGTCCCCTGCAAACAGACACTGAGTAGCTCACCATGGTGGTTTGTCAAGCACTCTAAGATGAGGATAAACCTCCAGAATTAGACAGAACTTGAAATTTGTTGCAATGATTCTTTAACTTTAAAAAAACAGAAATCCCTGGGAACTTATTTTAATAATTCACTGGATGGTTACTGCCTACTCTGGATTTAATGTAACTTAACCTAAAACTTCCTGAAATAAGCATAATATTCAAAGTTAAGGTAGTAGGCTGTAAGCACATAAAGATTACTTTCATGTATAATGTGGCATTAAGTCATTTATATCTATGATTTCTTTAAAAAAAAAAGGAAACAAAACAAAAAACAGAAGTTTTCTTCTGACGGTGCATTTCATTTCAGGAACATCTAAACCGTATTTGCTAAAGACAAGCAATATGAGGAGTCCAGCTCTTTGCTAAGATTTCTAGTTCAATTTTTTACCTGATGTTCCAGTCTTAGCTCACCCTTATTTTGGTCCTCAGGCTTTTGAGAAGAAACATACCAAGGTCACTGTGATCGCTATTCTCTTATGTACCACTAATGTTTATTTTTAATTTGTGACTGGTAAATAAAGCTTTAATAGGATTTTAATGGCATATTGGACACACTTCAGTGTCCAGAGATGTGGCATCATATTCAGGAATGTCATTATCTAGGTTAATTATCAATAGCGTACATATATCATTAGTGCAATGTAAAAATGAGAGAGGTTGTAAATAAAATTTTCTAGGCAGAGAAGTCAGAGAAAAACCACATCTGATTTGCAACTATTTAGTATTTCCAAAACCTTTTCTTTCTTATTTATTTATTTATGTATTTATTGTGATGTGCGAATTTTTGTTGTTGAGAATCTGCCTAAAATAATTCTGAAGAGGGACTTTAATTAGCTTAATTTCTAAGGTCAATTTATTCTCCTTAAAAAACTAGACATGCGTCTGGGTGCTCTAGTCTCTAAGAGGAGCAAAGAACACAGTCTTCTCAGTACATACTTTCTCTTCTGAATTTTATTGTGCTCATACAAAGAAAGGTTAAAGTGTATTACGGCATGGCGTTTGTGTAATTGACAAAATCTACTCACAGCTTGGTCTAATTTTAACATTTGTAGTACGTAACTAAAAATGGTCCAGGAGAAAGCTATCTTTAAAGAGAAAATATTTTATCCCTCTGTCAAGGGTCTCCATACTCTATAATATCTAACCATCATGTCACACTATTGTGTTATTGTGTTTAATTATGCATGTTTGCTTTTAAATATTATAATTAACATGTGTATGTTTATGACATTTGCACAGGGTAATATACTACCAGATTGATGGAAAATAGTTTAGACATTTAGAGAATGATTAATGTTATTATGCTTATTTGAGGGGCTGAATACAAGCCTATCTATTTGATTTTCTCAAATCTAAATGCCTGGATTATAAAATACATCATTATTTTATGTGCCACACTGGAAAGAAAAAAATGTCTAAACCGTAACTTTTAGTTTTAGCACTAAACTATAGGATAATGCAATCTCTTTGAAGACATTTTAAATGGCAATTACACTCAGCATCTGTAGTTTTAACAATGTAGATAACTCAGTTGAAGGAATGACATTGAGGGTGGCTATGACCAAGTTTAATTACTGGCAAAAAATGACAATTATGTCACCCTTGTTGTCTGAAGCACAGTGATCATAAGATAAATCATGTTTCCAGAGATATAAAAATGCAAAGTAATAAACCTTAGAATTTTAGTATTTCAAATCCTAGCTTCAGCCCCGCTATTCTTTTTGCTTGAACAAGCTACTTTGGTTTTTTTTTAAAAAAAGCTAGTTATTTTATTCTGAAAATGGACATGCTATAACAAGGGTACCCACAGCATCATACTGTTGTGAAGTTGGACAAAAGTCATCCTCAAAAGCAGATGGCAAAACTCCTTCTTCAATCTGTGTATGTGTTCAATAAATGCCGACTTTTAGCAGCAGCAGCAGCTGCTACAGCCAAGTACTATCCAGAGTTACTGTGCCTAGGTTACAAGATGTTCAGCAAATTTACCAATTTGTGAGCTTGGGAAAATTGTTTAACCTTACTGAGTTCAATAATGTTATCTCCTAATAATATATGAGGATGAAAATTCTCTTACATGATTTAATAAAAATATGTGCCTAGATAAAGCAGTTGTGCTACTTTGCAGTTTTATTGCTAACTGGAGAATGTTCCTCTTACATAACACATCCATCTGGAATGCCGCTTGTCGTGTAGAGAATTGCCAGACTTAAAAATCCATATAAAATGATCTGGCCTTTAGTTAATGACTCTGGACATCTTAAAGACAAAGTATTACACATAAACTTTTGAATCTTTTTTACTTCACTGTGCAATTTATGTGGCATTCAAGCATAAAGCATTGGTTGCAAATAAATATATAATTTACATTTGTTTCTATATACTTCACTTTCTTTAACGGCCAGTGGTAGTGGTAGAATCAATTCACATGAATTATTTTTAAAATTTATAAAATAAATAAAAATTACTGGGTAAGACAAAGTATACTTGGATAATACATAATAAAAAATCATATTGGATTATGCAATTAAAATGGAAGAGCATTTTATGAAGAGTTTCTTTTTTGGTAGTTTGTGATAAAGTACCCCTGAAAAATTCACTGTTTAAGTTCAAGGCTACAGATCAAGGAATACAGTACGAAGAAAATTAAATATGTGTCCAGCTAGCAAAATGCTTTAAGTGAGTTTGAAGCTCTCTGGAGAACACATCAGTCAACAATATGCCATTAACTTAGCTCAAGTTGTGGGCCTTAGCTCCGCTATCCTTTTTGCTTGAACAAGTTAAGAAAGAATTACTGGGGATCCCAAGGTTAAGAAATGATAGCTTTACTTTGGTAACACAGCAGATCTATTATGTTTATGAGATAACCTCATTTAATACAGTCTGTTTTGAATATAATGAGTTCTAAAATGTAAGTAAAATTAATACTAGATTTATTCCATCATCATGGAGCTTGGGTTTCAGAAAATTCTTGATATTCTGAAATTGTTGAGAAATGCATTATTAAAATATAATTTTTGAGAGTTCTTTAGATGTTAGCAGACCTTCATAAAAGACTTTGAACACAAAAGGGACTTGCACATAGTTTCTATTTTTGTGAAATAACAATTATTGTCAACTTAAGTATTTTCATGTATATCCTCAGGATGTTATTTTAATTCCCATTGCACTGATGAGAACACCAAGGATCAGAAAAGATAAATAAATTGCCCTAAATCCAAAAGCTAGTATGTGGTGGATCTGACAGCTGAACTGAATAGTTTTTCTCCAAGGCCTTTATGTCCATCATGACATTCAGATCTGATATGAAGAAAAGCTATCGGATAAAGGAATTAGAAACCTCTGGTTTGCTGGCTCTAGATTTTCTAGTACTGGTAAGAAAAGTTAGGTTTTGGGTCTGTCAAGTGTTCTCATCTACTATTTAGGATTGCTGGATTTAACAAGTAAAAATAGAGAACATTCAGTTAAATATAATTTATAGATAAGCAATTAAGTATCTTAGTACAAATATGTCTCAAATATTTCATTCAGCATACTCATACTAAAAATATATTCCTGACTTTTCTGAAGTTTAAAATTAACTTGGAGTCCTATATTTTATCTGGCAACCCTATTATGTAGAATAAGGGGACATAAAGCATCAGAAGATAGATTTTCCTTTTCTTTCAATAATTTAAAGTCATAGTTTAAAAGAGACAGAAACACAAACATATGAACCATTCTAAGGTAATATTGCTCACTGAAGTGGATTGGTGTGGCTCACTGAAGTGGATTGGTGTGACTCACGGAAGTTTTCTTTCCCTACCTCCCATTTTCTTTTCGTTACAGATGCATTTTACAAATCTGGTACATATGCCTTCTTAGTGAAAAGTAGGACAATGACTATCTTCCATTGTCTACTTTGTTGATTAAAAAAATATGAAGAGATTCAAAAGATGTTTAAAATAGTTCTGTCAGAATTTCCCTGCAGTTTAAAAAGATCAAAGATTACTCTGAAAGAATAATGGGCATAAAATTCAGAAAGGCAGAGAGGGATTGTCTCCAAAGCCAGATTCAGCAGCTATCAGGCAGCATGTGCTCTGAATGGAGGAATTTAGGGGCCAATATACACATATCTAACACAATTAAAAGATTTCCTGGAGAAGGTATGCTAATCAGAACTTTAAACAAATTCTATGATGCAAAAAAAAATGGTCTTTATATCATATCTTATGAAAATGCCCCTGTTCATGTTCTAAAATTAATGACAGGTGGACTGGTGTTTATCTGCATGTATCTAATAAAATTTAGACCATTTGTCAATATAGGTTCATGTGAACATTGGTGCACAGATTTGCAGTCAGCCAGGAGAGATTGTGAATTATTCTCAGGACAAGGACATAGCTCTCATTCTGTTAATAGAAACTGCTGCACAATGAGGGACAAACATTTCAGAGTGGGAGAAATATGAAAGTTTTAGAAGAATGTTAGTTTTAACTCCTGAGAAGTGTGAAACAGGCAGTAATGAATAGGTAAAGGAAAAAGTATAATTTGGAGCAGCATTAAAAATACTCATTATAAAGGCACAAATATTAAAAACTGGCATTTTGCATAGTGCATGAAAGTTTTAAATCACTCTATTTAAAATGTTAACACTTCGGTAAATTATCTGCACCAATTAGGGTATGTTATGCATCAGCAACTCCAAAACACAGTTACTTAATAGAGAAAAGGATTATTTCTCACTCTTGTCTAATGTGGGTTTTTAGGTTTTCTTCTTATCACAGTCACTCGGGTATCTAGACTGATAGAGCAGCCACCATCTTGATTATGGTCAGTGGCAATGCAAAAACAAAAAGAGTTCTGGATATTCTAGCACTGCTAATTCTATGCTTGCTTACAGTCCATCATTTCTCTTCAAATTTATTGGGCAGAACTAGTATCAAAGCCCAGTGAAATCACAAGGAGGTAAGACAGTATAAATTCACCATGATTCTAGAATTTGGAAAGTTTAAAATATTTTGCTAACAGTAATAAGAGCATTTATAGTACCCATTATTTTTCCTTTATTTTAATATCAACAAATGCCAAGTAGTTTAGGTGATAAGCTCAGAAGTGCATTCTACAACAGGTGGAGCTAATCGATGAAACCAGTGAGAACCAAGAGTGGTCTGCATTGGATTTAAGACCACAGCTACATATTTAAGGAGATGTGTAGCATGTAACATTAAAGTGACTAAAAATTGGCAAAACTGAGTCCTGTTTGTCAAAAACATATATTACGATCATGTTATGCCAGCAACTATCTGCAGCTTGAATGAAACAGCAGTGAACACAACAGACACAGCCACTGCCCCGTGGGATTTAGTCTAGCAATGCTAAAATGTTGCTGTCAAGCACTGACAAATATGTTGTAAAGACAGAATCTATAGAATCTAAGTAATATATGTGCAAAAAGAATCCTCAAATGTGGAAAAAAGAGTAAATGAAGCATGCTAGTATCTTGGCAACATCAAAAGAATGAAGCAACCTGAATCTAAGAATAGAAAAGACAGAGTGAAAATAAAATAATTTCTTGAGTATTTTTTCATCTAAGTATTAGCACGAATGATATTCATTTAAATATGCTTAAGTGATTCACTGTGTCTCCGTTGTAAAAAGCAACGCTTACTGAGTCAGCAAAATTCAATGCTATACATCACTTCTGGACAGAGGGTTGTTTTGTGTAAGCTTGCTCCCCAATTAAAAGCAGTTGTTGAAAAATAAAACATAAGCATGTGGAAGTGAATACATTTGTGGATACATGGTTGAATCTTTTCTGATTTCTAATATCTAGCATCTAATTATCACAGAGTGTTCTAGATCCCCACTTTCACTGATAAAATCAATATGGTTAACAATTCTCTTAGAAATCAATTTTACTCCAGCCGAGGAAGGTGTCCCGTATGTAATCCAATTTTACAGGTACAGAAACAGATTCCAACTAAATAAATTTCCCTTGTGAACAATAGCACCTTTTTGGGGTTTAGTCATTGCTGCATCTTCATAGTAATTATTTTATAAATTAATTTAAAATTCTAAAAATTCAATAAGAATAAAAAATTAATTCCAACTCTTTGTGTAATTTTTTAAAAAAAGAATTCATTTGCTTATCGAAAAGAGTGACCAGTGAATACCAAACAGAACTCTTAAATATGGGGAAAAAGTAGCTTTGAAAATGGAGATCTAAAAATAAAAAGCTCTTTAATGTACAGTTTTGCTCACTGCCTTGGCCTGATTCTGAAGCATAGCTATTGCATTCAGGCAACAATACCACAGTTACAAAGAGTATAACTTAAAGAGGGGGGCACTGCTTTTTAGGAGACAAGTCCTTGGAGATACTCCAAGAATAATAATGAATCCAATTGTCCATACTGGGTAAATCAGATGCTAATAGCAAAAATCACTCTTCTCTCTCATCCAGATTTTCACAAAATAAATATCTTATATTTCTCAAATTATGAAAAGAAAATAATAAAATTATTTTGGAAGTGTTTGTCCATTAAAATAAAAAAGAACTGTTAAGTATAGTCCATTTTTCCTGAATAAAATAATAGAGCATATGTTTTATAAACCAGCTGTATATAACAAATCATCATTCATCATTCATCAAATACAGAGGCAAAAAGAGAAACGTATTTGAAAGAAAAATAAACAGAAAGGAGAAGCACCTTATGACGAAAATGTTGAACAGGAATGAAGGAAGAAAAACTATGAGAAACAGAGGGAAAACTGCTGGTCAGGAGATGGGGTCAAAGATCTCTCTCTCCCTGCCTAAGAATGTCTGATCTCCAAAAGTTTGTTGTGAGAGCTATAGAGGATGTTTAGTATAGTAAGAGAATTCTTTTTAAAGGCTGTGCACTGTCCTTTTATTCAATCAAGGTTAATGCTTATAAATCAAATAGAATCTGGGTGATGTCAAGATTCAGGGCCAAGTTTTCAAGAACTCTAGTTGTGTGACAGTGAAATTTATTGAGACATAAATTCATTGTTTGTTTTTACTGCTATAAAGTAATCAGAAAGAACAACCTTTATGCTCCCCAGAAACTTTGGGAGAAAAAGTTTTTATTCTGTTTAAAACACCCTAACCTCTTTTGCCTTCTTTTCTATGATTCAACAAAGAGGTGTAGGGTATGTGTTTCTTAAAATTAGAGGAAGTTTTGATAAGATAATTTATCTTCTTGTGCATTTTGAAAGGGAAAGGCAAACAAAGATTATGTTTGAAATTTTTTAGAAGTAGGAAGGGTTTGGATTGACTTGGAGATAGACTAAGAATCAATATCCCTCAAGGCTGGGTAGTATGTTAAAAAGTGTCCATTCCACAAATGGTGGAGTTTCATGACAGATTCCTCATTATAGATTCAGAAAGATGATAAAAGCTTCAGATGCAATATTAAGTGATTCCATAGAATAATTGGACCTTAGAAACATATCCTCACAGCCATAAAAATATACAATATAGTAGATGTATGTATTAGTCTGTTCTCACACTGCTACAAAGAACTACCTGAGACTAGGCAATTTATGAAGAAAAGAGGTTTAATTGACTCACATTTCTGTAGGTTGTATAGGAAGCATGGTTGTGGAGGCTTCAGGAAACTTACAATCATGGCAGAAGGGTGAAAGGGAAGCAAGTACCTTCTTCACAAGGCAGAGCAGGAGAAAGAGAGTAAAGGGGGAAGTGCTACAAACTTAAAAAAAAAAAAAAAACAGATCTGATGAGAACTCACTCACTATCATGAGAACAGTAAGGGGGGAGTCTGCCCCCACGATTCAATCACTTTTTACCAGGTCCTCCTCTGATACATGAGAATTACAATTCAACATGAGATTTAAATGGAGACACAGAGCCAAACCATATCATTCTGCCCAGCCCCTCCCAAACCTCATGTCCTTTTCACATTTCAAAATGCAATCATGCCTTCTCAACATTCCCCCAAAGTCTTAATTCATTCCAGCAGTAATTCAAAAGTCCAAGTCCAAAGTCTCATGTGAGACAAGTCCCTTTTTCCTATCAGCCTGTAAAAATCAAGCCAAGTTAGTTACTTCTAAGATACAATCGGGTTATAGGCATTGGATAAATGATCCCATTCCCAGTGGAATAAATTGGCCAAAACAAAGGGGCTACAGGCCTCATGCAAGTCTGAAACCCAGCAGGGGAGTCATTAAACCTTAAAGCTCCAAAATATTCTTCTTTGACTCCATGTCTCGCATCTAGGCCACACTGACACAAGAGGGGGACTTTCAGGAACTTGGGCAACTCCACTCCTGTCGCTCTGCAGGTTACAGCTCCTGCAGTTGCTTTCACAGGCTGGCGTTGAATGCCTATGGTTTTTCCAGGTGCACAGTGCAAGCTGTCAGTGGATCTACCACTGTGGGGTCTGGAGGATGGTGGCTCCCTTCTCACAGGTCCACTAGGCAGTGCCCCAGTGGGGACTCTGTGTGGGGGCTCCAACCCCACATTTCCCCCCATCACTGACCTAGTAGAGGGCCTTCTTGAGTGCTCCACCCCTGTAGCCAACTTCTGCCTGGACATCTAGGCATTTCCATACATCCTCTGAAGTCTAGGTGTAGGCTCCCAAACCTCAACCCTTGCTATCTTCTTACCCACAGGCTCAACACCACGTGGAAGCCACAAAGGCTTAGAGCTTCACCTTCTAAAGGAATGGCCCAAGCTGTACCTCAGCCTCTTTTAGCCATGGCTGGAGTTGGAATGGCCAGGATGAAGGGTGTCTTGTCCTGAGGCTGCACAGATCAGTGAGGCACTGGTCCTGGCCCACAAAACCACATTTCCCCCAAGGCCTCCAGGCCTATGATGGCAGGGGGCTGCCACAAAGGTCTCTGAAATGCCCTGGAGGCATTTTCCCCACTGTCTTGACTATTAACATTCGACTCCATTTTACTTATGCAAATTTCTGAAGCCTTGGATTTCTCCCCAGAAAATGGGTTTTTCCTTTCCACCATGTGATTGAGCTACAAATTTTCCAAACTTTTATGCTGTGCGCTCTTTTTAAATATAAGTTCTATTTTGAGATCATTTCTTTGTTTATGTAATGAGCATAGGCTTTTAGAAGTAGCCAGGCCACATCTTGAATGGTTTGCTGGTTAGAAATTTCTTCTGCCAGATACCCTAAACCATCTCTCTCAAGTTCAAAGTTCTACAGATCTCCAGATCATGGGCACAATGTTGCCAGTCTCTTTGCTAAAGCATAGCAAAAGTGACCTTTACTCCTGTCCCTGATAAGTATCTTATCTCTTTATGAGACCACCTTAGCCTGGACTTCATTGTCCGTATCACTATCAGCATTTTGGTCAAAACCATTTAACAAGTCTCTAGGGAGTTCCAAACCTTCCCTTATCTTTCTGTCCTCTCCTGAGCCTTCCAAACTGTTCCAAACTTAGCCTGTTACTGAGTTCCAAAGTCACTTCCACATTTTCAGGTATCTTTATAGCGATGCCCCACTTCTCTGGTACCAATTTTCTTAATTAGTTTGTTCTTACTCTGCTATAAAGAATTACCTTAGACTAGGTAATTTGTAAAGAATAGAGGTTTAATCAACTCAAAGTTCTACAGGCTATACAGCAGGCACGGTTGTGAAGTCTCAGGAAACTTATAGTCATGATGGAAAGGCAAAGTAGAAGCAAGCACCTTCTTCACATTGCAAAGTAAGAGGAAAAGAGTGAAGTGGGAAGCACTACACACTTGTAAACAACCAGATCTCATGAGAACTCATTCACTATGATGAGAACAGCATGGAAGGAGTTCACTCCCATGATTCAATCTCTTCCCACCAGGCCATTCCAGACATATGGGCATTAAAATTAGACATGAGATTTGGGTGGGGACACAGAGCCAAACCATATCAATGTGTGAGGCTGGGGCAAGCTGCAGTAAAAAAAAAAGTTTCTAAGTCTCAAATGCCTGTCACAAGAAATATTTATGACTACCCATCCTACATGTTGTACATCCCTGTTTCACACAGTTAGTCTGTAACTCAAACTAATAGAGTCTCTTCCATCTCAACATTGGCTTCATGTTTGATGTAGTGCAGGAAAAGAGTACAGTGACATCTCAGACCTGGTCTTCTAGGGTGTAGCTCTAAAGTGACACATGTCCATTTTGCTCACAGCCCTTTGACCAGAATGTGACATATGGCCTCAATTAATTGCAAGACAGAAGATGAACACATGGATGAAAATTAACTCATTGCTAAACAGTACAGCCTCTGAACAGTACAGTCTCCAATATATTTCTAGGGTCCATAAGAATCTTTAGGGCTTATACAGGATTGGACAAAAGGCATTTTAAAAGTAGCCACATAAACTGTTTTCCTGCGGATCAATTGCCTAGGACATTCACAGATTCAGAGAATGAAGGTAAATCTAATAACATCTAAGATTAAAACTACTGCCATCCACCCAGAGTGGAGACTAAGAATCAAAAATGACCTCAGTTAAAGAAAATAATGCAATATTCTTCTTACCTAACTGGGTTTCTGGAGTTACTCATGCATACTACTGTCAAAGGATTTGACAAAAGCTGTGATCTTAAAAAATTATAAAATGAAAAGGCTACCTCTGCTCACTCAAGATTTAAATTATAAAACAAAAAGGCTACCTCTGCTCACTCAAGATTTTGGTCTCAGTCTGGGAGTGGGGACATTTTATTAAAAGACTCTACAATGTATCAAAAAACAAAAACAAAAACTGGAAATGCCTATGCTATGCACACCTGGAGAAGACATAATTAAAGCAACTTACCTGTGATATCTTCCATTTCTGATTACTAAGCAAATGCTTTCAAGGAAAAAGTAGGCAGGTAACCTAGTCTAATCTCCTTAGAAACATAGTAACTGGGAATCTGGGAGACATATACTGATGATACTCTATAGAAGGAAAGTTCACATCTATGGAGTGCTCTTCACAGATGTCCCTGGTTTTGGATTGCAGATGGTAAACGAGTACATGATCTATGAATTTTTAAGGTACTGGAAGAAGTCATTTATGTCATTTTCTACCTTAAGTCATCAAGGTATACAATATTCTTGGATGTGTTTCATAACCTAGTCCTCCATACTGTGTGAAGTGACTCACAAAACTTACTTAAGAACCTCGTCTCTTATTCAGGACCAGAGAAGGTATATCCAATCCAGGAAAGCAGGGTCTGGGAAGTTGTGTATGATAGTTCAGATCTCCTCCTTGATGAGAGTGTTACAAAATTAGTTTATTGCAAGGACACCTATTTTATCTGGTATTTGTCTCGTGGAGTGCCTCCTTAATGCTTTTATCTTTGGATTTATTAGTAACACTTAAAACTGGGTAAGCTCTCTGAATCTTGTTCGATTCAACAACCTGATTCATTGCATTGGCTCCAAATATCTTACATATTGCTGTTATTTCTGCCATTAATTTTTTATCTATCTTACTATGATTTTATCCTCTGCCCTTTAGAATGCATCCTGTTCATTTCTTCCTCTACATGTCCCTGGCTGTCTCCATTTTAGAAGTAGCACTCCCATAGCTAACTATAGCTCCCTGATTCCTTCACAACCTTCAAGGCACAGCTTCAATGTAATTTCCTCAAAGCATTCCCTGACATCCCCCAAAAAAGCCCAGTTGCTATATTCCATATACACATAGCACTTCAGGCTTTCCTTTGAGATGTTCATCAGCGTTATAACTATTTGCTTCGTGTACACATCTCCTTGTCAGATTGGAGTTCTAAGATTTAGGACTATGCTTGTTTTTATTCACCTCTATATTTTCAGGATCCAGTGTGGTGCATGGCTTAAAGGTGACATATGCTAAAAGAGATATGAGACTAGCACGCCCAGTTTTTCATAGTACCTATGAGTATGTATGTCTCTAAAACTAAAACTAAGTTGTCCGCCTCCTAAGATTATTCAACTCCTTATTCAACATCTACTTTCCCTTACTTCTAAAATTTGTTTCTGAAACCAGGAATTGGAATGAGAATTATTTCTGCTTAATTTCAGTTGAAGTTCTAAAGGCAGAAAACAATATATTAGGTGTTAGGCTACCAGTGAAGAACACAGAATATGCTAAGAATTATAAAACTCATCTATCAACTTCAGAGGCCACTCTGTCCAGTCTATAAAGTGGTGGGAGTTAAGGATTCAAAAAGACAATATCAATTTGGAAAAAGTTGTCAAAATTCTGTGCTTTCTAGTCTACCCTCACCTTCATCCCTGGAAGTCAGATATTTCCCCCTCATCTTAAACCAGGTGAATATAAATGCAAGGGATATGTATCTCCTGGTGTTTAGGAAATATTAGGAGACTATCTAAATCTTTGCTTAAATGTTGCCTTATTGAGATAGTCACTGGATGTCAAATTTAAAACAGCAAACAACATATTCACTCCTACTATTCTCACTTACCTTTCACTGCTTTGTATTTCTCCATAGGACTTCTTAGTTCCTTATATATTATAAGTTTACAGATTATTTCAGTTCTTGGTTGCTTCATTAATAGCATACACATTCTGCAGGGTCAGAGTTTTATCTTTTTTGTTTACTGTTATAACCTCAGAATCTAAAATATTGACATATACACAAAGGATGTTCAATTATAATTTGTTGAATAAATGAAAGAATATTAAAGGCAACATTTTTGAGCTGTAACTGTCTGTCTATTAGGAAAACAGAATGCAAAAGCTATATTGGAGGATAAATTTTACATTTGCTGATGGTGAGACAAAGATGAATGAGTTTCTTTATGTATTAAATGTACCCATAAGAGAGGATCAGTGCCATCTCAAAGTGAAAATTTAATTATGCATTAATGGGCAGAAAGCCACAAACGAGCAAAAGTCATGTACAGCCTGCAAGAACAGAGATGTTGTTAACATCAAGGAAGTAGAATCTTGCAGTCCCTGCAACACACTAGAGAAAGTCAGCAATTACATATCTGTCACCCAGAGGACCTTGGTGCCAGATGACACTGTTCTAACCATGTAAACACAGGCCGTATTCCCTTACTATTATTTAACAGAATAGTAGCAATTAACAATAGCAGCAATAATTAGAGATGGTAGAGGAAAGCAAGAAGAAATCTGTCATGGATCTCCCTGTTCTATCACAAGCCTTCAAACTTAGATTCCATTCCTAGAAGAAGTCTAATTTTGCTAAGAATTATGAGTTTTAAGACTGTCATTGGCTAGATATTATGTGATTACTAGTTGAGAAGTGGATATACTTTATAGTAAAATTAAGTAATTTTTTTTGGCCATGTAAGAACCATCTATCCAGGGACAGGGAAGTCCTGAAAAATTAGAATAAATAAAATAGAGAAGAAGCAATTTTAGAAGAAATTGTGATTGAGAATATTCAAGAATTCATACAGGATATGAATTCACAGATTTAGAATGTCAAGCAGAATAAATTTTAAAAACTCCAGTCTAGATCAATTCACAGTGAAACTACAAAACACTAAAAACAAAAAAGTAACATGTTATTGCCAAAGAAGCAGCAAATCAACATACAATAGAATAAAGTCTTCTGATAGAGACATATATTTTCAAAATCCTGATGGGACACTAAAAATCACTGAAAAAGATGGAACCACTCAATAAAATTGTGTTGCAACACTTGGTTTTCTATAGGAAAAAAAGAAAAAAGAAAAAAGAAAAGAAAATTGAATTATTTCCTGACATTATATACAAAAATTAATGCTAGATAATCAAAGTGCTTAAAAGTATGTACAAGTATTTAAATCCTTACAGAAAATAATAAAAGAATAGTATCCTTTGTAGTAAGAGGTGATTTCTAAATTAAAATTACAAAAATCTAGTAGTACAATTTTACAAAGTAGATCAATTTGATCACTTGAAAATTATAAATTCTGTCACCTCAAAAACATGATAAAAAAGCAGAAAGACATGCTACACATTGGAAAAAATATTTTAAGGGAAACTAATAAACAGAATAGTCTAAAATGAACCCTACAAATCAGTCTGAAGAAAAGACAAAAATTCAATAGAAAAAAATGTGCAAAAGATATAAACACAAAGAGAAAAATCCAAATGAGAAATAATTATAAAATAGGTTGTGGTTGTCCAAACTTATCTGAATCAGAGGAATAAAAAAATGAGATACCATTTTATAGCCACCGCATTTCCAAATATAAAGTGTGATAACACAAAATGTTAAAAACGGTGTGGATCAATTAAAATTCATATGCACTAAATTCGATAGTATCTTGGAAAGTTAAATATTTTCCCATGATGTGACCCAGAAATTTCCCTTGTAGATACACACCTTAAATAGGATCTTGGGCATGTGTACTAGGATATTTAGTTTAGCACTGCTCCTTGCAGTATTATATAACTAGAAATAGCCTACGGGTCCATAAACAGGAGAGTGGCTAAAGAAATGTTAGTATATTTACACAACAGGATCAAATTTAGTAGTAGAAGTGAGGGTTCTGGGACTACATGCGAAAATATTTGTTGATCTCAAAACTGTTGAATTAAAAAACACTTCAGAAGACTATACACACTTGCACACATATATTACATATGTGTATATATATGCCATATGTATGTAGATAAATGTATACCATCTTCAAAGAAGACTAAAAATATAATGTTTAGGACATCTGCATATATGATCGAAAGATTTAAAAATGAAGTAAGAAATGCAAAACAAAATTAAGATAGTGGATATCGCTGAGAAGTGAGCCAGTGAGATGTGTAAGTGAAAATACGTAACGAAATGCAAGGTTTGGTAGTATTTTAGTTCTTGGTTTTGTTGGTGGGTTTTAATATGTTCATAATGTACACATATCATCTACTTTTTGTAAGACTCAATTATTAAATTGAAGAAAGCCTTAAAATCACTTACAACAGATTGAACTAAGATTTATGAGAGAGGAAAACACAAAGTGCTAGGCTAGCAACTCTAAGAGGGGACCCAAAGGAATCCTAAATGTTTACTGGAAGAGTGAAGAGTGGGTACTTAGGCTAATTCTCCACCAACGGGAGCACGGTTGTTTGCTGGAAAGAAGACATGGGTTGTGGTGATATTCCAGGAAGAAGCAATAACATGCACTAAGAAGAGGGGGTGAAGGAAAGCAAAAACCGTTCTCGAAATTGCTGCTAGTTTGTGTATGGCTGGAGAACATAATGCAGGAGTCGAGAGAACTTAAGGGTAAAGAGGGAGCGAGCTCCAGATCTTAAAGGGAGTCCTTTATCATGCTTTAACTTCTTATCAAGAGAAATTCATTAAACATATGCAAACAAGGGAATGGCAACCACAAATTCACAGGTGAAGACGGCAAAGCTGTAACATTAGAATAAATAATCCAGAAATAAAGCTCTTTCAACATCAGTATTAGAGGAAAGCAACAGGATGAATGTCTACTAGTCAAAGTGACAAGACTGAAAAAGTGAGAGCATGTGAAAGGTTAAGCATCCTGATAATGTAGAATTCCTGTACCTCAGCTGAACAAGCTGTTGACCTTAGCTTATTATGAAAAACCTAGTGAGAAAGTAGATTTTAGGTCAGTGGGTAGTGACCCAATTATTTAAGCACAGCAACCATAAAACCAGTTAGGCTGTCAATGCCTTTCAAACAGAAAGCTCAACACTTTGGTTAAAAAAAAAAAGAAAGAAAAGGTCTCCCCACATGCCCTGGCACATGAAAGATAAATGGAAAACGGGGCAGCAAAAATGGACTCAAACCATGCTTCAATAGTTTGAAAGTACCTATAAGGGTCTCACTCTTACGAACAATTGATTTGTGAACCAGGTTCACCAGCCGGAGTACTTGGTGATGGTTACTCCTTAAAAATAAAAAAGTTGTTCAACAAACCAAATGCAAATGTGGGCATATAGAACATAGGCTTTCATGCAGCAGATAATATTCTATCTGCATAAAGTTACCTGTGAGATCAACCTGGAGGTTCTTCAGAAAAAAGCTAACTTTTCAAAATTGATTGTGGAGTATGCCTTTAATGAGTATCTTTTCTCTGATTTCTTTTTGATATCTTCTCTTTTCTAATCTATGATTCAAAACTGATACAAAATATTGGAATTGTCAAATTTTAACTATTTACCAACCAGATTTCTCTCTAGTAAACATGCGATCTACTCCTAGGCGTCATTCTCACAATTTATATTAGGATTTAAACAAACAACTCCATGCCAAAGAAACAACTTATTTGTTTATTTATTTATTTTTGAGGCAGAGTTTCACTCTTGTTGCCCAGGCTGGAGTCCAATGGTGCAACCTCGGCTCACTCCAACCTCTGCTTTCCGGGTTCAAGTGATTCTCCTGCCTCCCAAGTAGCTGGGATTACAGGTATGGAACACCACACCCAGCTGATTTTTTTTTTATTTAGTACAGACGGGGTTTCAGGATGTTGGGTCAGGCTGGTCTCGGACTCCTGACCTCAGGTGATCCACCTGCCTCGGCCTCCCAAAGTGCTGGGATTACAGTTGTGACCTACTGCGCCCGGTCCAGAAACATCTTATTAACATTAGTCAGAATATTTGGGATGTATCGGGCAGGAAGACAGAAACCATACTAGTTATTTTAACAAACAGAATACCCTATAGCAAATTGGTTACATGGATATCGAAAGCAAAACCAGAACTTTGAATGAGCACAGAGATAGTCATGATAGCAAACCTTCTAGCACTGAGGTTAATTAAAAGGGTAGAGTTTGGAGTTGTTAGAACTTAGAAGCTAAGGGGAAAGGCCTCAGGAAGCTGGGACTCAGATCTCTGAGCAAAAGGACAGCACAGTTTGTGCTGTTTCCTCTGAGGAAGCTCTGGGAGGCTGGTTCTGGGATTGGGAGAAGAAACTGGAAACTGGAACCAATTTCTACTGGTGTCAACTGGTAGTGCTGGATGAAAAGCACTGGGTAAAATCATTTTTTATAGCATCAGAAAATAAGCCAGGAAGAACCATCTCCTTCTGCACCCTACTGCTCTGCAGTCCCAGCTAGCACCCCTGCTGGCAGAAGCGAAGAAGGAGAGAGCCTAAAGAAAAGAAATGGGCCGGGCGCTGTGGCTCACGCCTGTAAGCCCAGCATTTTGGGAGGCCGAGGAGGGCAGATCACGAGGTCAAGAGATCAAGACCCTCCTGGCCAACATGGTGAAACACTGTCTCTACTAAAACTACAAAAATAGGCGTGGTGGCACATACCTGTAGTCCCAGCTACTTGGGAGGCTGAGGCAGGAGAATCGTTTGAACCTAGGAGGCAGAGGTTGCAGTGAGCCAAGATCATGCCCCTGCACTCCAGTCTGGGTGACAGGGTGAGACTCCATCTCAAAAAAAAAAAAAAAGAAAAGAAAAGAAAAAGAAATGTAGTTTACAGTATCTCAGTCTCAGAGCCACAGAGTCAAGTATAGAGGGAAAGATTTACAGCTGAGAGACAGCAGCTTTACAACCAGAACAGGGGAATGAATGAATCAATTATGAAGGCTTTCCTATCATTGGAGCTTGTAGTATAAACATCTGATTGGAACATCCCTAGGTAGCTGTCCTATTTCTTCTCATTGTTTACCTTTGGGGCTTACTTCCATGTCTGAGTTATGACAAGAATATTGAGTACATAGGGCCTGATGACACAAGGAGGTGAAATTATTAAATTCTAAAGCCCCTGACATTCGGTAATTTGGAGCCTCTCACGTAAGGAATGGTAAGTGAATAAGCAAAGTCTGGCTTTAAAGTCATGACCCATTAAATATAATAATGCCAGGGAAATCTAAATTCTAATTTAATAAAAATGTATATACAAATTAGCTGCTAGGGTGCTTCCTCTTGTCAATCGATCAACAAGGAATATTTAATTGAGTTGGCAAATTATTGCTCAACATGTGCTAAAAGGACTGAGTTAGGTTAAATTATGAGTCCACTGTTGTTAGGCGTCATGTATCAGTAATTTCATGTGGTTCAGTTTTACTATGAATGATGAGCTTTGGATCAAATGCACACCTTACCTTAAAAAGTGAAGTGGTTTTATGGTTTTATGGGCATCTGAAGAAGCTTGAGTTGTGATTAACCTTACAAAACATGTTTTTGCTAATAATTTTATCTTCTCCACTGGACTGATGTTGAATCATTAGATTTATTAAAAAGAAATTACTCTGGGAAGTCCCAAGTATAGCAGTTAAGAATCCTGATTATGGAGTTATATAGATTTGACTACATAGCTTCTTTATGATTATCTAGTCATTGCACTTGAGCAAGTTATTTAACTTACAGGAGCCTCAGTTTCCTCATCCATAAAATGGAAAATGCATTATCTACTAGTCATAGTTAGTGTGGGAATTCAATAAAATATGGAGCATTTACAATAATTAACAGAGCCTCTCATATTGTAAACCACAGTAAATGGTACTCTTTTAATTTTGTGTGTTATTCTCTCTAAAAAGGAGGCAAAATTAGCACCTATGTCAGACTTGTCATGGGTATTCATTAACAAATGAATTAACATATGTAAAGTGCATAGAACAGTTTCTAATAAATAGTAAATGCTAAATAATGATTTTTTCCTGTTAAAACAATACTAATTATTAATATCATTAGAGGTATGACTACTGCTGATGACAATATTTATTATTATTTTTATTACTGTTACTATTTCTAACCTTTTCCTCAATTTCAAATTGAAGTTTGTACCCAAATGAAAAAATACGTTATAGAGCTCTGTGTGTTCTTTACATCCAAACTAGATGTGTGTGTATGTGTAGACAAAAAATGATGGTTCCAAGTTATTCCTTCGTGGCAGTACTTATATCTTATCCTATCTTTGACTTGACAAAACTTTGACTGCAAATACCACACTTAAAAAAGAAAGTCCATTTTTTATGGCTGCGTAGTATTCCATGGTGTATATGTGCCACGTTTTCTTAATCCAGTCTATCACTGTTGGACATTTGGGTTGGTTCCAAGTCTTTGCTATTGTGAGTAGTGCTGCACGTTGTGCACACGTACCCTAGAACTTAAAGTATAATAATAATAAAAAAAAAGAAAGTCCATACTATATGCTATATCACATTACTCTCAAAAGCAATTTGAATCAATAGCACTATCAGTCTAACATTGACTACTCTTCATTTATTTGGAGAAATAAAGTCATCATGCCCAATAGAAAATGATAAATTATATCATAATTACATAAATTTGGAGCTGGAAGGAATCTTAGAGATACAGTGAGGATTGAATTTAATTTTTGCAAATCTGGAAATTGAAGCTCAGAGAGATAAAATTAAGGATTATATTGACTCAGTTTCTGAAAGAACCCTGGAGGCAAAATATCTTTGGCACATATCCATCAGACACTGCAAAATCTCCAGTAAAAGGCCATTTTGCTGGTTTGGGAATACTTTCTAAGGAATCTCATCAACTAGGAATGCAACACATTTTATTTCTACATAATTCCATTGAAAGAAATCCCCTATACTGAACTGAGTGTCCTTTTAGCATTCCTGAAACGTCCTCTTGAAGATTTTTAATGCATTCTAGAACCAAGGTTAATGCTTTTTTGTTTTTTTAATGAGAACTTCTCTAGGTTTATCTACATTTAAAGAGGTAATTAGTAAAAGAGCTTGTCCTAAAAGTTGCTCTCTTGGAAATCAGTCTAGAGTATGTCCTATGGCACAATGATGCCTTAAATAATGATGTTGCTGCAAATCAACCTTCTCCAGTGTATCACTGCCACTTCATTTCTGTTCCACCTTTAGAAGTTTCAGTAACAGTAGAAATTTTACACCTTTCGTGGATCATCAAGATCTGTGGCTAATTTATTACCATCATTTTACTGATCGCGGACCTCCAAATTCACCTAAGGGGTTATCTTGCATATTTTTAGGTCAAAACAATTTCAGCCAGATTCTCTTATTCTATTCTCCTCCCATCCTAACACCCTTGAACAGATTTATGTTATCCCTTCAAACACAAAATCATATTAATGTCCATCAGGTTTAATAAAAAGCTATTTTCAAAGCTATAAACTTAATTGATTGTGATATAATTATCAGTGCTATTAATATTTTCTATGCTTAATGTCATTGATTTTATTGCCACAAACTTAGCTTGCAATGAGAATAACACTGACAGCTATGAGTGTATGTGTGTGCATGCATGCATGTGTGTATGTGTTTAACACATTGCTTTCTGTATCAATATATCAATGGATGTGGCAGGTTCTAATGAAAAGAAAAGAAAACATCTAAAAGAATTTCTGCACTACCTTTATAACATTTTGTCTTCATCTGTGAATATATTTTCGGTGAAAAAATACAATGACAGCCTAAAAAATGCCCCATGCATTTTTCACTAGAGGAAGAAGTCTGTGAATTGCAGAATGGATGTTCAACCACACAAAGACTCACAGGATTCACTCTTATTGCTTTTTTCCTGTGGATTGTAAGTTTATGAAGTATAGACTAGCATAGTACTTTCTCAAGTTTTGTTAAAAAATTTAAATTTCACTTAAAAAGTGAAAGGTACAAATGTTCCTTTGTGTCTCAAATGCAGATCAACAACATTAAAAGCAATAGAAATGTATAATGGAGAAATAACTATGGAAAACTTTTTCCTTTTTAACTTAAAATTTACAGCTTGATCCCTAGGTACCTTAATGGGAAGCAACTTGGTTCAGTGGAATTAACAGAGTCTGGTAAGTTACCTATTGGACAGAAACAGGCCTAATTAAAAGAGTTTGTCAATAAAACATTTAAAAATAGATTTTAAAAAATTAAGAATAAGCAATTGATTTACTCTATTTTTTCAGAATAGAATAAAGAGGCACATTTCACTGTGGGGCTTATGTGAGCTTTCTTGTTCCTGATTCTGTTGCATGAAAGTAGAGATTTCTTTAAAGGGGATCATGGAGGCTTGGAATGACCGCAGAGACCAAAGCCATAGGACATTTCAAGAAGTAGCTTCCTTGACGTTAAAGACAAAAGCCTAGATTAACTGACCTCAAAGTAGAAAAGACTTTTACAGATAATCATTTTAACAATATATGAACTTGTTTTTAGCTTTGAAATACACGTGTCTCTTAAATGAACACATATGGGCAAACAAAATGTTTCAGGTGAAAGCTAGAATTGTTCTTCATGAAATAAATAATGGAAGGCCAGAATTCTATCTTTTCAGCTTCCTCTACCATCTCCAAGGTGAAATTAAACTCTTTCCTGGGGCTTTTAGCAGGAAAAATTGAAAAACTGCAAATCCAGACCAATTTCTTAATTTTATAGTTGAAGAAACTGAAGCCCAATAAAGATTAAGTGACTTGGTCAAGGTCATATGGGTAGAGACTGAACCAGTACTTGAATCCTTGTCTTTTACGGAAACAGCCAGGGGCCTTGTCTTTCACAGAAACAGCCAGGGGCATGTCTACAATTCTGTTCCCCAACACCAGAATTTTGTGCAAAGTATTTATTCAGCATAATTAGTTTATAACTTCTTGTGGGCTAGTTGGAAACTTTGGACCTTTGTTTTATCACTGAGACTTCCTATTGTCTTTTAGTCATTTTACCATTATATGTTGATTTCATTGAAAATTACAATTATGGTATAATCCCAACATAAGAAAAATGAAAGAAGCTTGGCTATTGAAATAGGGAATGTACAATGATTCAATTACATATTGAGGGTAAGTAGTATTAGCCACAGTGTACTAGGTGCAGTAAAACATAAAAATGACTCTCCCCAAAGAAGTTACAGTATTTACAAGGAGATTAAAAGCAATTCTACGTGAGAGAGAGGGGGAAAAAAGAAACATTATTGTTAAATTGAATTTTACTGAATGCCATTGTGATAGGATCTCATTGAAGAGAAGGCTGAATAAGACAAGGAAGGTTATATGTTCAATGTTATAGTTGAGATAAGCCTTGAGGATAAAATGGAAACTAAATAAAAGAAAATCAAATATATCATTTTCAGCTTGAAGAATAACATCTTAAAACATCAGATGATAAATACAGAAATACTTCATAAACCAAATATAGAGTGTAGCCTAGTGAGTGGCAATAACTCTTACAGCTTTAAGATATAGATTTCCAGGAAGGTGCCATGATTTTTCTACATTTTATTAATTTCTAATAATGCAGTATGTGTCCACTGATTCTCTTTAACAATTATGAACAATGTTAATTGGTAATCCTCCTATGTTGGATTAGTCTACCTGGCTAAAAATTCCTGTACCTCTCCTCCTTATCCACACTGATGTTTGAGGGCTGAAGAAACGATTTCACCAACTTTAAAACAAATTTAAAATTTATTTTTAGTTGGATTCTTCCAATGAAATGTGGAATTATTATGTTCAAGGTCACTTGTACTTGGCAAAAAAGCACAATATCCTGCTTTTAGAAAAGTGGCTTAAAAAATAGTTCTTTATAAAATCCTTAAAAGGTTTCTTGAAATTCAAATAGATTTTACAAAATAACAACTTAATGATTTCAGAATAAGTACATGAGAAATTAGAAGATTAAATTTCCTTCAAAAACATGCCTTGGCAAATTAAAAGCCAAAGTGTTCAGGGGAAAAATATGTTTTAGGTCTTAACAGACCCAAAGTATTGTTTTAATAAGTCAGGCAGTTTTGAACCCTGATTCAACAAGTTTTATTTATTTTTAATCTATTTAGAATTAGATTTTAAAATATCTCCTTTCTACCTTACTTCAACCTTCATCTAAGTACACATGTAGAATGGAATGACAGTCACACAACCTCCTTTTACTTTAAAAAAATTTTTAAGGTAATTTAGTCAATGTAGACAGGCAAAACAGACAATTCGGGACCACTTATTCCATACCAAAACATGCATTATTTTAATTGCCTACTCTAAACTATTTAGCTGATACTGATATTTATTTTTTAAATGCAGCAATTCGGAACATTTTTTCTGCAGATTTATTTAACAAACATGCATTTGTCCCACTCGTATTGTCACGAGAGAAAGCTCTAATGAAAACTTACAGTTAAAAATCATAGTAAAGTCATCCGAATGCATGTTTTCCTCCAATAGTTGTCTTTTGTTGAGCACCACAAAGAAAGCATGTTGCCATGTTCCTTCTCTTCAAGAGGTTTGCAAGTGGTATTGGCATTATAGTGTTCAATGATCAGAGAGTTTTCATTTCAACAAAACATGAATATCCTATTTTTGAAGGAAAAAAATAAAACTCTATACAAAAGAAAAAGGTTTCTGTACTAATTGTTCATCTACACTTACTCAGGCATTCCTTAATTACCTAAAAAATACTTTTTAAAGTTTACTTTTATAGACATTTATTACAAAATCAGAACAAACTAACTTTTAAGTTTACCTTACAAAGAACATAATGTCTTTTACAGTTTTATAAAGTTAAATTTACAAACTAAAATCTCCGTGCTTTTTTTATTTCTTTTTTGTTATATCTCTTCGCAACATAAAGTACAATAATTACATTTTTAATATTAATTAGTTTCCTAGAATATAAAGATAAGAATATTTGAGGCTTTTCTATTGGAGCTAAAATATTAATGTGAATATTTCACCAGGAAAAATATTTGAGATACACACAAAACATACAAAAATAAAGTGTAGAGATTAGGTTTAAAAAATCAATATATTTATTGAGAGATAAAAAATTTGTTTTACCAAAAATTTGGTAAGTCTCAATTCAGCATATTCTTAGACATTCTCATCATGTATCCTAGGTTGAAACACACAGAAAAAAGCTTCTACAAGATAGAAGTTAAAATAAGATAGCTCACCTTTATGAGGGTGCACGTTTAGAGAGCTCACCATTGTACATCTGGCAAATATGATTAGGGGCTTTTATTTCAGCAATAGAAAACAATTACTATCAATTTTTAAACAACCGTTTTATAAGAATTTAGAGTATATAATAACTATTTGCATATACTACCAAGAATAGGGCAGGTTTTGCTCATTTAGATTTTCATGCCATGCCAGTTACTTTGTGATTTGTAACAAGGCTACCACCATGAATGACAAAGCACCTGCTACTGCTACTGCCTATTCTCATCCTTATGAGAGTGCCTGTCTTTGCTGCTGCTAAAGATCACATTACATATAAGCTTCTGTATTTGAAAAGGCCAGTGGAAAGCAGTAAACTGAAAGGTCACACCTGATGTGACTCAGAGAATGAAAATACTTCAGTTGTTGCTAATTAAGTTATCTTCTATCTTGTCAAATCTACATGCACTTTGAAAATTTGCATTTTACTGAATGAAAAGACCCAGTCTGCTTTGAGCACATCTTTAGCATAGTTTCTGACTTTAAACTGAATTGTGGCCAGGCGCGGTGGCTCACGCCTGTAATCCTACCACTTTGGGAGGCCAAGGCGGGCGGATCACGAGGTCAAGAGATGGAGACCATCCTGGCTAACACAGTGAAACCCCGTCTCTACTAAATATACAAAAAAATTAGCCGGGCATGGTGGTGGGCACCTGTAGTCCCAGCTACTCGGGAGGCTGAGGCAGGAGAATGGCATGAACCCGGGAGGCGGAGGTTGCAGTGAGCCGAGGTCACGCCACTGCACTCCAGCCTGGGTGACAGAGCGAGACTGTCTCAAAACAAAAACAAACAAACAAAAAAAAAACAAACTGAATTGTGCTTACTCCAGCATACAGACACATGGGCATGTCTGGTAAATTAGTAGTGCAGATCCTTCATGGTTGTGTAGGAGTTAAGAAGTCACCTGGTAAGTTAGAGAATGATACTGGGGAAAATTGTATTATTCGGGGCGCCTTCTCAACCTCTTAGCAAAGATTTATTTCTGATTCCTATATGAAAGGAAAGTGTATCTGAGAAATACTAAAAGAAATCAGCAAAAGAAATGTGTCGCTGAAATCTCTATGGGCCATTGGGAGCAACAGCCTCAGAGACCTAATAGTGTTAACTAACAGAAATGTTGGAAATATTGCCTATAACTTTGAGTGGCATTGACGTATTGGCATGAACATTAGTAAGTCTGAGAGTGAGAACAGGTATAGAAGAAAATAGTGGATTGCAAAGAAATACCTTCGAAGATTTCTAGAAATTTCTAAGTGAAGCAGTTATTGTAGTTGTGTTTGGGGCAAGAGATATAGACATTTGCATGTGAAACATAGAAATGTCTACTTGCAAACATATATAAATGTTTATTCATCTCAAGACACATATAAATGTTTATTCCTCTCCAGACAAATATAAATGTTTATTCATCTAAATGGTGCATATTCTTGTATTCCTAGAATGATTTTTAAAAATCTTAGAGGTGATTCAGGTCAGCTTCTTTCTATTGGAAACAAGGAAACTGAAATGAAGATAGGTCAAGCAACTTTTCAACTTTATCAAGTCCTCTTAGCCACTTAAAACTGCAGCTAGACTCTAACTCCCTTCTACCTCTGAGCTTGTTTCACTACATAGCATTGCTTTCAGTAGAAAATTCAACTCCACAAGTGTTTGTGAAACCCCTCCTGTGTGAAAAGCATTAAGCCTTGTATTTAAGTTACTTTTGTGAATTAAGTGGTACAATTTTGTAAGAAACATCAATTCAAGAACCTCACATTGTCCTGGTGTGCAGAATAGCTTTCTGTAGTACTCTGTTTACCTCTAACTATGAAATCAGCTTATCATGGTATTGAATTTTTTCCTATAAGTAACTGAAGCGTGGTGAAAATCTGGAGATGAAGCACACAATGGGAAGCGGAAAGATACAAAAATGTGTTCATACTTTAGCAGTAGGGAATACCAGTAACTGCAGGAAATGGCCATGTAAAATACATCATAGGATGGCAGCAGACATTGCAATGGGGTGTGAATTTGCTTTCCCCCTAAAATGTGAACTTTCATTTTCTTCATGCACTTGGTAAATAAGAAATGTCCTTAATGCTGTGATTCAAATTGTTCATCGTACCTTGGAAAACAGACACCATTTAAATATTTAAAATAACACTAGTCTTTGATTTGCACTGGCAGATAGGTATTCAGTCCAGAGAAACACAACTCCACGGAAATGGCATGTAAGAACGTAACTTATTCATTTGCATTTTTCAGAGTTCCATGTCATCTTGATATTTTTCATGAATATTTTTAATAGTTTTAACTATTGAAGTTTCTGTAATATTTAAAAGCAAAAATTTTGAATATAATTTTAGACTGGGTTATGTATGCCTGTTAATTTTTAAATTAATTCTCCCTGAACTTCTAAGTAATCTCATTGAGCTGTGGTCATTTACTCTCTTGAATGATCAGCTAGTCCTTTAGTTTTAGTTCATGACCTCTTCAGCAATGTTGTCATAGCTTTTAAGAAATTTAGCACTCACTTTTCTTTGACTAACCTAACCCTTGTTTTCAATCCTGTTTTTGCTCCATTGCCTTCACTATAGACATTATGAGAGACATGCCACATAGTTTTTGAAAGTAATACATAAGCTAAAATCACCTTGGGGCTTTTTTTAAATTTAAATATTTTATTTTTTCTGTGCACATACTAGGTGTATATAGTCACGGGTTACATGAGATATTTTGATACAGGCATGCAATGTGTAATAATCACATTGGCATAAATGGGGCATCCATCCCCTCAAGCATGTATCCTGTGTGTTTCAACCAATCTAACTATATACTCTTTTAGTTATTTTTAAATGATAATTAAATTCTTTTTGACTAGTAACCTTGCTGTGCTAGCAGATACTAGGTGTTATTCATTCCTTCTAACTACTTTTTGGTACCCTTTAACAACTTAGGGCTTTTGGAGTAAATTTACTGTTAATCTTTTTAGGGCATGAGAGTTTCAGGAAATAACCATAAAGTAAATCTGAGTCAAATAATTGTTGAAATGTGGTTAGTAACACAATTAAAGATGATTTTCCCTTTTGCCAACTGATTAACAGGAAATTGACTTACCCTCACTTTTCATAAAATAGCAAAATATAAACAATAACTTTCAGACATTGAACAATAGATGATATGCAACCAGGAGTGGTAAAAGAAGGAAAAACTATTAAAGTGAACCCAACAATTTTTCCAGTGTACTGTTCAATTTCTTTTATTTATTTATTTATTTTTTTTGTGAGGCGGAGTCTCACTCTGTCACCCAGGCTGGAGTGCAGTGGTGCAATCTTGGCTCACTGCAACCTCTGCCTCCTGGGTTCAAGGGATTCTCCTACCTCAGCCTCCCAAGTAGTTGGTACCACAGGTGCACACCACCACATCGGCTAATATTTTTGTATTTTTAGTTGAGATTGGGTTTCGCTATGTTGGCCAGGCTGGTCTCAAACTCCTGACCTCAGGTGATCCACCCTCCTCGGCCTCCCAAAGTTCTTGGATTACAGGCATAAGTCACTTTGCCTGACCTCATTTTCTAGGTCAAACAGAATAGGAACCTAAACATAGCACCCTTGCTGAATAGGCGAGACAAAGACCGAACGAGCTGGGAGATCAAAGCAACTAGAATTTATGGAGTAAACTGTCAGGCCTCTGAGCCGAAGCTCAGCCATTGTAACCCCTGTGACCTGCACATATATGTCCAGATGGCCTGCAGGAGCCAAGAAGTCTGTGGCAGCCGAAAAACCACAAAAGAAGTAAAACAGTCAGTTCCTGCCTTAACTGATTAACCAACATTACAACATTCCACCACTGTGACTGTCCCTGCCCTACCTTACCTGATCAATCGACCTTGTGACATTCTTCTTCTGGACAATAAATCTTATTGTTACAGGTGGATCTTTGTTCTTGGAGCTCCCAGGATGGTGGCAGGCTGCTCCCAAGATGGCGGCAAGCCTTTGGTCTCTGACCTGGGGTTCTTGGCCTCATGGATTCCAAGGAATGGAACCGTCGGCCATGCGGTGAGTGTTCTAGCTCTATTTGAAGCCGCGGGTCATGGAAGAGAGCCGTGGAACCCAGCAACTAGTGTTGAGCTCGATTAGGACGAACCCAGGCACTTAGCCTAGCAGGAACAATGGCGAGCCTCTAGCCCATCAGGAGCAGCAGCGGGTGCCTCCCTGGATCAGAAACACAGCAGACACCCTGGCGGATTCAGAGGGATGGAAGTCAGTGGCGGGTCTGTGACGGTGTCATTCAGCAGTGGTCGACGGCGAGCGAAAGCTCAGCTCGAGCCGGAACAAACACGGACCGGAAGAGTGTGCAGTTGGAAGATTTAACAGAGTGAAAACAGAGCTCCCATACAATGGGAGGGGATCCAAAGGGGGTTGCCCACTCCCAGCTTGAATGTCTGGGTTTTATATCCCTATCATTGTCCCTCCCCCTGTGCTCTCAGGTGATAGATGATTTGACTATTTCTTTACCTCCTGCTTTTAGCCTAATTGGTATTTTAGTGAGCCCTCTTTACTACCAGATTGGTCAGGTGTGAGCTGAGTTACAAGCCCCATGTTTAAAGGTGGTGTGGTCACCTTCCCCAGTTAGGCTTAGGAATTCTTAGTCCACCTAGGAAATCCAGTTAGTCCTGTCTCTCATTATGATCTCCCCACCATGTACCTTGTAACCCCCTCCTCTGCTAACAATAGATAACCACATTTTACTGTAATTTTCCTACCCAACTCTTACAAAGCAACCCCTTCCCCATCTCCCTTCGCTGACTCTCTTTTCGTACTCAGCCCACTTGCACCCAAGTGAATAAACAGCCTTGTTGCTCACACAAAGCCTGTTTCGGTGGTCTCTTCACACGGACGCACTTGACATAAACTATCAGAGAAGAGAGTGTTGAACAGAGGGAGAGACAAGGTGCTGTGTAGAAGGGAACTCTTCCAGGCTTTAGCTGAATATTGATCTGTGCATGCATGAGAAAAAACTAGCTGAGATTGGTGAAAGAACCATTGAAAAGCAGTTGGCAGAACAATTTCCAGAGTTCACACTGGGCTGGGAATAGCTTATGTTTTAGTCAGAGTTGAAAGACTTCTTAAAACGTAGGGCAACATAAGCAACTTCATGTCAAACCAGAATGATATTTTATATTCATCTATGTAATTTTAATCTATTCCTAAAGGTAGAGCCTTGGAATGGTATCACTTCTGTAATTAAAAGTTTCTCTTGACTCATCCTTGAAAAGGTTTTCTATAAAAGGCTGAAAAATATTAAACTACTCCAATTAATTTAAGCATGTTCAGATCAAAGATCAACAAACAATATTTAAAGGAATATGACAAAATTTAACATCCATCTCTGTAAAATACACAACATTTAGATCCAAAATTAGTCAGACATACAAAGAACCTAGAATATGCCACAAACATCCAGAACAACATCAACAACAGATGAAACAATGTACTAAAAAAGCAAAGCCATAGGTTCATCTCAAAAGATGCAAAAAGAAAACATAATTCAGTATACATTTATATTAAGTTCGTGTAAAAGTAATTGCAATTTCTGCCATTACTTTTAACTATTTTTACACCAACCTAATTAAAAAAAGAGCTCCAAAAATTTAAAAGAGAAGATAACTTCTTTAACCTACTAAACATGTCTTCAAAATGTACAAAGATACCATCAAACTTGATGATAAAGAACTGAATTCCTTCCCCTGAAGATCTGGAACAAAACATGTACGTCTGTTTAATTACTTATATTTACTATTGTAACTGGAGGATCTAGCCAATAAAAGAGGACAAGAAAAAATAAATTAAAATTACATAGATTGGAAAGTAGAAATTAAAATTGGGATGATTCGCAGATGACCTACTTATGAGTGTTGAAAACCTATCTATAAAAATGCCTCTACAATCAGTAAATAAATTTAGAATGGTCAAAGGATATGAGATTAATTTACAAAAGCTAAATGTATTGTTATACAATAGCAATGCACCATTAGAAACTGAAATTTAGAAAAATTATTGCATCAGTAATACAAAATACTTAGGAATAAATTAAACACAAAAAATTGAGGAAAACATACACACTGAAAATAGAAAACATTGCTATGTGAAATCAGTGGTGTTGGTGGAATAAGCCTCTTCTAAAAGCTACTCCTCCTTAAGAGCATTAACAAATTCTGAAAAAAAAAGTGTAAAACTTGAAATTTTTCAGAACCCTGGAATATAAGGAATATAAGAGAAAGCTTGCAATAACCCAAGGAGTATTTATTCCAGAAAAAACAGCTGAACCTCAGGAAGAAAAGTTGAATTTTAGTAAGAAAAGTAAGCCTGTTAGCTTGTTCTGTTCTCATCTCCTTCCTAGCTCCACAAACCTGCAAAAGTAGTGAAAATCTGAATGCTAGCAGCCACTGGAGTAGACAACACAGGTTTGGAAATCCTCCAAACACTGTTCTCAGAACATGGCTATTATGTGATATGTCTGGTAATTCTCTAGGAACCCTCTTTCACAGGATTTGTCATTATTTGACCTAAATTAGACTTTTCTCAGTGTAAACTGTCTTTTTCACAGGGGCATTACTGAAAAATGATCAATGACAATTGTTTAATAATGCAACTGCCTAACAGTGACAATAATTGGGGCAAACAAGATGCTGATAAGAAATCTAAAAATGAAGATGTGGGAATTAAATGTCCATAGGAGACTTTGAAAATGTACAAAATGTTCCTGGGAATCTAGAAAGTCATGTTGAATTGTCAAGTTGTACTTATAATCAGGGTTGTGGACATACACAGTAGAGAACTTTGAAGTCCCTCAGGTCTCACCTCCTGTTGACCATGAGGTTCTACGCAAGTAGATAGTGAAGGATAAGACAGAGTTATAAACACTGCTTGTCTATTGGTGGTATGACCCAACACATACAAAGTTTCTTGGCAAAGCCTGGGATATTTATTGGATCTAGGCACTTAGAGAAGTATCTGTCCAATCATTAGATGGCCACTAGGCTAGGCAAGCAGAGACTTCAGTTGCCCTAAAAACTAAAATAACACAGACTTTACTGAATTCATTGAGGAAAATCACTGAAGCACACCAAGAGCAACAAAAACTATAAGCAGCTGCAATCCTGGGGGAATCTGTCTTTCCGAGTTAGAGTATTTAGTAATTTAAAATGTCCAGTTTTTGGCCGGGCGTGGTGGCTCACACCTGTAATCCCAGCACTTTGGGAGGCTGAGGGGGGCGGATCACGAGGTCAGGAGATGGAGACCATCCTGGCTAACACAGTGAAACGCCGTCTCTGCTAAAAATACAAGTTAGCCGGGCGTGGTGGTGGGCACCTGTAGTCCCAGCCACTCGGGAGGCTGAGGCAGGAGAATGGCGTGAACCCGGGAGGCAGAGCTTGCAGTGAGCCGAGATTGCACCAATGCACTCTAGCCTGGGCGATAGAGCGAGACTCTGTCTCAAAAAAAAAAAAAAAAAAAAAAAAGCCAGTTTTTAACAACAACCACAAAAAGATATAAAACATTCAAAGAAACAAGAAAATATATTTCATACTCAAGTAATAAACAAGTCAATAGAATCTGTTTCTGAGGAATCCCAGACATTGGACTAGCCAGATAAATACTGCATCACCTATGTTAAATGCATTAGAAAAACTAAAGGAAACCAAGTCTAAAACGCTAAAGAAAAGTGTATTAACCAGGTTAGTCTTTCAAAACAAAACATCATAAAAGGGATGGCTTAAAAACAGCAAAGTTCTGGAGGTTGGAAGACTAATATCAGGGAGCCAACATGGCTGAGCTCTGGGGATGGTTCTCTTCCTAGTTTGTAAATGGCCATTTTCTCACTATGTCCTTACATGGTGGAGAGAAAGCTCTGGTGCCTCCTCTTTTTCTTATAAGGGAACCAGTATTATTACATGTGGGATCTATCCTAATGACCTCATTTAACCTTAATCAATTCCTTAAAGGCCGTGTCTCTAATACAGAAACATGGGATTGAGCTTCAACACATGAATTTTGCCAGAACACAATTTAGTCCATAGTCTTCCCTCAGCTGGTGCTTCAGAATTTAAGTTCTTCTTTTAGGCAAAAATATGTTCATTCCATCCCAACAGCCTTGCTCTCCAGGTCAGTAGTAGGAGTGGCAGCCTTGATGATCTATGAATTGCCAACAATCCCCATAGCCTTAGCTCATTCTAGCATTAAAGTCTCATTTAAATATCATCTAAATAAGTTGCAGGTGAAGTAAGGTATAATTTATACTGAGAACAATTCTCCAACTGTGAACCTTTTAAACAGGATGAGAGATATGTTCTAAAATACGCTGAGGGACAGGCAAAGGATAGATATTCCCATTTCAAAATGGAGAAAGTGTTGGTTCCAAGTCTTTGCTATTGTGAATAATGCCGCAATAAACATACGTGTGCATGTGTCTTTATAGCAGCATGATTTAGAGTCCTTTGGGTATATACCCAGTAATAGGATGGCTGGGTCAAATGGTATTTCTAGTTCTAGATCCCTGAGGAATCGCCACACTGACTTCCACAATGGTTGAACTAGTTTACAGTCCCACCAACAGTGTCAAAGTGTTCCTATTTCTCCACATCCTCTCCAGCACCTGTTGTTTCCTGACTTTTTAATGATTGCCATTCTAACTGGTGTGAGATGCTATTTCACTGTGGTTTTGATTTGCATTTCTCTGATGGCCAGTGATGATGAGCATTTTTCTGGATTAAGAAAATGTGGCACATATACACCATGGAATACTATGCAGCCATAAAAAATGAGTTCATGTCCTTTGTAGGGACATGGATGAAACTGGAAATCATCATTCTCAGTAAACTATCGCAAGAACAAAAAACCAAACACCGCATATTCTCACTCATAGGTGGGAATTGAACAATGAGATCACATGGACACAGGAAGGGGACTATCACACTCTGGGGACTGTGGTGGGGTGGGGGGAGGGGGGAGGGATAGCATTGGGAGATATACCTAATGCTAGATGACGAGTTAGTGGGTGCAGCGCACCAGCATGGCACATGTATACATATGTAACTAACCTGCACAATGTGCACATGTACCCTAAAACTTAAAGTGTAATAAAAAAAAAGAAATAGTTTATTTATGATATAGAGCCTCACTGACTATCAATAATGTATTTTATATTCTTTTTTGTATGAAGATATTAAAAGGGGATACATTGGAAATATGTACTTTGGGGGAGGGGCTATTTTTTCAGTTACTATATATTTTTTATCTCCAAGGTAAAATAATATCATAATAAAAACCTTTTAAAAAAAACAAAAAAAAAACAAAAAAACAAACAAAAAAAAAAAAGGAGAAAGTGGAAGAAAGGAAGGGGTGACAGGTCTCAAGCAAGTCCAAAACCTAGGAATACAATTGCTGTTAGATCTTAAGGCTTGACAATAATTATTTTTGGTTCAATATTCTGCACTCCAGGACAACTGTGGTAACAGTGTCCCCTGGTTTTCCAGGGAGGCCCCATCCATCATATTCTCGGTAAGGGTCCCAACCATGTGGCTCTTCCTGCAAAGGTGGTCCTGCCCATGAGGCACGTAGTGGGGTTATTCTGGCCCACTGAATCTAAAGAGGTGACCTCACCTTTTGAAACTGAGATATGTTCTAAAACAGCCTTCCTCTCTGGGGCCACGGTGGCGAGAGTGGTAGCCCTGATGATCTTTGAATTGCCTCGAGGGCCATTCTTGCAGTTCCTTAAAGAACAGTACACATTCCCAGTTGAATAGCTCCAGTCCTGTAGAATCCATGAATTCTACAGACTTCTTTAATTCTACCCTGCTTTCTCTGTCCTCTTTCCTCCCAACTGGCAATGTCTTTGCTGATATAATCCCATCTCTATTCCTGGTTTTTACTAAAATGGCTAAAATTAAGTCCATGCGTCACAACAGTTATCTCTTTATCAAATGGTTATTTAGTCACACCCTTAGTGTTCCCTTCAGAATAACCTCTCTCACTTTTGCAACTTGGATAGTCTGAGAGTTTTCCAAATTTTCAAGTTCTTCTTGTTTTGCTTAAAAGTTCTTTTTTCAATTCATCTCTCTCTTTTTACATTTTACCATAAGCAGTCAAAGTGAAGCAAAGTCATTTCTTCAACACTGTTTAGAAATTTCCTCAGCTAAATATCCAATTTTATCACTGCAAATTCAACCTTCCACACACTAGAATGCAGTTCAACCAAGTTATTTTCTGCTTTGTACCAAGGAAAACTGAACCTTTTGTACAGTTTCCAAAAACATGTTCCTCATTTCTACTTGAGACCTCACTAGAATTGCCTTTAAAGTTCATATTTCTAGCATTCATCTCAAAACTTTTCAACCTCTACCTGTTACCCAGTTCCAAAGCTGCTTCTAAATATTTAGGTATTTGTTACAACAGCATCCCACTGCTTGATATAAAAATCTGTCTTAATTGGGCTTCCATAATAAAATACCATAAACGTAATTTTCTTTTTACAGTTCTGGAGACAGAAAGTCCAAAATCAATGCACTGACCTGGAAAGTGCTACCTTATCACTGTATCTTCACATCAAAGGAAGTGCTTTGGTGTGTCTTTCTCTTCTTATGAGGGCACCAATCCTACTGAATAAGAACAATCCTTATGACCTCATTTAATTTTAATCACCTCATTCAAAGCTCTATCTTCTCTCTATTTTTAATATAGTCATTTTGAGGGTTGGAGCGTCATTATTTAAATTTTGAGAGGACACAATTCAGTTAATACTGGAAAGTATGAGAATGATGTCTCAAGAAATAGGGAATATCAAGAAAGAAATTTACAAATATATATATATCAGAATTAAAAATTGCAATTAGTAAAATGGACAATTGACTAGTAATTCTTAACTGCAAATTTAAAAAGGCACAATAATCAAAAAACTAGAAGACAGGTAATTAAAGAGTATCCTGTTTGAGAAAGAAAAAGAAAAAAAGCATGAAAAAATTGAGAAAAGTGTAATTGACCTCCAGGTCAATTACAAATGTTTCAATACACATGATGGGAATCCCAGAAGAAAAGAAAAAGAGAAAAGAAGATGTGAACAACATTTTAAAAAATAATAAATAGAAGCTTCTCAATTTTGATTTAAAAATAATCTACACATGCAAGAAACACAACGAACCTCAAGTTAGTTAAACTTAATAAGCTCCACATCTAGATACATCAAACAAGCTATAGAAAGCCAAAAGCAAAGAGATATCTTGAAGGAAATATGAGACGAGCAAGTCATCACGTACAAGGAGTCTCAGTAAGATGAATGGCTGATTTCTTATCAGGAACCACAGTGCAGGAGGTAGTGTGATGTCATATTCAAAGTTCTGAAAAAAACAAAAACAAAAACGTCAATTTATATTTCTGCATCTGGCAGAACTGTATTTCTGTAAAAGTAGAAATTGAGACATTCCAAAAAAACAAAAAGTGAGAAAATCTATTAATCTCAGAGGTTCCATACATGACATACTAAACAGTGTCGTTCAGACTATAATGCAAGTACACTAGAGAATAATTAGAATCCATATGGAGAGCTAAAGATCACAATTAAAAGTTAATTACATAGATAAAAACATAGTGCAAGAGATTCTTTCGTTTGTAACACATTTTTGTCGACCATCTAATTTAAAAGACAAAATTTGAAAAATGCAATAATTATAACTGTTGTTGCGCATAGAATGAATACAGAAATAATTTAGGAGGTGGAGCAAGAAGGCCAAATAGAAGCCTCCACAGATAATCCTCCCTGCAGGAACACCAAATGTAACAAGTATGTACAGAAGAAAAGCACCTTCACAAAACTAGAAATCAAAGGATCTATCACAGTACCTGGTTTTTAACTTCATATTGCTGAAAGAGGCACTGAAGAGGGTAGGAAAGACAATCTTGAATTGTCTGTGCTGCCCCTCTTCCAGCCCCCAGCAGTTGCTGGGCAAAGTGGAGAATCTGTGTGGTTGGGGGAGAGAGAACACAGTGATAGTAGAACTTTGCATCAGAACTTAGTGCTGTCAACATTGGATGGAACTCAACTGATGCCAATAGAGGGAGTATTTCAATAAGCCCTAGTCAGAAGGAAATTTCCCATCCAGAGGTCTGAACTTGAGTTTTGGCAAGCCTTGCCACTGTGAACTAATATGATACAGAGTCCTAAATAAACTTGAAAGACAGTCTAGGCCACAAACTGCAATTCCTAAGCTAGTCCTAGTACTGTTCTGGGCTCAGAGCCAGTGAAGTTGGGGGCATATGATCAAGTGAGACATCAGCCAGGGCAGCTCAGGGAGTGCTTGCACCATCCCTTTCCCAACACCAGGCAGTGCAGCTTGCTGCTCCAAGACTCTTTATTTCCACTTGAGGAGAGGGGAGGAAAGGGTAAAGAGGATTTTGTTTTGCAACTTGAATAGCAGCTGAGCCACAGTAGGATAGAGAGTAAACAGAGTTGTGAGGCTCACATTCTAGGCCCTAGCTCCCATAAAACATTTCTAAACACATCCTGGGTCAGAAGGGAAAGCACTGTCTTAAAGAGAGGGATCCAGTCCTGGTGACAATCAGCTCCTGCTGACTAAAGAGTCCTTGGGCTCTGAATAATCAACAGTGATATCCAGGTAGTATACATTGAGGGCTTTGGTGAGATCCTGAGATGTGCTGGCTTTAGGTGTGACCCAGAACATTCCCAGCCATGGTCACTACGAAGAGACATTCATTCTGCTTGAGAAAAGCAGAGGGAAGAGAAAAGGGGACTTTGTCCTGTAGCTTAATGAGTTCAACCACAGTGGTGTAGAGCACCAAGTGGGCTCTTAGGGTCTCAATTCCAGGCCTTGGCTATGGCATAACATTTTCAGACCTGCCCTGTGACAAAGGGGAGCCCACTGCCCTAAAGGTTGATTCCGAGGCCCATCAGCATTCACTCCAAGCTCTTGGGCCATAAGTGAACATTGGCAGTACCCCCGTGGGCTTCTGGTGTTGGTGGCCACAGGGAGAGAACCCCTTTCCTGTGGAAAGGTGATAAAAGAGAGATTAAACACTTTGTCTTGTGGTTTGGGTGCTAGCAGCCATAGTAAAATAGAGTACTAAGTAGATTTCTAAGGTTTTCGACTGCAAACCCAGGCTCCCACATGGCATCTCTGAACCCTCCCAGGCCCAGGGGTCTGAGGAAACTTGGCACCTTGAAGGAAAAAAAAAAAAAGTCTGGCTGGTTGACTTCACCACCTATTGACTGTAGAGCCCTAGAACCTCGAGCAAACGTGGGCAGTAGCCAGGTCATGGTGAAAGCAGGACTTGGGTAAGACCCCAAAGCTGTCCCATTGGTGGTGGCTACAAAGTACCGTGTCAAATTTTCCATAGCTCCAGGCAACTCAGCACAGAGGAAAAGACTCCATTTGTTTGGGCAAAGCAAGGAAGGAAACAAGAGTCTTTGCCAGGTAATTCAGAGAATTCTTCCAGATCTCATCCAAGACAATCAAGGCAGTATCTATGAGTTTGTAAGTACCACAGCATTAGTGGGCTTAAGGGGGCCCCTAATGCCGCTACTGCTGCAGTGACCAAAAAGTTAGATCACAACACCCAAATTTCTTTAAATATCTGAAAAGCCTTCCCAAGAATGATGGCTACAAACAAGCTCAGACTTCAGAGACTACAATAAATACCTAACTCTTCAATGCCCAGACACTGAAGAACATCCATTAGCATCAAGACCATTCGAGAAAACATGATCTCACCAAATTAACTAAATAAGACATCAGGGAATGGTCCTGGAAAGTCAGAAATATGTGACCTTTCAGATAGAAAATTCAAACTAATTGTTTTGAGGAAGCTCAAAGAAATTCCAGATAACACAGAGAAGGAATTCAAAATACTATCAGGTAAATTTAACAAAGAGACTGAAATAATTTAAAAGGATCAAGCAGAAATTCTGAAGATGAATAATTCAATTGACATACTGAGGTATGCATCAGAGTTTCTTAATAGCAGAATTGATCAAGCAGGAGAAAAAATTAGTGAGCTTGAAGTCAGGCTATTTGAAAATACACAGTCAGAGGAGACAAAAGAGAAAAGAATAAAAAAACCACTGAAGCATGCATATGAAATCTGGAAAATGACCTTAAATGGTAAAATCCATGAGTTATTTGCCTTAAAGAGGAGGTAGAAAGAAGAAAGAGTTAGAAATTTTATGTGAATGAATAATAACAGAGAACTTCCCAAACCTAGAGAAAGATATCAACATTCAAGCACAAGAAGTTTATAGAACACCAGGCAGATTTAACACAAAATGATTAACTCAATATTTTTAATAATCAAACTCTCAAATGTCAAAAATAAAGGAAGAATCTTAAGAACAGCAAGATAAAAGAAACAAATACATACAATGGAGCTTTAATACATCTGAGAGCAGACTTTTCAGTGGAAACTTTACTGGCCAGAAGAGAATGGCATGACATATTTAAAGTGCTGAAGGAAAAAAAACTTTTACACTAGGATAGTATTTCCAGCAAAAATATTCTTCAGGTATGAAGGAGGAATAAAGCTATCCCCAGAGAAACAAAAGCTGAGAGATTTTATTAACACTATATCTGTTTTATGAGAAATACCAATGGGTAATCTTCAATCTAAAATAAAAGAACATTAATGAGCAATAAGAAAAAATCTGAAGATACAAAACTTACTGTAACAGTAAGTTCAAAGAAAACCACAGAATATTTTAACATTGTAAATATATTTACCCATGTATTAGGTAGAAAGACTAATATGAACCAATCAAAAATAATAACTACAACAACTTTTGAAGACCAAGACCATATAATAACATATAAACAGAAACAAAATTTAAAAAAGTGGGGGAATGAGGTTAAACTGTACACTTTTATTAATTTTTTTTTTTTGCTTGTTAGTGAGTTTGTTTATGCAATCAGTGTTGTCATGAATTTAAAACAATGGGTTATATTTGCTAGCTTCATGCTAACCTCAAATCCGAAAACACACAATAGATTCATAAAAAATAAAAAGCAATAAATTAAAACAAACCACCAGATAAAATTATTTTCACTAAAAGGAACATGGGAGGAAAAGAAAAAAGGTAAAAAAGACCACAAAACAACCAGAAAACAAATAATAAAATGGCAGGAGTATGTCTTTACTTATCTTAAATAGCATTAAATGTTAATGTACTAAACTCTCCAATCAAAAGACATAGAGTAGCTGAGTGGATTAAAAAAAAAAGACCCCAAATCTGTTGCCTACAAAAAACACACTCCACCTATAAAGACACACATTGAAAATAAATGAATGGAAAAAGATATTCTATGCCAATGGACACCAAAAAAGAGCAGGAGTAAGTATACATATATGACACAGAATAGGTTTCAAGACAAAAAACTATAACAAGAGGTGAAGAAGTTCATTATATAATAATAAAGTGATCAATTTAGCAAGAGAATATAACCATTATAAATATGTATGTACCCAATACTGGAGCACGCATGTATGACAAGTAAATATTACTAGAGCTAAAGAAAGAGATAGACTCAAATACAATAATAGTTGAAGACTTCGATACTGCACTCTCAGCACTAGACAGATCATCCAGACAGAAAATCAACAAAGAAAAGTCAGATTTAATCTGCACTATGGATCAAATGGACCTTATAGATATTAAATATTTATACAACATTTTATCCAACAGCCAAAGAACACACATTCTTCTCCTCAGCACATGGGTCATGCTCAAGCATACACCATGTAAGTCACAAAACAAGTCTTAAAACATTCAACAAAATTGAAGTAATATCAAGCATCTTTTCTGACCACAGTGGAATAAATCAATAAAAAGAGGAATTTTGGAAAGTATACAAACATCTATAAATTAAATAATATGCTACTGAATGACCAATGAGTCAATGAAGAGATTAAGAAGGCAATTGAAAATTTTCTTGAAACAAATGATAATGGAAACCAACATACCAAAACCTATGCAATATAGCAAAATCAGTGTAAAGAGGGAAGTTTATAGCTATAAGTGCCTACATAAAAAAGCAGTAAAACTTTAAATAAACAACCTAGTGATGCTCCATAAAGAACTAGAAAAGCAAGAGGAAACCAAGCCTAATTTTAGTAGAAGAAAATAAATAATAAAGATCAGAGCAGAAATAAATTAATTTGACATGAACGGTACAAAAGATCAACAAAATAAAAAGTTGGTTTTTAGAAAAAAGATAAAGAAAATGGACAAATCTTTAGCCTGACTAATTAAGCAGAATAGAGAGAAGACCCAAATAAATGAAATCAGACACGAAAATGGAGACAGTACAACTGATATTGTAGAAATTCAAAGGATCAATAGAGGCCACTATGAGCAACTATATGTCAACAAATTGGAAAACCTATAGGAAACAGATAAACTCCTATGTACATAGAACCTAGCAAAACTGAACCATTAAGAAATCCAAAACCTGAACAGACAAATAGCAAGTGACTAGATCAAGTCATAATAAAATTTTCACCACATAAAAATGCCTGTGATTGATGGCTTCACTGCTGAATTCTACCAAACATTTAAAGAAGAACTAATACCAATCCTGCTGAATCTGCTCAGAAAAACAGAGGAGGAGAAAATACTTCTCAACTCATTCTATGAGGCCAGTACTACCCTGATGCCAAAAAAAGACAAAGACATAACAAAAAAGGAAAAATATCATAAGTCAATGTTTCTGATGAACGTTGACGCCAAAATCTCTACAAAATAGTGGTAAACCAAACACAACAGCATATTAAGAACATTGTTCATCATGACCCAACTGGAATTTATCCCTGAGATGCAACAGTGGTTTAACATTCACAAATTAATCAATGTGATACATCCTATCAACAGAATACAGGACTAAAACCATTTGACCCTTTCAATTTGTGCTGAAATTGTATTTGATAAAATTCAACATCACCTTGTGAGAAAAACCCTCAAAAACCTGAGTGTAGAAGGAACATATTGCAACATAATAAAAGCCATATACAAAGACAGCTAGTGTCATACTGAATGGGGAGAAAATGAAAGTCTTTCCTCTAAGATCTGGAACATGACAAGAATACCCACTTCCACCACTGTTATTCAGCATAGTGCTGGAAGTTTTAGATAGTGCAATCAGTGAAGAGAAAGAAATAAAAGTCATCCAGATTGGAAAGAAAGAAGTCCAATTATCCTTGTTTACTGATGATATAAACTTATATTTGGAAAAACATAAAGATTCCACTGAAAAACTATTAGAGCTGGTAAACAAATGTAGTACAGTTGCAAGATACAAAATCGACACACAAAAGGCAAACAAAAAAGAACATCAATTCTTTCCGATTGATTTATGGATTCAAAGAAATCCCATTCCAAATCCTAGTAGGTTTTGTAATGAAACTGACCAGCTTATTCAAAACTTTATATGGAAAAGTAGATGTCTAGACTAGTAAACATAATTTTTAAAATAAGAATAAAGCTGGAAGACATGGTATTTGATTTTAAGATGTACTATAAAACTACTGTAACAAAGAGTCTCAAAATTGATGCACATACATATATGATCAATTGATTTTTCAAAAAATATGTCAAGTCCTAATTGCAAAAGTCCAGAATATAAAAATCTTTGATTAAAAACTTTGAAAAATATTTGTTTTCTTAGAATAAACTTATAAGCCATATGAAAAAATGATTAATCAAAACTGATGAAAATCAAAATGTTGGTTCTTCAAAAAATAATGTTAAGAAAATGAACAGGGAAGTCACAGGATAGAAAATATTTGCAACATTTGTCTGATAAAGAGCTTATTTCTAAATAAAGGATTTGTTAGTTCTAAAAAGAAAATGGAAAAAATTACACATTTTAGACATTAAGATATACAAAAGGCAAATAATTATATGAGAAGAGTACATTTCTCATTCGGGAAGTGAAAATTAATTCCGCATTGAGATAACACATTACACTCACTAGGAGTTATGAAATTAAGACTGAAAACAGCAAATGTAGGCAACGATGGGAAGCAACTAGAACTCATACATTGTTGGTAAGATGTAAAAAGATACAGAAAATCAGAAAACAGTCTCATTATTTCTTAATCTTTCTTTATGACCTAGCTTCCTCCTTCCCACATATTTCTCCAGGATACATGAAAATGTATGTTCACACAAAGACTTTTACTCAAATGTACATAGCAGTTTCATTCTCATAAGCCCCAAATTAGATACAACCCAAATAATGTAAATGTGAATGGTAAATAAATGGGTGCTTTATGATATAATGGACAACTTCTGAGCAGTAAAAAGGAATGAACTACTGCCATAAAAATATAAGATGCCACACAAGCATTAGGCAAAGTAGAAGCAGCCAGACATAAATATGATATACCTACTTATTTGAAATTCTAGAAAAGACAAATCTAGAGACAGAAAGTGGATGTGTGGTTGTCAGGAACTGAACATTTTAATGAAAAGAGGCATGAGGAGACTTTGCGTTAATTAAAATGTTCTATATCTATGTTGTACTATAGGGAATATAACGCCAGCCAAATATGTAATTTTTTAAAGGTGTCCAGTAGCCAGATTAGAAAGGTAATAAGAAAGAGGTACAATTAAATTTAATTACAGTGTATATTTTATTTAACTCCATATCATTCACCATGTTGCATTAGCTATATTTCAAATGCTCAAGCATTATATGCATTTGGTTGCTGCTGTGTTAAAATGTGCAGTTCTATATTATGACTTTGGTGGTTTGATACCATACTCAGAATGTGATATATTTGCCAAAACTCATAGTATTTTGCACTTAAATTTACACCTTTTAATGTATGTAAATTATATATTAAAAAGCTACCTTAAAAGAAACAATAAAATAAACAGCACAAACAAGTAATGATGAGAATGACTCCCCTGTATACTTCAGGGAATATATGGAATCTATTCATATATACGTATATATGTGTTAAAAAACACATATGTCTGTCAATCTATCTTGCACTTGTCAAAATTAAAGAACCAATCAGATGTTTGAGAAACAATATGTTCTATATACAGAAAGTCAGAGAGCAGAGTAAGAAAACAGTGTACATAGAATTCTTTTTACACAAGGGGGAACACACTGTATATGTTCAATTTTATTTTGTTTTCTGGACTTTCTCTTCATAAAACACATAGTGTCTAAAACACTTGATTGACTCGAGTGTTTAGAAATGCAAGACATTAACGGCATTGAAACATACTCCAGAGAGAAGATAGTCCAAGGGTACTTGTGTTCCCTTAAGGTATACGTATGCCATTAATCCATATCAATGGCAGCAAAGAAACAACTCAAAGGGAAAAGAAGTACATCCCTTTATTATGGATTCATTTTTCAACACAGTCTTTTCAGCTGGCTGTTAATTTGAAATTCAAGGCAGAAATAAAAAATAGCATCTTGTCATGTAGCTTCAGATAAACAGATGTGAGCCTGGGCTTCATTGCCATGGGACCTTACTCTCCTTAATTTCAGTGACCTTCTGGGATAATTACAGTCACCATTTACAGAGTTTATTGATTAAGTAATTAATAAATGATGATAAACCCAGGCATTCGTACGTGTGTGTACTGCAGCAGCAGCAAAGCAGGTGTTGAATACAAAACTTCCACCTATGTAATAGCAGAGTCAGAATAAAATCTAGGAAGCACAAGCATTCTAACAGTCTCTGCTATAGTTGAAGAAATTAAAGAATTCCAGACATTCATTTCCATCTGCTCGTAGTTTGCAAAACTCTAAAGCATTGTCCAAAAGGACATTTCAAACAGCTACTTATAACAAACACATGGGAAGATTGAAAATGCTCAGTTCCAATACATTTTCACTAGAAATTTCATATCTATTCCCCATTTTCTTTATTGTCCTAAGTACCCTGCTGTCATTGCTGGAAATCATTTTCCTAAGAGTCCACAAAGTGAAACATTTCTAAAAGAAAATTATTTATTTAACCTCAAGAAGAAAATGTTAAGATTTTCTACACCAATACCTTTTCTGGTTTTAAACCATTCAGAGTTCATTTGTGTTCAATTGCATATATAGTAAACATTTATGTATATAAGCAAGAGAGACAGTATATATGTTTAACATTTCATGTAATTAGCTTAAATATTATTGTTATTATAAAAATAGGCAGAGTGAACTTAGTTTTCCGTTAGAAAATATCAGGAAAAAGTAAAACATACATATATATTTTAAAAATTCTTTTGATATTAATATTTTTATTTCTTGAAATATACATTTTAACAGGTTGGGACATTTTATTTACATTATTATTCTTTATATCACATAGAAAAATAAGCTACAAAATTTAAGAAGAAAATTTACATTGAAAACTGTCCGCGCAGCAGGCAGATTCCTCATAGATTATGGTGAATAAACTGTAAAAAGAAAGGCAAACCTCAGGAAATTTACTCTAAAGATGGCACACATCTTTATGGAGTGAGTGCTCTGTTCTTTGTACTGCAGGGAATAAGAAGATGAATGAGGAAAAGATACTGCCTTCTAATACCACTATTATCTAAAAGAGGTGATTAAAAAAAACTACATGAACATATTGTGCATAACAAAAGGGGGGAACATCCTAGAGGGTATTTTCAATCTGACACTTAAAATGCCAAAACAATAGCAACAAGATAAACACGTTGTACACACTCCCACACACAATACTTATAGTACATACACATATATAAATGAAATACTGCTTCCGGTCTTCCCTCCTCATTGTTATTCTTTTCCATAATATCTAAAAATTAACCTTCTGCCATCTAAAAAATGCTATTCTGTATTAGCCCAGGCTGGAGTGCAGCAGTACGATCTTGGCTCACTGCAACCTCCCTCTTCTGGGATTCTGTGATTCTCCTGCCTCAGCCTCCTGAGGAGCTGGAACTACAGGTGCACACCACCACACCCAGCTAATTTCTTCTATTTTAGAAGAGACGGGGTTTCACCTTGTTGCCGAGGCTGGTCTCAAACTCCTGAACTCTGGCAATCCACCTGCCTCGGCCTCCCAAAGTGCTAGGATGTATCTTTGCTGAGAAAATTGAAGTAGTCAACTTCCTCCTGTTTACACTAATGAGTCATGACATCCTAGAAACAAAACAGAACAAAACAAAAAAGGGAAACAAACCAAAACTTGCTTTAAGTTAACATCAAAATAGAAATTAGAGTTTACATTTACATTTAAGCTCTGCAAGGACTCCTTCTTCCTGATCTGAAAGGGAGGCTGTTTCTCAAGATAATGGCAGGGAATAGAGTCAGAATATTCATGCTTTTCAAGTTACCAGTTGATAGAGAATTTCGACCACTCAGTAGGCCACAGGCATAGTCTCAGGAAACTTCAACACCATCATGACTGGAGGATCTTGCAAGTCACCCTTGACTCACCTTCTTTGTCCCATTTGGCATCCAGTCATGGCTGCTAAGAGGATATTCAGGTCCATTTCCTGCTGCTCTGAAATGAAAGAGGAGGGCAGAGAAATTTCAAATATTCTCCAAACTAGAGTGTGGTAAGCACTTGGGGACCCAAAAATCTTGGCAGGGCTTATTCAGAGGGGATTAAACTGCCCTGTTCCTCCAGCACCTCACCATCATTTAAAGATGTCTAAGCAGAGGGGATTTCCCACTTGAGGAAATTGTGTCTTGAAGATGCACTATCCTGTCCATGCAAAGATTCCAGAAAGAACACACTAGGACCCAGCAAAGCAGGCTGGACTGGACCTCAAAGCCCAGTAAGTCTCACCTAAAGAAGTAACTACAGCCTATGGCAAACTAAAAAATCTCTCAGATTAGTATTTGTTTTGTTTTTGTTTTTGTTTTCTGAGACACTCTTGTTCTGTTTCCAAGACTGGAGTGAGTGGCACAATCTCGGTTCACTGAAACTTCCGCCTCCAGTTTCAAGTGATTCTCATGCCTCAGGCTCTGGAGTAGCTGGGATTACAGGTGGGCACCACCACGCCCAGCTAATTTTTGTATTTTTAATAGAGATGGGGCTAGGCTGCTCTCAAACTCCTGGCCTCAAGTGATCTGCCTGCCTCAGCCTCCCTAAGTGGTGGGATTACAGGTGCGAGCCACTGCACCCAGACTCTCAGATTAGTATTTGACTTTGGCCAGTATTCTTCCTCCTCTCCCACCCCAACATAGCAGAAACAAAAGAGAAGGAAATGAGAGAGCACACACCAGCCCCATCCCATGGTGAATTTCAGCCAAACCACAGCTGAGGGTAGAAGAGGAGATAGACATTATATTAGTTTTGTCTTTGGATTTTTTACATTTAAACTTTCCCTAGAGATTATAGAATCTACTCATGTCTAAATATTTAAATGTTTTTAAGTAGGTTGACTGTATATGTGTTATCTAAACTGAAACTTCTTTGAAAGTTAAAATAAAGGATGCTAAAAAATGAACAGGTGTTAATTTGTAATAGGTGTAAAATTTTATAGTGTAAACTGTTCCAGACTTGCCAGAAGGTATGATTGTCTTATCTCAGAGGAAAATAGCAAAACAACAACAACAATTTATGTTTGTCATCCTTTCAGATCAAGCTAAGAAAAAAAATGATTGAACTTTTCTTTTACAAACCTGACCTCAATGATAATTTTAGTAGTACATGTACTAAGGTCGGAGAAGTACATAGACTAGAGCTTAGGGCCACATCTAATTATCCCATTACCTTAAAACAGTCCAATAAAATTCACACTAAGATAAGCAGATATTTTATTCAAAGACTATTGTAACAGAAAGAATTCTCCAATCTCAGGATCTATAGAGGTGAGCAGAGAGCATGGTCCATGTGATCTGACAGAAAATATTTCTTGCTGTGGTCAGCCAATTCTCAACATGGACTGTTAGGGAGACAGTCTGTATTTTAGTTGGGGAAAAGCTGAAGATTAGGAGCATGTGTGGAGAAGATAAAAATGATGAAAGTGTGGTCCAGATAAGGTAGAAGGTAAATAAGGGACGACTGCAAACACGAGGTGAAACCATACATGGGAACATCAAGCCACATACTTATAGTGTGGCTTTCTCTCCTTCTCCAAATGTCTTTAGTCATTTCTCTTTACCTTAATCATGCATTGTTTCAGCCTTACACAAATTCAAAAGACTAAGATGAAAACAACCATATACCCCCCCATCCAGCTTAATTAGTCTTAATATGTTTCTCTATTTGCTTCACATATTTTCATTTTGTTATTTGTAAAAAATAAAATCTTATACAGCTACAACCCTTTGAGAACAATTCCCTAAACACATTCCCCAGCCTACTCCTGAAAAATGTAACTGCTATTCTTAATTTGTTGTGTTTTAATCCTTGAATGCAAATGTATAATCAACAATAGTTCCTGAATGTTTAAAAAATTTTTATAAATGTTCCCATACTCTCATAGTTATCATTACACAACTTGCTTATTTTCCACTGCACATCGTTCCATAATTTTAAACATTTGATTCATGCAGCTCTAGTTCATTAATTTCAGCTGCTGATTATAGAGTTGTACTTCATGAACGTTTCATAATATTTATGAATTCTTTAGTTGAGAACCCTTTTGTGAATTCTTTATTATTTCAAATAACACTGAAATGAACATTCGTTCAGATGTGTCCCTGGGTGCTTGTGCAAGAGGTTCCATGGTCTATATATCCAGATAGTGGGGTGTGCCTAGCTTTCTCTTTACCAGGTATGGTCATATTTGTTCTCTAAAGTGGTACTTCTAATTTATGGTGTCATTATCTATCTCTTGCTCCACTGCTCTCCAATACTTGGCACATAGGACTCTCTGACAGACTAATGTATGTAAAAAGATCTCATTAAAAAACTAAACAAAACAAAAAAATTTGTTATTTTATATAATTTTCTCTTCAGATACTTTGTTCTCAAATATCACTATACTCACCCTACACGTTTTTGCTATGAAATTATTTTGTTTGCATCTAATACTAAATACATTTAATGTATATATTAATTTATAAATAGATATGAGTTGTATAGTTGCTTAACGCTTATTTTCCAATTTAATTGCATTAAAGTCACAGATCATAATATCTTGTTATAATGGTCTTTGAGATTTACTTGAATTTACTCTTTGACTTTGTTTGTAGCCAGTTTGTAAATTTCAATGTATCCTGAACTTAACGCATACTTTAATTGTTAGGTGAAAAATTATATAAATCGATGTTAGAGCTCTCTCTATCATGTGTCTGTCTACATCTATGTAAGAAAATATTTTAATTTTACTTTTCAGATTTACTATGCACACCCTTAGCTTCTCATAGTAATATAATGAAGTCTCCCATGTTTCTATTTTGTTGGTTTCTACTTATGATTTTCATATTTTTTATTTATATTTTTGAAGCTGTGGTTTTAGATGCTAAATATTGGTGATGCTTAAATTTACTTGGTGAATATTTTCTTGGGTGGCTATTTCTGTTAAAGCTTATTGACTTAAATTCTATTTTTTTCTGCTAATGATTCTGCTACTGTAGCACCTTTGGTTTGGTTAGGAATTGCTTGCTGTATGTTTTTTGATTAACCTATTTTGAGACTTATTGTACGCATTTGTAGTAGAATTCTTTTTTAAAGCAACATGTAGTTTTACTACCATGAAAAATGTAAAACTCTCTATAAATGAGTTACTTTTGCCAATTTACTTTAATTGTGATTATTGATATATTTTGACTCATTTACAATGTCATATGGTGCGTTTTCTCTTAACTAGCATATTAATTTTGACGTTGTTGCTGCCTCTCCCTGCAACACCCCTCACCATGGTGCCCTTCCCTGAAAAATTATACTTTTTATTTCATCAGTGTTACTCTTGCCACATGATTTGATTTTCCCAATGACATTTGAGTGAAAGTAACACCTGTCATCCATGAGCAGAACCATTGCAGGCCAGTATGTGATTCGCTATCATCTCTTTTTCCTCTGTCAGAAGACTAGACATTCCTGGCCAGACAGAGTGGCTTACTCTGGTTATCCCAGCATGTTAGGGAGGCTGAGGCAGGAGGATTGCTTGAGGCCAGAAGTTTGAGACCAGCCTGGGTAATGAACAACATAGAGAGACCCCGTAAATATTTTTTAAATTATGGGTATATATGTGTGTGTTTATATATAATTTTAAACATTTAAACATTTTTTAAAATTAAAATTTGTATATATTATATATAAAATTTATATTGTATAAATTAAAATTTATGAAATACAAACTACCATCAGAGAATACTACAAACACCTCTATGCAAATAAACTAGAAAATCTAGAAGAAATGGATAAATTCCTCGACACATACACTCTCCCAAGACTAAACCAGGAAGAAGTTGAATCTCTGAATAGACCAATAACAGGAGCTGAAATTGTGGCAATAATCAATAGTTTACCAACCAAAAAGAGTCCAGGACCAGATGGATTCACAGCCGAATTCTACCAGAGGTACAAGGAGGAACTGGTACCATTCCTTCTGAAACTATTCCAATCAATAGAAAAAGAGGGAATCCTCCCTAACTCATTTTATGAGGCCAGCATCATTCTGATACCAAAGCCTGGCAGAGACACAACCAAAAAAGAGAATTTTAGACCAATATCCTTGATGAACATTGATGCAAAAATCCTCAACAAAATTCTGGCAAAACGAATCCAGCAGCACACCAAAAAGCTTATCCACCATGATCAAGTGGGCTTCATCCCTGGGATGCAAGGCTGGTTCAATATATGCAAATCAATAAATGTAATCCAGCATATAAACAGAGCCAAAGACAAAAACCACATGATTATCTCAATAGATGCAGAAAAAGCCTTTGACAAAATTCAACAACCCTTCATGCTAAAAACTCTCAATAAATAAGGTATTGATGGGACGTATTTCAAAATAATAAGAGCTATATATGACAAAACCACAGCCAATATCATACTGAATGGGCAAAAACTGGAAGTATTCCCTTTGAAAACTGGCACAAGACAGGGATGCCCTCTCTCACCACTCCTATTCAACATAGTGTTGGAAGTTCTGGCCAGGGCAATTAGGCAGGAGAAGGAAATAAAGGGTATTCAATTAGGAAAAGAGGAAGTCAAATTGTCCCTGTTTGCAGATGACATGATTGTATATCTGGAAAACCCCATTGTCTCAGCCCAAAATCTCCTTAAGCTGATAAGCAACTTCAGCAAAGTCTCAGGATACAAAATCAATGTACAAAAATCACAAGCATTCTTATACACCAACAACAGACAAACAGAGAGCCAAATCATGAGTGAACTCCCATTCACAATTGCTTCAAAGAGAATAAAATACCTAGGAATCCAACTTACAAGGGATGTGAAGGACCTCTTCAAGGAGAACTACAAACCACTGCTCAAGGAAATAAAAGAGGATACAAACAAATGGAAGAACATTCCATGCTCATGGGTAGGAAGAATTAATATTGTGAAAATGGCCATACTGCCCAAGGTAATTTACAGATTCAATGCCATCCCCATAAAGCTACCAATGACTTTCTTCACAGAATTGGAAAAAACTACTTTAAAGTTCATATGGAAACAAAAAAGAGCCCGCATCGCCAAGGCAATCCTAAGCCAAAAGAACAAAGCTGGAGGCATCACACTACCTGACTTCAAACTATACTACAAGGCTACAGTAACCAAAACAGCATGGTACTGGTACCAAAACAGAGATATAGATCAATGGAACAGAACAGAGCCCTCAGAAATAATGCCACATATCTACAACTATCTGATCTTTGACAATCCTGAGAAAAACAAGCAATGGGGAAAGGATTCCCTATTTAATAAATGGTGCTGGGAAAACTGGCTAGCCATATGTAGAAAGCTGAAACTGGATCCCTTCCTTACAACTTATACAAAAATCAATTCAAGATGGATTAAAGACTTAAACGTTAGACCTAAAACCATAAAAACCCTAGAAGAAAACCTAGGCATTACCATTCAGGACATAGGCATGGGCAAGGACTTCATGTCCAAAACACCAAAAGCAATGGCAACAAAAGACAAAATTGACAAATGGGATCTAATTAAACTAAAGAGCTTCTGCACAGCAAAGGAAACTACCATCAGAGTGAACAGGCAACCTACAAAATGGGAGAAAATTTTCGCAACCTACTCATCTGACAAAGGGCTAATATTCAGAATCTACAATGAACTCAAACAAATTTACAAGAAAAAAACAAACAACCCCATCAAAAAGTGGGCAAAGGACATGAACAGACACTTCTCAAAAGAAGACATTTATGTGGCCAAAAAACACATGAAAAAATGCTCATCATCACTGGCCATCAGAGAAATGCAAATCAAAACCACAATGAGATACCATCTCACACCAGTTAGAATGGCAATCATTAAAAAGTCAGGAAACAACAGGTGCTGGAGAGGATGTGGAGAAATAGGAACACTTTTACACTGTTGGTGGGACTGTAAACTAGTTCAACCATTGTGGAAGTCAGTGTGGCGATTCCTCAGGGATCTAGAACTAGAAATACCATTTGACCCAGCCATCCCATTACTGGGTATATACCCAAAGGACTATAAATCATGCTGCTATAAAGACACATGCACACGTATGTTTATTGTGGCATTATTCACAATAGCAAAGACTTGGAACCAACCCAAATGTCCAACAATGATAGACTGGATTAAGAAAATGTGGCACATATACACCATGGAATACTATGCAGCCATAAAAAATGATGAGTTCATGTACTTTGTAGGGACATGGATGAAAATGGAAATCATCATTCTCAGTAAACTATCGCAAGAACAAAAAACCAAACACCGCATATTCTCACTCATAGGTGGGAACTGAACAATGAGATCACATGGACACAGGAAGGGGAATATCACACTCTGGGGACTGTTGTGGGGTGGGCGGAGTGGGGAGGGATAGCATTGGGAGATATACCTAATGCTAGATGACGAGTTAGTGGGTGCAGCGCACCAGCATGGCACATGTATACATATGTAACTAACCTGCACATTGTGCACATGTACCCTAAAACTTAAAGTATAATAAAAAAAAAAGAAAAAAAGAAAATAAAAAAATAAAATTTATGTATATGAAATTTATATATAAATTAAAATTTATGTATATAGTTTATATATAAATTAAAATTTGTATATACAAATTAAAATTTATATATTTATATAGATATATACACACGCATGTGTTTATATGCATATATACGTGTGTGTATATATATACATATATATATATGTATATATATGTACACATGACTAGAGATTTTCAAATTTAAACTTCTGCAACAGCCTCAGTCATAGAATGATGATTACAAGGAGCCAGGCCAAGCTCAACCTACAGTAGACAAGTAGTCAGAACCAAAACAACACCAGTGTAAATGATACTTAGTGGTCATATTTTAGCACAGCGAAACCCTCATAATCTGACTGGAAAAGATGCTTGTCTCCTTCACTTTCTTTCTTTCTTTCTTTCTTTTTTTTTTTTTTTTTGAGATGGAATCTCACTCTGTCACTCAGGCTGGAGTGCAATGGTGTGATTTCGGCTCACTACAAGCTCCACCTCCCAGGTTCAAGTGATTCTCCTGCCTCAGCTTCCCGAGTAGCTGGGATTACAGGCGTGCACCAACATGCCTGGTTAATTTTTGTATTTTTAGTAGAGACAGGGTTTCACTATGTTGGCAAGGATGGCCTCAAGCTCCTGACCTCAGGTGATCTACCTGCCTCAGCCTCCCAAAGCGCTGGGATGACAGGCATGAGCCACCGCTCCCAGCCCTTGTGTTTCACTTTCTTCCCACCCTTTCCATCCTTCACTTGGTCAGTGCTTGAATACATAAGGTTTTCTACTTTTTATTTCTTTATCTTTCCTGATTTAGAAACTTCAAATTACATTCACTTTTTTTTCTGAAGGATGTCTTTAAATTTTCAGGGCACAAGGAATTTTGCAAGCATCAACTACCTATTGGTCACTCCCCTCCAACCAATGTGATATTCTTTACCTGAATTTTAAATTCACTTTTATTTTAAACCACACATAATAGCCTTTATAGCCAGTAACTTATTAAAATTACCAATATATTTTATTTATTTTTATAGAATGTTTATTATTTTTACTTTGAATGCTCTTTCTCCATCTGGTTAATGGCTACTTATCTAGTGATTCTGTGGTTGTTGGATACTTGCCCCAGTCTTCTGTCTAGAGCCAGGTCTTACAATGACAAGTTGTGGCTACCCTTCTCATGCTCATGTTAGAAACATTAAAGTACCAGTCCAGAGGCAGCAGGCAGCTTTGCTCAGGTCCGGATTAGCATGTTGTGGCTTTGTTCTCTTTCTCACTAGTATGTATTCCTCATAAACCTGAATGCCAAGTTGGGTGCAGTAATATATTTTTCCCCTAGCAGGAACCTGTAAACACCAAACAACTGTGTATTTTGTAGCCATATAAGTACACAGAAAGGAATTTTAAAAAATTTATAAAAGATACTACCAACCTAGCCCTTAATCAAACTTACATTTAAGGGTAGAAATTTTTTCTCATTTTCACAGAAGTTTCCGGAGAGCTTAGTGGACCCAATATCAGCCTCCTTTGGACAATATTTATTCTTGTTACTCCTCAAAACAATACTCCACTCCTTTCCTTGTTTTTTATTTTATTTTATTTTTTTTGTCCATGGAAATGCAAATGGTTCTGAACCTGGCTTTGGTCATTTGGCTTTCTCTTTGTAAATATTGCCTGTCATTCAAATGTGCTTAGAGCAGCGTAGCTTTTCAGAGAAGACCCTTACTACACCATAATGAATTTACTACACCATTTGAATTCTCACGTAATTCCTCTTCAAAGCTATTTTCCCACCCCTATTTGATTTAATGTTTCAATCATCCTCCCTTGTGAAACATCAGTTCACACAACAAGTTAAGAATCTGGATATTTTTGCACTTCTTATAATTAGTACACATAGTTATCTTTGCTTAGCCAGATGTTAATAGGGCCTTTTCTAAGCCAAGGCTAGCATTGCTTGGGCAACATTTGAATTCTGGTCCTGTGAAATAAGGAGTGACAAGTCAAAACAGAGTTAATTTTTTTTTTTTTACCGCTCATAATCAAAGCTCTTTTCATCCTAAATTAACTAGGCAAACACTGCTACACAGTAAATATTCATTTCCTTCCAAAGAAAATGCAAACTTCTTACATGGCAAAAGTCTATTATTTGTATTATATCTTATTTCTCTCTCACTGCCTCTCGTATTTTCTCTCCCTCTCTCTCGAATGTGTGTATGTGTTTGTGTATGTGTGGCGCTGTGTGTGTGTGTGTGTGTGTGTGTGTGTGTGCATAAAAATGGTACTGGCATTATTGCAGCTGAGGGCTTATTTTCTTTCTTCAGGGTTTGCTTTTATTCCAAGGCTCTGTATTATCTACGAATGTCTTTGCCAACCTTTCTGAGGCGGATGACACAGATTCCAAAACAATATTCCTAGACCTTAGTATATTTGATGGCTTAATGCACCCTGCCCTCTGTGGGTGGTGTTCCATGTCTCCTCAAAGTAGACAATGAACCTAGTCTATACTATCTGAATATCCATTTTTTCCATAGTTCTCTCCTGTAATAAGCCCCATCTTTATAATTCATTTAATATTTTCTCTTTCACTACTCATTTATGTTAGAAATTGCTATAACTTCGTTACTTCAAAACTGTTAACAGACACTATTTCAATTGTTCAAGTAGGCTTAATGTAAACATTAAGCTTGATGCAAGCATAATGCATAACTTTTGGAGGTCTCTGAGAAATATTTCCTCAGACATATGGGGAATTCCTGTCTTTAAACGAATGCAGTTTGTTGTTGCAAGGTGTTCAAAGTAACAAAGATATTTTATGATTAAAAAATCTGAATATGTAAATTTAAGACATATGTTGACCTGTTTGACGAAACAAATTAGCCATACAAGGAAGTGAAGATGATATAATTCTATCAAATTACTGCTGGAGTCTATATGAATTACAACCCACACATTGATAAGGAATGATGATAGAGATAGATAATTTCTGACAAGGCATCTCTTGACTCAAAATCTATCAGTGACTCAACGTTTCTTCTGATGGTGAATCTAAACTCTTTTTAATCAGTAATAAGATATTTAGCAATGATTCCATTTTATCTGCCCTAATAAGAACACAGACTTTTATCTGTTTACAAAGTTCTCATTTTCTTAGTGTTGTGATTTTTTTTATGACGCTAAGATGCTTCCACACATATATTCTCTCAAGCTTTTACCCTGCCTTGAAATGCCTAGTCTATGCACCTTTCCTTACCCAATCTCTGCTCATTATGGAGTAATTAAATTCCTACTATAAAAAGCCTTCCTAAGTCTTCATTGATTCTCCTGCTTTTTAAAATCTCCTCTTCATAAAACTTCAGTTTTACATAGCTAGCACTTAAATAGACTCTGACTGTTTTCCATTCTCTATTGTTCTGTTTGTATCCAACTTGATAATAGAGTTTATATCTTATCCTTCGGTAGAACTAACAGCACTTGGCACCATGTTGAGCTCTGCTAAACTTAACAAAACCTGATACTCAAGCAAGTCTTCCAGCCTCACAGGGTCATCTTACCTTCAGAATTTACATAAACATTTGATTTTGACTATTTCAGCTACCTCATATAAGTGGATTTATGAGTATTTACCTCCTCTGATTGGCTTATTTCACTCAGCCTAATATCCTTCCGTTTATCCATAGTGTTGTCTATGGCAAGATTTTCTTCTTTTAAAGGTTGAATGCTATGTCATTGTGTGTATATACCATATTTTCTTTTATCTAGTTATCTATCAAGAGTAGAATGATGGTTTTCAGGGCCTGGGGAAAGGAAGAAATGGGAGGTTGCTGATCAATAGGTATAAAGTTTCAGTTGTATAAGAGGAATGAATTCTGGCATTTGCTACACCATTGTGCACATATTCAACAATATTGTATTGTTCACTTAGAAATTTGTTAAAAGGGGAAAAAAGGGTTTGAGCTCCCAATAAATGATTAATGGTATTGTTTGGGTGTTCACATTTTCCCTTATGGCATATCCACCTTCCACTGAACTCCTGATCCTGTCTCTGTCTTCAGAACATATCATGTGCTTTTCATACAACATCATTATCAATCTATTTACTCTCTGGAGTAAACAGCACACTTTTATTTAAAAATCTGGGTAAATGAGGCAAGTGTTACATTGATAAATTATAACGCAAAACTTAGATACTAGTAATACAGATCTTAGTAATACAGATCTTTCAAGTCATTGATACCAAATATTATCCCATACACAGCTCCATATTCCTACCATCTTGCTAAACTCCGCTTGCTCTCCCTCCACCCACAGACCTTTTGAAATTGCTCTCAGCACCATAGCATTGTACTTACTTTATTATTTAGAGTAGATCAGTTCTCTATGGCATCATATCTTTCTCATCACATGGGCGGCCTAGTGACACATGCACCAAATAAGGTCTGTTACCTATATTACGGCAGTCAGCAGAGTGCTCTGCTCCTTGCTGGGTGCACAAAATCCTCCCAACATCAAAATTAGTGCTTTTCTGCACCACAGGTTAAATCAGATTCTTAGGCAGGGTCTTCCCAGTCTACCCTGTGTAAGCAGAAGGGAAGTAAGGATTTATGATTCTCCATTAAAAAAATAACAGAGGAACAACTCTTCCAATTATATTTATTAATGAATGGAAAGGTAAGCTTTGCCCCTAACAAAATGTGAGATTCTAAAAATAATGATGGAATAATAGTTCCTTCAGTGTGGGCTGAATTCTTCTCTCCTGAATTCTTCATTTAGTGGAGCTGCAACTCCCACTGTTGCAGAAAGGATTTGTTCACCATACAAAAATAGGAATGTGGTCCTGGGAATTTAATTATTCCTACAATAAAATTCCTGTTTTATTAAATATAAATAGGTATGCCTAGTTATGTTAGGGATTTTATAGTACTTAAATACCAATAATTATTCAAACAGATTTATTGAAAGTTAATGGCAATGTTATAATAATGTCAGTATGTTTTATATTCAATAGTTGTTACACCTCATTAAACAGGTTGGTAAATGATCCATTGCTGTTTAATTAACATGCAATGACTGTCTTACTAAATCTTAAACTGTAAATTAAATCCTGATTTGAGACACTTAATTTTAAACTGTGATTGAAAACTTCTTGGGCATGAGCCTCCAGAGCCCCTTTTATTTCTCACCGTTTCTTCCTGCCTTCCTTATATCCCACAATATATGTTTGGAACTGAAAAGTAGGCTGCTCTTAATTTGTGTGGTTGAACTTTTTCTTAATGGAGAAAAGCATGCCTTTCTGGGAAATGAACAAGTTTTGAAAGGAGAATAATTTTTATTTCATATCTAGCTTTTTACAGATGGCAGATTACATTTTTTTTTAATTTTTAGAAAAGGAAGTAACCTAAAGCCTTACAACATTGACTCATACTTGCATAGCAGAACATTGTGCAAGCTTGTCAAGCTTCATTCTGCTAATTCAGAACGAAACACCCAACTATTTACCCAAAGAAAAATCCATCATGCAGGTAGGTCTCTTCAAGCTTTATTGAACCAGCTCTATACAAAAAGCAACTTGATATTAAGTAGGCAGGGGGGTTTCTCTATATTTAATAAGGATAATAAAATTCTGTCAAGGTTTATATGTATTTCGAAAACATACAGAGTTGAACTCCTCTGTGGCATACGTCGGAGTTTGTGTGATAGTGGACCAAAGAATAGCAATAAAATTTTGTTCTCCAGAAGGTATAACTTTTTACATCTTCTTTTGTGTTTTTTGGGTGCATTTTAGTGCACAAAAAATGCTTGTGTTAGGATTTGTATTTTGTGAAACTTGTCTCCATAGCTAGACTATGATCAATTTCAGTAATATCTTGGCTTCATATAATTTTTAAAATCTGAAGATTGGAAAACACTATTTTAATAATTTGAAATATATTACCTTGGCTCAATGTGGTTATTTTCCCGCAATTCTTTCTATATAAATAATGCAAGAAGATGCATACATTTTTACTTTAGAGTTTTAAAAATATTTTTGAAATATTGTCAATAGAGCGTTTTGGATATACTTGTACATAAGAATGCAGTCCTCTTCTGAATATTTGGTTTAAGAAAAATAGAACAAAATTATTACAGAATGATAATTAGAACATTTTGTAGAGAAGCAGAGTAAAAACATTTATTTATTTATTTTGAGACAGAGTCTTGCTCTGTTGCCCAGGCTGGAGTGCAATGGCATGATCTCAGCTCACTGCAACTTTCGCCTCCCGGATTCAAGTGATTCTCCTGCCTCAGCCTCCCAAGTAGCTGGAATTACAGGCACCCACAACCACGCTCAGCTAATTTTTGTATTTTTGGTAGAGACAGGGTTTCACTGTGTTAGACAGGCTGGTCTCAAACTCCTCACCTCAGGTATCCACGCGCCCCTCGGTCTCCCAAAGTGTTGGGATTATAGGCGTGAGCCACCGTACCTGGCCAAAAACCTCCTTTCATACAAATTTTTAAACCTGAAAGTTAAAGTTTTTCCTAGATTCCTTTTTCTTGAAAGTGTTTGTGCATATTTGTTCATGCTGCTTAACAATTTTATATGGAAATCTTTGTGCATCCCCTCCGGCTGCCATCACTACCCCACATTCCATCATGTCTCTTGGGTGGACATATCTGTCTTCAAAAATGAGCTGAAGGATTGCTTACTTTTTATAGCTTTTCCTGTTCATCTATAAGAAATTAGCATCTTCCTCTTTGGGACTTCTTGCTGTCAAGATACTATACTGCTTGTGGCAACTTATGTATTTCTTTGGTTACCTTTCCCTAATTAACTCTAGGCAATTTGCAGTAACAGCCTATTTTCTATTCAGCTTGAATCATTAGCCCGAGTAGAGTGATGAACCCACAGTAAGGATTCTGGATTTTTATTGAATATTTACCACTCTGACACTATATGTAAACATTCAGAGAGATTACCATGACTGCACTCTGCCTCCTTAACTACTGCAGAGAATGAGGGGGTGGGCACCATATCCATGCCTCCCTCCATCTTCTTAATTAAAACTTTCTCCCAGGAAAAGGCTGCCATTGGTCTTTTCACATTGCCATGATTCTGTAGGAGTCTCTGATACAAGGGATGTTTGACATCTCATCCATCATTATAGGGCAGGACTTTCTTCAGGTAGGCTCTGAAATCATCCCACTTGTGCCGAGAAAGGTCATAACATTGTTGAAATTAATAAATATTTATGAATCATAAATAGACTGCAATTCTGTATAAACTGAAATACATTACTTTATCAGAACATAAATAAAAGTGGTGTCAGGAAACTATGAACCCCCCAGGGGTGTAATATTCAGGTAAGTATTTCTAAGGATACTCCCTTCCCTGTGTGCATTTCTCCAGCATGGAGAAATTATTACTATAGAAATGTGTTAATTTGAGTTTTCAATCATTTCAGTTTAAAACAAAACTGGGGATGGAATTTAAAAGCATAATTTTTATGTTAAAGTAAAATCAAATTGCATTTATAAATGTATTTGTTTATTTTCTGTATCCACCAATAGAATATAAGTTGTATGAGAATTAGATTTCTCATTGCTGAAACCTGTCTGCCTAGAATAACGTTTGCTCAGTAGATACATGTGGAATCCATGAAGATTTGTTTCTTTTTTTTTATGGATTCTACTTAAAGATAAGATGTGTGTGACACTTTGCCTTTAAATAATATGTTCACATTATTGCTTTTAATCCTACCTCTGTATGATATGTAATTCAGATTTAATTAATCCAATTTTGCACATAGGGAAACATAAATATTAAGAAACTTGCTTAAATTAACATAGGCTATTGCTCACAGTCCTAGCAATAAAGCAATGTGCTCTTACCTTCAATTCAAGGTCATCTCTATCTTACCAAGATACATAATTGTAAAATTACTTAAATTTGTAAAAATATGATTTGCTTATTTCTAATATCCAAATTATATAGCTTGGTGAAATTTTAGAGTTTAAACTTTAGCATAAAATTTGCTTGAGTTTAAATTTGGAGACACCAAAAAAAAAAGATAAATTTGAGAGACGCAATGAATGTTTTCTAGACTTTCTCCTTTCTGATCCCTTAATTTATATATAAACACACACATATATATATGCACATATACATGAGTATCTATGAAATATATATATACATATACACTTACACACATAAAATGTGTATATTTTGTTAAATTCAATGGTTCATTAGCACTTTATTTTCTTTAAGCCATTTTTAAGGGAATGTACTGTATTTAAGGAAGGATGATATTAATTATCTACTTTCAAAGAGACTTTTTTTTCTTTTTTGAGATGGAGTCTTGCTCTGTCCCCCAGGCTGGAGTGCAGTGGCACAATCTCAGCTCACTGCAAGCTCCGCCCCCCGGGTTCACACCATTCTCCTGCCTCAGCCTCCCAAGTAGCTGGGACTACAGGCGCCCGCCACCACACCTGGCTAATTCTTTTGTATTTTTAGTAAAGATGGGGTTTCACCATGAGAGCCGGGACGGTCTCAATCTCCTGACCTCATGATCCACCCGCCTTGGCCTCCCAAAGTGCTGGGATTACAGGCATGAGCCACTGTGCCCAGCCCAAAGAGACATATTCTTATTTGCCAGTGTCTAGAGAGAATCCCGCTGGACTTTCCGAGTGATTTTACTGGACCTCATGCTAAAAACTCAACACACAATTCCTTCATGTAAAACGGAAAACACCTGACAACCCAGTCTCCTGTATGTAAAGAATAGAAGCACCAGAAAAGATTGATCATCATGACAGTAGGAGAAATTTCATTAACCTGCTCCTGAGTAAAACTTGTAATAAAAGCAACAACAAACATTCAAAGTCTCTGGAAACAACCCTAAAGGAGACATCCCTAAGGGGAAAAAAAGCAAATGAATAAATATCTACTTATGAATATAAATGGAAATTTGTTAAGAAAGTGAGGGTTTGTGATATTTGAACTAAGACTACTCCCTTCTTCCCTTAACCCAGCTCAGTGAAATAGAGACTCCTTTTGAGATTTTTTTTCAACCAAGAACACAGGGCTTTCTCTCAGCTCCCAGTTGCAGGGCTTTCTTACTAGAAAGAGTAGAACTTCAATGTTACTTATCCTGCCCTCAGCTACTCTTGCTGAGGCTAAGTCCCAGGCAAATGAAGTTGATAAGTGGTGTTTCTGTTCTTCTCATCCACTCATAAAACGGGGACTCTGCCTTGGGTGTGGTGTGCTATAAATGTGGGGGAGCCTATTGCTTACCCTGGCTTGCAGTGCAGTGGTTCTGCTCCAGGAAAGATAAGTCAAGAGGATCTCAGGTTACTGACCTTCTCTAATGAGTGCTCAACTCCTGCAGTAGGGGTGCCACTGAGAGATGGGTTTGTCATTTTCTTACTCACAGTTCCAGGACCTTGGCTCAACAATTTTGCCTGTGTGGAGAAAAGCAGGCCATAAAGCCAACAGTTCTTAATATCTTTCTAAAAGCAATAAGCTCATTTGCAACAGAACTTGGAGAATTTCCAGTCTGTGGTGACTCTAAAGAACAAGAAAAGATGTGGTGGAAGAGAAATGTCAGGAGGTTTCTAGATTGAATGAAGATTTAGCTTAGATTATTGGTCAGTTAGTTTGCAGAAGAGAATTGAGGCATAAGACAGTGGAGAGGAGTCTACTTTAGTCAGAACAAATACTGAATATAGACCTCAGAAACTAGTTGTCCAAAGATTCACAGTATGATTGCATTAATTTGTAGAGCAATTTATGTCCCAAGTTGCTTTTGAGAACCATAGAGCAATCAGAAGGCAATTAGTGGAGTTCAACAGCTGAGTGTGGGCAGAGAAAGAGAGGCTTACAAATACCACTTTCATGCAGAGTGACTGTGGGTAATACCCAATTCTATGCCTCCCTGAGGAGCACCATAGGAGGTTTAACACTGGGAGGTGTGATGGGAGGATAATTTTTCTTAAAATAATCTGGTCAGTCACAAAAAACATAAACAAGTAAATAACAATATATATTCCAACGGGAGAAGTGCCTGAAGATGTTTCGATATATTACCTGAAATATCCAGTTTCTTACAAGGATTGGAGAGTATGACCAATACATCAGAAACAAAAGTAGTCAGAAAAAACCGTCTACGAGAATGGCTAGATGTTGGATTTAACAGAAAAATAAATTCAAAGTAACCATTATAAATATGTTCACAGAACTAAAGGAAAACAAGATTAAGGAGTAAAAATTAAAAGGTATGATAACAATGTCATATCAAAGAAACAAGGTTAGTACAAAAATGCAAATAGTAAAAATAAGAAATTGGAAATTCAGAAGTTAAAAAATATAATAGCTGCATTTAAAAAATCACTAGAAGAATGTTATCACTAGATTGGAACTGACAGAAGAAAGAATCAGTGAACAATAATTATTTCATTTGCTTTGAAAAAATAGAATAAGAATTGATGATTAAGACAGTGGGGAGGAGCCCACTTTGGTCAGAACAAATACTGACCATAGACCTCAGAAGCTAGCTCTTCAAAGGAGCCACAGTTTGATTGCATTAATTTTTACAGCAATTTACATCCCTGGACCCTTGAAAACAATGATAGATCTATAGAGTTTATTCAAGCAAAAGAATACAGATTAAAAAATTGAAAACAAATAAACAGAACCTCAGAAAAATGTGAGACACCATTAAGCACACAAACCTCAGCACAATGGAAGTGAATAAAAAATATAGACAAGAATAGAAAATATATTTGAAGAAATAAAGGCTGAAAACTTCCCAAATTTATTTTACAGCAAATCACTCTACAAGCACAACAAGCTTCATAGGATGAATTCAAGGAGATCTACAAAAAAGATTTATACAACTGTAATAAGATTATACTAAAATGCTCAAAGTCAAAGACAAGGAGAAAACTTGAAATTGGCAAGAGAAATATGACTCATCACTTATAACCCAATAAGATTAACAGCTGGTGTCCCAGCAGCAATAATCCAGGCTATAAGGCAGTGGAATAGCATGTACAAAGCGTTTTAAAACAACAATAAAACTGCTTACCTAGAATTCTATATTCTCCCAAGTTAGCTTTCAAAAAGAAAGGTAAAATTAAGATATACAGATGGGAGGAAGGGCCAAGATGGCTGAATAGAAACGGCTCTGGTTTGCAGCACCCAGCGAGACCAACAGAGAAGGTGGGTGGTTTCTGCATTTCCAACTGACATACCCAGTTCATCTCAATGGAACTGGTTAGGCGGTGGGTGCAACCCACAGTGAGCTAGCAGAAGCAGGGTGGGGCATTGCTTCATCCAGGAAGTACAATGAGCCGAGGGACCTCCCTCCCCTATCCAAGGGAAGCAGTGAAGGACTATGGACCCGCCCTAGGTACTACATTTTTCCAATGGATTTTTGCAATCTGCAGATCAGGAGATTCCCTTGTGAGCCTACACCACCAGGGCCCTGGGTTTCAAGCACAAAACTGGGCAGCTGTTTGGGCAGGCACTGAGCTAGCTGCAGGAGGTTTTTCTTACCCCAGCGGTGCCTGGAACTCCAGCAAAACAGAAGAACCATCCACTCCCCCGGAAATGGAGCTTAAGCCAGGAAGCCAAGCAGTCTCACTCATTAGGTCCCACTCCCACGGAGCCCGGCAAGCTAGGAACCACTGGCTTGAAATTCTCACTGTCAGCACAGCAGTCTGGAGTTAACCTGCGGTGATCGAGCTTGGTGAGGGGAGGAACAGCCACCATTACTGAGGCTTTAGTAGGCAGTTTTCCCCTGACAGCGCTAAGGAGACTGGGAAGTTTGGACTGGGCAGAATTCACCACAGCATGGCAAAGTGGCTATGGCCAGACTGCTTCTCTAGATTCCTTCTCACTGAGCAGGGCATCTCTACAGGAAGCACAGCAGCTGCTGGGGCTTAGAGATAAAACTCTCATGTCTTTGGGACAGAGCACCTGGGGAGAGGGGCGGCTGTGGTCACAGCTTCAGCAGACTGAATCTTTCCTGCCTGTAGGGTCTGAAGAGAGTGGCTGATCCAGACAAGGGGGAGTCTCCCAGCACAGCGCACCAGCTCTGCTAAAGGACAGACTGCCGCCTCAAGTGAATCCATGACTCCTGTGGCTCCTGACTGGGAGAGACCTCCCAACAGGGGTCATACAAGAGAGTTCAGACTGGCATCAGGCCAGTGGCCCTCTGGGATGAAGCTTCTAGAAGCAGGCAGCAATGTGCTGTTCTGCAGCCTCCACTGGTGATACCCAGGTGAACATGGTCTGGAGTGGACCTCCAGCAAACTGCAGCAGACCTGCAGAAGAGGGGCCTGACTACTAGAAGAAAAACTAACAAACAGAAAGCAACAACAACAGCAACATCAACAAAAAAGAGCCCCCCAAAAAACCCCATCCAAAGGTCATCAGCCTCAAAGATCAAAGGTAGATAAATCCACAAAAATGAAGAAAAACCAGCCCCAAAATGCTGAAAATTCCAAAAGCCAGAATGTCTCTTCTCCTCCAAATGATTGCAACTCCTCTCCAGCAAGGGTGCAAAACTGGATGGAGAATGAGATAGATGAATTGAAGTAAGCTTCAGAAGATGGGTACTAACAAACTCTGAGCTAAAGAAGGATGTTCTAACCCAATGCAAGGAAGCTAAGAACCTTGATAAAAGGTTACAGGAAATGCTAACTTGAATAACCAGTTTAGAGAGGAACAGAAATGACCTGATGGAGCTGAAAAATAGCAAGAGGACTTCGGGAAGCATACACAAGTATCAATAGCCAAACCAATCAAACAGGAGAAAGGATATCAGAGATTGATGACTACCTTGCCGAAATAAGGCATGCAGACAAGATTAGAAAACAAAACAAAACAAAGAATGAAAATAAACGAACAAAACCTCCAAGAAATATGGGACTATGTGAAAAGACCAAAGCTATGATTGATTGGTGTACCTGAAAGTGGGGGGTAGAATGGAACCAAGTTGGAAAACACACTTCAGGATATTATCCAGGAGAACGTCCCCAACCTAGCCAGACAGGCTGACATTCAAATTCAGGAAATTCAGAGAACACCACTAAGACACTCCATAAGAAGATCAGCTCCAAGACACATAATCGTCAGATTCTCCAAGGTGGAAGTGAAGGAAAAAATTAAGAGCAGCCAGGAAGAAAGGTCAGGTCACCTACAAAGGGTAGCCCATCAGACTAACAGCAGATCTCTCAGCAGAAACACTACAAGCCAGAAAAGAGTGGGGGGCAATTCTCAACATTCTTAAAGAAAAGAATTTTCAACCTAGAATTTAATATCCAGCCAAACTAAGCTGCATAAATGAAGGAGAAATAAAGTCCTTCAAGGAAATGCCAAGGTATTTTGTCACCATCAGGCCTGCCTTGCAAGAGCTCCTGAAGGAAGCACTAAATATGGAAAGGAAAAACCAGTACCAACCACTGCAAAAACATTCCAAAATGTAAAAACCAATAACACTATGAAGAAACTGCATCTAGAGCAGCAAGAAGAAACAAATTCAAAAGTTAGCAGAAGGCAAGAAATAACTAAGATCAAAGCAGAACTGAAGGAGATAGAGACATAAAAAACCCTTCAAAAAATCAATGAACCCCGAAGCTGTTTTTTTTTTTTTTTGAAAAAATTAACAAAATAGATAGACTGCCAGCTAGACTAATAAAGACGAAACGGGAGAAAAATCAAATAGATACAATAAAAAATGAAAAAGGGGATGTTACCACTGGTTCCACAGAAATACAAACTACCATCAGAGAATACTATAAACACCTAGACACAAATAAACTAGAATATCTGGAAGAAATGGATAAATTCCTGGACACATACACCCTCCCAAGACTAAATGAGGAAGAAGTTGAATCGATAAATAGACCAATAGCAAGTTCGGAAATTGAGGCAGTAATTAATAGCTTACCAATCAAAAGAAGCCCAGGACGAGATGGATTCACAGCAAAATTCTATTAGAGGTACAACGAGGAGCTGGTACCATTGTTTCTGAAACTATTCCAAATAACTGAAAAGGAGGGACTCCTCCCTAACTCATTCTATGAGGCCAGCATCACCCTGATACCAAAACCTGGCAGAGACACAATGAAAAAAAGAAAACTTTAGGCCATATCCCTGATGAACATCAATGCATAAACAGAACCAATGACAAAAACCACATGATTATCTCAATAGATGCAGAAAAGGCCTTCAATAAAATTCAACATACCTTCATGTTAAAAACTCTCAACAAAATAGGTATTGATGGAACATATCTCAAAATAATAAGAGCTATTTATGACATAACCATAGTGAATATCATACTGAATGGGCAAAAGCTGGAAGCTTTTCTTTTTAAAACTGGCACAAGGCAAGGATGCCCTCTCTCACCACTCCTATTTAACATAGTGTTGGAAGTATTGGCCAGGGCAATCAGGCAAGAGAGAGAAATAAAGCATATTCAAATAGAAAGAGTGGAAGTCAAATTGTCTCTGTTTGCAAATGACATGATTCTATATTTAGAAAACCCATTTTCTCAGCTCCAATACTCTTTGAACTGGTAAGCAACTTCAGCAAAGTCTCAGCATACAAAACTAATGTGCAAAAATCACAAGCATTCCTATACATCAACAATAGACAAGCAGAGAGCCAAATCATGAATGAACTCCCATTAACAATTGCTACATTTTTTACTGATGGTAGTTTCAACATATGATGGGTTTATCAAAATGCAATCCATCATAGATTAAGTAGCACCTGTAATTTGAGGAGCATCTATATATGATAAATCTTACAGAAACCATTGAAAAAAACTTCAGAAATATAGAGTGAAAAAATTGTTAAAATGGATCACAGACTTATATGGAATATGCAAAATTATAAAACCTCTAGAAGATATTATAGGATAATTTCTAGATGGTCGTAAGTCTGGCAATGACTTTTTACATACAACACCAAAGTCATAATTTATGACAAAATCACTGATAAGTTGAACTCATTTAAAATTAAAATCTACTGCTCTGAAAAAGACAATGTCAAGAGAATGATAAAAAAAGCCATAGACTTGAAGAAACATATGCAAAAGATACACCTGAAAAAGCACTGTTACCACAAATATACAAAAAACTCTTAAAATTCAACAACAAAGGGCTGGGCGTGGTGGCTCACGCCTGTAATCCCAGCACTTTGGGAGGCTGAGGCAGGCAGATCATGAGGTCAGGAGATCAAGACCATCCTGGCTAACACGGTGAAACCCCGTCTCTACTAAAAATACAAAAACAAAATTAGCCGGCCATAGTTGGGGGGATGCCTGTAGTCCCAGCTACTTGGAAGGCTGAGGCAGGAGAATGGTGTGAACCTGGGAGGCGGAGCTTGCAGAGAGCCCAGATCGCGCCACTGCACTCCAGCCTGGGGGACAGAGCAAGACTCAGTCTCAAAAAAAAAAAAAAAAATCAACAACAAGAAAATCAACAATCTGACCAAAGACCTTAACAGACATCTCAGCAAATAAAATATGCAGATGTCAAATAAGCTTTTTAAAGGGGGCTCCATATCATGTGTCATTAGGGAATTGCAAATTAAAGTGATAATGAGTTACCACAATATACTTATTAGAATGCCCAAAAGTCAGAACATTGACAGTACAAAATGCTGGCAAGGATGCGGAGCAATAGGGACACTTACTCATTGCTAGTGGGAATCCAAAATGATACAACACTTTAGAATACAGTTTGGCAGTTTCTTACCAAATTAAGCATACTCTTATCATATGATCCAACAGTTGCATTTTTTCATACTTACCCAATTAAAATGGAAACGTATATCCACACAAAAATCTGCCCAGAGATATTTATAGAAGCTTTATTCATAATTGCCAAAACTTGAAAGCAACCAAAATGTTATTGAGTAGGTGAATGAGTAAATAAATAAACTCTGGTGTATATATGGACAGTGGAATATTATTCATCACTATAAAGAAACAAGCTATCCATTCATAAAAGGACATGCAGAAAACCTAAATGCATATTGCTAAATGAAACAAGACATATGTATGATTCCGACCTTATAACTGTCTAAAAAATGAAAAACCATAGAGACAATAAAAAGATCAGTGGTTGCCAGGGTTTGGAGTAGAAGGAGGAAGGAATAAATAGGTGATGTGCAGAGGATTTTTAGGGCAGTGAAAATATTCTGTATGATCCTATAATCGTAAACAGATGACATTTTAATTTTGTCCAGACTGATAGAATATACAATACCAAGAATATACAATACCAAGAATGAACCCTAATGTACATTATGAACTCTGAATAATAATAATGTGTCAGTGTAGCTTCATCACTTGTAACCAATGTACCACTATGGTGCAGGATGTCAATAGTAGGTGAGGCTGTGCATGAGTGAGGTTAGAAGATACATCGAAACACTCTGTACTTTCCACTCAATTTTGTTGTGAAACTAAAACTCCTCTAAAAATTACAGCATACTAAAAATCATTAAAGAAATTAAAGTACTAAAATGATATGCATTACAAAAGTAAAATTTCTTCTCTAAATTCCCTACTGAAACATATTAGGTATCAAATATATGCATGGCATTCTGCTCTGTGTTAGAGACTCGAAGTACATATGAATTTTATCTGCAAGATACTCAAATTCTTCTTAGCTAGATGAAACTTATACACACATAACATTTATTCCAGGCTATGCAATTGTGACTACCATAAGAAATATTTAGGTTCAGATCTACGGGATTTCAAAGGAAGAAATACATTTTTAAAAATTATCATTTTTGAGATGGGGGTCTCATGATATTGCCCAGGCTAGTCTCAAACTCCTGTACTCAACTGATCCTCCTGCCTTGGCCTCCCAAAGTTCTGGGATTTACAGGCATGAGCCATCATGCCTGACCCAAGAAACACATTTTTTTTTCTGGGAAAGCTCATTGGAGGAGGTGGCATTATTATCGGTTTTTGAAAGAAAGAAAGGCTTAGGAATATATAAATGGTTAAAGTTTTCCAGGTAGAAGAAGCTGCAGAAATAAAAGCCTGGGGTTTAGATAGTGGAGATTTGAGAACATAGCAAACCAAAATGAAGGATTCAGTACAGAGAGAAAGCCTGAAGGCGTAAAACCCAGAGGGGCATGCTGGAACAGGCAGTCACCTGAGCAGGTGAGGGAGCGATGAGAGGCTAAGCCCAGCAGCAAGGAGGAATACTTCTTTGTCTGAGACAAAAAGAGGATGAATAAATACTCACTTAAAGTAAATAAAAAGCTGAAAAAGTATAAATCAGATAATTTTCTATAATTTATTACAACATCCTCGACAAAATCAGCGCATTCTAGATATAGTTTAAAGCTTAAAATCAACAGTATGTGCAAGAAATAATGTGACAAATATTAAATTAGAGACTAATTAAAAATGCAGAGCTGTCATGAACAGTTGAACCGATTGTGCCGCAAAACAGTGCCCAGATGAGAAGACAAGTTGGGGGCAGGGATTGCTGGCAGAGGCTGTCAGCTGGCAGAGGCTGTCAACTCCAAAGCCATCTTTCTCTAATTCACAACACAAAAAATGTCAAATGGATGAGTAGTGGTTCTAAAAAAATCCAAAATTAAATTAATATTTGAGTTTTATTAAAAACAATTACACTCATAATTGAACCTAGAGCAGTCAACTTACGAGAAAAAAGTGCCTTTTAAAAGGGCCTCACCTCCACTCCATTCGCTCTGGATCTAGAGCACAATAAGGCATTGCAGAATCACAGTGTCTAAACTCTGTGTGGAAGAAGCAATCACTTTAAACAAGCAGGATTTCTTTCCATCTTAGTTGTGTTGGAAATAGTCCCAAAGCTATGGAGCAGTCTAAATAATTTGCCAATATATTTACTGTGTGGATTTAATTGCATAAAATTTCACTTTAGCCAAATGGATTTTCTGAATCATAATTTAGTTTGGACTTCCTATCTTAAAAACATAGCTAGCAAATTCTGAAATTCTTAATGACTTGTCTGGTAGTCAAATTGTAAATAAAAGACATGTCTCCAGATGCTCGCTCAGGTATTTGGGTAAATTGCTCCTTTCATGGAGCAACTCAAGTTGTTGAAAAGTAAAAGGCAATATTATACTTATATTGGCATAATTTCAGTACTCAGTACAACTCTCAGCCATCCAGTATATAATGCTTAAGGATTAGAGAAGAGCACAATCAATCTTACCCCAGTTCACTGGGGGATACAGAAATAGAATGTAAATATGAGGGACTAAAAACAAGAATAAATTGCTATTTGTACTTCCCTCTGTGTAACTATTAAATATCAAACTATATACAATATACTATTTCACTCCTGACTTTTAGATTTCCCATTCTAATAATGCTTAAGTATTTTTAAATAAGTATAACCTCAATAGCATTTTGGTAGGCTGCATAAATTATGCTTTCCTGACTCTGCCTGGCCTGCCTTGGTGGTGACTATATAATGTTCCTGAAGCAGAAAATTAACCAAATAATGTGGGTCATGTAGAACAGCATGGAGTACCAAATGACTCCATCGCACTGATTTTCAACTGGTGCCAATCAACAGAAATAAATGCAGTTTTTAGTTTAAAATTATTTATTTCTTGCATATGAAAACAATTGATCTGATTCAATCAATTTTGTTTTTCTCATGACTGCTATCTTGTATAAATAGATTTATCTTTTCTATTTGTTGATGAAAAAACAAGCTTAAGCTGTCCAAGTAACCTACATCTTACCAGTAATAATTGCTGGGCTGCCATATGTACAGGAAGAGGAGGTTTGTCCTATGTAAATGAGTTTCTCAAATAAATGCATAATATAAAATCACAAATATTCTTATCTTTAGAAATCAATGTTTCTTTGAAAATATGAGGTTTTTCTGCATCCAGTCATCCATTATGAAAATATGATTTTATAGACTTTGGCTTCCCTAGTTCTCACAATAGTTCTAGAAACATAGTTCCTTTCTTTTAGCTACACTGCTTCCAAAAGGTTTTTAAGAATACTCAATAAATATGCAGTTTTCTTTACTTTTCCACTTTTTATACTCATCTCTAAGTCTTTCCATAATTATAAGCACACATAAACTGTCCACTCTTTAATACTAAACTGATTCATTTCATTTTCATAAAACTAGTGTCCCTTTAAGTTCATGGTTTTTCAACAAAAATAACAATAATCTTTGTTATAACACAAGATATTTCTTTTAAAAAAATCAACGTGGTTGCAAATAAAATATTAAATGCTGCAATACTGTCCCATTCTCCCTTCCCTTGTCCAAAATCACTCTTCTGGCTGCAAAGCTGTCAGCCACAGCATGACATCTACCAAAAATGAGTTCAACTCAGAATCTTGTCAGGTATAGCCCATGTTTTGTGTTCTCTAATTTTCTAAAAAGAACAAAAAAACCCAGAGCATAGGAAGGTACTTAGATGGCTTCTAGGGAAGCTGTCATTTCCACTGCAGCTTTGTTCTTTACTGCAGATAGAGGCTGATACTAAAAATTGCTGGAAGAACAGAGAAAAATAAAATAGCATCAGCAGCATGTTGATAAATGTCAAATGAAGGAAGAAGATACTAGACCATAAAGCGAATATGGGGGCTGATACAGAATGAGAAGATATTTGAATATGTTAGTGAATATTCAGAGCTAAGATAAGGGTACGAATAGGGTAATGTCTAGAAATGTTTCATTAAGTGAGAATTACACTTAATCATGTTTAGCACTCTGGTTATAACATTTCTAAATATTTGCCTAAAATATCTTATTTAGTCTACTGAGATAATGAAGACACAGCCAAAATATGTGTGTGAGTGTATGTGTGAGTCTCTCATTCCCTATATGAACTATGAATGGTAAAAATATATATAAAGTATTAAATAATTTATAAGTATATATTTCCTACAAAATACTTGAGCACACATATATAAATATATGCACAAGGAATCTCATGACAATATTGCCAGTGGTATGAAAAAAAATGTGTGTGTGTGTGTGTCTATGTATGTGAGTATATATGTGTATGAGAGAGAAAGGATTACATAATATCATAAATGGAAAACTGTGCAGCAATTAAAATAAATAAATTAGGTTATGATTTAGAAATATATTAATTGCATATTGTTAAATAAAATAGCAAGCTACAGAACAATATGAAGAGTCCAATCCCAATTTGTTAAAACATCAAACAAAATTGTAGTTGAACATATAAGATTTATGTTTATATGCACAGAAAAATAATTTTAAAAGATAATAAATGTAGAACTAATAAGGACAAAGAAAAGGCACAGAAGGGCTTACCCAGCTTACTATATACATATTATTTAAATTTGTTAAACAAGCATGTTTTCTTGTTCAATTTAGACAAAAAAATTAAAAGTGCACACAGCATTCTCAGAGTAAGTGCATTGTTGAATAGTCTGGAAGTGAGAGGAATGTCAGACTTCCTAGTAATCTCTTTCATTTATATTTCAGTACCTCTGGCCATTTTTAAAAGGTAATAAATACATGGAGTTGATGGCTATAGTGACTTATTTATTCTTTTCTCTTTGCTTTGAAGTCAAGAAATATTTGTGCTCCCTTTTTCACATGACTCCCCTCTGCCCACCCTGTTTCCACATAGTCTGTTATTAAAACAAGTTGGAATCACAAAATAAAAACCTCAACAGTTGTCTCTTGACTTTCAACTCCATGATTAAAAGGAGACTGAAATTATAGTTTAGAGGAGTATCCAAAGTATGTACACGTGACATAGTTAGTTCAGATGTTGTGCAGAGTGCAGCAAAGTGTAGCTCCAAAGAAGACAGAATAAGTAAATGTTAAGTAAATTAGTTTAATCCAAGCAGATAAGAAAAAGACATGTACTTAATTTATATTGAAGAAACAGTCACTTGGTAGGAGGGGAAAAGGGGGTTTAGAGTATAACTATAGAAGATTGGTTTCTGGGCACGGTGGCTCACGCTTGTAATCCCAGCACTTTGGGAGGCTGAGGTGCATGGATCACCTTAGGTCAGGAGTTCGAGACCAACTTGGTCAACACGGTGAAACCTTATCTCTACTAAAAATACAAAAATTAGCTGGGCATGGTGGCAGGTGCCTGTAATCCCAGCTGCTTGGGAGGCTGAGGCAGGAGAATCACTTGAACCTGGGAGGTGGAGGTTGCAGTGAGCCGAGATTGCACCACTGCACTCCAGCTGGGGCAATACAGCGAGACTGTCTCAAATAAAAAAGAAAAAAAAAGAAAGAAAAAAAAGAAAATTGGTTTCTGGACATCTTCAGAAACTCATACATATTGTATCCCTTTTTCCCCTGAAATTTCCTAAATAACAAAAAGTACAGCCATCAACAGTGCACAGGGATGTGGAACAATAATGAATGCTAGTTACTATTGTTAAGTTAAATTAAATTTGGCCTGTAACTGCCTCTGTACTTAATAAACTTTAACCTAACTTAATATGTAAACAAATCGCTACTTAACTTGAGAATATTTTCATATTTTGGCCAATCACAGCAACTGAGCTTTCAGCCAATCATAGGCTGCAAACTGATTGGACATGTCCAAATAATGTGAATGCAAAACATTAGCCAATCAGGCTATTTCTGTATGTCACATCCTTTTCTGTCTATAAAAGCCCACCCGTGTTTCTGGGTGAAGCTCTCTGAAGCTTTACTGCTTCAGGGTACTGCCTAATTCATGAATTGTTTCTTTGTTCAAATAAACTCTGCTAAATTCAATTTATTGAAAATTTTTCTTTTAAGATATTTGCATCAAAAATGAGTTTCAACATAGATTCTCAAGGACCCCCAGGAGCTCTGAGTGACCAAACAAAGGTACTCAAGAGGGTCCCTTGTGCCTATTGATCTCTTGCAGCAAGTTCTCACTGTGGACAAGTTTTCTCTTTTATTTCAGCTCCATGGATTTGTGTTTTGAGCTGACTGATTTTATTTAAGCATTGTTTTACTGGACTGGTTCAGGATTGAATTGGATTCGATAATTCACTGGATTGGATCCTGTTAGAGGCCTCAGGTAGCCACTTTTTGAAAATGGTTCATCCAAATCTGAGGAATCTGTGACTTTACTTAATGGGACACTTGGTAACTTAAAAAAATATATTTATTTAAAAAATATATTTATTCTGAGCTAAATGTGAGGACCATGACCCACAACGCAGCCTCAGGAGGACCTGAAAACATGCGTCCAAGGTGGTTCAGTAACAGCTTGATTTTATACATTTTAGGGGGACAGAAGTTACAGGCAGACATCAATCAATACATGTGAGGTATACATTGGTTCAGTCTGGAAAGGTAGGACAATGAAGCAGGAGCTTACAGGTCATAGATGGATTCAAAGATCTTCTGATTGGCAATTGGCTGAAAGAGTTAAGAATTTAACTCTGAAGACCTGGAAACAGTAGAAAGGAGTATAAGGGGTTGTGGAGACCAAGGTTCTTGTTATGTTGACAAAGTCTCGTAGGTGGCTGCCCTTAGAGGCAATAGATGGGAAATGCTTCCTATTCAGTCCTTTAAAAGGTACTAGACTCAGCTAGTCTCTTCAGGATCAGAAAAACGCCTGGATAAAGAAGGAGATCATCATCCAAACGTAAATTTCCCCCACAAGAGGCAGCTTTGCGGGATCATTTCAAAATAGGTCAAAGAAATGTATTTTGGAGTAAAATATTTTTATTTATTTGACAGCCTGCTGTCATTTTGTGATTTCTTTTTTTTTTTTTTTTTTGAACTTTTATTTTAATTTCAGGGGTACAAGTGCAGGTTTGTTACACAAGTAAACTTGTGTCATGAGGGTTTGTAGTACAGATTCTTTCATCACCCAGGTATTAAGCCTAGTACCCATTAGTTATTTTTCCTGATGCAGGTATTAAGCCTAGTACCCATTAATTATTTTTCCTGATCCTCTCCCCCATCCTGCCCTTCACTCTCTGGAAGTCTCCAATGTGTATTTTTCCCATTGATGTATCCATGTATTATCATTTAGCTCCTAATTATGAGAACATGCAGTATTTAGTTTTCTGTTCCTGTGTTAGTTTGCTAAGGATAATGGCCTCCAGCTCCATCCATGTACTTGCAAAAAACATGATCTTGTTCTTTTTTATGGCTACATAGTATTCCATGGTGTATATGTACCACATTTTCTTTATCCAGTCTATCAGTGATGGGCATTTAAGTTGATTATATATCTTTGCTATTAGGATACCAGTTAACCTTATGTGTTAATATGAAAATTATGGGCCTAGAATCTGTATATTTTTTGAGAAATGATTTAATCTTACTAAGAACAACTTAAATTTACAGTGGCCACAGTGGGGAAGTTTTAACCTAGATAAACCTGTTCATTTGTGAAGTGCATTAAGAAAGAAAATATCAAAAATGCCACAACATCAATGGAATGAATTCTTTAGTTGGTACACACAGACATCTAAAAGATTAAATAAAACCAAGATTTCCTCTTTAAAAAGTTTCTTAGAGAAGGCAAATTAAAAATCTTAAAGGTATTTTTTCATAAATATCAGTCAAAATCTTTAGCCATCTGTACAGAAAATTTTGTTCCATTGGCCAGAAAAACAAGTAGAATCCAAATAGTCTTTAATAAATAATCGATCATGTGTTAATTATACCTGGTACAGGAATACAATTTTAGAATGAGATCTATAAGATCTTTTTCTGTCTATATGTTTGTATATGTTTGTATGCATGATATATATGTGTAACATTTATCTCAAGATATCACAAATTAGATTGTAAAATATCTGCATTTACATGGCTTTAATAAAAATAAGTACTTATATAAATGAAGCATTCTCTTAGAACAAAAGACGACCTAATTTGAATGCTTTTCAAGTTCACATAAATTCAGTAATCTTTGGAAAGCAAGAATATTGTTTATTTGATTAAAACAGACATATCTCCAGAGTTTTTAGTATTAAATATTATACAGTTGCATGGCATTTTCTACTTAGGTTCAATGGTAAAATTAGCTTAAGTTATCTCTATATTACAAAATTGGAAACCAGAAAAGTAACTTAAGATTACAGCTAGCTGTTTAATGTCTCATCTTTACATGCAATCCAAGCATAACTGCTAAAATAAGTTAGTTAAATAGATGTAAACAAGATAAAATTCTTATGTAAAAGATGTCCTTCCTACAGCAAAAGGTTTTAACATTCTTTTCATTAGAATTGAAAGATAAGCCTCAGGGAAATCTGTACAAACAAAAATCTAATTCTCAGGCCTATCCACAAAAAACAAAAAGCCTGAGTATAAAGATAAAGTTTTGATTCCTTTATAGTTTCTTATCAAAGAGATACTAAATATATTTGGTAGTATTAGTAAACATGTCCTGTCCTACATTGACAAATTGTACAATGAAGAAGCAGATACTTCTGTAAAATATGATTCATAGATTTACCAATTGACAGATTGCTGGTGTCACAGACAGTTCACAATTGCTGTCTTCTTAGTGTTCACTGAAAATTAAGGTTGCTAAGAATTAAACATTCTAATTAATATATGTAACTAAAATTGTTAGAAATAATGAGAAGCAATTCTGTGTGCAAGTACACAAGGAACGTAAGATGTGCTTTTGTTAAGAAAAAGCTATGAAGATGTGAGGATGTTGTATCTTTCTTACGAAAAAAAAAGTACTTTTTGCCCTAAAGAAGGATGAGTGGTTGCTCCAAAATGAGAAGAGAAAAAGTGTAGGACAAAAACTGAATGAAAGACAAAGTTGTAGAAGACTGTTTGTAGATAAATCTTGTGAAAGATGTTCCATTTGATCAAGCTGGCTAAAGATTAGAAGGGAATTGTTTATAAGATTTGTTTTCTAAAAGTTGAGAATTAATATCAAAAGTATACTACTGCAAAACTAGAATTTTGTCCTCTCTGTTAAAACAACAAAGTTTTCTTAAAGTATTAGTATATTCTTAATATTAAATCATGAAAGATTTTTCTTTACCTTTTAGATAATTGGCCTGGGAAACCAACATTTTTTGTGTCACTCAGATAATTTTCTGTGCTTCATGTTGTCTACTAAAAGAGCTAAAGTTTTTCTACAATGATGGAACTTTCTACTATTGCTCACAGCTGCCTGTGATGCTATTTGATCAAGTGTTTTCGACCTTTCGTATTTTTAACAAACTTTCCAAAATTAAGTTCTAAGTTAAATCTTTAACTTGACCCTAAATTAACTTGGGAATTTTCCAGATGGGCGCTTGGAACATCTCAAAAGTATACCTCTTATAAAAAGAGAAATATTGAAATAATTCAGTTTACTTGATATATTAAATTAAATGTACACTATTTGAGTGTTGGGTACACTAAAATCTCAGACTTCACCACTATGTAATTCATCTATGTAACCAAAAAACTCTTGTACCACTAAAGCTATTGAAATTTTTTTTTAAGTAAGAAAGAGTTATATGGAAAGCATTGTTAAATAAGTACTGCTAAAACCTTCTTTGAGTTGTATTTCTAAGAATGTGGGATGTGTCATTACTACCTGTTTCGTAAATTATATAAAATACATACAAATCTATTAGTCCTGGTATAACACTATCAGTGATAATTCTAGTTATCTTAAAATAATATTCTAAGATTATTAACAGATACAAGCCATATGTCTTTGTCAGTTGCATCATTATTTTAATGAACTCTCATCAGATCTTTAACCATGGCCATTTTAAGTCTTGTAATTCATGGACAGTTAATTGTGTACTCTAGTACTTTCCCAAACAACTATAAGCTGAAAGTGTTTTACCTTTAAGGAGATTCATGGAAAAGACTCTCACAAGTACAGGTTTGCGATAAACTTAAGATCATACCATCTGACTAGGTAAGAATCCCCAGAACGCTAAAGAAGAAACTTACTGGTTCATAGAGCTTCTAACCTAATATTCAGCCAAACAAGAATTAATTAAATACCAAGGAAATTATTTGGCAGATTTTCATGCTGTGTCACCCAGCATTAAAATTTTTAAGAATTGCAATTAGAATGAATTCTATAAGATTGATGCAAGTCAAGTTACCTATAATAGCCTATTTTAATAACAGTGCAATGCACCTGATTTGGAAAAACAAATTTTGTATCTGAAATCATGTAAATTCAGTGTTAAGCATGGACTCATAGAGAGGTTGGACTGCTGCTTGGTCCTTCCTGAGTCCTTAAAGCTTCCATTATTACAACCTATCACTCTAGGATTCACCATGTAAGAGATAAAATAATTCACATTATGAAAAAATATTGGTGAAGTTACTATTCTAAAATGACTAAAATGGTTTATGACCAATGTTTGGTTTGTCAAATCCATTATTCTTATAAGAAAATAAAAACCTCAGATGATACATTTCCAGCATCTGCTCAATCGTTTGAACAATTGCAGATGGATTCCATTCAACTGTCACCCTTAATGTATATTTTCTGGGTGTATAAAAGCTTTCTCATGCATGAAGGTCAGTACTATAACAGCAGCTATAAAAAAAGTTTGTTAGAAAATGTGTTTAACTTATGGGACAGTCCTGAAGAAATCTCCAGTGATAGAGGTACTTCTTCCACTGGACAAGTTGTAAACCAGTTAAATTAGGTATTACAAATGCAGTGGCACTTTACAAAGCTAACTGAACCAATTGGATTGCCTCAGTCAAAGGTATTAGCAATTGTTGGCAACCAAACTTACTCCCGCTGGAAAGCATAGATTGACCCTTTATGAAATAGTTACTTCAAAGACTATCCCTTTAGTAATAGAACCTCATGTAATTCTCACTCATAAATTTTGACATGACTCAATAGTGCAAGGCTTTGTTGCATTATACCAAAGCATAGTTTCACCAGGTGAAATAAATCCTTTGTAACTCACCAATTGATGACAACCAGATCTTTCATGATCTAGAACCTGGAGACTGCATCTTTTGGAAAAAGCACACCAGGGAAAGACAGCCTTTGAATTCCACTGGAAGGGACCATAACAAATTCTTCTCTGCAGCAAAACTTCAGGGCATCAAGTCTTGGATCCATATCTTTCAACTCTAAAGGGCCACTCCAGACTCCTGAAACTCTATGCCTGTTAGAGATCTTAAGATAAAGCTGACCAAGGAAATTTTCCCCAGAAGCAGACGGCATTCAAGATGTGAACAGCTTTCCCAAGATTGTATATCAAAGCTGCTTTGTTGTCATGAAAGCCTTACCTTTTTTTTATTTACTTTTCCTTTATTTTTTGTTGTTTGAGTCTGATATAATTTGGCGCTTTGTCCCCACCCAAATCTCATCTTGATAGACTGTGGACTTTTAAGTTAATGTTGAAATGAGTTAAGACTTTGGGGGACTGTTTGGAAGGCATATTTGGTTTTGAAATGTGAGGACATGAGATTTGGCAGGGGCTAGGCGTGCAATAATATGGTTTGGTTCTGTGTCCCCACCCTAATCTCATCTTGAATTGTGCTCTCATGATTCCTATGTGTTATGGGAGAGACCCAGCAGGAGATAATTGAATCCTGGGGCTGATTTCCCTCATACTGCTCTCACGCCAGTGAGTAAATCTCATGAGCTCTGACGGTTTTATCAGGAGTTTCTGTTTTTGCATCTTCCTCCTTCTCTCTGTGCCTGCTGTCATCCATGTAAGATGGGACTTGCTCCTCCTTGCCTTCTGTCATGATTGTGAGCCTTCCCCAGCCACATGGAACTGTAAGTCCAATTAAATCTTTCTTTGTAAATTGCCCAGTCTTGGGTATGTCATTATCTGCAGCGTGAAAATGAATTAATACAGAGTCCTTTCCCTTTTCTTACAAAAAATCCATGGGAAAATAATTTGCAGATTGCTGTAGCAAAGGCTTATGCTCTAGCAAGAACCCAGAGAAATTATTAGGCTTAAGAACTATTGCTCAGAAATCAGAAAACAACTCCACTAATGCCAGTGTGTCTCTGTGTTCCTAATATGAGTCATCCTGAAACCAAAAAGAAGAATGGAAAGTGATTCTTGATATTCTAGACATCACTACTATTTGCTTTCCTATAGGTAATGGAAATAATACCCTGACTTTTCCAATCAATAACTTAATTGTTACCAAATATAGAAAATCTATCTAAGTGTGATGCCTGTAAGAGGTATATTGTACTTCCAGGCATTGTTCACTCAAGGCCTTGGTACTACTTAAGTGGCTAGAATACGTGTTTGTATGATGTTACTCTATTAAATACAGTAAGCTCCCTTTCCACTAAATGTGGTTATGAACCTTCACAGCATGCTTTATAAAAGGACCACAAAAAAAGTAAATCTTTCCCTGGACCTTTCTTAAGAGCTATGCAGACTTATAGGCAAACAAATTTAACTGGCTCCTGCTCAAACACCATTTGATAGCCTTCTTTTCCATATCTGAGGTCCAATATGGAGTCTGTAGAGAAATTTCTACTCTCTTCTACCTCCTTCTTCATACAGATTTTACTATTTGGCCTGGCTCAGTCCTGCCTTCTGAATAGCTTTCACTGAAAATTCCCAATAAGACCTCTCATAATCAGAGGGCAAAGTGGTCATTGACTGAAATTAGTACCAACCTCAAAACAGATGAAGATATATTAGCTTCCACTGAAGAAAAGTTCTAGTGGCGTTCTTGGGAACCCAGTTTAGTGGTAGTGAGGTGCTTGTTGTAGGAAATTTAAAGCTAATTTGTAAAATGGGAAAAGTATTGGATTTTTGTAGTTAATCAGACCTTCCAGGGGCTCAGATGGATAGAAACCACTCTCCAAAATGTGGTTGAGAATATTTATGTTCAACAAAAACACGTAATGCTTTAGAGTGCCACTGTTCCCATGTTGGGGTCTCGTGTGGTGTGGTGCTGAAGAAAATGAAATGTTGCACTTACCTTTCCCCTGATTTTATTACCACAGAAGGCTTAATTAGAAAGGTGGCTGTTACTCCTAGTTCTCTAGGCACTGCCATTAAATACATTAAAGAAAATTTCTCAGAAAGAAGAAACATATAATGTATTTATGAGAGCAGCTAATAGTTGGTTTGAAGGCATCCTAAATGGTGGATGGCAAGCTTGCTTGACTATTCCAAGGTTTTCTCTCCCCTACAACCCACCCAAGGTTTTCTAATCTTTATTTGTTTATTTACTTATTTATTTATTTATCTATTTGTAGTGAGTTTCTAGATTACTATGACTTGTATTACCATGCTAAATACAAAAATGAATATGTAAGGCCATTTTACTACAAACTATGGTCCTTAATTGCCATCATACCAAAGACTATGACTCATTGGACTACTGAACTATTTTTGTTGCCTGAATTTTGAACTGTTTGATTTTGGTCAGTTTGGTTTGCAGATAGTTCTGTTAAGGAATACACTTCCGTTTTGTGATATTGTCCTCCTGATAGCCGTCATAATAGTTTCTCTGATGTGTCATATCCCCTGAAGAGTCTTAAGTGCTTGTATGCAGCCTTCCTTTGTACACCAAGTGGTCTCATTATAGTAAACATAAAACATGAAGAAAGCACTAAAAAGTCATCCAACTAATTTGACATTGTTAATTAAGACATCCATACTGAGACCAAATGAGTCTATTATGATGGTGACAGAAAGGGTGTCCGTCCTCAAAATTGGAAGGCTGACTGAAAGGGGGAAATTGTTAAGTTAAATTAAATTAGATTTGATCTAAGGCATTTCTTTTAACATCATATGGAAGAAAAATATTTAAACAAAGTTTGGCTTTGCTAAAAAGCACATTATATGAAAGGGTATCTGAGGCAGGTTTACCAAACTTTTAAACACACATTGGTTTTGACGTATGTGTCACAGCAGCTATTGTTTTTTTTTAATAAGTGTACATAGAGTTTTCCAAAAGCATCCACCTGACACTTTCAAATGTGTTTTGCAACTTTATTCATGTGCTTGGCAGATTCTGTGCAGGAATAACTTAACTTGTCATGCATTTGGCATTCCATTACATATTGTTATATGATTACAGGAAACAAACAAGTATCCTCTACACTACTTTCAGTGTTTTTATTCAGTTCATTGGGTAAAAAAAAAATTAAGATGCACACAGTGATAGCACAGATATACCTATACTGTGGTTCAAATCATGTATAGCAAATATTTGTTCACTACCTCTCTCTTCACTACCAATACTTCAATTTGAAACATTATTATCATTACTAGAAATATTGGAATAACCACCTGATTCATCACTCTACATCCAGTCACTCCGGGATCCAGTATATCCTACATCTTTCACTGTCATATTAACTTTACCATTGCCCAGTTTTGACAGATTCCAAAAGTACTTCATTCTTTCCTTCTTCCCTGCTGAATCTGCCATTTGAAGCTTTTCACTACAAAGACTTAATTTATTGTTCCTGTCTTATCTCTATTCTCCCCTTTGCAACTTCCTATTCTGTGTTTTCTTCTCAACATGCCCTACACTTTCCTTTCTATTGTCTTTATTTTTTATTTATTTATTTATTTTTTTGAGACGCAGTTTCACTCTTGTTGCCCCGGCTGGAGTGCAATGGCATGATCTCAGCTCACTGCAACCTCTGCCTCCCAGGTTCAAGAGATTCTCCTGCCTCAGCCTCGCAAATAGTTGGGACTACAGGCACCGTGCCCAGATAATTTTGTGTTTTTAGTAGAGACGGGGTTTCACCATGTTGCTCAGGCTGGTCTCGAACTCCTGACCTCAGGTTATCCACCCACCTCAGCCTCCCAGTGTCCTGGGATTACAGGCGTGAGCCACCACACCCAGCCTCTATTGTCTTGCCACCACACCTGGCCTCTATTGTCTTGATTTTGTATCTTTCGCCTGAAACCCAGACTGTCTTTTCCCACGCTTGCCTTTTGAAGTTTAACCAACTCTTAATTTGTGCTTGATTGACACCAGGTCTGAGAGTTTCAGAATGGAGTAAGACACTGAACTGAGTTTAAATCTTCCATTTTTACAAGTCTGAGATGGGAATAAAATAACTGCATTTCAGAGCAGATGGAGAAGAGTGCCTAAAACATAGTCATTGCTGGTTGCCTAGCTTTTCTACCAGGAACCATTACATGATGCATTTAAACATTTTATTTTTTACTGTTATGCTTTTTTCCCATTGCTCCCCAATATAGGTTTCTAATGGATAGGGAAACAAGAGCAGATTCTGTTTGTTTAATGTGCCTGTTCTTGGTTTGTTGTTTGTTGTTGTTTTTTGTTTTTGAGACGGAGTCTCGCTCTGTTGCCTAGGCTGGAGTGCAGTGGCACTGTGTCGGCTCACTGAAACCTCCGCCTCCCAGGTTCAAGCGATTCTCCTGCCTCAGCCTCCTGAGTAGCTGAGTTTACAGGTGCCCACCACCACGTTTGGCTAAATTTTAAGATATTTTTAGTAGAGACAGGGTTTCACCATGTTGGCCAGGCTGTTCTTGAACTCCTGACCTCAGGTGATTCACCTACCTCAGCCTCCCAAAGTGCTGGGATTACAGGCATTAGTCATTGTGCCTGGCCTTGTATACATATTTCAAAACATCATGTTGTACGAAAAGGCCCTGCCTAGGTAATAAGGCTGGTGTGGAGCGGACATTACAAACAGAAGGAAAAGAAAAAGACAAAGGCATGCAGGCATGAATTAGCTGGGTAAATGCAAAGGAACTTCAAAGAATTCACACTAAGGATAAGCTAACAACATGGTGCTTAGTAAGGCCATAGACTTAGGCATTGGCCTGGAAATAAAGGTCTTTGGAACACCACATACCAGAATCTCTTGTGGAAGTCAGTGTGGCGATTCCTCAGGGATCTAGAACTAGAAATACCATTTGACCCAGCCATCCCATTACTGGGTATATACCCAAAGGACTATAAATCATGCTGCTCTAAAGACACATGCACACGTATGTTTATTGCGGCACTATTCACAATAGCAAAGACTTGGAACCAACCCAAATGTCCAACAATGATAGACTGGATTAAGAAAATGTGGCACATATACACCATGGAATACTATGCAGCCATAAAAAATGATGAGTTCATGTCCTTTGTAGGGACATGGATGAAATTGGAAACCATCATTCTCAGTAAACTATCACAAGAACAAAAAACCAAACACCGCATATTCTCACTCATAGGTGGGAATTGAACAATGAGATCACATGGACACAGGAAGGGGAATATCACACTCTGGGGACTGTGGTGGGGTCGGGGGAGGGCGGAGGGATAGCATTGGGAGATATACCTAATGCTAGATGACACGTTAGTGGGTGCAGCGCACCAGCATGGCACATGTATACATATGTAACTAACCTGCACAATGTGCACATGTACCCTAAAACTTAGAGTATAATAAAAAAAAAAAAAAATTTAAAAAAAAAAAAAATAAATAAAGGTCTTTGGAGCTTGAGAAGGTAGCTTGAAGCTTATCTTGTATGTAAAACACTGAAGAGCCTTTGGTGTGGTCTGATTTGAATTTAAGAATAATTTACATAGAAATACAGAGGATGGAAAAAATAAAGCTGCACAGCTGGAAACTTGCAATTATTTACATAAAATCATCATCACTAATATTTCCATAACATTAAGTATATGCCAGGCAATTTCTAGGTGATTTACAAGATTTACTAATTTACAAGAGGAGGATATGAAACAGATATGTACATATGTAAATGAAAACATGTTTCCCATATCATATGGTAATATTAGAGAAATTCTACCAGTAGATAATGTTGCCTCCCAAGAGAATAATGAATGGGGCACATTACCGTGATAAAAGCAACCAAGCTGAGAGATAATTCTTGGCCTCACCTAGACCGACATGAATGGATAGCTACTCATAGGACCAGGGGTGTCCTGATCCTTCTCTGGGAGGGCCTCAATTTCTGATGGTATTCCAATTTCAGTTCCAGTTCACAGGTATATTTACAAAAAATAAAGAAAGAAAGAAAAACACATGTTTCCTTAAGGTAATCTAAGCAAAACTCCAGTTACAGTCAAAATATTGTATTTTGCCTCTTCTGAGCAAATCTGCATATTATTTCCCTCAAGTTTTATGTGTTGATCTTCTAGTTGAACCTCTAAAGAGTGATTTTATTTTCCTCATTTCCCAGTTCTCAGGGACACTCTAAGTTATCTCTTCCAAGAAATGAAAGGTCTAGAAATATATCACTTGGATCTTTATAGAAGATTTTATACATCGATATGTTACATAATGTTTTCTTAGAAAGACAAGGACTATCATGATATTTAAAATTGTATAAAAATGCAGAAATACATTTTATATATCTGATTTAATGAAAAATAAGTTTTCTTGGGTGATGGTAGTAATGATGAAAGGGGAAATTACAAGTTAATGAGGACCAAGCAGATTTTTCTGGTAACTGTTTTTGATCAATGGGTAGAATTTAAAATCTCTAGAGAAGGGACAAATTGCACGTATCAACGATGTCAGATTTTTTTGCATTTCTATGAATGCTGGCAACTTTAAATATCTTCCCAGCAAAAGAGTGATGCAGAAACACTGAGAGTCACTTCTAAAAGCAAGTATTAGAGGCTAGAAGTTTCTTCAGCAGCATTTTCTAAGTGCCTCAATTCTTAGGCAACATGCTACTTTATTTTTCTATAATATATTATTATGTTAAATAAATATTCCTGAAAAAATTTATTCTTCTTGAGTCAAGTCACTCATTGCTTTATTTTTCTACTTACCCTCCATAATTATTTTCGAAGTTTCAATCTCCATCTTTTCCTTACCCCTTACTCTCTCTCATTTCAGATACCATCTCACTCACAGGCTTCATGGTCACTTCTGTTTGTATCAGTCAAAATATGCTAAGTTATGCTGTGGAAATAAACAGCTCAAAGTTGTAGTGGTCTGTAACAACATAGTTGTGTATTTTTTGTTTGTTTTGAGATGGAGTCTCGCTCTGTCGCCAGGCTGGAATGCAGTGGCGCAATCTCTGCTCTCTGCAACCTCCACCTCTCGGGTTCAAGCGATTCTTCTGCCTCAGCCTCCCAAGTAGCTAGGATTATAGGTGCCCGCCAACACGCCCAGCTAATTTTTGTATTTTTAGTAGAGACAGGGTTCCACCATGTTGGCCAGGATGGTCTCAATCTCCTGATCTCGTCATCCACTCGCCTCGCCCTCCCAAAGTGCTGGGATTACAGGCATGAGCCACCGTGCCCAGCCAACAACACAGTTTTTATTCCCCTCACAGACCTTGGCCAGGAATAGTCCACAGCAGCGGCCATTGTTGTGACAGTGGGAGTGGAGTAAGGTGGGGCAGGAAGAGTTTAGGGGCTCTCTTCCGTGTAATTGTTTACACTCTACAACTCAGACCTATGCCATGGGGAATATTGCTGGTTGATGTGGAGGAGCAAATGAGCTGTGACCAGGTAAAACATGGCTCTCAAAGCACATCCCCAAAATGACATCTTACTTTCAGCTCAAGTTGCACTGCCTATAACAAGTTAGGTGGCCAAGCCTATTCTCAACTAGGAGGAGAAGTATGATACTTACCAGAAACTACATAACACAATTTACCCACATTTCAATGACCCTCAAACTTCTATTTCTATTTTCAATCTTTTTTTTCCAGCCCCAGTCCTGCCTTTCCCATTCTCAACTGGATACTTCTATTTTAATATTATATGAGTGCCTCAAACATTTATCACGTCAGAACCAGAATTCATAATCTCCTTCCAAAGCCAACTGGTCTCCAACCTCCATATACATAATAACTTCAGAATAATGTTAAACTCCTTGACCATTTCCCATGTAATCACTCTTGTAAACCCTGTTGATTATGCCTTTGAAATTTTCCTCGTACTTAAAACTTTATTTTTATTTCCCCCCAATTTCCTTAGTTCAGACTTCCTATATGGTCTGCTATTCTCCACTTAATAGTATACAATGCAGGTGAGTTGAAGTAAGTTTTGATTCTGTCATTTTCTTTGTTCAGAAGGCTTTAGTGTCTCCCATTGTTTAAAAAATATTATCTAAACTCTATTTAATTTGTAATTTAAGGCTGCCTAAGGGTTACCAGCCCCAATCTATCTTCCCTCACTTCCATATATTCATAATTTGTTCCATTCCAGTTAGAAAAGTCCTCACCCTCTAAACACAAAACACAATTCATATTTTCATATTGTTGTCTCTTACTCATTCTTATGTAATTTATACATTTTTTATTCTTCAGAGAGAGTTCTGTACATAGATGTTTCTTAATACCTGGCTAAGAGGAAGAAAAAGAACACTATATTGTTTTTATGTGAGCATTATCAACTGCCTGACATTTTGCAAAATACTTTTAAAACATAATCTCATGTATTCCTTACTTGAGTTTTATGAGATGACTACAATTATCTTCATTTTATGCATGAGGAAAACTGCAGCTTTAAATAAAAAATGATTAGAAATAAGGGCCAGAATAAAATATGGTTGATTCAGAGCCAGTCTGTACTTTCATATTTAATATTTGAAACTGTGTTGGATGCACATTCATCCAGTGAGTCTATAACTTCGACCCAATATCTTCCTTGAGTTGAAAATTTTTCTAGGTATAGAGTAAACTGATTATATCACATTGTGCTGATTGCCTTAAATCAAATTAGCTTCAGAGACAAATAGGAAGGTGGTCCTCAAACGCCTTGACTTAAATGTATGTACCTCCTTAAGTCTATTGTAAGCCTCTAAATGTAGTGTTTTCCAATCTATGTCATAGTGTTCACTTATCAAACATGATGACTACCTCATAAAATTAAGACATCCTGTAATCTGCTTCTAACATTCAGTTTGTAAAGATTCCCAGTAACTGAAGATTATTTGAACTAAATAATATTTAGTGGGTGCAGTGCACCAGCATGGCACATGTATACATATGTAACTAACCTGCACATTGTGCACATGTACCGTAAAACTTAAAGTATAATAATTTTAAAATAAATAAATAAATAAATAAAAATCAGTAAAAATTCTTCATAGTGTCTAATATAAACAATATGTAGAAAGATATATGATACATTGAGATGTTTATATGAGATGTATTACTAAATATCAATATAAAAAACTGAGAATTTATTTCTCTTTCAATATTCCCTTACACCCCCCAATATATGTATTTTAGTTGCATCGAAAAATATTCGAATAATAATTGTAATTCAGCTGTGATTCACTATTTTTCATCTCTCAGCTGCTACACATGAATTTCCACTGGAAAAAGCCAGAGTTGTGTAAGGTACCAAGAAAAGTTTTTCCAGATTTTATTATTCTTGGAAGGAAGATTAGTGTGGAAGAGGCCTAAAGGCAAATCTGCTCATATTAACCCATAAATACACAAAATACCAAATACAAAAGTTTAGAAAGTTCTATTTCTAGAATAGATATGGTTGGTTAATTCATAAGTTAAGTATTCCTTAAAGATTTGGTGATTTTATTGGGCTGTCTTCAGTGAGAAAGGTAAACATTTCTACTTTGCTTTAGGTATTAAACAATCAGAGCTCACTCAGGAGCATTCTTTTTTTAAATCAGTCATTTTATCATTGGTAATCAATAATCAATAATCCCAAATATCCAGTCTTCTATCCAAAGATAATGTAAAAATTGATTATGACCTCCTATTTGAGAATTCTTTTACCTATGGCTGAAATATTATTCGGTCATAAGTTACTTCTTGAATTGTGACTAAGCTTTAGTATCTGTCTTAGTCTAAATCAAGAAAACCAATTTATGAAAGAAAATCAATGCTGAGTACATAACTGAAATATGCAAAGGTCAGTCCTTGTTAATGTAATTTGTAATAACAGTTAAACAGAATAAAAAACAAACATTTTAATTGGGATTCTCTATTAACAAAATAGCCTGTGCACTTCAGCCCCTAATTGGCATAGTCTTCTTTATGTGTTTAATGCATAAACTGCCTAGAGCAGAAGGAACAGGTGGTAAAAGAAATTATTTTAACAGCAGTAGAAAGAAATGAAGGAAAAAAAATACACCCATCTAAAGAGTGAACTATTAGTAAAAAAATGGGCCTTACTCAGTTCTATGACTGTAATATCTCTTTTAAACGTTTCACTACCCCTCAGGAATGATTGGAGTGCTTTTAACTTATTTTTAAAGCCCACACATAACTATGGCACTACCTATTTCCTTAACTTCCTATCTCTGTGGCATCATCTAATAAACACATCTCAGAAAAGATAGCTTCCTTGACCTTGGATTTGGAGGAAATATCTTGGGAGAGACCAAAGGGAACTGTTCTTTCTGATTTTTGATTACTTGGAGTAAGTTCTATTTTATATACTAACAAAATGGACATACTGTTAACAAAAATGGACATAAAAATAGATTAGGTTGTCTACAACAAAATGATCAGTGACATAATTTTCCATAGTGAATTCAAAGCAAATGCAAATAGTATAATATTTTACTTGTGAAGCAGTTGTCCAAGTATCCTACTGTTATTTCCTTAGGTATGTAATTAATATATTTAGTGCTGGATATCAGAAAGAGAGAGAGAAAGAGAATTCCACGATTCAAGAGTTGTGATTTAAATACCTAATACAATTGTCATTCCTTATTTGTGATTTTACTTTCTATGGTTTCAGTTACCCACAGTCAACCGCAGTTCAAAATGTTAAATGGGAAATTCCAGAAACAAACAATTCATAAGTTTTAAATTACACAGCGTTCTGAGTCATGTGATGAAATCTCATGCTGTCCTGCTCCATCCCGTCTGTCTTGAATCACTCCTTCGTCCAGTGGATTCAAGCTGCCTGTGCTTCCCAGTACTTATTCACTTAGTAACTATCTCAGATTGACTATGACAATACTGCGGTGCTTGTGTTCAAGTAACCCTTACTTTACTTAATAAAATGCAAGAGTAGTGATGTGGGCATATTGTTATAATTATTCTGTTTGATTATTAGTTATTGATGTTAATCTCTTACTGTGCCTAAACTACAAATTAAACTTTATCATAGTTATGTACATTTTTTTTTAAAAAAGAGTATATGTAGGGTTTGGCAATACCTGCTGTTTCAGGCTTTCACAAGAAATCTTGAAACCTATCTCCCACAGATAAAAAGGGGCTCCTCTATTCCTCTGGCTCTGTTCAAGAGCCAAAACAAATTGCAAAGGTGGCATTGTAAGATATCATTTTAACCTTCCATGTATTAACTACCCGTGGGAAATTCTAGACTTGCCAGAAAAAGACTGGATGGACCAACCTGCCAATAAGCACAATGAAGCCATTTTAATGTCAGTCATCCTGGTGAGAGAAATCTGGAATCTGAAAATTGATCAACAATTGTAATGTAGTTTCCAGTGTGTGCTTCATTTACCATAAACATTAAAACTGCTTTAAAAAGAGGGTTCTGGAGTATGAGAAAGGGATGCAGACAGAGGCTGACTGAAGGAGTAAAGAAGAGACAAAGAGAAATCAGAGAGAGGCAAAGCAATGTATATTAAACATGTACGAGCTCCACACCTGTGTAAATTTGTGAGGGTTCTAGGAAGCTATGAAGTCAAAATTCTCCTCAGTCTTGCCCCAAAGCAAAAGAAAATTGCTTTAGCAACTATCCCCCAAGTGCACAAGGAATCCTTTTATAAATAGGTCCTTTGTGATTTGTATTAGTCACCACGTATGAAAGCTTTCAGTCTGAAAAGTAAATTTCAAGGTGTTGAAGCAACTTCAGTATGGAGCGTGTTGCTTTTGGAGGAAAGCTGTCATTCTTCCGTGGGTGCTGTCAAGTACAAGTTGTCAATATGAATAAAAGACTGTGGGCCACTTATAAGAGGGAGCGTTGAGGGTAAATGATGAGGGAACTTGGGGTTAAATTGCTGGGAGCCCTATTTTTTTTTAATTAGAAATTCCATCCAGTAGTTTCTACCCCACAGGGATTCTGAGGTCAAATCTAGAGGAATGCATTTACAAAATGACTGAAATTTGTAGGCTCAGGCTCAAATCAACATCAATAATTAAAAAAACAAAAAAACAGTTTGACTTGTGTTATTAATTGTGTACTAAAAGTTGACATCTCGTGAGAATTTCCCACTCTCAAAGTTTTCCTCTGCCCTCCTACTTTGCTATTTAAAGAGTGGTTAACACATAACTGAAAAAGGCAACTGTGTTAGAAACCCGCATGATTATACTTGTTAATGGGGAATAAGGTGTTTGGTCTGTGGGTGGAATGTGCCCCTCAGACAAGCTCACACTACCCAATTGAAGCCGGTGGAGCCATCTCAGTTCATAACTTTCACACCACTCTGTGTTTTTCCTTGGGTTCTCTTAATTCAAAGTCTGTGATCTTTGGAAATGGTTTTGTTTTCCTATGGTCTTAGTTGGGCTTCCTAGAGAGCGGTGGCTGGCAACCGCTGTCTTTCCCAGCCTCACTTGAACTCTTAACAACAATCCACTTGTAATTATGCCAGTTCAAGGGTAGGATTAGGATATTTGTCCAGGAGACCAGGAATTTCTCAGTTTCACTTTCTGAATTTAAGAAGGGCAAATTTGCTCCTGAATTTTAGAGAAGATATTTTAATTCTCCTGTTGACCTTATGTGGAGATCCTTGAAGATAGCAAGGTAATTTTTTAAGTGCTGAAATATAGTATTACATGAAGATTCATGTATATATCTCTGGATTTACTTTTCAACTCTCATCAATTCAACTTGGCCAAGATAATAACATTTCATATTCAAAGCTGTGTATCTACTACGGGAACTCAGAAATTAAAGATTCACCAACCAAATGACCAAATGACTCTAGCAACCGATCTTCACAGCAAGCAATATTTTCTAAACAATGGGATATATATGATGGAATGAATGATTAGCATCTACAGTGATAATAGAGTTCTCTGAGCAGTTTAAAAGCATACTATGACAAGCCACGCAAGAGAAGATGAAATCACATCAACCTGGAACCTCTCCATATGGGTTCATGAATACCATGACCACCTACGCACAGAAAACACTGCCACAATTTCACAGTTTTCATCATTCAGGAAATCTATGCACTTAATCTGAAGAACATGAATTGATGATTGGCACCAACAAATACTTATCTATCCTTGTAGATGTAAAAGCAAATTTGGTTGGCCCTTTTTCATTTGAGCACTATTTTCTACCATTTCAGTTCTCATCAGTGGAATAACAAGTAATGATAATTCCATCACTCATGATTATTATAAATTCTGTATAGCTAGTAAAATATCAAGTTCTGTTAAATGCAATTTTAGAGAAAAATGTAAGTATTTCCTCTGTTCATTACTTGTTTTACATATGAAAAATGATTGAAAATAATAGCTGAGTATGATATGAGCATGAGTATGCTGTGAGAATGTTTAAATCAACTATTTAAATAATGCATATAACATGTTCACTCCACCCTAACTGATAGAAAAAACATAATCCAAACCAGTTGTGTGTATGTGTGCATGTATATATTCTCTTTTCATCAGTGTATTGACTCTATAAACTTAGCAATGCCATATAAATGAATAGGTACTGTTAACTTGTTTTGGAAAATGACCCATGAGCATCAATTAACTCTGAAGTAATCTTTACATATATGAAAATATATATGTGACATGTATTCCATGTTCAAGAAAATTATTCTATATCACAGTACTTTATGCTTACATCGACCTCTATTTCTGGACTTTATCTAAAAGAGAAATCACATACATTTCTCACATATTTTAGTCAGAAATGAATGTCCCTATGTCACAGCATGAACATACCTAGTAGTTGTTTTCCTCTTGCTTTTACAATTCATAAAATAGATTTATATGTTACTTAAGTAATACATGTATATAACATAATTGAAAAAAGTATTTGAAAAAATATGTGTGAATTCCAAATTTAAAAGTCTGTACTTTACTTTCAAAGATCTACTTGATTAAAATTACATGTGTGTGCATACATGTGAGGGGAAGGCTGTGTGTGTAGGGGTGTATGTGGACCTATACATTTTTGGCATACAGTGTCATGAAAGTCTGCTAATGTATACTGTCACTTTTAACAGCCGTTGGCATTTATAATAGATCTTAGGAAAAGCAGAGCTGCCAGATGCCTGGTTTGGGAAATTGACCTAAAAAAAATGCTGATTTTTAAGAACGCAACCAAATAATTAAGAACAAACAAGTAAACTATTTTTTTTTTTTACAAACTACTTTTTACAAACTATTTTGTTATTCGTGTTTGTAGCTTTCTTGCCTTAAAAGTATTGGCATTGTGTTAAAATATTAAATCACACATTTGACAAACATTAAATGCATATAAAATTAAGTAATGTGGAAGAATTATGTGTCATTACATTAGAACTATATATTTATTAAAACTGAATGTTAATATTTATTTTAAGCTTTCTTGCAGCCACAGTAAATATCAAAACATATGAGAAAAATGACAATAACATTTAAAACATATTTAAGACACATATATATTTATGATTTTACGTGGTAAAGCACTGTTAACTTCATTTGATTTCTAGATAAAATTAAAGATATTTTTCTAATCATCAAACTTATTTATGTATTAAATCAAGAAGGAATTTGTTTTTTATCATGCTATAGAGGTTGTTGAATAGACTATTCTGCAAACAACTAACATTTGCAGAATGTATGGAAACCACTCTTCATCAGATGGTCTTTAAATTATTATGGCACGAAATGAAAACATAAGCAAAACCCTTCCTTGCTAAACCTATATGAAATATTTGTAATGATGAGCACTTCTAGCACTTAAACCTAATGAATACATCTCAATACAAAGCACACAATGACTAAGACGAAGGGATTTTAGCTTCATAATATAAACACTTATTTATCAATTTTAGTTCTGCAGTTTGATTTTTTCATAGTCATTTATATTCTACAAAACATTTTGCTGCTAGAAGTGGTATAATAATGAATGGATATTTGAAGTAAATAGGATGTATGTAGGTTACATGGCACATTGGATACATTCAATTTATGTGAATGATACATTCCTCCTAATTAGGAAGGACATTTTTTACTATAGTAATTATAACACCTTGATCTTTTAAAATTATTTGTGACCTAAGCACTTTTATATACGTTATTTAATTTGTAAACTTCAGAAGTATTATAATGCCCATATTATTTTCATTTCCATCTACTTATTGAGATATAATTCACATACAACATTCACCCATTTTAAGTGTAGAATTGGGTGAATTTTGGTGAATTTATGCAGTTGTGTAACATCACTTTAATAAAACTGCAGGATAATATTAATCATCCTGAAAACTTCCCTTAAGTCCAGTTGAAGTCAATCTCCTCCTCCAACTTCTAGTCCCAGGCAACCACTGATATGCTTTAATAAGTATACTTTTGTAGTTTCTAATTACACATGGTGCTAAGTAAAGATAGAGCTTCTGTGTCTTATTTTTTCCCCTGCAGATTTTCAATTGCTGTAGCACTATTTGTTGAAAACACTATATCTTATTGAATTACTTTAGCATTTAATTGAAAATCAATTGTCATTACATAAGTAGGTCTACATTCTATTGTGATCCAATGAGCTATGTTTCTAAGTTTATGCTAATATCACACTATCTTAATAACTTGTACCTTCATTGTAAACCTTGAAAACAAGTAGTGTAAGTTTTCTAAACTTCTCTTCATTTTTCAAAATTGTTTTTGTTTTTCAGATCGTATGCCTTTTAACAGAAATTTTTGAATCAGCTTGTGAATTTCTTTCCAAAAAATGGCTATCATAATTTTGATTTAGATTGCACTGAATCTATAGATTAATTTGGGGAGACCTGCATAAGCATTGTATATCTTTTCATTTATTTAGAATTTTTTTCATTTTCCTTCCCAGTGGTTTGTACTTTCCATATCTTGCACATAACTTATTGAAACATTTACCAGTTTTTGCTATTTTAAGTGGACTTGCAGTTTGATTTAATGTTCTAATTGTTCACTGTTTATACCTCCCCTACTCACCCCACCCCCAACACAATTGGCTTTTGTTATTTGCCCTTATGCCCTGAAGTCTTGGTAAATCCACAGATTAATTCTAGGAGAATTTTTTTCTTACAATTCTTTAGGACATTATATGAATGTAAACATGATGTATTAACAATGTTTTCTAGGTTCTGTATTTGATGCTTTGACATCTAGGGCTTTGCTGACCTGGAAGAGACTGCCTCCAGCAGGGTTAGCTGATTCCTAGTCACTTGCCTATGAACATGCTTTTTCTCTGCATACTAACCAATTGAAGGCCCTTACTCTCAGTGCCTCCTTTATCAGGCTCTCATACTTTAAGCCACTATGTCACTGCCCTGATCACCCCAGGAATAGGTTTAGACAAATAGGGACAGCCCCTATACAGAGGCAAGAGCCCTCTAAATTTGTTCAAACTAGCCAATCCTAAATTTATGTAGCCTGCTTATCTTGCCTTGTTCATTCCCTCCAAAAAAAAAAAAAATCATAATAAAAACTCTTGACTGCAGTTCCCTTTTCTCGCTGCCTGTGATCAGTGTCAGTGTTATTTCCCGTGGCCCTCTGTATCCTGTTCTTGGGAACTGTGAGCAATAAACTATATTTCAATGGAAACTGTCACCTAATCTGACAGCCTCAGCATACCTAAATACAAATAAAATCTACATTTTAAAACACATGGTCATGTTGTCTACAAATGAAATAGTTGCACTTCTTCCTTTCCAATGCCTTTTATTTTTTCTCTGCTTCATTTCAATATAATTTTAAATGTTAACTAGTGAGAATACACAACCATGCTTTTTTCTTAATACAAAGTAGAAAGCATGGAGTAGGATGCAAGTTCTAATTTTTTGTTGGTTTATAAATAGTTAATGAGATTTATAAAGTTCCTTTTCATGTAAAGTTTGCTGAGAATTTTTATCATGAATAGGAGTTGAATTTTGTCAAATTCTTCTGTATTTATTAAAATGATCATATATATTTCTTTATTTTCTTAGTTATATTGGTTGGATTTTTTAGATAATTACACCAACCTTGCATTTTCCTGATAAAATTCATTTTACAATGTGATATATTTATTGCTTTTATAGATTGCTGTGTCCCACTTGGCAAATTTTAACTTTTTGGTATGTAAGTTTATGAATATTATTGGTCTGTAGTTTTCTATCCTTCCAATGTATTTTTAAAACATTAATAATAATAATATTAGTTTTGTAAAATAAGTTAGGGGATGCTCCTATCACTCCTATTATCTGAATTACTTTGTGTGTGTGTGTGTGTGTGTGTGTGTGTGTGTGTGTGTGTGTGTGTGGTTTTTCTTTTTTGTTTCTATTCTTCCCCAAATACATGACAGAATCACCAGCATTGACATATAATTCTGGGGTTATGTTTACAGGAAAGGTTTTAATTGTAAACTTAATTTTTAAAATTTATATAGAGTTCTTTAAGTTTAAATTTATTCTTGGATTTATTTTTATACAATCCACTTTTTACAGATTTTCTTTATTCCATCTAGGTTGTCAAATATGAAATCATAAATTTGTTTATAACATTTTCTTATTTTTAATATTTGTATAATCTGTTCTGATGCCTCATTTTTTCTGATATTGGTAATGTTTCTTCTTTTATTTATTTCTTATTTTATTATTTTTTGAACTTTATTTCATTTTTAAAATTTATTTTTATATACTTTTTTCTTCCAATTTTATTTTAGTTTCAGAGGCTACCTGAAGAGTTTTGTTACATGGATAAATTCTGTGTTGTAGGGTTCTGGCACAGAAATTATTTTGTCACACGGGTAGTGAATGTAGTACCCAGTAGTTTTTCAATCCTCACCCTCCTCCCACTCTTCACCCTTAAATAGGCCCCAGTGTCTATTTTTCCTTTCTCTGCGTCCATGTGTACTCAAGGTTTAGCTTCCACATATAAGTGAGAACATGCAGTATTTGGTTTTCTGTTTCTGAGTTAATTCACTTAGGATAATGGCCCCAATGCATCTATGTTGCTGCAAAGGACATAATGCCATTCTTTTTTTATGGCTGTGTAGTATTCTATGATATATATGTACCACATTTTCTTTATCCAATCTACTATTGATGGGCAACCTAGGTGCTTATCTAGGTTGATTGCATGTCTTTGCTATAGTGAACTGTGCTGCCATGAACATCCAAATTGCATGTGTCTTTATGGTAGAATGACTGAATATTCCTTTGGGTATATATATATATACTCTGTAATAGAATTCTGTTTTAAGTTTTTTGAGAAATCTCCGAATTACCTTCCTCAGTGGCTGAACTAATTTACATTCCCATCAGTAGTGTACAAGCATTCCCTTTTCTCTGCAATTTCTCCTGCATCTGTTTTTGACTTTTTAATAACAGCCATTCTGACTGGTCTGAGATGGTATCTCATTTTGATTTTGATTTGCATTTCTCTAATGATTGGTGATGTTGAGCTTTTTTTCACATGCTTATTGGCTATGTTTTTGTCTTCTTTGGGGAAGTATCAGTTCATATTCATTGCCAGTTCTTTAATGGGGTTGTATTTTGCTTGTTGAATTGTTTAAGGTCTTAATAGATTCTAGATGTTAGACCTTTGTTGGATGCATAGTTTGTGACTATCTTCTCTCATTATGTAGGTTGTCTGTTTACTCCCTCGGTAGTTTATTTTGGTGTGCAGAAGCCCTTTAATTTAATTACATCCCACTTGTCAGTTTCTGTTTGAGTTACAATTGCTTTTGGAGTTTTTTTCATGAAATCTTTGCCAGGGCCTATGTCCAGAATGGTATTTCCTAGGTTTCCTTCTAAAGTTTTTATAGTTTTATGTTTTACATTTACGTCCTTAATCCATCTTGAGTCAATTTTTATGTATGGTTAAAGGAAGGGGTCTAATTTCAATCCACTGCATATGACTAAACAGTTATCCCAGCACCATTTATTGAACAGAGTCCCTTCTTCATTGCCTGTTATTGTTGACTTTGTCAAAGATCAGATGGTTGTGGGTTTGCAGCTTTATTTCTGGGTGCTCTAGCCTGCTCCATTCGTCTGTATGTCTGTTTTAGAAGTCCAATGTGCTACCTATTGTGCCACAGAGCCACATCTTTAATTTCTAATCAGTCTTTTTCAAGATTTACCAATTCATTTAGTTATCGATTATTGATTTTATATTATTATTTTTCTGATTTATATTTAATTAACTTCTTGCCCTTTTCTATTTTATCTTTTACCCTATACTTGCTTTGGGTTTAATTTGTTCTTTTTCAAATTCTTAAGTTTAATCTTAGATTATTGAATTTTTTAGACCTTTCTTTTTATTAACATATTAATTTAAATTACACATTTTCTTTTCAACATTACTTTAGCCGCACCCTCACAATATTTATTTGTTGAATGTTTTTTCTTATCATGTAACTCAAAGCTATCTTGTGATTTCTTCTTTTCCCTGGAATATGTAGAAGTGTGTCATTTTCCCCCCAATATTTGGAGCTTTCCTAGCATTTTTTGTTACCGATTTCTAATTAATTTTGGTTAGAAAATAGTTTCCCCATAATTCTAATCATTTTATATTTATGAAGAAATTGTTATGAAACACCAGAAGGTCATTTTTAAAAAGCTCATCTCGGCCGAGCATGGTAGCTCATGCCTGTAATCCCAGCACTTTGAGAGGCCAAGGCAGGTGGATCACCTGATGTCAGGAGTTCAAGATCAGCCTGGCCAGCATGGCAAAACAGCGTCGCTACAAAAATACAAAAATTACCCGGGCATGTTGGCATGCACCTGTAATCGCAGCTACTCGGGAGGCTAACGGAAGAGAATCGTTTGAACCTGAGAGGCGGAGGTTTCAGTGAGCCAAGAGCATGACACCGCACTCCGGCCTGGATGACAGAGCAAGACTCTGAAAAAAAAGAAAAAAAAAAGCCCATCTCTACAAAAAAATACAAATAAAACAAATTAGTCAGGCATGGGGTTACATTCCTGTATCCCAGATACTTAAGTGCCTGAGGTCTGAGGTGGGAGGATTGCATGAGCCCAGGAGTTTGAGGCTGAAGTGAGCTATGATTGTGCTGCTGGAATCCAGCCTGAGTGACAGAAAAAGACTCCGTCTCAGAAAAATCAAAAGAAAGAAAAATATGTAGGTTATCATTTCTAGATGTGGGTATCATTGAAACCAAGTAGAAAGGGACATTAAATCAAGGTAGGTGGTAGCATTATTTAAATATAATAAGTCTCCTTATTTTTGGTTTAGTTCTGTCAGTTGCTGAAAGATGTTAAAATACCCACCTACGGCTGTGGAATTGACCAATCTCTCCCACTTATTCTTTTAATTTGTAATTCCTGTATTTGAAGCTCTGTGATTAGCAACTTACATGTTTATGATTATGTCTTCCTTGCCAATTTAACCTTTTTATCAACATAAAATGATCCACTATCTCCAAAAATATATTCTGCTTTAAAATCTATTTAATCTCGTATTAATAGAGTGACTTCAGCCTTCTTATGACTACTGTTTGCATAGTATAACTTTTTATATTCATGAATTTAAGTCTAGTTTATGTCTAAATATTTAAAGTAGCATTCCTACAAATAGCGTATATTTACTTCTTCCCTTTTGTGTGCGTGTGTTATTTTCTAATCCATTCTGACAATCCCACATTTGAATTAAAGTGTTTTGCCAATAACCATGTAATGTAGTTGATTGAGTGCAGCTCTACTCTTATTATTTGTTTTCTAACCCACCTCCCATTTCTGTTCTGGTGCTGTTCTCTTTCTCTTTTCTTATTTGACATTTCCTTTAGAATATAATTTTATTTTTTCTATCAACTTTTAAAACTCAGCTTATTTTATAATATTTTATTGTTTAAAGTAGGGATTAAAATATGCATTGTCTCTTTTCATGTAAAATATGCAAAACTTGTAAATGTGTAGGTTCACAACCCACATTATGCTTTAGTGGATATATGTACTGCTAATAAGTAAATTATTAAATCAATGATCTCATTTATGTAGTTTATATAATATGTCACATTTTGTTTGCTGATGTCAAGAACAGCTCTTTTTTAATTTATGGTTTTCAACAATTTAATAGTGATGTGCTGAGGCACAGCTTTTTTGTATTTTTTTCATCTGCTTATTGTTTGTTAAGAATATTCTATGTGGAAACTTCTGACTCAAATCAAACTTAGAGAATTCTCAGACATTAATTATTTATTTTTCTTCTGGTCTATTTCCTCATTTATTTTCCTTCTAGTGTTCTAATAACATGTATGTTAGACCATCTGATATTTTCTCAAAGGTCCCTGAGGCTCTCTTAATCATTTATAGTCTTTATTTTTCTGTGTTCTTCACATTGGATAATTTCTTTCCATTTATCTCCTAGTTCACTGATTCATCTATTATTTACATTGCACTAAGTCCATCTAGTAATACATTTTGTATATTTATTTTACAAGAATTTCCACTTAGTTTTTTATATTACATTATCTGTATTTCTCTACTGAGATTTCCTATATTTTCATTCATGTAAGCACATTTTGCTTCACTTCACTGAGGGGAGCTATAATAGCCACTTTAAAACTCTTGTCTGCCAGTTCCAACAACTGGGCCATTTCAAAGTCAGTTTACACAAATTAGAAATGTAAACTCTTTTTTCTTGGGTAGAAGCCCATCTCAAACCTAGTCTTTTGTAATTAGTTTAGCTGATTTGAGTCTACACCATGTATGAAGAGTTCAGGGGTCAATAATGGAATATGTGATCACCTCTCTGGTTTCTTCCTTCCAGGAACTCCAGTCCCTTTAGTAGCCATAGTTTCCCTGGATTCATTTTTCTGATTTCCTACGTCACCACACTGCAGTTAGTCTACCAACAGCAGCAGACCCTCTGCTTGTGCCATAATCACAAGACTGGGAGTTTTGTTTGTACGAATCCCCTTCTCCAGTGTCTATACTCCCCGCCAGTCTGCCTTCTGCTGATCGTTGTCCAGTGTGTCTGTTTTTACTATTATGTCTAGATTTTATGATTAATTTATTTGGGCAGAGGAGTATTCTGATAGCAAGTGATTACTCAATTGCCAAAACATGATTCCCATTTTTTATCTGAGGAAAGTTATTTTAAATGAATCAAATACATTTGTGTAGTTAACAAGACATAGCATTGGAGCTGATTCCAGCCCCTTAATATCATGAGAATTTTATAACACTGTTCATTTTCATCTAAGAATATACATTTTAAACTAAATGTATGATTATTGATTTCCTAAAAACTACCAGTAACAGTAACAGCCTGTAATAAATTCTATGGTTACTGATTAAATCAACACACCATTTGTTTAAAAACATAAGTGTCACTACAGCAGTCAGAACTTAACACTTCCAGATTATCAATATGTTCACTGCAACAAACACATATAAATATCAAGAGAAAACATAATGCAGTTGTTGTGCTCAGCAACATTATTATATTTATTTAATAGATATGGCAATAACACTGAAGCATATAAATATATACTAATCAATAAACACTAATTTTAAAAAAACAAAGAAAACACTTGCTATATCATAGGTGGACCTTGCAATTATTAACACTGATCCATATTTTCACAGCTAGCTGAATCAGCACAACTTAGTAACCTTTATGTTTGTAAGAGATTAATTTGATATAGATATAGCTTAGGTATCCAGAAATTTCCTTTTGAAGATTAAACCCTAGCCTCATAGTGAGAATTCCTCTTGGGGCTAGGACTAATCTATTAAATTATTGCCTATTCTAAGCCTTTTTTCACTTATTTTTATAATGTTTACATTTTAAGAATTGTGATAGCTGGCTTTAATCAGGGAGCATTAATCGAGGTACCAAATGAGACTACTTTATATTCAGATACAATGAATGTTCCTGAATGAACAAGATGGGGGTAGCCTTTTCTGTACCTCCCCTTCATTATTTTTCTAGAAAACCTTAAAGCTGTTCAGTAAATTTAACTGCAGTCACTGACTGTGATAGAAAGTAATTTGAATTAAATGTATATTCAAAACTATTTAACCCAGAAGGTAGCAGACAAGGGTATTTAAAATAAAGCTTCTGGCAGAACATGTGATGTCTTTAATGATCATTGTGCTGGAAAACAGGTGTCAGCCTGCCTCCCTTTCATTTCCTTCCACCCCCTCCTCTTCCCTTCCCATCTGTTTTCCCTTTTCTCCAGCTTTTCATGTGTATGTTTTGGTCTGTGAAGAGTAATTTGCTATCTTTAGGTTTGGGGTAGGGGACGCCCACCAACATTGGGAATCAAAGATGTGGAAAAACCTACTGTTCCCACTAGTACCTTTTTCTATTTTGTTGAGTAAGTTTCCCTGTGGTTTTATGCACAGATGGAATAAATGTACCTGCCATTTCCACACACATTAAGGTGGTATGCCCCACAGGTTGTATCCCCTGACGGTTTAAATGATGGTAGCAAGTGAATTTTTTAAAAATAATCAACCATTTATTCCTAGAAGAAAACTTCCTAAAGGCTTGTTAACAACCCCACCAATGCTAGATTTGGATTCTTTGAGTAACATTAGAAACTTTTTGGTAATTCAATTTCAATTTGGGAATCTCCTGCACAAGTCCAAGTGTTTGGATAACTACAGAAAAGACAATAAAAATAAAACTAGAAAAATCATTCATAAAATTTTCAGGATCAATGTGCCAAGAACCTACATCTATTTCTGTTACTCTGGTGCAGATCTGCTCCACATTACTACTAAATAATTGGTCGCTAATCTTCTCCCCAGACAGGACATCTCCCCAAACAGTGCTTATACACTTAGGATTCAGGCACTTTTCTGTACTTGAATAAATTTCCAAAACCATCTTCCACAAACATCTCATGATGTTACTTGACCAGTCACAAATCTTCAGCGGCTTTGTGCCAGGCATTTTTTACGTATTAGAAGAGAGAACAGAAAGTGACCAAATCAGGCAAAATTCCTTGCCTTTCTAGAGAGCAATAAGGAGGAAAATGCAATGAACAAATAAGCAAGCTGACTTTATAGTATTTTAGAAGATAATAATGGTATTCAGAAGCATCCAGTGGAGAGGAGAAGATGTCCTTGAGGGTGCTGAGAAATCAATTCTAAATAAAATGACCAGAGAATTCTTACTGAGATACTGCTCTTTATAATTCCCTAAGGAAATCAGGGAAAAGACTGTGTGAATATCTTAGGCAGCAATTTTACAGGAAAAGGGACTCAAGTATAAACTTCTTAACCTAGGAGGCTAATTGTTACATTGTCAGAACAGCAAAGAGACCAAACTTGACTGAAGATGTGTGAATGGTGAGCAAGAGGAGAGAGAGGGAGAGAAGTAAGGTCAGAGAGTTAAGTAGGGCAAGATTTTGGCCATTGATAAGGACTTTGATCTTGACTTTGAATAAAACAAGGAGTGACTGACAGGTTTCAAATATAAGAGGGACATGGCCTAGATTACAGTATAAAATGATTCTTCTGACTGTCCTTTTGTCAATTGAGTAGAGAAAGATAGGGGCAAATCAGGAAGGTTAGAGTTAGTCCATGTGAGAGATAAATGGGCACCTGGAATAAAGAGAAAGTAATGCATAGGAGCAGATGTAAGTTTTTCAGGGACCTCTTTAAAAAATACAAAATTATTGCTACCAAGTCAAGTACAGGAGTAAATATTTATTTAGAATAAGTAAAGACTGCAAATGTTAAAAAAACTGTCAACATGATGTCAACAGGCATCATGAAAGGCCTAAAATTTATAAGCTATTAGTCATATTATTATTACCCGCCTGCTGTATCTCTATGTTGCTTTTTCCCTGTACCTCCAGATGCATTTTCCTTGGCCAACCCTTCATATAACAATTTTATTGCAGAGAGACTAGAAAGATAATTATCTTGTTGAAAAAAGTCAAAACTCCTTTTGTTCAAGCATGGTTGAACAAAATTTTTCCTTAATTTTTGACAGTTTAGAAAAAAATAACTGTTTTACAACTTTCTCTGTAGTTCTTTGCCAGGCTGTCCTTGTTGCTGGCGTGAAGCCCTCTGAAGCTCCAGCCCTTTAATCTCCCATTCTTGAACCCTGGGGAAATACAAAGCCCCAAATACTGGTCCAGCTTGACCTAATCCTTATCTTCTGGGGTTCCTCACTCTCACTCACCATTGCTACCACTGTGCTAGTCCTCAGGGGTTGGATAAGCCTGGGTCACATTCGTCATCACCCAGAGAGAAAAACCATGTTGCTTTTAGATACTTTGCTCTTGGAGTGACTGGTTGAGTCTAGATACTGTTCAACGTCAACTAGGGGCAGGTGTTGCTCTGGACTTGATGGTTGTAGAGGTGGTGTTGTCAGCATGCTGCTCCCTACTCCCAGCTTCAGATCTCTCGCCAGAATGCATTAGAGTACAGACTGCACCCTGTGCCTACAGCACATAGATAGATGACTGTCCTTCATTCCTGGAGGGATAGAAAGGACCCATACTAGGGAGGGGTCATGAAGCTTAAAGTTTGTTACTTTCAAGTTAAATTCACTTTTGGAGATACAGATGAGGAGAAGTAAATAGTATGTTTCTTTGTACGTGTTATATCAACATATTTTATAAATGTTGGTGATAAAGCCAAGAGAACATGATGATAGACCAGATGTGAGTGCAAGAGAAGCAAAGAAAGCAAGAAAAGCACCGTGGTTTTAGCCTGAGTAACTAGAAAAAAATAGTTGCTTGTTTTTCTTTTTTTCTTTTCTTTTTTTTTCCAGATGGGAAAGTCTATGGGAGGAGAACAAGAACAGAAATTCAGTTTGGACATGTGAAGTTTCTGATGGACATTGGCATACAAACAGAGATGTCAAGAAAGGCAGCTAGGTATATAAGGAAATAAGAGAAAGGATAGGGAAGAAGATACATGTTTTAGGGTCTTCAACATATAAATGGGGTTTGAAATTGTTTGATTGTGTGAGATTACAAAGGAATAGGAGAAATGAATTCAAAAGACTATTCCTTATGAGAGGTGAAGCCCGCTGGACTTCCTGGGTGGAGTGGGGACTTGGAGAACTTTTCAGTCTAGCTAAAGGTTTGTAAACACACCAGTCAGCACTCTGTAAAAACGAACCAATTAGCACTCTGTAAAATGGACCAATCAGCCCTCTGTAAAATGGACAAATCGTTGGACGTTGGTCGGGGGTGCTCCAAGTAAGGGAATAAAAGCTGGCTGCCGGAGCCAGCAGTGGCAACCTGCTCGGGTCCCCTTCCACACTGTGGAAGGTTTGTTCTTTCACTCTTCATAATAAATTTTGCTGCTGCTCACTCTTGGGGTCTTCACTACCTTTATGAGCTGTAACACTCACCGCGAAGGTCTGCAGCTTCACTCCTGAAGCCAGTGAGACCACGAACCCACCAGGAGGAACAAACAACTCCGGACGCACCACCTTTAAAGGCTGTAACACTCACCGCGAAGGTCTGCAGCTTCACTCCTGAAGTCAGCGAGACCATGAACCCACCGGCAGGAAGAAACTCCAGACACATCTGAACATCTGAAGGAACAAACTCCAGACACACCATCTTTAAGAACTCTAACACTCACCGCAAGGGTCCGCGGCTTCATTCTTGAAGTCAGTGAGACCAAGAACCCACTGGAAGGAACCAAATCTGGACACACTTATGTTGTACTCTCATCTTAAGATACCTAGATGTTTAAAACAAAGTAAAAATAATATCAATAAATAAAGAAGAGAAAAATTAGCAGCCAGTGAGGTAAGAAACAAAGGAGAGAGAGAGAGACAGAGGAGAGAGAGCGATTAAGAGAGAGAGAGAGAGGCTGTGCCCTGGAAGCCAAGAAATAAAAAGAAGTACATTAAAAGAATAGATGATCAAACAGATCAAGTAGGAGAAAGACTGAGAACGTATCATTGAAATTAAAAAAAAACATGTAAATTAAAAAAATTTTTTAATAATTTTATTGATGGTCTTGATAAATAGGTATAAACAAATGTGTTGTTAGAGGATGGGAAGAGAATAATTAAGCAGTTGAACTTTGCTTCATTTGTCTACCTCTACCTGGGTGATGTTTCTAGGGAAGAATAAACTCAGATAAGTTTAGGTTACTCCTCTTGTAAAACGTTAACAATAACCTACTAGACAACAAACTAATGATATTAGAGGAGAGTTCTTATCCATTAGATTATTTTAGTAGTTATTGGTTTAGTGACTATGGTAAACAAACCTAGAATCTGTAGGCTTATGAGGCCTGGGTTTTTGGAAAATATCACATAAACTATGTAACTACGTGAGTATAGAATGGAGCTGTTTCATTATCTGAATCTTCCTTGCTGTGTGAGGTACTGTTTATCTCATTTAGAGATCACTCCTCTTGACCAGAGCTAGAAAGTACATCTCAGGCTGGAATAAAGGACAGGGAGTCACCATACTATGCCTGTGCCCGTTATTTGCTTATATCCTTGAAATTATTTATAAAGCTTGACACAGTGAAAGATCTCTGTGAGTCCCTTATTTTCTGATCGGATCCTTTATTTAAGCTGAGAGAGGGTTCAAGAAAAAAAATGAAAGAGAATGGATATATTTTTCTAAGATCTTTCTTGTAAATGCAAGTAGAGGAATGGAGCACAGCTGTAGGGACAATGTGGGGTCAAAATGGGTTTCATATTTAGATTTTGTTTGAAAATTCTTTTGAGTTGAATAGTTACATGCTGACGAATTGGAAAACCTAGAGGAAATGGATAAATTTCTGGACACGTACAGCTTGCCAAGATTGAATGAGAAAGTAATAGAAAACCTGAACACACAAAACGTGAGTAATAAGATCTAGGCAGCAATACAATCTCCAATCAAAGAAAAGCCCAGGACTCAATGGCTTCACTGCTAAATTCTACCAAGCACTTAAAGAAAAACTAGTACCAATTTTAGTCACACTCTTCCAAAAAATTGAAAAGCAGGGAATGCTTCTAAGACTCATTCTACCAGAGCAACATTACCCTGATACTAAAACCAGACAAAACACACCCACACACACAAATAAAACGACAGGCCATTTTCTCTAATAGACATTGACACAAAAATCCTCAACAAAATGCTAGCAAACAGAATTCAACAGCATATTAAAAAGATCATTCACTGGCTGAGCACAGTGGCTCATGCCTATAATCGCAACATTTTGGGAGGCCAAGGCATGTGAATCACTCTAGCCCAGGAGTTTGAGACTAGCCTGGGCAACAAGGCAAACTCCATCTCTACAAAAAAAATACAGAAAACTAGCCCAGTGTGGTGGTGCATGCCTGTAGTCCCAGCTGCCTGGAAGGCTGAGGTGGGAGGATTACCTGAGCCTAGAAGGTCGAGGTTGCAGTGAGCTGTGATCACACCATTACACTCCAGCCTGAGTGACAGATTGAGATCCTGAATCAAAAAAAAAAAAAAAAAAAAAAAAAAGATCAATTATCATGATCAAGTGAAATTCATCCCAGGGATGAAAGGATGTCTCTATATGTGCAAATCATTAAGCATACATCACATTAAGAGAATCAAGGACAAAAATCATATGATTATTTCAGTGGATGCTAAAAAAGCATTCAATAAAATTCAACATCTCTTCATGATAAAAACTGGATATAAAAGGAACATACTTCAACACAAAAAAGGCAATATATGACAAATCTACAGCATACTGAAGAGGAAAAGTTGAAAGCTTTTCTTCAACTTTTCTTCAACTTGATCTGGAACAAGACAAGAATGCCTACTTTCTCTACTTTTACTAAATGTACTACTGGAAGTTTTAGGCAGAACAATTAAGCAAAAGAAATAAGTAAAGGGTATCAAAATTAAAAAGGATAAAGTCAAATGTTCCCTGTTTGCAGACTACGTAATCATATATGTAGAACCCCACATACTACACACACACACACGCACACACACACACAAAACCTGTTGGAAATAATAAATGAATTTAGTAAAGTTTCAGGATACAAAATCAACATACAAAAGTCAGTAGCATTTCTACACATCAATGCAAACTATTTGAAAAAAAACTCAAGAAATAATTCCAGTTATACTAGCTACAAAAAACCACCCCAAAAATCTAGAAATAAGTTTAACAAAAGAGGTCAAATATCTCTGCAATAAAAATTATAAAACATTGATGAAATAAATTAAAGAGGCCACAAATAAATGGAAACATCTCATGTTCATGGATTGGAAGAATTAATGTAGTTAAAATGTTTATATTATCTATAAGAATTAAAATGAGGGAAAAAAAACCTGCTCTCAGAAATGTTTACATATATTACTCAAAATAATGAACTACAATTATTATAGCAGAATCATTATTTGTAGTAACTTCAAACTGGAAACCACCCAAATACACATCAACTGTAGAATGGATAAATAAATTAGGATATAGTCACATAGGAGATTATCATATAGCAAATGGGAATGAACAATCTACAGAAACATGCAACAATATGAATGGGTTTTAGAAACTTCATGGTAGAGCAAAAGAATTAAGATACAAAAGGTTTGTGAAGTATTAATGTAAAGTAAAATATATTTATATAAGACACTATATTTATAGTGTATTTGTATAAAGTACAAAAATATATTTAAAAATCTATTTTGTCAAGTCAGGATACCAGTTACCCTTGAAGGGCTAGTTACTGGAAGTGGGGAAGAAAGGGAACTCTAGAGTACTTGCAATGTTTTATTTCTTGATGTAGGTTCATTATTGAGTCCAGCTTTTGAAAATTGTTGAGGTATAGTATGAATTTAGTAAAGTGGGTTTTAGAATGGGTTTTAGAAACTTCATGGTAGGATCTAGGCACTGTTCTGTACTTCATTAATTAAAAAAAAAACAACAATAAGCATACAAGTGGACATACAGCTACTCCACTTTTTTTTTTTTTTTTTTTTTTTTTAGATGGAGTATCACTCTGTTGCCCAGGTTGGAGTGCAGTGGTGTGATCTGGGCTCACTGCAAGCTCTGCCTCCCAGGTTCACGCCATTCTCCTGCCTCAGCCTCCCAAGTAGCTGGAACTGCAGGCACCCACCACCAAGCCCGGCTAATTTTTTTGTGTTTTCAGTAGAGACAGGGTTTCACCGTGTTAACCAAGATGGTCTTGGTCTCCTGACCTCGTGATCGGCCCTCCTCAGCCTCCCAAAGTGCTGGGATTACAGGCATGAGCCACCACGCCTGGCCGACTCAACATTCTTATCCCATTTAAACGACCTAATTAAATTGAGCCCTCATAACAGCAAACTTTATAACTAAAGAAGTGCAGCAGAAAATAAAGATGTAGTTTTTTGTTGTTGTTGTTGTTGTTGTTTGTGTTTCTTTCTTGAGACGGAGTCTCACTCTGTCTCCCAGGCTGAAGTGCAGTGGTGCAATCTCAGCTCACTGTAACCTGCACCTCTTGGGTTCAACTGATTCTCCTGCCTCGGCCTCCCGAGCAGCTGGGACTACAGGCACATGCCACCATGCCCAGCTAATTTTTGTATTTTTAGTGGAGATGGGGTTTCACCATGTTAGCCAGGTTGGTCTTGAACTCCTGACCTTGTGATCCACCCGCCTCGGCCTCCCAAAGCGCTGGGATTATAGACGTGAGCCACTGCACCTGGCTGGATGTAGTTATTTTAAGTCTTTATCTCATCTTCCATCCTTAATCCTCCATATAGGAAATTCTCTCAGCTGAGCATTCTTGCTTCAAAAGAATATTACTGTTAATGATGCAGTAGTAGTCATACTGTTTAGATTATGCCTTGGTTGAAGTAGGTCCCTATCAAAGGAGATTCTTCTATTAATAGCCATGCTATATGTATAATTCTTAATTCATAATTGGTAAAGTTGGGAGTATGATATAGCAGCTCCTCCCTTTGGAAAAAGCCATACTTTTTCCCTCCAACCATTTAAAATAAAGAGTAGGCCCTTCTCTTTGCTATATAGCTATCAAATTGTAACATTTTACATTAAGTAAAAATAACCTGAATTATTTTTTTGACTTACTTATGTAAAATGTTGACTAATTACCAAGACTTTTTTTAAGAGCCTGTAAATGTTTAAGCTGGCTTAGAGACTCAATGAACCAGCATGTAAAATCTCAGCATTCTTAAAGCTAGAACAATGAGAAATAGCCTAGTACTGATACTTTTACTGTTGAAAATTATACTCACTATTCACAAATTAGTTTAATGATTGTGTTCAGTGTTCTCATGTTTAAAGGTGAAATAAACATAACCCTGAATTTTGAGAAGGATTATGTGGCCATGGTTAGATGTATGTGGAAAGAAAGGTGAGATCACGTAAAGTGGTGGTAAAAATGGTTAGCCCAGTAATTTTACAGTCAAGCAAAGACATGGAAATGTCAGGTTAAGTAACACGAAGATACATGGATACTAAACAACACACGAATGGGGTAGAATATAAAGGTAGTAGGAATTAAATGGAGAAATCTATGGTGTTATATTGGATAAGGAAGGGAAGACTACGGAAATATGTGAAGTCTTTTTGTTTGTTTTTAGCAAGATGAGCTGGATGGAGCAGATGGTCAGATTGGCCCTGTATCTGTCAATTATATTATTTGCATGATGGTAAGGTAGAGAGAAGTTGCCGGTGCTCACTGAGAAAATTTAGATGAATGCTTTATAATGGCTTACTTATGAATGAATATAATAGTCTGGTTTTTTTTGTTTTTTTTTTTTTTTTTTTGCCCAGCAGGTAGTTGGAGGAAAGCATTAACAATATTTAGAAGCAGAAAGCTGTTGATACGGTTTGGCTTTGTGTCCCACTCGAATCTCATGTTGAATTGTAATCCCATAATCCCCACATGTCATGGTAGGAACCTGATGGGAGGTAATTGAATCATGGGGGCAGTTTCCCCCCATGCTGTTATAGTGATAGTGAGTGAGTTCTCATGAAATCTGATAGTTTTATAAGTCTCCGGCATTTACCCTGCTGGCACTCATTCTCTCTCCCACCGCCTTGTAAAGAGGTCCCTCCCGCCATGATTTTAAATTTCCTGAGGCCTCCCCAGCCATGAAAAACTGTAAGTCAATTAAACCTTTTTTGTCTATAAATTACCCAGTCTCAAGTATTTCTTCATAGCAGCATGAGAACAGGCTAATACAGTTGTTATAAGATATTCCTGACACTCATTCAATGAAACGCTGACACTTCTGTAGATCGCCATGCAATATGTGTAATTCTCAATTATTATCCTAATCCTCAGGAGGAGACAGACATTTAGCAAATTTCGGAACAAGGGGTTTGACAGTAGGGAAAAAAGTTAGAGCTGGAATCCACTGCCAGTTACAACAAAGAGAGGGCCTTTTAGTCACAGAAATGAAAATAGAGTTTAAGTATAGGGATTAGCGTGTGTCCTCCAGGCTAGGACAGCAAAAATGGTAGGGTTCTTCTAAATGAGTGTAAACTGCTCTGGCCTCAGGTCCTGGGATAATAAGAATTAAATGTTGTTAAAGTCCTGATGTTGAGTCAACAATTTCTAGCAGTAAGAGAAAGGGATAGAGAAGTTGAGAACTAGGCTGGCCCTGTGGTTTCAAATAGAAAGTCCCGTGGTGCTTTGTGATGGTTAATTGTATGTGTCAACTTGGAGGGTGTTTCTGGATGAGATTAATATTTAAATTAGTGAACTTTGAGTAAGCAGACTGCCCTTGATAATGTGAGTGGGCTTTATCCAATCACTTAAAAGCCTAAATAGAACAAAAGGACTAGCCTCCCCAGGAACAAAGGAATTCCCCAGCAGACTGCCTTTGGACCTCATCTGCTCAATCAGCTCTCCTGGGTCTCAAGCCTACCAGCCCTTGTTGCATTTGCCAGTTTCCATAATTATAAAACCCAATTCCTTATAATATCTATCATCTATCTACGTATCTATGTATTTATGTATCTATGTATCTATTTACCTATATACACACATAATTAATATTATATATTACTTGGGGGTCTGCACAGCTGCTCAGGACTATATATTTTTTAACATGTACTCAAAAATAGAATTGTGTTTGATTTATTGAATAAATGTATAAACTAGGCATGTTTCAGAGGTATTCATTTTTACTTTACAAAATAAAAATGAATCAATCTGAAAAATACATCATTTCAGCTAATGTGAAAGATGCTAAGTCTAGAAAAGAAATCTTAATTTACCATGCCTAGCCCAGCTTCCTAAGCTCTAGTTTTCACTACTTCCGTTTACACCATGTGTTTCCTTTCATAGTTGCTGAAGAAGTAGGAAGTACAGTAGCCACCAAGAGATAGCCACCATTCTCATCAATAATGAGCATAGTTGTAGCCTACCAATATCTTAGTACATTAAATCACTTAACTGTCACAGGAAGAACTATGGGGGAGGATTAGATTTAAGAAAAGCTGAGAAATTCCTGAAAAAACCTGCATGTCAGAACTCACATAAAAGCAAGACCTGCTTTAAAATCTAAGATTTAAAAATGATGTAGTTTACCAATATCTTTCCCAGTGTTAATACCATGAACACAAATTTTAAAAAGTGCCAAAATACCTCAAACCACCAAAAACAACCCCTTAAAAAATGTGTTAACTTTGAAACTTTGTTTAAATACTTCCTCTTTAATGCTCTGTTTCTAGTTCCACAAAGAAAAAATGTTTAGGAATTAATATTTCCCTCAGGACAAATGTACACCTGATTTTTTTTTTCTAGAAAGTTTGTGATTTGCAATGTCTTGCAGACCTCTTAAGGATATCAAGTTTTCACACATTGAAAAGGCAAAGGGAATAGGGACCTCTACCACAGTAGTATAATGGAGGTTGTTATCCGAAGTGCAGGGGTCAGTGAAACCAATATTTTACTTTTAGCCTCTTCCCCTCAAGACATCAGAGGGTTTGTGTTGAACTAAGATGCTATGCCTCTGCCGATGGGGCCTTACACAAAGCTCAGTCTTTCACCGGTGGCGGCAATGGCAGAAGCAGAAGTGTTCTGTCAGCAATTATTGTTTCCCAATTGTCTTGAGAGATTTTATATTATTCTTTTATTTCTAAAACAAAATTTAAATAGTTAACATGTACTAGTTTGATAGGGCTGCTGTAACAAAGTACCACAAACTAACTGGCTAGTATAAACAATGGAAATTTACTGTCTTATAGTTCTGGAGCCTGGAAGTTTGAAATCAAGGTGTTAGCAAGGTTGATTCCTTCTGAGGTTCGTGAGGAAGGATCTGTTCCAGGCCTCTTTCACTGGCTTGTAGATGGCCCTCTTCGTGTTCACATGGCATTCTCCCTAAATGCGTTATCTGTCTCATTTCCCCTTTAAATAAGAATGCATTCTAATGATCTTATTGTAACTTGACTCAGTTTAACTTGATTGCCTCTGTAAAGATCCTATCTACAAATAAGATCACAAGCTAAAATACTGGGTCTTGGGACAACAACATCTGAACTTGGTAGGGGACACAATTTGACCTATAACAGTGAGTCTGTCAAAGAGAATGCATGGACTGACTTCCAGTTCACCATGAGTGTCCAGACAGTATGTTTATGTTAAGCTATCTTAATGTCTATAACTTTAAACTATGATCATTTGTTAGGTGTTTCCATGTGACAGGCATTGTTAGTCATTTTTCCATATATGTACATGTAAAGATAAACATATATGCATGCATATATTTACATATTTATAAATATATTTTTAATGCAAATCTTTATAGGTCAAAATTGTTATGTTTAACAAATAAGGGAATTAGTCTATGCGAGATGAGGTAAATTTCAAAAAGTTATAGAACAAAGTAGTAATCGAGTCAAGGTTTAAACTGAGCTTTGTCTTACACCGAAGCTGATATTCTACAGCCTCTACAGGGCTATTTTATGTACTTTCACCTTATTCTTTCTTTTTTCTTTTTACTTTTTTGTAAAGATAGAATCTCATTTTATCACCCAGGGTGGAGTGCTGTGGTGCAACCTGCGCTTACTGCAACCAAACCTCCCAGGTTCAAGCGATTCTCCTGCCTCAGCCTCCCAAGAGATGGGATTACAGGCGTGTGCTAACACGCCCAGCTAATTTTCGTATTTTTAGTAGAGACAGGGTTCCACCGTGTTGGGCAGGCTAGTCTTGAGCTCCTGACCTCAGGTGATCTGCCCACCTCAGCCTCCCAAAGTCTTGGGATTTTAGGGGTGAGCCACCATGCCTAGCACTTTAATTTTATTCTTATGTGTACTTTCTGTGAGTCAGATGCTATTTATACATGATATGATCTAGAAATTTTAAAGCAGGTATTAGTCTCTCTTCAGTGTGAATTCTTCATTTGCTTTTATGTGAGTTCTGACATAGAGGTTCTTTCAGGAATTCCTCAGCTTTTCTTAAATCTAATCCTACCCCATAGTCTTCCTGTGACAGTTAAGTGATTTAATGTATTAACATTCTGTGTTTTGAATTGGTCATCAATAGAAACATGTAAGTGTTTTAACACAGTAACAGTTTATTTCTCATTCACATTACATTAGGTTGGTGCAAAAGTAATCGTGGTTTTTGCCTTTACTTTTAATCTGAAAAACCGCGATTCTTTTGCACCAACCTAATAGCTCAACGCAGGTTGAAGAATGGAGTGGATCTGCTCACATAGTCATTCAGAAACCCCAGTTTCTTCCATCTAATTGTTCTGCCATCCCTCAAGTTTTTAAGGCTGGCATTATGTTTTCAGCATCTTGTTGATAAAAAAGAAAAGAGTGAGAATATAGGGAGAATTGCACTGGATGTTTTTAGGGGCAGAGTTTGGAGTTGCATATATCATTCCCATCAATATTCCAGTTGCTATAATTTAGTTCCATGGCAAGGTTAGGTGAAAAATTTAAAAGCAAAAGGGAATGAGAGAATAGTAAACAACTAGTCAATTTTCTACAAATGCTTAGATAAAAAAAGCTTAAGTGAGAGCTCAATACTGGAACTAAGATCCATTGTTTATTAAGATTGATAAGCCTGTGAAGTCTTCATGACACAGCTAAACAAAGAAAATGAATTCCACTATCCAGGTTATGTTAAAAAAAATTGATGATCTAACTAATGTATATTATTGAGTATATAAGGAAAAAAATACATGGTCTTTGCCCTTAAGGAATTATATATTTTTAAAATTAGCAGTATCAACAGTAAAAATATATATCCAATTTATATTCATTAAGGTATTTTATACAAATATTATCTAGGACTAGCGGTATGTTAACATCTTAGAAAGAAAGAGAGTTCCTTTTTACTAATTTGCACATTAGTTCCTTTTTCTTTATAATACAATTTCATAAACTTCATCAATAAGAATATATTTAAACTCAGAACAAAAACAGGCAGAACTGACTTAGGTTGGATTCCAGCAGGAAATAGTTGAGAAATTGCAACACAGATCAGTAGAAAGAGATGAGAAAATTGGATAAAAAGCAATTGGAACAAATGCACTTAATCATGTAAATAAAAAAAGCAAGATTGCGATGGAATGGTTTTTAGAAGAAATGGTAATTCAGCATGTGATTGATACTGGGGAAGAAAAAGGAAATTTGCCTAAGAGAAAGATGTACCTAGCAGAAACTAGAGAATAGTAATACACTAAAGATTTAGTTGTAGACATGAGGAATAGTACAGGCAGGAGGTATTAAGAAGGTTATTTTGTGCAGAAAACTAGAAAATGTCTAGTCTAAGGATTTCTGTGCACCATGACAAGGAATTCCCAGCTAATCTGAAATTCTGATGACTGTGAAGTTTAGTGTTTACTCTGGCTAAAGGGCTGAATGTTGAGCTTAGAGAAGACTAGGTGCTTGAGGCTATCATAAAGTCTTAGATATGGGAGCACAGTGCAAATAGAGATAAACTACCCATGATCATGTCTCCAAAGCTATGATATCTGTAGAAAAGAAAATGAAACCGTGTACAAAAAACACATTGAAGTGTCATTTTTAAGTAGAACCTTCTCTTGACTCTTTCTTAATTTATCTTCACATTGAATTTGTATTGTCAAATTCTAAGGGTTTTTCTTTCCTAGACTTTTTTTATTGGGAAGGGTTTCCTAGAATATATCTATAGGATAAAGATGGATAAAAGGGGACAGAGGCTAGGAAGAGGATGGCTTCCAAAATAGCCTCAAAATAACATGTATCTCTAAAGACCTGTGGATGGTACTCATAATAAATATAGATATGTCCTTATTTTTAACAAAAAAAGTAAAGCTTAGAGAAATAACAATACTGTCTAAAAGTCTCAAATCTTGCCACTGGCAATTGTAAATATGAACACTGGTTTATAACCCAAAGCTCACTTTGTAATCATATTGCTGACATTAAAAGTCAAATTAATCTCCTCATTACAGTGCAGATAGCATTGCCCGGCAGTAAAAATAACCTTTGCCAAGTCAAAAGATGTCCAGTCAGGAAAACCATGCACTCTCCTGCACATGTGTGAGCACACACACACACACACACACATATGCATGCTCAAGTGTGCAAATACACCACTTATATTTACAACTTAAAGCAGGTAGCATTAGACAAGGTAGGACTATGACTGTTTGAAAATATTTAGTATGTAAATGTAGTCAAATGAGATTTTAAATCTTCCTTTTGATCTATGTAAGCCCAGTAATTCACTGACAAACCTATTTTGTTTAGAGAAAATTAACAGTTTAAATTGCACCAGGTTGGTACTAATATTGTACAGACATTTGTGATGAGAATCAACATACTGAAATGACTAGTTTTATTCTTTTAGTCATGGATTCAAAAAATATTCATTGAGTTCCTCTTCATTTCCAAGAATTATAGTAGATTTCAGGTTGTAGTAAAATATAAATAATATATATATATTTACACATACACACATACACACCTGCCCACACACACACATATATTTATATGTTTTATATATATATAAAATCTATACCTATATATACCAAAATTGCACATGTATTTTCATTAAAGTTGTAAATGTTATCACAGCTCCACTTGCAATTAATGGTTATTATTACTCCTTATGAGCTAACTTTGTTTACTTCTAACTGTTCTCTGCTACTTTTGTTTAAGCATATCTATGAATTACCAAAACAATTGAAATAACATTGAAGAAAAGGTGGCATATATCATGAATCCAGCATCTTCTCTGTGTTAATTTATTTGTTCCTGTTTTCCCATTGTAAATCCGCAGGCTTCCTTATCTCCTCATCTGTCAAGCTTCACTTTATTACAAGGGACATTCCTATAAGAATTAATACAGTGAATTTGTGTCTCCTTCAAAATAAAAGACGGTCATTTTATTCTGATTTAAGAACATTTAATTAACTCTACTGTCTTGCTCATTTGCCGATTTTACCCACAATGCACTATAACACATTTTCCTTTAAAGTTATCACGACCTACAGATGTGTCATTTTTATCCTTGTGGCTACCATTGAGCAAAGTGATGGACAGATTGAGAAAGTACTGCAATTACTGTTTCAGTCATATCCAACTGAATATATAAATGTTAGGAGAGAATGGAGGGCAGGAGATTTCAACTTGCCTGATCTGATTCTCTTTTTTTTCATTCTCCAAATCTGTCAGCGACTGTAATAGCATTGATACAATCTCTGAGCTGCTTGTCTACCATGACTTACACATTTTAAATTTAAACTAACTTCCCTTTTTGTATGTATCTCATATTTCCTAAAGCAGTGGACTAGTAAGCATAAAAGTGCACATCATAAAATGGGTAGGTAATTCCTCCCTCATAAACATCTTGAAAGACATAGCAAATAAATAAACAAAACCAAAAACAACCCAATGAAAAGAAACAAACAAAAATCTACTGCTATGACATTATTACAGACATAATGAGAATTTATAAACATAGTGTACTTTACATCACATTATGCTCAGAATAAGAAAATCACTTTAAGTAGGTTTTGATTAATGAGACACTCAAGAGGTTAATTGAACAAAAATTTGACCTGGCTTTTCTTCTAAAGGCTAATTATAAAGTTTGTATAACTCAATTTACAACCTTAGAAAATAACCATGTTTCAGAGCTCTTCTTCTTTCATTACTTTTTACTCCTGATGTTGATGATGATGAAGATGATGATTATTAATTTTTAGGATGAGGGGAATTTAGCTTAGGGTCAATATCCTAGACTTGAATTATGATGGGAAACATATAAAAAGACTCAATCGTTATAAGCACAATTCTAACAGCACTACATGTTATTAACAACTGACTATGCAATTTGTTTGCATGTGAGAGAAGGATATTTGACACTTTTACAAATGAAATACCTCATTTTTTCCCGAAATATATCAAAGAATTCCACCTAATTCTGACATTCTCCACTTAAATCTATTTGAGTTACAGAAGGGTGGACTCTTTAATATCTTCAATATATAAAATTTACTTATGATATTTTTTTCTGATAATGAAAAAATGGTTTATGTTCTCTTCAAAGTGAGTTGAAATTGATTGAATGTTAGTAGGCATGATGCTATTATGGCACATTTGCATAATTCCTTTATGATTATTTTATAGTGGAAGCAGAGCTCCAATGAAGGAGCTCTTTAGTTAAGTCACTATTGTCTTTTTTAGAGGTCAGGCAACTCCACTCAAGATAATATTTATCCATGTCCTCAATTAACAATGCACTGCAGATAAGACCTGTTTCTTAATCCTGAAATGAATCTAGAACTGGAGGGAGCAGGTGCATGTCAAAATAGAATGGGTTTCTTTCCAGCATTTTTGGCCAGGACTCAATCAATGATCTGCTCCCAGAAAGCAAGAAGAATGATAAAAATGACACTTGGAGAGTAGGAAACCTTCTCAAATAACAAGATGAGGATTTTGTTGAAATCCTGGCATTTCTCAGATGATTTGAAAGGAACCCAGTAAAAGGTAATTGGGCTGGTGTCTAAATAGAAGTAAGAAAAAGCAAGCATGGAGGGAGTGATAGAAATTAAACCCAGAGAACTCTTCTGGAAAGGTGAACTTCATAGGGACACTCCCTTTCCAGCCTCTTGTTAGATAATACCTTATCTAACTTTGTGTTTTGTTTGAACAGGAACACATTTTCTCTTAAAAACACAAAGGAAATATATACATTTTATTTATTTTAACATTAAAGGCTTTTTCTCTTACGTACTTAAGAGTTCCCAATATTTTTAGCCCAATATTCTAGGTCAGACTAGAGAAATACACTTGAGTTTTACCATTATTCTTCCTTCCCTTAATATCATGAAAGGAGAAAAGATTTTCAGTAAAAGTTTAGGAAGATGTGTATTAGCAAGTTAACACAATAAACATGGGTTTTTCTTGTGCATGTTTTACCGCATCATAATGTATGTTATGCAATATGCATGTGCTCCGTGGCTTAAAAGCTCTCTCTTCCTATAAGCCTATCAGATTTTCAAGTACTCAGCTAGACAGAATTTCAACCTAAACCCCCGGGATCTTTCTCCCATTACCACCTAACAGTGGGATTAATTAGTAGCTGAAAGAGTCATGCTGGGGTTTCAGTAATTGCTCAACTACGCCCTGAGTCTGCAGTCATTTCAGGAAGGGAAAAGGGTACTCTGCTGACAACGCTACCGGCGGGTTTTGTTTCTACATTTCAATATTAACCTTAAGACAAAGAAGAAATAACTTTTATAAGGAATTGTGCAATTAAAAGAGCTAAATTGCAATGTTGCTTCTTTCCTAGAACCCTGCTATTGCCAAGCATAGTTTACATTGAGGCCTGCCTGTCTCTTTCACAGTGACACCAGAATTTGACACATTCACGGGCGGTGAGGCTATAATCTGAGCCAAGATACTAATTATAAAGAACATGAAAGGATGCTAAATTTGGCTAGAGAACAAAAGCAAATGACTGTGCTTTTAAAAATCAGTTCTAACATTTGATCTTCTTAATCATTTATGGTGGTTGTAATAATGCTGGAAAATAACACTGCATAAAGGATTAGTAAACATTGCTAAGAAGAAATTAGCCCAAAGATAATAAGATTACATTTGGTTGAAAAACCCAGTTCCATCCTCATCTATTCAAACTTTTTGTGAATTCTGCAGTAGAAGCCATCTCTGGTTTGCCAAATCTTTGCTTGATTTAGTTACACATAACAATTATCTTTTAGAATATGAACATGATTGTTTTATAATTGTATTTTTGCTTGATGGGGTCAGGGTTCTTTTGCTTCTAGTAAAACCTACATGGTTAAATGCAGTGTAGAGAAAGATTATCACATGCCATGTGCTTGTTCTTAACCATGTGTTTCCCTCTGAATAGCTGCTTTCTCTTTAATTATGTCTTAATGGGGAAGGTGTACATTATCGACTTTATCCCTTCAGCCCTCACAACTTCGCAAACCAAATCCTATTTGAACCAATTATGCACCCTTTTCCTAACTGAGGACAAACTGGTTTAGTTTCAGCAATTCCATTTTTGTTCACTGAAATATTAACCAACCTAAATTCACATTCAAGTCTGAGAAACCTTTCTCAGCAGTGGAAGACAATCGTGTATTAGTTGTCTCATTTGTCAAACACAATCCAAACACTGTCAAATTGTCTCAATGCCTACAACATTTATAGTACAGCTACCAGAATCAGAATTAAAAATACTTGGAGCACAAATTTTCCCTAAAAGCTTAGGTAAAGTTTAACTCTTATAACAAACATGAAACCTTGATCCTCCAGGGTGTAGAGGTAGAGATTTTGCAAAGAGAATACCTACCCAGGAGAGACATGGATTTTGAACCTTACCAGATGAATCCAGGGCGTAACATACACTAAAAGGCCCCAGGGAAAGAAACTCCCCCTTTTTTTCATTCTTTAAACTTTCTTTCTGAGTAAATTCAGGCAGTTTCTCAATTTATGAACGTTTCCTTCCAGCAAGGTTTGATCATTGTAAACGCATTGCTGGAATGGCAGACTCTTTTTGGCAGAATCCAGAGTCAACAGATATGTGCCCAGGAAACCAAGTTCCCAATCTGGGAAGGTCAAATTCAGGTGAATTGCAAGAAAGTCACTTTCCAGTCATGCTGATTTCTTCTAAATTAAGCAGTGCTGGAAAACACAGACACTGGCGACACTGCTATTCAGATAAGTTTGACTCATTTAGCAGCAGTAGTAAACCCGGGAAGCTGACTCAAATGAGCGAATGCCAATAATGCTGGTAAACAAGTATTCACACCTGTTAACAGCTGTGTGGATTTGCTGCACCAGGTATGCTATGTAAACTTAACTCAGTGCCGCATTTATCACTTATTAAGAGTTATAAAAATGCATCATGCAGACTATCCTTCCGGCAAATGTCACATATAAAGCTGGATGCCATTGATCAGTTGCCACAATTAAGTAGATTCATAAGCATAATGTATATGAGAGATCACATCAAATGAGCTCTATAAAAATTCTGTACTATGAAAAATAGCAAAGGAAGACTCCTCCAAAACCGCATCCCTGGATGAGTTCCACAAACCATTCAGTTCTAATATTTTCAAGAAGCCAATGGAAAACCAGCATGTTAATTTTTTTGGTGGGGGAAGCACAATAGAAAATTATGATGAAGAGGTGCAGACTGCTGATTAAACTGCTGCAAAGCCAATCAAACACAAAATTTGGGAATTTGCATATTATATTATATATTCTATTGTAATAATGGGAGATACTGTGTGCAGATCTTCCAGGTGCTAGTTATGCAATTAACTTGATTGTAAATTTCTCCTACTTCTGTATAACATTCTTAATAAACTGAATAATCCTATCATGGATATTGAGCCCCTTGAATACTGAATCATAGAATTAATATGTTGGAAAGTACCTTAGGGGTCAGTTGTCTAACATGTTCTCCCTCAGCTTTTCTAGAGAACCAATTTAAAGTCACTGATGAGCTTCAACTTAAATATGTCATAGTGATGAGGACCTCAGTCCTTCACAAGAAATATATTTATTTTCTGAAGATTGCATTTCTCCATTGTGTTACATTCTTCTTCCCCACAATTTTATACACTAGTCCAAATTCAGTGCATTTGAGCCTATTGCTTCCCACAACAATGTAGTTCCCTGAAGCACAGAGACTATGTTTGTCTTGCCCATGTTGGTACCCACATCATTTGTGTACTGGTGTACTATTACACAAACATTTACAGTTCCAGATAGTGGACAACATAAATACGTATGTTTATTAAGTTAGTAAAACAACAGAAATTAAACATCTTTCCTATTATATCCTGATAATCATGAAAATGTTTAAAAACAGTTATAAACCCTTTAATTCATTTCACATTCTTCAATTTTTACTTATATACTTCACCATCCTGATTGCATATCCATGGGTTTAAGTGTATATGTGTGTCTGCGTGAGTGTGTGTGTATGTTTTCATTGGCAAGAGAGAGAAGAGATGCCCATGCCTTATTACCTTATGCCAGTATTCTTTAGCCATTGGCAATTTTTTTTTTTTTTTTTGAGATGGAGTCTCCCTCTGTCACCAGACTGGAGTGCACTGGCGTGACCTTGGCTCACTGCAACCTCTACCTCCTGGGTTCTAGCGATTCGCCTGCCTCAGCCTCTGGAGTAGCGGGGACTACAGGCACACGCCACCATGCCCAGCTAATTTTTTGTATTTTTAGCAGAGACGGGATTTCATCATGTTGGCCAAGATGGTCTCAATCTCTTGACCTTGTGATCTGCCCGCCTTGGCCTCCCAAAGTGCTGGGATTACAGGCGTGACCCACTGCACCTGGCCGGCAATTTTTAAATGATGTAATTATTTTACCTGACCAGGTTCTCTTTGTCCTGGTATATCAAAATCACGGTCATGGTATAGCAGCCTGTTTACATTATCATCATAAATTCTTCAGCAGTGTTGTCCCCCCTAGTGTTCCGGATATCAGCCATGCTTTTCCCCCTCTCCTTCTGCTCTTTCCCCTCCCTTAGCACTGCAGCTGAGTGGAGCACAGAATGCTGAGACCATGCAGAAGAAGGAATCTATTTTTCTGAGGTAGAGTTATAGGAAGGGAGGGCCTGTGTTTTATAAGCCCATTAGAAAAACACAACCCTTACAACTACATTGGTCTGTTCTCTCCTGACTTGATGTTTGGAGCGCAGAGGGGATGAAAGGGAGGAAGAGTTCCCACTGCCAGAGTAAGTTAACATGAATACTACAGATGAAATTCATAATGAGGACCATATCTATACTATTCATTCCCATATCTTCCTGTCTCTTTCAAAGTGATAAATTCAAATAAAAATGATGTTGAAAACAATATCTATTCCTTCATTTATGTCAGTGTCTTATGAGTTCTTTGAAATATATCTATATCATCTATATTGATGATATAGACATCTGTACCATTCCCTACATTTTGCACTATAGCGAAATATGCACTTTACCTTGTTTTTTAACTTTCTTTAACATTGAAGACTTCAGAAACTAAGAAAATTCAAATTTTTGTCCCTCCCTTCTATCTTATATTGTTGTGCTTGTCTACGTCCCAGATTTGTTAGCTAGAGCTGACATTTTCTGGCAATCATTAACAAAGATTTTGAAAACTTCCTAGGGTGAATTCTAAGAAAAATAGTCCATGTAACAATTATTTATTTTGTACCTACTATGTAAAACCATTTTCAATACCATTCCCTATGGAGATTTTAGTTGGGATGAGAGGAATCCAAAAACAAATACATGTTATGAGTGAATAATATATATATTAATGGATAATAATAGTGGAAAAATAAAGCAGGCTACAGTGTTTTGGCCAAGGGCATGAGAGTGACAATTTGTTGGTCAAACACTGCAAAAGTAAAACCTTTGAGTAAAGAGATAAGGAGAAAGAAGTAAGAATTATGAAGGTAATTGGTACAAGCACACAAAAGAAACTATTGTAATATAACTCAGACTTCACTGTGCATGTACATGAAGTCAAGTAGCACAGGGGGTCTACAGATAATTCCATCAGGAGAACAGAATTTGTCAGTATAGTTTAATAAAAGATCAAAAGGAAGAAAAAAGGAGGGTGATTTTAGTTACTTTTTAAATGGTTCCATTTTTATATAAAATAGAAAAATCCTTCAGCTCTTAATCTTAACATAATGTTCAACATTTTTGCTTTTTATTCGTGTTGCCATTATTTGAACCTATTTTATCATACTTTCTCATTTTCATGTGCTGTCTCACTTTTGGAATCCATTAGGTGTAAATGTGTGAGTGCCAAGAATATCACTTGGGATCCTGCTTTGCATGAGGATTCTAGAGCCAATTTTCATGCAGAGATGGATGGGAAAGGTTTCAGGAAAGCTATTGAATTTTCATACGGGAGCTCAAATGAAACCTTGAAGCCATGTAAATTTACTTCATTGAAACACACATAGCGTATAAATTTGCATTATATTTTATAATACATACTTATTTTTCTCATCTCTATAGTAAATTGGGAGGGCAACTAGACTTTATCAAAACTCTAATCATCTAAATTAAAAGTCGTAAATAATTTCAGGGTGTGTTATGCATGCAGCATATGTGCGTGAGCTCTCTCTCTCACACACACATCCTTCTCAAGCTGATTTCTGGAAAACAGCTAAACCAAATGTGTCGGAAAGAAAAAAGCCTATTAGAGATAGAATTGAATCTTTCACACGTTATCTTCTCTTTTCCTTCTCTTGCGTAGGCAACATAATTCAATTCTGCCTTGGCCACTCACCTTTGACAGAAAACTTTAAGGTGGTGATTCTGTGGATAAATTAACTTTGATAAAATAATTCCATCCTGTGGATATCTTGGCTTCAGGTATATATCATCATTTAGAAAAGTGGCTGAAATGTTACCTTTAGGATGAGGACTTGCAGAGGCTGAATAAATGCTGAATGTTTATAGTTGGCTTTGCCTATGGGTTGAGCATAAAATGGATCACAGGAAATAAATTAGTTTCTTTCTGCACAGAGCTATTCAACACGTATCCATTATCATAGGAACAATTCAATTAGCGGCTCTTGGGGACCAGAATATAGCCCTATAATCTTCATCTTAATAGCATCTATATATCATTGCAATCTAATCTCCAGGTTGAACTGAGAGGAAATGGCGGTTACCCATAAATTTAAAAAAAAAAACGTTTAAATAGTACTAGTCTAGTTCCATTCTCATTATACTCTCCTGGTATACATTTTAAATGTTTTCCTTTAGTGCACACTCTGAGTTCTGCAAATTTAGTACTGCTATTTTGATTTGACTTGGTCTTTTTAATTTTTAGATAATTCAGTAGGATGAAAGAGAATTGTTTGCTAGTTGGAGGCTGTTTACATTATCATCATAAATTCTTCAGCAGTATTTGTCCTCCCTAGTGTTCGGAATATCAGCCATGCTTTTCCCCCTCTGCTTCTCGTCTTTCCCCTTCCTTAGTGCTGCAGTTGAGTGAAGCACAGAATGTTGAGACTATGAAGAAGGAGTCTATTAGAGTTACAGGTAGAGTTATAGGAAGGGAGGGGCTGTGTTTTATAAGTCCATTAGAAAAACACGGTCCTTACAACTACATTGGTCTATTCTCTCCTGACTTGATGTTTAGAGCACAGAGGGAATGAAAGGGAGGAAGAGTTCTCACTGCCAGAGTAAGTTAACATGAAATGACCTTTCCCATTATCTCCTTCCTTACCATTGCAACATTGGGCACACTGCTCCTCCTAGTCTGATTTAATTCATTCACCAAAAATACAAAATCTGGTGTATGTGTGAGCTGGAAAAGGAAACTGCCAATAGAATGGTGTTCATGTGTGAAATCATTGCCAGCCATGTGAGATCCATCCTGGCTTGGCACTCACAAAGCTGGAGGGAACAACTCAGTTTAATGGAGGAGCTGAAGAACAAGAAGTTATACTATGTATATGAGGGCATTCTTTATGGCCATTGTGTGATTATTTCCCCTGACATCACCCTTACTGTAGCTCTTACCATTTTAGATTTGAATAAATGACTTGTTCCCAGCCACTGACCTACTCCCACGTATTCCTCCAAGACATCACACTCTGCCAGATTAATCTTTCTGCAAGAGAGCTTTGCAGATGTCTTCCCTCTACTTTATGCTTGCAATGGACCCCTCTGTTGCTCCCTGGATGATAAAGTTCACACTTCTTAATCACAGTATTGTAGACATCGTGATCTTTTCTTTCCTTACTATGCTAAGTAAGGCCTCCGTTCAAATCTTGCCTGCTTGGCCAATTTTCCCCCCAGAAATCTTATTTTCATACTGTGTGGAAAACTTGGATGCCTTTTTTTGATGTTATACCTCCTTTGAAACTCAGCTTATGCTCTTCCTGACCCTTCAAGGCATGTCCCGTTGGAAAAGTGACCTTTTCCACCTTATTTTTCACCACTTTCTCTTATACAGTCTGATATGACGACCACACAGCTTCTTCAAGACTTTACTATGCTATCTATGCTTACCTGTGTTTTAGGTGATTTTGTGATAACTACCTGGCACGTTGCAGATAACAACATCGCCTTCCCTTTTCCAATTATTCCCTTTGTCCCTTGTCAGTCTGTTGAACTCCTACATATTGGCTCAACCTATTTATTTACTTTTTTTTAAATAAGATTTTCCCAGCAAAAGCCCTAGGAAGAATTTGATCCTCTCTCATCTGCACTCCCATTCATTTTTATCCATACACTTTTTTATCACATGCATATTTTTTGAGTTACTGTTTACATGCTTGTCTCTGCTACTTCTTAACCCAACCTGTAATTCTTTGAGGGTAATACAAGAGATCTATTTATTTACATGCCCTCAAACCTTAGCAAAGTAATTTTGAAACATAGTTGGTCCTCTATAATGGTTTATCATTAATAATAATTTACCATGGATTCCTTTGTTATATAACTGAAGTAAAAGAAAATTTCTCTCTTCAAGTAATCGTGATCTTTTAATTGATTTCACCAAAGACAATAGTCTTAATGCATGCTGCTCTTAATCCGATAAGTGTCTTTTTTTCTTAGGGATCTCTACACACTGGGTAGCTGGGAATTAAAGAGGTAACCCCACCAAGAAGAGCTGACAAAATGTGCAGAGCTCTCTTAAAGCAATTCAACAGGCAAGAAAGAAAAATCTCTTTCTGATTTTTAATAAAGAACAAGTTGAGGTTACAGCACAGTGACAGAGTGTGATATTGACCTCTCAACAATCATCCCAGGAAATCAACACATTATCTTAAAAAAAAACTGGCGTTTAAAAAATTTTAAAATAAGTTTGATAACAATAGCTGTAACTATGGGAACCCTCCACTCCCCTAGGTTTGAATTAAAAAAAAAAAATCTCACAGGGATTTGGTTTATCATTCCTAACAAAAGGTGCTACTTAGAAAGAAGAAATGACAGCTTGTGAGTTATGAGACGTGCATATGATGTGGGCTTGACAGTTAGTCGTCCCCTCCATCAAGAAGACAAATGAGTAATAAAATTCTGGGATCAGTGAGTAGATTCAGGAAATGGAAACTCAAACATCCCTTTCTCTGGCTCTGCAGTTTTGACCTGGTCTGCTTAAAGTCCACTTCATCCCAAACACTGGAAAAAGTTAACAAATATTAGTGACACATATTCCTATTTTCTGCAGTTCAGACGTGGAAAAGTTACCATATCGTGCAAGATGCTGTTCTGCAGTAATTTGCATTCTAAATGGGAGCAGAAAGTTATGGGGAAAAATTATATCCCTTTTGGCATGTTTTCAAGCTAAATTTGGGAGACCAGAAAAATGTGAATAAATTATCAAGCCTACGCCAAACATCTTAGAAAGTGATTTAAATTAAACCCAACTTATAAGAATGTTTCTGAATGATTATTTGACACTTTGACTTTTGCATGTTAAAAACAATCGGTACTGTTCTTTTTAATTATTGAATTTATGTACCTCAAAGTTAGAAAATAAGTACTTTTTCAATAAAAAACAAATAAGCCAAAAGATTGAGTTAAAACAGGGAAATTCAAAATGCATCAGTTACAGAGCAATTATAATCTTTTGAACAATTTGACTTCAGGACATCTCATTATTCTCTTGTTCTCTGTCTGTCTCTCCTTCTCTCCTTTTCCTGAAAATAGGGACCTGAAAGTATTTATATTCTTAGTATTCCAGAAATATAGACTGAAATCTTTACTCTTTATTCTCAATTTTCTGAACATCTTTTTATACAAACTACTTTGAGTGAAAGAGTAAAGAAGGAGAAAAAGAAAAATGAAGAGACAGAGAAAGAAGAGGAGGAAGGGGAGGGGAAGGAAAAATAGTGAGAGCTGGACATTCTGGTGATTCTGGATTAATGACAGAGAGCAAGATGATTATATTCTGTGCTGCTGGGGAGCATAGCAAGTATTTAAAATATGCTCAAAACGACTTGCTTGTTCAGTAAAATTACTCCTCCAGGGCAATGAGCCTTATCTATCTTGGGGTTTCAAACTCCTCATGGCAATCTGACCCCCCTTCCAGTGGATATGAGCATTCAGTTTGAAAAGCAATTTCACATAGGAGTTTTGTAGCCTGGGCCATGCATCTGGGCCACTCCTCTGTCACCTCTCCCTCCTCCCCTTCCCTCTATGTTGATCAATGCTTTGCATCTTAATTTTAAAGCAAGCATGGTAGGTGTGAACTGTGAACTCCCACACAGCAAAAAGAAGTTGCCTGAGCATTGTGTTAAGAGACGTAGCTACTTCAGCCTGTCTTCTGCCTGCACTAGACCCAACCACTCTCCACAGCCCCAAGTATTAAAATATCTGTTTAAAATATTGCAATACTGCCAAACCACAAAATGTTCCTTGTCCCAACCCACATGGTCCACTCAACCATTGTCAGTAATTTTCTACTCCTCTCCATGATTTTCTATTTCCCCTTAGATTCCTTTTTGTTTCTTCATCTCTCTCCTTGCTTCTTTTTGTGCTTTTTCACTTCCCCATGGCCCCTTTTTGTTTCTTCTCTATTGTTCATTTAAAACCTCAGTCACCTTTGTCTTGGTTGGAGTTGAGCTCGGTTTACAGTGAAATCTTTTTCTCTTACTGCGGTAGTCGGAATAAAGTCTGTCTTGCCAAGTTTAACAAGTGTCTAGTGCTATTTCTCTTTGACATAGGTCATATTGGCTATGTAGGGAGCAGTCAATTAGTAAAGCTTATAAAGAAGGTGAATGTTATTCCATACAGAGTGTAACTGGCAAATGGGAGAGAAGGTACTCCCCTGAAGAGGCAGCGGCAACTCAACTTCTGCTTGTTATCTTTATTCTACTCTTCTATTTTATTTTTTTCAAGCGAAATCAGAGAGCAGTATTTTTAAGTAAAATTTTCATACTGTTAAAATGATGACTTAAATTACCAAACACTGTAATTACCAAATGAATAAACACTGTATACACACACACACAAACACACACACACACACCCCAATAATTTCCTTACTTATTATGGCAGGTTGTGAATAAGCATGTGTGTGTATGTGTGTATTTCAAAGTCCTTTTAGATTATAAAAGCAAGAATAAGAAAAGTATTTTCTGTCATTTAATGTAAATTGTTAACTCACTGTTGCATCCTCTGTTTGAGGCAATATTATAGTCAGAATAACACATATGAGACCCGTCTTGTTAACTAATGGAGGGATTCTATCTATGGGCTGTCAATTACCTTCAGTCCTGCTAAATTTATGTGAAAACCAGTCTATTTCCCAGGCATAAATTATTTCTCTAAATAAAGGAAAACATTATGCTCAACAGACATGGTTCTGATTGCGGATGTCACCTTAGTTATAGTGTCACTGCTATACAATAGACACTCAGATTTTTAGTTAGTTTTGTTACATTTGACAATAACTAGTTTCCTTTGTGTTAAATATTTTACATTGTGTTTCATCACCAAATAAAGGAAAAAGCATTTAAGTAGGCATCACAAGAAAATGGTAACTGAAGTAAGACTTGTTATGAGTATTTTTTCATCTTCTGTAGAGAATTGCTTCTCATTTCTTGTTGTCCCACTCACCACCAAAAAAGCTAAGTATTTCTCATTCCTATCTTCTTCCTCTTCCTGTTATTTTCTTTATTTTAAAAAAAAGTCTATGCTTGTCTCCTTCTTTCCATTTGCATTGGCTATTATTAGAGAATAAAAATAATTATTACACAGTAATGTTTATGGAACAAGTCTCATCCATTTTGTATTCTGTCGTCATTATACCCATAGCTTCCAGGAAATACATTTAAATAACACCTATGAAATTTAGGGAACAAACTATATTCTATGTTAAAAATTGTGGCTGGCTGTAGAGTATGGATCCCGCATGTCCTCACTGGGTTGTGTAGATGATGATTCCATCGCCAGGTATTAGTCTGTTCTTACACCGCTAATAAAGACACACCCAAGACTGGGTAATTTATAAGGAAAGAGGTTAAATTGACTCACAGTTTCGCATGGCTGGCAAGGCCTCAGGAAACTTACAATCATGGTGGAAGAGGGAGCAAATACGTCTTTCTTCACATGACGGCAGGAAAGAAGTACAGAGCAAAAGGGGGGAAAGCCCCTTATAAAACCATCAGATCTCATAAGAACTCAGTCGCTATCATGAGAACAATGAGAACTCACTCACTATCCTGAGAACAGCATGGAGGTAACCGCTCCCATGATTAAATTACCTCTCACCAGGTCCCCTCCCACGACAGGTAGGGATTATGGGAACTACAATTTAAGATGAGATTTGGTTGGGGACACAGCCAAACCACATCAACCAGTTTGATAGGAAAGTCTTGAGTACTTTTAATCAATTTGAACATCGGTTCTTAAGCCTTGTCTTAAGATAAAGCTGAGAATGTAGAGGTGTCCACATTTTGACATAAGAAAAGCCAGTTGGATAAAAAGCAAACATACAAAGTCAGAGTTAAAGGAATCACAGAGAAATATAGCTATACACCTGAAGACATCATAAACTCTTACCAGGAACTTGCCCTACCCCTATACGGTATTTTTTATTTATATAAGACAATAAATAGCTTTTATTACATTAACCAATGGAATTTAGCTCTCTATAATTTGCAGAGAAAAGTATTTACTTGATACACACTCAATGCAAAGTCATTTAAAAATGTATCCCAGGCCTTCAAAGCCTGACTATGGCCTGACTGAATATATTAATTCTGGCATTTGGTAGCCAGGTTTAACTAAATTAATTATAGGCTTTAATTAAGGCTTTAACTAAGTTACTTATAATCTCTCAGTCTGAGTTTCTTATTTTCCTTCTGTAAAATGGGTTTTATAATAGCTATTTTACAGATGTTCAGGGACTATATGAAAAAATATGTAAATACTTAGAGACTATATGAAATACTTGGTAAGAGATGGCAGCAATAAAGAATGAATGTGGCTTTGCTAGTTATGAAAGACAAATAATGCAAACATTGCCAAAGCTCTTCCAAATCCTGGCCAACAGACAGGAATCTTTGCCAATTGACCATGAGCAATTCTATTCCCTTAGCAAGGGCATCTGAAAGTCATTTATTCAACAAAAGTTTATTGCACATTTACTATGTGCTACCCATCATCCTAGATGTTAGAGCAGTGAATGCAATAGACATATTCTGATTTCATGACTCTCGTCTTCTAATGGTAATAGAAATTAAACAAAATGCACGTAAGGTGTACAATCTGCTACATGGTAGTGAGTACTATGGAGGAAAAACAAAGCAGGAAAAAGGAATGAATGGGTAGTTTCAAAGAAGAGAAAGTTTTTACCTAAGCAGATAAAAGTTTGCTGAAAATGGGCACTATATGCAAGGTCTCAAGTGGGTGAGTGAGTGAGCCTGCAAATAACTAAGTGGAGAGAATTCAGGCTAAGGGTGCAATGTGCAGAAAGCACCTGGGGCTGGAGCATGCACTATAAGCTCAAAAAATTAAAAGAGGTGGCTGAGTAGGCATGAGATGAAGTTCGAAAGGTAATAATGATGGTAGGCAAAATAGACATTAACACAATGCTAATGGTGTTAAATGTATGACATAGCTAACTCTCGTAATTTTGGTTCCATTATCTACCTTTTTTTGTTGTTAAAAAATGTTCACTTTTTTCCATTATTTTGAAAATTGTCAAATAAAAGAGAAAAAAAAAAGAATTGCTTTCCCTACTGTCATCATCTCTAATCTCCATTCCCAGAAGACTCTTCTCAACTCTTAACTGTTTATTTGGGCATTTATCACCATATTACTAAGTGCTATTCTTAAACTATTACTGCATAATTTAGAGATTTTAGGTATTAAGCCTCAACTTTTTGCTAGATTAGATGAAGTTTAGTGTAATTTCTCTTCTTTCACTTCCTTTGCCCTTCAATATAGTTCGATCACTTTCCTTTAGGGCTTTTATGATTATATTTTTAAATAAAAATTAAAAATTAACATGCTTATCTTATTCTCTGAAGACTAACGATGTTATTTCTTGATTCTCCATTTTGAAAACTGATGCTTCAGCAGCACTCACCCTTCTCTCCAAGTTACCCCTACCTTCCAGAATCTTCTACCTACAAAATTGTGTCATTTGTTTTTACTTTTATATTTTCAAGCCTGAAAACTTTTGTTATTCTGTAACTATAAGTATATATACTATATATGAACAATATATAGCATATACATAAATATATATACCATATATAACTGTATAACTCTACATAACTATATATTATGTAACCACAATTTCAAAATTTAAAAACATAACTCACTATGCAAATATTCATTACAGGTGAATATTGTCTTTCATTTATGGATCCCTTCCATAATTCTGCTTCTCAGATCCTAAGTGTTCTTTTTTTCTTAAATAACATGTCTTTATCTCATTATTTTTTATTACTTCCAGTTTCCTCAAGTGTATCACATCCAGACAACTCTACCCCTGTAATCTTCCCTTTTACCTCTATATTTAAGTCCTTTCTTCCTTCTCCAAAATGCAAATAGTGTCTTTTAGCCCTGTTCCAAAGCTTATTTTTGGGGCCTTCTCTTCATGTCTTTTCTAGGTTGGATCCACTATTTTCCTAACACTCTCCCTCCCACCTTTCTCTGTCTCAACTAAGTCTTCTTTTCCCTAAAGCGTATCATCAAGTAACTTCTTTTAAAAATTTATGTAAGTCAACTTACTGAAGATGAGGTTTCAATTTTGCATAAGGCAGTCAAGGCCTTATATTTAAGATTCCATTTGAGCATTTACTTGAAGAAGGTTATACAATGGAAAATCAGAAGGCATGTTGGGAAAATGGGGCAGATCTGTCCTGTCCCAGGCAAGTGTTATCCTAGCATCCCTTATGACTTGCCGTTTGTCTCAAGTATTTCATTTTATGAAAATGATGAAATGTTATTATTATTTATAAAATTAAAATGAGCTAGGATCATTTTGGAGGGTCTCTATTTTGTGCTTCTGGGACTTGGTTTGGCCTCAGTCTCAATGTGAGACTCATAAGCAGTGAACAGAAACCTTAATTTGGCATGAGATTAAATTCTAACAAGAGAGGTAACAATAACCCATCTATTCTTTTTTCAGCCTTTTCCAGATGCAAAGTGACTAATGCTTCCTTTTCAAGGCCAGCATGCATACAAGTGGTTGATGATGAAACGGAAGGCTGTTGGACAAAGGTGCAGGGCAGCTCTCTCAGGTGGAAGGGAAGGGCTTGATGCTGTTGTCCCTATAGTCAACCACATGATGACTATGTAAGCAAGCTGTGAGATGTGTTATTTGAGATATGCGTGGCTGACAAACTGATTTAACATCATGACCACACACTAAGAATATTTAGTCTGAGTGTATTATATTTTACTAACCAGATGATCAAAATAAAAATGATATTTGTATGTCAGTTATTTGCTATTTACTTCTCTTTCTAGTCTTATAAATGTTTCAAAAATATTCTTATTAGGAAATATTGTATGTAATTTTTATTAGCTTAGAGCATCTTTTCACTCTAAAGTATCCAGATTTGAACGGTAAATTATATGGTCACTTGATTTGTATGTGAATTCCTTGATCTTAGGTTAGAGCCAGGGTTGGCAAACTAAGGCCTACCTTTTGTTTCTTTTGGGGGGTATGGTCCATGAACTAAGAATCACTGTTATTTTTTGAAATAGTGGGAATAAAGAACCTCCACAATTACATTTTGTAACACATGAAAATCATACAAAATTCAAATTTCTGTTCTCAAATAAAGTTCAATTGGAACACAGCCTTGACCATTGGTTTAGTATTGTGAATGGCTGTGTTTCTATTTACAAAAGCAGAGTTGGATAGTTGCAACAGATCATGTGGTCTGCAAAGCCTAAAATGTTTATTATCTATTTGACCTTTTACACAAAAGTTTGCCAACCTCTGAACTAGAGTATTCTGATTCCAGTAACAATGATCTTTCACTATACATTAATTAAATCACCATATTGTTCCTCTGATGTTGGTTAATATGATATTTCCCTGTCTGATGAACATGGATCCTAAAATTTAAAATTACTGAGATAGCAAATATGAGGGCAGGTACCTAATTCTTGGCAGATTTAGTAACGTAATGACTACCATATGGTAAGGCTTCTTGGAATACTGCAGGGTAGACTTTTCCTGCAACATCCAATGACGCCTCATCATTTTTGGAATTTTTCATTTTTTCCATTACACTACTGATAAAGATATTTCAATGCTCATTATCTATTTGAAAACTCAGAGATCCAAAATTGCTTATGACAATAGGCATGTTATATTACTGAGTCTGTGAACAGGTGTTGTGTATTGCACTGCAAGCTTGCCTAAGCCCCATTGTTCATGCACTATTTAAAATGTGGGTAGATCAACAAGGACTGCTAGGCATTTTGTGGAGAAATATATATATTAATTTTCAGGAGTAGAGGGGAAAAAAGAACAGACTTCTTTGTTTGATGGGCTTCAACATTTGTGGCAGTATGGGTTTAATATTATAAATTTTCCTTCTGTTCAATTGCCAACCCAGTCACTTTATGTTTAGCTAATTAAAATTAAGTGTGAAGTTGTACTGCTATTGTGTAGATACGGTGCCATTCAAACAATTGATTTAGATAATTAAGGAAAGCAAATTTAGTTTAGGAACTCATTCTGGGCTAAATGCATAGAGGAAAACTGAAATATACCCTCTTTAATCACCCATTCTAACACAGGTTCAGCTGTCAACATATTCTCTTGTTAATAGCAGTTGCAGGGTAAATGGAAGCCTGTGGTAGAGTTTGCTAGCATATTTAACCATAATGCACAAGAATAAAAGAGGTTACACTGATTGCAATATTTCAGGCCATTAGATCACATTGAATAATCTGCCCATGATAATTTTGAACACATCTTAAATAGGTTTGGTACTTTCTTGTAATAATCATTGCTGCTATTTATTCAGTGTCTATTACATATGCAGTAATTATAAATATAAGATCTGACCCATATTGCTTGGCTTTGTTCCTTTTTTTTTTTTTTCTGTTTTTGAGACAGAGTATCACTCTGTCCCCCAGGCTGGAGTGCAGTGGCGTGATCTTGGCTCACTGCAACCTCTGCCTCCCAGTTTCAAGCAATTCTCCTGCCTTAGCCTCCCAAGTAGCTGGGGCTACAGGCATGCGTCACCATGCCCGGCTAATTTTTGTATTTTTAGTAGAGATGAGGTTTGCCATGTTGGCCAGGCTTGTCTTGAAATCCTGACTTCAAGTGATCTGCCCACCTGTGTCTCCCAAAGTGCTGGCATTACAGGTGTGAGCCACCGTGCCTGGCCGGATTTGTTCTTTATCCTAATTCTTCACATCTTTGAAGACTAGAGGCAAGTTATTTAATTTTTCCGTAATGTCATTTCTTGTACACAGTAATAGTTTGTGAGAATAAAATTCAATAATACAGGTTAAAAACTCAGAAAATAAAATGTAGCAGAATCGTTATCATTACTTTACTTTTCATTTGCATAACCATCCTTCAAGGTAAGAATAGCATCCTTTTTGCAGTGAAGGAACCTTGGGGTTAGAGAAGTGAAGAATCTATAGAAACAAAGTTGATAAGAGACACATTGAAAATCAAAGACAGGACTCACTGCTGAGAAAACTCCCATTCATTCTTCTTATTTCAGCCCATTGACTCTTACAGATTCATCTGTTTATAGAAGCAGTAATGTCTGTGGCCCACACACCAAAGATTTACAGTACCTAACCTGGTTTCCAACTCCCCACAAATCTGATTCATTTAAATTGTGATTTTAACAGCTTACCTGATAAATCTGATGTTATCAGGAAGTTTAGAATTTTATACTCATTTTTTTTAAATCTGCAAGGAATGAGATATGATCAAATTGTATACAGATGGAGTTATTTTTGGTCAGGGAAGCTCCCAGCACTCTTCAAATTACACATACTGCAAGCCAAAAAAATCACCCATATATCCCTCTGTCAGAGGAAGAAACAAAAAGAACATTAAAATAAGTTCTTAGGAATATCTCAACCAAAGGCTTACTTGGAATTCAGGAAGCAAGTGAAAAGCATTTGGATACATTTTAAGAGATAATTGCTACCAAATAATTTATAGGTGCAGAGCAATACCCAAAGAGAAAATACCACCAGTTAAAACCTAGTAAATTAAAACCAAACAGTCTACATGCCTGGTATCCTGTTTAAGATTAATTGGATCATAGCAGAAAGTGCATATTATGAAGATCAAATACTAGGAGAAAAGTCATAAAGTTTGAAAACATATCAGTGTATTTTCATCCCTGCAGATGCCTTTTATTTATTGTCAATGTAAACAGATGTTAATGACATTGTAAGAGCTTTTGAGAGAGGGAGAGAGGGGAGGAGAGGGAGAATGAGAGAGAGAGGATATTTCCCTGCAGATAAAGGAGGAGAAAAATGGATAATAAGAAACATCTTATAGCTTGGATTTTCAAAAAAACATATTTTCCAGTCTAAAACAAAAATTAGTTTACTTTCTCTGGATTAGTTCTAAAAACTAATTCCACATTCTGAGGCAAAGAAATGGAATGGCAAGGGGAGGGGAGAGGAGGAGAGATAGGGAAGGAAGGGGAGGTGGTTTGGATTATTGCATCTATTTATTTGCTAACAATGTTACATTTAGTTGGCCAAAGAGTATAATTTCCCTTGAATTTTGCTATTTTGAATAAAGCATCATTGTGTTAACGAGATTTTGCTATAAATATTAATGCAAATAGTCAATAAAAATAATATTTAACTCTTATTTAGGATTCTTGAATATTTTCTCTTTCATTTTTTTCAATAGATATTGTATCCTACTTCCATTGTAGCTCCCATCACTCTTAATCACACTGAATTATTGAGAAAATCTATCTCATCCCAAACAATAAGCTTCATGAGAGTGGGAACCATGCATACATCTTCCTATGTGCAGCATATCATTAATGTTCCATTTATATTTGAGGAATATAAACTCTCAGGATGTGTGAGAACGTCCATGTTTCACTTAGAGCAGGGTTGCTCAACCTCAGCGCTATTGACATTTTGGGCTAAATAAGCCTTTGTATTGGGGACTGTTCCGTGCTTCATAATGTTTAGTAACATTCTTTATTTCTACTCACCAGAAGCCAGTAGCACCCCTCCAGTCATGAACATAAAAAGTGTCTCCAGATATTGCTCAATATCCTCTAGGGTTAAAATCATCACCAGATGAGAACAATGACTTAAAAAATAACATTTTTTTTAATATACTAAATTGGGTGGTGTGTCCAACTTATTCCTGCCACTGCTATCCATTCCCTATCACCTCTCTGTCTCTCTCTGTCTCTCTCTCTTTCACACACACACAACACACACACACACACACACACACACACACACACACACACTTCACTGAATTTCATATGGCATAACATGATGCCCTGGTTGGGTAGGAGATGGAGTCACATACGCTTGGCAGTTTGAGTTAGGTAATCTTTTTCTGTCCTCAGGGGAATTTCAATGATACACAAATACTAATACGGCCAAGCAGACACCTTAGAAAGAACTTGCACATTATACATACTTGGTATAAAAATATGAGTCTGTTTGATAAATAGGAAGATGTATACACAAAGGAAGATGTATGCATGGTTCCCACTCTCATGGAGCTTATTGTCTGGAGTGAGATAGACCCTCTAAATAATTACATGGGTGGGATTGGGTGACAGAAACAAATCACAAATAGACCAAGCAGAGGAAGCTCTCCATGAATCAGACTAAATGATAGCATCTGATAGTTCAAGGAAACAACTTGACCCACCCGTTACCCAGAAAGCCTGGAGAGTTTTATATGTAAGGAAGAATGTATATAAGCACTAAAAGACCTTTAAATCTTGTGCACACAATTTTTTACTAATATTTTTATTTTTGGTGAAATTTTATCATAAGACTAAAATACAGAGAAGGAGAAGCTGCTTTTCTACCACCAGAAAAACTGTCAAGACCTTCTTCCAGAGGGTTACAATCATCATTTGGAGGCTGGGAGCATTTTCACTGGCATAGAAGGAGCACAGGGACAGCAGTGAGCAAGGGGAACTTAATGTTGGAAGGAGCCTTGAGGGGTCTAGGATCAAGGAATAGAGGGAGAAGAAGCCATGAGCAGAAAGGCAGAAGGGCAACAGGAAGCTAAAGTAGTACATACAGTCCACAAAGGCTGAATGGGTCAGAAATCTCACAAAAGATTTCAGTGGTGGGGACTGGACGTAGTGGCTCATGCCTGTAATACCAGCATTTTGGGAGGCCAATGTGGGCGGATCATGAGGTCAAGAGATGGAGACCATCCTGGCCAACATGGTGAAACCCCATCTCTACTAAAAATACAAAAAATTAGCTGGGCGTGGTGGCACGCACCTGTAGTCCCAGCTACTCAGGAGGCTGATGCAGGAGGATCACTTGAACCCAGGAGGCAGTGAACCCAGATCATGCCATTGCACTCCAGCCTGGTGACAGAGTGAGACTCTGTCTCAAATACAAAACAAAACAAAACAAAACAAAACAAACAAAACAAAAAAACAAATAAAACAAATTTAAAAATTTCAGTGGTGGGATTTGCACCAGAAGAGAAGCCACAATGCAGATGCAGGTAAAGGCTTGGGAGACGTGACAGAAATTCTTAGACACCTGTTGAAGTTCTTTCAAAAGGACAGGAGGGGGAAAGAAAACTTGAAAAGGGGTGGTGCTGATTGTTAATTCTCAACGATTTATAACTGAGGTTGAGATAAAGCAGAATATAGTTGCATCTCTCATAAAATTAATTCCAATAATGCAAAGTCTGTTTGCTGTTAGGTAATATATCAATGTATTTCATGGTATTAACACATTAAAGGAGAAAGCTGTACCATCTGAAGAGCTACAGACTTTTGTTTTGTGATTTAACAATCATTCATAATTGAAACAAACAAAATTCTTTTTTATTTTTAAGTTATTTAAAAAATTAATTTTAAAAACATGGGCCAGGTCTATCTTTTATTTTTCTTGTTCTTTCTCTGTTATCCAGGCTCACTGCAGTCTTGACCTCTCAGGCTCAAGTAATCCTGCTTTGGCCTCCTGAGTAGCTGGGACTACAGGTGTGTGCCTCCACTTCTGGCTTTTTTTTTTTTTTTTTTTTTTTTTTGGTAGAGATGGGGATTTACAATGTTGTCTAGGGTGGTCTGGAACTCCTGGGCTCAAGTGATTCTTCTACCTAACCTCCCAAAGTGCTGGGATTACAGACTTCAGCTGCCTCACCCACCCCAAAATTCTAATAAAACACTTATTAAAGGTAACTGCCTTGTACTAATAAGAAATATTTAACAAAAACACACAGCACATATCCTACTTTGTGATAAAATATTAGAAACATTGCCTTAACAGTAACCCACAAAGCAAGGATTCTCAGACCCTGCTATATTCAAAATTTTACTGAACTTCAAAAAATGTAATAAGAAAAGTAAGACAGATAAAAACAATAACTTTAAGGACTGAGAAGTAATGCAACAAAGACTTGTCTTTAGATGAACACAGGATGGGTACTAGAAGTTTCCACAGGTATTGAGAAGTTTCCACAGGTTCTCCTACTGTGGTTCAAATCCATATAACTTACTGAGCTTTTCTCTATAAAACTATGACAATCTTTAGATGCTGAATGTGTACAGTTACAAAGGTGAACAAGCACTGTCCCCTAAGATTCTATGTGGTGCAGAGGTTAAGGGGTTCAGTGATTAAAACCTGGAGTCAGAGTTTCAAATTTTGTTTTGCCACCTTAATAACTGTGATCTAGGTTCAAGTTAAATGACTTTTTCGAGCCTCAATTTCCTGGGGTTAAAATGGGAATGACGGTGTTTCATGAACATATCTGTTGTCAATTTGATCATTTAAGATCGGCGAATTCAAATATCTAACCCTTATTATAGTCGTGTTTTTTCTTTTGTATTTATTATATTATTTCCATAATGAATTTTAGAACCAGATTATATTGGACAACCTCCTGTTCATTTCCATTCAAAGTTGTCCTTTGAAGTTATTTAACATGATTTGCTATTAATTTATCCCTACTTGATATCTTGACATCTGATTCTAGTATGTTTGCTTTTTCAACACTTTGTAGGTTTTTATATGATGAAAACAATTGTCAAAATACAATTATTGTCAAAATTTATTGTATTCTGATAACATCTGCATTCTTTACTTGGGATTTCCCAAGACAGTATGGAAAAAAGTATATATTTTCTTTTTAGAAATTGTGGATGAATTAATAAATGGTTTGATTTCCTGCAGGTTCATGATGGTAGTTTTCTCAAAAATACAATGTTCAAGGCTATCACTGAAATACTTATTTAAACAAAATATAAAATGATGTACAATGTTTTACAAATGTGAAAAATATACAGCAGTATTAAAACTAGACATAAAGCAAAACTATTTTTTCTATTTCTTAATTGTAATTATTGGACAATTATAAAAATAAAATAAAATTGATTATAATTGATGTGAGGCATTGATCATTTACTTCTAAACTCTAAGAGTTTAAATCTTCCAAAATAATTTTAAATACTAAAGATATTTTCTTCCTGCCTTTTAGTGAGTAGTAAAAATACCTCTAGAGGAATACGTGAAAAGAGAACAACACCTTTCAAAGATGGAACCAAGATATTCTAGAGTGGAGTAGTTCTTTGCTTTGGTAATATATAATTTTGTCTCAAGAAAACAGAGAACTGGAGAAAAAAAGCAGAGAAGTATTTAAAAAGCTGTTTATATTTTTTCTCCCATTGCCATTTACGAAAAGAATGGAAAAAGAAATGGAAAATACAGACAAGCAGGTGGACCTGAGGCCTGCTCTCAGGCTCTTGCCCCATTTGCTTTTGGTAGAGATGGATCTTCTCTTTAAAAGGCAGCAGATGTGCATGGGCTGCCTGCACTTGAAGGCAGATGGACAGAGGAAGGGGTGCTTAGCTCAGAATTCTCAGATGTAAGCAGTCTGTAAAGCTGCTGTGCCTTAAACATGTTCTGTTAAATGTTCATGTCCCTATATAATTTTACAAAGTGCTTGCCCAAAGCCTAATCTCAGTTCCAGCGATGGCAGCCCCCAGCCATGGGTAAGCCTGGTCATATATCCATGGCAGATGGCGATCATTTTATGGTAGTCTGGTTTACTCCTGTTTTATACAGGGTTATAGTGTTTCAACATTCGTTAGGTTCTGATGAAGGACAACACAATGACCCCAGGATAGATGAAAGGTAGAAGAACTCTTTCTAACTTGTAGTTCTGAAGGAGAGAAGGCTGCCGCACAGAGCCACACAGGGACTTCTACCCAGGGAAAAGGTAATACCCAGCTGGAACTGTAGGAGGTGGCTTATCTATATATGGCAAGCAGGAAGGGGTTGCTAGGTTTAGTAGCCTTCCTGTATATGGGTGCTTTGCATAATTCCATGGACCCTAATAAAAAGGGGCTGTCCCCGGATATTTAGCACCTGGAGACCTCTGGCAATTCAGTGTGTGTATTGTTAACTTGGAATCGTTAAAGCCCAATAAGGGAAGTGGTTGAGAATCATGCTTAGCAAATTGCCCATGAAGGGTAATTAAGAATTCTTAGCCATGATCCCAAACCTGGGCCAGGACAACACTTGTGAAATACTATATTACACACATGTGGTTTATCTTTAGAAATAGATACAAATTGTCTATAGACACTAACTGCCTAGAGTTTGGCTTGATATTTTAAATCATGATCATCTCTGCTCTTATTGCCTTTGGCCAGCACACAGATTTTGTGCTTTTGTGCACCACAGATTGGCAAACTGTGGTGCATGGTAAAGAATTTTCCATATATTCCCCTTTCCCTGCACATGCATGGCCTCCCCCATTTCTACATCCCCCATTGGAGTGACATATTTGTTAATAACTGATGAGGCTACATTGACACTTCATTATCACTCAAATTCCATAGATTACATTAAGGTTCACTCTTGGTGTTGTACATTCTATGGGTGTAGCAAATGTATAAATGTATAATGTAACACAACCACCATTATAGTATCATACAGAGTAGTTTTACTGCCCTAAAAATCTTGCTGCGCTCCATTTATTAATCTGTCCTTCCTCTTATCCCCTGGAAGCCACTGAACTTTTTACTATCTCCATAGTTTTACCTTTTCCAGAATGTCATATAGTTAGAACCATATGGTATAGCTTCTTTTAGATAGCAATATGCATTACGTTTCCCCCATGTCTTTTCATGGCTTGATAGCTTATTTCTTTTTAGCACTGAATAATATTCTATTGCCTGGATATACCAGTTTATTAATCCATTCACTTACTAAAGGACATACTGGTTGCTTCCAGGTTTGGGGAATTATTAATAAAAATGCTACAAACATCCCTGTACATGTTTTTGTATGGATATAGTTTCAACTCTTTTGAGTAAATACTAAGAGTGCCTGAATACTGGATCGTCAGGTAAGGGTATGATTGGTTATGTAAGAAACTGCCCATCTGTATGCCACAGTGACTGTACCATTTTGCATTCCCACCAGCAGTAAATAAGGGTTCCTGTTGCTCCATATCCTGGCCAGCATTTGATGTTGTCAGTGTTCTGGATTTTGGCCATTTTATAGATGTGTGGTGATATCTCAATGTTTTAATCTACATTTCTCTGATGACATATGATGTGGAGTATCTTTTCATATGCTTAATTACAATTTTTTTGTTTTATAATTTTTTACATACAAATACGTGACTTATTGAACAAATATTCACATGACTTCTTACCAACAGTGGGGGTTATCATGATGTGGGTTACATGGTTTTGTTTGTGTGTCTGTGTGGGTGCATGTACATGTATATATGTCCATGCGTACAAGTTACACCCAGAGGCCTATCCTTCAGAGCCCTCTACTTTAGTGGGTCAGTTGAATCCAGCTCTCTGTTTTTATACTTGAGGTTTAAAACATATTAGGTATTTAACATTTTCTGATTATTTCTTCAGTTTTTTAATGTATTTAGTATCGTATATATCCCTTCTATTCTATCACGTTATTCCAGCAATAGGATAACCTAGGCCCCCTGAAGTACTGTTCAGGATACAATACTAAGTTGTTGGAAGAAGGTAGCTTATTTTTCATTTGTTCACAGTTTTAAACACATGATATTAATTTTTCAATTATGTGTTTTAAACTTCAACTGTTTTTCTTTACTGGATCTTAGAGGCCTGAAGTTGATAAAATATTATTTTAAAAATAAAATATGATGCTTTGTAGTTAGATTTTTAAAAAAAATCAATCATGCTTGATGCCATCAAGCAAGATATAATTATGTAAAAATGAAATCTAAATTGATATGAGGGAGATAGTCTTTATATTTGAAAATGTGCTTTTCTAGTAAAATTTTCAAAAAATAAAAGTGTAGACATCCCTCCAAGACCATTTTTATGTCTAATCCTGTAGAAAAATATGCAGATATGTAGAGACATCTTGTCACATTGAGCATCATCGAGTTGGCATGACACTGAACAGGCTCTGTCGAGTCTATGTATATGAGTGCTATCAGAGAAAGTGTGGGAGACATTTTAATGTACAGATAATTCTGGTTTTACTATTGCCCACTAACTTCCTATGTGTGGGTAGAATACTAGAAAGAAAGAGAAAAACAATTTTCAAAAAAACTTGGAAAAGAGAAAACCACAGACAATCCTGACTACCTTGAAATGGACGTGTCAGCAAGCTGTGGGGTGTCCAAGACCAAGACACACAGTCATTTTCACTAAAATACTAATCCCAGCAGAACACTAAGTGTAAATCTAATTACTTACTGTTCAGTGGCATTAATAAATCAAATTATCCAATGACAACTATGAAAAATTATATTTTTCTTTTATAAAAAAGTTCACAGAAAAATTTGAACAGTTGGCAAATTAAAAAAAAAAAGTTGCAAATCAAATTCTAGCAGATTGTGTGAACTTGACCTTTCCTTCCCCATTATCCTGCCACTGTAAACTGGTAAAACACACATAACACTTATAGAAAAGACTGAAAAGACCACATAAAAGAAAAATAATTTCCCTCACCTCTAAGTCCTCTCAAAAATGTCACTCATTTTGATCTCACTTTCAATGAAGTACCAGTTTTCCCAGCGACTCAATTTCCCTTATGTGTATTTCATTCCCAAACCAAACATTTGGCATAATTTTGGTTAAGAAGGTTACCTTCACCATCTTTCGTTTCTAAGCACTATTGCTATGAAATTAGATTATAAATTACTACCCCTATGGTATATGAGTTAATGCAGTGTTGTGTTATAAAGGATGTCAAGTATTTCTTTTATAATTGTGCCATTCTATAGGGAACTTCAGTAAGTGAATCATTTGTGAGAAAGACAAACTCAATTTGTCTATTCAACAATAAATTTAATTTTAGAGAATTAAACATTTATTCATTTTAAAAACTTCGAATGAGAACTTACTACATTCCGGAGACAATACTGAGAGCACAAAGATAAATAAGGATCCTACCCTTTGGGAACACACATCAGAATAAAGGAGGGAGAAATGTGACTAATCTGAGTACAGGCTGTCTTGCTCACAAATGATTCCCAGTACGTCCACAGCATCTGGTAGAAGTTCAGCAATATTTTTTTAAATGTGTTAACAGAAAACAAAATAAAAGCTCTTGTAGGAACAAGATCACAGAGAGTTATACATAGGAGTTTTCTGACGGTGCTAGGGATAGGGAATAAGGATTTGTTTAAAATGAATGTGCTCAGGTTTACTAAATGAACAGATCATTATTTTTGAGGAGGGTACACAGTTGAAAGATGATGATGAGGAGGAAGGTTAAACTACACAACCAAGGAATCCAGTTAATACACCAGAAAGGACCCAAATGTTATGTTTATAAGAGACTAAAAATGATACAAACAAAGTAGTGGGTCTTTATATTGAGATACTAAGCTCTGAGGAGCAGGGACTGTGTCCACTCTGTTCACTAGTGTATTCCCTGGGGCTATGGAAGTGCCTGCAGCATGGAAGGTACTCATTAAATATTGTCAGATGAATGAATGAAAACAATAATTGACATTTACAAAGGCCTTACTATGTTCTTTCTATTATCTATGTTTATCCTCAGCAGGTCTATAAGGCATTTTCCATATTTACCCGCAGGAAACTCAAGGGAAGAAAGGAAAAATAACATGCACGAATTTTCCCAGCAAAGTAAGATTGGAGCTGGAATGTAAAACTCGGGGTTGCAGATGTCAATATTGGGGCTGTATATCCTGCTAATTCAAACAGAGATGTCTGTACATTTTTGTGTCCTAATTTTCTTACTATTACCTAAAGCTGAATAAACTTATACATGACTCCCTTATATTTTTGCAAGTACTTTCTAATTCATGATGTATCTACATTGCCTAATATTCGTTACTAAGCCTGTGTGACAAATTATCACAAAATGTGTGGCTTACAATCATAACATTCATTTTATTCATTAATATGCAATCTGGTCAGGTTTTGGCAAGAATAGGTCCTCTCAACTCTGTCTGGCATCAGCTGTGATGGTTCAAAGGCTGTGATTATCTGAAAGCTTGATCACTCTCATGTCAGGATGGCAGGAAGGCCTTAGCTGGGACTGTCAGCTGGAAAAACTATGCTCTCTCCATGTGGCTTGGGCTTCCTCAGAGCATGGGGAATGGGATCCAAGGGTAAACATCCAGAAACACAGAGAGAAGAGAAACAGATTGAAAGAGAGATGCAGAGCAAGAGCAAGAGGAAGAGGAAGTAACTCTGCCGCCCAGCATAAGTTAGGCTTGGAGTCATACATCTCTATTACCACTGTCTATCCATTAGGATGAATCATTAATGCCAACCAATGCTCACGAGGAGAATTAAACTGCATCTTTTTATTGAGAAGTTGCAATGTTTAGAAGACTACTTGGAACAATAAATACTACTGTGAGCATTTTTGAAAAACTCGACCTGTCCGATCAACCGTAAAACAAATAGGAAATTCCTTTAGAAAATGGAATATAGGTTCTTCATATTCGTGGAAAAGAGTAATTCTTAATGTCTTGATAATACCAATATCTTACATTAATAATTTACTCAGTTTTAGTATTCACTTAATCCTCGTAGATCCAGTTATTATTTCTATTTTAAGGTTACAGAAATGGAGGCACAGAGAAGCACAGCAACTTGCCCCATATTAACACAGCTATAAGGGATGTAGCCGACAATCAAGCCAAGGCAATTTACTTTTGCTATTAGGTGCCACTTTACTGCCTTTCTAAGAGGAGTCTTGGAAAAAATAGTCATTGGCCAGTCGTGGTGGCTCACGCCTGTAATCCCAGCACTTTGGGAGGCTGAGGCAGGAGGATCACTTGAGACCGGGAGTTTCAGACCAGCCTGGCCAACATGGTGATACCTCATCTCTACTAAAAATACAAAAATTAGCTGGGCATGGTGGTGCACACCTATAGTCCCAGCGACTCGGGAGACCAGGCAGGAGAATTGCTTGAACCTGCGGACAGTGATTGCAGTGAGCCAAGATTGCGCCATTGCACTCCAGCTTGGGTGACAGTGAGACTCCATCACAAAACAAAAAGAAAAGAAAAAAAAAAAAAAGGAAATAGAGTTCTTACTCTACAGACAATTTTGACAGTTTGAATCTTTCCTCCATACGATTTCCTTCCATTCACATGTTCTAGACAACACAAACTGGTTTGGTTATACTGGCAATGTGTCCACTTAAAATATCGGCAGAAAGAAACTCCATTAAGCAGCTGAATTTCATGGGTTTTTTTGGCAAAGAAACTCATTTTATGAGGAGTTTCAGCAAATAACTATATATGTAGTTCATTAATACTCAAAATGTCAACAAATATTAAAGTGTAAGATATAAAGAAAAAGCACAAGACAGCTTTGAAGTTTTTTCTAAAAACAAATATTGTATATTATAGAATGTAAACTCTTTACTTCCAAAACTGATCAGCACCTATATGAAAATAATAATATATGTTAAGGAAGCAGTTGGGGAATGTTTGAATAAGATAAAGATATATCCTATTCTTGTTTGAAATGGTTAAGAATCTTCTTGAAATATCTGCTCATAGTTTTCTGATTGTATAATGTTGTGTCCTCAAATAGAGTTTTTATTTTTTAGCTAAATAGGATTATTCTTTATCAAAGCACTATTGTAATTTAAAAAATAATACTTTATTAAAACTATTAAAATCTGGATAATTGGCATCACTGCAAAGTAATGTTAAAATCCTAGTTTTTCAACACAGTATTCATGATTATTATTATCATAAAAAATCACTTAATGACTTCCTTTTTCATTTTACACCTATATAAATTTAAAAAGCAATAGTCTTTTCCTTGTAAATTCTCATCATGCAAATTAGACATTGCTGCTTATCTGCAGAAATTTTGAAAAGATTCATGGCATTCATGGGCTTTTTAATTAAAAGAAAAACACTTTTCTATACCTGGCTAATTTAAAAAACCCTAAACTTTTGGAATATTTTTAGTAAACAACTTGATTATTTTATCTACAACTTATCATCCACCCAGTGTGAAAATTTATCATCTGTGATTTGAGATTTAAATACTGATGTAAATATATAATGTTTTAGTTTGACGTAAGTATGTTATATTAATGGGTTAACATTGTTTAACATATGTTGGTTGTATATCAAAATGATTTGGTCCCCTTTAAAATGTCAGATTGTTGAATCACTTTTAGAATATTCCAGTAATTCACTCAGACAACCTGGGTTTTAGGTGAGATGGATAATAAGAAACAGCTGGATCAGCTATTCTGCCATCAAGAGACATCATCGTAAAAGGAGGTTTATAGACCCAAGTTCATAAAATGTTAGAATGACAAAGTACCACAGAGTTTGTATAACCAAACTGACACCTTTTAAGGATGAGAAAAATGAGGTTAAGAGAATGACTTACCCAAAGTCACATAGCAAGTTAAGTGTTAGAGTCAGCCTAGAATCAAAGTCTCTGTTTTCCAACACAAGGCATCATCTTCTATGTCCTACCATCTGCAATATGGACTGCAGGAAAACTCAAAAAAAGCGTGTGTTTTTTCTAGTACTATTTGACTTGCTCTGGGGAAAAATAAACAACAGCAGCAAAACATGCACAGAGTGTCTTTGAGATATTAACTCAAAAAACGTCATGAAAGAATCTGACAAAATTAACTCCAAAGCTGTAGTTAGTTCCAGACAAAAGTACACTTTTGGATTAGCTACAACACTTAACCTTAAACTATTTGACAGTATGTACAGACTTGTAGTGCTTATAAGTTGTAGTACATTGAATAATAACCACCCTAAAATATCAAGACCTAATCCCTGGAATTTGTAAATATTGTCTTATGTAGGAAAAGTCTTTGCAGATGTGATTAAATTAAGAATTTTGAGATGAAGAGACTATGCTGGAATATCTGGGTGGACCCTAAAAGCTATCACAGGTATCCTTAAAGAGAGAAGCAGAGGGAGACCAGACACAGAGGAGAAGACAATGCGAAGAAGGAGGCGGAGATTAGAGGGATGAGGCCACAAGCCCAGTGTATAATCAGAGTTCTCCAGAGAAGGAGGATGAATAGAATGCATATATAAATGTATACAGAGAAAGAGACTTATTTTAAGGGGTTGGCTTCTTGTGTGATTGTGAAGACTTGGTGTATTAGTTCGTTTTCCTGCTGCTGATAAAGACATACCCAAAGCTGGGCAATTTACACAAGAAAGAGGTTTAATAGACTTACAGTTTCACATAGCTGGGGAAGCCTCATAATAATGGTGGAAGGCAAGGAGAAGCAAGTCACATCTTACGTGGACGGCAGCAGGCAAAGAGAGTGAGCTTGTGCAGGGAAATTACCCCTCACAGAACCATCAGATCTCATGAGACTTACTCACTATCATGAGAACAGCACGGGAAAGACCTGCCCCCATGATTCAATTACCTCTCACTGAGTCCCTCCCACAACATATGGGAATTCAAGATGAGATTTGAGTGAGGACACAGCCAAACCATATCACTTGGTGAATTCAAAATCTAATGGGTTAGGTCATCAGGCTGGAGACTCAAGAAACAGTTTTAGTTCAAAGTCAAAAGCAGTCAGGATGGAGAGACCGTAAAAAAGCAATATTGCAGATGAAATGCAAAGGCCAATAATCATATGCCGATTATTATTTACTGAATAAATAATCAAAATGCATATAAATCCATTTCCTCAAGAACATGCTTTTAATCATTAAAAACGATATTTTTGTTGATGCATGTTGTTATTAAACTGTTACAGTTGTTTTGAAATGGCAAACCCGTGCCAGTGAGTAAACTGAAGCTGAGACAAACTAAAAGCCATAGGTAAAATAAAAGTTACTGGTAGAATTTCCTCTTGTGACAGAGGTCAGACTTTTGGGTTTTTTTCAGGCCTTTCACTGATTGGATAGGGCCCACACACACTAAGGAGAGAAATCTGCTTTACTCAAAATCTACAGATGTAAATGCAAATCTTAGACAAATGCACCCTCACAGATACATCTAGAATAATGTTTGCTGGAAGCTGTGGCTCCATCAAGTAGACACACAGAATTAGACATCATATCCAGGATTAACCACTGGAAGCTAAAAGAGACAAGGAACAGATTCACTCCTAGGGAACCTGGAAAGATTATTTTTTTATGTTTTACTTTTCTATTTTTTTGTTTTTCTAAAGAAACTATATTTTAAAAATCAAAATCAACTGTATGAATCTCTAAATATATGATGTGAAACGTCCTGGGGTACTTGGCATTCCAGTTCCCATAATCTTTTGCCCCATTTTATCAATCACTCTTATATTAATAAGGATTTTTTTTTTTGAGATGAAGTCTCGCTCTTTTGCTCAGGCTGGAGTGCAGAGGCGCGATCTCGGCTCACTGCAAGCTCCGCCTCCCAGGTTCATGCCATTCTCCTGCCTCAGCCTCCCAAGTAGCTGGGACTACAGGCGCCCGCCACCACGCCCGGCTAATTTTTTGTATTTTTAGTAGAGATGGGGTTTCACCGTGTTAGCCAAGATGGTCTCGATCTCCTGACTTCCTGATCCACCCGCCTCTGCCTCCCAAAGTGCTGGGATTACAGGCATGAGCCACCACGCCCGGCCAAGGATTTTTAATGGTAGTTGAATAAAAGTCAAAGTGTCTGAGTAAAAATGAGTATAACTACACTTCTTCAAGAAAATTCCTTTAATCATTAAAAACAATGTTTTTTGATGCATGTTGTTATTAAATAAACTGGTATAATTGATTTGAAATGGTTAACCAGTACCAGTGAGTAAACTGAAGTTGATTCAAACTAAAAGCCACAAGTGGGAAGTTATACCACACAAACACACACACACACAGACACACACAGACACAAATATTTATATATTGGTTTGTCATTTAGAATAGTGCCTGGCACAGAGTAAGTGCTACCTGTAAATTTATTAAATATGTAAATAAATCATTTAAAAATACCATTTAAAATAAATAAAAATTAAAAATACAGCTAGAAATAAATCCCATTAAAAAATGCAAAATAACCATTTAAAAGCTTTTAAAACTTTATAGTAATAGAAGAATAATTAAACTATTGAGTGATGCAGCTTTTTTAAAACTTTTATTTGAAGTTCAGGGGTATAAGTGCAGGTTTGTTACACAGCTAAACTTGTGTCATGGGGGCTTGTTGTAAAGATTATTTCATCACCCGGGTGTTAAGCTTAGTACCCATTAGTTATTTTTTATCCTGTCCCTCCTTCCACCCTCCACCCTCCAAAAGGCCCCAGGGTGTGTTGTTCCTCTCTATATGTTCATGTGTTCTCATCTTTTAGCTCCCACATGTAAGTGAGAACATGGGGTACTCAGTTTTCTGTTCCTGTGTCAGTTTGCTAAAGGTAATGCCCCCCAGCTCCATCTGTGTCCCTGAAAAGGACATGATCCCCTTCTTTTTCATGGCTGCATAGTATTCCGTGGTGTATATGTACCACATTTTTTAATCCAGTTTATCACTGATGGGCATTTAGGTTGATTCTATGTCTTTGCTATTGTGAAGAGTTGAGATGCAACATCTTTATGGATTTGAAAATATAATTTGATAATGATGTTGCTTTCTACCAAAGTCATCTACAATCCAATTCTAGTCAAAATCCCTATGGGAATTCATGTAGAACCTGTAAAGCAAATTCTAAAATTTAGATTGAAGACAAAAAAATCAAGAAACTCTAGAAAACAATTATCTTAGAGGACTCTTTGCCAGAAAACAAGCATATTATAAACCTATAATAATTAGAAAAATCTTAACCCTCATGTATTACTTGTGGAAATGTAAAATGGTACAGCCACTTTGTTAAACAGTTAACTTTACAAAGTTAAACATGAATGACCATATGATTCAGGAATTCCATTCCTAGGAATATATCCAAGAGAAACGTAAACATATGCCCACACAAAAACTTGCACATGAGTGTTTATAGCAGGATTATTTATAACATTGGGAACAACCCAATGTTCATCAACTGATGAATAGATAAATATAAGGCAGTATATCCATACAATGGGATGTTATTCAGCAATAAAAATGAATGAAGTACTACTACATGCATGGATCAATCTTGAATACATTATCCCACATAAAAGAAGCCCCTCACAAAAGACCACAAATTGTAATTGTAGGATTCAATCTATATTAAATGCAGAGACCAGGGAAATCTATAAAGAAAGTAGATTAGTGGTTTCTTAGGCCTGGAGTAAGGTATAGTAGTGGATAGAAAGGGTTGAGGAGTAGGTGCTAACGAGTATGTGGTTGTTTTAAGAAGGATAAATATATTCTAAAAGTAGATTATGGTGATTGTTACACAATCCTGTGAATAAACTAAAAATTATTGGATTGTATAGTTTAAATGGATGGCTTGTATGATATGAGAATTATACCCCAATAAAGTAATACTCCTGCATAGGTAAACTAAAAGAATAATTAAACAGAATAGAGAGCCCAGAAACAAGAGCACTCATATACTTAAACATGATTTATTATACCACCGGGTTTTCAAATCACAGGTAAAAATAGATAATAATCAGTAAATGGTTTGAGAACAATTTGTTATTCATATGGGAAAAATACGAAATTGAATTATTATCTTACACTCTACAAAATATTTTATTCCACAGAGATTAAATAAGTAAATGTTATAGACAAAACTGAAACATTTTGAAAAAATATAGAGCATCTTTATTTCTTTGGAATATTTAAGAAAGAGCAAGGCGTGGTAGCTCATGCCTGTATTCCCAGCACTTTGGGAGGCTTAGGCAGGCAGATTGCTTGAGCTCAGGAGTTCGAGACCAGCCTGGGCAACATTAAGAAACCCCATCTCTACAAAAAATATAAAAAAAAATTAGCCAGGCATGATGACATGAACCTATAGTCCCATTACCTGGGGGGCTGAGGCAGGAGGATCCCTTGACCCCGGAAAGTTGAGGCTGCAGTGAGCTGAGATCATACGACTGAACTCAAACCTGGGGGACAAAGTGAGACCCTGTCTCAAAAAAGAAAGATAGATAGAAAGAAAGAAAGAAAGAAAGAAAGAAAGAAAGAAAGAAAGAAAGAAAGAAAGAAAGAGAAGGAAGGAAGGAAGGAAGGAAGGAAGGAAGGAAGGAAGGAAGGAAGGAAGGAAGGAAGGAAGGGAGGGAAAGAGAGAGAAAGAAAGGAAGGAAGGAAGGAAGGAAAGAAAGAAAGATAGAAAGAAAGAAAGAAAGAAAGAAAGAAAGAAAGAAAGAAAGAGAAAGAAAGAAAAGAATCACTAAATAACTAAATGTAAAAAGCATAAAGTTGACAAATTTTGCTACATTAAAATTAAGAACTTCTGATCACATTAAGATACCACCATAAAGATAAGGATAAGGCACAGACTAGAATATTTACAGCATACATTTAAGTGACCAAAGAATTAGTATTTAAATGAATGGTATATGAGTATACCATTATACTCCAAATTATTTTTATTATTAGTATCTAAATAAATCATAGTATAATTAGTATCCAAATAAAACAAATTAACAAACAATGAATAAGCAAAAGACTAATACCGTGATAAAAAATGTGAAAAGATATAAACTGGAAATTCACAGAATTGGAAGCTGGAATGGCTGATAGAAGGATGACAATTCTTAGACCTTATTACTAATTTTGAAAACTCTTAAAATGGCAAGGAGTACATCCATTGGTCTGGCAAATATTATGAGACCAGGTCTTGCCAAATACTGGTGCCAGTATGGAATATGTATATTTTCATGTGCTGTGGAGGGCATATAAATGGTTATAGATACTCTGGAGAAGGATTTTGAATTATCTAGCATATTTGAAGATGTTCATAACTCATGCCCCAGCAATTTCTCTCTTACATGTATTCCCTAAATTAGTTCTTGTACACCAGAAGATGTTCATGAAAACATGCATGCCACTTTGGGTGGAACACTGAGAAAATGTAGAAAGTCAATAGACTCACAGTTGAGTACTATAATGTGGTTAGCATGGGTGAATAGCTCAAGAATAATATTGAAATATAAGAGGAGGCCTTAGAATAACACAGAAGGCAAAATCATATTTCTATGTCCCTAAAATAAATATTTAGGGACATACAAAATGTGGAATGTAAGGAAAAGATATGGGATCAGGTTCAGGCATATTCTACACCTTGGAGTTGCTGGTAAAGCTATGTTGTGGGTAAGCGGATGTTTGTTTTTATTTTTATTGTTTTAAAAAAGCAATTAATGGTTTATATAATGTTTTGCATATATAATTATTATGAAAAGAAAAATTTTATTTGTATAGAGATTTCTCAGTGGAGAGTAAGGAGGTAAGTTTTTTGTTGTTATTTTTGTTTGTTTGTTTGAGAGACAGGGTCTTTCTATGTCTCTGTCTCCCAGACTGGAATGCACTAGCAGGATCCTAGACTGTAGCTCACTGCAGCCTTGATCTCCTGGGGTCAAGCAATCCTCCCTCCTCAGCCTCAGCCTCTCAAAAGTGCAGGATTATAGATGTAAGCCATCATACCTCGCCTTTTTTTTTTTTTAATTCATTTTGGTAACTCAAGAATTTCAGTCTATTTACTTCACTCGTCTTTGAAATTGGCAAAACTATCTAAACAAATATTAAATTACATGTGAGATTTAATCTAATTTAATGTAAAAATTCTATTAAAACTACTTGATGTTTTCTATTTTGGGGTAATTTTTCAATGAAAATTTTTAAATGTTACTTTACAGGGCTAGATAAAACACTTCTGTTCATTAAGATAAATTGCTAAACCATATTTTAATTTCATCTCTTCCTCTATATCATAGGTTTTTTTTAAAAAAAAGACAGGTCTTGCTTTATTGCATATTTTAATTTTATCTCTTCCTCTATATCATAGAGTTTTGTTTTTTTTTTAAACAGGCCTTGCTTTGTTGCCCAGGCTGGGGTGCAGTGGCATGATCACGGATCACGATAACCTCCACTTCCCAGGCTCAAGCAATCCTCCCTCCTCAGCCTCCTGAGTAGCTGAGACAATAGGTATGCTGTTTTATTTCTTAATACTACCTTTATGGTGGAGGTTTCTTAATAGTACCTATAAGGTGAAAACCTTCTTCTGCTGCCTTCCTGGTGCCTCAGAATGGACAAACAGCCCTGGGGCTAGGTGTCTTGCAGACTCCAACTTTCTTCTTAATTTATAAATTACTATAGAGGACATTTATCATGTTTTTAGTTAAATATTTCCATTTAAAAAATTCCATCAGAGAAAAGCAAATCTAACATAAATTAACTCCAGTCCATCTTTTTAACAGTCACTCTTTAAAATTCTCAATAGAATGTTTCCATAAAACCAGTTTTACCAGAAGGTGTGATAAGAAAGTAAATTTCAGTTTTGATTGCTTTAGAATATAAAGTCCGCTCAACATTTCATTCATTCATTTTAATTATACCATTTGTAAGTAGTTTATGGTGGACTGGCCCTGAGCCAGACTCCTGTGTGCACAGGCAATGCACTTCAGTGATGATGTTTCTCCCTTCCACATGTCATATCAAGAAAAGGAGACTACTCTACTCATGTGATCTATTTTGAACAATATCAGGCTTATTACTGGGCTTTACCAGTTTTTCAGAGTATTGATTTTCTACTCTACTGAATATAAAAATCATATCTCTATATAGGGTCCATTTTTAATAGAAGGACCAATGAGTGTCTGAGTTCAAACGGGTCTATAAAGAGAAGGGTTGACAGTCAGTCAACACAGATTTATATAAGAAGGGAGATAAAAAATGAAAAAGAATATAAGCAAGAGAGAAGAAGAGATTGGAGAGAGATTAGTTTCATTTTTGTTCTGTTATGAAGAGCTATTTCTTTTCTATAATTTCCCAAAGCTGAACTCATTCATTAGTTTATTCACTGATTGAATAAACATGTTTGGAGAAACTACTGTGAATCAGGGAATTATGTCAGGTACCACTGCAAAATTTCTTAAAAGTTTTCCAGAAAGTTTCTCTCTAATATTACTTGATATAAAAGGTTTAAAGGCTATGTAACTTTAATGAAGGGACAGATGAAGGTTAAACAAGTTTTTTACTACAGAACTTGCATAAATTATTGAAAGGACATATAGCCTAAACAAAGGGGTTGAAGAATGTTAAACAAGTTTGTTTATTGCAGACTTTCTCATGACTTTTAATTTATAAGTATGCATTATAAATTTCCAAAAGAAGCATATTCTATGCAGATTTTTCTAAGAATATTTCATTGAATAATCATTTTTATGTTTGTTTTTCATTTTAGGTTCATTTTAAGCAATGAAAAAAGACATGAAAATGATTATTCAATCAAATATTTTAAGCATTTAACCCTGAATATGAGTTTAAGATAGGAAGCTGCTCTTTGTAGATTCACAATTCTAAATATAAGCGACAGGTGGGAAGAGGAGGCTTGGTTTTGTTCTTCTGTTTTTGTGTTCAGTTTTATTTTTGGAAAACACCATGTTTGCATTAAATATTTAATATCCTCTCCTATCAAAGTGGTCATTTGGTTTTCTGGGGTTTTTTTCTAGCTTTATTGGGTATGATTGACAAAAATTTAAGATGTACAGTATTTAATGTATGTATATGTTGTGAAATGATTACCAAAATAGGACTAATTACCATATCCATCACTCTAAATAATTACCTTTTTGTGAGTGTTATTTAATACTAACAATTTTAGCTTTTGTATTTAACGGTTCTTCATACATACTAATTTATGCAGCAATTATTTATTGTATGTTATTATATACCAGACACTAAAAATAGGAAATACGTTTTTGTAATAATTTTGCATTTTTTAAACTTAAATTATATCTTTAACCTACAGAGTGTTATGGCTTCTTTAGGAGCTTAAATGGCTTTAATAACATTCTTTGATAAATTGAATCATTTCTGTGACACTTACAGATCATAATAATTCAAGTAAAATTTGAGTGTAATTGAAAAATCTCCTATCAGTAAATACCCATTTTCATTACTCTTTAGCAAAAAGAAAAAAAACTGCTTTAAAAGCAGTTGATTACAAATTCTATGACTGTATCTGAAAATTTGGAAAACAACACTTAACTAAATATATTCTTTATGTTTCTGCTATAGAAAAACAGAGATTGAAGAAGAAACAAATAATATTTTAAAATGTGTATCTAAGCTGTATTTAAGCTAAGAGACCATTATGAGGGGGGAAATGTTCTTATAATTAAGAAGGAACTACTGAAGCCATATGACCTCGTTAATCACCTTTTGCAAAAATCTCAAGCCATTTTAAAAATAGTCTGTGCCCAAGACATGAATATGCCTGTAACAGTCAAACTCTTAACTTTCTGCTAAATTGCCTAAAAACAGTCAAGAACCCTGCAGTTAAAAGGTTGTACAAGTAAGCCTATTAAAAATAATAAACTAGGATCTATTTAATTATATTATTCGTTAGTAACTGCCATTGAAAAACAAGAGCAGGATAATATCTGAATAAGCATTAGATTTAAAAAGGGGAGATGTGCTAATGAAAAATTACCTCATTAGCAATGAGTAATAACATAATTTGCAAACATTTATATGTGACCCAAGAAAAACAAATGTGGAAGAGTAGTTTTCTAATCTGGTTAGAGCTGGCAAAACCTTGTTTAGACTAGAGCAAAATGTGAATCCTTTCCAGGCTTTGAAGCTGAGTCAACACAGAAAGAATGAAGTGTAGATTTATTTTGGACAACTCTCTATAATTTGGAATATTACAGAACCTTTTCCAAAGTTCACTGCATAATTTGGACTTCTTTTTTACTCACTCTGTATAATTTGCGTATCTAGAACTAAAGAAGGTGTAAATGGTACCAGAAGGGTTATGGGGGGTATACAAAAGTCAATCACGTTTGTTTAAAAACGAAAAATCCAAAAAACTGTATGTTCAAAAATAAAGAAATTGACACATGCACACTAATTTTGTTTCTCAAAAAAAATCTCTATTTTAAGATTGGCATGGAGAAATTAGCTTTTAAACAAAAACTGGGACATATAGTTTGACAATCCATGTCTTCCATGTGAATTATTTATAAGGACAGTTTTGCAGTGTTTTAAAATTGAACCAATTTAGTTACACAATTAGCAAACCACATTTATTAAAAATTTATCCTCTTTCAACCAGAATATAAGCCTATCATGTATAAGAAAAATGTGGTATTCAACTTGTTATCATCAGATTCTAGAGCCTTGCATATAGATTTTGTACAATTAATCTTTTCAATTGTTGAATGAAATCTTATAGGTAATTAGAAATTTACTGGAAAACCCAACCTGTTTGGTCCGTTTACATTTAGGCAGTAGAGTCAGGTTTCAAATAAACCCTTCTGTATTACCATAATGGTGTTTGTTGGTTGGTTGGTTTTGAGATGGAGTTTCACTCTTGTTGCTGAGGCTGGAGTGCAATGGTGCGATCTCAGCTCACTGCAACCTCCACCTCCCGGGATCAAGCGATTCTCCTGCCTCAGCCTCCCTAGTAGCTGGGATTACAGGTGCCTGCCACCATGCCCAGCTAATTTTTTGTATTTTTAGTAGAGGCGGGTTTCACTGTGTTGGCCAGGCTGTTCTCAAACTCCTGATCTCAGGCTATCCACCCGACTCAGCCTCCCAAAGTGCCACAGTGTTTTTTGAGAAGACCTTTCCTTTTACATTGTGTGAAGAATTACTACAATTATCCGTTTTACACATCTCATGTCTAAATGCAGCAAGGGAATGGACCAGGGCAGAGTTAAATTGGACCATACACAGTATTGTTGCAGTAGTTTTTACAAATGAGCATGTGCTATATTGCTTGATCTACAGAGCTTCAGCATTCTCTATTATCTTGAAACCCGGAGGAGGAAAATCCTGGAATTTAGTTCTGTCAGTCTGTCAGGATTTCAAGACCACGTGCCATTCCTATACCTCTCCCTGCTCTTCTTCTGAATTTTTGGACATTGGGCAAGAGAATTTTATGACCCTCTTTAATAGGAAAAACTATTCCCAACTATATCTTCTGTATCGACTGTCTCTATTTTGATGTTACTTGCTCTGATTTAAGACAATGGCACTTTTTTATGAAAACAAACTTGACCACTCTGCATTCTATTTTTCCTTTGTTTTTAAGTGTCTTTAGAATAATTCAAACTAAAAGAATCTTATTCTGGGTACAGGAAAGTCTACTATGAAGCATGCTAATTGAAAAGCACTCAACTTTTCATCAATCTTACCACCATGTCTCCAGATATAGAGAGATCTCTATTGATAACATGCTCCTGGAGATGAACTTTAAAATATTTAACATAATGGCAGTGGTCTAGCTTAGAACAGAGTGTCTAATCCCAGTTTTCCTTCATTCTCTCATTTTCCACTTTCTCCTTATCCATCTCCCACCTTCTTTCTCATGATTCATGATCTAATATTAATTTTATATGCTTGTTGGTATGAAGCACTTATTTCCAGGGGCATAAAGATATGTGTGACAAAGTCTCAACTTATGTTTAAAGACTCTCCCTTCTCCCAGTATCTTATACACAGGTTTATGCACATAGGCAGCCTGTAACAAATTCCTACAAAACATATATATATATATATACTTTCATATTGATTTAAGAAGACATAACTTCTTAAACGTAATCAACAAATGTTCTCTTCATATAAGATCTCTGTATTCTAAACAACTGCAGAAAAGTAGTGCAAGTATCTACACCTCTTTATGAGTATAGACTCATATCTACATGAACACAGTAAATGAAAGACAAAACATGGAAAAAATTACGCTGCGCTAATGTTTCTCTAGGAATAAAATTGGTACATGAAATATGAAATATATGCATTTAAAAATATTTGGTTTTGAAATGTAATGCCCATCCTAAGGTTTTTCATTAAGGTTAATTATTACTTTTATCTACTTATGTATTATCTGTTTTACTTAGCACAAATTTTTGTATGAATTTGAAAAATGTGGAGGAGTCAACAAGCTTCTGAAACAATCATCTTCTAATAAGAAAAATTTTACATGCAGGTTCATACGTCTCAGTTCATAGTCATATTTTGATTGTTAATGAACAACTAAGATAATGCGTTAGCTTACAGGATTAATACTGACCTTTTATCGAAGGATTTCTGTTGCAACAAATCCTATTGTGTCTGGAATTGGTGGGTTCTTGGTCTCACTGACTTCAAGAACGAAGCCGCGGACCCCTGCGGTGAGTGTTACAGCTCTTAAGGTGGCGCGTCTGGAGTTTGTTCTTTCTGATGTTCAGATGTGTTCGGAGTTTCTTCCTTCTGGTGGGTTCGTGGTCTCGCTGGCTCAGGAGTGAAGCTGCAGACCTTCGCGGTGAGTGTTACAGCTCTTAAGGCGGCGCGTCTGGAGTTGTTCGTTCTTCCCGGTGGGCTCATGGTCTCGCTGGCTTCAGGAGTGAAGCTGCAGATCTTCGTGGTGAGTGTTACAGCTCATAAAAGCACTGTGGACCTAAAGAGTGAGCAGTAGCAAGATTTATTGCAAAGAGGGAAAGAACAAAGCTTCCACAGCGTGGAAGAGGACCTGAGCGGGTTGCCACTGCTGGCTCCGGCAGCCTGCTTTTATTCTCTTATCTGGCCCTACCTACAACCTGCTGATTGGTAGAGCCGAGTGGTCTGTTTTGACAGGGTGCTGATTGGTGCGTTTACAATCCCTGAGCTAGACCCAAAGGTTCTCCACGTCCTTATCAGATTGGTTAGATATAGAGTATGGACATAAAGGTTCTCCAAGGCCTTACCAGAGCAGCTAGATACAGAGTGTCGATTTGTGCACTCACAAACCCTGAGCTAGACAAAGGGTGCTGATTGGTGTGTTCACAAACCTTGAGCTAGACAGAGTGCTGATTGGCATATTTACAATCCTTGAGCTAGACATAAAGGTTCTCCAAGGCCCCACCAGAGCAGCTAGATACAGAGTGTCCATTGGTGCACTCACAAACCTTGAGCTAGACACAGGGTGCTGATTGGTGTGTTTACAAACCTTGAGCTAGATACAGAGTGTGGATTGGTGTATTTACAATCCTTGAGCTAGACATAAAGACTCTCCACGTCCCCACCAGACTCAGGAGCCTAGCTGGCTTCACCCAGTGGATCCCGCACCGGTGCTGTAGGTGGAGCTGCCTGCCAGTCCTGCATGCGCTCGCACTCCTCAACCCTTGGGTGGTCGATGGGACTGGGCGCCGTGGAGCAGGGGGCGGCGCTCGTCAGGGAGGCTCGGGCTGCATAGGTACCCACGGAGGCGGGGGAAGGCTCAGGCATGGCAGGCTGCAGTCCTGAGGCCTGCCCCGCGGGAAGGCAGCTAAGGCCCGGCGAGAAATCGAGCGCAGCGCCGGTGGGCTGGCACTGCTGGGGGACCCAGTACACCTTCCGCAGCCGCTGGCCCGGGTGCTAAATCCCTCATTGCCCGGGGCCCGCAGGGCCGGCCGGCTGCTCCGAGTGCGGGGCCTGCCAAGCCCACGCCTACCTGGAACTCCAGCTGGCCCGCAAGCGCCGCGCGCAGCCCCGGTTCCCGCTCGCGCCTCTCCTTCCACACCTCCTTGCAAGCTGAGGGAGCCGGCTCTGTCCTTGGCCAGCACAGAAAGGGGCTCCCACAGTGCAGTGATGGGCTGAAGGGTCCCTCAAGTGCCGCCAAAGTGGGAGCCCAGGCAGAGGAGGCGCCGAGAGGGAGCGAGGTCTGTGAGGACTGCCAGCACGCTGTCACCTCTCACTATCACTCACTCACTCACTCACTCACTCACAGTTAATGTTGTAGTTGGAAGGGCCAACTGAGGTTACAGCAGAAAAATGAACAAGATTTAAGCACCAATACTTGTGAAATCCATGAAGCATAGCTAAAATAAGTAGTTTTAAGTAGTTTAAAAGTACTTAAAATCTTACCTTTAAGACAAGATTAAGTATCAAGTTCATGGTAGATCCTGGTAATCTGAAGAATGCCGCCTTCCAAAAATAACACACCCTAATCCTCGGTGCCTGTAATATGTTATCTTATGTGGGTAAAGAGATTTTGAGGATGTGATTGAATTCAGAATCTTGAGATCCTGAGATTAACCTAGATAATTAAAGTAAAGCAAATATGAGTGCAAGGTCCTGGTAAGAGTGATGCAAGGGGATCAGAAGAGTAGTAGGAGGTGTGATGAAGGGAAGGAAAGCAAGAGGTTAGTGTAGTGCAGAGAAGGGGACCCCAAACTGAGACATGTGGGTGCCTTCTATCAACCAGGAAAGACAAGAAATGAATTTTCCCTTAAAGTCATCAGAGAGAACTACCCCAGCCAATGCCCCTGAGAAGGAATTTGGACCTCTGGCCTCCAGAACTATAAAAGAATACATTTTGTTACCTCAGCAATAGGAAACTAATATATAGATGTAAATCATTTTTGAGGGGTATGGGGGAGAATCCAAAACAACTTCAGATGCCCTTAAAGATGTTCTCCTTTTTTACAGGGGACTTGTGAGACAAAATATGATGATGAAAATGATCTATTTCCACAAAGTTTAATATTCACACTATGCTGAAAAAAAACTGATTTTAATGCCATTTTACATTTTTCCAACATCTCCTTTTCATTTCTATTTAATTCTCAAGGATTAATATAATTAATCTACTTGTAGGTCAAAAATCCTAAACATTTTATGATTTTTATGTCTTCTGTTTAAGATAAGAGATTCTCATAAAATTCGTCTTATTTAAAATTTAGTATGTAAATGTGGCAATTTGTGAAATAAACTTGTATCATTGAATTTTGATTATCAAGTTCAGAAAGAAAGGAAATAGAATTTGACTGTTGCCTGGACATCAGAAAATGTGGGTCCTACCTTGACTTAGTACATTCAAGCATCTATAACTAGCATACCCTGATAGTTTTTAAACCCCAGAAATTTATTTCTCATATTCAGAGGCTGGGAAGTTAACAATCAAGGTACCAGCATATTGGGTGTTTGATGAGGGACAGTTTCCTGATTCATAGACAGTCTTCTCATTGAAACCGCACACGGCAGAAGGAGTGAGGAGGGATCCCCCTGAAGCCTCTTTTTTAAAAGCACTGATCCCACTCATGAAGGCTCTGCCCTAATCACCTTTTCACTTCCCAAAGACTTGACCTTCTAATACCATCACTTGGTGATTTAGTTTTCAACATATTAATTTTAGGGAGGACATAAACATTCAGAACATATTATTGTCCCTGGATCCCAAAATTCATTATCTTCTCAGATGCAATACTCTTCCCATTCATTTCAGTCTATTGTCTCCAAAGTATTAACTTGTTCCAGCAGTAACTAAAAAGTTTAAAGCCCAAAGTCTCATCTAAATATTACCTATGTCAGATAGGGGTGAGACTTAGGGTACAATTCATTCTGAGGCAAATTATTCTCCATCTGTGAACTTGTGAAATTAAACATATAATGTGCCTCTAAAATACAATTGTGGTTCTGGCATAGGATAGATACTCCCACTCAAAAAGAAAGAAATTTGAAAGAAGAAGAGAGTGAAATGTCTCTAGCAAATCTAAACCCTTAAGGCTCAAGAATATGAATATATATATATGTATTTTTTTTTTTAATTTGGCCCTCTGTCCTTTAGACCTGCTGGAGCCAATGACCACAGTTTTGCTGAACACAACCCAAACTGCAGCTTTCATGGGTTAAGTCATGTGCCTAAAGGTCTCCTTGCTCAGAATTGCCTGCCAGTGGCTTTACCCATTTAAGATCATAGGAATATAACTCTTGCAAGCTGGACCTTTGACAGGAGGGGCAGCACTGATGATTTCCATTTTCTTCCATAGTCTTAGAAAATAGGTCCTCGTTTTTGTTTACATGGCTGGCTAATTTCCACATTGTCTTGATCAATAGCTTCTAGCTTCAGTTGAGATGGCTGAACTTTATTCTTTTTACCACACTCTTATTCTCTTTCACACAGGCTTTCTTATTTTTGCGATATGGATAGACTGAGAATTTTCCTAATTTTTAAGTTCTGTTTCCCTTTTGATGAACAATTCTGTCTTTAAATCATTTCTTTATTCTCTCATTTTAACATAAGCAGTCAAGAGGAGCAAGGCCATTCATAAATATTTTGCTTAGAAATTTCCTCCGTCAAATATCCAATTTCACTATGCACCATTTCTACCCTTTCACAAAACACTAGGATGCAGACATAATTCAACCAAGTTCTTTGTCACTTTATAGCAAGAATTGCCTCTTCTCTAAAATACAATAACATGTTTCTAATTTCTGTCTGAAACCTCATCAGAATGGCCTTTACCATCTATATTTCTAACAATATTGTGTTCAAAATATCTCAGGTATTCTCCAAGTCAATAGAGACTTTCCCTAAATCACTCCTCCTCTCCTTCTAAGCCTTTTCCAAATTTCCCTAAACAATTTGTTCATGGTAATGTGGACTTTTTCTAACCTGCACTTCAAAAGTCTTCCAGCCTTTACCCATTACTAGTTCTGAAACCACTTCCACATTTTAATGCATTTGTTACATCACCTCTCCACTTCTTGGTATCAATTTTCCGTCTTAGTTTATTTGGGCTGCTATAACAAAATGCTAAAGACTGGGTATAGTATTTTTTTAAGTAGAAATTTATTTCATAATTCTGGAGGCTAGAAGTCTGAGATTAGTGTGCCAGCCTAGCTGAGTTCTAGTGACAGCTCTTGCCTGGGTTGCAAACAGACAACTTCTTGCTGAAGTTGGCAGAATGGCAGAGGAATCTCCCTGCACTCTCTTTTATAAAGACACTAATTTATTCATGAAGTCTCTACCCTCATGGTCCAACAACCCCCAAAGACCCTCACCAACTAACAGCATCAACTTGAGGGATGAGATTTAACATATAAATTTTCAGGGAACACATTTATTCAGACCGTAGTTTAGCTAAGTGGGTTTCAAGTAAGTCAACAAATTATGTCATTTCCCATTTTCCTCAATTTTTAAAAGCAAATGATGAAAGTAGATTGTTTTTAAGGCACCTTTCCTCTTGAAAATATATTATTACATGACATGGAGAATGTAATAAGTGAGTTCCCTTGACATAGTGAGTCTGTCTTAGAAAAAGACTCCATCTTACGTTTCAAAAGCCATCAAGCCAATAGGGTCCAGATGTTTGCCTAGTCAGTAGAGATAATACCAAATCAGATAAGGGTGTAACCCTTTACTATCAATTCTCACCAGAGGACTCAAGGTTCATAAAATGAGCAGAAATTCAGCAGGTAGACATGGCCTTCTTGATAGCCCCTGTCTTTTCATCATTCATGATCAGCAGCACCTCATATCTGCCGCTGAAGACTCTGCCTAAATCAAGGATTCTTCTTTGCAAGACGTTGATGACTGTCTGGATCAGGTGAGGACACTCTCCTTGTCCATGTCACTCTCCTTGGACTGGCTCATTAACACCTTTTTAATCATCTTTTTCTCTTGATGTCAAATGCTACAGTTTGGTTTGAAATTTTAATCTCTAACAGTTATATATTGATTAAATATACTATTACGTGTGGTTTGCAATATTGACTGACTTGTGGAGTGGCTTGAGCCTATGTACCCATGGATCTTAGTGCTGAGTGGTGGGTAGTACCAAGAAGAATTGCCTCCTTGGGAAAAAATTCCAGGTGGCTCATAGCTTCTATTACTGAAATAGTAAAATTCTGACTGTGAAAATACACAAATGTGCATGGATCTGGTTATGTCTGATCTTGTGCCACTCACGACAAAGTGACAGTGAATATTTTTGTTGTTGTTGTTAGTTTCTAATTCCAGCAATAGTCTTAAATTGGGGCTCAAGGAACAAAGCAAGAAGGTCCTCTAAGAATCTCAGAAGAATTCATACCAAAGAACTTAACCTGAGGCTACCTCTTCAGCTGGATAGCTTGTAGACTTGTTGGATCCCAGCTGTCTTATATGTGCTGTGGTAAATAAACATTTTCCGGCCTTCATAAAATTTTGAGAAATTGGGTACTGGAAAATAGGAAGAAAGCATAGAATAAAGTTTATTGTTATTAAATTAAACATGTAATGGAGCAACGTAGATCAAGCCCAGTTCAATATTATAACATTTACAAACATTTTGAAACAGCAAAATCAATTACCATGTGAAATCGAACTTATTTAGTAGGATTATCTTGTTTTTCCTGCTTAGTTACTTTAATTATTTTATGCTAATGTTCCAAGATTTTCCTTTCCAGATAAAGTAAATTTTTCAGCTATCTTGTAGTAACCTTTCAAAACTTCAAATGTTTCTAGTATGCTTTTAAAAAGTAAAAAAAAAAAAGCAAAAGTATTAAGTTTTTATAAAAAAGACATATTTTGGTTTAAAATAGCAAAATAAAGAAAATAGTGAATTAGAAAACCATGGATGATGCCTTTTTTTACTCAAGTTGATTGTAATATTTTAACTAAATTTTATATTGTCTTTGTGAGTAGGTAAAAGGACAAGACAGCTTGATACTAATAATTGTCCTCCCTCTCACTCCAGTGAAAAGTTGACTGTTTTCTATACAATTGCATAATGAAATTGAAGTTGATTAAGAACCTTATATTGGCATAGCATGTATCTACATTTTATAATAAGTATAAAGCTTTCAGTCTAGGTGTGAGTCTAATATACCTTTTTGTTAGCTGAAACTATGGACAAATTTCCTGAGCCTCTCCAGGAATTAATAAAGGTAACCTTCAAGACAGGCTGTTGTAAGGCTTAAGTATGGTAATTCTGTGTTTTGGCACTTATCACAGTCAGTCTCATCAAGCCCTTAAATGATAGCTATTGTCATTTTATTAACATTATTAAACGCCAACTTTTATGATTTCACATTAATTGTTTAGGTATGAGGATACATACAGTCAACAAAGATATAACTAAAACAACAAAAAAAGCATTCAGGTTTAAAATCAAAGACTACTCTGAAAACATTTGTAGTAGAAATAATTATTTTATTTTGACTTTTACTTAAAATGCAAACATCCAAACATTTACCATTTAGGAATACAACTATAAATAATGTTAGTAATTTCTTGTTATTGGCAAAAAGCTTGCATCTGCAGATTATTGAATATCAAAACAGAAATTGAGTTTATCATCAAAATGCTTAATGTCATAACTGCCTTTCTCTGATGCATGTTGCATAAAGCTAAATCACTTAGTTTTGTATAGTTTCTACCTATGGAAGAGGAACTTCCTCTTGCTCAGCTGTATAAGTCAGCCAAAGATAGCTATATTGACAGCTGGAAATCAAGTCAATTTCTCTAATCTATACTCTGATTTTAGGAAATGGCCTCTTCAATTATTTCTTACGAATAGAATTTCCTTTGTGGACTGAGGCAATCCTTGACTTAGTTTCCATATCAGATATGTCTTGTTTTACTACTCCTGTTAAATGCTGGAATTGTGTTCTGTAATTTTAGTACTAATCCCAGCCAGTCCTTCAGAGTGCCCCCATGAACTTCCTTGATGATTTGCTTTTGTTGAATTTTGAAAATTAGGAGACATTTTCCTCATAGTTTTTATTTTACGTTCGTTTCTTTATCCTTTTCTCTTGCCTAAAGAACATCGTGTTTCTGATAACATGCCATGCTCTGAAATACCTTTGTCATCTGAAGTCCCTTCTCTGATGCCTTTTCATTCTCAACACCAGCACATAGCCAGTTCTATCCCTGTGTTTTAGTCAGATATAGTGGAAACAAATAAACACTGTACTCCATTCCAGCCTTGAAAGAAGAAGCAAATTGTTTGCTCTGTCAAAGTGGTGCAAGAAAATAAAATTTTAAAAAAAATCCCAGTGTGTGCTAAGTCAACAGTAGTCACCCTAGGCCAATCAGTGACTTTGCATGTGAGGTAAATTTGTGTGCTCTGGGGGAAAAGTAGAAGAAGATATTTGAGGTCTAAGACACTTGAAATGATAAGAAAGGCAAGCTATTTCAAACGGCATGGCACAGATGCAGTCAGGAGAGGGGATAGTACATCTGCAGCATTGTCTTTAGAACAGGACTCTCCTGGGTTTATGTAAAACCATCATTAGTCACCTGCTGTGTGATCTCCCTCAACTGCCCTGACAGATTACTCACTCATCTGTAAAAATGAGAGTAAAAAGCTATCTCATTGAGGGTAAGGGTTAAAAATGAAAATACTTATGTTAAAGACCTGCAACAACATAGTAGGAACATGAAATATCAGTGATAATGATGATAATGGTAATACTTACTACTGTGTTTTAATTTAGGATCTTTAAGATGGAGAGCACCCTTTCAATGATTAGGAGAGACACAACATGAAAATAGCTTATTATTTACAGATCTTGAGGGGTATAGACATGTCTGGAGGCCACACACATGAGGGTTAAGGAGCAGGTGGAGAGACAGAGAGAAAGAGACCGTGGATCAATGTCTTTATTGGGATCTAGGACATTATTCAAACAGATTTCCTATGGGAAGTTTTGCTTGGTAGGTTTAAAGCAAGCAGACACAAAGTCTCAGAGGTAACATTGTGACTGGAAAATGGTCACAGTTGCATATCTGCACAGTCCGTATGGGATGTGGAGATTAGCAGGGCCAGTCAAGTAGGCTATATCTAGCTGTCGCTTAGGGAAGTGGTCACAACCGGGAAGTTGTTTAAGGCAGATATCTGGATTGATTACACCGGGGAACTGAGAGTTGGTGTAGGACTAGAAACTGTTTCAAGAGTGACTAAGCTTTACTTCTGGTATAAAAAATGTAAACATATTCAAAATGGATACCAAGGCAACATAAAATTATAAGAATTCACTATATATTGGCATAATCATTGTATTGGTATCAGCTGAAAATCTCTTACTTACCCAGACAGTCTTCCTCCTGCCATGTTTCCTTCCACATTTACCCCTCAAGATATATATTGTCAATTTACGTAGTTTTACTCTCTAAGTTTGCCTTTGAACATCAACCAAATTCCTACACACAAATGTTGGTGTAACTGTAATGGGTATCATTTTTTTTTCAGGACTCTTACCCTCTAGTAACGTACTTGCCATTCCTTACCTTCTTTAGCAATTTCTCCAAACAGAGCAAGTGACCAGTCACCACAGCAGCCTCAAGCCCCAAATTTCAAAATTTTCTGTGGAAAATTAAGGTTGCTATTTGAAACAAAGAGATTGAAGCCAAGCAAAGTAAATAACAAAAGTGAGTATGCTCTGGATATGAAAATTTTAAAGCAATGTTACTAAAGTTGTAATAATGGCCCATAGAAGAAGTATGCATAAACACACACCATGTCATTTGACATTTAGTTCTTTGCAAAGTGATTTGATGTTTCGGGGCTTAAAAATACTGTGTAATCTATTTAATATTTACATAGCAATTTATATTTGTTACAATCTTACACGACTGTTATTACTTTGTGATTTATACTTGCCCAGTGTGCAAACTACTTCCCACATATTAAGGGAGAGCTTTTGAAACTGATCACTTTTTCAGCCTCAATAAGTTGTCATGTTATAAATTACAGTAAGATTAAACACTCATTAGTTCAGTAACCTGTTCAAGTCCAGTGTAAGCTAATGCAGCCTAAAGGAAATAGACCAGCATCCTTAGACATGGCATTGATCTCTCTGCTTTATTGAGTTGATGCTCCTTTCAATGACAGTATTTGATTCTATAATTGAGACTTCCAATAAGAATCCATAAGAATTTAAGAAAATTTAGCTACTTAAATATTCAATAAATTCAAATATCCTGAAAAACCTACATTGTTCAAAGCAGGATCAATGATTTTGAATTATCAGAAATTCATCTAAGTTTCAAGAATATGTTTTGAATTTGATTGGCTCAACTCAGAGTTATTAAGCTAGTGTTCAATACTAGGTTCAAAGTGGTATACAGCAAACAATGAAAGGGATAGGGCATCTGTAATGTGTAACTGACATTTCCTGTATCCCTTTTTCTATTTACAGTATAATCAAGATACCAGATAAATCTGGGTTTTGAATAAATAAGGCAGGTATAAACTAACCAAGAGCATCCTGGAGCTGACATTTGCTTGCACTGTGTCACTAAAACTAAGCTGTGAATCATAATGCTTCATATTGCTTCAACATTTAATGTGAAATTACAGAGCAAGGCAATAAGTAGGGCTGAATAGTTTTAATGCAGTATATTACTTGGTTGCATACCCTAACTCAATGTTTTAAGTTAAAGACAATCTTTAGGCCAGACGCAGTGGTTCACACCTGTAATCCCAGCACTTTGGGAGGCTGAGGCGGGCGGATCACCTGAGGTCAGGAGTTTAAGACCAGCCTGGCCAACATGACGAAACCCCATCTTTAGTCAAAATACAAAAATTAGCCAGGAGTCATGGAGCCTGTACTCCCAGCTACTCAGGAGGCTGAGACAGGAGAAACATTTGAATCAGAAGCTGGAGGTTGCAGTGAGCCGAGATCACGTCACTGCTCTCCAGTCTAGGGGACACAGCAAGACTCTGTCTCAAAAAAATAAAAAAAAATCTTGAAAGCCTGCTGATAGTTAAAATTCTGTTGATTTAAGTAACCACATATTAATTGTTCTTCAATAGAAATAATTTTTATTTATGAAACTTTGTTTTATGTGTAGATACTAACTTTATTAATAATAATGCTCCCCACTTTCATATATGCTACATCACTGACCAATTTTAACTGTTTTCTCTTTTCCAGAAATCACAGGAGAAACCAAAGATGTTTTGGCATCAACTAAACTTGGATTGTAACATTGACTCTGCCACTTTCTAGTTGTAATGAGCTTCAATTTTTGTCTTCTTATAAAATGAGGATAATATTCCACACTTCACAGAGTTATTGTAAGAATCCATTTAAGTAAATGAAGTAACTGACATGAAAACTGATTATGTAACTTGCCTAAGTCTTCCAACTAGGAATGATGCTGCATATATTTAAATCTCTGTCTGTGACACTAAGGTAAGTGATTTTGAACTACATCTTGTTGGTATTGGAAACAGTGCACAGTAAACTGTTATGTACTCAACCTTTATTTCTGCACGGAACCTTGCACACTGCTTCTATTAAATACACACAGTTATAAATCTTATGCATTTAAAGTTTCTGTCATAGTGTGTAAATCTCTTACTCTGAATACTAAGGTAGAGAGGAAAGGTGCTCCTTCAGGTTCAAGAAGATTATACAAACCAGTTCTAAGAAAGCGCCAGCCCTTCTTACCATGTAGTCATTTTAAAATAGATCGACAAATTATTTAATAATCCTCCACCCTTCTAAAGGTGGAGCCTGATTTCCCTTACCTTAAACAAGTACTATACTTACTAATTTGCTTCTAATGAATGAAATATGGTGGAGGTGATTATGTGTGATTTCTGAGACTAGATCATGAAAGAAACTACCTTATCCTGTTCTTTCTCTTAGACTGCTTGCTCTGGGGAAAATCTGTTGTCATGTCATGTGAACCCTCAAGCAGCCCTAAAGAAAGGTCCACATGGCAAAGAATTGAGTTCTTCTGCCAGCAGCCAGCAAGGAAATGAAACCCTGTGCCAATAGCCACATAAGGGGACAATCTTGAGTGAACCTTTCAGTCCCAATCAAGCCTTTAGGTGATGGCAACTCAGGCCAACAGCTTGATAGCAACATTATGAAAGAATCTGAACCAGAATCACCTGACTAATCGATGCTTAAATTAATGACTCACAGAAAATGTTAGATAATAAATGTTTAGCGTTATAATCCACAAAGTGTTAGGGTAATTTGTTTTGAAGCAATAGATAGATAATGCACTACTGCTCTAAAGGATGCACAAAGAAACATATCCAAGACTTCTGCCTTTTTTTTTTTTTTTTTTTGAGACTGAGTCTCACTCTGTTGCCCCGGCTAGAGTGCAGTGGCGCGATCTCGGCTCACTGGACCCTCCACCTCCCGGGTTCAAGCGATTCTCCTGCCTCAGCCTGTGCTACAGCTGGGACTACAGGCGTGTGCCACCATGCCCAGCTAATTTTTTTGCAGTTTTAGTACGGACGGGGTTTCACCATGTTAGCTAGGATAGTCTCAATCTCCTGATCTCGTGATCTGCCCGCCTTGGCCTCCCAAAGTGCTGGGATTAAAGGCTTGAGCCACCACTCCCGGCCCCTTTTTTTAAAGAGCAAAAGGAAATTCTGCTAATTTTTTTTGAGACATTTATTACAAAACAAATCAATTTGCACGAATCTAGTAGGTGAGTTCAGTTGGAATAAAGGAGTATAATTTATCTAAGCAACAAATTTGAAGTTTGTTGCCATGATATTCCTTTGAGTATCAGATTATCATATAAGGTAAAGCACTGTAGAACTTTTTAGGCAAAATGGGAGAAACATGAGCATTAGTAAATTTTTAAAATTCTTCTAGTATCCCAAGGGAATTATGTTCTCCAGGTGACAGTAGATCTAAATTAAGACTCGCAATCATGACTTCAACTTTGATGCAGATCATAAAATCACAGAAAGGAAACTTTCATCAGAACTCAGTCAAAAATAATGCAATACTTAAGCAGACTCCAAGTGCTTGGGGAGTGAACCTCAGCTTTATAGATGCGCATACAGCTCCCACAAACTTCAGAACCCTCTCATAGAGGGCAAGTTGCTGATGCATTACAGAATGCTTCTGGCTGGCACTCTGTTTAAACAACCTCAAGTGATGCGTAGCTGTTGGTGCTCTCTTCCAAGTTGGAATCTAGTCTTTTAAGCTTAGATTTCCAGCTTCATTTCTGGAAGAAACAGAATAGTTCTCTCTTTAATTCACTTAACATTTTGTATTAGTTTATGAGATATTTTCAAGAGGAAGAAATCATAGAATAAAATAGATATTTAATAATAGGCATTAGTATTAATATTATTAATAATACAAAGCATTTTATGATAATGATAGAACTTTAACACCCTTTGTTCTCAGCACATTTTACCTATCCCAGGTCTATTCTCCTGTCACTGAAAACACACCTACGTAGTCCTATCACATATTCTGGGCACATTGTAGGTACTGATAGGACTTATTGAAGGAAAAATATATATATAACTTCCAATAGATGAAACGCTAATTGGTATGTTATACTTCTTTGGCGAAAGGCATTGTCCTCTTTGATCTACTGTACAATGAGATTTATCTGGAGCATCAAAGCTTTCCATAAAAACTGAAAAAATGTTTTGAACAGTAACATAAGCATCAAATTATTGTGACTTCTTAGGGAAGTGCAGAAAGATGGAGCAGCATCACACTTTTTGAAATAAGCAGATCATCTTCTTAAATAAAAGGCTAGTGTTTTGAGGACAACATGTTTTGGAATAGATCATTTCAATTATTGATTTTTGATGTATTATTAAGACCTGGCGTCTTCTTTTTAAGGTTAAGAAATGATTTTCTCTTTTAAATCTACGTTCCCACTAGCCTGTTCAATGCTTTTCTAACACTGATATTAATGGAATAATATAACTACCATAATTTCACATTTTCATTTCTTTAAGAGAAAAAACTCTCAGAATATCTCTTATGGTTCATGCTTTAATAATGATGTCAGTTATAATACTACAGGGGAACCATCATTTCTTCAATATGAACAGGAAAATTAGAGCTTAAGAGCCAAGACTAGAGTGATGGCCTAAAGGCAAAACACCAAGACTGCCTTTAATTCAGGATGTAGATCTACCTATAACCAAATAAGTAGACCTCTCATGTTACTAAATAGTCTAATTTAGTCCAGTAGAGAACTAAACTTAATTTTGTACACAAAGCTCACTAAACTAATAAAGAATATATGCATTTTTCTGGCCTTCCCTCTTGCATTTCTTTCTTAGGACTTTGCATAATGGTTGTTACTGAGGACTAAGTCTTCTAAATAATAAAGGCAACATAACTTTAAAAAGCCCATTTTAATGGCTTTCCTTTGAGAGTGGTCCACAGTGAATTCTAGTCACTTGTAGTCATAGCTCCATCCTCTGTAACCCTTTCTTGATACAGTGAACTGCAAATGAGAATACGAGCTGAAAGTTTGTGTTTTGTACATACAAATACTTATATAGGTTTTATGCAGCTGTGTAAGCACACACATACACACACACACACACACACACACACACACACACACTGTATTAGGTAAAGCTTTTCTTGAGGGATCATAATGGAAGTTGCAAACTCTTATCCTTCCAAATGGTTGACATTTCAAATTATTGACAGAGGGACAGAGGAGGCATGAGGGGGCACTGTGCCATCACCTTGGGCAGGTTTGAATTAAAATCAATAGGACTTCAACAGGTGCTGACTATACCAGGAGAGGATGTAGGCAGCTCTTATCACTGCTTTACATCACACTGTAGAACAATAAGCACTTTTCCTTACTGCTGCCTCAAGGCAGTAGATAATTTTTTAAAATACATGTTTGGTGCTGTGAAAGAAAAATAGAATCTTAGGATCTTCACAGCACTAGGCACTCCATTAGTTGGGACTCTGTCCCTACATCGAGGTGCCTCTGCCTAGGTAGTGCACCCAAGTCTCTGGCAGCCTCCATCTTTCAAAATATAGATGCAGATAGCCATGGTCCCTCTGCTAGTATACTCTGTGTGCCATCAGCGATGGCACTGCATGTGCGCTGCAGAGGTTTACCAGCTGTGCCCTCTGAAAGGGCAGCCACCATAGCCCTCTCCACACCTGGGCCCACTGGAGCCACACTTGGTGTGAGTGAGGAGTGCTGCCCTGGAATGTCAGGAGCAAAGCATGGAAATTATTCTATCGCCTAGGCCCTTGTACTCTGGGCCTGTGATGCAAAGATCAGCTCTAAGAATCTCCAAAATGCCTTTGGGCTCATTCTTCTATTGCATTTATGAATAACACCTGGCTTCTGTTGACATGGAAAATTCACAGAAATCACCTTATTAAATAGTAGCTTGGACACATCCTTGTTGTCTTTTGAAAAAGATTTCTCATATTTTTCTTATATGGATAAATTCAGAGTTTTCCAAATTACTAAGCTCTGCTCCCCTTTGGATTAAAAATGTAACATTTAAGCATTATACTCTTTTAGCATTTTACTTTAAGCACTCAAGAGAAGTCAAGCTGCACTTTCAAGATTTTACTAAGAAATAGCTTCAGCTAAATATCTAATTTCATTACTCCCAAGTTCTACCTTCCACAGAACACTAGGACACAAACAGAATATAGCTAAGTTCTTTGCCACATTATAAGAATTTCCTTTTCCTATTTGTGTTTCCAATAACACATTTCTCATTTTTGTCAGAGACTTCATCATAACGGCCTTTATCCTTCATGTTTATAATAGCATTCTGTTTGGGATTACTTAGGTATTCTCTGAAAATTGAGGCTTTCTGTCTGAGCCCTCACTAGTATCACCCTTAACAGTCTGTTCATAGCAACATAAACTTTTTCTACACTGCAGTTCAAAACTCATCCAGTCTCTACCCATTATCCAGTTCCAAAGACTTCACATTTTAGATGTTTGTTATAGCACCACCTCCCTTTTTCAATACTGATTTTGTTTTTTTGGTCATAGTCTGTTGAGGCAGTTATAACAAAATGTCATGGACTGGGTATCTTATAAGCAACTCTTATTTTTCACAGTTCTAGGGTTTGGAAAGCCCAAAATCAAAGTACTGGCAGATTCAGTACCTATTAGGGCCCATCTCATAAATAGATGATTCATCCTGGGATATCTTTTACAAGGACACTAATTTCATCTATGAGAGCTCTGACTTCATGACCTAAATACTTCCCAAAGGTCCTGCTTCCTAGCACCATTACATTAGTGATTGGGTTCCCATCAAATCTCGGCGGGGGGGTACAAATATTCAGATCATATTATTTACTATGCCAGTGCCAGAACTAGTAAAACAAATGATACCATTTTAACTGTCTAAAAGTGAGGAAATATCTGTCTTTCATAATTGTTTTTTATAGCTACATTTTTATAATATGTGATGAACTAATATGAAGCAACAAATATGATTATAAAGCAACATGAAAATCAGTTAGAATACAACATTTTGGTGCATGAAATCTTATTTTTATTAATATTTTGACTACATAAAATATATTTTCACATTTATAGAATGAGGAAATATGAAAAAGAATAAAAATAATTTTGTTACATAAAAGGCATCCAATTGCAAAAGAGGAAGTCAATTTACCTTTGTTTGCTGATGACATAACTGTCTACCTAGAAAACACTAAAGACTCCTCCAAAGACTCCTAGACTTAAATGATTTCAGTAAAATTTCAGGATACAAAATCAACATACAAAAATCAGAAGTATTTCTAAACACCAGTTACATTTAAGCTGAGAATCAAATTAAGAACTCAATCCCATTTATAACAGCCACTAAAAATATAAAATACCTAGACATACATTTAACCAAGGAAGTAAAAGATCTCTACAAAGAGAACTACAAAACACTTATAAAAGAAATTGTAGATGACATGAACAAATACAAAAACACACCATGCTCACAGATTGCAAGAATCAATATCGTTAAAGTGACAATAAAGCGCAAAGAGATCTACAGATTCAATGCAATTTCTATAAAATTACCGATGTAATTTTTCATAGAAATAGAAAAGATAATGCTACAGCTCATAGCCAAAATAATCCTAAGCAATTAGAACAAATCCAGAGGCATCTAATTACCTGACCTCAAATTACAATACAAGGCTATAGTAAATAAAACAGCATCATACTGATAACAAAACTAGACATACAGATCAATGAAACAGAAAAAAAGACCCAGAAATAAAGCTACATACCCTAAACCAACTAATCTTTGACAAAAATAGACAATGGAAAGTGGACACCCTATTCAGTTAATGGTGTTGGGAAAATTAGCTAGCCATATGCAGAAGGATGAAATTGGACCCCCTCATCTCTCATCATACACAAAGGCATTTCCTCATCACTCATCATACACAAAGGCATTTCCTCATCAAAAATTAACTCAGGATGGATAAAGACTTAATCATAAGACCCTGAAACTATAAAAGTCCTAGAAGAAAACCTAGGAAAGACTCTTCTGGATTGGCCTAGGCAAATAATTTATGACAAAGACCCCAAAAGTAAATGCAACAAAACAAAAAAATGGGCTTTAAACTAAAAAGCTTCTGGAGAGCAAAAGAAATAATCAATAGTATAAACAAACCACCTACAGAATGAGAGAAAATATTTGCAAATTATACCTCTAGAAAAGTCTAGTATTAAGAATCTATGAGGAACTCAAACAACTCAATGTAAAGAAAACAAACAACTCCATTAAAAACTAGGCAAAGGACATGAACAGATATTTTTCAAAAGAAGACATACTGTGGGCAACAGACACATGAAAAAATGCTCCACATAAATAATCATCAGAGAGATGCAAATTAAAACCACAATGAGATATATTCTAACACTACTCAGAATGGCTATCATTAAAAAGTCAAAAACAACAGATGTTGGCATGGACTTAGAATAGAACATTTTTACACTATTGGTGGGATTGCAAATTACAACCTCTATGGAAAATAGTACAGAGATTTTTCAAATAACTAAAAATAGAACTACCACTCAACCCAGCAATCCCATTACTGGATATCTACCCAAACAAAATAAATAATTATATTAAAAAAGATAAATGTACTCTTACGTTTATCACAGCACTGTTCACAATAGCAATGTCATGAAACCAATCTAAGTGTCCATTAATGGTTGATTGGATTAAAAAATGTGGTACATATATACCATGAAATATTATGCAGTCATAAAAAAGAATAAAATCATGTCCTCTGCAGTGAAATAAATGCAGCAGGAGGCCACCATTCTGAGTAAAATAACTCCCAAACAGAAAATCAAATACTACATGTTCTCACTTACGTATTAGGGCTAAACAAAGGATACCTATGGACATAAATATGGAAATAATATACATTGGGAACTCCAAAAGGGAAAAGGGTAAGAGGGGGTTAAGAGTTGAAAAATTACCTGCCAGGTACAAAGTTCATTATCTGGATGTGGGTTACACTAGAAGCCTACCCACTATGATGCGATATACCCATATAACAAACATGTGCCTGTACCCTCTGAATATAAAATTTTAAAAATAATAATTTTATTAAAAACATTACAGATGATTCATTTTTATCCTCTAAAATTGTTTTTAATATAGTTGATATACTATCTTTCTAAAAAATGTCTAATATACCAGAAAAAATGATGGGAAGAAGCAGTATTTGTGATGAGCTTATTAAGTTTAGAAGATAAACTTATAACAAGCCAGCTTTCCACAGCAAATGGTTCTTGGGTAAGTGCCGTGCCCTTGTCTCCTTCCTTTGGATTTTTGCCACACTAAGACTCAATAGAAGCTATAAGTTTTGAACCTGGCCAATTGCTTAGTTCCTTTTAACTTTGCTTGTTTAAACAGAAACTACATTCCATAATGAATATATTTTTGCTACATCCTTCCAGTAGGAACTTGTTGGGCAAACAACATTAACAGGTTTGGAGTTTTGTTTTGAAGTACTGCGATTTGCTTAATATATTCCTATAAATTATCTCAGTTTAACATTAGGATTCTGTATTTCCCTAATTTTGGAAGGATTGACAGAATTCAAAGCTAGTCTTCAGAGTTAAGATAGTCACACACTCTATGTCTTCGGGAACTTTTTTCTTTCTATGTATTTGTTCTTTCAGGAAATTTCAATATAATTATAGCATTCAGAGGTAGTGCACAAGGTTTTAGTCTATTGCTCAGCTCTCAGGGGTTCTTTGAAGAAGTAAATTAGTCACAGTTGCATGTTCCTTCAGAAACATTGTTCTTGTGTATGTATTCAGATTTATAATTGAATATTTGAAAAATAAATAAGTGTTTTATTAAGCCAATACCTTTGATGTTTTCTAGCAGCCCACATGAAGGAGAAAAAATTTAGTTTTGTCACAGTTTCCAATAAACCTAGTGATGAATTGTGGTACCATGATAAATAATATCAAGTACTAGGTATCCAGACATAATGGAGATTTAACACTGTATTCCTGAAATAAGGATATTGAAGTATGAACATCACAACAGTATTTTATATTATTTTTAGCTACTGCACTTAGATTTTTCTTTTTTGTATTAATTTTATTGATACATATTAAATATACATAGTTTGGGGGTACATGTGATAATTTAATACATTCATATAATCTGTAAAGATTAAATTAGTGTACTTAGGAAGTCAATTACCATAATTATTTGTTTTCTTCTTTATGTAAGAACCGTCTTAATTCTTCTCTTCTAGCTATTTTGAAGTGCACAATAGATTATTGTAAACTATAGTCACCCCACTGATTTATCAAACACTGCCTTATTTTTTCTGTCGAACTATATTTGTACCCATTAATCAACCTCTCTTCATTTCCCCCCTCTTTCTTGCTCTCTGGTAGCCACATATTTACTCTCTACATTCATGAGATCCACTTTTCTTTTAGCTCAAATATGAATGAGAAAATGCAATATTTGTCCTTCTGTGTTTGACTTATTTCACTTAATGTAATAGCTTCCAGCATTCATGTTTCTGCTAATGACAGGATTGCATTTTTATTTGTGGCTGAGTAATGTTTCAGTATGTACACATATTACATTTTCTTTATTCATTCATTCCTTGATGGGCACTTAGGTTGATTCCTCATTTTGGCTGTTGTGCATAGGGCTACAGTAAACATGAGAGTGCAGATATCTCTTCAATATATTTCTTTTCTTTCTTTAGGTTATACTAGTAGTGGAATTGCTGGATCATATAGTAATTCTATTTGTAGTTTGTGAGGAACCTCCATACTGTTCTTCATAGTGGCTGTACTAATTTACATTTCTACCAACAATGTATGTGTGTTCCCCTTTCTCTGTGTCCTCACCAGCTTCTGTTACTGTGTGCCTTCTTATAAAGCCCATTTTAACTGGGGATAGATGATATCTCATTGTAGATTTGATTTTCCTTTCTGTGATGACTAGTGATGTTGAACACTTTTTCATATACCTGTTTGTCATTTGTATGTCTTCTTTTAAGAAATGTCTATTCAGATGTTTTGACCATTTTAAAATCAGATCATTATTATTACATTTTGCTATTGAGTTATTTCAGCTTCTTATATAATCTGGTGGTTAATCACTTGTCAGGCAGATAGTTTGCAAATATTTTCTCCCATTCTCTGGGTTGTCTCTTCACTTTGCTGATTGTTTCCTTTGCTTCCAGAAGTTTTTTAGCTTGATACAATCCCATTTGTCTATTTTTGCTTTGGTTGTCTGTGCTTTTGAGGTCTTAACACCCCACCCCAAAAAAAAAAAAACAAGAAAAAAAGGTACCCTAACCAGTGTCCTAGAGCACTTCTTCGATATCTGTGATTTATTTAGAAACTCAATATACACCTTGTTTAAACCCTTTCTCAGTCACTCAGACTTCTTTTTTTATTAGATAGAAGCGATAACAATTCAGTGATAATTGACTAGATTGATTACCCTATACACCAAATTCAAGTAAAATAAATATATTAATTACTTGTTGAATAATCATCTCCAATGTGAGCTGATATTCACCAAAAGTGAGGTGTGTTTCAGGGTATCATGAACTCTGATTTTTGACCTTTTACTATTCTACACTTTGATTCAATGATTTGTATGATTGCATTGAAACTACTTCAAAATATTGCATATATGAATAATATAATTATGACTATAATAGATGGCAAAATTGAAAACAAAGCTGTATTTGCTGGTGAAAGAGAAGAGATTAATATAATAAATTAAATTTAATGAAGACAAACATAATATGAATGAAAGAGACAGCATTCATTAAACACTATTAGATGTGAAACACAATACTGAGAGTTTTTACATAGGTTATCTTATTTAATTTTCACTACAACCCTGGAATATGGAATGTGTATTACTATTATCCATGTTTGATGGATTTGGAAGTCAAAGGATGAAGTACCTTTCTCAAAGTCACAAATTCAGGTTTTGAATATAGTAAAATTTCAGAATATGTCATCTGCTTTGTACCATAGTGCCCTCCTAAAAGCATATGCTGTCGCCTAAGTAACCAATAAGACTATAATAATAAGATGAAAGATAATGGTTAGGTAATAGTACACATAAAAATGACTTAGGACTTTAAAGAATAGTGAATAAAATGTTAGTAAATGGTGATAACTCTAGCACCAAAAATTAAAGTGATCTTAGATAGCAACTAACTAGAACTAAAATTCAATTGGGGCCACAGCTAGCACATTAGAACACTTCTGTGAGAATTCAGAAAAAAAAAAAAAGAAGAAGAAGAAAGTGCTGCTCCAGGCAGGTCCAGTCACAAAAGAGACCTCTACTTGATAGACCAACAAGGATAAAGTGCCCCCTCCAGCAGAGCGACTAGAAAGACACCCTTATTCTAGGGTGAGAACCAGAGCCAAAGCTTGAAGAGATAATCAATGATCATTTGCTCCATTTTAACCCTCACTATGTAATGCTAAATAGTTTTTCCCATATTCGTATTGATTGAATTTGATATTTAGTGTGGATAGACATCTAATTTAACTTTTTATTTAAGAATATCCTTTTTTTTCAGTCCGTAACATTTGTTAACTAGTTTATCCTTTCCCTAAAGATCCACAACTGGTGATATAATTTATGATCCAAACAGACAGTTTTGAGAGTGCTAATTGCTAACCTAAGTCAAGGCAACTGATCTAAGCTAGATGAAAAAGAAAACTAGGATAAATGGTTACTCTACTTTTGGATCAGAGACTATGTATATTACTCCTTTAGTTTATTTGTGCTTGCAATGATTTCTCCGTCTGAATTAGTAATGCCTAAGTGTTCCACAAGAGGGAACCAAAACGGTGAAGTACTACATTCATAGGAGAAACTGAAAGAAAGAACCTCAAAATGCCTAAGGAGCTGACTGATAAAGGTATTTCTCTCCCAAAACCATTCAATAATGACTGCAGGAGATGGGTCTTTCTAAAAGTGTAATAACAGTACAAGACTTCAAGGAACATACAAAACTAAGAAAACGTGACATTGCCAAAGAAACATGGTAATTCTCCAGTAACTAACCACAAAGAAATGGAGATCTATGAACTTCCTGACAAAGAATTTGAAGCAATTTTTTGAAGGAAGCTTAGTGAGCTACAAGAGAACACAGACAATTCATTGAAATCAGGAAGATAACACATAAACAAAATCAGAAGTTCAAGTTGTGCTTCTATCCATTAAATACAAACTGCCAGAAAAAGGATTTAAGAAAACAATACCATTTACAGTAACATAAAAAATATTTAGGAATATATTTAATCAAGGAAGTAAAAGTTCTATACACTGAAAATTATGGCATTGTTAAAAGATATTGAATAAGAAACAAATAAATGGAAAGATATCTCCTGTCTATGGATTGGGAAAATTAATATTGTTAAAATATCTATAGTACTAAAGCAATCTACAGATTTAATGCAAATCCTATCAAAATTTCACTGGCATTTTTCATACAAAGAGAAAAAAATTATAAAATTTTTATATGAAAACATAAAAAACACAAAGTAGCTAATACAATCTTAAGAAAGAAGAAAAAGGTGGAAGCATCACACTTTCTGATTTCAAATTGTAAGTCTTATCAATCAAAACAGTATGATACTAACATAAAAATAGACATATATGCATACATATATACATATACGTGTGTGCATATATATGTGTGTGTGTTCTTACACATATATATGTACTGGTATATGTACTGGTATAAAAATAGACACATATGCATACATGTATACATATACATATACGTGTGTGTGTATATATATATATATATATATATATATATATATATATATATATATACTGGTATAGTCTATTCTAAAATAGAGAGCCCAGAAATAAACCGACACATATGCAGTCAATCATCGCCAACAAAGATGCCAAGAATACACAAAGGGAAAAGGAGGGTCTCTTCAATAAATGGAAAAACCAGATATTCATATGCAAAGGAATGAAATTGGATCTTTACCTTACACCATACACAAAATCAACTCAATATGAATTAAACACTTAAATGTAAGACTTGCATTGATAAAACTCCCAGGAGAAAAACACAAGGAAAATGTTCATAATCTTTGAAATGATTTTTGTGATATAACATCAAAAGCATAGAAAATACAAGCAAAAATGAGAACATGCAACTACATCACATTAAATCTTTCAAACAGCAAGAAAAAAATCAACAATGACAAGGCCACTTCCAGAATGAAAGAAAATATTTACAAATCATATATATATATGAATTAATGCCCAAAATACACTCAATAGCAAAATACCAAATAACCTGATTAAAAATACAGGCAAGGGACCTGAATAGACATTTTTCCAAAGAAGACATACAAATGGCCAACAGATACATGAAAAGGTGTCCAGCATCAATATTCATGACAGAAATGTAAATCTAAACTTCAATGAGTTTTACCTCACTCCTATTAGGATGGCCATTATCAAAAAGTCAATACATAAATAAAGTTGATGAGGATGTGGAGAAAAGGGAACTCTTACATATTGTTGGTTGGAATATAAATTATTAAAGCCAGTATAGAAAAAAGTATGAAGGTTCCTCACAAAATTAAAAATAGAACTATTATATGATCCAGTGGTCTTGCTACTGGGTACATAGCCAAAGGGCATAAGATCACCATCTTGAAGAGATACCTGCACTCTCAACTTTATTGCACCATTAATTTACTGTACAAGTCAACTTATGAAAACAATCTAAGTGGCCATACACGATGGGACTTAGCATGGTTGTGACATAATTTAACAATGTATATGTATATAAAATAATGACATTGTACACCTTAAATACACACAATTTTTGTCAATCATACCTTAATAAAACTGGAAAAGTATACCAATAGCTATTAAAATTTAATAGTTTTCCTCATTTATTAAACTTTTTTATAGAAGCAAAGAGTATGTGATATTTTAACATGTCATTTGTAGAAAAAATTAAAATAGGACACATCCAATGTTTATTTGGTTGCCTACAAAGATCACAGTTACATTAGAGAAAATAAAAGCATCCAAAAGTAACAACAAAAACAAGAAAATCTGACAGAATGGAATTAATTTTGTATGCACCTAATGTTCTACCAACTTCAACCCAAAGCTGGTAGACAACTGTTGGCATCTGTTAACTAGTTTGTTATGGCTTCAGTCTTAAGTGGCTAGGCACCATTCAATTCATTATGTTACCTTTAATTAATCCAAAAAGCCAGTGAGATAAAAAAAATCACTGCATAAAATATTCTCCATATCACATTTGCCATTTCATAGATAATACTTTTTTTTCCTTTGCCTATGAAGGTGAGCTCATTTAATTTTAAAAAAAAAAGTCCTAAGATGACCAAATTTTTAAATGACTGACAATATTAATTCTGCTTTGGTATGTCAGCTACAATTGACTTCTGTTTTGGTAAGTGGATTACAGTTGATTTCTTCAACTGTGGCATGCAGTATATACAATTATTTACAATAGAAATTGTAAAATGAAGGTGCCCCTTTATTATATTTATAACAATTTTATTTAAATTCAGGCAAATTTTACTTTATTGTGCTTTACTTTATTGAACTTTGCAAATACTGTAATTTTTACAAATTAAAGATTTGTGGCAACCCTGCATAGAGCATGTATATCAGCACCATTTTTCCCAACAGCATGCACTCACTTCAGGCCTCTGTTTCACATTTTGATAATTCTCATAGTATATTCAAATTTTTGACTATTATTATATATGTAATGGTGATCTGTGATCAGTGATCTTTGATGATAGTATTGAAATAATTTGAGGGCATCACGAACAATACCCATATGAGATGGAGAACTCAGCTGATAAATACTGTGTGTGTTCTGACTCTTCCACTGACCAGCCCTAATGCCATTTCTCCATTGTCTTCAAGCCTTGCTATTCCTTGAGACACACAATGTTGAAATTATGCCAATTATTTACCCCACAGTGGTCTCTAAGTGTGTAAGTGAAAGGAAGAGTCACACATATTTCTTTAAATCAAAAGCTAGAAATGATTAAGCTTAGTGAGGAAAACATTGTCAAAAAACAAGATAGGCAGACAGCTAGGCCTTTTGCATCAACAGTCAGCCATGCTTTGAATGCAAAGAAAACCTTCATGAAGAAAATGCTAATTTAGTGAACACCCAAATGATAAGAAAGTGAAACAGCCTTATTGCTGATATGGAGAAAGTTTGCGTGGTTTGTATAGAAGATCAAACCAGCCAAAACCTTCTGTTAAACCGAAGTCTAATCTAGAGCATAACCCTAACTGTCTTTAATTCTGTGAAGGCTGAGAGAAGTGAGAAAGCTGTAGAAGAAAAAATTGAAGAAAGCAGATGTTGCTCCATGAGGTTTAAGTAAAGAGACCACCATATCCATACCATAAAAATGCAAGGCAAAGCAGCAAGTGTTGGGGTAGAAGCTGAAGTGAGTTATCAAGAAGATCTAGGTAAGATAACTGATGAAGGTAACTACACCCAAGAACAGGTTTTCAATGAAGACGAAATAGCCTTATGTTGGCAGAAGATGCCATCTAGGTCTATAGGTAGAGAGGAGAAACCAATGTCTGGCTTCAAAACTTCAAAGGACAGGCTGACATTCTTGTTAGGGGCTCAGCCAGCTGGTGAATTTAAGCTGAATTCAGTGTTTATTTAGCATTTCAAAAAGCCTAGGGCTATTAAGAATTATATTAAATCTATTCTGCCTGTGCTCTATAAATGGGACAACAAAGCCTGGATGACAGCACGGTTTACTGTATATTTTAAGCCCATTCTCAAAACCTAATGCTCAAAAAGAAAACAAAGTGATCTCTTTCAAAATAGTACTGCTCAGTGACAATGTACGTAATTACCCCAGGGGTCTGATGCAGATGTACAAGGAGATGAATGTTGTTTTCATGCATTCTAACACAATATATATTCTGTAGCACACACATCAAGAAGTAATTCTGACTTTCAAGTCTTATAATTTAATAAATAAATTTTGCAAGGCTGGATAGATGATCAAAGCAGCCAAAACAAGCAGCTGCCATAGACAGTGATTCTTCTGATGGATCTGGAAAAGGGAACAGAAAAGCATCTGAAAAGGATTCACTATTCTAGATGCCATTAAGAACATTTGGGATTAATGGGAAGAGGTCAAAATAGCAACTTTTACAGGAGTTTGGAAGAAATTGACTCTAGCCCTTATGGATGACTTTGGGAGTTCAAGACTTCAGTGGAGGAAGTAAACTTCAGATGTTGTAAAAATCACAAGAAAACTGGAATTTGAAGTGAAACTTTAAGATGTGACTGAATTGCAGCAATCTTATGATGAAACTTGAATGATACGAGTTTCTTACTATGCATGAATTTACTCTTGGTGAAGATGTTGTGAACGTTGTTAGAGTTATAAAATTACAACCAAGGATTTAAATATACACGTAAACTTAATTGATAACGCAGTGGCAGGGTTGAAGAGAATTGACTCCAAATTTGAAAGATCTACTGTGGGTAAAATGCTATGAAACAGTATTGTATGCTACCGAGAAATTTTTCATGGAAGAATCAATTAAGTAGCAAATTTTATTGTCATGTTAAGAACTTGTCACGGTGACCACAGTCTCAGCAACCACTACCCTGATCAGTCAGCAGCCGTCGTTGTTAAGGAAAGATCCTTCAGGAGTGAAAGGATTATGACTTGCCAATGGTTCAGTCCATTGTTAGCATTTTTAGCTAGTTTTAAAATTAAGGCATGTACTTTTTTTGACATATGGTATTGCTCGCTTAATAAACTGTAGTATGTATAGTGTAAACATAACTTTTGCATGCACTGAAAAAACAAGAAATTCATGTGATTTGCTTTACTGTTACGTTTGCTTTACTGTGGTGGTCTGGAACAGAACCTCCAATATCTCTGAAGTGTGCCTGTAATTAAGTTAGTTATTTTTAGCATCTTTCTCATCTACAGTAGAAATAGAAAGTATAAAGCCACATGTATTTTATTCATTTTCATATGCCCAGAAACAAACATGCTGCGTTTCACATTGAAGGTTTTAATATATCATTTTTTAAAAGAGATTAAACTGGTGCAAGGTTTTGGATTACTACAAATCAATCTAAAATGCTATCAGGTAAACAGTGGAAATGCACATGTTATTAATCAGCAGAACATGTTAATCTATGAGGATACAGGTGTTAAGAACCACCCATAAAAACATCTATTGAAGGGCATTACATATAAAATAGGGACAAAATGATGAATGTAGAGTTAACAACCAGCAGAAAAGATCCAAAATGGATTTAAAATCCACTTCTGGGGGCATTTCTTTTATTCAAAGAAGAACATTTTATATCAGAGATTTCCAAAAGTTTCCCGTTTGGCACCAGTCAATTCAGTTCTGCAATATCAAAGACTTCCAAGGATAGCTAGAAAAAACAAATTCGTGTAATCAGCCAGTAAAAGCTGCCTGGTTGTGCAATGTAAACTCTGTAATATACTAAGAAAGGAGCTTCTACAAATAAAAGGCATGTCCACTCACTAAAAAATAAACTCTCAATTAAATGAAAATGTCTTATATCCAAATACATTCATAATTGTGTATTACAGTTGGAAGAAATATTTTATTTTTAAAAGCACTTAAAATTAAATATTGGCATATACTTTATCAACCACTACTGATAAATGGCAGATGGTATAAAAAGCACAAACATACTCTTGTATACTCTACGACTTCAGCCTAGTTAACTCCTGAGGTCCACATTAACATCTAGATGCTGGGATTTTGTTGGTTTGTATGAATGTGGCCTGATCATTTTTTTATTGACTCTGTACAAACTTTATATTTCTTCAAGACAGTTGTGTATTTTATGAGTCATCTTTTTATCAATTGAGCATTCAAAAATTATGTGTAATTTATCTCCCAGTATACTTAACTAAATAATAAAAGGTAGGCTTTATTTAGGTTTGAAATATTTAGGAAAAATGAAGCATATGTGAAGGAAAACAAATTTTCAGGAGATTTACTCAAGAAAATTGCTATGGTCACACATGGTTTCTGGCATGCCAAAACCATCTTGATGAGTTAATTTACTTAAGATTTGTGTCTTTGTGAATATCGTAAGTTTGCAATTAGGCAAAAAGAAAAAGGTAGATGGTGATATAGATAGCCTCAGATGCACATAGAAGCTTTAAAACATGTTCTTTCTACATTTTAATATAGGTAGCCAAGGTATCAAGTTGCCCGATAACTGTTTCAGTTATGATACGATCTATGGACCCTATGGCTGGCAGCAGATGAAAGTGTGAAGTCCAGAGTTTCAAATCATGTCAGATGAAGAATCAACAGTGCAAGCTTTTGTAGAATGGGTGATAACTTTCAGGTACTCTTCCTTAAAAATTACAGTAAAAGAAACCTGATTATCATTGGATATTCAAGTAAGGTTGTATAAGAAATATTTGTGTTTGTTTCTGCTTACTGAAACTTAAAACACCAGGGATTTCATTATAATTTGCCTAATTCCTCATTCTGTTTGATAATAATACCCAGAAACAACTTTTGTTAATATTTCTGTCAATTATGCAGACAGTGGTAACCATGTATTATCATATTTCTCCAGTTAATTCACTTTATGAGAGAGAAAACATCCACTAGACATTTAATTTTCAGAAGTTCTTCCCAGTTAATATTGAAGGTTCTTATACTAATTAAATGCTGAACATATACCATGGTAGTTCTTTTATGCCAAAGGCACGAAAATTCTCAAAAGCTACCAGGATGTTAAAACTGTTTATTTTTTTTTCCAATACTTGTATTTTGTAGATCAGGACAAGCCACCACCTTTAGTACGTGTTACCTGACACTTAAAAAATGTCCCTCAGTGCTCTGGGAAAATAATAACTAAATATTTTTAAAAATCTTAAAACCTCCCCCAAAATCTTCTTGTGGCCCATCTTATTAATTTTTTAAATAGATGATCATACTATCCTGAGGCAAAATATTTTCTAGTTTTTTTTTGCTAAAGTGCATACTGTTTAAATAGTATGCACTTCCTAAAAACACAGCAAGCAGATTGTTGTTTCTATAGCAGTAACAGTACTATTACAAGTAAAATAAAAACTAAATGTGTCTAAATGATAGGGCACAACTTTCTTTTAAGTGGCTTGACTCTCAAGGTGTATGATGAGACTCATTAAGGCTAGGCTTCCAAAGATACAGTTATTTAAAGGAAACTGGTTAGATGGAGACAATGTTCAAAAAAGCTCAGCATTATGTACTCATTCACTCATTCCTTCATTCATTCAATCAGTTAGGCCTTCAGTTATTCTTCTAAGAGTGGGTGGAGGCTTTTTCTTCTTGATTCTTACATTCTAGTAAGGAAGACAGAAAAAATAAAAAGTCCAAGAAACAAATTCATAAATATATAATGCCAAGTAGCAATAAATAGTAGGAAGAACAGATAATGAATAAGAAGAGTGAATAGAGATTAAACATAAGTGACTATTTGTGACCAAATGGATAAGGAAAGAAGTCGCTATGTGAGCAGAGACATACATGTGGCAAGAAGGTGAAACATGTTTCTCTAAGGAAAAATAAGTTGAAAATATGCTTAACATATTTGAGAAAAAGCAAAGAGGCCAACATGGTTAAAACATGTCAAGAAAAAAGAGAAAAATAAGGCATAAAGTTTGAAGGGAGCAAAAACCAGATCATATAGAAGAGAGTAGTTCATGGAAAGGAGTTGGAACAATTTAAGAGATTTAGAAACAAGACTTTTATATTAAAATAATCACACTGACTATTGTATGGAAGAATATACTGTGGGTAGAAACAAATATGGCAGAAGTGGGACAAACTAGGAGATGATTACATAATCAAGGCAAGAGATGAGGGATGGTGGCTTGATCAGAGGTAGTAGTAGTGAAGTAAAGAAAATATATTTAGGATATGTTTTCAATGCAGTGTCATTTTCTAAAATTGAAAACACTTGGAAAATAACAGAGATGAGTGCAAATGTCAAACTTTAGGCAAAAGCCATCTTAAGGTTATGATAGTTAAGATAGATGCCTATTAGACATTTGAGCAAGAATGTAAATAGATGGATAGATATGTAAGTATAGAAGATAATTCCATGCAATAAATTAAAATTTTGAAGTCTTGGATATTTTTAAAGCCACACATCTCAGGAAAATGAATGAAAAGAGACAGAAAGATGTCTAAGTTGTGAGCCCTGGAGCACTGCAACATTCAAAGGCTGCAGAGAGAAGGAGGGCTCTTCAAAGGATATTGATACAGAGGAGTCAGTGAGATTGGAGGAAAGCTATGAGAATGTGGTGAACCTAAAGTCAAGTTTAAAAAAGTCAGTGTTTAAAGAAGGATAGCCTGATTAACTGCTGAAGAAATGTCAAGTAACATGTCCTGTGAATTGGTCCCTGGGTCACTGGGCTTGGCAGCATGGAGGCACCATAAACATTAATAAGGTGATTTTTCTTGGAGTTTAGTGGTAAGAAAAATCAGACGTAAGCAGACATTAAAAAAGCTGAAGAGTGAAACATTCAAAGTTCATTTGTATTTTGAAACATTAGACTGTTCAAAGTATGTCTGAAACACAGCAATTACAAATAGTATGTTATCATTAAAAACATAAGCCTTTAATATTGCATAAAACAGTTTGTGTTTTTTAAGTTTTCAGTAGTGAACCAGAAAATGGATTATACTATTAAATACATTATGATGATTTTGACCAAGAAAAATAAGCTCATATGAAATTGTAATTGATTTTAGGAATGCCAAATTCGATTTTTAATCATGAAATAAGATAACACAGAGATGAAAGTTTAATTTAAGAATATTTTGAATAACTTTTATACATCATACATGACCAGATCCTTTAGGGAATGAACTATATGAACAGCCTCTTTCCTTTTTCAATAATGTCTTCACTGCCTTCAAAAGTTCAGTCTTTATGTTTCTTGTGGTTGAAATATAAAGACTTTTAAATTTAAAATTACTTAGGCTTGGACTTGGCTTTTTTCATGGCCTAACCCAACAAAGGTTTTAATATTTTTCTCAAAATGTATATACTTCTTGATCAAACTAGCCCTTCTTTCTGGGCTAGTGTGAGTGTCTTTCCTACCATAATATTCGTGGGGACATGGATTTTGTCTGCAGAATTCAAACTCAGATTTCTTCTTCCTGAAAGTTTCCCTAACATTCATAGTCAGGAGCTTGTGCTTCTGTTCTATTGAGCTTCACAGTACCGTTCTTCGTATTGTCCTGCCACATTGCTCTATCTACATGCCAGCATGCCTTGCTTCCCACCAGGGTGACAGTCCTTCACTATAGAAGTCTACGTTCTGTTCAACCTTGTAACTTGATATTACTGCTGACCCAATAGCCTACTTAGTACATAAGTACCTGAAAATGTTGTAAGAAGTATTTAATTAGTTATTTATCTTGTGAATTCCTCAAGTGGCAGAAAAATCAATGTGCCTATTCATAATTTATTTGTTTCAATGGTCATAATAAATTTAGTAGTTTATTTTCAATTTAATACTATTTAATTGTTATTTATATATTTTTGGAGTATTTCTATAATAGCCCAGAACAATATTGATAAAGTTTATTAAATGGAGAAATTGTGGAGTCTCTGCTTTTGCTGATTTTCTTAGTATTTAAATATTTGTTGTTTCTTAATCTATATTTTCACATGTAGTTTTCTTATTTTCTCAGATAGATATTAAAACGTTTAAGATATCTGTTTATTCAATAGCAATAGTAGTGATTAAAAACAGATTATTTCCAATTTAATATCTGTCAGATAAATTAAGAATCATGTAAGGAAATAGCTGAAGTCACAATTAAACTACTCTGCCATAGGTTTGTACAAATGCAATTCCAAAAAACATGTATGCCTGCCCTCACAAAGCATACATTTATGTTGGAAAATTAAAATTTATACTGTAGTTGGACAGCAAATTTGTTCATAAAACTCAGATAAACAATTAAAATACAACATTTTTATCTTCAGTAATTTAATCTTCCTAATTGCTGGGAGGCAGTAAGCTAGAATAATATTTTAAGAATCAATTAATGATATCTCAATTTTTCCTGATTTACATAGCATCATTTGAATAAATGTCCTGTCTCTTCAAAGGCAAATTTCATGATGTGGCTGAAGCTGTCCCCTGCTTTCTCTTTTCTTCTGGAAGATGGATTCTGGACCCAAGAGAAAATATGGTTGTCAGGGATTTAAAGAGCAGAGTTCAGGGGATGGAGGAGAGGCCTCTTTCTGATACTAGCCCTTATGTGAGCCAGTCAGCTCTTCAGTGAAACTCTTTTGATCCTCCTATGCGTGTGTGAGATAACTCCCAGAGTCTGTCACTGGCCTTCTTGATGGCTGACGCGCTGACGTTCACTCTGGTGACATGCAACCCATGATCTTCATGGGGAGAGAACGACCCAGTGCAGGTCCCACCTCCCCTTGCTGACTGATTTCATCTCAGCTCTCGCTGGCACTGTATCACTTCAAGGTCTGACCGTGGTTCCCATTAAATCTTAAACCTTGATGGCTCACCCTACAGCTTTAGGACAAAAGCTTGCTTTGTCTCTCTGCAAACATTTTCCTTCTGGACACCGACACCTCTCAACTACTCATTAATCAGTTACTTTACACTTTCCCCATCTCTCTGCAAACTTATCCCTTCCGAACCCCCACACCCCTCAACTACCCATTAATCAGCTACTTTACACTTCCCCCACGGGGAATGTGGATATTGTGGTTTCCTTCCACGCACATAGGAACCATCGTAGGGCAAGAAATGGTACCTCAGTCTATCTCATCACTCAAACATGCCTGCACTCTTTGTGCTGGTAGGTTGCCGCACAGCTTCCCATAGAGCGGGATTATCTTCAGATTTCAAAATAGAACTCGGGGCAAAATCTCCCATGTTTTTCAAACAACAGAGCTAACACATCTCTTCTTCAGAAGTTTAAAACCAAAGAAGTGAAATCAAATGTGCCTCACGGTTGCTTCTTCAACCTCTATTCTATTTGTTTCTCACTGTTCGCTGTGGCTGGAGGGCAGGCTTTATATATTTTCCCTGATCTGGAAGAAAATTTTGATACATTATACTCATTCACCCTTTCCTGGGTGGCCTTTACTTTCTTCTCCTGTAGGAATGCTGGTCAGGATGCTGGAGAAATACAAGCTCCCCAAATGAAGAAAAAACAAAAGCAATGTTTCTCTATATAACAAGACTATATGATTAGAATGAATTCAAGAACATAACATATCTTCAGGGTATGATATTCCGAATTGAATATATTTATATATCGTTTATTATGCTTAAATTTTTATTATATTTTATTTGTTTACATTTGCTATTTCTTGCCATACATCTGGATTTTACCTTTTTTTTTTTTTTTTTTTTTTTTTGAGGCGGAGTCTTGCTCTGTCGCCCAGGCTGGAGTGCAGTGGCGCGATCTGAGCTCACTGCAAGCTCCGCCTCCTGGGTTCACGCCATTCTCCTGCCTCAGCCTCCCGAGTGGCTGGGACTACAGGCGCCAGCCACCATACCCAGCTAATTTTTTTGTATTTTTAGTAGAGACGGGATTTCACCATGTTAGCCAGGATGGTCTCGATCTCCTGACCTCGTGATCCGCCCACCTCGGTCTCCCAAAGTGCTGGGATTACAGGTGTGAGCCACCGTACCCGGCCTTTTTTTTTTTTTTCCTTTTCGTTTAATCTCTGATTGCTAGGATATCTTTCTGAAAAAAAAAAAAAAAACAAATAGAGTCAAACCAAAAGACTTCAAGGTTCTTTTATAGACCTGTTAATCTAAAGCTATACTGTGAATAATTTTATGGCTATAGTACTATTTTCCTAGGTGTGTTCTATGGACCTATCTGTTATAAATATTTAATTTGAGATTAATTTTAGCCACCTTTGACAAGGCCATGGTATTTACGTTTTCCACTAGGAATTATTAAGATTTATATACATAGAGTAACAACTATTATATTTTAGCTTGTTTTATAGACTAATTAGAGGGTGGAAGCAACATCATTTTAAAATGGAATATTGGCAGGTTAATATTTTTATTCTGTTATTAAATACTTATTGTACTTAATTTAAACAGTATGTTTAAAAATACTGAGTAGAGCTGCTGAACTGTGCATCATACAGAAAAGAAAAATTTGCTAGTTTTTCTTCTAAATTCAACATAATTATGTCTTTACTCATCATTCAGCTACAAAGCTAAATGTCAGGTTTCCAAAAGACAAAAATAGCTAATTTATTCTGCACTTAAAAGTTTTGGATTTTTCTGAAATATGAAAAAAGTATATTAATTATTAGAATTACTTGAAGGTGAAGGAATTGAATTCTTTCCAGTTTTATGATTTTATGAGATTGCAAAATCATTTGATTGACTGTGGTTTCTTTAAGAGTTTGTAATATCCAAAGTCATTCATATCCATAGAGTATCTTCTATTTAGGAGGAGGGCATTATTTTTCATATCATTATTACCATCTGTAATACTACACTGCCATTTTTTTTCAGTTCTCTGCTAGGCATTGTATTAAGGTTATTATATCAAGTTCTAGCAACATCCTTATCAAGGTTTTAAAAATGTATCTTCCAGTTCTATAGATTAGAAAAGTGAATCTCAGAGAAATTAAATGATATAAGATTCTTAATTTAGTAAACAACAACTAGTTAAGATTTCAATCTACATGCCTGACTTGAAAACCTATGTTCTCCTAGATATACGTTGTCATATGGCTAGAATAATCCACGAAAACATTTTTCAAGGGTATATGATAACGTTTTAGACATTCTATATTAAACCAGTTAATAGGCCTAGTCTATAAAAATGAACTTCTCCATTGAAAAAGTTTGGGAACGTATGTGTATTTCAAAGACAACAAACCAAGAGGACCCTTGGTAGGTTGAGGGTTTAAATAAATCCAAACAAAGAGTGATGAAATCAGCAGATCTTACTGGGCATTCACTCTTGGTCTAGGAAGCCTTCTCTGAACACTACCTCCTCCCTTAACCCCATGAACAGCTGATCCCCCTTTAGTGTGTGCCAATTATTTGTTTCTCTTTTTTCACTTTTGTTTAGCTCTTGTCTCTCTCCATTGCAGTTCCTTGTGTTGTAATAACATAACTAAATTATTAGGCAATTGCTATTTACTTCTCCTACTATTTACTTTTATTTCTTGGCCCTGCCCTTTATCCTTCAACCCTAATTAAAAGCTAGTTTCTTTCTGGAGTTTGAGTATCATAAACCAAATCCTAAATGTGCCCAAGAGGAACATATAATGAGCAGAGAAAGATGCTTTATCAAATTTGGGCCATTGAAAACAAGAAAGGTGTGCAATTTAATAAAATCTGTGTTGATGAATTTTCATACTGGATAGGAATAAATGTTTCCTCAATGACCTGTGGGGCTAGATGAACAACAGAGTAATTGATTAATCTGCCTCCTTCCAACCTATTAGCACTGTTTAAGTTTCCCAAAGCAAGACAGTCACAACTCCAGGTAAAGCTATGATTTGGTGGAGCTAGGTAAATAAGCACTATTGATACAGAGCAGGTTCTTGGCTTCACTCAGGAAGGAATTCAAAACTAAGCCAGTGGTGGACGAAAGCAGTTTTATTAAAGTGGCATAGTTACAGTTCTGTGACTGCTCCTTGCAGAGCAGGGTTAGCCTATAGTCAGTGCACTGAGGGTAGCAGCCCATGGGTTATTGGGTAGCTGGATTTATATCCACTTGCAATTACATCTAAATTAAGGGGCAGATTATTCAGAAATCTCTAGAAAATGGGCAGTAACTTCCACATGTTGCATGGTATTTGTAAACTGTCCTGATGCTGGTGGGAATGTCTTATGCTGATTGGTGGTGAGAGCAACTAGAGATTGCTTTCAGCACCACTTGCCAGTTCTGGCTGGTTTCCAATCTGGTAGGGAGCTGAGTCCTGCCAGTCTCAGACCTCATTCCCCACTCAGAAATTGGATACACCTCCTTAATTTTAAAGGGGTTGGAAAAAGATGGAGGTCCATCTTCTGTAACTGCTTCCTAATGATTTTATGGCTGTAGGCTCTGCCTAGCATTAGATGAGTAAAAATCTCTGGACATCTGATCCAAGGGAGTCAAATACAGGATGCTTTTTATTCTCCAGATCAGAAGGTAGGATGGGTTGGAAGGCTTCTACCACTATTGTTTTTACATGGAATTATATTATATGGAAGACACAAACTTTACTAAGAAGTTAAACAGGCAAGGGCCAAAAATTAATAGTAATAAGATATATAGTAAAGGTACTAGGAAAGGTTAAAAACCAGGTGAGACTTAGGACAGCATTTATAATAGTCGATCAGATATAGTTGGGATCAGTGACCTGGTTATATCTATGTAAACAGGTAGCTTGTTTGTATATTTTTTGGATATTAATCTCAACTTACCCAGAAATACTAATAAATAAGCATCAAATTTTATTAATAACTGCACAGACTCCACCTTATTCAGCTAGTAAGTAATCCAATGCTAGTCTGTTATCAAGGATTACATTTGCCAGCAGGTGTAGGGACTCTTGAATTCTTTTTAATGCCTGATCTGTGTTGGTAGTCAATGATTCTAGGATTTGAATCAAGTTTTTTAATGTTTACTCATGGATAGCAAATCTACCCCAAGGAGGTTGCTAGTACTATTGCCACCCAGATTCCCGTCAGAATTAATTATGACAAGACTGGGTGTGCTCAGGGTGGGATGGCCATAGACCTGCCAGAATGAATTATATTGCTTAATTTTTTCTGATACTCCTGGGTCTTATGGGGTTATAGAGGGTGAATTCCAATGGAGCAAAGGTGGCCAATGTACATTCACTCCTGTTCCGATTTTGATATGCAAGGGAAAGCTATCCCTAAAAGAATAGGTGGTTCCTCAGGAATTCAGTAGTAGTTATAGAGTGGGACTTCTTCCCACTCATGGCCACAAACAAAAATGAGCCCTATTAGGGCACAAATTGAGGCCCTACAGAAATGTGATGTCCATCCTTTGCTACCAAGTTGGGTCTATAGAAGTATTTTTTCCTTGCTCCAATGAGGTGGTTAAACAGTCCTTGTTTTCCAGAGAGGGCTGTATTCTCACATTGCCAGATTAGGCGGTTGTTTTGTTCTTGAACTTTCTGATGCAGCAGAAGGCATCACATATAGTTTCCTCTCTTACAAATGGAATCCCATTTACCTCACTGTGGTTTGGGAACTTGTTGACTAGAGCTGGATCACAGCATCACAGGGAAAACTTCCTTTTTGCATTATCAGCACAATAATGGGTGCAAAAAATTGTATCATTAGTACACTGGAGGTATGGATACCCAACTTCTCATGTGGAATCCATTAAGTTGGAGAGAGCTCCACCTAACAAGTAGTGGGGTCTAAATACTTTGAGATCACTATGGTTTGTTAGGAAGTCTGGACACATGACTGTAGACTTTTTCTGGATGTGCCAGATGGTGGAACTCTCTATCCTGGGGATGTTGATGACAAATACAGCAACCATTAAGGTGATTCCCTGACACTATAATTTTTGAAATATTTACTATGAAGTTTTGTTTTCACTTACACTGGATTATGTTAATCAGGGGAACAAACAGTAGTCACAAGTGGCAGCATGGTGTCTGGTTGGGCCTTAAAGTGGCCTCTATACCCAACAAAGATAAAGGAGGTTTTTCCAAGGAGAAAGCACTTGGCCAAAGCTATAGAAAAGAAGTATTAGGGAGAAGAGAAAATTCACATTTCACAGCACCAGGTTACCACTTCTGGCTGAATGTTCTTTCTTTTAAATGAGTAGCGGTGGCCCTCCAAAAGTTTACAGGTGTAGGTCATAGGTCCTCCTTTTGTGCCTGCAGGTACTCAGAAGGAACAGGTTGAATCCTGGAGAGGGGTATCCAGCTAGTAATTTCCTGGAGTTTAACAGCAGTGGGGGTGCTCAACAACATTCAATAAGGGCCCTTCCATTTTGGTTGTAATTGTTCGTCAGAGAATACATTTTTCCACGTTTTTAGTAAAACTAAGTCTCCTGCTTGAACAAGGGAGCTATTCTGTCCCTTTGAGTGAGGAAGTAACACTTCATTTCCATATGCCTGAAAGGCCTCTTGAAGCTGGCCTGAATTGATAATATGAGTGAGTATTCTGTGGGTGTCTTCATCAAGTAGCAGGTCTAAAGTTAAAAAGGGTCTTCCATAAGTCATTTCAATGGATGAAGCTTTAAGTTTCCCTTTGAAGCCATCTTCTTCCTCAAAAGTGCTATGGGTAGGAGGAAACGTCAGGCCTCTGACATCTTTTGCCGGAGTTTTGCTAATGTCCTTTTTAGAACATGAATGGCTTTTTCTACCTTACCTAAGGATTGAGACCTCCAGAAGGAGTGAAGATGGTAGGTAATGCCTAAGGCTGAGGAATCCCGCTGGGTCACGTCAGCTGTGAAGGAGCGTTCCTTATCACTTTGCAAACTTTTTGGTAATCCTAAACTTGAGACAATTTTTTTAAAGTAAGAATTTGGATACTTCCAGTGTTTTTTCCGCCCCTATGGGGAAAGCTTCTAGCCACCCAGTGACAGTGTCTATAAATACTAGCAAATATTTTAGTCCACTGTAAGGTGGCATTTGAGTGAAATCTATTTGCCAGTCTTCTCCAGGATACGTTCCTTGGTGTGTAAGTTTGAGTAGTAGGGGGTGGGGTATGGGGTGGCTTCCTTGCTTGTTATAGGCACAGGGTTCACAGGCCTTGGTGAACCTTCTTATAGTCTGGAATAGTTACTTCTCCAAGAATATTTGAGAATCTCATCCCAAATATGAAGAATCGTGAAAATGCCTAATTATTTCCCACTGCTCAGCTTTGGGGAGAGTTTGTTGTTTCTAGCAACCACTCTGAGGGATCATTTTGTAAGCCTTTCTGTTCTGCCCGTTTAATTTCCTCAAGTGTATAGCATGGTGCCACTGGCGTGGTCGGAGTTCCTGGTGTTAGTGCAGTAGCCTGGAATGCCAGTGTTTCTTCAGCTGTGGCCTTGGCTGCCAGGACAATTATTGGAGGACAATTCCTCTAATAATAGAGGGGTCTCCCTGTTAGTGTTCCCTGCAGCGAATAATTGCTACCTCCTTTTGGAGTTGGAAATGTCTAAAAGTTACAACATCTTAGAGTGATGTTGTATGAGGGATCTGTTGGCTGTTAATAATCCCCTTTTCTTCCATATCACTGCTTGAACATGGAGCACCAGGAATCCATATTTGGAGTTAGTAAATATATTGACTCTTAAATCTTGTCCCAGTTGGAGGGCCCTAATTAGAGCAATTTTTCTACTTTTTGGGCAGAAGTCTGGGTAGGTAAAGTGTTGGCCTCAGTGACTTCTTACTGGCTAACCACAGCATAACCTGCCTTTCTAACGCCCTCATGAATAAAGCTACTTCTGTCTGTAAACCACTCAACACCAGGGTTAGGCAGGGGTTAATCTTTGAGGTCAGGCCTGCTAGAGGAGGAGGTCCATTCTATGGTTTCCACACAAGAGTGAATGAATTGAGGATCTGTTTCTTGGGATGTGAAATCTGGCAGCAGGGTAGCAGAGTAGACATACTTTAAGAATAACATCTGGGGTGTTAAGCAGAATGGCTTGATATTTGAGTAACCGGCCCCCTGTTAGACATTGATGTCCTTTTGCCTCTAGGATACCATGTACTTGATTTTCCAGGCTACTGCACAATTTAAATTGTTGTCCCAAGATAAACTTACAGGCTACTTCTACTAATAAAGCAGTGGTGGCCACAACTCACAAGCATCCTGGCCATCTAGCCACCACTTGGTTTAGCTGTTTAGAAAAGTAAGCCACTTGTCTGGGATTATACCTGAGTCTTTGAGCTATAATATCCAAAGCTCTCCCTTGTTTTTCAGCCACATAGAGGGTGAAAGGCTTTTCTAAATTTGGAAGTCCCAAAGCAGGGGCTGTTCCCAACTTTTCTTTTAGGGTTAAAAATACCTATTGACAGGTATTATCCCAATTCAAAGGCTCGTGATCACTGCTTTGTAGAGCTTCATAGAGTGGTTTTGGCATGAGCCCAAACCCAGGAATTCAAATTCATTGAATACAGTCATTTCCAAAAAGGCTCTTAACTATTTCTTCATCTGAAGGGGCTAGAGTGCCAGGACAGTCTCTTTTCATTTTTGGGCCAAGGTCCTTGTCCCAGGAATGAGCATAAACCCCAAATATTTAACTTTCTTTATAGAAATTTGAGTCTTGTGTGGGGATAATTAATACCCTTATTTTCCAAGAACATTAAGGACCTGCACTGTGTTCCTGTCACAGTCTTCCCTAATAGTGCTGGAAATTAATAGGTCATTCACATATTGCAACAGGGATCCATTACTTAACAGTAGTTCCCTCAACCCTTTTGCCAATGCATTGCCAAAGAGTTGGAAACTGTCCCTAAAACCCTGGGGAAGGACTGTCAAGGTATGCTGAGATGCAGCATGAATGTCTGGATCAGTCCATTCAAAAACAAAAATATCCTGGGATTCTGGAAGTAAGAGTATGCAAAAGAATGTGTCCTTCAAGTCTAATACTGAGAACCAATTAGCGTCTTCAAGGACTTGGGTCAATATTGTGTAAGGATTAGGAACTATTGGGTGGACTAGCACTGCTGCCTCCTTAACTTCCCTCAGATCTTGAACAAATCTATAATCCCAATATGGTTTCTTTACAAAAAAAAAATGGGAGTGATACATGGGGGCTGACAGGATTGTAGTAATCTGTACTTTAGAAAATTTGTTATTGGGGGCTGGATATCCTCTTTGTCTCAGGTCTCAAAGGATTTTTTTTTCATGGATAATTAACATTGAGTTTTAAAATAATCTGGACTGGGGGTACATTAACAGCTCTACCAGTACCTTTCATATTCCAAACAGAGCTGTTTAGTTGAGAAGCAATATGTCATGGGAGAGTCTTTGTGTGTGTATATGTGTGTGTGTTAAGGCAAGCACTTAGAGCTAGAAGAAGTGCCACTTCCTGCCCTGTTGTCTTCTCATGAGGCTCTCCAGATCGAACTATGACCTGTAATTGGGAAAATAAGTCTGTTTTCAGAAAGGGGATAGGTCACTCAGGCATAAGCAGAAAACTATGAGAAAATGTATGGTCATCCATGGTGAAATGAAGGGGATAAGCGAATGTCCTAAATTTTGGCTGGCCATCAATCCCTGTTATGGTCAAGGACTGGGAAGACAGTGGCCCTAAGTAGTGGGTTAGAACTGTGAAGCCTGCTCCCATATTCAATAACTCAGTATTTTTGCCTCCCATGTCAAGTGTCACTTGAGGCTCCTCTGTGGAGATGGTAATGTGTACAGTGAGAGGTGTAGAGGACCTCAGGCTCTGTCAGTCCTCTGTTCTCTTGGTTATTATGGATCTGGGTGGCTCAGACTCCCTTTTAAGCCAGGGATAGTCCTTCCTCCAGTGGCCTTCTTCCTCACAGAAGGCACATTGATTTTGGCCCAGGGCCCGGTGAGTCAGGGGCTCTTGTCTGGGCATTCCAGATGCCAATCTCGAAACATATCCTCAGTATAGGTAAATTTGAGGTAGCAGAGCGCTTAAAGCAACTGCTAACAATTGCACTTTTGGGTTATTTATTTTGGTTTTTATCTCTTCCTCCCCCCTACCCCTATTGTTGTAAACTCCAAAGGCCATGCTTAAGAGTTGGCTCATGGGGGTTTGGGGATCCACTGCTGCCTTTTGTAATTTCCTCCTAATGTCAGGGGCAGATTGAGTATTAAAATATGTGTCCAGGAGAGCTCATCCCTCTGGGCAGTCAAGGTCTACATTAGAATACTTCCTGAGTGCCTTAACCAAGCAGCCCAGAAACACAGCAGGATTTTCATTTCTCCCCTGACTTCTCTAACTGTCATAATTAATTGCTTATCCACACAATTTTTCATACATTCTACTAAACAAGTTAGCATGTAATTTCTGTGGTTTGAGATCTTGGGAAACCCTCTGGTAATCCCACTGACCTACATCTCCCCAGTATGATAAATGTCATGGCCTTGGTTGTGAGTGGCCACTCCATCTGCACTTTTATGGCCAGTACCTAGAATTTTTTTTTTTCTCTTCTTGGTACAGCAGGTGGATAATAATATTTGCAACCCATGCCAAGGTAAATCAAAGGACATGGTCAACTTAATAAACTCCTCTGTAAATTTCCCTGAATCCTTTGAAAACCAGCCAAATTTCCCCTTGCATAAAGCCAAATTGGACATGGAAAAAGATGCGTACACTCTGTGTTCCCCCATCTCCACTGGCTACCTCCCACAATGAACACAACTTCAATTTTAAGGGCTGATATGGGACCCACTCCTGGTGGTACTGGTTGGGCTGATTTCCTCAGGCAGTGGGAGCTATAGGCTAGGGCTAGTTATATAAGGGAGATGGGTGCCTGATCACCTTGGGTTGGAATCCTGTGCAAGATAACCTGTGGGTCCTCTCTCAGAACTAGGGGACTGAGGAAGCTTTGAAGGGAGTGTAGACCTTCTGGGGAAGCAGCTAGGAGACAGTCATCTAGGATATCTGAGACAAATTCTAGGTGCCTGGGAGTACCATGAGCCAGACACATCATACAGCTATCCTGTAAGTCAGAATCCCAGTAGAAAGTCATTAAAGCCTGCACATAAGGAACTTCTCCCAATTTTCCTTATCCTTTTACAGAGTAAGTCTAATTGTAAAATAGCATTATAACTTTAAAAACCTTGTTTAGGCCAACCTCTTGTGCTCTAATTTGTATTGGACCCAAACAGTGTTGCAATAGAAAATGTTTTTGTTTTTTTTTCCTCTTTAGACCATCTAATTTGAATTTGCTCCAGTTGCCTCAAAGACTCACTAGTGGCAAATCCTCTAAGATGCTCGCTGTTGTATCCATATGAAATAAGGTTCTCTACAGAAATTGTTTTTAGTTTGCCTAAGTCTAATGAAAGCCTAGTTATTTTCCATTTTAAATTCCCATCTTCTGCAAAGAAAGTGTAAGTATAAGTAACAAAGCTTTACAAAAATGGATTATGCACTATGAGTGGGCAGTAGAATGATGAATCTAAATGCTGCAGAGAGAAAAGCAAGCATCTTAGTTTTCACAAAGAGGGACCAAAAGAAACAGAAGATGATTGTGGAAGGCAGAAAGGGAAGGGGTGAACAACATTATTCAAGGGGAGACGTTGAAGACCCTGACTTGCCATGGAATTCTCCCAGTAGCAGAGAAACTGAAAAGAAAACCAAAAACCCTGGCCCCTTTAACCAAGATGGGCTTGAACAAGGCAGTTTATTGGACAGAAAGGAAGACAGCACAAGGGAGGGGCCCACAACTGGCTATTAGAGAAAATAACAACTTCTAACTTCAGGCCAAAAAAGGTGACACCAAGATTCCCCAAAGGGAATGGGGAAATTCCCCTCAATTCTAGAGGGAATGTCAGTGCTGAAAATCCTGGAGCATCCAGCAGGGTGGACAACAGTACCACTGTCAAAAAACCCAGAGCAACCAAGTAAGAGCCAATGAGTGTCTCCTCACCAAAGGCTGAAAACTCCAGAACATCCAGTGGGGGCTAACAGTGAGCCCCAAATGCCAAGTTGGGGTCACAAAACAACATAACTCCAGTGTCCTGGAGTCAATAAACTGGGGCACCTCTCACAAATAAAGGTCCTGCCTTAAACGTTTGTCAAAATATAGCTTGCAGGGGGTGAAAACAAAATTACTGCAAATGAAATACATATCCAGGGCAGAAAATAAAATGGCTGGCGGAATAATAAAATGGCATTAGAGAATAAAGGATTGAGGGATGGGGCAAAATATGCCTCTGTCCAGGGCACCCAAATGATGGGGGACTTTAAATTGATCACCTAGACAGAGGTTCTGTTTCCTGGTTCACCTGATATTGAAGGGGGTGGCAGAGAGGACACTCACCTGCAAGAGCCAAAATTGTGTCAACCAGTCTCCAACATGAGAACTGGGTGATGGTCTCCTCAGGTACCCCCCAGCTTGGATAGGCTCAGCTGCCACGGGTAGACCACAGTGCAGACCCATCACTCACCAGCCAGAACAGTGAGTCCTCCACAAGGCAGCAGTAGTGTGGCCACTTGCCCTTTAGCTTGGCTCCACCACCTGCCAGGAAAGATGACAGCCCTGAAAAGAGCCTTTGGTTAGTGTTCCAGCTCTTCAGTATTAGCAGCTCTTTGATGTTACAGACTCAATACTACAACCCTCAGAGCTTGGGTTGCCAGTTGCCTTCCTGCTTTGCTGACCATCTCCTATTGCTGACATCTCATCATTTGTCCACTCTCCCTACCTCGCTGCCTTTCGCCACCTCTTCTCAAGCTACTGGTTGACATGCCAGTGATGTAGGGCAGCTTCTTGGCTTCACTTGGGAGTGAATTCAAGAGCAAGCTCGTGGTAGAAGTAAGCAGCTTTATTGAAGTGGCAGTGTTACAGTTCTGTGACTGCTCATTGCAGAACAGGGCTAGCTCATAGGCACTGCACTGAGAAAAGGAGCCTAGGGGTACTTCTATGGCTTTTCGGTAGCTGTAATTATGCCCACTTTTATTTACATGCAAATTAAGACATGGGTTATTCAGAAATCTCTAGAAAATGGCCGGTAACTTCTGGGTGTTGCCATGGAATTTGTCAACTGTTGCGGCGCTGGTGGGAAGGTCTTATGCTGATGGGCAGCAACAAGAAGCAGGCGTTGCTTTCAGGGCCCCTTGTCAGTTTTAGCCAGTTTTCAATCTGGTCCGGGAGTTAAGTCCTACTGGTCCCCTACCTCACTATGACATCACCATCGCCACAGAGGAAATAAATGTTAAATTACATTTTAATTAAAATCAGAAAAATATATTTTATGGTGTGTGACTGGCCAGAAAATGTCATAACGGCATTTGCTTACATCTCTATCCCATTCTATAGCCTGAAATCTACTCTAAAACAGGCACTGAAGCAATCCCAGCACTTACCATTTGCCCTACATCAGGGTAAGGGCCCATTAACTATTTTAGAATAAATATGTAGCCAACCTACTGTCTTATCCCCACATTTACTAAAGAATCATAGTTTTCTGCTTTTATTTAAAAAATTCAAATGAAGTCTCACTCAGAATAATAAAAGGCTGAGAAGAGTGAGTTATTTATTTTGGGGATAAGCACACAACTTCTTTTTTTTCAACAATTTTTTGGGAGGACTTTCTCGTAAAAAACAGAAAGCCCACTAGACAAATTATAAAAGAGCTATAACACTCAAAATTTCTTTCAAATTTTCATTGACCTGTAAAAGCAAATGAATGTATGCTTTTTTTCTACTATCACATGCATCTTTGTTTTAATAGAACAATTTTCAAATACTTTTCAATAATTTTTTCACAATGAAATCCTGGAATGAAATTCTAATATGTATAAGTAATGAAAGCAATTCAGAAACTCAACAGAGAATTTGATTTACTGAGGGAAAATACTTCTTTATTTGCAGAAGGCTTGGAGTAAATATTTAAAAGTACAAAAGTTTTAGTGAGTATTGTTTGAAAATAAATGCTTTTATCTGAAAAAACGATTGGATAATATTTATTGTAGAAAATGTAATGCCTCAGGAGAATAGCATTTTTCTATTATGCCTCAATCTTTCCTTTGGCTCATTTTACCATGAAGGTAGAAAGAAATAGATAATATTTTACCCAGACCCCAGTTTGAAGAGCAAGAAAAGGTAATAATGATCTGTTTAGTCTAAATCATCAGTTCATCAGTACCATGAGTGATGCATAGTGTGCTTGATTTCCCATGAATGTATTGCCAGAAATAATAAATCAAGTACTCAGTACAGTAAACATACTCATTTTTGGCAGAAATAATAATAATTTTAATAATATTCTATTAGGTAGTCTATTTTGTAATATATATACTATAAAAATATTCTGGTATATACTATAGTGTATATACTATAAAATATACTAGTTATAAGTTTCTCTCAAGACTTTTCACCCATGTTCTTAATGAACATACATATAAGCTGTTGTCCATTTCTTTATCACTGGGGGGAAGCAAATACGGCAACTCTAGAAACAAGACCCAGTAAGAGAAAGCATTTGCTTTTTGCAACAATTGTGTAGCCCTGTCTAGATTAAACACTCAACATTTTCCCATTCAATCTCTTCAAAGCTACTTGCTCTCTTGTTTCCTCAGGTTAAGTGTGATGAGAAACAGACCCATGGGTTGTGACCTTTTCTGGGATGAAAGATGCCATGTGACTAAAATATTCTGTGATTAATGTACATTCATTTTGCTTTTGATAGTACTCAGTGTTGATTCACGTTTTTGAGATAATTAAAAAACCTGACTTGGTGAGTTACTGCTATGTGTAGCTTGAACTGCTGTGATCTCTGGAATATTTTGTGCCCATATGAATTATGGAGTTGGCTTGAGGTACATGACTTCAGCTCTTTTTCTGTCTCTTATTCCAAAGTTCAGCTAATAAAGAACACCCTGTTTGAGCTTAAGCATAAGACTTTTCTATTCAGGGACTTCTTAAAAAGACATAAGGCAAGAACAGATGGAGACTAGCTGTTGCCTGGGAGAGGGAGCAGCTCCAATGGTCATCACATGGGTGCAAGGACTTATTTGAGCTCTTACTGTGTGTGCACATCAGAGCCCATCTCTGTGTGGGTGTAAGTTCCCTCACACCTGTCTTTAAAATCCCTACCTCTGCTCTCCATCCCCAACCCTCCTAGCACCTCCACATGTTCTGCAACCCATAAGCTCTCTACACTCCCTTCAACTTACAGATTTTCATGGAGACTTCATCACATAGGCATAATCTATTATTAACTAAATCTCCAGCCTCTCTCTTCTTCCAAAAGCGCATGAAAAGTGGGGCTGAAAATTCCCAACTTCTAATTATGGCTTGGCCTTTCTGGTGATGAGCTCCCATCTAAGAGCCCACCAAGAGTCATCAAGAACCATTAGAACAAAAGACACTCCTATCAATCCAGAAATTCAAAAAAATTCTGTAACTCTGTAACAGAAACCCAGGATCAAAGATGAAAAATTTTATCAATGGATTCTTCCCACACCACTATCTGGAAGAGTTTTAAAAGCTATGTTTCAGGAAGCAAGGGCAAAGATCTATCTATCTGCCTATTTATCTATCTATCATCTATTATCTCTCTCTCTCTCTAAAGAATATATATATATATATATATAATTTCACAGTTACATAGTTTGATATTAATGTAGCCACTCCAGCATGATTTTAATTTATTTTAATTAGTATTAGCTACGGTATATATATTTAAATTCCTTTACCATTTACTTATTTTATCTTTATATTTAAAATGGATTTCTTTTAGGCAGCATATAGTTAGGTTTTTCTTTTGTATTCAATCTAAAATTATCTTCCTTTTAATCATGACACACTATTTTCACTTACTGTCAAGATTAATATGGTTAAGCATAAAACTGCTATCTTACTATTTGGTTTTTACTTGTCCCACATAATCTTTTTAAAATGTTTTAAATTTTTTGGCAATGCTCGGTGGCTCACGCCTGTAATCCCAGCACTTTGGGAGGCCAAGGCAGGCGGATCATGAGATCAAGAGATCGAGACCATCTTGCCCAACATGGTGTAACCCCGTCTCTACTAAAAATACAAAAATTAGCTGGGTGTAATGGTGGGCGCCTGTAGTCCCAGCTACTCAGGAGGCTGAGATAGGAGAATCGACTGAACCTGGAGGCAGAGGTTGCAGTGAGCCAAGATCACGCCACTGCACTCCAGCCTGGGTGACAGACCGAGACTCTGTCTCAAAAAAAAAAACAATGTTTAAAATTTTTTAAACATAAACTTTATTGTGTATGTTAAGGTGTACAACAAGATGTTACAAGAGACAGATAGACAGTAAAATGATTACTAAAATGAAGCAGATTAACATATCCATTATCTCACATAGCTGTCCTTTTTTGTGGGAAGAGCAGCTAAAATCTACTTATTTAGCAGAAATTGCTAGTACAGTACAATTTTATTAACTATTGTCCTCATGTTACGCATTAGATCTCTAGACTTGGTGACCCTATATGATTTTTGTTCCTTTGTTTTTCTCTACTTCTGTCACCTTTAGGATTAATTAAATATTTTTATGATTCAATATTTTCTTCTACTAGTTAGTAGTTGTAAATTTTTGTCATGGTACTTTAGTGTTGCTTCATGGTTTATAGTATATCTCTTGAATTCATCACAATCTCCTTTTACAGAATTTTGCATCTTTTTATATAGAGTGTAAAAAACTTACAACGGGACAAGTTGTAGTCCCCTTTATGACATCTGTGCTATTTTTCTCACAATTTTACTTCTACGTGTCTTACAAACATTACAATACATTCCTATTTTCTCTTTCAACAGTTAGTTATTACATAGAAATTAAAATTTTATGTCTGTATCTGTATCTATCATTTCTGGTGTTCTTTAATCTTTTATGCAGATTCAGATTTCCATTTGATATTATTTTTTCTTCTAAATAGACTTTCTTAATATTGCTTATAATTGATACTATTAAATATTAATCTTTAATATTAATAATAACATTAAATTATTTCAGCTTTGATACGATTACATTATTTCAGTTTTTTAAATATGTTTTTTCTTTCTACCTTTACTTTTGAAAGCTATTTTTACTGGGTATAGGATTCTACATTGTCAGTTTTGCTCTCTCATTACTTTAAAGATGTTTCTCCATTGTATTCTAGCTTATATTGTTTCTGCCAAGAAGTATGCTATCATTCTTATCTTTGATACTCTAGATAATGTATTTTTTCCTGTTTGTTTTTAAGATTTTTTCTTCATTACTGGTTTTAAGTAACTTCATTAGGGTTGCTTTGTGGTTTTCTTCTTGTTTTACAGACTTGGAGATCATTGAGCTTAAATCTGTGGGTTTATGGTTTTCATCAAATTTGGGAAATTTTCGGTGAGTGTATCTTCGTATTTTTTTCTGTTCCTCTTCTCTCTTACCTCCTTCGGGGATTCCAATTACTATATTAGCTTAATTAAAGTTTTCCTAGAACTTACTAATATTCAATTTATTTTTCTGTTTTATTTTGCATAATATCTGGCATGTTTTCAATTTCAATAACCTTTTCTTTTCCAGTGCTTCATCAGGTGTGATTCTATTCAATATATTTTCCATCTCATATATTTTAGGTTTCATCCTAGAAGCTTAATTTTTATGTTTTATGTCTTCCATTCCTCTGCTTAAACTTTTCTTTATATTCTTGAACATATCTTACATACTTCTAATAAATATTTTAGTGCCCTTGCCTATTAATGATATTGCCTATAAAATTCATGTCTGTTTCTATTAATTGCTATATTTTTTCTCATAGTGAGCTGTATTTCCTGCTTCTTTGCACTCCTGGCAATTTTTGTATTTGATGACAGACATTGGAATCTTACATCGTTGGCTGTTAGATATTTTTCTTTTCTATAAATATTCTTGAACTCTATTCTGGGATAGAGTTAAGTTATTTGGGAACACTTTGATCCTTTTAATGCTTGATATAAGCTTTCTTAGGTAGACTCAGAGTAGCCCTTACCCTAAGGCTATTTTTCTGCTCTAATGAGGCTATACCCATCTGAGTATTCTTACTAACATCTCAGGAATTCACAGGTATTTTTACACCTATGGCAGGTGAGAACACAGACTACTCTCAGTCCAGTGTTCTTTCTGTGGAATTGGGCCTCTCATCCTTTCAGTTGTTTCATTTTCTGAACTCAGTCTCCATATATCCATCTATTAATCTGTATTCAGCCAAAGACTAATGAGGATCACTCTGAAGATTTCTATAACATTCTCTTTGCGGAATGTTTTCTGCAATACTCTATCTTATGAATTCTACCTGCCTTGACCTCCCAGGACTTAAAACTCTATCTTATTCACTTTGGGTAACTGCTAGGACCTCTCTCTCTCTCTCTCTCTCTCTCTCTCTCTGTGTGTGTGTGTGTGTGTGTGTGTGTGTGTGTGTGTTGTGTGTTGTGTGTTTCCTCTCTCTGAACTGTGAATTGAAAACACTTTCTAGCCATTAGCCTAGGATAAATGATCCACATAACTTAATTTCCCTTCTCTTGGGAATTATTATCTTGCACCAGTTATTTTCACATGTATAAAAACCATTGTTTCATAATTTCTTCTGTATCGTTTTTTAGTTTTTTATTTCAGGCAAAGAGGTAAATTTGTTTCCTGTTACTCCAGCTTGCTTGGATGTGTAAGTTTAATTATTTTTTAAGATCAGAAGCATATTTTTGGGAAATAATTCAATAAGAAATGCATATTAAAGTTTTTTCCTTTATCTATTTGTTATAATACTAGATCTTTATTCTAATAGAGAATGCAATATGTTTCATAAATCCCCACTTTTTATCTTGCACTATGGGGGTTGTCATGGAAACAACAATGAAAAATTGTAAAACATGACTACTAGTCCCAAGCTGCTTGCAGATTTTATATAGATACATGGGGAATAATTAGTTACTGTAAAGTCTTCACAAATTAGTCATTAATTTAAAAATTCTAACCCATCTATGGGTCAGCAGTAAAACACGATATCATTTCTGCCTCTAAAGCTAAAAATCTATTATAAAGTATTGCCTGAATGATAAGAATTATAACTATTAAAAATCATGTGCTATGGACCAAATATTTGTGTCCCCACAAAATTCCTATATTGAAATAATAACTCCCATTGTGATGAATTAGGAAATGGGGACTTTGAGAGGTGATTACGTCATAGGGACAGAGCCCTCAACAATGAGTTTAGTGCCCTTATGAAGAGAAACATGAGAGAGATGATAACTTTCTAGACAAAATGGGAATACAAGGTGAAGATAGCCACCTGCAAACTATGATGTAGGCCCTCACCAGACACTGAATCTTCCTGGCCTTGATTTTGGACTTCCTAGCCTCTAGAATTGTGAGAAACAATTTTATATTGTTTAAGTCACTGTTCTATTGTTAATCTATGGTATTCTGTCATAGCAGCCCAGAATAACATATATGATTATATACTTGTAAAGGCTGTTATTGACTTCCAAATGGCAACTAATAGCTTATTAGAACAGTCTAGAAAAGAAAAAGAAGAAAATTTGTTAAACTGAAGTTCTGATGATAATTAATGCTTAATCTCATTTTTTTTCTGAAATAAGATATATCTCTTCATGTATCTAATAGTAGATACATGAGTTACATAGCATTAACAAATGAAACTGTGAATGTTGTTTGGTCTCTGTGCCATGTACATTCAGGTTTGATTTTTTTCTGGGGTTCCTGATTTCCTAAGGTTCAATGATTACTGAACTTCTCATCCTTTTCCTTTGATCTGATTTTCCTTCTCCACCCCTTTCTTTTTGTAATATACAGGAAAGACTCAAGCTTTTGAAATCATTAGTTCTGTTTCACAGAATATCAAAATGGAGCAATTTCAGTGATGTCTCAGTGTCTAGGATTATGGGTTTTCTTCCATAAAAAGTGCTAATTTTTTAAAAATTTGCTCTTACTTGGTTCAAATCTTTTATCCACTAAACTTTACAGAGCCAATGCTCTTAGGTAACTTATTCTCTCTTATCTCTTCCTTCTCTCTCTTTCTCTCTTTCTCTTTCTCTTTCACACACATACACACACACTCACACACACACTTTCTTACTCTCATTCTCTCCTCTATTTCTTACTTTAATTTAGGCTAATATATAAAATGTTATCTTTTCTTAAATTTCTGCCTATTTTGTGCATCTAACACAAATCTGTTACATGTTATTTATACTGCCAAAATGGATCCTTTGCAAAGGGACTAATTTAACCTCAATTCTATTTCATTTTAATTACTTTACATACAGACTCTGGCATGTTTGAGTTATAGGTCACAAATAGAAATAAAAGAATTGGATACTGGATTATTGAATGTTGTGTGGAGAAGAATTTGTTTCATCACTTGGAGAAGGACTGCCTAGTGCATATACCTGATGTGAACTGGTGTTATTTATAAGTGCAGAGCAATCTGAAAATGTCATTATGGTAGGAATGTACTCCTGCTTTAAGGGAGGCAAAGCCTAATTTTCTCTTTCACCTTTAAGTCAGTCAGTTCAATGTCTGCTATTCCCCAACTACAGGAGGACATTATAAATGTGATTAAAATATGATTTTGTTGGATGTCTGACAGAAGAGTTCCTACTGAGAAGGCAGGCACAGTAAAAAGAAAAGGAGTTAAAGATACATCATATTAATGGAAAATACACTTAGAAAGAAGTCTCTTGAATCATTTTGAGAATCATGAACAAACTGGAAACCTGCGTTGCTGTGAACTGAAAACACTCTTGAAACTGCATGGTGATGGCAATTGGGGCTAACAGCTAAGAAGGTTACATGGCAATCAGATTCTCATAATTTTTCTCACCACTACTGAGTTACTGAATACTGGTAATCCCCCAGAGGAGGGTGTTCTTGGTTCATTTCCAAAATAAAGAAGTTAGAATAAGCATACAAGATCTTGCATACTTACTTATGCTAAGCTTCGGACCTGTTGTGGCTCATCCATTCTATTATTACTAAATTTTGCTCATGCTGAGAAGCTCCCTAGCACTAAGAGTCTCACACTTTATTTTAAACCTCAGAGCTTTAAATCAAATACATGATTTAGTATATTCATGGCCCCTCAAAAATAAAAAAGTCTCAGCTGTCCAAGCCCCAGACAACCCCTGGGGAAGGTAAAAGTTCAAAATGCCTGAAACTTCATCCACGTTAGTGAATAGCAAAGCAAAATTGTCAAAAGATGTTGGATTAAAGTATTTTTTTAAGCATATAAAAATTTAAAAGTATAAAAATGATATAAAGTTGTAGCATCACATCCTAACACCTGTAAAATCACAGCACTGGAGGTAAATATTTGTGTGCCAGAGCTATCAGCCTTTTCAGCTACATAATTTATATTGGAATCACATGATCATAAGAAAAATATTAACCCAAATATTTAATAGTTCTATTGAACCATTAGACTTGTACACCAGCAAAATTTTAACTATTCTTAAATGTTATCAATTATTTCCTTCCTAAGGCATTTACTTTTTGGTACAATATAGGAAAACAACTAGTGTTAGGTGGAGTCATGCCAACAACGCTTGTAAAGAGGAAACATTTAGTCTAATTTCTCACTTGCAGGGAAGGACAATTTTATTAATATATTTTGTTCCATTTCTTTCTTTATCCAGAGAATGTTCCCTACGTTTGGCTTCTGTTGTTCTCAGGAATATTTTTACGTGCCGTTTAATAGCTATCTATGATTTTAGTTATTCTACTCCATAGAGGCTAAAAAGGAAATCATAGATAGCCACGCCTTATTTTGTTCTTATTCAACCTTGAACCAACTACTTAACTACTGTTTTTAAATTAATCTTTAGGTATTGCTTCTTGAGAAGAAAAAAATAAATTCCTTTAGCTATTTCGTCAATAACAGCGTACCATATATTTCAAGAGTGATCTTATCTCTTGACTATTTGTTATATTTTGTAATATAATTTTGTAACAGAACATCAGATAACTATTAGTATATATAATATACTAATATCATATGTTATATACCATAATAGATTTTCAATGTGTGATTTTTGAGTGATTAATTAAACTTATGCTATAGGTAGTGTATATAGGCATGAGTAAGTAAGCCTGACTAATCTTTAAGACTTGGTCAACCTGCCGGGCTTCAGTGTGGATGGAATAGCCCGGTGAACACATGCCGTGTAGTATAGTTTAGATATGTATCCCCCGCCAAATCTCATGTCAAATTGTAATCTCCAATGTAAGAGGTGGGGGCTGGTGGGAGGTGATTGGGTCATGTGGGTGGCTTTTCATGAATGGTTTAGTACCATCCTTTTGGTGCTGTTCTCACAATAGTGAGAGAATTCTCATGGGATATGGTCATTTAAAAGTTGGTGGCATCTCCCTTTTTGCTCTCTTGCTCCTGTTCTGGCCAGGTGACTGTGCCTTCTACCCTTTTGCTTTCCACCATGATTGTAAGTTTGCTGAAACCTCCCCAGAAGGTGCACAGATGCCAGCATCATGCTTTAGTAGAGCCTGCAGAACTATGAGCCAATTAAAACCTCTTTGCATTTTAAATTACACAATCTCATGTATTTCTTTCTTTTTTTAAAAACAGGGTCTTGCTCTGTCGTCCAGGCTGAAGTGCACTGGCATGATCTCAGCTCATTGCAACCTCCACCTTCTGGGCTCAAGCAATCCTCTTACCTTAGCCTCCTGAGTAACTGAGACCACAAGCATGCACCACCATACCAGGTTAATTTTTAATTTGTCTTTTGTAGAGATGAGTTCTCACTATGTTGCTCAGGTTGTTCTCAAACTCCTGTGCCAAGCAATCCCCCTGCCTTGGCCTCCAACAATGCAAGAAGAACCTAACACACCATGGCACGTCAAGCAGCTTCCTTCAACATGAATTTGAGCAAAATACTCTACACAGATTATAGATACTATATCTTAGTGTTTTATAGAAATTTTCTTTTATTCCTCATTAGAGAATTAGTAAATTCTAAGCCAGATATGGCTGGGAATTTTTTACACTAATTTCAGCATTTGTACGTAAGATTAGAGTAAATGTAGTTTCCAGGAGAAACAGTATTGTTGTTGCTTTAATGTAGACTTCTAGATTCGGCTTTGAAAGGAGGCTGATTTACTAGGTCTGCAAAGAGTTCTAAGCATCTTTAATTTTAATCGTCAGTCCAGATGATTTTGATATAGGGGGCCATGGCCTGTGATCCCCACTGATTTTGATGGCTATTACTTATGTTGAAGACCTTGTTATCAGCTGCCGAAATTTCTCAATTTCAGTCATTTTAGGCTCACTTATTTTTTTCTATCATTACAAGATTATCAGACACTGAATTTCAAAAAGCACATTGTACAAAAGTCTCTCTTGACTCTTCTCTAGGTAAGAAGAAAAAGTTAGCACTACAATGCTATAGTCACATTTATGTTTTTGTTTTCACACGCACTTCATATCTAAGACTCAGTGGGCCTCACCAAGAAACAAAGGTAAGTTACATAAAAACTATTTCTTAGAAAAATAAAAATAATTCAAACATTCTTTTATGGTCTAATAAAATATACATGTTATATATTTATAATATATATATGTAATGACTAGTTTTAACTGGAATGGATTATGTTTTTTGGAAAGGCTTAAATTACTCAAAATCATCTCATATTATTAATCATGCCTTTCAATAGAAATAATATTTCCCCCAGGGGGACAAAAATTGGTTTATGAGAATTAAAAATATCTTACTATTTTTATAAACTGTATATAAATATATATACACATATATTTATATACATATATATTTATACACATATATTTATATACATATATATTTATATACATATATATTTATATACATATGTATATATACACACATATTACATGGTTTGGCTCTGTGGCCCCACTCAAATCTCATCTCAAATTGAAATCTCCACATGTCAAGGGAGGGACCTGGTGGGAGGTGATTGGATCACGGGAGCTGTTTCCTCCTTGCTGTTCTTGTAATAGTGAATGTGTTGTCACTATAAAACTAGAGCTGATGGTTTTAAAGTGTGGCACTACTTTCTCACTCTCTCTCTCCTGCCACCATGTAAAACATGCTTGCTTCTCCTTTGCCTTCTGCCATGTTAAAAGTTTTCTGTGGCCTCCCAGCCATGTAGAACTGTGAGTCAATTAAACTCTTACTTATACATTACCGAGTCTCAGGTAGTATTTTTATAGTAGAGTGAAAGCAAACTAATAGAGAAAATTGGTACCACAAATGGGGTGCTGATCTATAGGTAACCTGAATAAGTGGAAGTGACTTTGGAACTAAGTAATGGGCAGGGATTGCAAGAGGTTGGAGGGCTTAAACAAGACAAGAAGATGTGGCAAAGTTTGGAACTTTCTAGACACTTGTTGAATACTTCTGACCAAAATTCTAACAGTGATATGGACAATGAACTCCAGGCTGAGGAGGTCTCAGATGGAGATGAGAAACTTACTGGGAACTCGAGCAAAGGTGATCCTTGCCATAATTTAGCAAGGAGATCGGTGGCCTTTTTATCCTGTCCTAGAGATCTGTGGAACTTTGAACTTGAGAGAGATGATTTAGGGTATCTGGCATGATATGGTTTTGCTGTGTCCCCACCCAAGTGTCATCTCAAATTGTACTCCCATAATTCCCACATGTTGTGGGAGGAGGAACCTGGTGGGAACAGTATGATGGTTTCACCCATACTGTCCTCATAGTGAATCAGTCTCACGAGATCTGATGGTTTTATCAGGGGTTTCTGCTTTTGTATCTCTCTCATTTTTCTCTTGCTTCCACCATGTACGAAGTGCTTTTCACCTCCCACCGTAATTCTGAGGCCTCCCAGCCATGTGGAACTGTAAGTCCAATAAAACCTCTTTTTCTTCCCAGTCTCGGATGTGTATTTATCAGCAGCATGAAAACAGACTAATGCAGTAAATTGGTACCAGTACAGTAGGGCATTGCTGGAAAGATACCTGAAAATGTGGAAGCAACTTTAGAACTGGGTAACAGGCAGAGGTTGGAACAGTTTGGAGGGCTCAGAAGAAGACAGAAAATGTGGGAAAGTTTGGTACTTCCTAGAGACTTCTTGAATGGCTTTGACCAAAAGCCTGATAGCAATATGTACAATAAATCCAGGCTGCGGTGGTCTCAGATGGAGATGAGGAACTTGCTTGGGAACTGAAGCAAAAGTGACTCTTGTTATGTTTTAGTAAAGAGATTAGCTGCATGTTGCCCTGTCCTAGAGATGTGTGGAACTTTGAACTTGAGAGAGATGATTTAGTGTATCTGGTGAAAGAAATTTCTAAGCAGCAAAGCATTCAAGAGGTGACTTGGGTACTGTTAAAGGTATTCAGTTTTATGAGGGAAGCAGAGCACAAAAGTTTGGGAAATTTGCAGCCTGATAATGTCATAGAAAAGAAAAAACCATTTTCTGAGGAGAAATTCAAGCCACCATCTGCAGAAATTTACACAAGTAACAAGGAGCCAAATGTTAATCCCCAAAACATTGAGAAAAATATCAGAGGTCTTCACAGCAGCCCCTCCCATCACAGGCCTGGAGGCCTAGGAAAAAATGGTTTCATGGACGGGGCCCAGGGTCCCTATGCTGTGTGCAGCCTAGGGACTTGTTGCCCTGCATCCCAGCCACTCCAGCCATGGCTAAAAGGGGCCAACCTAGAGCTCAGGCTGTGGCTTCAGAGGATGCAAGTCTATTTTCTTTTTTAACTTTACTTTCTATTACTACCTTTTTAATTGCTTTTTAGATTTGTAAGTTCAGGGTTTTTTTTTTTAATTTATTTAATTAGAAAATCACGTATATTTTCACAGGTTTTTAAGTATACTATTTATTGAGATTATTTTGATCTAATTACTTTCTAAGCTCTAGAACAGCAACAATATTTGGCTTCCTGTAAATATACTACTGAGATAGGCAGCATGCTTTGGCATCAGGGCAATTTCAAACTCATTAATAGGTTGATAAACCTCTCCTCTTCTATATTTAAAAAGATACCATGTAGGATTAGCATTATTTCTTCCATAAATCTGAAAGAATTAATGAGTGAAGTCATCTGGGCCTAAAATCTTTGTGGGAATGTTGAAATTAAACATTCACATTTTTCATTTGATACAACTCTATTCAAATTTTTCATTTCTTTTTGAGTCACTTTTGGTAATTTATGGTTGTCATAAAATATGAAAATTTCATCTAACTTTATTAGCATACAGTTGCTCATGATAGTCCCCTATAACCCTTTAATATCTTAGAAATCTATCATGGTGTCTTCTTCTCATGCCTAATATTGGTAATTTGTATTCTTTTTTAACCCATATGGCTAGAGGTGTACTAATGCTATTTGCTTATTTAAAAAAAATCTTTTGCTTCACTGATATTTTTCTGTAGTTAGTTTATTTCCTATTCTATTGATTTACACTCTAATCTTTATGATTCTTTTCTTTCTACTTGTATTATATTTATTTGTCCAGCTTTGTCTATTTTCTTTAGATGTACACTTAGATAATTTTTTTAGAAATTTAAAAAAAATATTTAGTGCTATATATTTTCTTCTAATCACTGTTTTAACTGTGCCACAGAAATTTTTACATTTTATGTATTAATTTTTATTCACTTCAAAACAATTTCTAATTTTCTTTTTGCTTTTTTTTGAGCCATGAGTTATTAAGAAATGTGTCATTTGATTTCTAAATATTTTGCGTTTTTCAGATTATTTTTTCTTTATTTATAATTTATGTCTATTCTGCTTAGAGAGTATACTAATATACTCTGTAAGATATCCATCATTTTTTATGTATTTAACTTGTTTTATGGCTGTGATGCTTAATTTTATCTGTCAATGTGGCTAGACCATAACACCCAAATATTTGGTCAAACATTATCCTTTATGTTTCTGTGAAGGTATTTTTTTTTTCTAGATGTGATTAACATTTAAATCAGCACACTTTCAGTAATGCAGATTACCCTCCATAAAGTGAACGAGACCCATCCAATTAGCGGAAGGCCTTCAAGCAAAAAAAAATATACTGGCCTCTCCTAAAGAAGAAGAAATTCTGCCAGCTGCCTGTCTTTATACTACTGGAGCTGCAACAGTAGCTCTTCCCTGAATACCCAGCATGTGAACCTATTCTGCAGATTTTGGACTTGCTATCCTCCACAATATTGTATGAGTCAATTTCTTAAAATAAATGTCTCCCTTTCTCTCCACACACAAATACACACATACACAGAGACACATGCACACACAGAGAGAACCTATTACTTCTATTTCTCTGAAGAACTCTAATACAAAAACCCAGCATATGTTCTATTTTGGTGAATATTTCATGTGCCCTTCAAAAGAATGTGAACTTTTCTTGTGTATGAATGTGTCTATAATTGCAAATTATTTAGCTAGTTGTTAATTTTTTTCAGGCCAACTTGTTCTATTAAATAATAAAAGAGAAGTGTGAAAGTTCTCAAATATAATTAGTGGGTGTATGTATTTCTATTTGCAGTTTTTCAGTTTTTGCTATACGTTTTCTGAAGCCCTGTCACTAGAGACATATACTTTCAGGGTTATGTCTGTCTTCTCGATGAATTTACCATTTTATTTTTATGAAATGTCCCTTATAACTTCTGGTAATATTCATTCTTTTAAATTCTGTTTTTTCTAATGATAATTTAGTAACTCCAGCCTTCTTATTATCAGTGTACACATTGGATACTTTTCCTCTTCTTTTAGTCTTAATGTTTCATATTTAATCGAGTTCTTTAGGTATAGTATATAATTTGGCCTTGGGTTTTTATTCAGTCTAAAAATATTTTCCATTTAATTGGAATGGTTAGATTATTTGAATCTAATGCAATTATGAATATATTTTTAAAAGTATTAATAGATTTAATACTTTTAAATCTATAATTTTGCTATTACTATCTATTAACTTATTTTGTTCCTCTTTCCTGCCTTCTTTTGGATTGAGACTTTTGAAGATTTCATTTTATTTTTACTAAATTTTATTTGCTCCTAAGGTTTTAATTAGAAACTGCCTTGGTTTTTGTTTTTTTGGTTTGTTTGCTCATTTGTTTTTGTCTACTTGGGCTACTTGGAGTTTCTTAGGGCTATGGGTCTAGTGTTTCCATCAAATTTCAAGATAAATAAATTTCAGAATATATATTTAAAATACACATATTTCAAAATATATAAAGTATATATTTCATACATATATACTTATATATGTATAAAAGTATATATTTTGTACATATGCACAAATATATATACACAAATATATATGTACAAAATATATATGTATGTATATACAAATACATATGTGTATATATACAAAATACATAAAGTACATATATGTGTGTGTATATACAAGTATACATAAATTATAGTGGGTATATGTTAACCTGCTGGCTCACAACTACCCATTGATTGTTTGGATTTTTTGTTTGTTTTTTAATCTTTTTATTTCCCTTATGCTTTCCTTTGGCTACTTTTCGCTGCTATGTCTTCAAGTTTTCTGATTTTGGCGCTTCTTAATCATCTGCTAATTCCATCCAGTTAAGTTTTAAATGATAATGCATTTTACATCTCTAGAAGTTCTTTTGTTGTTTTAAGTATTTCATTTCTCTTCTTATATGTTCATATATTCTTTTAAATATGGGATTATAATAATAACAGTTGTTTTAACACTTTGCATCCTTATTCCGTTACTTTATCATTCCCAAAACTATTTTGATTGATTGATTTTTCCCTTGTTTTATGAATCCTGGACATTGTGGATTTTATGCTATTGTATATTAAATTTTTCTGTCTCCTTCTAAATAAAAAAATGCCATTGTTTTTCTGGTAATATGTGAAGTTACTTGTGGTTCAATTTGTTCTTCTGAGGCATGATTTTGAGTGTTGATAGCCAGGTCTTATATATTCACCCCAGGGATAGGCAAGCCACAGTAGGATTTGGCCCTTCCAGGATCTCTACTAAATTATCTGAGTGATCGATGAAGACTCTCCACGTGATCAGAACTTAAATGCCTTATTACCTGCATAAACTGGGAATCATTGAAGTCTCAGCAGTCTGGCATTTCTTAGGTCAATATCATGGCTTTTTGCCTTACACATGAAGGTTTTAGTATTCAGCAAAACTCAAGGTGAATCCTATACAGATTTCTGCGTGGCTTCCTGAGGTCTGATCATTGTCTTTAAAACTCAGCAAGATCCCTATGGGTACCCCTATCTGAAATGTATCTACACATTGATAGTTGGGGTGATCCTGTGACTCACCTGATTTTACATCCTTATTTCAAGAGTCACAGTCCTGTAACACATGTAACCCGATGTCTGAAAAGAATTACTTCATATATTTTGTTCAATGTTTCATTTGTTTACAGGATAAATGTAAATCTGCCTCTCTTATTCCATCATGCTTGGAAGAGGAAATTCTTTTTATTGGTAAAATATAATTTGAGCTATTTTCTAAACCTTATCTTCTTTAATCTTTACATAAAATGGATTTTGTATCTTTTTTTAACAAACGTATATTTTAATTCCTAAGAACCTACTCTCGTTTTCTTTTATCCTCTTTCATCACAGCATGCTACTGATTTTAGTACAAGAAAACTATCATCTTCAATAAACTATCATCTTCAATCTCTCATAGGATACTCATTAGATTTTTTAAAAATATCCTCCAGTTGTTCAATTACCTTTGGTTTCTGTAGCTAATTATTCTATTAGTTTATTGTGGTCTTTCACGCAGACCCAGACACACACATACATACACACAGACACACACGCAGACACACACACACACACACACACATTCCACACTTGCTAACATGAGTTTGGAGCCTAATAAACAGGACTGTTTTGGACAGTGAAGAAATTTTCTAAGAATTTTCTTGGCTGTTATTTCCACTGCTCAGTTAATCATTACTGAAACGCTGTCGTTTTTCTGCTAGTGGTTTCTGCTTTCCTTCTGCACATTACACTCGATATACACTCTTTAACATATATTTACTGTGATTTCTGTTGGGAGCAAGGAAAGTTAATTATGCATGCTCAGCCTATTGTCTTGAAGTTGATGATCAAACTTCCAATTTTTAAATAGATTTTAAAAATATATTATATATGAAGAAGATGTAAAAGAAGTAAAAGAGGTTTTACTTTTGTTTGAGTAAACATTGTGATAATTTCCACAGTGGGTGTGAACTAAAAGTGATTTCCTATTTTATCAGCATGGACATCTCTCTGCAAAACTTTGTAAAAAATATTCTTTCTGGTTATAACACTAAGTCTTAAGGCTTAAGCATTTTGTGCCATTGTTAATGCAGGCTGTTATGTCTATTTCTATTGTTTTTTACATCACTAAATGTGATGTTCCTATTAATTGGTGTGGCTTATATTTTCAACAATGTGTAAAGTTGAAAAACTATTTTAAAAAATAAATAGTAACTAATAAGCTAAACATTCCTATTTGTGAAACTATGAGATTGCATGATTTCCTTTTAAAAGTGGCTTACAGCATGTTATTTTGACCCAGTAAAATCGCTTTTATCCTCAAAAATACTCACTTTTATTCTTCAAGTTGAACAGCTTTAGATTAAAATAAACTATAAGATAAAGTTTACCCTGCTATCATTTTTTTCTTTTATATTTATACCTATTTAATTATGTTGTCTGTGTCATCTGTAAAAACTTTTTCATTGGAATCATGGAGGGAGAATTATATATGTGGTAAGTGAAACATATGGTCAAAGGCTGTGGAATAAATGTTTTCTCTTGTTTCAGAACAGCAAAAATAAATTATTTGTTGCTGATAAAATATATACAGAAGCAGATATGATTATAAAACACAACAACTAAAGGGTGAACTTTATCTTAATCCCAACACGTCAGGTTCTAACTGCAGAATATATTGATTAAATATATTAAAACTCTTTAGATTGATTACTAGAGGAAAGTGATTAAAACTCTTTAGATTGATTACTACAGGATTGATTAAAACTCTTTAGACTGATTACTAGAGGAAAGTATTACTATCCTTGAAATCTGCATCAATGTTCCTATCACTAAGAAGTGGCACAACATATTGTGTGAGTTATGTAAAATATGCTGCATACAATGCTAGAGAACATCCAGTTAGGAACAATCAAGTTTAACGAGAAACACAGACTTTAACTTAATATGTGTCTTCCTTTGTAACCTTTATGCCACTGCTGGTCTAGTATGCAAATGACTGTAAAACCCTAACTGTGGTAATTGATTATCTCCTAATGAACACTTGTGCAGCTAATAATTATTGTGCGTTTTCATCTGCTATACATACATCACATACCTCTAGGGAAAATCCTAGGGTTTTGGCTGTGTCTTATACTGAACCACTTATACATCATACTATTCTTTTGACATAGTGTCAGTTTTACTGCCTAACTAACATAATAACTCCAAATATACACATCATGTCCTTCTTAGCAATTATAACATTACACAAATAAGGTAAACATTTCCTGTGGCAACCACTTATGAATTTTATGTTTACACTTATTTGTTGAGTCTTCTAAAATTCAGTTGATTATTTAATAATATTAATGAACAATAAATGATTATTAAATGATTTATGCATTTTTATTAATATTATTTCAAAAAGCAATTCAGTTGCCTGTAATGTATTAAGAAATAAATGCCATTTAAATAAAAACTTCAATAAGAAATATCTTCTTCTGCTCTTTATAAAACGAAATTTAATAAAATGCGATATTCAACAGTTACATAATTTGCTATTGATAATTAAGTTGAATTAACATGTTTCTGTAAAAGTGTTACTCTGCAATAGTGATATAAGTGTTACTTTTCAATGTGTTCTACTATTAGTCACAATTTCAGCATTATTGATCAGTTTATCTCTGCTTAAATGAAAGTATGCTACCTATTCCCTTACCGTTGATAGGTTAAAATTAAGTTTTAACCTATCAACTTAAAACTTACTAAGTTTTAACCTAGGTTAAAATTAAGTTTCAAGCCAATTTGACTCCAGCACATGTACCATTTCACCTCATTAAAATAAACATGTTTTTCAATAATCATGTTACCATTTAGTTGTTCTGTGGTTCTTTGTAGAAACAATGGTTTAATTTGCTAGTAGAAACATCTTTTTGGTTCTTAGGATCCAGTCCAAATACATTTTTATATCAATCATGAATTCTTAAAATGCCTATGAATTCTAAAATTAGGAAGCGACTGTGGCTCAGGCAAAGAAACTCAATGACTCCTTTTTGAAATGGTCTCAATAAGGATACATTTTTATTAAACACATGCATCCAGAAGCCACTCTTTCTTGATGGTTTAAATAAATCATCCCAACCTCCAGTCCTTATTCCTATAAATTTTTCTGCCCAAATTCTACTATTCGTATGTCCATTGTTTATCTTTGGCTGGAAAATATTGTTTTTCCTTCCTAAGCACAAGTCTCCAATTTCATCAGTAGGTAAGATTTCTCAATAAATTTGAGTTGTGACGTTATTCTTTATTTCATTGACTTTTTTTTCACCATCCATTAACAGATGCTGAGAGGTATACACGCAAAATCACTGGTACATATCTGTAGGTCAGATTTTCATCAACCCTCAAACATACTGTGTAATTTTCCTATGCAAGGTAGGAAATAGATAATATATATACTGTATAGTTTATATATACTGTGTATATGTACTGAATATATATACTGTATAATTTATATATACTGTGTGTATATACTGAATATATATACTGTGTATATACTGTATAATATATAATATAGTGTATAATGTTCATATGCAAGGTAGTCCTATGGTAGCTTCAATATAAATATTTCCTGTGATTACAGAATTGTTTAATGTTGAAGCTAAAAAAGAGAACCTAAATTACCTATATATTAAAACAAAAACTAATTAAATTCATGAGCTTATTATATGCAAAAACTTCTGAGATCTTGAAAGAAGTATTTCAGAAAGCAGAGACTTCAGTAGTGGTATGGAAAGTGGTCATGTGATAGGAGTGGAAGGTGTTAGTGACATCAGATACACTCTGAGCACCCGCCACCAGCAAGTGAACTCGGTCAAGATGATGCACTAGCAACAAGATTAAACATATTTTATTTAAACACAATTTTTGTAGTATTTTTTTCATTCTATTTCCCTTTATTCTTATCTCATTGAGCCAATTTAAGGACCAAGATATTAGTTCAAGATCAGAATATTATCTCAGAATACATTTTGTAAGAAAGTTAGCTCATATAGATATATATAGGCAGAAAACATGTCCCCTTATTGTAGTAGCTCATAAAATAGACATAATTAAACCAAAACCTGAGTCATTCTCACAAGTAAGCAATGAAAATTAATGCTAACAAATCATAAGAGAAATGGTTTGTATTTTTTCCTAATCAAACACAGCTTTCCCTTTACACCATTTACAACACACTGGGGCCTAAAGTGTAGGCACAGATAGAGTACTAAAAAGAAAATGGGCCACAGAAGATTAAAAAACATAATCAATAGTAAATCCCCAGGCTGTAGAGTCACGTATTTTGAGTATTCTTGTCTAACCCCAGAAGATTATAGTTATTAAAGATAATATTTTTGGACCTGACACATTTGCTTTCTGCTTAAAAGCATCGCCTTGTGGGTGAATGTCAGTATTATCATTATTATTACTAGTACTATGACTACGTGGACGGCTGCTGCTGTTACGAAGTGTAGATCATGTGTCTATTTTCAGGTCCAAAGAACTGTTCACTACTCACTCATTTTAAGAGATTAATTGCCTTTGGCCATGACTTAGTTACAATGACTGACATCTGGAATCCACTTAGGAGAGATTTATTATTAGTAGCTCAAACTCTTGATCTTATTTTTGCAGCCATTGTTACTTTGAACAAAATTGGCTTCTTTTTCCAGGTTTCAATCAGTAAAATATCTGGGTATACCTATAATTTTTTTGACTGTTGAATGAGTTATTATTATTATTATTTGACATTCTGAGTAGTTTGTGTATAAGTTATGGATCTGTACAGAGTTTTCAAAACTTTGTCGTTTTGTTATTTACCTTGTAGACCTTCTCCATACCAACTTTACTTTCCAAGATCTCAATAAACAGCATAGCTTAAATTAGATAATACTCAATTTTAATGAAGAAATCAAGCCCTGAGGAAAACTTTGTAGTAGTCTTGAGGGGAAGCTAAGTATGTGTGCAGTAAGATTTCTTTTAGTGATATCATTATTATGCATCCATTATCAAAGTATAGATTTTGAAACTAAGAGTCACTTTTAATGGTGATTAATATTCATAGAGACAATGGGAAAGAAAATCCATTGTCTCCAAGTTTGTTTGTCTTTTTTACTGTTTTTAATTGTCCAAGAAAACTAAGCCTTAACTATGTTCATTTGGGGATTGTCTTTATGGATGATGCTCCTGACAAATGCCCATAATATTGGGACTATTATAATTCTTTTACCAGGGATTCACTCAGAATTGTGTTACTTTTGGCCAATGATTGCTGTGATATTTGCAGAGCAAGTCTCCCTGTAAAACAATATCAAAATCAATTGTAAAGAAGAAAGCTGAGACACGAATATAATTTCCATTTAAGATTATGTTATATTGCCATTTTTCTCACTGAGCCATCACACATTTCCATCAGCACAATTTTCTAGCAGTGTCTATAATTTTGCCTCTAATTGCTACAGTGATCGGTGAAAATACTTTCTAAGTGTCACCTAATTCTTTAAATAGAACATAGGGTAGCTTGTCTTTTCTGCTCTTGCATCATTGACTAAAACAGGATGTACAATAGCAAGTTAGGGCTTAGCATCAGAAAGACATGGGTTCTAATTCCTACTCTGAGCCACAACAGCTACGCCATCTTGGGAATGTGCTCACCTCTTTCATTTCTTCCTTGAATTGAAACAACTGTATATACCTGGGAAATGTATAAGGATGCAATAAGTTAAGAAGTGAAATGCACTTAGAATAGTGCTCAATGAGTTGTAGCCACTATTGTTATTATAATTCCCACTTAAGTTGTGGAATGATTCCAGTATGAGGCAGGTTATGAAATAATATGGTTTATCTTCTAGGCCAGTGGCCCTATAAATTTCCATTGTTATCTGCTAATGAATATTTTGAGAGCAGACTTTCATAAAGATAAATTAAGCTTAGGAAAATAAAGAATTATGAAAAAAGTTTTATCAAAACTCTGCCAAAATATCATAGGCTATCAAAAATGTTTAATCAAAAAAAGGCTACTTTTAATGATACAATCAGCCATTTTATTTTGTGTAATATCCGTACATGTATTGTTTATGTTCAACTTGTAGTCATGTAAAAAATTAACACGTATTTCACGTTCATGGAGATTGTTTTAGCATATGCTTTACCTGGTGTGTTTTCCTTTTAAGATAAGAGAAACAAAGACAAAAATGGTGTAGCTTACTTCTAATGGCCTTCTAACAGTGATAAAAGATGTGCTGCGGATGTGGGGCACTGATCCCACTGTCTGTGATTTTCTATTAATTGTCCAAGAACACTCATATTCTATACGTTAATTTTAACCTTCAAGATTATGTAAGAAAAGAAAGCACTTCTGACTCTATGTGTCTTTTGCTGCTTTGCTTTGTTTTGCCTTGCTTTGCTTCCTAGTCTCTCAACTATTTTCTCAAAGTTCGTCCTGGAAAAATGTTGTGTTTTGTGAACACCTCTGCCTTGAGTGCGTTCAATGGATGGATCCTCAAAAAAGAAATTGTATTCACTTGCGTACGACCCACTCCATATTGACGGTCTCTTCTCTGAATATTTGTTCTATAATTTTGCTGTACCTGAAACAGCCATCCCCTAACACGGCTGCTTCCCCAGGCGGGGACTGCTTTTTGTTTTCCCCCCACCGCCTCATACTCTGTGTATCTCATAATTGGGGAAAGGTTGTTTTCTCAGGTACTGATTTCTCACCACAAAGCATTTATTCTCCCCATTCAATACAAAAGTCTTCCTCTTCTAATGCTACCATCTTTTCTGGCACCAGGCCAATCTCTTCAAGGAAGCTGAAAGGACCTGCCTACACATGTGTCAAGTTTTTTTACCCTAATATTTCTTTCATAATGAATTATTTTCAAATATACAATAAAAGTAGAGCATAGTAGAATTATATATTAAAAATAAACAGAACTTCAGGTACACAAATATCTAGTTTTAACAGCTCAACATTTTTTTATTTTTTCATTCTTCCTCCATTTCTTTCTCTCTTCCTCTTTCTTGCTCCTTTCCTCTCTCTTCCTTGTCTTTCTTTCTTCCTTTTTTTCTCTTCTTTCTTTCTCTTTCTTCCTTTCTTTCTCTCTCTTTCTTTCTTTCTTTTTCTTTCTTCTTTCTTTCTTCTCTTTCTCTCTCTTTCTCTCTTTCTTTCCCTTCCTTCCCTCCCTCCTTCCCTCCCTCCTTCCCTCCCTCCTTCCCTCCCCTCCCTGCCTGCCTGCCTGCCTGCCTGCCTGCCTTCCTTCCTTCTTTCCGTTCTTCTTTTTTTCGTTCTTTCTTTTGAAATAAAACATTGCAGATAGTAAAATCTTTTGCTCCTTTGGTTCCCCTCTCAGATATCCTCTTTATTCCCTCTCTTAATATTACTATATTTATACATCTTTTTAAGCTTTCACTATATGTGAATCTATTTTGTGTATTTTTAAAACTTCGTGTAAAAATAAAACTCTGCATCTTGCCTTTTATAGTGATTAGCATGTTTTAAGATGTATTTTTCTTAATATATGTATACTAAAATTTCTTCAATTAATTTGTTTGTATGTCTCCTTGTGTACACGTTTAAGAGTTTTCTGAAATTTTTATTCTGAAGTAGAATATTTGAACTTAAAATATGCGTAGCATTAACCCGATTAGATAGTATACAATTTCTCATTAATCGTTGGTCCAATTTATACTCCTGATATCAGTGTAGGAAAATTCCAGTGTGTCTACATCTTCATCAATAGTTGGATTTTCTTTTCTTAACATTTTTTTCCAATCTGATAGATGTGTAATGATATCTCATTGGTCTTCAAAACATGTAATTCCAATGTGGTTCCAATCTCCACAGGACAAATTATTTCCTTTCTGTAAGATTATCAGTAGCCTCTAAAGTGTTACATAAAATAGACATATTTCAATCTTCAGCTCTCTCAGTAGAACTTGAAATAGTTAACCACTTCTTTTTCTGTTAATATTAAGTGATTAATATTTACTAAATGAATGACTCAATAAATGAATGGAAACTACTCAGTATTTGTTGAAGGAAGTAATCTCTCAACCAACAAAGCAAAATAAGTTTTTTTTTCCTTTTTTTCAAACTGAATAAAATTTATTTCCTAAGATATTCATTAAATGCCTAGTAAGTTAAAGTATGTATACTAGACGTGAAAGATTCAAAGATGCAATTCTTATCCTTTTAGTATGGAACCATGTCTGGGGTAATATACACTTAATAAATATGTGTCTAGTAAATAACATCATCAACATGATCTCTTTTTCTCAAAGTATCTTTTATATTGCAAAATTCACAATGTTTGAATACTTCATTTTCTGACTTCTGTAGAAAGTTTGTGCCAAAAAGCATGAGCTATGTCTTTTTTCTTTATGTACTGAGGGCATAGAATAGTGCCTGATACATGGCAAATAGTATAAAGTCAATTTGTATTTGTTGAGAATATTAAAAAATTGGAAGATAAAAAAATTCCATAGAATTTTTATTTTAGTAAGGGTTCAAATGAAATTTAAGGTGTGTTATTCTTTATCCAGTATCTCTCAATGACAGAGAGATGATCTGGTTAGAACTTAAATCATGGAGAGAAGAATGGTAGGATAATATGATCAAAATACAGACATTTCTATGAGAATGGATGGGCAAAAGAGAATGTAGAAAAACCTCGTACCTCTTCATCTGGGTTTTAATATGAGTGTTGAGACTTCCCTGGGTTGATCTTGCAGGATTTATCTTAATGCTGTATTGGTGCATTTGTAGATTGGTTTTCAAACTCCTCTGCCTCACAATTCATACGATTTCTGAATCAATAGCCATAGCAGTCCTTGTTACACAAAACATTTTTTTAAATGGCATGTGAGTTCCTAAAATGCAGCAATTTAAATATCATCACTTGGACTTCAGTAAAATTTGGTCTATGGCCCTATTTAAGTGCAAATTATTACAAAAATGTTGTAATTTAAGCCATGTTGTATTCAAATACAAGAGATATTTCCCGGCACCACTCTCACATAGTAGGTTTTCAATAAATGTCTATGGTATTATTAAGCTAAATGTTCCTAGCATGCTGTTCAAAGAGGAGTTTTTGGTCAAAGGGAGAATCTAAAATAATCTATGGGCTTCTAAAATTGGGAGATGTCTTAGTTAGTTTTGGCAGTTACAACACAAAATACTGTAGAATTAAACAACAAACATTTATTCACTACAGTTCTGAAGGCTGCAAAGTACAAAATCAAGGTGCCAGATAATTCAGTTTCTGGGGAGGGCAGTCTTTCTGGTTTGCAGAGGAAAAACTTGTTGTATCCTTACATGGTGGCAAAATTATCTCTCTTACGTCTTTCTTTAAAGGGTATTAATCCCATTCGTAAGGATCTACCATCATGACGTAATTACTTTCTTAAAGACCCACCTCAAAACACTGTCACATTGGGGATTAGCACTTCAACATATGAATTTGAGGAAACACAAACTTTCAGTCCACTGCAGGGAATAATGTTGAACTGGCAGAGGTGGGAAAGAAAGGAGGTTCTAAATGCTACATAATTGATAGTCTTGCCTACATCAGAATGATCTAGAAGGTTTTTATAGAAGTAAATCTCAAATGATTGTATTGATATTTAATGTGTCAGTTTTACCTGGTGTCAAAATACTTTATAAAAGAAACAAACGTAACAACAGAAACCATGCTGAAACCAGGATTTTGTTTTTTCCCACAGAATTATAAAAAAATAAACCTGTCAATCAAAGCTACCTCCCAGATTCAGGGCTCTGGTCCCCTAGACACAACAAACTCCTCCTTGTGCTCACAAGCCCCAGAGACGTCCACTTGTGAGCTCTCGAAGCATCTAAAATGAATCCTCATAATCTGGTCTTTAATAACAGCAGACCACCCAAAGTTGGCAGACATAATAGTAATTTATTTTCAGAACAAACTGCCTTTATTTTTGACAGGAAAAATCTTCCTCCACAAAGTCTCAGAGAGAGGATTACTACATTCTGCACACTCAGTGAACGTTTATTATTGAGTCAACAGAAATGAACAAAATATAAAAGCCTTAGAACAAACTTAACAAAACAGCCTGGAGATTTAAGGGGGGAAATATTAAAGAAATACGTATGGGAAACAGTCTACAGAAAACGATGAGTTAGTTAAGACTTTGCAATTGTCAAACATTCTCTAGGCACATCTATTCACCTAAAATGTATAATCATATAAAGACTTGTGAATGGGTGTCTCACTTGAAGATTCTAAACTCTTTCTTTAAGACAGATATTGATCTTTAATGCTTTTCTCCTGCCTAGCTCGTAGTAATGTTTAGCTCTTAAGAAACTTGTGTATTGCTACAAGCACATCAAAAGAATGGCATTAGAGAAGTGTGAGTCATGAAAGCCACAATATCTAAGTGAAATTCATCTCCTAAATTGCATGGTGTGTGAGATTGCAATAATAATTTTCTGAAAACCTTCATTAATATCTTATAGAGCACCCTAGTCAGTATGAAGATGAAATATGCAAAATATCTACCTCTGGACTAACAACTTAACATGCAGAATTAAAAAAACAAACAAAAAAATGAAATATATGAGAGATGATGGATCAGAAAGTTTTTGTTTGCCTATTTTTTTTTAACTGACTGCTGGGAAGGATTAGATTTACAAGTGGTGATAAAAGGTGTATAAGTTAAGTAGATTTTCTATATGTGAGATGTTGAAATAAGGAGGCTGGCAAATTCTTTGCTTGGAATAGGCAAAGATAATTAAAACCTTTTGTATCTCTACCTTCAATCTAAACTAGACAGAAAGAAAAATCTCAAACTTAGGGACCAATTAAAAATGGCAGATGAATTCCACAGGTTTGAGAAAACACTATTCATATAACAAGATAAAAATAATTTTTGGAGAAATTTCAGATCCAAGAATCGAAACAGTAGAATCCTATATAGATTGAAATTAGTAGAAAAAAATCTTGTTCCTAAGAAGAGATGTTTTTTTTTTCTTAATAATTTCAATTTTTGTTTTATATTTAGCAGGGGGTACGTGTGCAGTTTTGTTACATGGGTGCATTGTAAAATGCTGAGGTTTGGGATATGCCTGATCCTGCTACTGAGGTACTGAGCATAGTACCCAATAAATTTTTTAACCCTTTCCTCCCTCCCATCCCCCTCTAGAAGTCCTCAGTATCTATTGTTGCTATCTTTATAAAGACCCAATGTTTACCTCCCACTTATAAGTGAGAACATGTGGTATTTAGTTTTCTGCTCTCCTGCATTAACTTGCTTAGGATAATGGCCCCCAGCTGCATCCATTGTTGCTGCAAAGGATGTGATTTCATTCTTTTTTTTACAGCTGCGTTGTATTTCATGGTGTATAAGTACCACATTTTCTTATCCAATCCACCATTGATGGGCACCTAGATTGATTCTATGGCTTTATTATTGTGAAGAGAGCAGTGTTGAGCATATGAATGCATGTGTCTTTTTGGTAGCATGATATATTATCTTTTGATATAACCCCATGAATGGGATTGCTGGGATGAATGGTAGATCTGTTTTACGTTCTTTGAGAAATCTCCAAAATGCTCTCTACAGTAGCTGAAGTAATTTACATTTCCACCAACAGTGTATAAGCATTTCCTTTTCTCCACAGCCTTGCCAGCATCTATTGCTTTTTCACTTTTTAGTACTAGCCATTCTGACTGGTGTGTGATGATATCGCATTGCAATTTTAATTTGCATTTCTCTGATGGTTAATGATGTTGAGCATTGCTTTTCATATGTTTGTTGGCTGCTTGTATGTCTTCTTTTGAGAAATGTCTTTGCTTGTTAAATTAAAGTTTCTTATAGATTCTGGATATTAGACCTTTGTTGGATGCATAGTTTGAATATATTTTCTGTCATTCTGCAGGTTGTATGTTTACTCTGTTGAGAGTTTCTTTTGCTGTGCAGAATCTCTTTAGTTTGAGTCCTAGTTGTCAGTTTTTGTTTTTGTTGCAATTGCTTTTGAAGACAGTCATTAATTTTTTTCCCAAGGCAGATATCTAGAATGGTGTTTCCTATGTTTTGTTCAAGGATATTTATGATTTGATTAAATCTCTAATCCCTCTTTAGTTAATTTTTGTATGTGGTCAAAGGTAGGCATACAATTTCATTGTTTTGTATGTGGTTGGTCAGCTCTCCCAGCACAATTTATTGAATAGGGAATCCTTTCTTTATAGTTTATTTTTGTTGACTTTGTCAAAGATCAAATGGCTATAGGTGCACAGCTTTATTTCTATGTTCTCTAACCTGTTTCATTAGTCTATTTGTCTGTATTTGTATCAGTACCATCCTGTTTTGGTTATTGTAGCCATATGGTATGGTTTGAAGTCAGGTAACATGATGCCTCTGGCTTTGTTTTTGCTTAGGATTGTTTTGCCTACTCAGGCTCTTCATTGGTTCCATGTGAATTTTAAAATAGTTTTTCTAATTCTGTGAAAAAAATGACATTGATATTTTGACAGAAATTTTATTGAATCTATAGATAGCTTTGAGTAGCATGGTCATTTTAATGATATTGATTCCTCCAGTCCATGAGCATGTAATGTTTTTCATCTGTTTGTGTCATATATTATTTCTTTCAGCAGTGTTTTGTAGTTCTTCCTGTAGAAATCTTTCACTTCCTTCATTAGCTGTATTCGTAGGTGTGTGTGTGTGTGTGTGTGTGTGTGTGTGTCTATTGTAAATGGGATTGCATTCTTGGTTTCGCTCTCAGCTTGAATGTTATTGGTGTATAGAAATGACACTGATTTCTGTACCTTGATTTTGTGTCCTGACACTTTACTGAAGTCGTTTATCAGTTCCAGGAGCCTTTTGGTGGAGTCTGTAGGATTTTCTAGGTCTAGACTCTGATAGTGAAGAGAGTGACTTTTTTATTTATGTTTATTTTTCCTATTTGAATGCCTTTTATTTATTTCTCTTGCCAGATTGCTGTGGCTAGGACTTTCAGTACTATGCTGAATAGGAGAAGTGAGAGTGGGCATGCTTGTTTTGTTCCATTTCTCAAGGGGAATTCTTCTAGCTTTTGTCATTTGGTATGAAATTGGCTGTGAGTTTGTATAAATGGCTCTTATTATTTTGAGGTATGTCCCTTTGGTGCCTAGTTTCTTGAGGATTTTTATCATGAATAAATTTGATCAAAAGCTTTTTCTTTGTATATTGAGATGATCATATGTTTTTTGTTTTTAAATCTGCTCATGTGGTGAATCATATTTATTGATTTGTGTATGTTGAACCAAACTTGCCTCCCAGGAATGAAGCCTATTTGATTGTGCTAAATTAACTTGTTGATATGCTGCTTGATTTGGTTCAATAGTATTTGGTTAAAAATTGTTGCATCTATGTTCTTCAGGGATGTTGGCCTGTAGTTCTCTTTTTTCGTTGTGACTTTCTTAGGTTTTGTGGGGTTTTTTTTTAAATAATCAAAAAAGGAGCAGTTGGAAAAACACTGGACAAGCTGGCTGAATGAAGAATGAATGTGTGTGCTGTATTTAGGAGGGTTAGAGAGTGTGGAGAACAAAAGGGAGTGCAGAAAAGGGTAAGGAGCCCCAAAGGATGGAGAAATAGAAAAGAGAACTTACATGTAGACTTCATCTACTTTACTAATTTATAATGTGCTCTTTTGTGCCAAGATATAGAAGGAAATAAAACATTAAATTAATATGCATAAATTATAATAACTACTTCTATAATTAAATGAGAAATTTGAATACATATTTCTCTGATAATATAAGAAGAGAAACATTTTAAACAACTACTTGGTAATTGAGATCCTCGGGGCAAGGGTTGGGTGGAGACAGCAAATGGCTCTAGTATTAGGGTTGTTGTACTTAACAGATAAAAATAGAGGATTCTCAATTCATTAGAATTTCAAGTAAATAAATATTATTCACACAAGCATGTCCCATGTAATAACTTGGACATGCTTTAACTACAAAGTTATCTGTTATTTATTTGAATTCACATTTTACCCAACACCCTTTAATTATCTGGTAACTTCCTCTGCATTAAAATGTGGGTAGGAGAAAGCACAGATGACTTAGTGAAGAAGAAAATACATGGTAGTAGGCCATGCAGGACATAAAAATTAAAAAGCCCACAAACACACAAAACAATGAGGTTTACTGTACAGTTTTAAATTAAATGGTATATGGTGCCATAATATATCCCTTCTCAATTTTAGACTCACACTCCATTAAAAGGCCAATACATAAAGCTTGTATAAGTTGTTTGATGAGGAAAAGGGCTAACATAAAATTATATTAGAGGAGGGAGGGTGGCAAAGTCTGGCATAAAGTGATAATTAAAGAATCATGTGTAGTTCTGAACTTAACATGACTAAAATATGAACCTTATTTCTCTCTTTCCATTTCTCCAGAATTTGCTCTATCCTCAACGTTGCAAAATGTCTGGGCATAGGCTGTGTTGCATTTCTCACGTACAGTATGAGCAGAGAAGCTTACCCATTCTGTTGCAGCAGGTCCAGAGAAGTCTCACTGAAGTGCTTTGGTTTTTATTGAATTGCATGCTTATTATGTCTGGACAAGAAGATGTGTACATGAAGAGGATGTTTTGATAGGCCTGACCTGAGAGCTGTATGCTCACAATAAAAGCTAGAGACACAGTCATTTGACATTAAAACAACTGAGAAAAGATGATGAATCTTGAGAAGAAATTGGGATATTATGTACAAAAGAGGCGTTATAATACTTTATGGCCAAAACGAAAACAAAAGAAAAAAAAAGCAAGAAAACAAACAAAATCAAAAAACAAAAAAACTAGCAATGTTCCACCATAAAGTTTAAATGGATCTTACTTTGGTTCAGACTTTAGAAACGATTGACATCTGGGTTATGTATATTTCACTTCCCACGTTCTGCACGGTAATCTTCTAAACTTTAGCAACTTATCTTATTAATTCCTTTAGGCTTGATATGAAGCCTGCCCCAGATAAGTGCCTCATAAAAGAAGAATAAACAAATGAATGAATAAAAGCAAATGCCATACTATAGACTTTTGAGTAAAAAGATTTTCTCTACAACATATTAAAAGAATGAACCAGCAGAACAAACTTCAAACTTTAAAACAATGTTGTTTAAGTTAGTCATGTCTGAGATGATAAATAAATCAACAGGAGAAAAGTGAACTTCAAAACATGTATCTTTAGGAGGATTTGAATTGGAAAACCACTGACACTTAATTGCTAAAGTGACTTTGACTAGTTATTCATCTATGGAATAGGAAGAAAACTTACTTGATCGTGTTGGCATGATGATTAAACATGACTTATGTACATGCAAGTGCTGAGCACTAGTCTATAACCTCTATGGGCATTGCGATCACTATGACATATCCAGAGACTAGCTCAATTTCTAGTACATTGGAGGCACTTGATAAATGTTTCCTTAATTTGAAATCTGAGAACAGGACATTAAGGTGAGTTATCCTGTTTTCTTTCTTTTCTCCCCACTTCACCTCTAGAGTGTGTGTGTGTGTGCACGTGTGTGTGTGTGCACGTATGTGTGTGTTTGAGAGAGAGAGAGTGAGAGAGAAAGAGGTGGGGGTGGGGTGTTATTTAGGGTCAAAATACAAAGTAGTAACAATTCGTTGTCCTTTCAAAGAAAATATTATTCAAACTTCATTCTGATTTATAAATAAGCACATGTCACGTATGTCAGGAATCCATCACATTTTACTGAGTATTTAAAATTTCATTTGTTTTCCCTCTTAGTTCTTTCACATTAGATCCAGCAGTTGAGATACATTTTGCTTGTGCTGCAGTTTTCTATTATGGATATGTAATGTGTCTAATAAAGAAATGAGAAACTAAAATTGTTGCTTTTTCCTCCTGCCCCTCATTTCTTTTTCTCATGCTGTGAGAAAGGTCTTCTGTTTATTATATAATTCTTCAAAGGAAAAAGTTGTCTATGTATTAATTATGCAGTAACATAAGAGGAATTTTTTATGATTTTTAAAAATTTCCTTAGGTTTTGGGGAAACAGGTGGTGTTTGGTTCATGAGTAAGTTCTTCAGTGGTGATTTGTGAGATTTTGGTGCACCCATCACCCGAGAAGTGTTCACTGTACCTAATTTGTAGTCTTTTACCCCTCACACCCCTCCCAACATTTCCCCCAAGTTCCCAAAGTCCATTGTATCATTTTTATGCTTTTGCATCCTCATTGCTTAGCTCCCACTTATGAGTGAGAACATATGATATTTGGTTTTCCATTTCTGGGTTACTTTACTTAAAATAATGGTCTCCAATTCCATTCAGGTTGCTGTGAATGCCATAATTTCATATATATATATGATAATTATATATGCACATGAAATTATATATATATACATATATATATATACATATATATATATATATATATATATATATATATCACTATTTCATTATCCACTCATTGATTGATGGGCTTTTGGGCTGATTCCATATTTTTGCAACTGTGAATTGTGCTGCTATAATCATTTGTGCAAGTATCTTTTTTTGTATAATGAATTCTTTTCCTCTGGGTAGGCACACAATAGTAGGATTGCTGGATCAAATGGTAGTTCTACTTTTAGTTCTTTAAGGAATCTCCACACTGTTTTCCATAGTGATTGCACTAGTTTACATTCTAACCAGCAGTGTAAAAGTGTTCCCTTTTCACCGCAACCAGAAAACTTTGTTGAATAATGTGATATGACAGAATATCTACAGGTTTTATTTAATTTTAAATGTTCTATGTCAGTTAATATTTATGTCATCATCTATAGTAAGCTCCACATAGGTACATAAAACCATGAAATAGACCTCACTGAAATTTCAAATATATGTTTACATTTGTAATGAGTTTTAAGATACCATGAACTTAACTGATTTAAGTTAATATTTAAGTTTAAAATTTAGGTCAGAAGAAATTATAAAGGGATGATTTTGTAGTTAACATAATGAAGGAAAAACATTTCTACCATTTACTTAGAGTGACTGGAATTTGTATGGCTTATCAACATTAACTTATTAACTTCTACTCTGTGCGTATCATTGAACTTTATAATAGTTGAGAAATATAAATAATAATAATGTCATAGTATATATCTAATTACTGCTGATTCAGGTGTAGACAATATATTTGAAACATTTGTTGTATTTTCCATTATTGTTATAAACTTTAAAATAAAATGAGTTTTAACTGATGATAAAGGTAATTTATACTTATAACACATATCAGACATATGGGAAGCTTGGAACTCCAATTATACATTGTGAACAAACCCACTACACAGATAATCTCTAGCATTTTTGAACATATTATTCTAAACCACTTTCTCTGTACAAACACCAGATACATATATTTCAGCATTATTGACTGTACTCTGAGGAGTTTGGAGGTGAGGAAGTTTGAGCAATAGGGAGATATTAGCAATTGCTGTCCCATGGAATTAATATTTGAGAGGCTAAGAGCCAGCAGTTGCCCTGAGAAAGCCGGCATGTGTGTCAAATACACATAAAAAATGGGAAATATGACATGAAATGAGGCTGGAGAGATGGAAAAGGGAAGATCAACAAGGAGATAAGAACTTTGGTCTTTATCATGAGAACAATGTTGTAAATGAATCCTAGGAATGACACCCAATGACCCTCTCTGTTGTTAACTCCCTCTCACTTGAGTGTCTGAGGAGCCTCTAAACATGATGAGATATCACTTCCCCAGAATTATGTTACTTAACTTGGCAAAAAGGTGAACCAAACTTAATCACATTAGGGCTTTTAGAGTTTTTTCTAGCTGGTAGTAGAAAAAAAAGAGAGATTTGCAGCATGAGAGTGACTCAATGCATCATTCCTTCTTTCAAAGGTGAAAGGGTCCTCATCCTAGAGTCTAGGTGGTCTCTGGAAGCTAAAAGCAACCCCTGGCTGACAGCCAGCAAAGCAGCAGGGACTTTAGTCCTAAACCTGATGAAATGAAATTCTGCCCCAAACAGAAATGAGCCTGGAAATGAATTCTTTCCCAGAGTCTCCAGATAAGATTTTAGCTGGAAGACTCCTTTGTTTTGGCCTCCTGAGATATTGAGCAGAAAACTCAGTTGAGTTTACTTGGACTACTGACCTATAAAACTCTAAGATAATAAATTGGTGTCATTTTAAGTCATAAAGTTTTTGGTAATCGCCTGCAGTAATAGAAAACTAAAAGCAATGGAAAATATTAGACAAAGAGGTATCAAAATTTGATTTGCATTTTGAAAATGTCACTCCCTGGGGAAGAGGAGAGAGAGAGAGAGAGAGACAGAGACAGAGACAGAGTGCAGAAAGAAAGAATTCCCGAGTACATGCAGGAACAGCAGAAAGATCTGTTAGGAAGCATTTGAAATAATCAAGGACAAAGCAGATAGTATCTTGAACAAAGAGTAAAAGATGCAGTAATGGAGATTTTAAAAAAGAAAATTAGTGTCCATAAGGAATGTGCTACTTCTTTTACTCATTCAACTGAAAATGTTTTTGGAAGTGTGTTCGGTAATAGGGACATGAGGATTGTGCTAAAAACATATACTTTTTTCTATATCAATTTCCACCCTCTCTCTCCCTTCCTGCTCCCCTGGAGGTTGTTCTGTAGAGACTACAGAAATAAATTATCCTGCCCTCTTGTTTTGATTTGAATTTAACCAATGAGAAGCACTGGTAGGGGACTGCAGGGAGGGAAGAGAGTGAGGCCAGAGCATTCATTTTTTTCCTTTTATAATTCATTTTCATTATATTCATTATATTTCATTCATATTCATTATTCTTATTTGCATTTTACTCAATTTTCTCCCCATAGGTGATTGTGAACCGACTGACTGCATCACTTAACCAAACGTCATAATGCCTATTGGTGGCCCTCTCCCCTTCCCTTCTTCTGGATCTGGCACATGCTCTTTTCTATTACCCCCTTTAGGCCTAGGGGTGATATACTAGGTCTCGGAATTGCATTATCCCAGTCTATGGCCATTTCATTGTAAATAGTTTCACCTTGAATTATTTTCAACTTACTCTCTCTGAGGATGCCATCAATTCCATGTATGGATTTCAAATCTAATCCAAGTGCTTAGCCCTTTTGCACTGTTGCATGTAGTGAATTCAAGTGTCTCTCACACAAATGGTGATCATATGCACTGTGATAGATCAACCTAGAAAAGAATCATATATGGGAAGGGCTGGCTGAGGACAGAGAGTAGATTTTGTTCAGATTGGATAGGTAGCCCTTGAAGTATCATCCCAACAAGCAAGTGGAAACATTAAGTAGGAGGTTGGATATGTGAGTACATTAGTTTCTTTTCATTCTGCTGATAAAGACATACCTGTGGCTGGAGAGGTCTCACAATCATAGTGGAAGGCAAGGAGGAGCAAGTCACATTTTACATGGATAGCAGCAGGCAAAGAGAGAGCTTGTGCAGGGAAATTCCCCCTTATAAAACCATCAGGTCTCCTGAGACTTACTCACTATCTTGGAAACAGCACGGGAAAGATCTACCTCCATGACTCAATTACCTCCCCTCGAGTCCCTTCTATAACTCGCCTAGAGATAGAAATAGTTCAAGTATGCAAAACCCGAATTCATAAATATGATGAGATTTTACAGGAGGTAAAGTATACAAAGAGAAAAAGGCCTAAAATTTTCTTAGAAAGTTCATACACCTTAATATTTGAAATACTGATAATATAGCTTATATTTATGAAGCCAGGCACTTCTATACACTTTTTGCAATGTAGAAATTATGCCTCAGAGGGGCATGAGTGTTTTGCTGAAGATCATGTGTCTAGAAAGTGGAAGAGCAGATAGTCTGGCTCCAGAGCCTCTCAACTGGATAAAGATTACCCACAAAGGAGACAGAAAGAGTAGCCAAAGAGGGTGGTGGGATAACACAATTAAAGTAACCATTTTGATGACAACAGTGTTGAACACCTCTGAGGAGTCAAGTATGATGAGCGCATAATGATATTCATTGGATTTGGTAACATGGAGACTGCTTTTCCTTCCTTTTGTTTTCCAGTCACAAAAAATGATGCAATAAATTTCTTGCTTGTACCCATTATGCTTTTATCTTTTTCTAGAAGTGGAATTGCTAGATCAACGAGTATGTCCATTGTAACATTGATAAATAATTTCAGATTACTACTCAGAAAAGGTAGACATTTTTACTCCTACCAGTAGTAAATGAAAATGTATGTTCCATCAAGTCTTTCCAACACCGCTGTCAACTTGATGCCCGTCAGCCTAAAATAAATTCCAATGTTGTTTAGTTTGTGTATATTTGACTAGTAGAGAGGGAGAAACATCTTGCATATAACAGTTGTGAAGTTATTATGTTTATGGGTGTGACTCTTACAAAAGACAATGACAAAGAAAAGTCTGTAAATTATGCCTTCTTAATGTCTGACAAAACCTAAGTCATTGATGTCCATTAGAATATATTATTTTAGATTAATATTAGATAAAATTAATTCAAGAAAAAAATGCTTCTGTAATCCCTTTACCTTACTGCATTTTTATTCCCATTTAGCAACCTGAAGCATCTGACATTTGTCATGTAGCCAAATGCATACTCATTGAGCAAGATGACTGATGATGATTGGTCATGATGATGACAGCAATGATGATAATGATGACGATAGTGAGGACGACAAACTCATGCCTTGATGTACTTTTTCAAGAGTTAGGTGTTTTCCTTTTAATATTTTTCAGAATTTTTTTAACACAATTGCACTCAGGAATTGGAATATCATTTGTATTTCATTTTTTAAATCAGTGAGCAAAATGAGCAGGAATAAAGGGAGTTAAAATAGGAAACAGAATGAAATGTGATTTTGCTCACTTATAGATGTGTGGGCGTGTGTATCTCTTTGCTGTCACCTGCAGCTCTGCCTAGCTTTGTATAGTTCTCTCTATGATATTCTATTTAATTTATATTCTGCTTCTTTAAGACTACTAAATTATTGGTGTAGTATAAGCAATACATCTTTTAAATTATAATCTCCTCCCACAATTATCACATAACTTCCTGTCTCCAACCTAAACACTTCTCTGGCATTTTATGAGTTATCCATCTAGATCTGCTATTTGGTCCACATATTTACAATCAGAAATTTCCAGGGAAAACAGACTTAACACATACTTATAGTACTGGTGGCTCATACATACAAGGAGTATAGGAAAGTTTGGGTCTCATATTTGGCTCACAATTAAAGCAGATTGTTTTGCACATTTGAGTGACAATAAGTATTTTCCTTCAAAAGACAACAATACGAAGTACAGTAAATTAACTTTCTCCAGGACAGAATATTTTTAATAACTGTAGATTCATGTGATAGGTAGCAAAAGGAGTTTTATAGCAAGTTTGATGATAATTTATCATTTTCCTAAAGAAATATAATAATTTAACAAGTTAAGTAATAATAAAATAATACAATGATAAATAGAATAAATATATCAACCTAAATTTGAACAAAATGCTTAGAAATGTCCAATTTTAGTGTTTTCATTTTTGAAATGCCGCTGCTCATTATATGAATATTTTCCTCTCTAAAATTTATCCAAAATAACAAATTTAATTGGGTAACTCCCATCACTTAATCATAGCATTCTATTGATCATTCAAAAAAGTTATCTTCTGGCTATAACATCCAGCACAATCATTTTGATGCATAAAGGAGGGTCTCAAAGATATGTGAGAGTCCTTGCTTATTAAAATATACAGATTTTCTAATGGCATGTATATGATGACGGGTAATATAATCCAAGAACTCTGATATAAAGGGTAAGAACTCTAAAAGGACTATTTAGAAGGTACTTTACATGTAAGTATTGCTAGTTTTCCTGTTTTAAAATGTTTTGCCTCATTATTCTGTGCTTTGTATTTCAAGTGATTTATTCTAAATGTACACATTAGCAGTTGTACAGCTAGGCACTTTTATTTGTGAGTGACAAAAAGTAATTAGTTGAAGGCTGAAGGAAGGTAGTTCTTGTGAGGTATGGCATGATACAGAGGTTCAAACAACATCTTTGAAACTCGATCTCCTGGCTATACCCTCTGCCCAAGATTGTCTTTGTGTTGGTGCAGGCTCTCTCATGGTGTCAATACAAGCACTATCCATTACGTATGTCTCTCATTTGATCAACTCCAACAAGAGAGAGCATTTATTTTGAAACAGTTCCCAGCAAAATCCCAGGGCTGGACTGGCCCTCATTGGTATAGCTTCTGTATTAGTTCATTTTCATGATGCTGCTAAAGACATACCTGAGACTGGGCAATTTACAAAAGAAAGAGGTTTAATGGACTTACAGTCGATGTGGATGGAGAGGCCTCAAAATCATGGTGGAAGGCAAGGAGGAAGAAGTCACATGGATGGCAGCAGGCAAAGAGAGAGATTGTGCAGGGAAACTTTCCCTTATAAAACCATCAGATCTTGTGAGACTTATTCACTGTCATGAGAACAGCATGGGAAAGACCTGCCCCCATGATTCTATTACCTCCCACCAGGTCCTTCCCACAACATGTGGGAATTCAAGATGAGATTTGTGGGTGGGGACACAGCCAAACTATATGATTCCATCCCTGGCCCCACAAATTTTATGTTCTCACATTTCAAAACCAATCATGCCTTCCCAACAGTCCCCCAAAGTCTTAACTCATTTCAGCATTCACTCAAAAAAGTCCAACATCTCATCTGAGACAAGGCAAATCCCTTGTCTGTAAAATCAAAAGCAAGTTAGTTACTTAATAGACACCATGGGGATACAGGCATTGGGTAAATACAATGATTCCAAATGGGAGAACTTGGCTAAAATAAAGGGGCTACTGGCCCCTTACAAGTCCTAAATCTAGCAGGACAGTCAAATCTTAAAGCTCCAAAATGATCTCCTTTGACTCATGTATCATACCCAGGTCATGCTGATGTAAGAGGGAGTTCCCATGGTCCTGGGCAACTCTGCCCCTGTGGCTCTTCAGGGTACAGCCTCCCTCCCAGCTGCTTTCATGGGCCACTGTTGAGTGTCTGTGGCTTTTCCAGGCACACAGTGCAAGCTATAGGTGGATCTACCATTCTGGGGTCTGGAGAACAGTGGCCCTCTTCTCACAGCTCCACTAGGCAGTACCCAAGTAGAGACTCTGATCTCACATTTCCCTTCTGCACTGCCCTAGCAGAGGTTCTCCATGAGGGCCCTGCCTCTGCAGCAAACTTCTGCCTCTGCATCCAGTCATATCCATACATCCTCTGAAATCTAGGCAGAGGTTCCCAAACCTCAATTCTTGACGTCCATGCACCCACAAGCTCAATACCACATGGAAGCTTCCAAGGCTTGGGGCTTGCACCCTCTGAAGCAAGAGCCCAAGCTGTGCCTTGGACCCTTTTAGTCACAGGTGAAGTTGCTGGGACACAAGGCACCAAGTTCCTAGGCTGCACACAGCACAGGGACGCTAGGTCCAGCCCACAAAACCATTTTTTCCTCCTGGGCCTCTGTGCTTGTGATGGGAGGGGCTGCAATGGAGACATCTAATATGCCCTGGAGACATTTTTCCCATTGTCTTGGAAATTAACATCCAGCTATGCAAATTTCTGCAGCCTGCTTGAATTTCTCCTCAGAAAATGGAATTTTCTTTTCTATCACACTGTCAGGCTGCAAATTTTCTGAACTTTTATGCTGTCCTTCCCTTATAAAACTGAATGCCTTCAACAGCACCAAAGTCACCTCTTGAATACTTTGCTGCTTAGAGATTTCTTCCTCCATATACCCTGAATCTTCTCTCTCAAATTCAAAGTTCCACAAATCCCTAGGACAGGGGCAAAATGCTACCAGTCTCTGCATTAAAACGTAGTCAGAATCACCTTTGCTCCAGTTCCCAACAAGTTCTTCATTTCCATCTGAGACCATCTCAGCCTGGATTCCACTGTCCATATAATTATCAGCATTTTGGTCAAAGCCATTCAACAAGTCTCTATGGAGTTCCAAACTTTCCCATATTTTCCAATCTTCTTCTGAGTCCTCCAAACTATTCCTATCTCTGCCTGTTACCCAGTTCCAAAGTCGCTTCCACATTTGTGGGTATCTTTAAAGTAGCACCCAACTCTACTGGTACCAATTTACTGTATTAGTCTGCTTCACACTCCTGATAAAGACATACCTGAAACTGGATGATTCACAAAATAAAGAGAGGTTTAATGGACTTACAGTTCCAAATGGCTGGGAAGGCCTCTGGAAGGCAAGGAGGAGCAAGTCACATTTTACATGGATGGCAGTAGGCAAAGAAAGAGCTTGTGCAGGGAGAGTCCTTCTTATAAAATCATCAGATCTCATGAGACTTATTCACTATCAGGGAACAACATGGGAAAGACCTGCCCCATGATTCAATTACCTCTGACTAGGTCCCTCCCACAACACATGGGAATTCAAGATGAGATTTGAGTGGGGACACAGCTAAACCATTCAGCTTCCACCATATTTAACCATTCCAGGCCAGACTTGGTGGCTCACACCTGTAACCCTAGCACTTTGGGAGGCCAAGGCAGGCAGATCACTTGAGGTCATGGGTTCAAAACTAGCCTGGCCAACATGGTGAAACCCCATCTCTACTAAAAATACAAAAAAAAAAAAAAATAGCCGAGTGTGGTGGCGGGCACCTGTAATTCCAGCTACTTGGGAGGTTGAGGCAGGAGAATCACTTGAACCTGGGAGGTGGAGGTTGCAGCTAGCTGAGGTCACACCACTGCACTCAAGCCTGGGTGACAGAGTGAGATTCCATCTCAAAAACAAAACAAACCAAAAAAAAAATTCCAGTACACACTAGTGTAATTGGGAGGTTGGGAGGGTACAAAGTTATGTTTTGGCTGTCTGTGTTACATACCCAAGTAGCTACCCCATCTAAACCAAATGAACTTAGATTAGGAGAGAGAAAAACCTTGCATTCCAAAATACCTAATAAATGAGTACATTTTAGCTATTTCTATCTGATTCATAAATAAGAAATGCTGAAACTGCTGAAAATTATTTCAAAAAACCAATAGTATTTGCTTTTTCTTCTCTTGAGGCACAAGTAGCTCATTCATCTCAGAAAAGCACTTAGTATTTAGCTGTATTTTAATGTGAACATTTCCTGGTTAACCATTACTAAGCCAAAGTGATTAAGTAGTGAAGCACTAATTGCCTCCAACTCTCCTTCATCTCAGAGTTAGACACAAGTGAGACACGAACAGGCAAAAAATTAGCTGAAGAGAGATGGTGTAAGTGTGTGGCATGTAAAGTGGCACCTGTTCTGTGCTAGGATGTTCATCTGGAAAAGCAGTGATGAGACTGAATATTACTGTAATCCATGGAACCAGTGGAGACAACATAATGAGTGCATGGCACTATGGTTTGAATGTTTGCCCCCTTCAAATCTCATATTAAACTTAGTCCCCAGTGTGGCAGTACTGTAAGGTGGGGGCCTTTAAAAGGTGACTGGATTGGCTGGGTGTGGTGGCTCATGCCTATAATCCAGTGCTTTGGGAGGCTGAGGCGGGCGGATGACAAGGTCAGGAGATCGAGACCATTCTGGCTAACACGAAACCCCGTCTCTACTAAAAACACAAAAAATTAGCTGGGTGTGGTGGAGGGCGCCTGTAGTCCCAGCTACTCAGGAGGCTGAGTCAGGAGAATGGCATGAACCCAGGAGGTGGAGCTTGCAGTGAGCTGAGATGGTGCCACTGCACCAGCCTGGGTGACAGAGGACAGAGCGAGACTCCATCTCAAAAAAAAAAACAAAGTGACTGGATCATGAGGGCTGTGGTCATAGGGATTACTGTATTAATGGATTAATGAATGAATCAACTAATGAGTTAATGAATTAATGTGTTTTCATGGAGTGGAACTGTTGGCCTTATAAGAGGAGGAAGAGAGGCCTGAGCTAACAAGCTCAACCTCCTCGCCATGTGATGTCCTGTGCTGCCTTGGGACTCTGCAAAGAGTCCCCACCATCAAGAAGTCCCTCAACAAATGCAATCACTAGACCTTGGACTTCTGAGCCTCCATAACTATGAGAAATAAATTACTTTCATTTATAAATTACCAGTTACAGGTGTGCTATTATAAACAGAAAACAGACTTAAGACGTGTACTGAAATCAAATCATAATGAGCACAAGTTGGCAAAAGACAAATAAAAAAGTAACCTATAGACTGTGTGAGGTTAAGATTCACAAGAGTGATTAGAGAACAGAGCAATTTTAATCAAAATGAAAGGGTACCTTAAGACTGTATATTTCCAACTATATTTCTTAGAACCACAGTTCCACAGAATATTGGTGAAAAATGCAAAGAGGATTCATAGGTGAGATAAGATTTGAAAAATCTGAGAAAAATGAAGTTAAAACCTTTCTTTCTTCCGAGGCATCTGTAACCAGGTGCTAAGCATTAGCTGTCCTTGGCTTCTTGGCTACTGGCCCAGAGGCTCAGGGAATAGCTGGTGTCAACATTTGCTTGGGCTGGGATCAGGTAGAAGTAGGTATTAGAAAGCAGGTATTGAGATTATCTGAGGTCAGCCCACACTAAAGCTAAACTAGATGCTGTGTTATCAGCTGCATTTTACTTCTGAGAGATTAGGCCTTGAGCAGTCAGGAGTGGCAGATTAGATATAGACATAGACATAAGCCAGGCCTTGACTTAATAGGTCAGGAAAAGTTTTGGGCAGAGGCCTGGATAGATTCAAAATTCTCACTAAGATCATTATTCCATATCACTCTGGTTTACTTGTCTCTGCCTTTTCTCTAGTCCTCTCTGATGGCTTGATTCATTTTAAGAGGGTTTAATCCTTTTTATCAGGGAACAATAGAGTAATGATGTAATTTATGGAGTGTTGACTCTAGGGAAAACACCACTCTAAACTTTCCATGCTTATTTAATTGCCAAACCACTTTATAAAGTAGGACATTTTATAGTATATTGGAGGAAACTGAGTCCCAGAGAAATTAACTAAATTGCGTGGGAAACAACTGGATGTTGAAACCTCCAAAGCACATACCCAACCACCTTGCTTTCTCACCTCATTCACATCAGGGTTTTCAATACCTGCTTCACATTTTAAAAAAATGGCAACTTCTAACTGGACTCAGGAGTCTACTCTCTTCCTATTGCTCACAGGGATGTTACAGGAAGCTTGTCTTTCTTAAAATCCATTGTTGGGCAGGAGGGAGGTAACTTGCTTGTCTCCAAGGACAGAGATGGAACATTCAGAAATATGAAATCAACAATTTCCTCAGGACCACATATGGCCTTTGGAATCACAGATATCTGCTCCTCTTTCAAATTTACCAGTTATACGTATTATGTTCTTTGTATTTTTCCGTCATTTCCACTCTAAAGCAATGATCATGTCCCTCATAATTTATTGCTCCAAGATCGTCAGCACTATGTAAAATGAAGATGCTTGCTTTCAGCTGCCCTTATCCCTAATTTCTAAGTCTATATTTATTGCCAAGATTAGGCAAGCAAAGTGTTTAGGAAGAGGTAGGAGAAGGTCAGGTCTTTGAGAGATGGATGAGGAGAAAGAGATTTTTGTGGTTGAGGAGGTTAGCAGTTTACTCAACTAATAGATTCCTTGTCTGCTTTGTGGCAGAGACCTGGGAAGGTGCAGTGGTCAGAGAATAATAGCTGTGGAGTAAGACTGGGGAGAATGGCCCTAGGCATGGGGTATCCCAGCTGCGACAGAGCTTGCTCTGTCCCCCGCATGGCCTAAAAGCAGTCATTTAACTTTAAGGGGGTCATGCAAATGTCTTAGAAATAACCACCTAAGACTATGGATATCTTTCCAAATGGCTTACTCTCGTATGTTTTGGTGGCCTTTCCATAACACTACAGGAGATGCAAGGGAAATCAGATAATGATAGGGACCTGACATTTCTATCAGCCTAGCACAGTTTTCCTCAATTCAAAATGATTTTGTTGCCAGCAGACATTTGGCATTTTCTGAAGTCATTTTTTGTTGTGGCAAATGGGGGTGGGGTGTTGTTACAGGTGTCTAGTTGCAGAGATCAAGCATGCTGTGAAATATCATACAGCACACAAGAAAGCCACCACCACACACAAAAATTACTGGCCTCATGTCAGTAGCATTGAGATATGTCAACAATATATCAATCATTCATAAAGATTGACGTTGAGAAATCCTGGTGATACGGTTTGGCTCTTTGTTCCCACACAACTCTCATCTGGAATTGTAATCCCCATGTGTCAAGGGAGGGAGGTGATTGGATTATGGGAGTGGTTTCCCCCATGCTGTTCTCTTGATAGTGAGTGAATTCTCATGAGATCTGATGATCTGATACATGGTAGTCACTTCTCTCTCATTCCTCTCTCACCTGCTGTCACTTCTCTCTCACCTGCTGCTATATAAGATATGCCTGCTTCCCCTTCCACCATGATTGTAAGTCTCCTGAAGCCTCCCTAGCAAAGTGGAACTGTGAGTCAATTAAACCTCCTTTTTTTTTTCATAAGTTACCAAGTTTTGGGTAGTATCTTTGTGGCAATGTAAGAATAGGTTAATACAACTGGTGATCTAACAACAAAGCATTCTAATTTTGATTTAATTTAAGGGGGGATAAAAAGTAAAAGAAACATCTGATTTCTTCCATACTCAAGATTGTGGCTGTAAGGAGATTCCTGCTAAGATGGCTTATAGACACTCACATTGAATTGTTTTACCTTTGAACTAAGAGAGTTAGGATTTAAAATAAATCATTTTTTAAATTCATATAATTATGGTAATAAACCTCTTATTTTGTTCATAGAATAAATGAAAAAAATGTTATCAGCAACAAAGAACATTTATAGTCAATTAAACATTTTATTTTATTCACTTTATATCAAAGAGAGACCTACCTTAATATATCAATTTAGGTAGCTAGATGCCATAATCACAGGTGGGTACCCCACGTGTGCTCCAGACCACCTCCAGACAGCTCGGTGATTACCTATGCACAAGTCCAGATATCATTAGCTAATACTCACAGACTTTTTAACAATGTATCAATCATTCATAAAGATAGAGGTTGAGAAATTGTTCCTTTTCTAAAATGGGACAGTTCAAAGTCTCTTCTCCTCAACCTTATTTTCCATAGTCTCAACTCTGTTCTGCATTGGGCAGTTTGCACAGCAGTAAGATCTGCCATTCATCATTCCGTGTTGAGGCTCTTGAGGATCATTTTTATAACAAAAGCGTATCAGTATTTTTGTAAATCCAAAAATGGACAATGGAATTAATTGCAGTGTCAAGGATAGAATGAGTTGACAGGTAAGATTTTAGGATAAAATATTGAATCATATTTGAAGGACATTTATGTTTTACCTTTTATCCTTTTATAAAGGGAAGAGATTTTATTAAACACAGCACTAAGCTAAGTAACAGGAATACGAGATAGTATTGAGCTAAAATCTTATATTGATATGACAATTCTATGCACAAATATAAAAACGTGATCTATTGCTCTGTAGAGATACTTGGGTGAGAAATTAAATAAGCTATGATAGCAATGCTTAAAATTAACATCCCCAGGTTTTAAGAGATTTTAAGAGTTTGATAATAATTGCTCTTTTAAAAATCTTAAATCTATGGGAATTTACACTGTTAAAGTGCATCTTAAAAAATAATATTTTCGGCCGGGCGCGGTGGCTCACGCCTGTAATCCCAGCACTTTGGGAGGCCGAGGCGGGCGGATCACGAGGTCAGGAGATCGAGACCATCCCGGCTAAAACGGTGAAACCCCGTCTCTACTAAAAATACAAAAAATTAGCCGGGCGTAGTGGCGGGCGCCTGTAGTCCCAGCTACTTGGGAGGCTGAGGCAGGAGAATGGCGTGAACCCGGGAGGAGGAGCTTGCAGTGAGCCGAGATCCCGCCACTGCACTCCAGCCTGAGCGACAGAGCGAGACTCCGTCTCAAAAAAAAAAAAATAAAAAAAAATAATAATAATATTTTCTATTTAATATATAAATGCAGGTGCTGTAGACAGGGCTGACAACGTGTGTACTCAGAGCCACAAATTACTCTTTTGAGGTGAGCCTATAATATTGCCAAAATGCATAAGATTCAAAGAAAATTTCAGCAATTTCTACAATAAATGGCCACAGGGCAAGCAGGAAGGGAATTTAATCTATGTAATTCTAAACATGTAGCCCTTTTGATACATTCAGAGAAACTAAATTTGTTTTATATTCAGATATTTGCAATTGTGTATTGCGGTTTTCTTGACTATGTTAGAAACATTACTTATAGACCAACAATTCATTTTGGAAATTCCAATCCCAGGTCTTTAAAATAAAAAGGTGATCCAAGGTTGAGGTATATGGACAGGTTTGGAGCAGTTATCAATCAATCAGCCATTCACCAGGGTCTAGCTAGTTGTGCCCTGCTATTGATAAGAACTACTTAAAATCTAAAAGACCAATTGTGATTCTACATGCCATGTCATGAGGAAGCACGGTCCCTCTTCTCATAACATGCAAATCAGTGGTTCTAGAAGCATGTTTGTCTTCCAATAACAGTAACTAGGTTATGTCCTTTGGATTTAGGTCTTCTAATTGTCTAGGCAGTGTAAAATCCTCACCCATTTCTCTCCACTTTTCTGAAGAAAAACAAAGACAAACAGCTACAATGTGAAACCGGCCAAAAAATTCTCTAGGTATTTTTGTGGTTGATCATTCAGAATCCAGCATACAAAGACAGAATTTCTCCTTTCATTATAGTTACACTATTTTTTCTTTTTTATTTTTCATATCACTTTTCCCTCTAAAATATAAACATGCCCAGGGTCCAGTTGTTGCCTTATTCAACTCTCCATTTCTATATCCTTACGGCCAGGCACATAGTAGGGACTCAAAAACTGTCGACTGAGTAAAATAACGATAGTTCTCATTTTTATGTAATTTTAACTAATATGCAAAAGGCCACAGTAATGAAAGAATGATAAAGCATTCTACCTCATCCTTTGCCCATGGAAATCTCTCTGACAAAACCACAGTTTCTAAGGCAAAATAATATCATTATGATAGAGGAGGAACAGGCAACCCAAGCTGTATAGCAAAGGAAAGGGCAAGGACTTTAATAAATTACTTCTCATGTGAAAGATGGTTAGAGGTGGAATTAAGTGTGTTTCTTATAGCCTGGCAGCGGATGTTTAAGCCAACATAGTGTTATATATTTTATGTACTGAGAGGCAAGCTTGGCCCCTAGGAACCATCAACTACTGAATTAAATTTAATCACCTATGTTCATTTATTATAGATCCCCAAAAGGGTTTTCTCCATGCTTCTAGGCAGCTGTGTTGGTGTCCCTTCAGCTTTTTTCTAACTTTTTAACCTTGTGACTATTTTTCTTCTTTCCAATTTTATACATTTCTGCCTAAATGTTCTTGCTTTTTCCCTAAAAAGTGACCACAAGCATTTAGAAAACAGAAAAATACAAGTACTGAGGATACATGTATTTTTTAAATTTAGTGCCTTACTTTTTAAATTGAATATTTATTTGGGTAAAAAATCTGGTATTTTCATAAGATATTTTGTCTCTAATGAGCATTGTTTCTGGTTGAAAATGCAATTCGCTTGAGCCTGGAGAATTGGAATGTTTAGATACATTCAGGTAGTAGCTGTAGGTCGTGATTTCTCATTAACCTCTTGAAAACCAGCACATTCACCATTGCCTTGTTTCTGCCCCTTATACAAGAGTCACTGTATTATAGCTCTCTTATAAACCCAAATGCATGTATTAAATCACATTCACATTGTTCAAATAATTGTCCTTTATTTTTCTTTAACTCAATCTAGTGTGGGGTTTTTTTAAATCGTTTTCTCCATCTAGAGGTAAAAGGTTTTTGTTCTGTATCTTAAATATATACATTGATCACATTAACTTATTTACTCATCCAGTAAAAACCCTATGTCCTACTGCAAAGTCTGATGCACAGTAAGTTAGGCAAAGTCCTTACCCCCCAAAAGCACGAATTATGAAGTGGCTAAACTTTGTGGTGATTAATATCATATAAACATATCTCCAAAGAAAAAATTGCCCCTCTTGCCTGGGGCATTTGGGCAGCATAGCCATGCCTGAGAAGATAATACAGAGTTTGAACTCCAATGAATGATTTAGCACATTTCACTAAATAGAAACATAATCTTGTATATGAGTGCATATATGTGTATGTGCATTGGAAAAGGAAAGTTTGGGAAGAGCACAAGGTCAAGGATTTTTGTGATGAAACACTTTGATTTTGAGGAATCTATAGCAATATGAAAATACATTGCATGTTTAGAGAATCTTGAGTAGTTTCATACCACTGAAAGTTAAAGGGCATTGTACTTTTTCTCTGAGAAACATCCAACAGGCAAGAAGGAACCACCACAGAACATTTAAACAGCGAAACCACTTATTAGACAATATAATATATGAATGCTCTAATTTACAAAGAACATGAGGCATATAGAGAAGTGTGTTACATCAGGTCTGTGTTTCAGGATATATATATATTATATAAAATGTATAACATATATGGTTACTGTATAGAAGAAGAGAGAAAGTAATTAGAAAAAAACTAGTCTCAGTAAATGCGAGTATACCTCCTTTTATCACACTTTGCTGTATTGTGCTTCGGCGATATTTTGCTTTTTACAAATAGAAATTTTGTGGCAATCCTGCATCAAGCAAGTTATCAACACCATTATTCCAACAGCATGTGCTAATTTTGTGTCTCTCTGTCACATTTTGGTAGTTCTTACAAGATTTTAAGCTTTTAATTAATATTATATCTATTATGGAGATCTGTGATCAGGGACCTTTGATGTTAATAATATAATTGCTTTGGGACACCACAAACTGCACCCATATAAGATGGAGAACTTAATCAATAAATGCTGTGTGTGTTCTGATTGCTCCACCTACTGGCCACTCCCCTATCTCTCTCTTCCTTGGGCCTCTCTTTTCCCTGAGATGCCATTGAAATTAAGCCAATTAATAACCCTACAATGGTTTCCAAGTGTTCAAGTGAAAGGAAGAGTCACCCCATCTCTGATGTTAAATCAAAAGCTAGAAATAATTAAGCTTAGTGAGGAAAGCATGTCAAAAGCCCAAATAGACTGAAAGCTAGGACTCTTGTGCCAAACAGTTAGCCAAATTGTGAGGACAAAGGAAAAAGTTCTTGAAGGAAATTAAAAGTGCCACTTCAATGAACACATGAATGATAAGAAAGCAAAAAAGCTTAATTGCTGATGTGAAAAATGTTTTAAGTGATCTGGATAGAAGATCAAACCAGCCACAACATTCCCTTAAGCCAAATTCTAATTTAGAGCAAGGCCCTAACTCTCTTCAAGTCTATGAAAGTGAAGAGAAATGATGGACCTGCAAAAGAAAACTTGGAAGCCAGCAGAATTTGGTTCATGAGGTTTGAGGAACTACGTCTTTTTTTTCCCCCGAGACTGAGTCTTGCTCTGTTACCCATGCTAGAGTGCAGTGGCATGATCTCGGCTCACTGCAACCTCCACCTCCCAGGTTCAAGTGATTCTCCTGCCTCAGCTTCCAAAGTATCTGGGACTATAGGCATGCACCACCATGCCCAGATAATTTTTGTATTTTTGGTAGAGACAGTTTCACCATGTTGGCCAGGCTGATGTTGAACCACTGACCTCAAGAGATCTGCCCACCTTTGCCTCCCAAAGTGCTGGGATTACAGGTGTTAGCCACCGCACTCTGTCTAAGACATTTTTATAAAATAAAAGTGCAGAGTGAAGCATCAAGTTCTGATGTAGAAGCTGCAGCGAGTTATCCAGAAGATCTAAGACAATTGATGAAAGGTGGCTACACTCGACAACAGATTTTCAATGTAGACAAAACAACCTTATATTGAAAGAAAGTGCCATCTAGAATTTTCATAGCTAGAGAGAAATCAATGTCTGTCTTCAAAACATCAAAGGACAGGCTGATAGGACTTCAAAACATCAAAGGACAGCCCCTTTTGTTAGGGGCTAATTGTAGCTGGTGACATTTAGTTGAAGCCAATGCTCATTTACCAATTCAAAAATTCTAAGTCCTTAAGAATTATGCTAAATCTACTATACCTGTACAATATAAAGGAAAATACAAGGCCTAGATGACAGCACTCCTGTTTACAGCATGGTTTACTGAATATTTCAAGCCTAGTTTCAAGACCTACTGCTCAGAAAAAAAAAGTTTATTTTAAAATATTACTGCTTATTGACAATGTACCTGGTCACTCAACAGCTCTGATGAAATGAATGAGGAGATGAATGTATTCATGCTTGCTACCACAACATCTATTCTGTGACCCATGGATCAAAGAATAAATTTGACTTTCATATCTTATTATTTTGAAAATACATTTTATAAAGCCATAACTGACATAGGTATTGATTCCTCTGATATATCTGGGAAAGTCAATTGGAAACCTCCTGGATCTTTCATCATTCTAGCTGCTATTAAGATTATTTGTTCCCAACACAAAGAAATAATAAATACCTCACATTATGAATATGTTAATTACCCAAATCTGGTCACTATATATGTTTTAAAATATCACTATTTACCCCATGAATATGTACAATTATAACTTGTCAATCTTAAAAAAGAGTAATCATGGTTCATGGGAGGAGGTCAAAATATCAACCTTAACAGGATTTTAGAAAAAGTTGACCCCAAACTTCATGGATGACTTTGAAGAGCTCAAGACTTCAGTAGAGGAAGTAGCTGCAGATGTGATGGAAATAGCAGGAGAACAAGAATTAGAAGCGGAGCCTAAAGATGTGACTGAATTGAGGTTATCTCATGATAAAACTTAAATGAATGAAGAGTTACTTGTTATGGATGAACAAAGAAAGTAGTTTCTTGAGGACAATCTACTCCTGGTGACAATGCTGTGAACATTGTTGAAATGGCAACAAAGCATTTATAATATCACATAAACTTCATTGATAAAGCAGTGGCAGGGTTAGAGAGGACTGACACCAATTTTGAGAGAAGTTCTACTGTGAGTAAAATGCCAAATAATAAACAGCATTGCATGCTATGGAGAAATCTTTCATGAAAAGAAGAGTCAATTAATTAAGAGGCAAACTTTATTGTTGTCTTATTTTAAGTAATTGTCACAGCCACTCCAGTCTTCAGCAACCATCACCCTGATCAGTCACCAGCCTTTAACATGGAGGCAAGACCTGCTGTCAGCAAAAAGATTATAACCCACTAAAGGGTCACATGATTGTTAGCATTTTTTAGCAATACAGTATTTTGTAATTAAGGTATATACACTGTTTTTTAGATATGCTATTGAACACTTATCAGACTACAGTATAAACACAACATTTATATGCACTGGAAAACAAAAAATTGTGTGACTTGCTTTATTGTAATATTTGCTTTGTTGCAGTGGTCTGGAAATGAAACTGCAGTATTTCCAAGGTATGCCTGTAGAGTAGCAACAGGTGCAATATATCCTCCACCTGAATTATTTTAAATTTTATATTTAATTTAGTAGTAGCTCAAGATTATCACTGTTACAAGTGAGTTAAATTCACATTTATGAAAAATGTGCAGCATTAATGTGTATATTCATATAAGTGATATATTTGATAAACTTTACCTTGACTCAAAACAAGGCAAAATACTTATGATCACAACTTGGAACATCAGTAAATCAATATCATTATTTTTAGAACTAAGAAAAAAAGTAAACTTTAAAAAATAATTTTAAGTATATAATCTAAAATACATATAAAGTAAAAAGAAGTCATGAAATCTGTATATACTAAGATCTTAACTAATTTATTTCTTTATATTTCTGTACTCAACAAGCATTTACAATACAAAGAACATTTTGAAAGTAACTATATTAGAATATTATCTGTTATTGTCCCTGAGAAATGAGGCTATAGGTACTTATTTAATCATCCTAGCCTTTCAATAATTGTGGAATTATGTTACAATTACAAAAATCAGAAGAAAGGGAAGGTAGGAAGAAGAAAAGAAAGAAGGTATGAATATAGAAAGGAAAGAACTTAAGTTTTAAAAAAAGAGAAAATGGCAATAAAAGGATGCATTGTTTTACGATTTGCCTCAGTAGAAAAGAAGATTTGAGAAAGAAAAACAATAAACTACAGAAAAAACTACACAAGTGGTTGAAACACAGTGATTGCTTGTTGAATGTAAAAACTAACCTTTTGTGAATATTTTGACCACTTTACAAGACCTTGGACTTTGAGTATGAATTGTTGATCTGTTACAGTTGTGTGCTGCAATTTGTCTTTTTCTCACTCTTGCCAGTTAATTCCTTTCATGTCAATGGAAATGAGATTTAGTGATACAAAATGCATTTTTGTCAGCAATTCACACTTAGGATCCACACACAGTAAGGCATGCAGATAACACACACCGCTCTTAATATCCCAACAATTCAACCTCCATTTCTGACCTTTCCCGCTTATGGTATATTGAAATATAAAAGTCCCAGTGTAGGCAAACTTAAGGAAATTTAAACATTTGTCCCAGGAAGGATGTAATTTGGTTTAACAACTATGCTCACTACCTCTGAGTGTTAAATCCTAGCAGAGGGACTGGGTGGGGTTTACATGACACTATTAAATTCAGTAAAGAGAAGAAAGGGTCTATTCATTCACCCATTCAAACTAATTTTTTCGGTGTACTTTTTATTGTTTGTTATCCCTAAAAGAATGAAAGTCAGTAAGTAAAATATGTTTTTTTAAAGAGATGAATCAGCTCTAATGCCAAATTCGATAAACTCAGCTGCTAAATTCACATTTCGTTATTATAAGAGGGGTAAAAATAAATGATGCCCCAAATTTTAACTATTTTTCTCAGAAGCTCCAATCTGGAAATTAAGGGTAAGTTATTGGAGTGCTTAGAAACCAAACTGATATTTGGAAAATAAAACTCACATAATGATTTTTCCAGCCAGTGTATTTATTTTTTCTGAATCCAGTAGCCATTAATACACTTTAAACTCCAGGGAACAGAAGGAACCAATGTGAGTTACTTTATTATCTCATTTATAGAGGCTATATGACTTTAGAAAGAACTGTGATTACAGTAAATTTGGCTTTACCCCTTCATTGCCTGATACTTAATGTATTTATTCAGGAGATCCTATCTTCTCTAGCATAGAAATACCACACACATCTCATGCAGTTACATGAAATTCTCTCTTTCAATGCCTTTGAAACTTGCAAAGAAGAAAATCATCCTCCAAACAGTCAGTAGTAAAACCTTCTGACAATAAGAAGCCCTAATAAAAGATCATGGGGCTATGTAAGTGATTAACAACTTTAATATTTATGTTGCCATACAGCTAATTCATGGCTTAAGTAAGGGAGGGCTGCATTGATTTTAGCCTTCTAGCTTGTGTTAAGATCACAGCTTGCTAGATACAAACCTCTCTGAGTTAGATATTCATTTCAAGAAAAGCAACATATTGATGGATCTCTTCTATTTGGCTCTTTGAACAATTGTCTTGTTATTCCTATCACAGAAAGGGTATACTATAACATGGAATAATTAACAGAGCAAGGAATCTGGATTCAGGAGGCTTGGGTTCTAGGTCTGTATCTATCTTATAAAAAGTGACTCAAAGCAAGTTCTAAGCATCTCTGGACCACAGTTTTCTCCTGGACAGCATGAGGATTGACCACTGTACTATAATATCAACTGACCTTGCAGCCTTAAAAATCCATCTTCTATGAACAAAGATGTGAACCTGAAGTAAAGGGACCAAATCATTTCACAAAATAAAACTCATTCTGAAAAAAAATTGAAGTGCTAGAGATGAATTACGTTACTACAAAAGTGCCAAGACCAGCTCGGTCAGGGAGACCCTAACCCAGCGGCGCTACAGAAATTAAAGACACACACACAGAAATATAGAGGTGTGGAGTGGGAAATCAGGGGTCTCACAGCCTTCAAAGCTGAGATCCTCGAACAGAGATTTACCCAGATATTTATTGACAGCAAGCCAGTGATAAGCATTGTTTCTATAGATTAAGTATTCCTTATGGGAAACAAAGGGATGGGCCGAAATAAAGGGACGGATCTGGCTAGTTATCTGTAGCAGGAGCATGTCTTTAAGGCGCAGATCACTCATGGGTTTTGTTTGTTTGTTTGTGGTTTAAGGACGCCTTTAAGTGGTTTTCCGCCCTGGGTGGGCCAGGTGTTCCTTGCCCTCATTCTGGTAAACCCACAACCTTCCAGCGTGGGCATCATGGCCATCGCGAACATGTCACAGTGCTGAAGAGATTTTGTTTATGGACAGTTTTGGGGCCAGTTTATGGCCAGATTTTGGGGGACCTGTTCCCAACACAAAAGAGTCATTGTTTTGCTTTGCACTTCAAATGTAGACACTGATATAGCTAAAGAGGTTGATCAAAACTAGATTCATAGGGTATACATTTAAATTAATTATCAGGACATTAAAAACTGCTCTAAATAAGTAATCAAACTACATTGGTTGGTTTGTTTTGTATTGTTGGTTGGTCCTAGTTCAAAAATGCTTGTATGTTTAGAGAAAATACTGAACAATACAGATGATACTTTATGTATAAAAAATGTGTGTGTGTTCTTAAAAACAGTCTTACAGGACATTTTATTAACTGTGTTTTACAAAACCCATAATAATTTTCTAATTATGTTTCACAATACATTTAGAAGGAAATTTGTAATCCATAGGAGAAAGTAAGAAAAAGTACCATCGTTTTCAATTAAAATGGACCTTTAAATTTCATAATGGACGAAAATCAACTCAATGCTTACAATGTTAATATAGATAAAAATAATGATGATTGTATCCTGGCTAACACGGTGAAACCCCGTCTCTACTAAAAATACAAAAAATTAGCCTGGCGTGGTGGCGGGCATCTGTAGTCCTAGCTACTGGGGAGGCTGAGGCAGGGCAGGAGAATGGCGTGAACCCGGGAGGCGGAGCTTGCAGTGAGCCGAGATTGCGCCACTGCACTCCAGCCTGAGCGACAGAGCGAGACTCCATCTCAAAAAATAATAATAATAATAATAATAATCATGATTGTAATAATAGCAATAATATTTAGCATATGTGAGTGCTACAATATGTGGAAAGCACTGTGATAAGCACTTGCATTGCAGTATATCATTAAATTTCCCTAAAAATCCTATAAAACAGATAATATTAGGTGACTTTACAGAGCAGGAAACTTGCTGATGTTCAATGTGAAAGTTGAACACTGAGTACACATAGGTACTAAGAAAGGAACAACAGACATCAGGGCCTACTGGAGGGTGGGAGGTGGGAGGAGGGTGAGGATCAAAAAACTACCTATCAGGTACTATGCTCATTACTTGAATGATGAAATAATCTGTACACCAAACCCCCATGTCAGGCAATTTATCCACGGAACACACCTGCACATATAGCCCTTGAACCTAAAATTAAATGTGGAAGGGGGGAAAAAAGAAAGTAAAATGGCAGAATGAACAAGGATAAATAAAGTGGTTTCTTCAAATTATAGCTTGACAGTGTTGCTTTAGTCACATTTGATCTGGCTCTGCCCATACAGCGATTAAAAAACAGAAAAATAGTTTTCCCTTGGGAACCTCCTGTCCTCTTTGCTAGATATTGTCTTTATTTGTCTAGAGTTTATTTTTTTAACTTTATTTTATTGAAGTGTAACACATAAGGTACACCAATATCACTTGTACAGTTTGATTAACTTTTACAAAGTGTGCACACTTAGATAACTTCCACCAAGATTAACATGCATAACATTCCCAGCAGCCCAGCAATCTGCCTCATAGCCTCTCATGGCCATTGCCCACCCAATAAAATATAAGTTCCACTGTGACTTTTACCATTGTGGATTAATTTGTTGGAGATATATATATGTATGTATATTTTTTAAACTTTTATTTTAAGTTCAGGGATACATGTACAGGATGTGCAGGTTTGTGACACAGGTACAACGTGTGCCATGGTAGTTTGCTGCTCAGATCATCCCATCACATAGGTATTAAGCCCAGCATCCATTAGCTATTCTTTCTGATGTTCTCCCTTCCCTTATCCTTACAAGCCTCAGTGTGTGTTGCTCCCCTCATGTGTCCATGTGTTGCCATCATTCAGCTCCCACTTGTAAGTGTGAACATGTGGTGTTTGGTTTTCTGTTCCTGCATTAGTTTGATGAGGATAATGGCTTACAGCTCCATCCATGTTCCTTTTTATGGCTGCACAGTATTCCATGGTGCATATGTACCACATTTTCCTTACCCTGTCTATGTATATCATTGTTGGGCATTTAGATTGATTCAATGTCTTTGCTATTGTGAATAATGATGCAATGAACATACACATGCATGTATCTTTATAACAGAATGATTTATATTCCCTTGGGAATATACCCAGTAATGAGATTGCTGGGTCGAATGGTATTTCTGCCTCTAGGTCTTTGAGGAATTGCCACATTATTCAAAAGAATACATACATGCAGCCAACAAACATATGAAAAATAGCTCAACATCAGTGATCATTAGAGAAATGCAAATCCAAACCACAATGAGATACCATCTCACTCCAGTAATATATATTACTAACAGCCATTTGTACTCTCTCATCAGTGACTTCTTTCACTCAAATTCAAAATCATGTGTGTGGTTTATCTCTGTTCTTACAAATAGGAGTAATTTGTTGTTTTTAATTAAGGTACAGTACTTCATTGTATGACTATACAACAATTAATTTATCCAATTCACTGGTGAGAAGCATTGGAAAATTTGACCAATTGGGGCCAATATAAATGATGCTGCTATTGACATTCTTCTTTGTATCTTTCAATGCATATATATGGATATACCAGTTGACTGAAACATAGACACATTTTTATTTAGAATTTATCCTGTGTGTGTGTGTGTGTGTGTGTGTGTGTGTGTGTACAAAATATTAGGTGATGTGTTATTTTAATAGATATTGGAAACAAGTTTTGAGAAGTATTTGTAACATTTAATTTACCCTTTATTATTAAAACTTGTAATTGTTCAACATGCTAGTCAACACACTTAATATTGTCTATTGTCAATTTGTTTTCTCTTTTTTTGTTTGTTTAAGCAATTCTTTTTTTTTTTTTTTGGTTTAACTTGTTTTATTACATTTAAGCCTCACACAAAACTTGGTAGATACTAATGTCAAGTCAGTTTACAGATGAGAAAAAAATGAGTCTCAGGGAAGCTTTCATGTTGCACATCAGGAGATGGCAGGGTCTTGGATGGACATGGCAGATGATTCCTGGTTGATCATTACTGTGGGAGAGTTTGGCATCCAAGCCTGGGGTTAGTGGAGGGCACCATGATGAGGACACCTCTGTGACCCAAACAGAGCAGAGTGCCAGAAGACCATGAACTTGACAGCATCACTTCTGGCCTCTGGGGTCCTGTGATAGTAGACTCAGGAGATTGGGCTGGCAATACTGATGAGTGTATGCCAGTATGTCTTCGATACCATTGCATTTTAATTGGCATTTCTCTAATGAAGGACCATTTTGTAAAACTTTATGGTATGGTTTAGCTGTGTTCCCACCCAAATCTTATTTTGAGTTGTATTTCCCATAATCCCCATGTGTCATGGGAGGGACCTGATGAGAGGTAATTTAATAAGGGGGGTGGTTACCCTCATGCTGCCCTAGTGATAGTGAGTGAATTCTCATGAGATCTGATAGTTTTATAAGTGGCTTTCCCCCTTTTGCTCGGCACTTCTCCTTGTTGCTGCCATGTGAAGAAGAACGTGTTTGCTTCCCCTTCTGTCATGATTGTAAGTTTCCTGAGGCCTCTCCAGCCATGCAGAGCTGTGAGTCAATTAAACCTCTTTCTTTTATAAATTATCTAGTCTCATGTATGTCTTTATTAGCAGCATGAGAAAGGACCAATACACTTTACATATGTGTGTTGACCTTTTAGATATGTTCTTTTGTGAATTTCTTGTGCTATTTTTTGTGTTTTTTTTTATAAAGTGTTTTTTGTCTTTTTCTTATTGCTTTAAAGATATTCTTTATATATTCTGGATATAAGTCCTTTGTCAGATGTGTGTATGGCAAACATTTTCTTTCTCTGCTTTGCATTTTATTTCTCCGAATAGTTTATTTTGATGGAAAGGAATTCTTTATTCCTTTCTTTAATTATATCCAGCTTATCAAACCTTTCTTTTATGAATTCTGCTCCATTTAAGGAAAATTTGTCCACCCCAAGTCATAAGGATATTCTCCTATATTATCTTCTACATGCTTTATGGTTTCACTATTAAATTTTAAGGGGCAGTGGAAGTCAACCTATTTATAATATGCCTAAACATCTCCATAAAAGATCATTTTGTACTATTTTGATTCACAAATCCCCTTAAAACTCTGTTGAAAACTATAAACACTCCTCCTATGCTATAGAAAAAACATGAGGGAAGGTTTTACTAGTCACCTTCACTATTGACAAATTCATCCACTGGACTTTATCCTCTGCCTCTATGTTGTATGTCTATAAGTGTAGGAAGACTGGAATCCAGGAATGTGTCATCATAGCAACCTAAGAAATACCAGAGTGATTGGATTATTCAATGGGCACAGAAAACGACTTTTAAAAAAGAAAGGTGATGGTCTTAGAACAAATAAAATAAATTTCTTAAAACCCTTCCACAGGATCAGCAATAGGTTCTTGCAGTAAATAAAAGCTTCAATCAAAGAGAAATCATCTTTTTGTGATTTTGGCAAAAATACACAGAAACTTTATTTAGGTCACTGCAGTATAAGATACCTTAGGTGGCCGGGCGCGGTGGCTCACGCCTGTAATCCCAGCACTTTGGGAGGCCGAGGCGGGTGGATCATGAGGTCAGGAGATCGAGACCATCCTGGCTAACAAGGTGAAACCCCGTCTCTACTAAAAATACAAAAAATTAGCCGGGCGCGGTGGTGGGCGCCTGTAGTCCCAGCTACTCGGGAGGCTGAGGCAGGAGAACGGCGTGAACCCGGGAAGCGGAGCTTGCAGTGAGCCGAGATTGCGCCACTGCAGTCCGCAGTCCGGCCTGGGCGACAGAGCGAGACTCCGTCTCAAAAAAAAAAAAAAAAAAAAAAAAAAGATACCTTAGGTATTGGCCTATATTAATCCAGGCAACAGTAGAGTTTCTCCAGGAGACCTAAAGGGAACAGATTTAGGGGTTCCACAACTATCAGAATCAAGAAGCAGTAGACAGTTTCAGCTTTCCCCCTTGCTAGAGAGATAGCAAATATATATCTGAGGCCGCTCAGGAAATATCCCAATATTTATACATAGTAAGAAGAGTTAATCGTGGATACATAATGTTTTCTAATCAATTAAACACAAAGTGACTTAGATATAATAAGGCTTTTCTCAAATTTTAGACACACTCACCATTGTTAAGAAATGTGTATAATTTACTAAATGTTATTGGATAAAATCTATTATTTCAGGGAAATATTTAATGGGTTTAAAAATAGAAATGCTACAAAAATCATTTTTAAAATAATTAAAGGTAAGAAAAAAGGCTGTGTTGAAAATGTATAACATAAATTGAGCAAGATTTTAGCAACTTCAATAGAACAACTGTTAATTATTTTAAAAAACAAGAGATACCTGCAGTGTTTTGAAGGATGCTTTAATGAAACACAACAGATGATTTAAATAAATTATACACGTACATTAAAACTTTTTGCTGGCACAATCATCATTGCTATAATTATTCCTAATATATTTAGAGTTTAGAGAACTGGTTATTCAAATATGTCTGTGTTTGTGTGTGGAAAAAAGAAAAATAGGATGTAAAATGCAGGAGAATTTCAACTCACTAAACATTTCAAAACAAAGATATAGAGAAACTTGAAGTGTTTGAGACAGCAAATGTTTACCTTGCCATTCTATATCAGGCATGCAATAGCAGATATAGCATTCATGTATTCATTCCTAATTAATACTAATAGATGATTTCACCAGGCAAAATCATTGAAAATCAGATAATTAGAGAATGCATAGAGTGTACAAACAAAAAGATATTCCTGATAACATAGAATGAAATACTCTTGAGCAACTAAACTTATACAGATTCCTTCAGAAAAATAGTATTAACGTAATTACACAAGAAAATTTTGGAGATTTGGGGACATATGTTAATAGGAATGAGATCTGTAATTATATGGAAAAGATGAACTCATGAGTTAGTCAATTAACTCATGAGCAGAATGGTGTAGCTCAAAGAATCTGAGTTCGAGGGACAAATAGGTCGGTTTGGATAATAGCTTACTCAGTGTTTAGTCTCTCAGGTACAGTTTTCTCACATATAAAATCACTGTTAAAAAATGCCTACATTGCAGAACCGTTTTGTGAGCTGTAAATACGTAAAGTGCCGGAAGATGTAGTCAATGCATGAAAGTTGTCATTAGGACTAATAATGTCTTTCTCTTTTCATGAATATCTTTTGTGTCTATGACATGGGGAGAAATCCTTGAAATTCCTATCAAAATTGAGAACTCTGGGAAGAAGTAAAATACGACCTTAGGCTATTAAATCCTAGAAAATAAAAATCTAGCAACTTCTAATTCAGTCTTCTGCTTCCTGCCTACCTGCCATGTGGCCTAGAGGTGCCAAAAAAGCTTTTTATCCAAATGCTGGTATTCTGACCACTAGCAGCAACTTTATTTTCATTGCTTAGTTGACTGGCAAGGGTCGCCTTCCACACAAATTGTAATTTTGATATTGCAGAGCCACACTGCAATTGTTCTACCAATTTCCACAATTTCCTCCAGTGGTCACAATTGTTCATCTTTATCAGTCAGACCCAGAGCTCAACGGGGCCATTGTGAAACTACAGGTGAAATCTGTTCCCAGCCTTCTACATCAATCCCCAGTGACCTTCAGTCTCAAACCACCATGTAGAATGTTCAGTTTGAGGCACTTATATGCTCATGGGCCTCATGAATTATCACCAACAAGAAATACATTTATTTCCATGTGAATTCCATCATTAACAGTGCTATAAATAATGGTAAGCCAGAGGAAAAAATTTTAATTGGAAGCACATGGGCGAGGATTTTAGGTTTCCTTCTATTTCATCAGGGTGATTTTATTTCCATGGGCATTCATTATCGTATCTGACAACTGATGGCTTTATAGGTGATTTTATTGGAGGTTTTATAGAAGACTTAAATAGGCAGAGGTTAGCAAAGTAACAAGGGACGTTGTCAAGCAGGGAGGTGGTCATCACTGCGTAGGCAGAGAAAGGGGAGGAAAGGTGAAGAGTCTACCACTCATCAGTTTTTTCACACAGAGGAAATGTGAAGGTTGATAAGATGGAAAATGGCATTAGACAGAGTTAATGGGAATAGCTAATAGAAAAAGTTGTCTCTACAATTGAAACATACATCTAAATTTCACACAACAACGTGGTAACAAGGTCATATTGCCGAGAGCACTGAGCTATGTGAAACTAAAGCAGAAAAGTAAAAAGCCCCACCACCAAATTTACTTTCATGCCTCTGCTGAATGGCCATCTTTCAGCCCAGAGCCAGGAACTGATTCTCTGGCATCTCTTTTCTCAATATTTTGGATTTGGATTTATCAATTTATAAGCAGTTGAACCATGAGCAAATATATGCCTAAGAGGTTCTTTTTTGTATAAGTATGAAGTTAATCATTAATCATTTAAATTTTATTTTAACAAGGTAAATGAAACAAGAAAATGATCCTGTACCTGCTCACATTGAAATAACTAATTTATCTTTCATGTGCAGATTTTTAGACTAATAGTTGCCCTGAGATGCATCCCATTCATAAATCACATATAAAATTATTTGGGAGTAGGTTTGTTGTATGTACAAATCAATGGAGTAGTTTCAAAAATCCAAAATTTAGAAATGATAGAAATAAAAGCAAGTATTTACTGATTATGGATTTTCATACATATTATTCATAGTATTATGTTTTCATGCATATACTTAGACTTAATATTCAGCACAACAATATGCAGTAGTTACTCATATTTTAACAATAAGGAAATAGGCTAAAATGGCATAAATGTTACCCATTTCTCCAGCCAAAGAAATATAAACTGGGATGAGAGATACTTGATCCCCAAATTATCTGATTATAAAACCCATACTCTTTTCAATTACTTCAAACTTGGTAAGTGCCTGATACCATGATAGATATTCAGGGAATTGTTGGAGCAAAATAAAACTTGTTTTATCAAAAGAATCAAAATGTATGTCTTTTAATAGGGTATATTGTAAACTGTTTTATTAAGATATTTCTCAGTTATCAGAAAATCTTCCTATAATTAGACAGACATTAATCAAAATCAGAATAGCAAAAAAAAAAAAAATTTGAAAGACCTAATAATAGCTTTAGTGATGCATTATGTAGGTGCTTCATATTTTATTTTTAAAAACAATAGAAAATGCTATCCAGAAACCACAAACCATGTGAAATCTGCTTTTTGCTTCAACACAAAGATTTCTATAAAGACAAAAAATTAGTGATGCTTTGAGATTTATTTTTAGAGTTTATAAAGCCACCAATTTTATTTTTTTGAAGAACAGAGGCTAAGCCTTAATAGTTATGCAAAAGATAAATCATCTAACCATGTAATTAACTCAAAATTACAATGGCAATAAAGGTACAGTTAAATTCATATTGATATATGAAATTGTAAAGAACGTTAATACACTTAATTGACATTTAATAAGATAGCTGCAGCAAGTTAATTGGTTATCAATTTACATAGTTCATAAATGTCGTTTTTAAAATAATTAAGCTCATATCCTGAAGTTAATGTTCATATAGTTTACCATGGATTATTAACATATATTTATTTATATGTATATAGTGTGTTTCAGTCTTCCACATGTCTTTAATCAAAAAAGCATTTATTTCTTATTTATTTATACTTGTCAGTTTATGTGCAGAAACATAATACATTAATATTCATCATTACAACTGAAATCAAACTTACATGGCCACTTATTATTGTTCCTTAAAGCCTGCAGAATACATCCAATTAAAACTAAAAATCTTCTCTGCATATCAAGTTCTTGAAAAAGACCTCAAATCTACTCTTTTCTCTTAAGCTTACTTAACTCTCCTTCACCTATAAGAGATTTCTTCTTGCCCTCTCCTCCCTTTGGACCTTGGAAATTGTGTCCTACCAATAACTACTCTTTAATTTTATGGCCTTGGAGTTGCTGGGTAAAGATGAAAAACAATAAAGCTGACTCACAAATGGTTCCTTCTTCAATTCATAATCAAGTAGAGAAAAATAAACATAAAGTTTAAAATATTATAATAGCTATAATTTCATCAGCAATATTCTGTCACAGACTTGGAAAAGCTAAGGCCATACCTATTGGTCCAGCCAGATAAGCTAGACAAGATGTCAAAAAGAATTGCCCAAACTACATCAGAACACAAAGTTATCTGAATTTAGCTGCCCATATAAAGAGCAAGATGAAAACCAAATGAGCTAGCAACTCTTCAAACGTAGTGTGAGCGAAACATAACCAAAGGAATAGAAACTACTTCAAAAAAAGAGTTCCCTAATTGTACCATCTGATAAGGATTAGGTGATAGTTTGAATTCAATGAAATAAGTGTATAATGAACATTATGAAAAAGTATAAGATTTTTTTTTAAAAGCAGCACCAAGGGAAAACATTGAGTATAAAATAATCATGTGGCTGGGCGTGGTGGCTCACGCCTGTAATCCCAGCACTTTGGAAGGCCAAGGCGGGCGGATCACGAGGTCAGGAGATCGAGGCCATCCTGGCTAACAAGGTGAAACTCTGTCTCTACCTAGCCGGGCGTGGTAGCGGGAGCCTGTAGTCCCAGCTACTTGGGAGGCTGAAGCAGGAGAATGGCGTGAACCCAGGAGGCGGAGCTTGCAGTGAGCCGAGATTGCACCACTACACTACAACCTGGGCGACAGAGCGAGACTCCGTCTCAAAAAAAATAAAAATTAAAAATTAAAAAAATAAAATAAAGTAATCATGCATTGGAAACAACAAACAACGAAATAGACATGGCCAAATAATTAGTTAATTTAATCAAAAACATATTGCACAGAAAAAAATGATAAAGCTGCTGTGAAGGGTTAGAAAAAAGAGATTAAAGTAACTCAGGAAAAGAGGACAAATGTAAAGAACATAGGAAACCAATGTAACCTACAGTTTACTTGTATCGCTGAAATTGACAAGTCAATGTATTTGTTATGAATATATTGTATCTATTATATACACAATAGATGTATATATGTGGTGTGTGTGTGTATGTGTGTAAAAATATATATCTATCTTAATATATTTTCTATGCCCTGAATGTTTGTGTCCCTTCAAAATTTATATGTTGAAGCCATAGAACTCACAATGGTGTTTGGAGTTAGAGTTTTGAGAGGTAATAAAGTTGAGATTAAATCATGAGGATGTGGCCTCCATGATGAAATTAATGCTCTTATAAAAAGTGATATTGGAAACCTTGCACTCCTTTTCTCCCTCCACCATGTAAGGACACAGTGAGAAGGTAGCCTTCTGTAAGCCAGGTGGACAGCCTCAACATGCTGAACCTTCATCTTGGACTTTCCAGCCTCTAGAACTGTGAGGAATACGAATTTCTGTTGTTTCATTGACCTGGTCTCTGGTATGTTGTTATGACAGCCTGAGCTAACTAATACAACATTTAACACAAACATTTCAGAAGTAAAATACGGAAAAATTGTTATGAAATTAGTCATTGGATCTATGTGGTGAAAACACACATTGTATGTATGACAACAAAAATGATTTGGAATGCTTAACATCAAAACATCCTGTTGTTAAGCTATTGAACTTCAGAAACAGTAGTAAGAAAGGCAGTATGTAGGCTTTGAGGAAGAAAAAACAGATAATGTATTTTTAAAGGAGCGTAATACGTTCTAGGTCATTACCGCAACACTGTTATAAAACTTGGTTAACTTACTGAAATTCACAAATGAAGGTATTTTTGTACAGGCCTCCAGGTAGAAAAGCCAGTCACTAGCAAGAGTTGAAAAATAGACTGACCTCATCCTTCTCTTCTATAATATCTATAGTAAGAACACAAAGAATCAATGGCTATACACATAGGTGGGAAACAAACAAAGGGTTACCCACAAATATATGTAGCCAAGCACCCTTTATAACATATAGGCAATAGCTAGACATTTAAGATAATAAAAATGAGAATATTGTACCATTGAGGTCACATGGTCTTTAAAAAATAAAGAAAAAGGAAAGTTACTTGAGGATGGAATCAAGTCAAACAATAATGAATTGAAATAAATAAGGAGGTAATTGAAAGGTGATGTGTACAAGTGGTACAAGTATCAAATTTATTTAAATATCAAACTAAGATTAAATAACTGAAAAGTGATTAAATAATAAAGGTAAATATTAAAATCCCTGACAAGGTGAAAAGTATCGGCATTAAAATTGGTAGATAAAAGGAAGGAGGCGGAAGGCGTGAAAAAGAGAAGATGATGCAATCTTTCATGAAAGAATATGTATTAATACTGTGTAACTCAAATTATTTAGCTTAAAAAACTCATTATTTAACAACTTTTTAACTATTATAACGATCTTTTAGCTAGTTTTTTTTATGTGATGAAAACATAATTTGTAGTTTGGTTATTTCTTCCTATGTCATGTAGCTTTTTTTCCATTTGATTAAATCAAATTATGAATAATTCAATAAAGTGAATGCTGTTTTAGCAATAACAGGTATAGTTTGACTCAATTCTTACAACTGTTTTTCTATCTATGCATCCATCTTGCAATTCAATCTTTTTACATTTTGACATCAATAATTATCTAGAATTACGACCACTAAATTCTAATTCTCATTGTGTTAGAGTAGTATAGAATTATACTTTCTTCCTTCCTTGTACTTTTTCATATTCTTCAGAGCCTAATAATCAACATGTATTGATTGTATACATTATTCTAAAATAAATACATAAATCCAGAAATTAATTTATCTGCCACTACCACTAACTTTAGTGACATGTTGATATATGTCCTTTTACTATATATTCAAGGAGTAGGAAATAGAATATTCTGAATATATTATCTTTCAAGGACACAAAGCCTTACCTACATTTTACAGACTCTGTATCATAATTTGAATTTACTCCCACATTCTCTGTTGGAATCTTCCATTTTTAATAAATCTCAAATGCTACCTCTTTTTAAGAAAGCCTTCTCTCATTTCTCTTTGAAATTGGTTTTTTCACATTTAGGGTTCTCAAAACATACTTTTTACTCAACTTCTATTAAAATATAAATGTGCATATACCTGCCTCTTCTGTAAAATATAAATTCCTTAAGAGAAGGGACCAAATCTTAATTGTTGCATTATCTGTAAAGCTCATTCAGTAATTTTTCACAGTTCAGTAAACATTTTCTTAGCTATGATATAATAAGCTTTGTTAACATTGCTAGTCAGGTGTATATTGGTTTTGTGTTTCTGTGTATTTACAATAAACACAAATTTAAGGTGTAATCAAGTATATTTTTAAATCTTTATAATTGTCTATTCTAATTACACAAGTTATAATGCATGCCTTTCTATAATGTGTGTTTGTATTTCCATTACAGCTAACGGTCTGGGAATTCCACTTAAGCACTATTTTGCTTTACTGCTTGCAATTCCTTTATGTATTTGGATGTAAAATTTTATTTTTTTAAAAGCAATCTGCCATTTGGATTTTTCATTAATTCATACTGGACTCCTCTGTCATGAGTATGGGCCAGAAAAAATAAAGTGAGTATACCACATTGTAGCACTGTTGCTTAACTGATGCTAAGATGGGCATCAAGGGATGTAAAGGCCACCATTCATTCCAGGTATGTCTCTGCATTATACCCACCATCTGACTAACGCAACCAAAATACATCTTTTTTTTTTTTTTTTTTTTTTGAGACAGAGTTTCACTCTTGTTGCCCAAGCTGGAGTGCAATGGCACGATCTCGGCTCACCGCAACCTCCACCTCCCAGGTCCAAGTAATTCTCCTACCTCAGCCTCCTGAGTAGCAGGGATTACAAGCATGGGCCACCACGCCTGGCTAATTTTGTATTTTTGGTAGAGACAGGGTTTCTCCATGTTGGTCAGGCTGGTCTCAAACTCCTGACCTCAGGTGATCCACCAGCCTCGGCCTACCGAAGTGCTGGGATTACAGGCGTGAGCCACCGCACCCAGCCCAAAGCAGATATTTTTAATGGTATAACTTGTAACTCCCATGACAGAGGAAGAGGATTTCCTGTACTTAGAAAAAGGGTTGGTTGAAACTAAATTAGATTTTATTGAATAAACCAAAAAGAAAATACCCCAGATACAATCCAACTTTTAGGAAATCGGCTTATATAAGACAAAACACTGGCACATGATGCACTGATTTATTTTAGGACTGAATTTTCCTGTGTAAATAATGTCAAACAAAATGAAACTTACCATAGCCACATGTTAATTTATTGCCATTTTACCAGCAAGTGAGTTTTCTACAAGGAAAAACAGAACTTTTTTGGTTTTGGTATAAATCTAACTAGAACGTATATCTTAATTTTTGTTAAACTGACTTGATTTTCAATATTTTGAAAGAAGAATACTGTGCATATGAAATCATTTTTGTTTTTGTTTTTTCTAAGAAATCAGAATATCTTGAGATACTGGCTCCATTTTCCCATAGGTTAGAAATTGCAGAGTTGAGTAGTGAGAGTCTCCTTTGGAAGAGATGTAAAATCTCCAGTTTGCCAAACACTCACCATGCCCTCTTTCTGTGACCCAAACTCATTCCCATTTGAGATACTTTAAAAAAATTAATAGACTTTATGTTTTAGAACAGTTTTAGATTTACAGAAAAATTGAGCAGATACGACAGAGTTCCCATATTTCCTTTTCTATGCACACAATTTTCCCTATTATTAACATCTTGCATTGGTGTTGTACTTTTGTTACAATTCATGAATCAATACTGATGTGTTATTATTAACCAAAGTCTACAGTTTAAGTTTCATTCTTCACATTGTACAGTTGCATGGGGTTCGACAAATGCATGATGTCATGCATTCACCATTACAGTAACATACAGAATTGTTTCACTATCCCTAGAATCTCTCTTGCTTCACCAATTCATCCTTCCCCCTTTCCCTGAAACCCACAGCAACCATTGATATTTTTACTCTCTAGATTGTTGTCTTTTCCATAATCTCATATAATTAGAATCATACAGTATATAGCCTTATCACATTAGTTTCTTTCACATAGGAATTCATATTTAAGATTTCTCCATATATGTTCATAATTTGGTAGCTCTGTGTGTGTGTGCACACACATGTGTTTTTAATTATTAAATAATATTCTATCAGATAAATGCAGCACAGTTTGTTCTGCTTGGTTTAACAAAGTCCTTAATCTGATCATGTACAAACATCTTAGTTGCTTCCACTTTTTGACAATTATCACCAAAGCTGCTATGAACATTTGCATACAAGTTTTTTTGTGGACCTAAATTTTGAAATTATTTGGTAACTGTCAAAGAGTACAATTGATGATTGCATGGTAAGACTGTGTTCAACTTTTTAAGAATTGATGCATTGTCTTCCAAAATGGTGGTAGCATTTTAAAGTTTAAAACAACATGTATTTTTTTTTTTATCTCACAGATCCTGTAGATCAAGAGTCTGGAATGTATTAGCTGGGGTTTTTCTCAGGGCCTCACAGTGCTGAAATCAATATGACATCCTGGCTAGGGTCCTATCTGAGGCTCAGGGTTTTCATAAGGTTTATTCAGATTGTAGACAGAACTTAATTCCTTGCAGTTGTGGGACACAGGTTCAATTTTTTATTGTTTACTATTGGTCAGAGGTCACTTTCAGCTCTTAGACTCTGCCCAGAGCTCCTTGCCATAAAACTGCCCCCATAGATCCTCTCACAACTTACCTGTTTGTTTTTCTCTAAGCCAACAGAAGAATTTCTCTCATGATTTGAATCTGATTTCAGAAAGGGACCAGTTCTTTTGAAGGGCTCATCCGATTAGGTCAGGCTCACCTAGGATAATCTCAGTTTTGATTAACTCAAGATGAACTGAATTGAGACTATAATTATATCTGCAAAATCCCTTCACTTTTAACATAAAACATGTCCTAATTATGGATGTGACATTTATCATACCTTTAGTCCTGCCCACACTAAAAGGGAGGGATTATACAGAGCCTGTGCACCAAGGTGTGGAGATTTTGTTGGTTATCTCAGAATTCTGCCTACTTTTAAAGAACAATGAGTAGAAATGGAACTGCATAGCATGCACACACATACTTTCATATTTAAACCAAGTGTTTATATATTTGAACTGCTTTACTGGTGAATTTCACTTGAAGTACCCTGCAGACATTTCAGTGGAGCCAGTCGTTGACCTCTTATTTCTATCAGATTAGTCTAACCTCTTTGTGTATTTTCTGCTTAGAGGAAGAAAACAATATTGCTTTCACTGAAAATATCAGTTGCTTTTTTTTCTTCTTAGAACCCCTTGTCATTTATTGCATAAACAGAAGCACAGATTGCTCACTCTCATCTGAACCTTGCACTTCTCTTTCCATTTAAAGAAGAGCTTTACATTGGTGATCGACAGAATAATTTCTCTCTGTATATGTCCCTTTAATGGTATGTGTTAGGACTCTGTTGAACCAAACAGATTTTTCACACAATTTTGGATTTTCCTTCCTTGTTAGAAATACAGAAATAATGAAAAATGTGCCTTTTCCCAAGAAAACAACTCTCCACTCCATTGTGAGGTTTTCTTTCCTTCTGACCTGAGTGTCCTGTCATCTGGCTTAACATTTTCCTCATGTGTCCTCGTCTTGCATATTGAAACACAACATTTTAATTGCATGTGGCTGAATTAATGAGACTCTATTGAAAGTTTAACATGGTAATTTGAGTACTGAGTGCTACAAAAATATATTTATTTTCCAAGCAATGCTTCTTTATCTTTTTCCCAAAGGAGAAGATTTATTTCTCTCAGTATGCTTTACCCTGCTCCAGATTCTAATATTTTTCATTTTGGGGACCCTCCACCTGTGTCTCTTTCTGAAGTTTCCAGGAGGCTTAAGGAAAGAGTCAGCCTTTTAATCAGCCGGAGAGTGGAGAGGATGTAATTCCCCACAGCTCCTCTAACTCTTGGATGGCTGGGAGGTAAGGTGAACTCATTCATTAGGGAAGCTTCCCCGTGCCTTCCTGTTGTTTATAATCAACTTGTTTAAGAGTAACATTTTCAGTGATTTGCAGTGATTACCAATTTTGAAGTGATTGCCAATCCCCAGAGAAAAACTAACTCTAATGAAGTTTTGATTTTTATGTTACTTTTTTTTCCCTTCAGTGTCTCTGCTATGCTAATATTTTATAACAAGGTGAAATCTAAGAGGAGAATCCCTCAATAAATGGCCTGGTGATATTTAGGATTTGGAATACCGTGGCATGTGCCCAAACTGGCAAGAAAGGAAGAAAAAAAGATGGGAGTTAAAGGAGAAAGCCAAGACCAATTGGATTCGGGTCATTATTAAAATGTTTCGATAGAGAGTGCAAGAAAGGAAACGGTCCAACCAATGGCAAAGAAAGCAGTACATGGCAAGAAACACCAGCCTGAACATGAGGAACATGTGTGATAAACACTCATGGGGATACTAGTCCAACATTTCAAAGCATTTTAATATTTTAAAATTAAAATCAGAAAACTTATCTTTTCTATTTCTTTAAACACTTATTAGACTAGATTGATTTATTTTCTAAACAAAAATAATTTTGAACTTGGCTAACTTAATACCCTTTCAACATTTCTAAATCTAAATCAGATTTCTCATGACTGTTTTGGCAAAGCAAACTCCTTGATATTTGGTGGACATTCAACCTCTTCAAATAATACTTATTTGTAAAGCAAATGGGTTAGTTGTTTGAGAAATGAATAATAAGTATGAAATACAATGACTGAATAGAATGCATTTTCAAACTCAGGAAGATAAGAACTAAACATACAAATATTAAACAATATAAAATCCAGCAAAATAATGTGGAAGGATCATTTATTGTTTATTATCTTTCTCAGTTCATTAAAACTTGATTCATCAAGAACAAAGTAAGAAGTGAGAACAGTTCCTCAGAAACATGATTAACAACTCGTGTATTTTAAATCTGATTGTAAAAGTTGAGTCATTCTTTTGGAGAACACTGAAGATAGTCTTCATCTTTTGCTACTCAACGTGTGGTTCATGCACCAGTTACATTGGCATCAGCTGGCAGCTTGTTGGAAATGCTGAATCTCAGATCCCATTCTACATCCAGTAAGTCAGAATTGCATTTCAACAAATTCCCAGATAACTTGTGTGCACCTTAAACACACTGAATAATCCAAACTACATAAACCTATCTTGATTTTAACTAAACTAAATCACTTACCATATATACGTGTATATATTTTACTTTTTCTCAATGATGTGTAGCAAACTTACCACATGATAAACCCGTGTTAGGAACTTAATAAATAATTGCTGATTAGTTACTGGAATAGCTTGCTAGGATAATCTGTTTTTTTCATCCATTGACTGGTATTGACTCTATATGTGTTTTATGGTATATTTTTACCCACCCACATAATTCCTCTTTATTGTGAAAAGAAATATTTAGAAAATTAGTGGAGAATGTGTGCAGCTATCATTTATTCCTCATTATTGCCACTTTTTGAGTCTGATTTAGAAACACTTGACTTCTTTCCAGTCTCAGGCATGCAGCACAATAATTATTTTCAAGTATTACATTTGTGTCACAACTCAGGGCCCAAAGCTAGGGCAAATTTAGAATCAAGTACAAATGTTTAAGAATGACTACAAATACCAAAGATAATCTTTTGCAGTTTTCTCAAATGAATCATTGGATTCAATTTCCATTATAATAAATCATTCAAGTTGAACAGTTTTGCACTTCTTAAAATAAAGCAAGCATCTGACCTTTTGGCTATCAAATGATTTTATATTTAGTAACTTTAATTAAGGAAATTAAATTCATTTAAGCAAAATTTTGAAGGAAAATTGTTCAACTGAATGATATTCAAATCTTACTAATATCCAGCCTGGGGATCACTGAGATTCAATATCCAAAAGATACATTAGCCTATCTCCTTCCAGTTCAATGTCATTACATACAATGTATAATTTAAGTATTTTTCACTTCTTGTCCTTTTATGATGTCTTGACTAAAAAGGTTTCTGGCAAGTACAACCTTTTTCATGACTGACCTTCTAAGGCTAGTTATGTATAACCAGCATACAAATCAAACTTAACATTGATTACGATATTAATATTCTCACATAGTCATACGAATTCACAATTCTCTTCCTTCCTAGGTTAGGGGCAATTCACACATTCATCACACTTATTTTAGGCTTCACAATTATTTAGACTTCCTATGTATTTGTTGTAGAAACTGACATCTTAGCTATTTTCTCATGGAACCATAGAATTTCTGAATGAAAGAAGCCTAAAGAAAATCTAGGCAAACACCTTTATTTTATATCAGGCAATTGTGATCTGGAGATAAAACTCAATGGCATATGCCCAACACATTGTCTGTAGTCAAGCTGATGTTGAAAAAAACAACAACCTACAGATAAATATAATGCCTTTCCTTTTACATATATAAAGCTTTTATTATAAATAATTTGATTGTTGGATTTCTTCTTATTAGGTACTTTTTAGTTGTTCCCATTATTATTTTGTTATACATTCTGAATAAAAATGACAGTCAAGAAGGTTTTGTGTGACCATTTCAGCCAAGCAAACTGGAGCTAAAGACTAGACTCAGACCAGGAGGATTCCAGAATGGCAGAGAGAGAAACGTGAAAATCTCTTCCCAAAACTTAATGATAAAACCTGATGAAGTTATCAAAACCAGGTCTGTAAATTGAGGCAAACAACAAACTGAGAGTCCTTTATTCAAGACAAATCACTGAACTCCAGGTAAGAACAATGGGAGGGAGTCTGCGGTTCATCTGAGGGGCTTCCTACTCTTAATCCACCCTCCCCACCAAACTTCGCATTGCAAAAAACAACAGATTTGCTGCTGGAAGGGGCAGACTGAATTAAAGTGGAACAGAAAAAGCATCCATACTTCTAGGCATTGGAAACTGTAAAAATACCAATGAAAGATCAATGGAGAAGACCAATGTTGCAGCTAGCACTTTCCTGTTTTCTGGGACCACAGCATTTTCAAGGCTCATCATGCACTTTTCTTTCCTCAACAAAAAGCCATTTTTCCAAGGAGCTCTGGGTTGTTCTATTGGAGGGTAAGCATTTAGAAAACAAAATCTGGGAGTTAGGTGTGCTCACTGGTTGTTTGGGTGACAATGCCAGTCTAGTACCTTTGTCCTAGTCAGTTATTCAATATTTTGCCTGAAGACCTTTGTGAAATTGAATAGTTTTATAAGTCTTAGGTTTGATTATTGTTGCTTAATGTTGCACAAATACTCACATTCCCTTTTAATATATTCACTTAGGCCTTTTGGGGAGTTGTCTTGGATTATAGATTTAAATATTTGTTTTTTAGGGCCTCTGATTATATGTGTTGTTGTTATTATTTTATTAGCCTTCCATTTTTACCATTTTATCTCTGACTTTTTCACCTCTTTTTTAACCTCCATTTATTTTTACGGTGTTAACTTTCCTTAATGACTTACTCCATTTCCATTCAAATCCATTTACCTTGGACCTTCTTGTAAATTATACTTCATGTTGAAGATGATTATGTTCCTGTCTTCCAACCAACCTTCTTTCAATCAACATTTTTTAAAATATTTATTTCTTTTTTTAAAAAAAATGAATTTGTAATTGATGGTTTCTAATTTTCCCAAACACTATTCTGGATATACACAAATCAGTTTAAATACACTAAATTTAGTTTGGATAGGTGAATGTTATCAGCTAAGGTGTGTTTGTTCTGTGTTTCCTGAATTCTTGTAAGTTTTAATAATATTATTTAGTTTTTATCTATTTATTTTGTGGATTTGGAACGTTTGCATGATTCCTAATTCAATAATAAATTTTTCTTTAGTGTCCTAATATATAAAATTTGCTTCTTTTTTTGTTTTTTCACCATCCAACTGCCAAGTGATACTTATTCATACCATTTAACCGTTTTCTCCCCTAGTGGTTATACTTTTCAAACATGGGCTCCTCAAATAGCATGTGTTTTTAAGTGCTGTGATCTACCAGGACACTTTTTCAATATTTGCATTCAAACAGTGGAGGTACTTTTCATGGAGCAGTAATGCTCCACATTTGAGATAAACTACTATGTCCTCTTTTCCCTCTTCCATGGAGTTTTTCTTGGACTAACCCTGTTCATGTCAAAGACTTGTGGCAAAAGTGTGAGAGATTGCTTCTCGGTATTTCGTGTTTTACTTCTTTTTTTTAATATGCAGATAATTCAAATTTTGAGCATTTTTTTTTTGTCTTCAGGTATGCTGAAAGAATGTTGTTTTGGTATTTTTATGTATCCTTGATCTTCTGTTTTAAATTTTAAATAGTATTTAGGGGTATGGGTTTAAACTGCTGCCATTATTTTGGGTTCCCTGGGAGATATCTTGTTTATGATATTGATTACTAGAAATAAGGGTTGAATGTTATTACTAGTATTATTATTACTGCTTCCTTCAATAGTGTATTATTTTCATATATAATTATATACATGAATTTAAATATATTTAATTTAAATTATATTATATATTATAAAATAAATATATGTAAGTAATAAAAAAGCATTTAAGTAATAAGAAAATAATATAATTTTCTTATTTGATTTCTAAATTTTTAGAATAACTACTCATGAATTAGTGATACATGACATTTCTTTAGATCTTTCTTGAACTTAGCTACTACGTATGTTATGTTATTATTTGTCTAGCTTAACAAACTGTTATTAGTCCTAAAAATAAATATTCCAACTTTGATATTTGGCCTTTCTTACTACAATTGTAATACAGACTAAAACTTTTCACTTTCAATTTCTTGTATTAATACTTTTATTTAAAAATATATATGTTTCATGTTTTTCCTTTTCATATTAATATTTAGAAACTGAAAATTTCTAATATATCTTATGCTTTATTTATGTGAAGTCAAGTAATTAGTTTGATTTTAATATCTCTCTTTCATGGTACAGCAATTTATAAGCCCTTTGAGGTTAGTTCTTTTTAGAAGATAGTACATGCCATACTGTCTGCAAATCATCCTGGGAAATAATTCTTATTACCTAATTTGATAAAACCCTAATTTTTGAAAGCACTGTGGTTAGTTCTGTCTTGAGTATAAAGATAAATAAAACCTTTTTCGACCTTCAAGGCTAAAGAATAGTCACATAAACAATGCTTTAGGTGGATAAGAGAGAAAAAATTACATGAAAAATAAAGAGATTTTTAAAAAGTTCTCTGTAAACTCCAATAACTAATTTTGACCAAGTAGATAACTTGAAGCTTCAAGATAGTGGACCATGAAAACACAGGGCGTTAGCAGACTAGAGAGTGAGCAAACACCAAACTGGAGTGAAACACACAGATTTAAAAATATATAATTAATTCAGACCAAAAAAAAAAAAAGCCTGAATGGTTCAAATATCAGGTAGCTGTTGTCCAATTGTGGAGGATATTAGAGGTCATGTAAGGAAGTTTAAATTTTGCTTAAAAAAACTTTATTGAGGTATGATGGACATACATAACTGTACATATTTAATGTACAAAACTTGATGAATTTGCAGATAAGTGTATACCCATGGAGTCATCACAACATTTCTACACTATAAACCTATTTATCACCTCCAAAAGTTTCTTCCGCCCTCCTTATTATGTTTTTGTGATAGGACATGTAACATAAGATTGACCCTCAGTGAACTTTTAAGTATACAGTACAACATTGTTAAGGACAGACATTATGCTATACAGCATACTCTAGGACTTATTCATCTTGCGTATCTGAAAGTTTGTACTCTTTGACTAATACCTATTCATTCTCTGCCAACTCCTGGGAACCACCATTCGACTCTCTGTTTCTGTGAGTTCAACTATTTTAGATTCCTCAAACAAATGGGGTCACGTAGAATGTGTCCTTCTCTGTGTAGCTTATTTTGCTTAGCATAACATCCTCCAGGTTCATCATGTTGCCACAGATGGAAGGATTTCCTTCTTTTTTATAACACTGAATAGTAGTTCACTGTATGTGTATCCAACATTTTCTTCACCCATTCATCTGTAGATGGACACTTAGGTTGTTTCCACGTCTTGGCTATTATGAATACTGCTGCAATTAATTCAGTAGTGCAGATGTCTATCTATTTGAGACCCTGAATTTAATTCCTTTGGATATATACCCAGAATTGGGATTGCTGGATCATATGGTAGTCTTATTTTTAATTTTTTGAGAAACTTCCGTACTGTTTTCTATAATGGCTGTATTAGTATGTGTTCCTGCTAACAGTATGCAATGGCTCCCATTCTTTACATGCTTAGCAACACTATTATCTTTTGTTTTATCTTTTTTTGGTAACAGCAATTCTAACAGATGTGCAGTGATCTTATTGCTGTTTTGATTTGCAATTATCTAATGATTGGTGATGCTGGGCACCTTTTTAGATACTTGTAATAAATTTTACTTATTTGACAGTTGAGAATTTCAATTAAAGGTTAATATTGTTCTTCCATTTTATGAAGATCAGTTTGTTGCCAGTGTAGAGAGAAATTCAGAAGAAAAAGAGGCAAGGAAGTCAGGAAGTATTACCGTAATGCAGACAAGAGTAAATGAGCACTGCATTATAAGCATTTGTTATATTATTCCTCCTAAAATAGATTATATTGCTCTTAAACATTTAATGTAAGTTGAAGGACACATTATAATTCAAATATTTAAAAAATTATAAAATATACTTACTTCAGAAATGCAATTTTACATATCAATTGACAACCATAATGTGTGTGTATTTTCGCACTTTAGTATTACTAATTAGAAGCTACCTTCTAAATCTTAATCATAAATGTGCTTTTTTTTTAATCCATCATGCCTAGTAATATAAACATAAAGGCAATTAAAATCACAACATTGAGAGAGTAACCTTGGAAATAAGGACAGGGTGAAAAAGATAATTTTATTATATATATTTCAGTCATTTTTATTAGAAAATCTATCTTTGTTTTAAAAAATAACTAACCATCTTATAATGAGCACTATAATCAAGATTAAAAAATATATTATGTATTATTTTCAACTTGTCATCAAGTTGGACACGAAATGCATACAAATAAAACATTAAATTATGTTAATATATGGAGATATTTAGGATTTTCATACAAAAGATGCTCATGCATTTTACATAAAATTATACAATAAATTAGCATGCACAACTGATAATGGTGAGAGTGATTAAATTATGTTTAAATTTATAATACAAGATGAATAAATCATTCATCACCCATCTGGTGAATGTTTCAAATGTGGTCATAATCCCTGTGTCCCTATGCCTCTTTAAGACAACAGGATTGCGTACATTTCAAGAAGGTAGTATGTCATAGAGGCTTCAAGTCTCAGTTCTACTATGATACCACCTGGCTTTACCAATTACTTACTTTATGCCTAATGACAAGTTAGTTAACCTCTCTGCGACTTAGTATTTTTAGCTATAAAATGGGAAAAAAATAAAAATCTTATTTGAGGTAATGATTAAACAAAATGAATTATGTAAGACCCTTAGATTCATGCCAGACACAGAGATTAGCAATTGTGAAAGTTAAGTAGAACACCCAGGAGAGAAGAGAATGCTCATGTACCTATGGAATCATATATTTGCAGATTCAAAACTAAAGGTATTTCTTCTCACACCAGAACCTACATTTACTTAAGTTTTTGGAATTTTCTTCTGAGTATTCTTTTTCTTTCATCTTGCTCTTTACAACATAATTATTCTGTAACCATTAGAATTTTCAATGAAAATTAGTTAAACTGGGTGTTTTCCTTCATTCATTTAGACATTCTAATTACTGAAGATAAAAAGGCATTAAATGTAAGTCTTAAGCTGAATTATAGTGTAGCAAAATACAGCCTGTACTGTATTACTTCGCCATTTATTTAGCAGCTGTTGTGCAGTTATTCTGTAATCATTAGAATCTGTAATGCTTAAATTATTTGGTTACCATGCACTCTGAAAACAATTTAGGCTGAAGAGGATAGAATATTAGAAAGGAACCCCCACTTAAAAGGCATTGATTACCAACTCCCCCAAAAAGCTCACTTTATTAGGCCACTGTGTAGTAATGGAGAACACCAACTTAGAAGAGTCTTTGCAGTATCTCAAAGTGAGAAAACTAGAGAAGGGTGTATATGGAATTTTAGAACCTGAGCTGAATAAGGTGTGTCTTGAAAAGTGGGGAAGTGGTTTGAGAAAGATTAATTGATGGATAAAATACTGCTTGGTCATAGTACGGTTTAAGACAGGACCAGGGAAGTCACCTGTCCCAGAATTGTTTAACTCAGGGGCAATGAATTATTTCATCTTCAAAAGGAAGCCTATAATTTTTAGAAAGAGTCAGAGAAAACATCCATCTGGGATAAATCCACAATGGTCATATAGGATGGACACATCCTGGCATTGTGTAAGGCACAATTCACTTATATAATGTAAGTGATGACCCCAAAGCTGGAGAGCCAGAGAAGGTCTAAAAAGATAAATTCATGGGAGCAGATAGGAAAGAATAGCAGGACAAGAAATGAAGCTATAGGATGTTAGACGAGTTCAGCTGGAGCACGTTTGTCAGGAAAAAATCTAAATATCAAATATTTAGTGTAAGCTTATATAGAACAACTGTGTCGTAAATTTGTCTGTATCTTCAACAGCATTTAGCAGAGTGCCCAATATAGATTATGTAGTAAATAAATGCTTATTGATTAATTGATTGAAAAGTAGTTACATAAAGATAAATTTTCTCTCTCACACACACACAAACAGTATGAATGTATAAATTTTTACTATGGTTCTTTGCCAATGTAGGTGATTTAGATAGCTAGTTCTCTTCAAAATAGCCTCCTCCATTCTTTCTGATAGTTCTCCTATAAGAAAGGACAACCCAAGAGATGGAACCCTAATTTGAAATTGAATTGCTTATGTCAAAAGTCCTGCTTGCTCTATTTTCACTGTAAGAACATCATATAAGTCAATTTGAATATAGGGAGAAAATTAAAACATATAAATGTATCAAACCTACTGTAATCAGAATTACTATACCTGAATACAATCAAGTGTTGATTGATGCGAGCGTTCTTTTTTTCCATTTCTAGAAGTTTCAATGATATAAAGATAGTTATGTATCAGTTATTGGAAAATGAGAAAATTTTAAATGGGGGAAAATATTTCATAAACAATTCATTCAATAGACGGTTTTGGAATGAAGTAACCTTCCTTATGGCTATTTAGGGTTATTTTCTCATTTAGTTAAACTGGGTGTTATTTCCTCATTCATTTAAACATTCTAAGTACTGAAGATAAAAAGATGCCTTAAATGTAAGTCTTAACCTAAATTATAGTGTAGCAAAATACAGCCTATGCTGTATTATTTTGTTATTTATTTAGCAGCTATTATGCACCTATGTGATGGTTTTGTCCGAGGTGAAATGCTGAGATAAATGTCATGACTCATTATCTTTCTTCAGGGAAATCAATTAAGTTTCTGGAAGAGAAGACAAACATATAGAAAACCCCAGAAAACAGCATTATAAGGCAGTTTTAAATAACTCATAATAATGGCTATAGAGAAAGTAGTCTTGTCCTTAAAATGTGGGATGCAAGATAAAATTATAGCAAAAACAAATGCAAACAAAAGGAAACGGTAGTGCAAGGACTTGCAGGTCAGTGTCTTAGTCCACCTTGTGCTACCATCACAGATAGCTAAGACTGGATAATTTCTTTTCTCTTTTTATTTTCTTGAGACAAAGTCTCACTCTGTCACCCAGGCTGGAGTGCAGTGGCACGATCTTGGCTCACTGCAACCTCAGTCTCCAGGGTTCAAGCAATTCTCCTGCCTGAGCCTCCTGAGTAGCTGGGACTACAGGCATGCACCATCAAGCCCAGCTAATTTTTGTATTTTAAGTAGAGATGGGGTTTCACCACATTGACCAGGCTGTTCTCGAACTCCTGACCTCAGGTGATCCACCCACCTGGGTCTCTCAAAGTGCTGGGATTGCAGGTGTGAGCCACTGCACCTGGTCAAAACTGGATAATTTATAAAGAACAGATATTTATTTGGCTTATGGTTCTAGAGGCTGGGAAGACCAAGATCAAGGAGCCATATTGAGTAAGAGCCTTCTTGCTGTGTCATCCCCTGGCCAAAGCCAGAAGAGCAAAAAAGCAAGCACAAGAGAGAGTGAGAGGAAGAGGGCCCAACACATTGTTTTAATGAAAATCCTTTAAGCAGTTATCCTTTGATAACTCATCCACTCTCACCTTAAAAACATTAATCCATTTGTGAGGGCAGAGCCTCATGACCTTATCACATCTTAAAGGTCTCATATTTTAATACGATTGCACTGGGGACTGTTTCCAACCTATGAGCTTTGGGGGACACATTCAAGCCACATCAGGCAGAAAGCTATGAGTTCAATTCAGATTTCTACCACTATTGAATAAACATGGGCAAATTATGTAATTTTTCTGGATCTTGGGTTTCTTATCTTTAAAAGAAGAATAATTATAATTATTTCCAACCAAGCTAAAGTTGTGCAAATTAAATGACATAAGTCATATAAAATGTTAGCTGCGGTACCTAGTAAACAGTAGGAACTGAGAAATGATAACAATTACTTACTTTAGATCATACTGTGTGCCAGGCATTGGACTAAAACCTATTTACATATTTTATTTTCCCTTTCATTTGTAATCTTATTAGAGTGATCCTCCATGAGGTAGGCATACTTAATTCACAAATAAGAAAACTGAAATGAAGTTACTTACAGTCATGCTAACCTGAGATCAAAAAGCCAGAAAAAGAAGAAATAGCTTCAGTTTGCTTCTCGTTCAAGAAAGAGCTGGCATTCTTACTACTAGTTAACAGCACCTCTTATTATGGTTGCTAAAGGAATGGTTGAATTAACTTATAGATGAATATCTACTTGCTGAGTCCTAATATAACCAAGAAGATGGTAGCTTTCCTCTATCCAATATTCAAAGCAAAAATAGGTTACTATAAAATGTATCACCTTTTTCATCTTTCATTTTGATGAAACTCATTTCTCAGATTCCGTCTTGCCACATGCCAGCTATCACATGTTCATCCTATTTTTTTTCCTCTTATCTGTCCATTACATATTTGTGACTTATCGTTGTAATTTCTTTGGAGCCTGAGGTCTCATTTTCACTCCATTTGGGTTCTTGGATTTTAACAGTTGTGAAGATCTGAGGACATCTGTGGCATTGAATAATTCAAATCATTATAATGTTTAAATCCAGCTTTAGTATAAAAGCAAAAAAGGAGTTTTCAGATTCATGTCTTCTCTACAACCAAGTTATGAAGCATTTGCACAGAAAGAGTTGTATTTGGTCAACAAAATATGCACATATTGTTCTTTTTAAAGAAGGCCCACAAGTTAATAATTTGCTTGCCAGTTTCCATTAAACATTCTCCAACCCTTGACTTTCTCCCACCTATATGTCTTCAGAAAACTAGACTGCGTTTTAATTCAGTAAGAAACTGGGGTTGAGGGTCTTTTAAAAAATTGAATTTGGGAAGACCATCTTTAATAAAAGATTTAAAATTTTAGAAATATTAGCAAGAGGACCTATTTTAATGTGGTTTAAATATAGTAAGTTTCTATTTCCTTTTAAAAAAACATTTGCAAGTGATAATACATGAGAAAAATATCTGCAAGTATATCTATGAACAGAATACAATTTTAGGTGCTTTACATGTGTCTCACTTAATCCTCAAAATTGTTCTCCAAGGTAGATCTTATTATTCACTTTACATTTGAGAAAATGGAGGCTCAGAGGAACTTAGTAATAGGTATTAAGTAGTAGAGTTGCAATCTGGCTTATCTTCTATGAGATTTTACACCCAGGCTTTGATTTTACCTCCCCTCTAATTCCCCTAACTGAAGTATTAAATTGGCTTATCAACCAGTTGTTCTCAATCAGAAAGAGGCAGAGAATTTAGCTGGAAAGCTTTCACAACTGGATATGGCTGGTTCTATGGTAATATAAATAATTTATTTAGGTTTAGAATTAAACATGACCCTGAATGATTTTTGTCCTTACTATACACATAACCTATCATAACTCCAAGTGGCACATTAGGAAAAGAGTTGATTCAAAAAATGCCATGTAGCATCCTCAAATGTGCATGTTACAGAAGTAAAAATTAAGCCATTGCTATAGATTGGTGTTTGACTTTCTTTCAGTTCTCCTATCTTTTTTATCTTTCTCCCTTCACCAGTTAACACACCTGACAGTAATTAAATGTGAGGAAGCTGAGAAAAAGGCAACTTCAGGAGAAGTCAAAAGGACCACAATTATCTGGATAATTTGGTTGACTATTCACGTGAGAAATCAGCAAAGTTTTATAAAAAAAAAAAATTGACCAGTTATTTCCTCACACTTTTATTTGGCAGGATTTCAAAAACATTTACATAATTAAACTGTACTATAGAATCAAAACCAAATGACCTGGAACAGTACTAGAAAATGCAGAGTGGGGAGATCCACTGCTAACTGCTCCTTAAGAAATAAGAGTTCCTTCTAATTCACAATTGCTACAAAGAGAATAAAATACCTAGGAATACAGCTAACAAGGAAAGTGAAGGACCTCTTGAAGGAGAACTACAAACCACTGCTCAGGAAATTAGAGAAGACACACAAAAAATGGAAAAACATTCCATCCCCATGGATAGGAAAAATCAGTATCATGAAAATGGCCATACTGCCCAAAGTAGTTTATAGATTCAAAGCTATTCCCATTAAACTACCATTGACATTCTTCACAGAATTAGAACAAACTACCTTAAAATTCATATGGAACCAAAAAAGAGCCTGTATAGTCCAGACAATCTTAAGCAAAAAGAACAAAGCTGGAGGCATCACACTACCCGACTTCAAATTATACTACAATGCTACTATAACCAAAACAACATGGTACTGGTACAAAAGCGGACACATAGACCAATGGAACAGAATAGAGAACTCAGAAATAAGACCGCACATCTACAACCATCTGATCTTCAACAAACCTGACAAAAACAAGCAAGGAGGAAAGGATTTCCTATACAATAAATGGTGCTGGGATAACTAGCTAACCATATGCAGAAAAATGAAACTGGACCCCTTTGTTACACCTTATACCAAAAGTAACTCAAGATGGATTCAAGACTTAAATATAAAGCCCAAAACTATAAAAAATAATCCCTAGAAGAAAATCTAGGCAATACCATTCAGGACATAGGCACGGGCAAAGATTTCCTGATGAAAACATCAAAAGCAATTCCAACAAAAACAAAAATTGACAAATGGGATCTAATTAAACTAAAGAGCTCTGCACAGCAAAAGAAACTATAATCAGAGTGAATAGGCAACCTACAGAATGGGAGAAAATGTTTGCGATCTATCCATCTGACAAAGGTCTAATATCCAGAATCTACAAGGAACTTAAACAAATTTACAAGGAAAAAAAATCATTAAAAAGTGGGCAAAGGATATGAACAGACATTTCTCAAAAGAAAACATTTATATGGCCAAGAAATATATGAAAAAAGCTCAACATCACTATCATCATAGAAATGTAAATCAAAACCACAATGAGATATCGTCTCACAGAACTCAGAATGGTGATTATCAGAAAGTCAAGAAACAATAGATGCTGGGAGGGCTGTGGAGAAATAGGAGCATTTTTACACTGTTGGTGGGAATATAAATTATTTCAAACATTATGGAAGACAGAGTGGCAATTCCTCAAAGACCTAGAACCAGAAATACCACTTGATCCAGCAATCCCGTTACTAGATATATTCAAATGAATATAAATAAATTATTCTTCTATAAAGATACTTGTACACATATGTTCATTACAGCACTATTTACAATAGCAAAGACACTGACTAAACTCAAATGTCCATCAATGATAGATAGGACAAAGAAAATGTGATACATAAATACCATGAAATACTATGCAGCCATAAAAATTAACAAGATCATGTCCTTTGCAGGGACATGAATGGAGATGGAAGCCATTACCTTCAGCAAATGAATGCAGGAACAGAAAACCAAACACCACATGTTCTCGCTTATAAGTGAGAGCTGAACAATGAGAACACACAGACACAGGGAGGGGAAGGACTCACACTGGGGCCTGTCGGTGGGGTAGGGGAAGGAGAGCATCAGGATAAATAGCTAATGCATGCTGGGGCTAATACCTAGGGGACAGGTTGATAGGCATAGCAAATTACCATGGCACACATTTACCTATGTTAAAAAACCTGCATATCCTGCACATGTATCCCAGAACTAAACTAAACTAAACTAAACTAAAATAAAATAAAATATAAACTGCGTTCATAAGACACAGGACTAGAAATTAAAACTATTCAACTCCTCAAGGCCCAGGGACTATACAGGAAAATGTGGGCATGTGAGACTGTAATGGCTGATTTTAAGAGATAAAATTAACTCAGTTTCTCTAGACATGAACCACTAATATCAAAAACACACTGATACAAAACCAGCATCTCGGCCCCTGTGTCAGATTAACAATGTTTTCTTGGAGTATTAACCTACGCATTAATACTTTTATATTAATATACTTTTATTCATATATAAATATTAATATATCAATCAATATTAATTGATTAATATTAATATATTAATCAATTGATGTTAATATATTGATTGATTAATATTAATATATTAATCAATTGATGTTAATATATTGATTGATTAATATTAATATATTAATCAATTAATGTTAATATATTGATTGATTAATATTAATAGATTGGTATAATATTTTAATATTAGTAGATTAATATTAATACTTTTAATATTAATACATATTATAAACATTACAAGAAGGTTTATAGAAATTATATCTTATGGTCAAGATGATTAAAGTTTCATCGATTGTTTATAAGATTTTGAGAGACAGATTAAAAAAAAAGAAGAAGTTTCTGCCTCCTCAAGGGTCTCCTACTCACCTGTGCTGAGGAGGGGTTCTGTCTGGAAGGAATCACACAGGTCAGGTTGCTAGAGAATCTACAGCATTTGGCCTTGAACCATGCTGGTAACTTAAAAACAGGTGTTATTAAATCAATAAGATGTTTAAATTGATTTTTTTGCAATTTCTGCAACAGAAGAGATTTATCAGAACTCATTTTGAAAATGAAGTAACAATGACTTCTGAAGCATCACAAGCCTGCAGAAAATAAAGTCGATATTGGTTTATTAATGGATTAATGAGACTCTGACTTCATAGTAAATAAAAAGCCTGTAATTGGGCTACAATGAATGGTCACATTGGAAATGGAAGATGAAGATGTAACAAAATAAATAAATAAATAAGTAAATAAAACCACTAATGAAGCCCATGTTCAGTCAAATGGTCAATATTATTACCAGGCTCTGACAACAATAACTGAAATTGATGAACATTTCTTGGAAGGTTTTCAATACAGTATTTCTGAGCAATCAGTTTTCTTGACAAGAAATACGTATTTCTTAACAAAAATAATGATTATATTCTTGTAGAATATGCAACCAAGTAGAATCTATGAAAAATCTATAACAGAATGATAATTTTTAATTCAAAGTACTTTCCTGCAAAGATGTCTAAATCAGATATGATTTATTTTAAAAATGCCTCTTTTAAATATCAAGCTAAGTCTCCATCAGTTTAAACATAGCTTTAATTGTTTAATGATAGTGCATAGAACATTTCTAGCTGTGTGATCTGGGCGATGTTATTTAATCCTCCAGAGATTTAATCTTTAATAGTGATTGTCTTCTCAGTTAGATCCTTTTGTATTGTAAAGAAACTTCTTCCGGCTAAGTTCATCTAAAAGGAATTTTATTGGAAGGATAAGGGAAGTTTCACAAGATAAAGGAGAGGAAGACCAACAAGTTTAGAGGTGAGAGGGAAGAAGTTATATATGTTCCCAGTACCAGAAACAAACCCACAGACCCAACCATATTTCATCCAGGAACCACCTCTAGAAATGGTATTTCCAATATCCATTCCTCTGGCTCACTCTCCCTACTGTGGGAAATATCTGCAAGCTGGGAAATCTGTTTGGCCAGTTTACTCCTCGAGGTTGCACTGCTCATAATAAAGATCTATTGAAAAGAACCTTCAAAGACTCCTCAAATTTTTGATGGTAGAGCTTTTATCAAAAAGATTCTCCCAAAAGAAACTGTATATTGCTAGGAACTAGAAAGAAAGGGTGACTGGGCCACTCTCAATTCCTAGACTCTTCAATATAGAGTATCCGTTGTAACATCTAACACTTACTTCAGCTGCTTTGCTAAGGGTTTCACTCTTACAGCCTCATTTACTTTATCTGACAATGCTGCGAAGCAGGAGCATCATTTTTACAAATGAAGAAGCGGAGACTTTGGAATACTAAGTTACTTATTCTTAGTCACAAAGGTAGAAAACCACAGCCCTGGAATTAAACCTGTGTGATCTGAGTCCTGATCCTGTGATTTTAAATGTTGGGAATGACTGCTAACTTCCACATCTAACATACCAATGAAATACTCACCATGCAAGGAGTACTCTGGAAATGTGTACTTGTTGAAATATATCATTAATGTCCACAAAACATAGGCCACCATGTGATTCATTAGAAGTCTGCTGAGAAGGCCTTATTCACATTCGTCGGTGTTGTACCAGTGAATATCATTATTGTCGGTGTTGCACCAGTGAATATCATTATATAAATGTAGACACACTAAGGTCAGTACCAAATTAAATAATTACAATTCTGTTCCTATGTGATATTAATTAGCAAAAGACCCATGAAAAATACAATAGAGCAGGATAAAACAATATGGATGTACCAGCCTATCAACTATTCAAACATATTGTAAGCCCCAAAAGTTAGAAAATGTAGAACTGGCCCAGGGCAGAGACAGACACTTCCCAAAAAGTTGTAAAATATAAAAATGTCACAGATGAACCCAGACACATGAAAATTCACTTTATAACAAATGTATGTTAAATCAGAGGGAGAAGGACTTTTTACTAAATGATGGAAAAATTGACTCGTCATCTAAAGAAACAAAGTTGAAGTTCTACATGAATTTCATATTGATTTAAATGTCATGAAAAATGTGAACATTTATACGTGACAAAAAGAATATATTAGTAAACAACAACACCCATAGTAATATTCCTTTATATGTTTTATAAGGGAAGACTGGTTATTATGCTTCAACACTGACAGAACTAAAGAAATCCCTGATATATGTAAATAATCGTAATACTACAAGCAAACCCAAAAGAAAATGTGAAATTATGTAAAGTATTTATAACATATTTGACAGTGGAAAAATATCTCTGATATACAAAGTGATTCTAAAAATATATAGAAAAAAGACAAGCCAAAATAAAAATAATGGCAATCGGTTAGATGGCTAGTTCACAGAAAGGGAAATGTAAATGGCATTTTATTAAAGGATGTTTATCTTCTCTCACTGTGAGGAAAATGTAAATTAAAACTGCAGTAAAATATTGGTTTAGCCTATGAGACTAGCAAAAAACTAATTTTGAAAATACACTCCTCCACCACACAGGCTAGAGAAAACCAGCATTCTACATAATTTAGACAGGAGTTCAAATCCATGCAGAAAGTATAGAGACTAATTGGGCGTGGTGTATCCCAGGTTTTGTTGCTGCTGTTTGTTTGCTCTTAGAGATGGGGTCTCACTCTGTCGCCCAGGCTGGAGTGTAATGGTGTGGTCATAGCTCACTGCAGCCTTGAATTCCTGGGCTCAAATGATCCACCCACCTCAGCCTCTAGAGTGGCTGGGATTACAAACACATGCCACCATGCCAGCTTGGTAGATTCCAGTTTTGACCCATCGATATTGCCTCTGCATACTCTACAAGTATTTCCCACATTCAAGAAACGAGCAATGTACAAAGCTGAACATCATTTTACATTTAGCAAATACACATTAGTTTGTAATACAATAACATGCCCACCGATAGGAATTATTTGAATTTTTATTTCATATGTGCGTTATCTATCTGTTACTGTCAATCTGTCTGTTTATCCAGTTAAATATGCAGATTAAAAGATGAATGAATCATTCTATGTGCTGGTATACAAAGATCTTAAAGGTGTATTTTCAGGTGAAAAAAGCAAGACAGAGAGCATAGTTCACAAAACGTCTTTTATAGAAAATAAGTACATATATGCTGTTTGCTTACACGGACACAAACAACCTTTGGAAGAATGCACAAAAGTTAGGGAATGGTTACCTGAGGCATCTGTGTTTTTTATTAGTGTGTGTGTGTGTTTGTGTGAGTGTGAGTTGAGATGGGAGTGGGTGAAAAATGAATGATGGTTGCAGGATCAGAAGCAAAAATATTTCTATTCTAAAACTTGCTCTTATTTCTACTTTTAAGCCAAGTATTTCTTACCTGTTAGTTGTTTTTAAAGGTTAAAAAAAATTACCATATCCAATAATAGATGAAACTATGAGCTTTATCTTTAAGATTAGTCCTGTGACATTAAAGTCTGTTGCAGTAACAATTGTAAGTAAATGCTAAGGGTCATGAATTTTACCCTAAGGAGTCAGGTAACTCAAACAATGGTCATTTGTTAACAGACCTTCCTAATGAAGACAAAAAAAATGTTTATTATATAAAATGTTACCTTTCATGATAGAAAGATAAGTGATTCGAATTTTACCAAAGTAATATTCTCTCTTGAATATTAGCATCAACACTCCTCAACCAGGAGATCATGGCAGGGAACACATATTACTCAGATTTCTACTTTTAGTGTTTATCATTGTGCATGAAATAATTAAACATTTAATGCAAAATAAAATGATCGTTCATTTTCTATTTCAAACCCACTGAGTTAGTTGACTTGTGGAAGTGTTTTTTATTAAGCATATCAACATTATACTGAGAGAACCTAGAAATAAGGAAAATGGCGCAAGAATTGGCAAGATTGGTCTTTCACTCCCTGGTCTGTTTAACAAAGTATTAAATATGCTTTTGATGTCCTAAAACTCCCACTTTGCAGCTTCATTAGTTAACTCAATAAGCCCATCATTAAGTTAGGAGCTGTATGTTAGCTTAGGTACACAGCTAATTGTGACTATCCACATGTGGAATTCCATTTTTAATTTAAATGTTTTCTCTTGCTTCCATAGCAGTCTAGTATGAAATATGGGTGATTTATACATCACGTTGGGATTATCTGTCCCATGCACAACCATAATTATAATAATGACTAATCATGATAATGATGAGTTGTAAATTTGATGCTCAAACGTAGCAGGGAGTAGCAAGTGTAAATTCATATATAAGATCTTGTTTACACTTTCACTATAAAGAACTGCTCTTTAAGATATATATATATGATATATTTGATACATATAGAAGCATTAGTGTCACAATGCATATTAATTCTTAATAATGCAGAGCATGGCAAGGAGCTAATATTTAGAGCAATTATTTACTTTATATTTTTTAGCATAGCACTTTTTATATAAAATGAAAGCAGGCAAATAGAGGTGAGATGTTTTGCCATTTAATAGTTAAACTCACTGACTTTGAAGCAAATGTCACTGGATTGGAATCACTATTACAATCCCTCTGTTATTTAATCCATTGGGTCACAATGCCAGGCTGTTTAAATAATGTGATTAGTAAACAAGGAAGCATAAAATAAGAAACATTTGGTAATATTTTCTTAAAGTAAATTGAATTCATTCTATCATTTGCTCCACAATACTTTCTGCCCTATTAACAGCTTTGTTAATGTTCTATTGACATCCAATACATAACACAAATTTTAAGTGTACAATCTGATAAATTATGACATACCCCTATACCCATGAAACCATCACTCCAAATAAGAGTGAACATTTACATCACTCCCCATAATTTCCTCATGGCCTTTCATAATCCTTTGTTACTAATCTTCATGATCAAAACTGATATTTTATAGTGACAGATTGTGATAATTTGAAGATATTATTTTTACTTGGCATGTCAGAAAATATATCACTTTGCTTAATATCTATTTATTGAGATCTAATTATACAGTCACTATTCCAGGATCAGGGAAGACAACAGGAAGAAATAACAAGAGATAACAGGCCAGGCATGGTGGGTCACACCTGTAATCCCAGCAGTTTGGAAGGTTGAGGTGGGAGGATTCCTTGAGGCAGGAGTTTGAGGTTGGCCTGGGCAACATAACAAGAACACCTCTCTTAAAAAAAAGAAAATTAAAAATTAGCTGGGAATGGTGGCATGTTCCTGTAGTCTCAGCTACTTGAGAGGCTGAAGTGGGAGGACTGCTTTAACCTAGGAGTTTGAGGCTGCAGTAAACTATGATGGTGCCTCTGCACTTCAGCCTGGGCAACACAGCAAGACACAATCTCTTTAAAAAAGTAAATACATAAATAAATAAGTAAGGTTAAGTAGGCACCCAAATTGAGCTTATTCTTATAAGGAGAAGGGCCAACTATTAAACATGAGGCGATATTCAGTGCAATTGAAAGAGCCTTGTAAAAGTATGTGGAACAACCATAGAAGTGGGAAGGCTTTGATGGAGAGACAGTGAATAAGGACATAAAGGTAATTTGATAAGCACTGCTTTTACTCACCCAATATTTGCTTGTTTTGACTTGATATCCCTCAGAAACGAATGATAATCTCTCCAAGCTTCCTTACTCATCTTTAAAACTGGTCTATTAGTAGTAACCTCTACATATGTTTGTAGTATTAAATAAGATCATAAAAGTGATTAGCAGGCCCAGCACGGTGGCTCACGCCTATAATCCCAGCACTTTGGGAGGCCCAGGCGGGTGGATCATGAAGTCAAGAGATTGAGACCACCCTGGACAACATGGTGAAACCCATCTCTACTAAAAATACAAAAATTAGCTAGGCATGGTGGCAGACACCTGTAGTCTCAACTGCTCTGGAGGCTGAGACAGCAGAATTGCTTGAACCCAGGAGGCAGAGGTTGCAGTGAGCCGAGATTGTCCCACTGCCCTCCAGCCTGGGTGACAGAGTGAGACTCCGTCTCAAAAAAAAAAAAAAAAAATGATTAGCCCAGTGTCTAGGTGCCTAGGACATGGCAAGTATTTAATATAAAGATTGTTTTCTCATCACTGATCATTAGAGAAATGCAAATTGAAATCACAATGAGATACCATCTCACGCTATTCAGAATGTCGATTAATAAAAAGTCAAGAAACAATAGATGCTGGCAAGGCTGTGGAGAAATAGGAACACTTTTACACTGTTGGTGGGAATGTAAATTAGTTCAACCATTGTGGAAGACAGTATGGCAATTACTGAAGGAACTAGAACCAGAAATACCATTTGACCCAGCAATCCCATTATTGGGTATACACCCAAAGGAATATAAATCATCCTACTATAAAGACACATGCACACGTATGTTTATTGCAGCACTGTTTACAACAGCAAAGTCATGGAACCAACCCAAATGCCCATCAATGATAGACTGAAATAAGAAAATGTGGTACATATACACCATGGAATACTATGCAGTCATAAAAAGGAATGAGACCATGTCTTTTGCAGAGACATAGATAAAGCTGGAAGCCATCATCCTCAGCAAACTAACACAGGAAAGAAAACCAAACACCGCAGGTTCTCACTCATAAGCGGGAGTTGAAAAATGAGAACACATGGACACAGGGAGGGGAATAACACACACCAGGGCCTTTTGTGGGGTGGGGAGTGAGGGGAGGGAACTTAGAGGACAGGTCAATAGGCACAGAACAACCATGGCACACATATACCTGTGTAACAAACCTGCACTTCCTGCACATGTATCCTGGAATTTAAAGTAAAATTAAAGAAAAAATTGGTTTTATTATTATGACCAAGATGTCAGAGCAGGGTAATCATAGGGGTGAGATTCCAAGGCAGCTCACAATTTCCTCATGCTGCCTCCAAGTATTAAAATCGCTAGTCCAATCTAAGTATTTCAATAGAGCCAAGAGAAATATAAACAAAAACTTGTTAACATCTACATGCTGATGCATTGAAATTGCCAGATGATAAGTCCTAAAATGTTTGTTTCTCTGCCTACTTTTTATTGTGTAAAGTTTGCTCCTGGTGGCTTGTTAATAATATTATCATTTGCTGACTATGAGATGATGGGGGATTAAAATTATCATGATATAACAAATATGCTGACTTTCTGCAACTGCTAGCATACTGAGACAGCCAGGTGGGAAGGGGTCCCCGGAGAAACTCCAGCCAGCCTGCTCACTGTGAGGAGTGCTCGCTGGGGTGGAGCCACAGAAGTTTGCACCATTTGCAGTGGGGAGAAGCCTGGCCTCTCCTCTTCCTGGGTGGAACTGGAATTCAATTTGTAAACTGGGAAGCCCAAGGGCAGGAAACACACTCTCGCTTTTCTAAGAGTCTCTGTTTCCCCTTTTCTTCCTTTCACCCAATAAAACCCTGGCCTACTCACCCTTCAAATTGTCTGTGAGCCTCATGGCTGTGTGACAAGGACCCCATCTTTAGCTGAACTATGGAAAAGTCCCACAACAATCCTGTGTGCTTTTTCCTGCAAAAATACTCCATTCAACAAAGCCTAACACCATATATAAAAGGAAAGTACTTTTGTAGAAGCCTTCCTCATATTGATGATCCTTTTGACACCACAGAAAATGTCACAGACATTTGCTTATCAGAGGCATAAATGCTGATATAATATCATTTCAATCAATCACCTTAAGAAAGTTACCAAATAATGCAGCATTTTTAATTTTCAAAAGAAAATATTTAATCAATTCAAACTTTTTCATTCTTCTCTCTTGTAACTTTTCCCCTCACTTTTCTCTTTTTTTTTATCCTGAGTATTTAATAAGAACCTGTTGACTGAAACTACCTTGTACTGTTTCTTGATGGTATTAACAATGGTTTACCTTGGGTTGCTACTTCACTTCGGTTTCAGCTGAGATATCCATTAAATACAATGCTTAATTAAGCTTGCTTCAGTTGTTCAAAGTTTTCATTCTTAGACAACAATTGTGTATTTATTCCCATGGTGTAAGTGCTAGGCATTTTATTTCTCAAGAATTCAACAGCAGAGCTTTATTGGATTGGGATATTTTCATGATGCAAAGTGTTTCTGGAGAGCCCTGTGTAAACAGGTTCAATTGCTAACAGAAAACCAATTAGAATTTTTTTTTTTTTTTAAGAAAAAGCATTTTGTTGCTTGGAGAATGAGGTGTTCTGGTTAATTTAATTTTCTGGTTGAGGTTTAACATAATTTAATCTTATTTTTTAATGACAGAGAAACTTGAATAGCTTTATTCAGTTCTTCTAAAAACTGCTCTAAGGAAGAAGAGAAAGAGTACAAACTTCCAATGAAGATATATGCGTGTGGAGGGTAGGAGGCAAAATATATGTGTGTGTAGGCTTACAATATTGTTATTGACCTTGATCAATATTTTATTTTACATTGTTGGAAATGCACATCTGAATGTATGAAAGTTTAACAATTGGCTCCTATTCAGGTTGGGGTGCAGAGAAAGAGAAAGGGAACAAGAAATCGAACCAACTACACAATTATTTAGGAACATTTGACCAGAAAGTATCTCTACTAAAGAGGTAGATGATATTTATCGACATCACATGAATGAACAAGGGAATGGATATTTTATATATTTGCTATAAAAATATATATTTGTATGTGCTTATATATATATATATATATATATATATATATACAAGGACATACACACACACATATGTATATATACACAAGCACATACACATAATGACATATTCTCAATTGCTTGTAATTAGAGCACAATTGGGATAATCTGATGAAATTATTTCATTTCATAGGTGAGGACAAAAGCCTGAGAATTTTAGTAACATGTCCAAAAAGTCACAGCTAGAGAATAACTGAATTGAAACAATATCTAACATTTTTAAATGAGAAGGAAAAAAGCATTTAATGCTAGAAAATGCAGAGTTAATTTTATAAAGTATCCAGTAACATGAAGGTTAATATGAAGAGGATACTCTATGGCTTCTTTTCATTTCTCTGGTGATTGCAACTGGGAGATGCTGTGCAGAATAATTCAAATCGAGAACAGGCTCCATCATGGGGCTTGGACTCCACTGGGATGGTTATTCTATCCACAAAGGCAAGATTACACCAAACTTAACGTCGGATGGTTTAGAAGCTGTATTGATTGTCAGAAATGAGTTATCTCTAGCCTATTCCCTGGTGCTAAATAAATGCATTTTAAATCTACACTCCTGTCTGCTTTCCCATGGGCACTGACAGCAGTTTGCAAAAGCAAACTGTTCCTGAGAAATCAGCTGGTAGCTTCTGAAAAAGTTTTGGTATTTAATAAAAAAGAATGGGTATTAGTTAAAAAACAGCGACTTTAACAACACATTCTAAAATTCTAAAACTGTGCTACATAATAGGATCACAGGTCTTTGAAGAGCAGCTACTTTCTCATCTTGGGGTAGAACTTAGCTTGTCACTCTATGTGTTAGTTAGAATTATGGCAGACATCTTGAAGACATGGAAAGCTCGAGGACCAAGATAATCTGCCTTATATTTCAAAATGTAAACTGGAAAGAATCTTGGAGTCTTAAAGCATGGTCTGACCTCAGATTTTTTATTTTTTGTGTTAATCACTCAATTATTTTAGATTTAAAAATCTAAAATAATAAAATAAAATAACCAAAATTATTATATATATAATAATTGAATGATTAATACAAAAATCTATTATATATCTACATATATAATAATTGAGTGATGTATACACACAATTATGTAATTGAGTGATATATATATATACACACACATATACATATATACATATATATATACACACACATATACATATATACATATATATATATTTGCAACAGAAAGCAACCATTACAACTGCAGTAGAGATTTTTCTTAAAGATTACAAGAGATAACACATGTAGTGATAATCCTAAAAACTTTTCAAAAGCTGGCAGCGAAACTGCAGCATCCAGTCGAATGGATTCTAGTCATCTGCCCTGGGTGTGCATGCAAATCACTTTTTAAAATACAAAATTCTGTTTTTAGTCATTATTCATTACCATGAAAGAAATATGTGGCCTGTTGTCAAATAAATGACTGGTTATGTTTCTAGATTTGTTTTTCTCTACATTAATAGTACTAAATGACTACACCTCGGATTCATACGTAAGCTGTTTACCTATTTTATGATCCCCCAACTTGGTGTCTGCCTACCAGTAAGGATTCTTTTCTTCTGTAGCTTCATCTGCTTCTAGCAGTATTCCTAGCCATTGTGCTATGGTATCTTCTACTTTATGTAACTGGGACACTAAGAGACAGTACTGGATATAATTGTGTGGAACGTTTTGTGTTAATTATCTAAAGAGGTGACATAAACATAAAGATACGTGGCTTCTATTTTGGCTGCACAGCATCTGTTTCTCCTTTCATCCAGGACCTTGGTTCTTTTGTATATAGGTAGTATTTATCTTTTGTATAAGTGAAGTGTAATTGAAAACTGTAAGACACTTAAATAATGTGTTCTTTCATAATCTAAATATAGTCTATAAAATTGTATCTATACCCTGCTTGTATTTTCTTAGCACATTGTTTTCTTAGAAGTAATTCCAAAATAAAGTTCAGACTAGCTCATATATAATTATCTTAAAGGTCTGAGTTTGTGAAATTCCAGCTAATGATACTTACTATAATGAGGGAAGTAAATTAGAAGAATATTAAAGCCTTCACATTTCAGAATTCATAGATAGATTTCTAGGTAATTACAAAACAACATTGTTACGAATTAGATTTTTTTTCATAAAAATCTAAGAGAAATAAGCAATATTATTCCTGCAAGAAATAATTTGGAACATTTTAGTTTAAAAAATGGCTTTTTTGTCTATGGTTATTTTGTCTCAGGAAATTAGATTGAGGTTTTCGAAACTTAAGACAAATGTTTATACCAAAGCCACATTTCCTTTGTTTAGAATAAAAATAAAAGATTTTAATTATTCTAAAAGTACAGATATTTTGGATGATGATTATAGTTTTGAAAGAACATGAAATACATTCCACTACATTTAGTTAAACAATAAATTCTAAAGTAAAAATCCTGTTATGGATTTAATATAATATAAGTCAAGTGGAAAAGAAAGCAAAATATAAATCTCTCATCCTATCCATAAAAAGTTTACAATCTGTTTTGAAGAACAAGGCACACCAGTTAAACGTTAGGTTATAAATAAGAGCATAATGATATAGCCAAGAACACAAGAATAAAAATGCCTAACAATATTTTTAGTAATAAACTACTGATATTCAGGAAATTTTCTTTGGACAATATACTACACAATATGATATTTTTAGAGACTTAGAGACCCTAATACTACCAAGTACTATTTGTAGAAATCTCAGTATCTACAGGGAGAACATAAGGAGAGGCAAATACAACTATCGCACGGCCAATGTTTAGAGTACCTGCTTAGTGTCAGGTATTGTTGGTGCTAAAAAACAATGTGACAAAGCCTTCATAGTCTTGAGGTGAAGACATATTAAACACACGTAACACCACCTTCACATTGGGATTTCGGAGTTTATGACTCTTTGACAGTACAGGCACAGGGCATAAAACCCATTTGGTTAGGTTTAGAAAGCCAACACATTCACATTAGAACTTTGGATTTTATGATGCTTTAGGATTGTAGGAACAGGGCGTAAAGCCCATTTAATTAGCTTTAGAAAGCCTTCTTAGAAGAGGTCAGAGTTTTAAAGGACAGAGAGCCATTAGTCCAATAAAGGAGGATTTGGGATATGGAGGTTATACCGTACAGATGGAACAGAATGTGCAAAGCTTTAGAGAAACCATCATTTGTTACAAATAGTACCTCACTGGAACAACTTGTGTGTTTCTATGTGGGTATGATTATACACCTTAGATGCTAAAGGGAAAAGAGTGAGATATCCCATCATCATTCTATGACATCAAAAAATACTTGCTATTTTTCAGAGATTTCTCTTATGACAAATTCTAGGAAAATATTTGTGCAGTGAACAAATTAGTTAGTTAGTAAACTAACTCTACCCATCACAGTTAGGCCTTGGACCCCAGTCTCAATATAGATCCCTTGTCATGTAGATTGACCATTGAGAAGGAAGCATTTTGCCTAATTGAAAGATGGCTTGTTATGTAGAATCAAAGGCAGCAGCCTATTGTCTGCTTTTCCTTTGTGTCCCCATGGCAAGGTTGATTCCCCAGAAAGTCACCTCTCACATAGAGATTGGAAAGAGCACTGAAGCTAAGATGGCATTGAAGAGTTGTCCCTACTGGTGTGAGGGAGCTGGGCCTTCACTGTCATCAACCAGTTATTGGAGGAGCCTGACTTTGGCATGGAAGCATGACCTTGGGCACAGTGACTCTCTTTAGCTCAAATAATTCTTACAGGGAGATGCAGATACAAGCTGTCAGTCACTAAGATTTTAGGCGACTGGGGGAATGAGTGTTTCAGTCCCAAAAGGAAATTTTGAGTGGTGTACAACTGTGTTTAGTACAGACCTGGAACCTACCGCCAAAATGTTTCTTAACATTCCAATCTGAGTTAAATCTGTGAGAAGAGAGGAACACAATTGTCAGCAACAGAAGTTTTAGCTAAGTGTTTAGAGGAACTGGTTGTCAATTACCCACTTGAAACCTTCACATGAGGAAAGGTGGAGATAAACTTACCCCCCACCTATCCCATACACAAAATAATGAAGCTTCCCAAAGAAAGGTTTTATCAGTCCAGAGAACTATCTTTATCAGGCCTCTTAGAATAGTAGAATTATTAAACTCGAACCAGAGAGTTCTAGGAACCAACAGTGAACTGCATTTCATTCACACTACTGCTTTTGACATAATATGTGAAAAACCAATCACAGGAAATCTGTTGAAAAAATATTTAGAATTATCCAATATAAACTTTATGAACTATAAAATTATTTACTATATCTTGACTAAGTGTTTCTATTAATATTTCTACACACACACACACAGACACACACACACACACACACACAAATTCTCTTCAGATTTATGAGGTAAGGTTAGGAATAAAAGGCCACAGAGTTTTAATCTCAAGGTATGTGCTTTCAATGGGCCATTGGTTGCCTTGGCTTAATTCATTGTTCACCTTACAAGTATAGGCGACTTTTTTTTTTTTTTTTTTTGAGACGGAGGGAGTCTCGCTCTGTTGTCCAGGCTGGAATGCAGTGGCATGATCTCAGCTCACTGCAAGCTCCACCTCCTGGGTTCACGCCATTCTCCTGCCTCAGCCTCCCAAGTAGCTGGGACTTCAGGCGCCCGCCACCATGCCCGGCTAATTTTTTGTATTTTTTAGTAGAGACGGGGTTTCACTGTGTTAGCCAGGATGGTCTCGATCTCCTGACCTCGTGATCTGTCTGCCTCAGCCTCCCAAAATGCTGGGATTACAGGCGTGAGCCACCGCACCCAGTCCTGATTGTTTTGCTTGAGCTAAACTGTATTTGCAATTCTTTATCTACCTCTGTTAAATTTGTTGCTTGGTTTGACCTTGAAGATCTGTAAGTGTTTCATTTGCCTGTTTAAAACCATTGTTGCTATTTCTTTCAGGAAGAATGAAGAGCTAATTCATGCAAAAGAGGGGAACAGACTTGAATTAATCCTAGAGATAAACCTAGCATTTGAAGACATAGCATTCTTATCTGTCAAACAGATGAAGCTTTTAAGCAATGATCCACTATGTTCAGTGAAAACATCCATAATCTACAATTAAAATACCTTAGTTCTGTCATCTGCTGTCTGAATAAGAATGGGCAATGTATTAATCTTCCTGAGATATAACTCAGTTGTATTAACATGAGAATGATAATGTATTCATTATAGGACTGTAAAGATAAAACAGATCAAGTTTTTACCAAATATTTGTAGAAAATTAATGTCCATCAGCCTCAGGAGTCTGAGAATAAAAATGAAGTCATCATGTCAAATACCACAAGCTTCCAAATATTCATGAGGAGGAAATCTTACCTAACATTTTGAGAAGTCGAGACTTATCTTACATTTGCTCATGGCCATCTTCATTGGCCCATGTTCTTTCTTCTGAGGACACAATTCATTGCTGATCTCCATGGAAGCACTATTTGCCTTCCTGCCTTAAGGGTCAGTTCCCAGTGCCACCCAAACTGCAATACGAACCCTTTAAATGCTACAGGATTATTTTCCATGTTCACTGTGATGCTGAAACTCATACATAAATGAACAGAATCACCCTTTTCAGCAATCAATGGCTTCTATCATTCACCTGTGTCTCAAAGCAACAATGCTGAATCTCTGAGTTGTAAATAGATTCTAAAGAATGATGACACCTTAAATTTCTTCCAGAAGTGTCTTTATTTCTATGAAGAATGAAGTCTACTTCCTATAGTTGGGCTAGAAAATGACATTCATACTGTACTACACATTAGTATTTTGACTCTGTCCTTTCTCCCTAGGCAGTCTCATGCAATTTTTACTCAGTACGTCATAGGCAACTCCTTCATGTAGAAAAGCACCTTGAGTTCTAAAACCTGATAGAATCCAATTGGTCTCTTTCTACATTCCCTGCTATACTAATAACCTCTACAAGGCAACAAAAATATGTTATAATTTAAGATGATGTGAAGTATCCATTCTGTACCCTATAAATATGTGCAATTATTACCTGTCAACTGAAAATATAAAGGGAGAAGAAGGAACTCAATTAAGATGATAGATATGTTCATTTGCTTCACTATTAAAACCATTTCGCCATCTATATGTATATATCCCATAATATCATGGGTAAATTTTTTTTAATTTATAATACAAATTTATTTTATAAGAAGTTATTTTAAAATAAGTTGAGATAATGTATCATTTGAACACAGCTTACCTACAGGCTAACGTATTTTCGTCAGTTTGATAATAAAATGATAATTGCTTCTTATGGAGTATTATTCAGAAATTGATGTCATTTGCAATTTTAGTTTGTGAATCTGTTTTAACATTTTGGAGCATTGGCTACAAAAACTCTGTTATTAACCTAAGATCATTTTGTACAGTATGGTTTTCTTAGAAGCAAATTAGTTTATTTCCAAGTATCAGAAATTGACAGCTTTAGAGATGGAGTTTCGCTCTTGTTGCCCAGTTTGGAGTGCAGTGGTGGGATCTCAGCTACTGCAACCTCCACCTCCTGGGTTCAAGTGATTTTCAGCCTCCCGAGTAGCTGGGATTACCGACATGCACCACCATACCCGGCTAAATTTTTTGTATTTTTAGTAGAGACGGGGTTTCACCATGTTGGCCAGACTGGTCTTGAACTCCTGATCTCAGGTGATCCACTCGCCTCAGCCTCCCAAAGTGCTAGGATTACAGGCATGAGCCACCACATGCAGCCAAATAGGTGACTTTCTAAAAGAAAAAGATGCAGAAACTTGCTTACGTACACTTGGGAAGTAAGGATGGGCAGAGATCCATGTAACCTAACAAAAGAGTTTTTTATTACATCTTGGGCAGGAAAACTTTCCTTGATCATATTTGGCAGCCAAGTTTAATTTTGCTATTTGACTAGGATTAGTGAAACGTGTATTTCTCTAACTACAGTTGTCAATTACTCATTGAGTGAGACACAGAATGCATTAGATTCCGATGCCGGATTTCAAAATCAGAAGAAATTTCCTTCCCCAAGTGGGTGCAATTATTGGATAGTTTGAATGTTCTTCAATCATTATTAGCATAGAAAGAAAAGATTAAATTAAATAATCCCTGATTGTAAAATATAGTGCATCTCACTGAAGGAAATTTGTTTGGAAATAATAAAAGGCTATGCAGAAACTAAGGAAACCTCTAATTATGAGAAACGGAATAGCAAGTCTTACAGCAGAATAACTTATTGGACAAAGCAAGTGTTTTGAGGGGCCTGAAAAGAAGCTCCTTTCTTTCATAAATTAGGCATGAACTAAATATAAAAGAATGAGAACTTCTAAAATAACATATTCACTCTACTTTTCCTGCAGATAGCTTAGGACCAGGCATCAGGAAAGGGCTGGCAAAAAAGTGAATAACTCAAAGAAAGACTTTTTAAGTACTTAGCATCAGCAAAATTCCTCCTTCTGGAGAACACCAGGAAATAGGTTGCTTTAGGGGTGTCTGCTTAATAAAACTACTAATTCCCCAATATAAAAATAATACACCAACTTTCTGTAATTTTTGGAAAACATTCTCACCTACAAAGAAAATAACAATAGCCCTACAAAATGTCCCTACCCAGCGAAAACCATTTTAATAATTAAAATGTGTTTCTAACCAGGTTTTTCTTTATACAGGCATTTGACATTATAACAAATTTATAATTCAGTTTCCCGCTTAGAATTTTAGCCTATGTGTTTCCCTACCATTAAAAAAATGACTATACATCATTTTAAAGGATGCAATTATTTTGTTATCTGTCTTGCCAAAATTAACCACTCTGCTGTTGCACATTTAGTTTGCATTTGATGTTTGATGTTAGAAATAATGGTAACATATATGTGCTTCATTTTGAGAGTGTTTTTCCTAAAATATTTTTGAAAATGTAGTAGAGAGGTGATGTGAACAAAGAAAGTCAATTTGGGGAGTCTACACGATATACCAGAATTATTCTCGATTCTTTATCACTGTCATAGGCTTTCAATCTGTACCTAATTTGTGTCTGTCACTGAGATTCAAAAGTATGTGCCTATGAGTCTTCTGTTAACCAAACCTTACCTGTTAGGCAATTTACAAGAAAGACTAAGGTAACTATAACAAGATTACTCATTCTTGGGAACTACTAGAAAGCACAAATGATGCTGAATAAGGCTTGGTGTTTGTTGGTCAAATTTGTATCTTGGCTTAGCTCCACAGTCCCTGGAAAGGAGAAGAAAGTAAACACAAGCAAAGTATTGCTTGTCTAAAATTATGCAGATAGATGGGAAATAGTTCTAAATGTTTGAATATAAAAGAGAAGAGAAAAAATTGCCCACCTTATGAGCAAACTCCAAGCACTAGCTCTTAATGATCTTCAGTGCAGGAATGTTGAGCAAAAGGTAGCAACCCCCGCTGGAAGCAGAATATCAGTGGAAGCCTCTGTGTTGTCCTGCTGGGACCAGGTCATTAATGCTGCCCAACATTTGCTGGGCACGGCTGCCACTTCTGAAGCAAAAATGACAGCCAAGACCAACAAATTGGAGGTGTCCAATGGATGCAAGAGATACCTAGCAGATGTGGCATTACAGTGTCCCTGAGTCTAACTGACACAGTGGATTTAGGAGTCAGGTATTTTAAGCACAGTGGAGAGACCACCTGAAAATTAATAGAAATTATTGGAGAGGAAGAGAGATAGGAATTTGCTGGAGGGTGGGGTTCTGCTTATTGGAGGAGGGGAGAGGAAGAGGGTAAAAACAAAGAGACATACACCATGTATAAACTCATTTAAGCCTATTGAATACTGTATTTGCTAAGCTGAGAAGGTTAAACAACTATCTAAATTAACTAAAGGAGAGGATATGTGGGAGGCGCAGGCAAAGGAAGCTGCATTTTGAGAAACCTGTATTAAACAGTCCCATTAGTTCAATAACATGAATGTTATTAGAGCAGGAGGAGCTGCCCTTGGGTCTAATATAATTATAAATTCCTATGGCAGACCCAAGATATATAGAGACACTCAGTTTCAAACTGTAATTCCTGAGATGATGCTACAGTGGTGAAAGTTAGACATCTTCATTGATGGATTTTTATAGCTCCTCCAAGCTATCATAGCCCCTTTGGGTTGGCTTATTATGCATGGAGGCAGGAAATGACAGAAGACACTCTCAAGGCAGTGCTCTCCCTCAACTGCTATTACACAAGCTTATTCTTAAACGCATTCATTCAGGAAAATGAGCTCCAATGTTTCCTTCCTTGCAGCTGTGAAACTAACTAGAACAAATGTCCAATATGGATTGATCAACATTTAGTTAATTTTCACTGCCTCTGTCCATGTCGGGTCAGCCATAACCTACATACAATTCTCCAGCCAGTTAAAGGCTCAAAAATCTCTTTCATTTTTAAATAAAGTTCATCCTGTCAGAATTTACTTTTTACGTTTTATTAACACCCACAAAATTCCATCTCAATTAGTCCCACAAGGGAGCATGAGCCAAATAAGTGGTTTTCAAACATTTTTTGCAGAACTGTGCATTCCCTAGTACATTTTTAGATTGGCATAGATTATTATTAATAAACTATGTAATTTCTCATCAATTGTACATGTATGTGTAACTAATATACAGTTGACCTTTGAACAACATGTGTTTCAATTGCATGGGTTCCCTTAGAGACAGATTTGTTTTCACCTCTGTCACCCCTAAGACATCATCATTGACCCCTTCTCTTCCTCCTTCTCAGCCTCCTCAATGTGAAGGTGACAAGGATGAAGACCATTACAATGATCCACTCCACTTAATGAGTAGTAATTATATTTTCTCTTTCTTGTAATTGTCTTAATAATATTTGCATTTTTCTAGCTTACTTTCTGGTAAGAATACAGTATATGTTGCACATAACATAGAAAATATGTCATCAACTGCTTATATTATCCATAAGACTTCCAGTAAACAATAGGTTATTAGTAGTTAAGTTTTGGGGAGACAAAAGTTACACAATTTTTGCATGGACGTTGGTGTCCCTAACCCCTGTGACATTAGGGTCAATTATACATCTTCATCAAAATTTAAAGAGGCTTATATAGTTAATTAAATTTACAAAGAATGTCCATCACCACATAATTCCAACAGCAAGTCAGCCATCATTGTTGAACCATTCAGCCACCTCAGACTTACTGTAGGAAATAAGATCTATGGTTTTATTTTTCAATTCAAATAAATGAGTTAATACAATTCTATTTGACAATCATCTTACATTTAAAATAAAAATGTGAAGAATAGAGAGATAGACAGAAGAGAGAAAACTAGGCATAATCTTGCCATAAATATATTCATTGTGTAAGACAATTTACTATTTCTTTATTATTATTATTATCATTATTATTATTATTATTATTATTTTTTGAGACAGAGTCTCGCTCTGTTTGTTGCCCAGGCTGGAGTGCAGTGGCGCCATCCCTGCTCACTGCAAGCTCCGCCTCCTGGGTTCACGCCATTCTCCTGCCTCAGCCTCCCGAGTAGCTAGGACTCCAGGCGCCAGCCACCACGCCTGGCTAATTTTTTTGTATTTTTAGTCACACCCGGCTAATTTTTTTTATATTTTTAGTAGAGAGAGGGTTTCACGGTGTTAGCCAGGATGGTCTTGATCTCCTGATCTCGTGATCCGCCCACCTCAGTCTCCCAAAGTTCTGGGATTACAGGCGTGAGCCACCACGCCTGGCCACAATTTACTATTTCTTATGGAATCTCTCCTTGCTTTGCTTTCAGGGAATCTCACTCATGAGCACTGCATTCTTCAACAGCACTTTTTTTTTCTTTTTTGGCATTCAGTATTTTACACTTTAAGTCAATGCACTGTGAGTGAGAGAATGACTGCCCTTTATAAAATGAGAGAAGAGGTGAGAAGGGAGAAGCAGTGAAGTGCCAGTTACACTCTCTGGAAGACACGTTTTAGGAGAGAGAGTACACCTGGAAGCTGAGGATCTGGGAAACGATTTTCTAAAAACCAACTGCTTGGAAATACTCCATGTCCTTCAGTGGTATATTTCTCATGCACTGATCTATGTCTACTTTTTCTGGAATCCAGTGTTTTGCAGTGAATTTGGTCATAGTTTTTGAATAAAACTGAATAGGTTTCTTATAGCTCAGGAGCTGAGCCCAACTTTGTTCTTGATTTGCTTCACTCTTAATGGTTGCAAACATACGAATCCTCTTTATCTTGTCTTTTTCTCCCAATGTCTTCCAGATTCGCTGAGTTAATGTATTTTATTAAATTTATAACTATTTTTGATTAAAGTATTACTTAAAAGTGGACATATATATTACAAGGTGAATTTCAATTATGTGTGCACTCACGTCAGAATTGTGTTCCTTATTTTAATGACTATAAACCTTGCTCTTAGTCAGAAGCCTCCAGGACATTTTTTTTCATTTTTTTTTAAATTACTAGTACCTGGATCTTATCTCCAGAATTTTTTATTCATCTCATATGATATGAGGACCAGTCATGGGCATTGTAAAAAAAATAGTAAAAATGTAATTCTAATATGCAGTCCATGTTCAAAAGTGCTTTGGTAATGAAAACTCCTAGAATAGAGAAAGGGGAGAAAAAGACCAAACACAACAAGCTTTATTATGAGTAAGAGGTCTCTGAGTTACCATTCATGTCAAATCATCGTATTTCTGTTTGTCCAAGCAGTTTAAAAATACAGATTAAGTAATCATTTCAAGAATCACTTGGAAATTGGATTAACCCTGAGTATTCATTATTGCAATAACCAAAAATTACTCCGTCAAGCTCCTGAGCTTATTTAAAAATCTATTATAAATCAGACTAAGATTCCAAGGGAAGGCCTAAGAAATAAAGCAATGTTACAAGCATGTAAAGAAACTTTGATGTACTTTTTGTTGTTCAGTAATTTTGAGTTTACTGACAGAAAACATTTTTGAATAACCAAAAATGGATAAGAAGATGAGGCATCTAGATCTTCTTAAATATTCACAATTCTAGAAATTATTGCAGCAGCCTCATAGCTGTCCCTCCTTAAATTCTTTCTGATAAAGAGCTTAAAGCACAATACAACCTATACCCTCCTAGTAAATTGGTTTTTACTCCAGTGGCTTCTGCTGGATACAAATTAGCATGAATGAACCCCTAATGCATATTCTTCAGAGGAAATGCTAATTATTCTCACTGGGCAAAATTTAAAGATCTCAAAATGGAGGCATTTTTTAAAAATCAGTCTACCTCACTTAGAAAGGAAATAAGTGTGAAGGTAAAGGGCTTAAGGGGTAATGAAGGTTAATTGCCAATTATACAGAAAAATTATGCAAAAGCAGGATAAAAACCACTTTCAAGAACTATTGCCCTTTCTTTTATTTGTGTTACAGTATTATTGTGGTTTTTTTTTTCCCTCTTTTAACATTGTTCTAAATTAGTTTGGTCTCTGTCACTTTTATTTAGATGTAAAATTTTCCGCAAAATATAAAACAATAGTAGTGACCATGACCCATTAATTAGATCAAAAGAAATATCTCAGAGAGAAGGAGGGCAAACTAAAAAGAGTGTTCTCATTTTGCTGAACTCTCCTGAGTAACATTAGAACAACTGAGAAGTTAAAATAGTCCATCTTCCTTGTGTATAAATGCTATTCCAGCTATTTTGAAATGAAACATTTAAAACAGCTGTTTTGAATTAAGGCAACATTAAAACTATTAGGTTTCAGCCAGGCGCGGTGGCTCACACCTGTAATCCCAGCACTTTGGGAGGCCGAAGCGAATGGATCATGAGGTCAGGAGATCGAGACCATCCTGGGTAACACGGTGAAATCCCGTCTCTACTAAAAATGCAAAAAAGGCCGGGCTCAGTGGCTCACGCCTGTAATCCCAGCACTCTGGGAGTCCGAAGAGGGCGGCTTGCCTGAGCTCAGGAGTTCGCGACCAGCCTGGGCAACACGGTGAAACCCCGTCTCTACTGAAATACAAAAAGTTAGCCGAGCGTGGTGGCGGGCCCCTGTAGTCCCAGCTACTCGGGAGGCTGAGGCAGGAGAATCGCTTGAACCTGGGAGGCGGAAGTTGCAGTGAGCCGAGATCCTGCCACTGCACTCCAGCCTGGGCAACAGAGCGAGACTCCGTCTCAAAAATAAAAAATAAAAAAATAAAAATGCAGAAAAGAAAAAAAAATTAGCTGGGCATGGTGGCGGGTGCCTGTAGTCCCAGCTACTTGGGAGGCTGAGGCAGGAGAATGGCGTGAACCTGGGAGGCAGAGCTTGCAGTGAGCTAAGATCACGCCACTGCACTCTAGCCTGGGCAACAGAGCGAAACTCTGTCTCAAAAAAAAAAAAAAAAAACTATTAGGTTTCATTCCGGTCACTTGCCCTATACTCCCGGTACACATTAGAAGTTCACATCATGTATGTGATCCAATTTGTCCTTCCATCCTTTAAAATATCAACAAAGTTGCATTCATTTGTGCTCCAATTGGACATCCATTGAGAAACAGGTTAAATAAATATTTATTTCTGTAAACCTATCAAAATCTATAGATGTCTAGTTCTCATACTCTAGTCGTTCTGAACCAATTAAACTAAACATCATCCAACTAGTGGAGCATCCTGGGATCTATACCCAATCAAAAAGATTGTGAGTTCAGACCCAAATGGGTTTTCAGACAGCAATAGCAGGTTGAGGCTGGGTTTGAAAAATTACACTGACTTAGAGAAGCCATACAAATATTGACTAGCTTTCATTTTGTGGGAAAAACAGGGTACTGACAAGTCACTTGAAATCATCTAGAAGTGATTGGTGATTTCAAAATGATTACCTTTTCCAGTACCTTAAAGTCTAAAATTTTGGCAAAATTAGATGTTTCAATGTATGTTGACCACACATAACCCAGATGCTTTCTCGTGGTTATCTTTAGCATCCACACATTACTGTATGGTTTATAGTCATTCATTCAATTATTCTCTTTTTCTTTTTGTTCAACAAATAATGACTGGATCTTTTACAAGGTGATGGTGATGCAGAGAAAGACTGAACTTGAATGTGCCCCTATTTTTCATTAATTCACAGGGTGCTAACTAATTGTTGTAGACAGAATTTTAAAATGTATATGATTATACACCCTGTATAATCCTCTCTCTTGATGTAGGCTGGACCTGTGAATATAATGGGAAATCACCCCCATAACTATGACAAAGTCCTTTAATGAACTATGAGTTGATCAAAGGGGAGTTAATCATGGGTGGGCCTGACCTAATTATTTGAGCCCTTAAAGAAGACAAGAAGCAGCAGCAAACACTTTTCTGCTGGTCTTTAAGAAACAAACTGCCATGTTGTGAGAGGAGGAGGTCAGGAGACAAGGACCTGAGGCTGAACTCTGCAAACTGAGAAGTCTTTGACCAAGAACCGGCAAGAAAATGGGACCTCAGCCATGTAATGGCATGGAAATACATTCTGCCAAAAACCTATGAGCTGGAAGAAGACACTAAGCCTTAGATGGGATGGTAGCCACAGTTAACACCTTGATTTCAGCATTGTGGGATGCTGAATAGGACTCAGCTAATCTATTAATATAACTGGACTCCTGACACACATAAGCTGGAAACCGATAAATTTGTAGAGGTCTAAGCCCCTAAATGTGTAATAATTTGTTACATAGAAAGAGATAGTTAATATACAGACAGATACATAAACAAAATATATATAATAAAATGTTTAAAGTAGTATGGGAGAGGCTTGTGAAAAATAAGGTAGGCACAAAGGAAGTGTCATAAAATCTTCTTGATAGGATGAGGTAGCTTCATGAAGAGGTGACTGTAGGTTGATAGATAAAATTTAGTTTTGTCTGTAGTGTGTATTTGCTAAGTGTCTGTTATCTGGTTAAATCTAGATATTGGAAAGAGAAACATAACAGAACCATGTCCCCAGATCTTGAGCAATTAAGATACTGACAATGTGCAAGTTAGGATAGTGCATAAAGCAGGGGCAGCCCAGAGCAAAGGCAGGCCAGTGATAGCTAAGATGTTTTGGGAGCTTATTACGTAATGATCACTATTCTAAATATTTGAGATATATAAATATATTATCATATTTAATTCTTATGCAACATAATGGCAGGATTAGTATTGCCATCCCCATTTTAGTGATGAGAAAACTGTGGCATAGATGGGTTAAGTAAAGTTACCCAAGGTCATTCATCGAGCCATTAATTGGCACAGTTGAGAACTGATTTCATATAGTCTGACTGTAGAGATTCTGCTTATAGCCACAGTGCTATAATAAGAGTATAGAATGGCATAATGTAGCTTACCATATTCTGGGAAGCAATTTTTGCTTTGGATTTTCTATTGTCAACTGGATGAAGAATATTGACCAGTTCTGTTCTCTCTTGGTTAATGTGTCATTGATATATCCGCCTTAAACTAGCAAGTGACAGTGAAAAATATGTGGGAGTAAAAAATGCAATTGTATCCCTGGACTATGGGGGGTGTATCATTAATATAGGAGTTATTGAATAAGAAAGAAGTGTAGGTTAGAGCTCAGAGAATTAAGAAAAAGATTACATAACCAAAGACATATAATCTCAAACAAATACTTAAAAGTATTCCTTTTAATACTTTTACCTATATATGTTACTTAGGTAAAATATATTATTTTGGTTTTACCTAAATATATTATAAAATAGTGCAATTTAATGTTGTAGTATCTTTTGCATGCAATAAAATATATTTGTGATAAAATCCAGAGTTCCCAATCTCTCATTACAAAAGTCATTTGAACTTTTCAAGGTTTTCTAAAATGGAACAGAGCAATGTAGGATTAACACGCAATTGTCCCCCATCACATCCCGGATTAAAAAGCATAATTTTATCTGAAATAAGAATTATACAAAGTAAGGTTTATAATTAGATTCTGTGATCCTATTCTAAGGCTTCAATTTTATGATGTGTATTAATCTTGCATGGAACTTTGCATTCTAATAGGAAATAGGGTAAATTTCTTAATGTTCAAAGACCAAGTGGAATTGGTGCCCATGTACGCGTAGATATTTTTACAGAAAACCATCATTCAATACTCTTTTAGTCAAAATGGCTTTAGTTAATAAAGGGGAAAAACATTACCACCTCATGAGTGAGATTCTTTTTGCACTTCTTTTGCAGACTCTACTCCCCTATTAAGTTATTGCAAACATTCTTTCTGATTCACAGATTCAACTGAAGTTCTTTACACTTAGATGTGAATAAATATTTTATGTTAGTGTTCTCGTCCATGAAGTTAGAAATTGGAATGCCTGCGTTTGTCATTTTTGTTTTGTTTTATTTTATTGAAGGAGAGAACAGAAAATTTTGCTTCTACACATGAACTGAAATAGAGAAATTGTCTTTTTCTACTGTCATTACCACGTTTTCCTCAAAGTTCAGGCCCTATTTCTAACACCTCAATTGTAATTCTGTTATCTTGGAAATGTGTTTTTATGATTTCTGATACTATAAAGAAGAGAATAATCTGAGTGGGAGATAGTAAAGGTGTGTTCTTGACTCCGTCTTAAAGAGAAAAAACCTGCTATGTTAAAAACATTGAGTGACATTATTGTTGAATTACAGGACATATTTCTGGAGAAGCAACATGTTTTCTCAGGACTTTATACACACTTTTATTCAGAAAGTAAAAATGCTATTTAAAATATTCCTTTAGATTTTATAAACTTATAATTTATTCATTAAGAAATACATACACACAATTAAGAGATTATTTCCAGGCAATAATCTGAATTTTTTTTCTGTATTTTATTCTACCTGAAGATGCTCTCTACAGCATCAATAGCAGAAACAGACATATAAAGTGATAAATTTCCTTTGCTTGATTCCTGTCCTCTAAGAATAAAAACTGTGGCTGTATTGTTAAAACATTAAAAATTATATTTCTTCATGACTCAATGTCCTGTATTTCCTTATGCAATGTGACCATAGCAAGAGTTTATGTGGCAGAGTGAACAGATTGAATTGAAAAGTAATCACAATAAGAGTCTGAATTGTGTTCATTTAATATTTAACATATTTATTATATATCTTCTAGGTGGTAAGGACACATACCAAAAGTGTAACATGGACCCTGTCATCAAATTACATAATCTGAGCAATAGGGTACAAAAACACAGAGAATATAATAAACATTGATTTAATAATAGAATCATAAATTTAATGATGATTTCTACATATGGTACAGTGAGATCATACTGGGTAAATGACACAGGAAGAGACTTTTAACATAAAAAGTGTACTATTCTCATCAATGAACAGTGAAATGGTGCTTATGCTATGTCTCAAAATTTTGGAGGTAAGATGATAAGTTTACATTCATTATAAACAACAAACCTGTGTCTACCAGAACAGGTTAGGGCAGAAGTATATTGTAACCTATAGGTTAATTCTTTTGATATTTTCGAAGATAATTCTTGTCTTAGAAACCAGTGAATATGGTGCTTTAATCATTTTTTGTGTACACCACATTTTTAAATTTTATTTTATCAACTTATATTTTAAGTTCTAGGGTATACGTGCAGGATACGCAAATTTGTTACACAGATAAACGTGTGCCATGGTGGTTTGCTGCACAGATAATCCCATCACCTAGGGATTAAGCCCAGCATCCATTTACTATTCTTCTTAGTGCTTTTCCACCCCTTCCCCACCCCCTGACAGGCCCCAGTGTGTATTGTTCCCCCACCATGTGTCCATGGATTCTCATTTTTCAGTCCCCATTTGTAAGTGAGGACATGCAATGTTTGGTTTCCTTTTCCTGCATTAGTTCGTTGAGGATAATGGCTTCTGACTTCATCCATATCCCTGCAAAGGACATGATTTCATTCCTTTTTATGGCTGCATAGTATTCCGTGGTGTATATGTACTACATTTTCTTTATCCAGTCTATCATTGAAGGGCATTTGGGTTGATTCCATGTCTTTGCTATTGTGAATAGTGCTGCAGTGAACATACACAAGCATGTATCTTTATAATGAAAGGATTTCTATTCCTTTGGGTAATACCCAGTATTAGGATTGCTGGGTCAAGTGGTATTTCTGGGTCTAGGTCTTTGAGGAATCGCCACACTGTCTTCCACGATGATTGAATTAATTTACATTTCCACAAACAGTATAAAAGTGTTCCTTTTTCTTCCCAACCTTGCCAGCATCTGCTGTTCCTTGATGTTTTAATAATCACCATCCAGACTGGCCGATACTGAGATGGTATCTCATTGTGGTTTTGATTTGCATTTCTCTTTGATAGTAATGTTGAGCTTTTTAATCATATGTTTCTTGGCCGCATAAATGTCTTCTTTTGAGAAGTGTCTGTTCATGTCCTTTGCCCACTTTTTAATGGGGTTGTTTTTCTTCATAAATTTCAGTTCCTTGTAGATTTGGGATATTAAACCTTTATCAGATGGATAGATTGCAAACATTTTCTCCCATTCTGTAGGTTGCCTGTTCACTCTGATGATAGTTTCTTTTGCTGTGCAGAAGCGCTTTACTTTAATTAGATCCCATTTGTCAATTTTTGCTTTTGTTTCAATTGCTTCTGGTGTTTTTGTCAGGCAATCTTTGCCTGTGCCTGTGTCCTGAACGGCATTGCTTAGATTTTTTTCCAGGGTTTTTATAGTTAGGGGTTTTTCATTTAAGTCTGTAATCAGTCTTGAGTTAATTTTTGTATAAGGTGTTAGATAAAGAGTCTAGTTTTAATTTTCTGCATATGGCTGGCCAGTTCTCCCAGCACCGTTTATTAACTAGAGAATCCTTTCTCCATGGCTTGTTTTTGTCAGGCATGTTGAAGATCAGATGGATATGCTGAAAACAATTGAGAGTTTTAGAAGACATGGATACATTTATTCAACATTAGGAATATTTTTTCCAACGCATAAATGTACTTTTTATTGATGAATGTCACAGCCAAAATATGTTTTCAAAATTGAAGAAAAAAATAGCAAAGGGAATTCTTCACAGCTGGACCTCCTTGTAGACACTATTAAGGAATGGCAATGGAGTATCTATGCTAAATTAAATACATATGGAAGTTACAAGAATATAACTCACATTTGAGAGTTTGGGAAGAGAAAAGCATAACTGGGATAGATTATAAAATACTATTTTTCTAAACATCTCACAGCACCTATGTGTGGGAAAATTGGTTTGGATGCATATTCTCTTTCTCTCTCCCTGTCTCTTTCTCTCTCTCTCATTCTCTCTCTCTCTCTCTCTCATATCCATATTATACACACTATATATGGAATATAGAATTAATTCAGTTTGTACCACTTTGTTTTTAATCAACTATTGTTGAAGGTAATTCTATTAAATAGCTTGTGTTTGGAAAATATAGTTTAAAAATATATGTACATATACATATATAATTTGTCAATTTATCTCATTGTTGTCATCTTAAAGGCACAAAATTTCTTTCTGTCTTACTTTTCTCCTCTTCCTGATTCTTCTTTCTCTTTCACATCTCTGCTAATACCTCTCTTGATACAGATTCTTTTCCTATTAAAATAGACCAGAGTTTTCAATATCCAGTGGTTTCTAAAAAGCCAAATTTAAGAAAAATCACCTGAACTTAGTCACAGAACAATATTCAGGTACCTTAAAATAACATGGTCATGTTGCTAACTACAAAATAAATTAAATCTAAAAAACAACAACAAAAACCTTCTGCTTTTTTTTTTTTTTTTTTTTTTTTGCCAAGATGAAGTGTATTTGTCTATTTTCATGCTGCTAATAAAGACATACCTGAGACGGGGTAATTTATAAAGAAAAAGAGGTTTAATGAACTCACAGCTCCACGTGGCAGGAGAGGCCTCACAATCATGGTAGAAGGTGAATGAGGAGCAAAGTCACGGCTTCCTTGGTGGCAGACAAGACAGCGTGTGCAGGACAACTCCCCTTTATAAAACCATCAAATCTCATGAGACTTATGAGACTTATTCACCATCACGAGAACAGCACTGGAAAGACCTGACCCCCCCGATTCGGTTACCTCCCCCAGGGTTCTTCCCATGACATGTGGGAATTATGGGAGCTAAAATTCATGAGATTTGCGTGGGGACACAGCAAAATCATAATGGAGTAGAGGGAATATATTTACCCTTCCCCACCAAAAAAATCACAAAAAAAAAATTTAGGATAGTTAACATCAGACAGTGATGAACAGTGATTACCAAGAAATAGGAAACAAATAATGTGAGCCCCGAAATAGCTCCAGTTTACTATCTTGTGAAAAAGTTTCCAAGCTGAGGCACAGGGCCTGGGAACTCAGATTTCAGAGACCTCAGGAGACAGGGTTAAGAGTCCCAGGGAAACCACAGTTGATTGAATAGAGTCTCCTCAGAACACACGTTCTCCCAGAGCCTCTGCTTGTAACCATATTTGGAAAGAGGGGTTCTGCATACATAAGTAAGGTAATAATTGAGATCACATTTTACTAGGTTAGTGTAGGTCCAGAGAAAGTCTCCTTATAAGAGATGGAAAGGAACACACAGAAATGCAGGGAAGAAGATGGCATAAAAACAAAGACAGAGATTTTGTAATTTTCATTCACCTGGATTTTCTATAATTTTTATCTGTGTGTTTATTATATCATCCAAGTTTCTAATTTTATGATATAGTAACTTAAGTTGTATCGTAATAACTGTATTCACTCATTGTATGCTAATTCTAGCATATGTCAGTTCTGGGTCAGTTTCAATTGATACAAGTCAAAAAATGCCAAAGACTGCCAGGCAGTGAGATAAGCAGCTAAGATGGAGGCATGGAATGGATTCCTCCTCACACCCTATAGAAGGAACCAACCCTACGGACACTTTGATTTTGAACTTCTGGATTCCAGGACTAGGAGAAAATAAATACCTGTTATTTTAAGCCACCAAATTTATGGCAATTTTTGTCGTGGTCTTTGGAAACTAAGAGACCAAGGCAGCTAGAGTTCACAGGACAGAATACTGAAGAAGAGAAAATTTCCAAAATCACCTGGAAATCTGCAGAGGATTCCACTCGAGTATTCAATAGAATCCTGAGCAGTACATGCATGTAAGAAAATAATTCATGACATGGCAAGACCTTCTGAAAGGATTAGGAAGAGCTATTCCCAGAGACACACAGGGCCAGGAATAGTGCCTGCCCCCATCAGCCAGACAAGAAAACCTCAGGATTGACAGGACCTTGGGTAGAGCACTCAGAGGGTTTTGCTTATTTCCCAGAAGAGTGGAAAATAGTCCTCAATTAAACACAGCTCTGGTTCCAGCTGCTTTTTAAAACAAGACTGAAAGGAACACACTGTTTTAAAGAAAATGTGACTCAGGATATTGTAGCAATACCAAAATACCCAGCTCCCAGCAAGATAAATTCAAAATTATCTGGCATTTATGAAAGATGACAAAAATATCCAAAGAAGAAGAAAAATTTGATTCATAGTGAGAAATATAAACCAATTAAAACTGATCCATAACTGTCACATGTTAGAATTAGCAGACAAGGAATTAATACAGTTGTTATGATACACTTAAATTATTATATCATGAAAGTAGAAACATGGATGATACAACAAAGACACAAATAAAAATTGTAGAAAATCCAGGTGAATTAAAATTTAAAAATCTGAAATAGAAATACAATGATGGGATTACGAATTTATCATTGCAAAATCAGTATTAGTGAGCTTGAAGACATGTTGAAAGTAGCAACTCAAACTAAAGTGCAAAGCAAAAATTCAGTAAAATTAGAAGGGCATCAGTTAGCAATGGGACTACTTCAAGTTATCTAACATACATGTAATTGTAGTCACCAGAGTAGAGAAAATGAGAGAGAATATATTTGAAAAAAAATTGAAAACATGTTTGAAAAATTATTTGAAAAATAACTAACAAAAATTAGAGGAGAGAGAGAAAATAAGAGAGAGAAGCTATGTAAGGGGAATCTGTAAGTGAAAGAGGGAAGACCAAGATCAACCACTACAATTTAAGGATGTTATTTGGATCCTAATACTATAAAAAACTTAACTGTATATCTTCTGATATAAGAAATTGTTGTCCTAATGGTTTGGTGGTATTGTTAAAAAAGAATTCATTGTATGTAGTGTCATAAGATATGCAGAATAATTTTCAGAAGAAATGGAATGATATGTGGTGTTTCCTTCAGAATAACATACATGAAGATAAGTGGGTGGGGCAATATATGAAATCAGATTGGCTATGAGTTGATAAAGTTTTCAGCTGGTAATAGATACATGGGAGTTTATTATATTGTCCTATTTTTATATCTATTTTAAATTGTATGAAATAAATGTTGAAACAGAAAGGAGTCAGTAGTGAGCCACTGGACCTTGTGCAGGAAGGAGGAGGAGAAGGAGAGGCAAAGCATGAATTAAGATTATGCTCTTTGAAGCCAAATGGCCTAGATTCAAGCATACTTAATCTCTTAACCTCTCTAAAGCCAACATTAATAATATTATAAAATGAGAGCAATTTTAGATTCAACTCTGAAGTAATTGTGGAGTAAATAATGTTTGCAATAAGCATTTTAATTTCTGGAATACAATAAATTCCCAATAAATTTCAGTTATTATTTGTGGAGTGACCTAATTACACAGACAAAAGAAGAACAATTTAAAAAGAAAGAAATTAGGATTTTTTCTAATAATTATCAGAGGCTTTGAACTATAGTGGCTCCATTAAGCATGGAATAGATTTTAAATCCAAAAGAATCTGATTTTTCAATAAAGTATTATTCAGGAGTGAGTTCTAGTAGGAACAAAAGATCATTTCAAGGTTAGGCTTAGTGGCTCATGCCTGCAATCCCAGGACTTTGGGAGGCCAAGATGGGAGAATTGTTTGAGGCCAAGACTTCAAGATTAGCCTGGGCCACATAGCAAGACCCTGCCCCTATAAAACTAAAAATATTCCTGGGTGTGGTAATTCATGCCTCTAGTCCCAGCTACTTGGGAGGCTGATGCAGGAGGAACATTTGAGTCCAGGAGTTCATGGATATAATGAGATATGATCACCACTGCATTCCAGCCTGGGTGACAGGGTGAGACCACCACCCCCCAAAAAAGATAATTTCAAGACTTTAAGTGGGAAAATGCATTATTGTGAAACAACATGTACTACTTTTCATCAGCTAGATGTTAAGGTACAATTAACTTAATTATCAATCTTATAACACTAACAAAGTAAATAACAACACATATAAAGATTGTTTTAATTTTATTTTTGAAAATTAATAGGCTAAATACCTGACCCTTGCCAAATACTGGATGAGTGTAAGGCTCTACCATTAATATATTTCGAATTTACCTGTGTGATTCAGTTCTTCTACATACTATTTTTAAAATCCAATATTTACAAATAATACAAGCATACTTCATTTTATTGCACTTTCCTACACTTAGCATAGAATACTTTTTTAATTTTTTAATTTTTAATTATTTTTGCAAATTGAAGGTCTATGGTAATCCTGCATCAAGCAAATCTCTTGGCATCATTTTGCCAACACTATATGCTCACATCATGTCTCTGTGTCATATTTTGGTAATTCTCATAATATGACACTTTTTAAATTATTATTCTGTTATGGTGGCCTGTGATCAGTGATCTTTAGTGTCACTATTGTAATTTCTTGGGAGTACCAGAAACCATGCCCAAATAAGACAGAGAACTTAAGAAATGCTGTGTGTTCTGACTGCTCCATGAACCAGCCTCCTCCTGTTTGTGTTCCCTTTCTCAAATCTCCCTATTCCTTTAAATACCACAATATTGAAACAAGGCCAATAATAACCCTGTAATGGCCTCTAGGTGCTCAAGTAAACAGTTCACATGTTAAATTCACTTTATTATTTTTTCTTTTTTCTTTTTAATTATACTTTAAGTTCTGGGGTACTTGTGCAGAACGTGCAGTTTTGTTACATAGGTATACATGTGTCATGGTGGTTTGCTGGACCCATCAACCCATCACTACATTAGGTATTTCCCCTAATGTCATCCCTCCACTAGCCTCCCATCCCTCGACAGGCCCCAGTGTGTGATGTTCCCCTCCCTGTGTCCATGTGTTCTCATTGTTCAACTCCCACTTATGAATGAGAACATGCGGTGTTTGGTTTTCTGTTCTTGTGATAGTTTGCTAAGAATGATGGTTTCCAGCTTCATCCATGTCCCTGCAAATGACATAAACTCATCCTTTTTTATGGCCACATAGTACTCCATGGTGTATATGTGCCACATTTTCTTTATCCAGTCTATTATTGATGGAAATTTGGGTTGCTTCTAAGTCTTTGCCATTGTGATAGTACCACAATGAACATATATGTGCATGTGTCTTTATAGTAGAATGATCTATAATACTTTGGGTATATACTCAGTACGGGGATTCACTTTAAATACAAAGAGAGAAATGATTAATCTTATTGAGGAAGGAACTGTTGAAAGTCAAAACAGGCCAGAAGTTAGGCCTCTTGTGCCAAACGGCCAATGTGAGAGTGCAAAGAAAAAGTTTTTGAGGGAAATTAAAAGTGCCACTTTAGTGAGCACACAAATGCTAAGAATGCAAAACAGTGTGATTGCTGATATGAGAATGTTTCACTGCTCTGTATAGAATATTTAACCGGATACAACATTCTCTTAAGTCAAAGCATAATCCATGGCAAGACCGTAGCTCTCTTCAATTCTATGAAGACTGAGAGGGGTGAGGAGGCTGCAGAAGAAAAGTTTGAAGCTAGCAGAAGTTCATGGGTTCACAATGTTTAAGGAAAGAAGCAAAAAAGTGCAAAGTGAAGCAGCAAGTGCTAGTGGAGAAGTGCAGCAAGTTATCCAGAATATCTAGATAAGATATTTGATGAAGGTGGCCACACTAAACAGATTTTCAATACAGACAAAACAGCATTCTCTTGGAAGAAGGGGCCATGTAGACCTTTCATAGATAGAAAGGAGACGTCAATGCCTGGCTTCAAAGCTTCAAAGGACAGGCTAACTGTCTTGTTAGGGGCTAAAACAGCTGGTGGCTTTAAATTGAAGCCAATGCTTATTTACCACTCCAACAATCCTAGGGCCCTCAAGAATAATACTATATCTATTCTATCTGTGCTCTATTAATGGAAAAACAAAGCCTAGATGACTGATCATCCCTTTACACCATGGTTTGTGAATATTTTAAGCTTATAATTGAGACCTCCTACTCAAAAGCAAAGATTTCTTTCGATAAACTACTACTCATTGACAATACAGCTGGTAACCCAAGAGCTCTGATGGAGAGGTACAAGGATATTAATGTGTTTACATGCCTTTATAACACAACAATAGTTTTAGCAACCCATGGATCAAGGACTAATTTTGACTTTCAAGTCTTATTATTTTAAAAACATATTTTATAACACTATAACTGCCGTAAATAGTGACGACTCTTCTGATCAATCTGAGCAAAGCAAATTGGAAAACTTACAGAAAGAATGCACGATTCTAGATGCCATTGAGAACATTTTTGACTCATGGGAGGGGGCAAATACACCAACATTAGCAAGAATTTGGAAGAAGGTGAGTCCAACCGTGATGGATGACTTTGAGGGATTCAAGACTTCAGTGAAGTCAGTAACTGCAGATGTGGTGGAAATAACAAGAGAACTAGAATTATTAATAGAAGTGTGGCCTTAAAATGTGGTTGAATTGCTGTAATATCATGATAAAACCTGAATGAATAAGGAATTTCTTCTTATGGTTGAGCAAAGAAGGTGTTCTCTTTAGAAGAATACACTCCTGGTGAATATGCTATGAACATTGCTGAAATGAGAACAAAGGGTTTAGAATATTACATAAACTTAATTGATAAGGCAATGGCAAAGTTAGGATTGATTCCAATTTTGAAGTAAGTTCTACTGTAAGTGAAATGCTATCAAACAGCATTCCATGCTACAGAGGAATTTTTCATGAAAAGAGGAGCCAATCAATGTGGCAAACTTCATTGTTGTCTTTTTTTTTTTGAGACAGAGTCTCGTTCTGTGGCCCAGGCTGGAGTGCAGTGGCGCAATCTCGGCTCACTGTAAGCTCTGCCTCCTGGGTTCACGCCATTCTCCTGCCTCAGCCTCCCGAATAGCTGGGAATACAGGTGCCCGCCACCACGCCCGGCTAATATTTTTATATTTTTAGTAGAGACGGGGTTTCACCGTGTTAGCCAGGATGGTCTCAATCTCCTGACCTCGTGATCCACCCGCCTAGGCCTCCCAAAGTGCTGGGATTACAGGCGTGAGCCACCACGCCCAGCCTGTTGTCTTATTTTAAGAAACTGCCAAAGCCACCTGAACTGTAAGTAACTACCACCCTATCAGTAAGCAGCCACCAATACCAAAGCAAGACCCTCCACTAGCAAAAAATAACAACTTGCTGAAGGTGGAGATGATGGCTGACATTTTTAGAAATAAAGTATTTTTAAATTATGTACATTTTAGATATAATGCTATTGCATACTTACTAGACTACAGTATCCTGTGAACCTGAATATTATAGGCAATTGGAAATAAAAAAAATTGTGTGACTCGATTTATTGTGACATTCACTTTATTTCAGTGGTCTGGAAGGAAATGTGCTATGTGTCTGAGGTATGCCTGTAATAATCTTCTTGAAAATGCTTATCCCCTTAATTACAAGAGCATTAGATAATCCTTGCTACTGCTATTCTCACATATGTTAACAGAGATTTAGAATTTATACACTTCATAAGTAATCGCTCATAAGTGAGAGCATCAAACGTGACTATATATTATTACTACCTCTAATAGCTGTTTCTGACATTTTAATTTCCGTAGTGGTTGAAGATTTTTTTTATCGGTTAGAAACAACGTAAATAAAGCCAGTAGCCTACAATTAGATATTAAGATAGCACTTAACTTGATAAAAAGTCAATGTATGGATATTAAGATTCCATCAGTGTGCACTAAATATGCCAATGGTGGGTTTGGATTCTTTGCCGTCCGTTACAACAACCAGGAAAGGATGAGATGAAATAGAGGCTTCACGCAATTCTCCTACTTTTGGATACCTATTGAATTACTACCACGTCTGTCAGTGTTTTCCTTTATTGTTAAGCATATGGATGAGAAGTCAGAGCCTCTTCATTCATGAATAAATCAGTGTCCATTTTTGTTCCTTTTTACCTTGTAGCTTCATGTAAAAACAGGAGGGACATGGAACACCTGTTTCAGATAAGGTATGCCTTTATCTCCTGAGTAATTCAGGAGTAAATTTTATTGAAAATTGTATGACTTTATCTTGAGAGAAGTGAAACTATTTTCTTAACAGGTTCTATCACTTCAGCTTTCTGTAAGTGTCGTCTCATTTCTGTAAAATCAACGCTCTTCCTGAAATCAAAACCTTGACTCAAAGCCCTGACATGACGCTCAGTCTATGAGTGAACAGCAAATTTCCTGAAATAAACACAGTAACAACAGTAACAACAAAGGTGAATGAACAGAAATGCTGCTACTACAGGTTCCATGCCCCATACTTACAACTGGTGTGATGGAGACCAAGAACTTAGAGGGGCTGATCCTGCTGGTTGGTATTCATTAAACTTTTGTCTTGTTTCTGATTATGCAATGTAGATAAAAAACATTTCTGATCGTCATCTCCAAGACCTAATGATTTGATGACCTGTGGAGCCATTCAAATTCACTTGCTTTGGGTTGCAAGTGAGTCCTTTCTCACGGTTAACCTTGCCTTGCAATTCCTGGGTTATGGAGCCTGGCAGGGAAGAGTGCTAAATCAAGGACAAAGAGAGTCACAGAACTTAGCCCATGAAGAGCACACTTCCACTGGCTTTGCAGTCTATCAATCAATCTATCTATCTATCCATCTATCTATCTTTCTATCTATCTACCTATCATCAGCACACCTTAGCTGCTGACTCTTAAACAGTTTTGTGTATATATTTTTCTCTATACATTTTGAGTATGTGTGTAAACAGATGATAGATAGAGACATAGATATAGTCATGTTTACTGCATCTTAAATGGTATTTATACGTTCACTTATGAATGAAGACTTCAAGATAATGGAGCTCTTAACTGAAGTACAACACATACAGAAAATATGCACACATTAGAAATTATCTAGTTATCATGAAATTAACATATATATATGTAGAGAGAGAGAGAGAGAGAGCCATTATCAAGCAGCATTATGCAGTACTATTCCTGAAGAACTGGAATAGTATTAATTCCAGAAACTTCTGTCATGCTCTGACCTAGTCATTATTCTCTCCCTGCACCCTTAATATAACCCTGAACCTGATGTCTGATATCAATCATATAGTAGTTTTGCCAGTTTTTCAAGGTTATGTGAATGAAATTAAAAAGTACATACTTTTTATTAAAATTTTCACACGATATGTTTTTCATTCAATACTATATGTGCAAGTCTCATTTATGTCACTGCACGTAACAGGATTTTTTTCATTTCCATTGCTATATAGTGCTGTAACATAAAATGCTTTATATAACCCTTCCTTAGTGAAAGTGGGTGTATACTAACTGTGCTCCTTATCACATAGAATAAGTTTTACAACACTTTCAAAATAAGCTTCTCAATTCTCACCAAAGAAAGGAAAAAAAAAAAGCTGACACAATTCTAAAAAGTTGGGCTCATGGGCCAGGCGCGGTGGCTCACACCTGTAATCCCAGCACTTTGGGAGGCCGAGGCAGGTGGATCACGAAGTCAGGAGATCGAGACCATCCTGGCCAACATGGTGAAACTCCATGTCTACTAAAAATACAAAAAACTTAGCCAGGCGTGGTGGCGGGCAACTGTAGTTACAGCTATTCGGGAGGCTGAGGCAGGAGAATGGCGTGAACCCAGGAGGCAGAGCTTGCAGTGAGCTGAGATCACGCCACTGCACTCCAGCCTGGGCAACAGAGCAAGACTCCATCTCAAAAGAAAAAAAAAATTGGGCTCACATGAAATCTATGAAATGATTTCAGAAGGACTAGCATCTTTCAATATTGGGTTCACAATATGAGAACTTGGAATATCTTTCAATTTACTTAGGACTGTTACCTATTTTTTTTTGTAATGGTTTATAAATGTCTGTATGGAGGTGTTGCCATTTTCTTTTAAATTTTCACTAAGAAATTCTACTCTTTAATTTTTTTATTTTGGTGATTTAAAAATATTATTATTTTACTAATATGTATTTTTATTGCTAATATTTTATTCCTTTATTTGTGGAATACACACAACATACTGTTTTTTATGCATCACTCATTTGGTTTGCTACATTTGTGTGTAAATATACTCAGAATTTTATTTATTTTTATTTTAGTTTTCATAGGTTATATTTTGCTAAGATTGTCCATTTTTTTCTAAATTTTCAAACAAAAGTAAAATATGCTCATTTACATCTGTATAAAATTTTATTGTTAAAAATAAGTAGAGAAAATCACACAAAAGAAATATACAGGTTATGAATTACTAATTCCTTTTTTATTTTAATCACTACTATACCAAGAGCAAGAACCTTGCTAGGTATCTCTGATACCTCTACAAGCCACTCCTAAACCCAAGCCATTCCTGCTATCCTGAGTATTACTTCTCCTGAGCTTTGTGACTATCATGCTTGTCATATATCTTATCGTTTTATCATCTGAGTATCCTAAACATTATTGTTAGTGTTGCATGCTTCAATTTATATTTTGTAAATCATGTCTACTTCATCTTACAAGGGTTATATACTTAAGATAAAACTGCAACATTTTACCTTTTGGTACACCATAGATTATTTCTCTCCTTTCTGAGGTCTTCTAAGTTTATTGTCTGTTAAATACAATAATTTAATAGTTGGTATATTAAATCTACTTAAGAAAAAATGTATAGAAATAATCAATTATTTAGTCTTATTGGAGGAAGAATAAGAGAGTCAAATAATAGAATTATCAAACTACTTTTCATCAACTCAGAATCTTCAGGATGTTTTAATATAATAACATTCTCTAAGATCTTTGTTACATAAGGCTATTTTAAAATCATTTAAAAAATCTCAAGTGGAAATTTTGTGAACTGTAAATAAAATGTGAAGTTGGTTGAGAAAAAGATAAAGGAATACTAGGAAGGCAAAGATGATTATCACAATCGCCCTAGGAATCATTCTTGAAGGCTAAATTTCAGGAAAGAGCCTATGAAATTATTTTAATGGTAGAAAGTGTGAGAGAGGTGTTCCAAATCTTCCAGAAATACTTTCTGGTAAATAAAATGAATAAAAGCAAGGTAAGAAAGCCATTCATTTCTCTATTTTGTTTGGAAATTGTCCCTCTATTGTTTCTACTGTCTCCATAATATTTGAATTATTGATGGAACTTTTGATTAGGTTTTCTTAATTATCTATATTAGAAAGAAATGTTCATCATACCACCAAAGAAAAGCTTTCACTTACAAACACTCTAAATATATTAATACTTTATTCAATAAACATTTTTAAAGATCGACTTTGTCAAAGGTGGTTTGAAGAATAAGGAAAAGTCTGAGTGCAAGCCCTTTAGAGATTTGTAGGGTACAACTGTTAGAAATATAAAGCATGTGATAACAACTGTAATGGAACATGAAATGTCAAATTTCTCAAGAATAAATAAAATGGCACAATTCCAATGAAATGTTAAATGACTCAGAGGGGATATCAAATTATATTTTTTATATTAAGTAGCCTATGTATGTAGGGAATATATAAAAACATTAATAAAAATTTGCCAAATTAGCTTGTATAAATTCTAATATTCTATAAAAATTAGATTGGTCATGTGAACATTTCACAGTTTAGCAAATTTACTCTCTACTAATTTTCAGAACTTTAGATATACACATTTTGTACATTACCATTCCAAATTGATTGATACAGTCTTCAATGACAATAATCTTTTATAAAACAATACAGAAACAATTTCTTTCCCCATTCTACCACTGCTTTTTAAAAAATGTTTTAGTATGATAAATAATACTGAAAAAAAATTCTTCTGCATGGTTCCTGGGATGTATGTCTGCCAGTCTTGACAGTCTTATGGAGCGAAAATGTTATTTCATTGCTGTTTCGATTTGCATGTTGAGTATTAATGATATTGAAATGGGTATGTTTGTGTATATGTATGTGTTTGTGCCCCTTTAATTTTCCTTTCAGATATGCGGTTTATTTTGTTACTTTGTGTTGTTTCTCTTTCTCTTATCATTTTATAGGAGTACATTGTAAAAATAATGCATTTTTCTCTATACAAGTGGACAATTTATTTTCCTAATCTGCAACATCAATCTTCCCTTTGCTTATGTTAACATTTCTCATTTCTATGTTTTAAACACTGATGTGGTAATATTTATTAACTTGTTTTTATTTTTTTCTTCTTTCATCTGGCATAAATAATTAATACCTACAATTAGACCATGAAAATAGTTATTGTTTTCCAATGAAAGTATAACGTTTTCATATCAGATTGATGTCTTTAATGCATCTGGAAAGGATTTTTATTTCTGTTGACAACAGAATATTTTTTGGCCGTTTCTATGTTTATTTGTCATATGGATAAATAGTTGTCTCATCACCATGTTGAACAGGCTTTTCTCTCCCTATTGATTTAAAATTTCCCATTTGTTGTATTTCAAGTTTTTAGAGGATGGATTCCTCTCTTTCTGGAGTTTCATTTTGTCTCATTTGTTCATTTGTCTAACTTTATTCCCACACAGCAATGCATTAAATAATGGGACATTAAAATAGTTCTTAAATTTTGTACTAACAGTAATAACTTATATTACAGGGAATATATCATGAGTTATCTGGTATTTTTTGGAAATTCTTAGATGGTATAATACTTGATTAATTTTTGTAGGGATTTGAAAGTGTAGTTGAGTAAAATATATATGTTTCATAATTTCATGGTACTGGAGTCTATACATGTCTAAGGTTAAGCTTCTGAATTATCCTTTTCAAATATTCTATAGCTTTTATTATTTTTTCTCTGTGTTATTTTGATTACTAAGACATGTACACAAAATTTATTAATTTTTCTTGATAATTTTGGAAAAAAAATTGTCTTTTAAGATTATTTAAATAGATAATAAATATTTAGGGTTTTATATTTGTCTAATGGATTGATCTTTTCAACATCACATCACAATCATCTTTTGGCAAATAATACTTCTGTATTAAAGCTAATTTATTTCTTATATAACCATCACCATCACTTGCCGAATTATCTATTTCTTAATATTTACTTAGGATCTATCTCTTTATCATTTTGTTTCTTAGTTCTCTGTCCTTTGATTATTTGTGTAACAATATAAACTGATAGCATTTTATTTTGGATTTGTAAGTTTACTCAGCTTGCATTGACTGTGAAAACTGTGCATTATTTGTTTCTTTCATTTTTTGTTGTGCTGTCTAATTATAGTACTTAAATATTTTGTAATATCTGTAGTCATTACAAGATATATTGTTTTCTGGACTATTTCATTAAGTTAATAATGATGAAAACCATCAAAGTTATTAGCCATCTCCAGACAATTTTAGAACCTTAGAATGTCTTAATTTTGAACATTTCCTTCTTCTTATTTTTGTATTTTACTTTCCTTTGTTTTAACCCATGCCAGGTTAGTAATTACATTTATTTATTTATTTATTTATTTATTTATTTATTTATTTATTTATTTTGAGATGGAGTCTTGCTCTGTTACCCAGGCTAGAGTGCAGTGTTGCAATCTCAGCTCACTGCAACCTCCGCCACATGTGTTCAAGCAATTCTCCTGCCTCAGCCTCCCAGCCGCCATTATTATTTTGAATACTCACCAAGTATCCAGATATAAGCATTAATGACCCTTTTTTTCTGTTTGTCATTCTTTCTTAACTTCAATATTCTCATCCCCAGGGTGCTTCTTTAACACATTCAAGAAATACCTGATGATGATAAATTACTGCAGCTAATATGCTCTTTGAAAACCTGTGTACTTTTTACTCCTTTTTGAATCATAGTTCATTTGGTTTTAGAATTATATATTGGCAGTTGTTTTGTTAACTCTTTGAAGATATTAAGTTGCTTTCCAAATTTTATTCTGTTTAAGGATAGGTATTATTTATATACACTTCTAAATTTTTCATAAACTTATTTTGGTATTTGGTTCTTTGTCCTGGTTTGGGGGTAATTTGCAGTGCTATTTCAACTATCTAGGTATGCTGGTTTTAGAATGTGTCGGCAAATTTTTGACACTTTTTCCCTGAAAGTGGGACAGACTTAGTGTTTCAATTCTTAATTAGTCCATTCTCACATTGCTGTAAAGAACTACCTGAGACTGGGTAATTTATAAAGAAAAGAAGTTTAACTGACTCACAGTTCTGCAGGCTGTATAGGATGCATGGCCAGGGAGGCCTCAGGAAACTTAAAATCATGGCGGAAGGTGAAGGGAAAGTAAGCATATCTTCACATGGTGGCAGGAGAAAGAGAGTGAACACTTTTAGTGTGGCGCACTTTTAAACAATCAGATCTTATGAGAACTTTACCAAGAGGCAGCACTAAAGGGATGGTGCTAAACCATTAGAAACCCCCATGATTTAGGCCCCACCTCCAACACTCAGAATCACAATTCAACCTGAGAGTTGGGTGGGGACACAGCCAAACCATATCAAATTCTAACTACTAGAGTGTGGTAAAACTGATTATATGGGACTTCTAAGGTTAGAAGATAGAAATGATACAGCTTCCATCTCCCTGTCTCTCTCTCCCTCTCTCTCTCTCTCTGTTGGATTATGTCTTCCAGGGGAATCAGTCTTTATCTCACGAAGACATTTCTGGAGTGTCATGGAAGCATTTCTGGGAGAATGGGTGGCAAAACTTGCCAGCCATGTGATCAAGACATCTTGGAGTGGATCTCCAGTCCCACGTAAGGATTCACATGACTGTGGCCTTGGCCACCGACATCTTGGCTGCAACCCTTTGAAAGATCTTGAGCCAGAACCCACCCATCATTTCTGACCTACACAAACTGTGTGAAAATAAGTAATTGTTTCAAGCTATTTAATTTTGGAATAGCCTTGGGTAATTTATTAGGTAACAATGGATAACTAATATACTAAGTATTCTTTAGGCATATTTTTACTTTTCTGGGGATTTACTATAATCCTGGGAACTAAAAATTTATTTTCTTAAGTCTACAACGTTCCCATTAATTATCATTTCAATTTTACTTCTCCTGTATTCTTTCTGATCATCCCTTTTGTAACTCATAAGAAATAAATTCTGACTCATCAAGACCTGGCTGCCCATACTGCTTAACGTTTTTTTTAAAGTTTTTCATCTCCTTATTTCATGTTTCATTCACTAGAAATTCCTCAGTATAATCTTTAAAGACATTCATCTCTTCTTCAGGTTAATCATTTTCAATTTTGTTTTGAGTTATTTTAAACATTAGAAAGTAATGACGTTTTTGTTTATCAAAATTATATTTGATTCTTTAAATATTCAACTGGCTTTATTTTGATAATATTATGTTATTTATTTAAGTTTGTATTGACTTGCATGACTTAAGGAAAGTTAAACATCGTATAGTCTCCATACTACTATTGTTCTATCATTTGATGTTCCCCCCATTCTTTGTTGTATCTCCTGACTCCCATTTATGTTGTATCATTCCCTCAGTTGTCAAGTTAATTCAGACTCAGTTCATGTCCAGTGGGACATTGCCAGTGTGTCAATAATAGAGGACATAAATCTCAAACTAGTCTTATCTTTGTCTCTACTAAGCATTCCAAGTTTTACCCTTGGTGACGAACCATTTAAAAATATTTTATATTTAAAGTTTTTGGTTTGGTGTTCCCGGCCTATGTGGGCAGTATAAATTCAAATATCAATTTCAGGAGACTCATGGTAATAAATTCTCAGGAGGATTTTATTTTCTATTCAGAGCTCCGTCTGAAAAAGATAAAAAAATACTGTGTTGGGTGGCATTTTGAGAGTCGCAGCTTGATGCAGCATCAGCTCTAATAGTCTACAAAAGCTCAGTTAGGTGTTGCTTTCTGTCTTGTCCTCTATACAGGCCTCTAAACCCAAATCCTTATTGAGATTGTATCTATTCTCCTTCTCCCAAAGATCTCAGCGAAATCCAGGCATATGTTAAATGCAGTGCTCACTTTCCTAAACCTGTATTTTTATGGGAAATCCCTTCCTACAGAGATGGTTTGGCTCTAGTGTCCCCACCTAAATCTCATGTCAAATTGTTATTCCCAATGTTGGCAGAGAGACATGGTGGGAAGTGGTTGGATCATGGAGGCAGACTTCCCCCTCTCTGTTCTCATGATAGTCAGTGAGTTCTCACGAGATCTGATTTTATAAAAGTATGTAGCACTTCCTCCTTCTCTCTGTCTCCTGACACCATGTGAAGATATGCTTGCTTTTCCTCCTTTCTTCCACCATGATTGTAAGTTTTCTGAGGCCTCCACAGCCATGCCTCCTGTACAGCCTGTGAAACTGTGAATCAATTGTACCTCTTTTCTTTATAAATTACCCAGTCTCAGGTAGTTCTTTATAGTAGTGTGAGAACAAACTAAAACACCTACCAATTCAGGATGACCAGTGAAGAATAAAGAAAGAAACAAAGAGAAAGTAAGTAGAATTGATTGTGGAAAAAAAAAGAGGCAAGGATATGGGATTAGTTAATTTGGATGATAGAACCAGAGGAGTATCTTGGAAACAAATATTTTTCAAATAATGAAAGCCTAAAATGTAGATATTCCTTACCAGAGGCCTTTGGACCAATGAAGAGGCCAAATTTAGACAAATTTAAACTTAGAAACATAAGATTTTTTGAAGAGCCACTACTGTCCCAAAATAAAATGAGACTCCTCAGGAGCTACTTCTCTGAGAGGTACTGGGTTATCAATAGAATTTGTTCAAGAATGGCAGGGGAAGTAATTGGAGACTTTTAGTTCTGTGCTATTTTTCACTCCTATCTTCTCATCTATTCTGTCACAATATGTTTTGGACTTTTCGAATTCATTTGAGTTAGTAATGTCTATCTTAAAACAGTTTAAAGAGCTTATGCTCATTCAATTATGTCTACAAAGTTCTGTGTAAAGACAAATGAATCACAGGTGCTTTTGTTTGTATAATATTTCTGTAGGTCGGAATTATTTATTACTTTTTACATTTGTTTTCAATCTTTCATTTATTTATTCAACAAATATTCTTTGAGCTCACCCTTTATTGCCAAACCCTATATAGATCCTGAGACAATAGACTAGCTCCCTGCCTCATAGAACTTACACTCTAGAGAATTTTCAAAAATAATTTTATGTATTTTCTAACGTAAAGAAAGAATATGTTAGAAAATTCATTATGAAATGCAAACACATTACAAAATGCAGATGATATGGTGATTATTCTTGCCATCATTCATATTTTAAATAATTGTAGGTAGAGTACATGTCAAATTTATCCTTTAAACTCTATGTGTTCTTAAAGTCAAAATTGTGATATGGACTTCAGATAGCATTAGTGAATTCAATTATATGAAATATGCATTTACAAATATTATTACCTGACACTTTCTTAATGGGATTTTATATTACTGCAAACTCTTTGGAGGGCATTTTGGCAATCACTTTCAAAATGTAAATTGCATCTATCTCTTTACCTAGGACTTCCATTTCTAAAGACTTAACTAAAAATATATACTCACACATGTGAATAACGTATTTGCCCATTTATTATAGCATTATTGGTAATGAAAAGAATAAAAGTAGCTGCTTTTCAATTGAAAAACTATGAAGTATATAAAATGTAGTATAAACAAATAATACCATGTAGTCACATAGATACACTTTAAAATAGTGTATCTATGAAAAGCTTTTCAGTATAGAGTTGTAGACACATATCCTTTTGTTGTATTTACCCATGTTCTTACCTCTCCCTACTTATTTCCTACTCCCACTCCCTTTTCTCAGATTTAAGCTGTAGGAAATTCTGTCTTCATAGTCCCAGAGAAGGGAGAACACAAAAAACTAAAAGGTCGATTTCCATGTCAAAATCTATGGCCTCTTTCCCAAGAGCAAGGAGAATAACAAGAGATACAAATTACTTAAGAGTTAGACTCTATTACTCCCCTCCCCTAATCCACTAATCATGAGTTAGAGAACAACAAAACCCTGAGATACCTGGGGTTAACCAAGTTGAGAGAATGCCTGAGTCTCAGTTCCCTGGAGAAGCCTGACAAAATGGCAAAGTCTCATCCTCTCCATCCCACCACCACATATACTCAAGTAGGGTCACCAAGGAGTAGCAGAAAGCAGTTGTATGATACATCCGGGCACGTGTTTCTGAGGCAAACCTCTACTAGTTTCCAGCAGAGTCTGGGACCAATGGAATAATTTCTGGTGAGTTCAAGGATAGCATAAAAGAGGAAAAGCACCTTAGACAGCATAAGTGAGAATTGGCCACACCAAAGTGGGGAGGAGCAGCAAACAAATGCCTCCTTTGCCCTTGGGAGGTACATACAGCCAGAGTCAAATAGGCCTGACAAACAGCAATTGGAGATGGCCTAGCGGGGTCTGTGGGATGATCTGTCTCAGATGGTGGAAATTCAAATTATAGTGCATATAGGCTGAAGGAAGTCCAGAGGCCACTCCCTCCCCACACTTCAGGCTAAACACTGCCTATACTCCTAGCTGAGATGTCAGTTTAGAGGCAAAGTGGGGAATCCCTAAGTTTATCAAGATTTTCTTTCTGCTACAAGGCAGAAAGTATGCTCTAAAATAAGACATAAGTGTAAAGGTAAACAAATAAAGCTACATCTCTTGAAAATCTGAATTTGTGGAATGAGAATTTTAGGGAATACATTTTCATAGGTGTTAAAAGGAAACTAAAACATGAGTGTGTACTGCCTGCTTCCATATATGTGTGTCCATATATTCAGATAACATTTCCAGAAACAGAAGAAAATATTAATAGTGATTGACAAATTTATTTAAAAAATAATAATGACTAACTACATTTAAGGCATTTAGAATATGGATTATTGGAGAACCATACTATATTTGGTTAAAGGGTTCTCCAATTCAATTATATATATATATTATATATATACACACATATACATATACACACTTATGTATGTATGCATATGTATACATGTATGTATATATAATTATAGAATATATATATATGTATATATTCAATAGCAACTTTGTCTTTTCTAACTTGCCCTAGCCAGAGTTCTGGCAATCAACTGAGCAGAAAAACACAACTATTTTCTTCTTTGAAATGTGACATTTTCTTGATTTCTTCTCTACAGGGTAGCTGCCATTGTTTCTATCTTCAGAAAATGTCCTGAATTTAGGTCAGCAGATCCTGACCTGACTGAGCTATGTTCAAACAGCTCCATAAATGAGAAATGGATTGCTTTGTAAATTTTTTTTCTAAGAGCATCATTAGTAATTGGCAATTAACCTTGGAAAGTTCTCCAGTATTTAACTTTCCTTCCAAGCACTCTGCCTTGTAAAAAGTTTGGGATTAATTACAATGGAAGGGACATATGTTGCTAGGTGAGTAATTAAGAAAGGCTGGTTGAAGATAGCAAGACAATGTGTCAAAGAGGCATTCCCAGGATTTTGATTCCCATCCTATATTCTGGCTATTTTTCCACTAAAGGGTTAACTCATACAAAGTTTTGAATACTTAGAGAAGGGAAATCTAAATTCCTGGTATAGCATTTCTATATTTCCAGTTTTCCTGCCCAAACTCCAACCCTGATCCTCCCTTTTCATTGTCCACATTTCTTCTGTGCTTAGGCCTATTTTCTATACTCTTAGAAAATTACTTTAAAAAAAAGTCTTACCCTTTGATAATGACTGATAGCTTAAAAAATCTTAAAAGTTCAATGTTTCTTTCCATTCCCACAACAAACTCTGAGATGGTCAAGACAAAGCTTTTCCTGTACCTAGATGAGGAAATGTGCACTTTTCCATGATTGAGCAGACTCTCAGCACTAGTTTGGGTCAAAAATCCAAGACCTAATTTAGTTTTGCATCTTTCCATTGTACTAAACAACCTCATTTGTAGCACTTGAAGTTAGATAGCCTGGTGGGCCCCACATCTCCTGATTCACAGGGACCGGCATTTTCACTGTGAAAATGAGGCATGGCAAAGCCCATTAGTTCGGCTTGGACTAATATGTTCTGAAAATGAATGCTGCCCGTGGCTAACTCTGGAAGCATTCCAAGGACATTTGGCCTTATCACCAGTGTATTTTACAATCCCTGTACCTCTGAGAATGATGGCAGGGGTCAGTGCTAGCAGGGTAAACTTTATTCTCCAAGCCCTTCAGATTGTCTAGCTTTCCTTAAGAAATCATGGTGAACATTTATTCTAAAGATTGATGTAGTCACCCAGGCCCTCTAGGTCACTAAATATTCTTCAGGTATTTAAAACCAGAGACATCACAAATAAAATATACCAATTATTTAAAAAACACACAAATCCATCTTATGAATAAAATCTATGAGCACCTTTAATTAAATAGCTTGTTCGAGTTAATAAAATAAAAGGCAGCTTATCAGTATAAAAAGTTAACAAAGTTTGTGAAATGACCAACCTTTTGTTCAAGGAATAGTTTATCTTTTGGAAGTGGCTACCTATTAAACAGTAAAATTAAATCATCAGCTTTAGTGAATTTATAACTAAAACTGCTAACAACAGCTATGAGAGGAATAAATCACTTATAAAATGTGTTAGGCACATATACCATGTCATACAGCACTATATGCTAACAGTACAGTGATGAGCATGATGTCCTCTCTCATGATGCTTATACCAAACACAAAATAGTCTCCTTGATTTTGTCTTTTCCAGAATGTCACATAGTTAGAAACACACTGTATGTAGCCTTTCCAGATTGACTTTTTTATTTACTAATATGCATTGAAGTTCTCATGTCTTTGAATGGCTTAAGAGCTTATTTCTTTTTAGTTCTGAATAATATTCCATTGTGTAGTTGTAACACTGTTTACTTACACACTAATTTACTGAAGAATACCTTGGTTACTTCTAAGTCTTGGCAATTATGAATAAAGTGGCTGTAAACTTGATGTGCAGGTCTTTGCGTGTATGTGTTTTCTACTAATTTGGGTAAATACCAAGGACCATGATTGCTGGATAATATAGTAAGAGTACATTTCGTTTTGAAAGAAATTGCTAGGCCAGGCGCGGTGGCTTATGCCTGTAATCCCAGCACTTTGGGAGGCTAAGGCAGGCAGATCACCTGAAGTCAGGAGTTTGAGACCAGCCTGGCCAACATGGCGAAACCCCTTGTCTACCAAAAATACAAAAATTATCCAGGCATGGTGGCACGCACCTGTAATCCCAGCTACTTGGGAGGCTGAGGCAGGAGAATTGCTTGAACCTGGGAGGCGGTGGTTGCAGTGAGCTGAGATCATGCCACTGCACTCCAGCCTGGGAGACAGAGTGAGACTCCACCTCAAAAAAAAAAAAAAAAAAAGGAAAAAGAAATTGTTAAACTGTTTTACAAAATGTGATACCATTTTGCACTCTCACCAGTAAAGAATGGTCATTACTCTCATTCCACATTCGGGCCAGCACTTGCCAGTGGTGTTAGTGTTTGGAATTTTACCGTTCTAATAGGTAAGGAGTGTTATCTCATTGTTGCTTTAATTTGCACTTCCCTAATTACATGTGATGTTGAGCATCTTTTCATACACATATCTGCTACTTGTATTATCTTCTTTGATGAGTTGTCTGTTCATATCTTTTACTTATTTTTAATTGGGTGTTCATTTTCTTATTGAGTTTTAAGACAACAGTATTACTGAGGTTTCGTATACTTTGAATAACCATCCTTTTTCAGCTATGTATTTTGCAAACGTATTCTTACAATTTGTGGCTTGTCTTTCCATTATTTTGACAATGTCATTCTCAAAGCAAAAGTTTTTCATTGTAAAGACTTCCAGATTACCAGTTATTTATTCCATGGATCATAACTTTGTTTTTGTACCTAAAAGGTAATCTCCAAATCCAAGATCTAGACTTTCTAGATCTTTCTATGTTATGTTCTAGAAGTCTATAGTTTTAAGTTTTCAATGAATGATCTTTTTTGTGTTATTTTGTGTAAAGAACATAAGATCCATAAGATCTGTGTGTAGATGTTTTTTTTGCATGTGGATGTCCACTTGTTCCAGCACAATTTTTGAAATTCCAAGGACATTTGGCCTTGTCATCATTTTTTCTCCATTGTATTCTCTTTGCTCCTTTGTCAATATCTCTTGACTATTTTTGTGTGGGTCTATTTCTGGGCTCTCTACTATGTTCCATTGATTCATTTTTCTATTCTTTTGCCAGTACCACACTGGCTTGATTACTGTAGCTTCATAGTAAGTCTTCAAAGAAGGTTGTGCCAGTGCTTTGACTTTTTTTTCTTTCAATATTGGGTTGTCTATTCCAGATCTTTTGTCTCTGCATATAAACTTTAGAATCAGTTCATCCATATTCACAAAATAACTTGGTAGGATTTTGATTAGGATCCCATCAAATCTAAATCAATGTATTTTTGAATAGAGAATTGCCAAATGCCAATGATTGCTATTAGCTGTTTCTATCTTTGTGAAAATTTAAACAAGTTCATTGCCCAGTATGGAATAGCAAGTTTTCATGGACAACAGTGAAACACTGTATTGCTTTCTTGGATATAATAATTCACAGTTCTTGAGTTCTTTAACTCTTCGAAAGTCCTATTATTGTCAAGTAAAAATGTGGACAGCCAAAAGCTTAATACTCACCCTCCTTTTGTGTGAACCTAACAACATGCCTCTGATAATAAACCATCAGGTATTGACTACTTAATGGTGTCATTGAGCTTTACTCACATTACCTTCAATCCCCATAAAGACTCTGCAAGGCAGATGCTATTACTCCGGTGCTGAGTACCTGAGGCTGATTTATACCAGTAATTTTTTCAACAGTTAAATGCCCAACTGTCAATGGCATGGTCAGGATGTCCACATGGGTCTCTCCACCTCCTTTCTATGACTTTACATCACACTACATTGTATCTCGACCAGACAGAGCACCAAAGAGTAAAAACTATACCTTGACACAGAAAAATTAAAATATTCCCCCACAAACAAAACCCCAGCTATATCTGTAAAATCTTCAGGATTATCTGAGAAGAACATATCAGGCAGAATTGTTATTTTAAAAATAGAACCTTTTATACATTGATAGCAGTGTGGTTCAGGTAATAGAACAATAGGTCCAATAATCTTTCATTGTTGTATTCTTCATTTAGTAATATTACTTTGTATTAAGATATTGTTTGCAAATGCTTTCAGAAAGCTTTTGCTGTTTCTCTCTTCCTTGAATCAATGATGCCTTTGCTTGGAATATTAAGAATTCCACCGACTAATCTCTGGCAAATATTTACTGACTTAGGTCAGTGCTCCTTAATAAGCACTGGTCTCATCTATGTGCAGAGGTATAAGGATAATATAACATCATGATTAAACCTTCCATAGACACAAATGATTTATAATTATGAAAAGCTATAATTATAGTGAGCTCACTGCAAATTTAAAAACTCATGGAGGGCAACTCTAAGGGTTGCTTGAGAAGTGGCCCCTGCACTACTGCTGTTTGCTAATTGGGCTTGTGGAAAGTTCAGAGCAATGATTAGGCATGCCAGGATTCATCTGCCAAGTAATAATTACGAAGCCCAGCAGGGAGCAGAAAGGAATTCACTGCCCAAAATAGCAAACAGACCCTAAGCTGGGAGAGAATGACTATGAGGACCTAGAAATAGAAACTTTTTTTTTAAATAAAATAATAGATTACAAACTATGTTAAGGACGAAATAATGGGTGAAAGAAAATATTTTACTTGCACTAATAGGGTTAAATTCAGGGAGAGAAATGGTAACGAAAATTGGTTTACTTACAAAGTCAGTTGTTACCTTAGGACTTATTCAAAAGAGAATGGTAGCAAAGATTCTAGAGCAGTTGTTTAATGGTATACAAAACGAGACTAATTTAAAAAAGACTTCCTGGTACTTCAAGTATTGCAGAGTCAGGGAAATTGAACATGATAAAGAAGTAAAGCAGAAATAGAAAAAGTTAGATTGGTGACGGGGAGAGAGAAAGAGACAGTGTTTTGGCTTATCTGGTGCTAGTTATAAATTGAACCAAGATGTTACGACAGTCATAATTTGAGGCAAGGCATTTGGGATTGAGCTTTTCATCAATAGAAAACAATACCCAAGATAGGAGTTGAGGGGGATGTTTTCTATTTTTCCATCACTATCTTTTGTTGATACTTTCTCCTGTCTCCTACCTCTAGGATGTATGATTTATTTATCTGGAACTATGCCTGCCTTATTCATGACTCTATCTTCAGTGGTTAGAACAGCAAATTTTTATTAAATCTATTTGGTGGAACAGCAAATTTTTATTAAATCTAAGACTATGTCTTTGCATGTCTGAAAACATTTGCTTCATCAACAGCCTTGATTGGTCACGTAGTTTAGTACAGAGTTCTAGGCTGAAATTACTTGTCTTCAGAAATTTGAGGGCATTTCCCTATTTTTGTCTAACACCCACTCTTGGTGATAAGAAAAACTGAAGATCTTTACTGCTATTCCTTTCTTTAAATTTTCTCTCTCTCTCTCTCTCTCTCTCGAAGCTTTTAGGATCTTTCCTTTCTTCTTTTTATTCTGAAGTTCCTTGAAGTATTTTTCTGTGCTTCTGGTTTGGGATTTGATGGGTGTTTTCAATATAAAACTTTTGTCTATCATAATCACTGAGAAATGTCCTCCTAGTATCCCTGTAGTAATTGTCTTACCTCCATTACTTTTTTTTCTCTTTGTGAAACTCTTGCTAATGAGACTTCCTTGATGTCATCTATGTCTCATATTTTCTCACATTTTCTTTAACATATCTTTTTCTTTTTACATTGTTTATACTAGAGAATTCAGCACTTTGCTCTGAAGCATCAATACTCATCCTTGCAGACCTAAACTTTCTCAAAAAGTTTGGTCAATTTATTGGATGAAGAAACCTTTGATTTTGTCCTGAAATAGTAAACTGACTGTTGGTTCCCTGACAAAATGTATGTGGGATAATAAAGATGGAGTAGATTGCTTCATATATTCTGCATACAGGATTTCAATTGCTCTAATTTTCAACTGCCTTCCTCCTTTTTGCCCTGTCTACCCTTAACCCCTTGAATCTCATCCTCGAACTTTTTGGCATACCATGAGGCAAATCAGCACAGTGCTTACTTTAGCTCCCTTCTGCAAGTTTTCTAAGGCTCAGCTTGTATCTTCATTTCTTGACCAATCAACAAATATATAATGAGTATCTACTAAGCTATAAACTGCTCTAGATTTTGAGGAATGAACACAAACAAGCAAGGCTTCAATGAATTTATTTTATCTAAACTGTGTACTCTCTTGTATGATGATGACTACTTCTCCTGTTCTCTTTGCCTATCATCTATCTATCTATCTATCTATCTATCTATCATCTGCCTATCTATCGTTCCATCTAATCAATCATCTACATTTAGGAGTATTTAAATAGAATGTTGGGAGACAAGAAAATGTCCTTATACTCTCAGTCTACTACCTTGAACCACAACCTATATCTAACATGTTGATTTTGAATTTCATTTTACTTTTTGAAGATATGTTAAAATGTCATTTAGGCAATGCTCTCAAATTTGGTATAATCTTACTTAGGCCTGAAGCTTTGCCTAGAAACAGTGTAGTTCAATTTCAGTACTATAGGCTTTGTAATAAAAGATGCTTGAGTTAAATTATTGTTCAGCTACTTATTAGCTAAAAATACTGAGTACTTAGTTCTGGAGATTAAATTTGGTTACTTGAAAAACTTAGATTAAATTACTATCAAAAAAGAAATGTGTTAATGTTCAATGGTAATGCATGCAAACCGTGCTGCAAACCTAGGGTATGGTAGGAGCTTACTAACTGTATTAGGTCTTAGCAGGCATAGATATTTGTGAAAAGAGGTGACAGTTTAAGAAACTGTGGAAGAGAATTTTACTGGTCTATACTATAATCAAAGACGTGATCTTAATCTTGACTTGGTTTTCATGATCTCTGAGTTAATATTTAGACTAAGTGGTTTATAAATGTGTATTGTGGTTAAGTGAAGAAAAGAGACAGAGAGAGACACAGAGAGAGAGTGTGTGTGTGTGTGTGTGTGTGATCTGAAAGAGATATACAGGTGGGTAATTGAGTTGTGACATGTAATCATTCAATCTTCCATGATGTTTTTAAGCAAAGTCAAATTGGTAACTTTGCAACGTATCAGTTAGTTTAATGAAGTCTTAATAAAGGTATTTGACAAGAGTAGAAAATAAAGAAAATACTAAAGCTTTAAAAATTTGTCTTTCCTATTGGAATTTGTAAATGAACCACAAAACTGAACTCCTGCTCTTCATTAAAATAGATTCTCTGGGTGAAGTAAGAATTTGTAGTGACACTCTGAGGGAGTAATTTTTATTAGATTTGTGTAGGTATTTTATTGTATGGCTAGTTAAATGAAGCCTCATGTCATTTACTTTGAAATGTCCTCAATTTTGCTGAGATTTTGCAAATATATAGAGTAAAACATTCAGAGTAATTCACTGTGCTTTGCATTTTGCATTATATGTTGACATTCTTTGAATCAATAATCTTCTGAAATGTGAATTTGTCATGTCTTCATTTCATCTGGACCACAACCTTAAATTTTAAATCCACATGACTTAACTATCCTATCGAGAAGAGTTGGAAAATATCTAGCAGCAGTAGATTTATAGCATGTCCTTTCTATAATCCCTCAAAACCTCATTCTTAGAATTTTTTTTTCTCATTGAGATTTGGGTACCTCATCTAAGCTTTTCTGTCTTGGCAATCAAAACATCTAATATGCAGCCTAGTTTTCCATTCTTCACCTCTATCTTCTTTAAATTGCCATGTAATGAGAATGCTGCTCCTTTTAGTCAGGAAAGATGACATTTAGTAAGGCTTTGCTATATTACTTCATAAATACATGCCCTACAGACATTTGAACTGTTGGTCATAGATTTGAGAATTCTTCAATATATGGATTCCACCATCTGTTTATTACATCTTTAATCAAAATGTCTAATGGGAATCTTTTTTGACTAAGGGCATGTTTGTATTTGTTCTCTCTCCCTGTCTTGTCTGTTTTCTTTTTTTTTCCTTCTCTAACAAAATTTCAGAAAAATGAACAAAATGAAACAAAGTCTCATTTTAGATAATTGAGACAATATATCTATGGATATTATCAGAGGCCTCATGCCTACAGTAAGCCAAATCCCATGGTAAAGCTGACCTCTGCATCCAGTTCATCCCTATGTAGAAATCCATGTATATCATATTGACAGTACTATAGTGCTGCTGGTTTCAATGAGGCAACTCCAGTGTCCTGCAAAGATACCAATTATCATTAATACAAATTATGGAAGTAATTGAGGCTATGCTTGATTTTCAGTTATTTATTAAAAACTGCAATATAACAAACTGCTTTCACATTGAGGATTCAGCATGTTAATTTTCCTGTTTTAAACATATTCAATATATTTCTATCAGTAGTTGGAAAATTTAGCTTCCCTAATGCAAACTAGCTTACTATTTTGGGGAACATTCTCCATGGATATATGACTACCCAGCATATGTTTTTTACCTTCATAGAGACTCAAGTATTAGCTTCTAATATAAAGAAAACTAAGTGCACTCAGCCATGTAGCTATACATTTCTATTAGAACTCAGAAAAGTTAGCTCCTTGCTTCTATTTCTTTCAAGAAATGCCAATGCACTTGTGGTCTGCAGCTTAAATTACAGGAGAGAGAGGTTGCATCTGTAAAAAACCAAAATTATCACAGCAAATACAAGTGTTAATGATTTAGTCATTGCTTCATGTGTGCATAGTGCCATACTATGCACCAAACTTTTTTGACAGTGATCTGAAAAGTGATTTTTTAAGAAAAGACACCTCTGCTGCTATCAATTCAATTCAAGAAATAATTATTGGTGGCTTGTCTTAGAAACTTGGAATTCATTGATGAACAAAATTTAGATCCTTAATGGAACTTATATTGCAATAGGATGAGACAGATAATAAAACATAAACATCACAAATAAATAAATTATATGATATAAATGGACAAAAGAATGAATCAGAAATAAAGGGATGAGGAGTGAAGGGGGACGCAGTTTTAAATTGTGTGGTTGATATTATCAAGGTCCTTTTTATTCAAATGATGACATTTGAGGAAAGACTTCAAGGAGGTGAGAGCTTGACCATGTTGATATCTGAAGGAAGAGAGTTCTAGCTAGTGGGAGTAGCCCTTAGAAACGCTCCAATATGGGAGCCTACCTGAGGCATTCAAAGAGCAGCAAAGAGGTAAATATAAAAGAGATGAAGGAGCAGAGGGGAGAATTACAGAAATGTGATGAAATAGTGGATTGGTGGAGGGGTGCGGCAGATCATCTGAAACATTGCATTGTATTGCTTTCTTTCTCTGAATAAAGGGTAGAGCCTTTCAAGAGTTTTAGCAGAGATATAAAGCTAACCCCCACTGTAGAGATAAAAGACTATGGGGTCACTGTGGAAGCAGCCACCTGGATGAAAGATGGCAAGGACTTCAATAGCATGGGAGCAATGGGGACAGTACCAAACGGCCTAGACTTTGATACATATTTTGAAGACAGAGCCAACAAGATTTCCTATCAAGGAGATATCATCCTATTGTATTGAGACAAGTAGAAAAATCCAAATTGTTGTAATCTAAGCACTTTAAAATTTTATTAAGGGATATTACTTGTCTAGTTTACCTGAGAGGTTAAAAAAAAACATGAAACAGAGAGGCAAGGCATTTTTTAATCCCCATTTTACAGATGAAAAATAAAAGAAGGCTTATTGAAAGATAAATGAAACATATTTATTGAATGAATCTTGCAAGTACAACTTCATACTACATACTGTGCTTTTAAATTTGTAGTATCATTTAATCTTCATGCAAATAATGACAGTAAGGACCAGCCCCATTTTCTCAAATAATGAAAATGCCACCCGGAATGGTCTGTGATGTACCCAGGTTTGTAAAATTAGAATAAGTCTTTAAAATAGCTTTTCCCTCAAAGTTCATTTCCTTTTATGATCACTAGTGCTTCTACTCTCTCAAAGAATCCAAGTGAGCCAGAGGACTGTCTTTATTAATTTTACCCTCATAACATCCCAATGGGTAATTAATATTGTGAGTAGCTATTTTCTAAAGGAACAGAACAAGATTGTATAGTAGTATCCCCAAAGGAACACACTAGCAACTGGCTAAGATGAACTTCAGATTTACATTCTTTTGACTCTAGAATACATGGTCATCAAAAGGAAGCAGTATGCTGTTGACCAAAATACGATAAAAAATATATATTCCTTCCCAGCATCCCAAGGGAATTTTGCAAATTAAATGAAACAATGCTCATAAAATTGGTTTGTTAATGACAAATTTGTCTATATGCAGTGTGTAATTTTTATCATTATGTATCTGGAAAATGAACCATGTTGGCTACCCAATTTAAATTTCAAAATCCAAAAATCAAGTGTAGGCAAGGCAGTCTCCAAGGGTTGAAGAGTCATTATTTGGGATGTTGCCAAGTGCACTTATCATTTGTAAGTATCTGTCTTCATTGAGCCAAAAGTGGATGGAGAAAATAATCATCTGAGCAGCCAGGTCCCAAAGCAGGAGGCAGTCCAGCAAGCTGAAGTTCACTAGAGCTGGTAATTCTACACCTGTCTTCTGGCAGCTCTCAGGCGCTGAAGGAGCTGCTCTAGTGCCATGAGCACAACCACAGCCTTGCCCTTCCTCATCTGCCTTTGCCACTTAGAAAAGCCCTTTGGTTGCTTTCATCTGCTTCCCTTTGGCTGCATTCATCCAGGTGTGATTCAGGAAGTGTGCTTCAAGGACTGGCTAGTGACATGTTGTTCCGAGGAGAAGAAGTCCATTATGTTTCCATCACTGTTCCCTACAGTGAATGTTGATTAGAGTTGCAGTGGAATTCAATTAAGTCCAACACACATTCATGGAGTGCCTGCAGTGCTCCTGACACTATTTCAGGTGCTGAAGAGGAAAGCTACGATGAATCAGCTCTAAGCTTGTGGCTGTCACAATCTGGTAAGAAAGACAGGCAAGAAAATGCATGATTAGTTTAAGAAATCAATGGGATAGAGTTCCAATGTAATTTCATTGAATGTGGTGTATAGCCAAAAGGAGTGATTAATTCTTAATAAGGGGTCTAAGAAGTTTTTATGTAGAAACTGCTTTCAAGTTTGACATAGAAATATGGGTTTTGCCACTCAGAGCAAGGGAAGGAAATGAATTTCAGATTACATTGCACAAATTTGTAAGGGTAAGAATGGTAAATGTTGGGAGAATGGCAAGTAACCTGTTGCTATCGAAGGACAGGATGCAAATGAGGGAATACACTGAAGCAGAGAAGATTGCCAGAGGAGAAGTAAGGCTAGAAAGTTGAATCCTTAAGGTAAAAAGACATTAAATTCCAGTCAGGGAGTATGGGATTATATTTTACATTAATATATTGATTTGAAAACCTTTAAACCTGGTAGATCCATGATCAAAAGTGAGCTTTGAGAAGGAATATTAGATCAATGTGCATGAAGAAGGAATGATTATAAGCAGGAAAACAAGTTAGGACAAAAGATAAAGAGGAAATGAACTAAACAGTAACATAACAGAATAAAGATGTAGAAGCAGAATGAACTAAAAAGGTAAAGGTAAAGTGAAGAGTATTAGATTGTCTCTAGAAGGTACAGTTGAGGGATAAAGAGCATAAAGCCTGAATAACTGAGTGAATTTCTCTGTCATTAAGCAACATAACAATTCCAGGAGGAATTAGGAAAGCTTGGTTATGTTAAAATTTAGGGGCCTGTGAGACATGCTTAGAAAGATATTTTATAGCAGGTATCAGTGATGGTCTAGAATTCCCAAAGGAGATGAGGCCTAAAGTGTAAATTTTGATATATTTGTGAGAAGTTATGGCATGGGATTGCAAATAATAAATAGGGGAATGCCCATATATTTCAAACAGGAAGCTGAGTAGAGTGTTGTAGGAAATGCTTTCATTTCAGGAGTAAATGGAAGAAGATCTGGTGATAAAGAATAAAATGAAGACCAGGAATTGAAATAAGAAGGAACACTGAAAGACTCAAAAGTCAAGAGAAGACTGCTTTCAGAGAGAAAGAGAAAAGCAACAACACTGTCTAATATATCCTGGAATTCTAAGAATATAGTAACTATGTACATAAAAAATGGGGACTCTTATCCATAAAATTTAGCCAGGAAAAAAGAAGCTGCATAAGTTGTCTCTTGTGGCAAAGAGCTTTAAAATAATTGGAAGTTTTTGCAATCCTTTGAAAAATGGGAAAAGGCTGAGTAATTTTCAAGCAGATGCGCAAAGATCCTAAAAGCTATGATAAACATTTCAGTTGCCTGCAGCATGGGTGTGGGTGATTCTCAGGAGGCTACTCACCCCAAAACAATAGCAGAACCCCATGTCTCAGAGTCCACAGCTGCCTCAGAAAAGCTATCACTTTTCTTTGTCTTAGCTCGCCAAAACCCGTATCATTGCCTCTCGTTGGCAAAATTGAGCCAGAATCCTACTGGCAAGGGAGTCTGAAGGTATAGTTTACAGGCATTCAGCACTTGGATTGTGAAGACTCGTTATGAAGGGTGGAGGTGAAACTTAGCATTAACCAATATCCAGAAAAAGTTTTCAGAAGAAGCCAGTAGATTTGGTTTCTGTAAGTAATTGGTAACTCTGAAAGCAGATTTTGGAAAGACTAGATATGGTAGGAATGATCCAAACTGCGAGAGAAGGAGAAATGGATGAGAGAAGAGGAAGTGAATACAGTTTGAGAAGATTATTTACTTGAGAAATTTTTTGGTGAATAGAAGAAACAATAAAATTATTTTGAGGAGAAAACAGTGTATTAGTCTGTTCTCACACTGCTATAAAGATACTAGCCAAGACTGGGTAATTTATAAAAAAAAGAGGTTTCATTGACTCACATTTCTGCATGGCTGAGGAGGCCCCAGGAAACTTACAATCATGGTGGAAAGCTCCTCTTCACAGGGCAGCAGGAAAGAGAAAGTGTGCCAGTAGGGGAACTGCTGGACATTTATAAAACCATCAGATCTTGCGGTAAATCACTCACTATCACAAGAACAGCATAGGAAACTGCCCCATGATCCAATCGCTTCCCACCAGGACCCTCCCATGACACTTGGGGATTATGGGAACTACAATTCAAGATGAGATTTGGGTGGAGACACAGCCAAACTATATAAAACAGTTAAAGGAGGTTTTTGTTATGCTATGTTTTGTTTTGTTTGAACATAGCTAATTTAATCACATTTGCTGCAGGCAAAAAAAATTACAAACAAACTGAAAAATAGACAGATGGAATGATTTATACTATCATGCAGAAGATGGAAGAATTAACCTTAGCTAAGTGAAAAAAAATTAGTTGTCTTCCTGATAAAGAAATAGAATTGGTAAAGATGGAGAATGAAAGAGGGAAAATCAATGCAAAGTGAAGGGGAAAAAACACTAAATGGCTGAATGCTTTCAATTCTGTTCACAACCAAAAGATTTTCTGAGAATGAGGAAGGAAAATTGTGCCTAGGAGTTTTAAAAGCCAGAAAAGCTTTGAAATAGGTGCTGTGGTAATTAGCTAAGAATCAACTAGAAGAAAAAAGCATTTGTGTATTTCTTGGTGGCAATGACCGTAAAAACCTTATTCATTCACTCAACAAATATTTATTGAGCATCTGTTACATGGCAAAGATTTTTTCAGTCCTGGGGTTATGGTTGCAATTAAAGAAAAGGGTGTGATCTCTTCCTTCATAAAGCTTACATTCCAATGGTCATATAGGCAACTGTTAAGTATAAAATAAGAATTATTTGATAATTATAAAGATCATCAGTATAAATAACGATAGAATAGAGACAACCCAAAATTTGTCCCATGACAAGGAAAGGGTTTTCTGAAGAGATGACTTTTGATAAGTCATAATGAGAACAAGTAGAATCCATTCATATGAATATCATAATAGGCAGGGGAAATTACAAGTGCAACATCTGCAGGAGGAAACACACCTGTTATGTCTGGATAAAAGAAAGGTGCGTGTGCTTGGAGTTTATCGGGTAACAGTAAGTAAAGGAAGAATGGTAACTAACATAGCCAGATGCACCAGATCATGCAGTACACTGTAGGTCATTGGTAAAAGTTGGAATTTTATCCTAGAAAAACATGAAAAGTCATTTCAATGTTTAAAGTGGGAAGAGAGATATTCTAATGCAATACTTTAAAAAAATCATTGCAGGTTTTGAGAGGAACATGTGTTCGAGCAGACGCGTAGAGCTAAAGTGAAAATAGGCCAGTTCCAATAGTTTTATGCACTGGGAGTCCTGTGAGATCAAGAAAGGACCAATGGCTTTGGAAGAAGCTGAGGCTAGAAGATGAAAATGGCAGACAAACCATTCAGATAGAGTAAGATGATCAGGGGACCAAAGGTAGGAAGTGATGGTTATTAGGCTTGTGGAAGGGGGCTTTAGATTATGAGGTTCTGGCAGAAAAGCAGCTATGGGAGATATTAAATGAAGACAACATAAAACAGTTTATGACTGGCGCCTCCCCAGAGGCATACAGCAAAGATAAAAATAAAGAGGCAGACAGGCAGAGATGTCTGGAGTGTGTTCAGATAAATAGCAAAGAATTACAGGGAATCAAATTATTTAATTTGTCTGATAATACATCAGCATTTTTCAATAGGCTATTAAAAATAAATTTTTCAGATATACAGAAAGACTAATTATGATAAGGCATACTGAATTTGAATATTTTGCTATATTTTTACCTCCACTGTTTAAAAATAAATAAAATTATTAAAGTAGTAAAGGTAGTGTTCTACTCCTCTTTGTATTCTTCCCTGACCTTGTTATTTTTCTTCTCTTTTACAGGTAACTTCTAATCCAGGTTTACTTGTTATTATTTTTGTTTTAATCAATCCTGTACATTTTTTGGTAAATAAGTATATATCATTAGCAATATAGCACTTACGAACATATCTATCTTCTAAAAAGTTACATATTAAACTAGTTTTAACTGTTACATAATGCTGTAACTAGTACATTGTACATATGTAATAATATATTGATTCATTTTTCTTTTGAAGGGCATTTACGTGGTTTTAGTTTTACTTAACCAATACAGTCAGTGTTGTGGTGAAAATTCCTGTACACGTCTCCTTGTGGATGTTATGAACTTCTTCATGGTAGATACTTAGGAGAAGGATTGTTGAATCAGAGAACATGCACATCTTCATTTTTTGAGCTATTGCCAAAGAAGTCTATTTAAAGTGATTCTGCCTTTATCATTTTTACTCTTACTTTTCCAGCTACACCTGAGAATTCACATTGCTCCACATATATGTTAACACTTGCTATTTTTAGCCCTTGAAAATATTTATGGAGCTGATAGTTTGAATGTAATGTCCATACTCTGAAAGTCCGAGAACCAGATCATACACTTTCTATCTCTCACAAAATTCACCTACTTTACAGCATTATAGGAAATTAAAGACTTTACATTTTCTGATCACGTATCTAACCACATTTGTTGTGTTTAATAATTTTCCAGATCTAGGTACTTGCTGAAGAAAGAGCTTTAATTCATATGTGTTTGTATGTATGCATTCTGTGTTTATACATATATTCTATGTGTTTATAAGTGTGAAGGTATATGTAGGTTTGCACTCCTTTTTGGTGTCTACTAAAATCCAATACAATATAATTATTTGTGATGTTATCTATTCATCCTGAAGTACCTTTGGTGAAATTATTTAACAAAGTGACACAAAACAAAGAAAGTGTATATAATTGATTGAAATTATCTGATGCAGGTAGAAGCATAAACTAGTGAAAATAAGTACAAAAGCAATCTGGTTTCTTGCATCAAGACCCTGAACATTTATTAAGTATTAACCCAAAAAGTCCACTTCAAAAAATTAGCCCTATGATTATCAGAGATAACTACAAAGATTTTATCCCTTTGGTATTCATTATAGTTTCACTGCTTCTGAGAACAAGGAAAAAACACATTTAGGAAAATACATTTCTAAAAAAAAGCAGGCTTATTTACTAAATTGTGGTATGTTCATAGAATGGCCCATTATGTCACTATTAAAAGTAATTGTTAAAAAAATAACTGAAGTAGTTTTAATGTGTGGATATGCTTGTAATACAGTGTTAATGTAAAATAACATCATTGTATTCTACTAAAATGTGTATCTATTTGTGAGAGAGAATATCTGTGCCTAGTAAAAGAACTAATATCAGATGTACATATTCGTAGATGCATGACTGTCTATAGATACAAAAGTTTTATTTCTTCCTCATATTTTTATACTTGAAAGATTATCTTCAGTGAACATGCATTACCTCTAAGATTTAAAAACATGGTGTGTTGTTTAGAAAGAAAAGCAAGAGAAAAATTAATATCCTCTTAAAAGTAACTAAATATCCATTAACTTTTGGAGATTTTAGGATTACTCATTAATACCAATGATTTTGTCTTTGTATACTTATACTTTGACTTTTACTAGAATATATGTATAGAACTTTATCATGATAATGGAATAGGATAAATCCAACTCAAGATAAGTAAGCTGAGGTGTAAATTGCTGAAATGAATTGCCATAGATAGAATTTAGATATACCATAGAGTGACAGAACCATAATTGAAAACCAGGGTTAGAAAATGTCATTTCGCCCACCACCCAACCAATCTGTTGAGCAGAATGCCCATATGACTTTGCAGTAGTGATTTGGAAATGAGGGGGCAGTAATGAATATAATATGGAGACTACTATGATGCTAGACCACATCATTGAACACATGCCTCCAATATGGCCTACCAGGCACAGTCTCTTAAGGTAGTAAAGTGTGAATCCTTTCCTGTTTTTAAGTGAAACATGTTCATCACATATTGAGGACTAGCTCCCAAGTTTTATAAACACAAATAAAATATGCAGTTAAATGAAGAGCTTCAACTATTTTGCTTTGTGTATATTTTCACTGAAGGTATCCAGAGATTGACTGCAGATTTCAATTTAATATAGAGTTAGTAATCATTTCCCTTGACAAACTACATATTCTAAATCTGTATCTATATAGTAGGATGCAGTTTGAGTACTTATTTAAATAAATTAATGATTATAGATCTCTTTTCTGATTTTGTCCATAGAAGGCCACCCTCCAAAACAAAATTTTTTTAGGTTTCTTTTGAGTTACCCAGAAAATTAATTTTGTTTATATTTTACTTCATATGTATGGGAGTAACCCAAGTGATTCATGATTTCATAAATCGTTGTATTAGATTATCTTTTAAAAGTTGTTCATCAAATCAAGCAAAGGGCAGGATTTCCTCTCCAAGACTGTAATAAGTTCTGTCCTCTGAATTTTAATTTTGTTTGTTTTGTTTTAGCCACAGTTGTTCTCTGTAAGCCCTCCTTTGGCTTCTAAGTTGATTTACCCCTGGATACATTATTAAATTATATAGGGGAAATTATCTGAAGTTACCTTTTAAATATATCTGGGCATGGTGTTTGGGTATGCCAATGGAGTCAGATCACAGAAATCCCATGTCTTGGAGACAAGACTCGCAGGACAGATGTGGGCCCTTCCATTTATCTGTATGTTTTATTTGATCACCTATTTATTTCTCCACCTTTAGCCTCCTAGTATATTTCACGTTTGATACTGGTATTTGCACAACCAATAACTGCCTTGTGCAATGGTCTTGGTATTGTCATAAAAATAATATATTTTCACAAGGATGGGTCCTTCTTAGAACAACTTATCCACTGGGTTAGACTATCCTGCTGCAGGGCTCAGGCAGCTTTCAACTGTCTGCTAGTTTAAAATTTAATAGGCTCTGCTCACAGCACTTTTCACTGGGCATATTTTGTTCTGAAGCCTTCCTGATATTCTTCTGGAAGAGCCTAGTGAGTTGTAACTATGTCACACCTGTTGTACCTTCTAGGTGTACATACTTTGAAAAGAAGCTAAAGGAATTTCTAGCGTTAATTATTTCATTACTTATTCAAAAGTTTGGAAAGTACATAACAGAATAAAAGAGGGAGAAAAAACAATGAACTAAATACATGCACAGAATAAAACAAGAAACCACAAGGCTGAAGAAGTAAGTGTTGCTCTGTTGTTTTCCCTGGATGTGCTGTTTGTTCTCCATTTGTTTGACACTCTCAATCCATCCTCCACCTTGTTTTCTGCCTTGGATTTCTCCCCCTGGGTTCCCTTGTCAGATTTCTAGTTGGGTTTGCCAAGTGAAAGGCATCAGGAAACTTTCGGGATGCATAGAGAAGGAGGAAGGTTGGATATGCTTTCTCCTGGATGCTTCCTGACTCAGTGCCAAGTTGATGGCAGTGGCTGTGTCCCTCCAGGATGTAGCTTCTGAAGGCCGTTCCTCCAACACTTGCATGTTTTTTCTGTTGTGCCTTCAGCCCAGGAATGGTAATGGCTTTCTGTTATTGCTAGTCTGAGAATGCCTTGTCTCAACCCTTCTTGTCGGGCCCCTCAACCCTGCCACACTTCTGTCAGTGTTCAAGTGTTAAGGATTGTTGTGCCACCTGCACTTGAGTGATTTTCCTGAGGTGACTTTGACTGATGCATGTGTTACGTGTTACCTGGCCTGTCTTGAGTGAATGGGAGGCAGACAGCATTTCAAAACAGTTGTTAGCTTTTACTTGTTGGTGTGCTTGTTTGTTATTTGTTTCATTTCTTTTTGATTAAATACTCTCATCTATTCATATGAAAGGCAGAGTGCTTAGTATGGTGTATTGTAGATGTGCATGTCTAAACAAAGAAAGAGTACCATCTACAAGTTTGTGCTTCTACAAAAAAAAAAAGTCTTCCTTTGTATTTACTGGTTTCATAAAATGAACAAGGTTTTAGGGCTTTGTATGTTATTTGTTTACATAGCTCCCAGAATAAAGCAGTCTTTGCTAAGGCTCCAGCTTTCAATTTACACGTTTTCCACTTCTTTACACCCACAAAAGAAACTCTGTTAGCAGGGATGTTGATTGATACTAGCAGCAGCTGAATTGCTGGGATTTTAAAAATTCTTCTTATTTACAAACATTACATCAATAATCTTGAGACAGCTGTAGGCTATTCATTGGCTTTTATGACTTGGTTTTGTAATTTTCTTCTACAAGATAAAACTGCTTTGGTGAACTACTTTGTAAATGGTCATGTTTTGTTGAGAAGAAATAACCAACTAGTCACTGGTTTGTTTCCTGTAATTTTGCCATTATGTAGATGTAGGCCAAGCAGAATACGAGAATCTGGAATTTTCCACATCACAGATGTCATTTTAACGCAGACTCATTCTGGAAGTCTTGGAAAAAGCCAAGATAGAAGTTTCTCCCACCTAATAGACCAAAGAGTGGTATTTCATTAAAGTTCCTGGGTTGTGTTAAAAAGAAATTTGCATGCAGAAATCATCCAGAGACTCAATCTTATCTTTGAAATGTTAATGTTGACACATTCAATTAAGTGAGAAACACTTCAGGGAGTGATGATAACCAGAGCTACTGCCTTACACAAAACCAAAGAATATGAATTACCTCATAATCTATGATGTAAATGGCACCCAGAGTTACTCAGTGCACAATCTAAATGGCTGTACATCGATGAAGGTCCTAATGGCAACCACGATGTCCCTGATATTAGAGCAACTCAAAGAGGAACAATAGACAGTACATGATCAATACTTTTTAATTCAGTTGCACTGAATTTAATTAAACCAGCTACCTGTAGTAAAATCTACTCCCAGCTTCAGATTCTCATCTCTCATTCCAAATTATTCAATCAAATATACTTTCTTTACCCTGTAAATGTACCAGTTCTTTTATGGAAAACATTATCTAGGGCAGAAGTAAGGAAACTTTTTTAAAGGGCCAGATAGTATATATTTTAGGCTACTGGGCCATATGGCATCTGTCACAACTACTTAAATCTGCTGTTGTAGCATGAAAGCAGCCATAGACAATACATAAACAAGTATGACTGTGTTCCAAAAAGTCTTTACAAAAACAAACATCTGGGCAGAAAACATCTGTATTTGACCATTCAAAGTAAAACGCCATTAATATCCAATTTTTTATCTTTTCAACCTGGTTGTTTTATTTTGTGTGTGTGTGTGTGTGTGTGTGTGTGTGTGTGTGTGTGTTAGATAGATATATAAGGATGTTCCTTCAAACATACTGAATCTGATTCTCAAAAAATTAGGCAAATAGTCTATATTTTTATATATCCCCTTCCCGCCCCAATCAGCTTAGTTGTCTAGCCTGTTTCGGCAAAAGTCACTGTAATTTAATTTAATTCCACACATTAATTTTTGGCTTAAGTTATTTGAATTATCATATACCTAGATTAAACTTTTAGAGCAATAACTCTCCTTCTAATTGCTCAGTTCAAAACCTTTATTCCTTTATGACTCTCACATACTAATTGTAATTTATCAGCAAATGCAATGAACACATTCTTCAACATGTGGACAGCATCTCATTTCTTCTCACTCTTTCCACTGCTATCATCAAAATCCAAGCCACTACCTCCGATGTTTGCAATAGCCTCCTGATTGGTCATGTGGCTACTACCTTGCCCTTCATATAGTCTCTACTTCATGCAACATTGTAACATTTATTTTTCAATTGTATCTTGTTAATTCAATGGTCAAATTCTTTCATGGTTTCCTATATCCTCAAGTGTAAAAGCCAAATCTTTCATTAAATTCTACAAGGCCCGGCCAGGCACAGTGGCTCATGCCTGTAATCCTAGCACTTTGGGAGGCTGAGGCGGGCAGATCACAAGGTCAGGAGTTCAAGACCAGCCTGGCCAAAATGGTGAAACTCCATCTCTACTAAAAATACAAAAATTAGCTGGGCGTGGTGGCAGGTGTCTGTAGTCCCAGCTGCTTGGGAGGCTGAGGCAGGAGAATCGCTTGAACCTGGGAGGTGGAGGTTGCAGTGAGCCAAGATCGCGCCACTGCACTCCAGCCTGGGCAACAGAGTGAGAGTCCATCTCAAAAAAAAAAAAAAATCTACGAGGCCCAATATGGTTTTCTTTCCCTGCTTTGACCCCATTTGCTGTGTGGCATCACACATCACAGATCTCTGAGCTGTTGGATGAATGCACAGGTATATTCCTGCCTTGGAGACTTTTCACCTGTTCCTCTAAGAGCCTCACATGCTGCTTCCCCAGATGTCTATAAGGCACACCCAGCACTTCTTTCACATGGCTTCTAAAGCATCTCAGTGAGGCTTCTCTGGATGATGTATGTCAAAATTCAGCTCCTTAAAATCTCTCTTTTTTTTACAGCTATATTATTTTTCATGGAAGTTATCCCTATTCAACACATCTAACTTCCCTCGTGTGTGTGTGTGTGTGTGTGTGTGTGTGTATGTGTGTTTTAATTGCCTGTTTTTGTTTGTTTTCTTTCTAATGTAAGCTCTGTGGGACAGGCATTTTCTCTGTTGAATGAATGAGGAATGACTGAATGTGACTTTATGCTTTTACTCTGTGCCTGTAATACTGTGATAAGATGTCTTGTTTTAATAATGTGCTCCCATTAAACCTTTATTCCTACTGACCCATTAGATTGCAAATCTGTCTTGACTGTTTTTCCACTATGGTTTTGTATTAGAACTGTATCTAAAGGAGAAACAAAATCATCTTCCCAGAATTGGAAAATTATTGTATTCATAAGATCTCTTAATTTACTAATAAATTAAAAATTTTGGTTGAATTTATGGGTAAAATGATAGCATAGTGAAGTGGTTTTGAGCAGAATTTTAAGTTTTTTTTTACTTTCAGCCTTTGTTATTCCGGCTTCTCCACTGATTTAGCCTATAGTAGTATAATAATAAAAATGTAAGTTGAGCTTAAAACTGAGTAGCAACTATTTTGTAAAATCCAGCAATATTTTTTTCAGTTTATATTATTCCTTCACTTTTACTTTGAACTCTCTTTGTATTAACACAAAATTGCGGTAGAAAAAACTGAGGCAAATATCTTAACTAAAAAATTAGTGTGGCCAAATGATACAAATCCTCTCAGTAGAGAACTTAGCTGACTAATTCTCCCCAGCACATGATTTTGGACTCCTGTTGTTCACCTGCTGTCACTTTTTATGTGAATAATGGAGAACTACACCTCTGTCTATTGATGTGTTACTTTTATTGTTATAAATTCTTCAAACAGCAAATTAACATTTTTGTACTACAAAGACTTCTCATGTAAAAATTAGAGCAGAGAAAATATAATTGTCTTTTCAAATACAATCCTTTTTCATTTATAGTAAAAAAAAAAAGAGAGAGAGAGATGTGTGGAGTAACATAAAAAAATGTAATACAGTAGTAAAAAGTATGTTGTGCTGCTCACATACCCCTTGAAGACCAAATGTTTTGTTTTCTTGTAACTGCTGTGTGTCCTATTATCTAACATCTTAATTAGGGGTGGAATAGGACATTTTTTTTAGTACACATATAGGTTTCTCATCATAACCAAAAAAATAAAAAGTAAAAACCCTCTCAAATAGCAACATACTGCATTTAATATTTATCAAGCACTGTTGTAAACACAATGAATATTAAATCATTTAACTCAATTCTCATATCAAGTCGCAAAAATACAATTACTATTTTCACTTAAAGGAAGAAAAACAAGTAACAGAGAGGTTCCATAACTTGCCCAAGAACATGCAGGTAGTGGAAGAGTAGAGATCTGACTCCAAGAAGTCTGGCTACCAAATCTGTGCTATTAGTGATTGTACCATGCTGTCCCATCCATATTTAAAATAAAAACTTTAGGCTGGGGGCCGTGGCTCACGCCTGTAATCCCAGCACTTTGGGAGTCTGAGGCGGGCGGATCACGAGGTCAGGAGATGGAGACCACCCTGGCTAACACGATGAAACCCCGTCTCTACGAAAAATAGAAAAAAATTAGCCAGGCGTGGTGGCGGGCGCCTGTAGTCCCAGCTACTGGGGAGGCTGAGGCAGGAGAATGGTGTGAACCCAGGAGGCGGAGCTTGCAGTGAGCCGAGATCGTGCCACTGCACTCCAGCCTGGGCGACAGAGGGAGACTCCGTCTCAAAAAATAAATAAATAAATAAAATAAAATAATAAAAAATAAAAATAAAAACTTTAGACAAAATAAATTTAACAGAGTTTATTTCACTGCTGAAAGATACATGAATCAAGCAGTACTCAAAACTAAAAGAGGTTTGGAGAGATTCACTTTAGCAAAGTGAGTATCAGACTTTTATAAGCTGAACGTGGAAGCAAAGTAAAAAAAAAAAATACTTGATTGGCTATAGCCAGGTGTTTGCCTTATTCGGGCAAAATTCAGTGGAAAGTTCCTAGTTAGAGGTTAGTTGGTGGTTTCTGAGTGGTTAAGCTTAAGCTTTAGTTTACTGGGTCCTAGTAACCCAAGGCACCAAAGTCATCTCAGCCAAATAGCTTCCAATTATTACTATTATTTTTTTTACCAGATGAAATATAGAATTTGGGTTTTATGCTTATGGTTGTGTTTTCTACCTTATAGTTTCTATCACTCAGATGGAAGTATAGATATAATATTTGGGTCAAGCTAGTTTAAATTAGTATTGACTGATGTTGTCATTTTGTTGTCTTGGTACAAACAATCTCTGAAATTTACTCTAGAAGCGTGACTCTTAATCTTTTTTCTTTTTTTTTGGAATAAAATATTTCTGTATTTCTTTCAATTGTTACTTTTTGCTTATATGTGCTTGGCTTTTCACAAATTTTCTTGCTATATTTGCTTTTTTGAATAGAATGTAAAAGAATTTATTCAGGTATATTTTATTTTGTGATTTAGATGATAGGTTTTTATGTTCTCTTGATTTTATATTTTATTATAGCCAGCTATATGTATATCCATTCATGTTAATTTATTAATTTTTGTTGCAAGATTTAATTTATTTTGTAAAATTTATTACATTATTATTGCATGGTTATGTCAGCAAAAATAAATAAATGAGTGAAGATAGATTTTATCCACATCTCTTCCTATTAAAATATACTACTACTTGAAGCAAAAGGACAAATCTCCAAAAGCTAGAGACAGACAATAACTTAAAGACAGAACAATAAAACTAGTTAATGCTTCAGCATTCCGGGGAGGGATCACTATTGAAGTGATATCCTAGGAGTTGAAGACTAGAATTTTAAGAATCAGAGGAACACAGAAAACAGATCCTTTGGGTGTACTCTTATAAAGCCAACTAGTCTATAGAACTTCTGATTCAGGAAACGTGAAACACTAAGACTCAGCTGAAAATAAACATAAATCCATGCCAGAGGAGTGCCTTCTCAGTGACAATACACAAGACTACTACTTATGAAACAATCCCTGCTGAAGAAGCATTTGTAAACCAGTTCCCAACACTACTGGTGGATGAACTACCATGTATCATAGTCAGAATATGAGGAGGAAAAAAGTTTAAACTGGAAAATGAATAAAATATAACAGCAACGGTCATAGAAGGTTTATCAAATAATTTGTTCTGAGTGATTAAATGAGTAATAGATTGCAAAGAAAATCAGTGAACTGGAAGATAATTGTCAGGAAAATCACAAATGGAGAAAACAAACAACAAGGGAAATAAGTAGTTAACTATAATTCAAGAGTTAATGTAATATACTTTATGATCTCATTTATATAGGCTAACACAGGCACAACTAATCTATGCTGTTAGCAATTTAGATATTGTTCACCTTTGAGGAAGAAGGAGCTACTAACTGGGATGGGTATAAGAGAGCTCTCTGGGGACTAGTACCATTTATTCATTTATCTCGGTGTGTTAAATAAGTAAGTTCATTTTGTGAAAATACGTCACTTCCACAGTTATGGTTTATTAGTTTTTCAATAAGTCATATCTATAAATAAGTTTATTGAAAGCAAAAGTAGGGGAAAATAAAACAAAGCTTAATAATTAATTATTATTAAGTGTCTAATACCAAAGAATATATTTGAAAAAAGAAATTTCAACTTCCCTACGAAAGAAAAAGCCATTTCTAGAATGACTTAAAAACAAATGCCATTTCTAGAATGACTTAAAAGCATTCAACTACAAGTTATTTAATGACAGAGAAGAGTTGTAAATAAATAAATGATAAAAAGAAAGTACTCATAAATGGTAAAAAGCTGGGCACGGTGGCTCACGCCTGTAATTCCGACACTTTGGGAGGCTGAGGCTGGTGGATCACTCGAGGCCAGGAGTTCGAGACCAGCCTGGCCAACATGGCGAAAGCCAGCCTTTACTAAAAATACAAAAATTAGGTGGGCATGGTGAAGTGTGCTTGTAGTCCAGGCTACTTGAGAGGTTGCGGCAGGAGAATTGCTTGAATCTGGGAAGTGGAGGTTGCAGTGAGCCAACATTGTGCCACTGCACTCCAGCCTGGGTGACAGAGTAAGACTCTGTCTCAAAATAAATAAATAAATAAATAAATAATACTAATAAAAATAAATGGCAAAAAAATACTAATTGTATTAGTCCATTTTCACACTGCTATAAAGAACCGCCTTAGAATGGGTAATTTATAAAAGAAAGAGATTTAATTGACTCACAGTTCAGCGTAGCTGGGGAGGCCTCAGGAAACTTACAATCATGGTGGAAGGCAAAGGGGAAGCAAGGCATCTTCTCACAAGACAGCAGGAAGAAGTTCTGAGTCAAGGGGTAAGAGCCCCTTATAAAACCATCAGATCTCATAAAAACTCACTCACTATCATGAGAACAGCATGAGGAAAACTGCCCTCATGATTCAGTTACCTCCCTTGACATGGCTCCTTTGACATGTGGGGATTGTGGGGATTACGGGGAATCCAATTCAAGAGGAGATTTCGGTTCAGACACAAATCCTAACCATATCACTAATCAAAAGACAGTAACTACTAAGAAAAATGTATTATTGGAAACACAAAATCATGCTTATGTAGTGTTAATGGGAAAAATTTACCAGAAATATACAAAAATTCTGAGTCTCAATGCACCTTAGTACATAGCAAAAATTATATAGAGGAGGCCAGGCGTGGTGGCTCACACTTTAATTTCAGCACTTTGGGAGGCTGAGGCGGGCAGATCACGAGCTCAGGAGATCGAGACCATCCTGGCCAACATGGTGAAACCCCGTCACTACTAAAAATACAAAAATCAGCTGGGTGTGGTGGCGCACATCTGTAGTCCCAGCTACTCAGGAGGCTGAGGCAGGAGAATCGCTTGAGCCTGGGAGGCAGAGGTTGCAGTAAGCAGAGATCACACCATTGCACGCCAGCCTGGGCAACAGAGTGAGACTTCATCTCAAAAAAAAAAAATTTTATATAGAGGAGAAATAAGCACATCAAATAAATATATTGAAAATTTGTTATATTCCTCAATCTGAAATCGATAGAATAAAACCAGCCAAAATATTTGCAAGTAAAAATATTTCAATTGTAATATGTTTGACCTAATAAAGAACTTTGCAAAGAACCATGAAGAAAAATACATTATTTCATGCATATCTTGGGTGCTATCTCAAAAGAATACAGAACAAATATCAAAAAGAAAGAACAAAAGAAAGACAGAGAGAAAGAAAGAAAGAGAAAGAAAGGAAAGAAAAAAGAAGGAAAGAAAAAAGGAAAGAAGAGAGAAAGAAAGAAGGAAAGAAAGACAAAAGAAGGAAAGAAAGGAAGGAAAGAAAAAAGAAGGAAAGAAAGAAAAGAAAAGAAAGAAAAGGAAAAGAAAAGAAAAGAGGAAGGAAGGAAGGGAGGGAGGGAAAGAAGAAAGAAAGAAAGAAGAAAAGAAAGGAAGGAAGAAGGAAGGAAAAGAAAGAAAGAGAAAGAAAGAAAAAGAAAGAGAAAGAAAGGAAGGAAAGAAGGAAGGAAGAAAGAAAGAAAAAGAGAAAGAAGAGAAAGATCATATATTTTGGCAAGCGTGAACTACACTTCAAAGATAACTTTTCAAAAAACAAATGTACTGTTGGAAACTAAAAATCCCAGTTCTAAATAATTCCATGTTTAAAAATATACATACTAAAAATTACATGGCACTAAAGATTAATCCACCAAAAAAACCCACAAAAAACAAAACACACCACACACACACACACACACAGACACACACACACACACACACCAGATTCATCCAAACTAGTGGGAGGTAATTCTACTCCTAATCATGAAAAGTAAATAGAAGGGCACTGTCTTTCCTATTGTAAATAACTAGAAAAGTGGGCAAAGTATATAAAACAACTCTTTTCAGACATGGAGGATATAGGCAGAACAGGACCATAATACTGAAGAGAATGAAAACAAAGTGAGCTTTCCAATTGCTCTGGCTTTCTGCCTAGAGGTAAATTCAGCACCAACGCTCAGCAATGAGGAAGACAGAGAATGATGGGATCGCTGATGGAAGGTGGCATAGGTCAGATTTCAGAAAGGTTGAGGCAGGCCAGGTTCAGTGGCTCATGCCTGTAATCCCAGCACTTTGGGAGGCCAGGCAGGCGGATCACTTGAGGCCAGGAGTTTGAGACCAGCCTGGCCAACATGGTGAAACTCGTCTCTACTAAAAATACAAAAATTAGCCGGCATGGTCGTGTATCTGGGTCGAGTATCTGGGTTCCCAGATACTCGGTAAGCCGAGGCAAGAGAATTGCTTGAACCCGGGAGGCGGAGGTTGCAGTGACCAGAGATTGGGCCACTGCACTCCACTGCACTCCAGCCTGGGTGATGGAGGCAGACTCTGTCTTAAAAAAAAAAAAAAAAAAAAAAGCTGAGGCAGTTGCAGGGCAGAGATCGAACTCCTGAAATCTGTGTTGTATCCTCTTGAATCTTGGACTTCACACTGATTTTAGCATATAAAGTTGAAACTCTATGAGGCTAGGCAAGTAAATGCAGTGAGCAAGTGAATAATTTCCAAACCTCACACAGGACTGAGTCACATCCAAATTCAAAGCAGCCAAGTAGTAGAAATTGTATTCAACATTAATGGCAATCAATAGAAACTGCAGAAAGACTCACACTTGTGGAGTAGGACTACACTAGCTCTAGAATAAAAGATACTTTAATCTTGTCCTAAAAGATGCTTAAAACTAAGCCTTGAAAAGATCAAGCCTGCCATAATAAGCATCAACATTCTTCAAAAGAATATAATCAATTCCATATACTCAAACATGTGCCATTCACTGTGTCAGAAATCTGATACAAAATTACCAGACACTACAGCAAATGTGACCCAAAAGCTGTAGAAAATTTAGCTAATAGAAACACACTTGGAAATAATAAAGACAATGGATTGAGCAGAAAAGGACTTTAAAAGATCTAAAGAAACCATACTAAGGATGAAACTGAAAGATATAATAAATTAGGCACAAGTTTGGAAGATTTATCAATCAAAGGGAGAAAAATGCATGTACATGCAGATCAATATAGGTTACTTTAAAATTATAACCATGACTTTATAATAGTACATGTTAAAACATAATTAAAATGGAAATTTATCTAGAAAAATATTACTTATAAAAATTAACACAAGAAATATGAATAGAAAACCTAAACAAACCAATAACCATGAAATAAATTGAATAATCAACAAATCTTGCCTACCCCCACCACTTCCAAAAAAATAAAACTAACTCTCAATTGTTTTCTCATACAAATTAAAACACACACACACACACACACACACACACAAGAAACAGAAAAACTCTTACTTTACTCAAATGATGTTAACACATAGTGAAGAAAGATCCTCAATTCATTATACAAGGACATAAAACAAAATACAACACAAAAAGAAATAAAATTACAGGCCCATTTTACTTCTTTAACTCTTGTTAAATTCCTGTAGGATCTTGGGTGAGAAACTTGAAGTCTGTCAATCAAGTATCCGCTTCTTCATGTATATAAGTGCTAATAAGACCCACTGAGGAAAGACAAATGGTAATCTGAAGGCTCACTTCCTCCTTTGGTTAGCGGACATCACTGGGACTGAGTTAGGTTAGTGAAAGAACCAGCCATGAGCTTCAAATACCTCCTTTTTTAATAAGGCCACATCCTTGATTAAAGAGCTTTCACTTTTCAGACTCACAGTGAGGTTTCTTTCCTGCACCCCTAAAAGTGAGGGCTGTGGTCTCTCTTTTCCTGGAACCCCAGCCATGGCATGTGTAGATCAGCTTTATGTATCCTAAGCACATCGCTCTGTGGTACACTAACAATTCATATACCACGTACATTCCGGTACCTCTCTGCTTATATCTTTGTTTGTTTTCTCCTCAAGAAATACTATTTTCTATTTGAGTGTTTGACAATGATAAGATGTGACTCTATTGCCCCTTGCATAATACCCATGCTTAATATGTTCATTGTAAATCATAAGGAAGATATTAATTGAATCTATTATTAAACTGTATTAGCTATTATTATTAGTTATATTTTATTATGATAGTCTCCTGTCTGCATTTTGCCACTTCAAAAAAATAATTTTCTTTTGAATAAATAATTCCCCATTTGCCTTTTACATCCTTCCATTTTACCTTTTTCTTCTATTGACTCTTATGTGGTGTATGAAATTATTTTAATTTTAGATGCAAAATTACAGAATGCTTTATGCTGTTATGTAACTTAGAACAGAATTGGACACATAAAGCTGAATATTACCCAACTTGAGGAAGGAGAAATTTCCCTGTTATTATTTTGTCCTTCACTGACAATGCAGGGCCTGAGATATATGTTTGCACTCTGTTTTCTGTCTGCCTTGGATTGCTATAATGAGTTGAGCTGTCAGTGGTGAGTATGTACCAAAAAGACTATGAATATGTAGAATGCAGCAAGATAAGATGAACCTGAGTATATAATGTTGACTCCAAGGACGTTGTATTCCTGGGTTACACCATATTACAAGCATTATTAAGCAACATTCATTTTTCAAAGATTTTTTCACTCATTTTCATGAAACCTTCCTAGCACATGCATATAAAGGATGTTGATCTTGCTTGTTTCTGACTTCAATAAAAATTATAAAGTAAGGTGAAGGGAATAGACGTGTATGGAGCACCTATTATTTACACTCCGCATCTTTTTGCATCGCCCTAACTTTCATTTTAGAGCTTTGACCTCCAAATACTTCCAGTCTTTCAGTTTTCAGCTGATGCTCCAACGTTCCGCTCCACAGGAGTAGCTCATTTTAATGGCGTTGTCATTTCACTAAAGCCACCACACCAAAATTTCCTCATGTTTCATTCTTTCAGAAGCTTAAGTGGTAAAGGACCACTAATGATACCTTTTGAGAGCTTAGAAATTTACAGAGAATTTTATAGATAGTATTTTAATTAATTCCATTGTGTGAAGGTGGTGAACTCACTATAAGGTATTAAGACTGCTGGTGACAGCAACTACTTTACTTTTTTTTATTTTATTTTATTTTACTTTTTTTTTTTTTTTTTTGAGACAGAGTCTCGCTCTGTTGCCCAGGCTGGAGTGCAGTGGCACAATCTCGGCTCACTGCAAGCTCCGCCTCCTGGGTTCACGCCATTCTCCTGCCTCAGCCTTCCGAGTAGCTGGGACTACAGGCGCCCGCTACCAGGCCGGCTAAATTTTTGTATTTTTAGTAGAGATGCGGTACTTTACATTTTTAACTGGAGCTTTTTTTTTTTTTTTTTTTTTTGAGACGGAGTCTCGCTCTGTCGCCCAGGCTGGAGTGCAGTGGCGGGATCTCGGCTCACTGCAAGCTCCGCCTCCCGGGTTCACGCCATTCTCCTGCCTCAGCCTCCCAAGTAGCTGGGACTACAGGCGCCCGCCACTACGCCCGGCTAATTTTTTGTATTTTTAGTAGAGACGGGGTTTCACCGTTTTAGCCGGGATGGTCTCGATCTCCTGACCTCGTGATCCGCCCGCCTCGGCCTCCCAAAGTGCTGAGATTACAGGCGTGAGCCACCGCGCCCGGCCTAACTGGAGCTTTTAAAAAGAACAGAGCCACTACATGTTGAAAGAAACACTTAGGGGAAAGGAGGCATGGTGTGTGTTGGTGAGCTACTTCGGTAAGGGCATCTTCCATCTGAATTTCGTATTTTCAGGAAAGGGGAATGAGAGGATTCCCCATTTCTTTATTAAAAAGAAAAGCTAATTCTTCCTGAGAACTAGTATTTCTTTTCCATTTTATTTCATTTTTTAATTTTTATTTGTGTGTGTGTGTGCATACGGGGTCTCACTATGTTGCCCAGGCTGGTCTCAAACTTCTGGCCTCAAGAAAACCTGCCTTGGCCACTCAAATTGCTAGAATTACAGACGTAAGCCACTGGACTGAGCCTAAAACTAGAGTTTCTTGGACCTTAAGAGTCATATCATACATGATGACCCTATGTGATTGATAAGCTTTAAAAATATACAAAGAATATAGCCCGTACTGATTCTACTTATTCTACTTAAAGTCTTGTATGGTATTAAGACTTCTGATTCCATGACTGAATGCTGAGAATCCCCCACGGGAACTGGAAAAATTTAGTCAGATATTTTACTTCTACTTTCCAAGTTATCTATAAAAATCCATGCACCGGACAATATATCTTACTGGCTCCAACTAATCGTTGTCTCTTGGCTTATAATTCTGAGAAATGTTAGCCCTTGTCATTTGTGTAATTCTAAGTTGAACTACTTGTAAGACTCCCAGTCCAAACCTCAAGAAGCAGTTATTAAATCATTTCCCTCAATACCAATACTCTTTGTAGAGTGTTCTACCCTTTGGAGAACATTTTCCAATTTGGTTATAAACCACATAATGAACTGCCTGCCTCTAATGAGCTGATAGAAGTGTAAAATCTGGGGAAAAAAGAAAGACTTAATAACACCTATCTCTTTAATTTACTTGAAATATTCCATTTATAGTAGCTCTAAGATTGCAAATTAGTTTCCTTTTCCCATTAAATTCAAGCGTGTTTCTAACACTACTTACACAAGTATCAATAATAACAGGGTTATTAACAAGATAGGAACAACCTAGCAGTAGCACCAGGTCATTTTTTCTGAGCATTAACATGGTCCTTTCCTCCAAGGCTACTTGTCTAGGAGAACAAATATCAATCTATTTCAATACTTGAATATTTGTTCCTGCACAGATTGTGAAAATCTTAAGCTTCCAGGCAGTGTCCTAATCACATTTGTTTCCTAAACACCTAACACAATAATAGAAGTCCGTTAAAGTAATAAACGGATAGTTGAATATGGACTCTAGCTTTTTTGAAATAGACTCTTTTTATGGTAACTAAATCATTTGTTGGCAATAATGACAATAATGTGCATATTCCATTGCATGAATAGACTCTTAAAATCAAACTGAATGTAAATTCCAGAAAAAGATATACATGTATGTTGGCTTGAGGATTTAATTCATACACCTGGAACGGTGCATAGTAATCATATAAGAGGACTTAAAATATAGAAATCAACACATTAATAAATGGTTAAATTCATATGTAAATTTCCCAAAACTTAAATAGTTTGTCAGTTGAATGTTTCCACATATTGTTGTGAAGACAGGATGATACACACACACACACACGTACAACTGTGTATATACACAAATACATATGTATTGTTCTTATACACACACATACATATGAGAACTCGTCTGTTATATAACAGGTAAGAAATACTGGTGTCTTAAAAATGGAGTGATTCATTTTTGAGAAACAAATAGTTTTCACTGCATGGAAAAAAATTGATTACAATACATAAAATCCGTTGAAATTGCCACAAATATTTAAAAGAGCGGTATTAAAATATGTTTTATGTTTGACTTAAGGATAATATTAAAGGTTAGCAATCACGTGCTTTTACTTTGCCATAGTGACTTTAACTTTTCAAACTGCCTTGTATCAAGTATTTTATTAGATATTCAAAACTACACTAGAAACCACAAAGACAGATACAACTTTACATAGTCTACTGATAAAAAATAGTGAGTAAAAGAAGCTTCTGCCACTTGGTTTAACTATAGATACAACTAGTGTTGGAAACCTCCAACCACGACCCAGATATTATGATTCCTTTATCTCCTTTTCTATCAAATAATTATGCTTGTTGCAAAGTACTAAAGACAAGAATATTTTGAAAATTGAGATTTCATAAATTAGCAAGGCAAGAGGAAGAAAACATGTATTTAGTGTAGGAGAATTTTATATTATTTGTTTGTTTTTTCCTGCTTTTAATATAGAGACCCAAACCTAAGGCATTTGAAAAATTCTAAATTATTCATTCATTTATTAACAAGTATGATTGAAGGCCTAATCTGTCCTAAGCAGCATGGAATACTATGCAGCCATAAAAAATGAAGAGTAAGCCTTAAGGAATATAATGAACCGGATATCTTAGGGATAACAAGAGATACCAAGACCCTCCTCTCATGGAACTTACATTCCAAAGTGGTGGTGACAAGAGTAAACAAGAAAAGAAATGAGCTAATTCAAGAAAATTGTAAGAGCTATGAAAGAAATAAAACAGAAAATAAACTATGTAGGTGAGAGCTGTGTGTGTGTCAATTTAAAATAGAGTCAGCATAAGAGCTTATCTGAGGAGGTAACATTTGAAACCTAATGCGAATCTGTATTTAAGCAGTCTCATTTAAAGAATATTTAATTATATTTTTTCAATTAAATTTAGTGGAAAACCGCTAAAATAGGTTAAAGATACACAAATAAGCAAGTTGTTTGATATAAATGGTTAATGGTAAATGTAAATTACTTTTGCTAACTTAAAAATCTTGGCATTATTAAATACAGATATATTCAATTTATTTAACAAATCGTGGAGTATTTTGTTTTAAATAACATTTTTTATTAATTCCTTGTATCTATTTTGCCATTCTTAGAGGTCTGTTGATTTCACTGACTTGTCAATAAGAAGCTGGCACTAAGAAATTAGAAATTTATTAGTTGAATGACTCCTGTAAAATGGCCTTCAGTGCTAGTAGCCAGATGTATTCATAGGTATATTACTTTGTTAGATTTAGGCTAATCTGAACAATATAAATAGTAGAAATATTATTTTCCTTACAAGGTATTCTGATTATCTGTTTGTTTGATACCAAACTACCTTGATACTTACTGGATTAACACAACAATTTATTTTTATCTCTCACAAATCTTGTGACTTGACTAGGCTCAGATGGGTAGTTTTTACTTGGGGACCTCTCGTGTGATTATAGTCAGATGCTTGGCTAAACTGGGTGTCCAAGATGGCTCAGTCCTATTGCTGCCCGCAGATAATGGCTGTTAGCCAAGACCTCAGCCAGGACCTCAGCTAGGGATGTCTACCAGGGCACCTATATCTGGTGCTCTCTGTGACTTGGGCTACTCAGAGCCGGGAGGCTGGTTTCCAAGAGAGATTATCCCGAGAAGAACAATTGAAAAGGACTCCAGTTGGAAACCTCAAGACTTCTTCTGTCTCATGCTTGGAAATCCCTAAATGTCACAATACTGTATTTTATTGGTTCAGAATTTAAGGGGCAACAAAAATTCAAAAGGAAGAAAGCACAGTAGGGCAGGAATTCTGGGAAGAATGGTTCATTGGGCAGCCATCTTTGGAAACCAGTTACTATGTGTAGTCTTCTACCCATGCATTAGAGATGCTAGAAGCTTCTGTGAGAAATTTATAGAGAAACTACTTGAGAGAGGTACAGTGAGTTTATGCCCGTTGGCTTGTCCATGGTATAATTGATGAAGGGAGGTAATGCTGAAATGCTGACATAGGGATCTGCTGTTAACAAGATGAAAGATGAGCGAGTATAAAGCAAGAAGGGTTGAGAGTGAGCAGCCCTCTTGGTCTATTACATTCCTATTGAACTATTTGAAAAAAAAAATGATGGCATGTATAAACAAGAGCCAGAATAAAAAGAATATTCTACATGAATATGTGTAAGTGGAGGGAAGTAACTTTTGGAAGTAAAATCTAGATTATTAGTAAGATTAAGGACAATCATTAAATATTATGATTTGTGGATTCAAAGATGTCAATGACCATCAATTTGGAATCCAATTTGAAAGTGTAGGTAAAATTGGCACAGAATGGGTGTACAAATGACAATCATCCTGTTTTTAATTTTTCCAACACTTTAGTTTGATTATCAAATTATTATGTAATTTGCCTTAAAGACAAAATTTAAATTATGTTGTAATTTAAGATATAGAGAACCATAATCATATTTGATTATGTATCTAAACTTGGATTTATGTATCTAAACTTACATATAATCAATTTATTGTTTGTATTTTACATAAAGGATTTTCTTTTCTTCTTAATTACTGTCACCTAAATCTTCTCAATTATCACAAAGATAATCAAATATCTTCATATCTAGAATTCCTCAATTCTAACATTAAAAAGCAGTGCTATTTTAAAACAATAAAATAATTTGAAAAGCTAGCAAAGAAAACTCTTCAGGAGCTATAATTTAAGCACTGCTTATAAATACTTTAGGGATTTTTGGCATTATTATGCATTGGAATTCTGGTTTTAGCTTTGTTTAATAATGTATTTATTTGATTTCTTCTAAAAGCAATATTAGCAAATATTGCTCTCATTTGAAATAAGTCTGCTTAAATTATGATACCTCTGAAATCTTTAGTAATTCCTGTCTTCTCTCTGCATTCTTAACAAGTCACTTTTGTGGAGAATTATGATGATTATCTTCCATTGCACCTGTGTTGACGTGTTTCTGAGAGATGATTTTACCAGGATTGTATGCCAGTGTAGGGAATGAGTTCTAAGTGGAATTTCTGTTTAAATGTTACAGTACCCATCTGGAAATTCAGGTGGCTCATAACACATATGAAATTGAATCTGTTAATTTAAATTAACTTTACAGAAAATGTTCTCCTGTCACCTAGGCTCCAATTTCCAAAGAATTATTTCTGAACCAGGAAGATGGCAATTTGAGTTACTTTGTATCTTTATCCACTGAAATTGAATCTGAATTAACTTGCAGATAACAGCTCACTATTGCTAACCTGATGATTTCAAAGTTGAACATGAACCGTACAGTGGAGAATTATTTCTTAAATTGCCCTAAAATAAACTAGACAGCAGGAACACATTTGGGCTAAATTTACTCTCATTACCTTAAAATACGAAAGAAAAATTGAGGCTCATGTTACATGCTGTTATTGACTTGTTCAAGCTAATGTTTTCTTTTATGTACCATCAACCACACTTGCCAAAAGGATTAGTAGGGGAATGCAGACTGTTCTGTTTTCCTGCATCTTGGACTGAGTTCAGAAGGAGAGGATAGAGGGAGAATTCACAGGGAAGCATACTTGTCTAAGAACTCACAGGAAAAAAACAATAAGGATAGTCTTCCTTCCCGGACCTCCTCGGTCAGTAAATATTGATTAAATGAAGCAGAGTATTGAACATTATGTTAGGGCCAAGAAATGAGCTAGTACCAGGAAAATGGAGAACTATGGTGGTAAGAACCGTAGGACAAGAATGGACTTGAGTTGTGTGAACATACAGGAATCAAAAGAATGACACACCCTTGATAAAGACAAGCAAGAAATCTAGGTGACTAAAGGAGAAGCAAATAATTAAAATTTAAGATAACTACGAATCAGAAAGTCAAAGAAACAGATAAATCCTAGAAAAAAAAAAAAAAAAAACCATGACCCAAAACAGGGAAATATGCAGAACAAGTACATCACAACAAAAGAGGAGACACCTCTATGTCCACTGCATGCCATAAATCATCTTAATGTTTTGAGAACATAGTAGGTATGTATTAAATATGTGTTGTTTAGAATTAAATCCTGATTCATTTTAAGAGTGTCCTTGTTACTGAGGGGTTGAGGATCAAATACAGTTTCTGGCTTCTCTTAAGACGTGTGAAGAGTGAAAGAAAGATTTTGACAAAGCTATTATATTCAGATGCACCTATAAAATGTACTAAGAAAGAGTCCAGATTAGGAGAGATATGCTTCGATTCCTAGATACATATGACTTTAGGATTTCTGTGTCTGGCTTCCTCAAAAATAGTCTCTGTGTGCATACACATTTGAATATTTATCCGTGCATCTACCCACTCTTGCCAGGTAGCGCAATTCACCAAGAGATACAGATGCTACTCCTACCTCTAATGTGGGCTGGATCTTGTCTTTGAATACACTTGTCCTTTCTCCCTCACTAGTAATTGAGAGAGGAAAAGAATATCTCCAAAGTTTTGCACAAATGTTGGAGGGCTTTCCTGAAACAGCATTGGGGACATACTCAGTACTTCAGCTCTATGCCTAAATAAATAAATAATAGATAAATAAATAAAGCATCCTTTTTCTCAATATGTTAGCAAGAGAAGTAGATGTTATTGAGAATGTCATAGAGGTATAGGCAAGAGAAGTCATAGCACACTTCACAGAATACACTTAAAATAAATCCTCATTTAGGCATCACTGCTGTTCATTCAAAGGCCTACTCTGGCTGCCAGCCATCTCGCCTGTTCCGCCTTTGTCTCCACAAAACTTCTAATTGTTTCTAATGTTCCCAGCAGTTCTGCTCCACCCCTTCTGTATTCCATCGTGTAAAGACATCCAAGAAGATAGCTGTCCCCCTACTTTAATTTATAAACTAGCTCACTGACTATCTTGTATTATTAAAAAAATTTCTTAGGAGACTTACCTCTCACCCAAAGTAGCTAATAAGCTTTGGTAATTACCAAAGAAAACACTTCTCTTTCTATAGGGTATTTTGTTGCTTAGAAAATAGACTTTTCTTATTTACAGAAATATATATAAGCACTTCATATTTAAATAATTTCTATTTATAATTTGATGAAATAATACAGTTTGTATACATCATTTCCCTAGGCTTTTCAATTATTATCTTACATCAGCAAAGTACAATGACCAAAATCAATAAATAAAAAACTGATAGAAGACTGCTTACTAAATTTTGTACTTTATAAAATTATACTGAATTTTATAATGGAGGCCCATAGCAGGAGTTCTCAAATGCTGCATGATACAGGCTGGAAGTTGAAAACTCTCCAGGAAGAGTGGTCTGGCTCTCTCTTGGAATTGGCTTTACTTATCCTTTCTTCTAATTTAGAGATGAGTCCTGAGTGTTATTCACTGACTTTGTACAATGGTTTACCATTTTTTTTTTTAATTAGAATTGTGAACAGGTTTCTTGTTACTTTAATCCAGCTCTTTGTACACAATATTTAACAAAAATTTCTCAAATTATGTGTTGTGTATCCTAGCCCACTTTTTAAATGACAAAACTATTTCCCATTTTTATTTTTTTGACAAATCAGCTAATTTCTGGGAAGTGACTTTACAAGTTTGGACATTTCAAGAAGCCCTCCCATTAGTATTTTGTTGGTGATCCCTGCTATTCCTCGTATCCATTCCAAGGCCCAGGTGTAATCCACCCAACTCCATATTCTACACGAGATGTGCAATATTCCTCTCAAAGGTGAATTATCCACATAATTAAAATATTTTACAGCACTCATTCCTGAAGGAAGGGTAGCAGATTGTGAGCCTGGAAAGTGAGAGGGAAGAGGTTGAACTGGGGATGGACATAGGAGAAAATCCCACACTTACAACACCTAGGAGTCACGTCAGTGTACCATTTACACCGAGTGTCAATAAACTGTGAAACTAGAATAAACCTAATTTCCTCCTAAATACCTCAATACAATATGAAAAAAAGAGATCAGAAAAAAAAAATCTTTGGACGTAAGAGTGACTATCAGAATCTCCAAAGAAAAGCAAAGGAACCTGTGGTGGGTACCTTCTTCCAATATAAGAATGTGATTTTCTTTAATCATGGCAATTAAAGGTTACTCTTAACAATGGAAGTTTCATAATCTCATTTATCATATATACAAGAGGATGAAGATCTCAGTTATTTTAAATCTGCTAGAAAGAATCAAAGAGCAAACAGAATTTCAATGGTGCATAAACAGAAACTGAATAATTAAATAGCTGTTTAAATGTTTCACACACAAAATAAGTTGTTTTTATATGCCTATGTTTTACTCTTTTGTAAAGACCACATATTGATGAATAGATAAACAAACTCATTAAAAACCTTCTATTTTTATAGCAATACCTCTTCTTCCTTGTCTGATTTTTGTTGGAAAATTCCTTTTACAATTTAAGGTCTAACACTGACAACTTAGGAAATCAGCTTATTGTCCTAAGCAATAAAATCAACAAATAAAGCTTAGTATTGTTTTTCTAATGAAGAGGTTGTTACTGCTTGTCAATTAAATAATCACTGTGCCTCTTTACACACTGATATAGAAGCTTTGTTGTCTTGGCCTATTAATACCGAGAACCTGAGAAAATGTAATACTCTGAATGATATGCAAATATTTTGAATGTTTTCTAAATTACCCACTGCAATCTTTGGCTAAAGGTGAATAGAATCTGGTAATTATTTTTATTGATATGTATGTTCACATTGCAAGTATTATTTTCAAAGGTTAATTATTTACATAACCTCTCTAAGTTATAGCTCCTGCTGACTTGAAATTTATCTCAGCATAACTTAAATTTAATAAAACTAAATTGTTTTTCCTTTGCATTTGAAAGATATGTGGATAATTAGAAAGAAAGCAACTGGAAATTTACTCAATTTTTCATGAATATATGATATGTAGTCTTAAAATATTTAATTGTATTTAAGAATTTCACTGTTTTGTAAATAATAAAATTTTAGACAACCTTGAAAAGAAATAACTCATTCAAAGCATGCAATACATGCAATTTGTATTACTATGTGTAAGAGTCTACCTAAAAGAAACCCTAAGATACTCCTTGATTTTAAAATTATAATTTAGTTATTGTTTTTGTCAATTTGTGTTATTATAACAGAATATCTGAGACCAGGTAATTTATAAAGGACAAATATTTTTTTCTAACGTTTCTGGAGGGTGATAAGTTCAAGGTTAAGATGCTGGCATCTGGTGAGAACCTTCTAGTTGTGTCACCCCATGGTGGAAGGCAGACGATCAAGATGGCACAAGCAAGAGAGAGAAGCAAGAGGAGGCCAAACTCACTTTTATAACAAGCCCCATCTTGAGAAACTAACTTACTAGTGATATAGCAATATTCATCTACCCATATCCTAATCACTTTTTATTAGGTGCCCTGTACTAACATGTTGCATTGGGGATTAAGTTTTCAACACATGAACTTTGGGGAACACATTCAAACCATAGCATTCTACCCCTGGCCACCAAAATTCATGTCTTTTCAGAGTGCAAAATACATTCATTCCATCTCAGTAGCTCCAAAAGTCTTAAATCTTTCCTGCATTAAATCACAAGTCCAATGTACAAAGTCTCATCTAAATCAGGATATGTGTGAGAGTTAATATAGAATTCTCTTCACCTGTAAGCTTGTTAAATCTAAACAACTTATCTACTTTCAAAATACAACTGCAGGACAGGCATAGGACAGACATTCACATTCCAATGGGGAGAAATACACAAAAAGAAAGAGATAACTGGCACCAAGTAAATCCAAAACCCAACAGGGCAAAAAAATATGAAATCTTAAAGCTGAAGAATAATCTCCTTTGACTCCTTAGAGGGTGGGTCTCTAAGGTTTCAGGGAGCCACACCCCTTTGGCTTTGCTGGGCTAAGCCTGCACAGCTCTCATGGGTTGGGGCCTTATGCCTGCAGCTCTCCCAGAAGGTATTGTGTGCTGGTAGCTCTACAGTTCTAGGGTCTCAGTGGTAACCTCACTCTCATAGCTCCACTAGGAATTGCCTGAGTGTGAATTCTCTGCAGTGGCTTTGCCTCTGTGGTATGTTCTTGCCTGGGTCCCCAAGCCATCCTCAACATCCTTTGAAATCTAAGTAGAGACCACCATGGCCTCACAGCCCACACACTCTGCATGCCTACAGAGTCAGCACAATGTGGACGCCACCAGGACTTATCAGAGCAATGGGTCCAGTTACACTTGGGCTACTTGAGCCATGGGTGGGGTGGATGAGGAACACTCTCTCAGGATGCAGGGATTAAAGTCCCAAGGCAGCTCTAGGTGGCAAATACGAAGTTTCCTCTGGCATCTCTCTAGAAACCATGCCCTCAGAGTCCTAGCTGGCCTCAAAAAGATCTGAAATACTTTGAAGATTATTATTTCATTGTCCTGATGAATTAAACCTGGCTGCCTTCTATGTATTTTAATCCCTTTAGCAAATGGTTGCTGGCCACACTCTTAGTATTTTCTCCTGAACACCCTTTTTTATTCTTTATGTGGCCAGGCTGAGAGTTTTCCAAATCTTTTTGTTCTGCTTCCCTTTTAATTATAAATTCAATCTATAAATTGATTTATCTTTTCTTACGTTACTGAACATGACTAAAAGAAGCCATGACGTACTTTGAATGCTTTGCTACCTAGGTATTTCTTCTGTCTGACACCCTAGTTCATCACTGTTAAGTTCTGTCTTCCATGAAGACCTAGGACATAGACACAGTTCTGACAATCTCTTTGCAACTGTGTTGAAAGGATAGCCTTTACCCCAGTTTCCAGTGCCATGTTCTTCATTTCCATCTGAGACCATCATTTCCATTCACATATCATTATCTAGCATTTGATTACATGGCTACACTTATCCATGAAGAAGGCTAGGGAATAGAGTTCAGCCATGCGGCTTCTATCCCAAGAAAACAGACTTTCTAAATAAAAAAAAATAGTTTTTGTCATATGTATTGATATGCAAGACTCTTACAAACATAAAATTGAGTGAAGGAAGAACAAGTAAAAAATGATATGACTGATATAAAACAACTTATATAAAATTCAAATGCATGCCTTGTAAGCCATACAATGTTGAGGAAATATGCTTATGAAATAAAAATACGAAGAAATATATGGAAAGGATAAATCTGAAAACCAAAAGAGTAGGCATCGTGAGAGTATGGAAAAAGGATATGTTTGGGGAGGGAGTACATAAGGACACAACTCTATTTATAATGTATTTCTTAAACTATGCACATAAGCATACATTTTCATGACTGGAATATTTCAAACTATACGTTTTAAAGAATGTGGTAAACCATAGTTCTTTATGAGAGCAATATATAACCCACATAAAAACAACTAGCTATCTAGGTTATCTCACTGGGAGGATTGTGTGTATAGGTGAAATGCTGGAATTGAGACTGAATAATGCTAATATATTTCAGAAGACAAATTAGCACTTGCGTTTATATGAAAGAAAGAATAGATTCATTTGTGTAATAAGGAACTACAGAACTTGGAACAAAATAAAGAACGAGGCTTATAAAAATCTACTTGCACATTCTCAGAAATGTTTCCTCTTTAAGCTGGGAAATGATATGAACTCTATGGTCTGTGCACTGAGACATGCGCAAATGTGCATGGGCTCTGATCAATTGAAGAAAAAGCCACACTGCGTAGAAAAACAAGCAGAGTCACTTACTTACCCTGAAGTTAGCTAAGAAAGATCGAGGAATCTGATCAGTGTAATGAGAGTTTATTCGTTTAACTTCAGCTTTTCTTTGCTTAAGAATTAAGTTTTTATAAGGCCAGGCGCAGTGGCTCACACCTGTAATCCCAGCATTTTGGGAGGCCAAGGCGGGTGAATCACGAGGTCAGGAGTAAGAGACCAGCCTGGCCAATATGGTGAAACCTCGTCTCTACTAAAAATACAAAAACGAGCCAGGCGTGGTGGTGGGCGCCTGTAATCCCAGCTACTCGGGAGTCTGAGACAGGAGATTTGCTTGAACCTGGGAGACGGAGGTTGCAGTGAGCTGAGATCACGCCACTGCACTCTAGCCTGGGTGACAGAGCAAGACTCTGTCTCAAAAAAAAAAAAAAAGAATTAAGTTCTTATAGTAAGAATGTCTTGTGTCTCCTAGTGGGCTGCATGTTATTTATTGTACGTTCTCCTGCAGTACTGATAATCTCACATTGGTAATTCTAAGTTATGTTCTTCACAATATATATAAACACCTTTAAAATTACTTTAATGAACTAATTAACCTTTATTCTGTTCATTAGTGTGTTTGCAAATATGAAGCACATATCTGTACACTCAATGATTGCCAAATATTTAAGTTTAAATTATTTTGCCTTAAGGACAAAATATGACAAGATAAGCAATCTATTACTGTTTGCAATAATTGGAAATGAAAACAAATATTGATGTTTAAGCAATGAGAGCAGTAGGTAATACTTACAAAAATTCAAAGGAGAGATCATTAAGAAAAACTTCATAGAGGAGAGCTGAGTTTTATATTGGGGCTTGTAGCCAATCTTAGATTTCAGGGAAGAGACAGTGACAATTGTGCAGGTCATTTCATTGATATTTATTTAGAATATACCGTTATTGATAAAATTACAAACAGCTATTATATGGAAAGACTGGCAGGTACAGAAAACTGTTCAATTCCTTCTTTATCATTTGAATCACCACATAGCTCTATATTCTCTTATCCATACAATTTATGAGAATTTTATTTAAAATTTATCTGTGAAAATTATTTATTTCAACAAAGTTAATGTTGCAGGACTTTTCCTTAGTTCAGCTAAGGGGTTCTTTGTCCCATGACCGCGAAAATTCAGGCTCACAGACAATTTGAATAGTGAGTAAGACAGGATTTCTTTCGATGAAAAGGAAGCAAAGGTGACACAGGGACTCTCGCAAGGCCAGAGTCCCTCCGCTAGATTGCATCCCACCCAGCAGTTTGAATCCCTGGTCCCACACAAGAAGAGGAGGAGCCAGGCTCCTTTCTGCTGCAAATGGCACGTGAACTTCCCAAGGTTCCACCCCAGTGTGCAGGCCGGTTGGAGTTTTTCCAGGGACCCCCACTCACCTAGCTGTCTCATTCCCCCCTCTAAAGAAGTGTATCTAACTGCCCTTAGATTAAGGATTAAGAACGAAGACCGATCTTAACTGCTTCCTGCGGACAGGGGGCGCTGTTTAGGGGGAAACAGCAGTCAGAGCTCCCTCAGAGGCCTATCTAAGCGTTCCCAGCAGAAGGGGCCATCATCAGAGGCTCCAGTTGTATGACTGTTTGCAGTCTGATGGCCTGAAGGCAAGAACAGACAAACCAGGTTATTAGAAAACATGTATCAAAACGAAACAGAGAGGTGCAAAGACAGCTCAAAAATTCCAAGGCCTTTTATCAATTTGCACAGGGAGAGGGAGGCCAAAAGCCTGACTGTCAAAGAAACTGTACCCTTTTGCCAGCATGTTGGGCTTCTGGGTTTCCTTCCTCTAAATCCAATCCTAAACCAACCAGTTTAAGGTTTGGGAAATTAACTCTTTCCAGTCTGGAGGATGCATCTGAGGGGAGTGTCTCATAGTACAGAGACACAATTACCTCTTAGTGAAGAGAGAACCAAGGAAAAGAAAGGAAAAATACGAAGACATTTTTTAAAGTAGTCCTGAGGGTTCAGAATGCATTTGAAAGGGGTGCAAACTAAAGATGAATGGCTACCCATCTAGAAAAAGGGAAGCAGGAATCGCTGGCTCCTTTCTCTTCCCAGCAGATACCCAGGGTACATGAGGGAGAGAAGGAAGAGCATCCTCTTTTTCTCTTCCATCCTTGCATCCCTGAGTTCCAGTGACCTTGTCAGGCGCCACCATGGGTACCAAAGCAGTTTGCACCCATGAAGCAGGGGGGCCTAGGGGCTGAGAATCATCTGCTCTTACCCACATACACCGTATCTCTTTTGCTGTCAGTAGCCTTGGAGTTCCCTAGACCACAGGTATGTCATGGATACTAATGTGGCCTTTATCCATGAAACAGGAAGCTTCAGGTTGGCTTAATTCGCAGGAATCAGCCATGCTCACCTGCGCTGTGACAACCTCTGTTGTCATTTGCCTCTGGATCTTCCAGATCCAGTTTTCTTTCCTAGGGCTTTGACCCGAAGCTTGAAATTGAGTCTGGGACAAAAACGTGTCTCAAGGGGCATTGCATGGACTCCTTATTATAAGCCAAGTGCTAAGGTGAAACTGTTGAACTGAGTCCTCCTCCAACAAAGGAGAGAAAAGGATGTGACACACACAGATAACTGGTAGCTATAGTTATGCTTGCTAGGATTTGGGTGCATGGTGCTTGGCTTTGGTTAGTTCCCTTGGTCTTACTTTCCCAAAAAGGAAACTGCCAGGTGATGGGCACTCTATTTATTCCATCACCTGGCAGGATTTGCAGGATAATTGTGCAGAACTATAATATTGATCTGGATTTCTACATTACCCATTCCTCTTGCTCTTTCTAAGCTGCAGCCAAGGATTTCTGGTTGGCTCACAGGAGCAAGCAGGGATAGTCTAAAATGTAGACAAAAACTTAAAAACAACTAATAAGTTTAGAATTTAATGACAAATGTATGATAAGTTTTGAAACATGATTTCTCTCTCTCTCTCCAGTCCCCATGTTTGTTAAAAAATCATCATAGGACTGAATGGTTTGCAAAATAGACTTTAGTTTTATACTTGGCCTGATTACTTGCATAAAATGCAGCCAGAGTAATTATTTGACATAGGCCTTTTGGATTGGCTTTGATGGAAGTTTATTCCATGAGGAGTCTCAGATAAGACCTTTAAGCCAAGCTCAACCATGAGTTTGTACCCTCAAACACCTATGAATTGGGTGATTCTCTCCTCTTAAGGTCCCAAGATAAACTTGGAGCTCCTAGACATGTTAGAAAGTGACATTCTTTACTGACCACCAGTCAGAAACCCTGACAGGTACTGTGTAGGTGAGGGTATAAGGCCAGTCTCCCCATGGGGCTTTTATTGGCTCTGCAAGTGGAGACTGACCCCTTAAAGGGAAGCATACCCTCCCAGTCAAAGCCTTGGTAAACTAACCAATTTTTCCAATTGTGTGCTGTTGCAAAAGAAAAATGGATTATTATTGCACTCTTGCAAACAACTATACTGCCATAAGTTAGGAATACTCACAGATAGTTTCCAAATTCTAGAGGAACCAGGCAGAGAGAAACAAACATGCTCCAAATCTTGATCCCAGAGTATAACTTACTTACTTATTAAAGGCTGTAAATAGTTCAAAATAAGTTTCCTTGACTCTGAAAAACAAAACAAGCAACAGCAATATTCCAAGCAAGGGTTAAAAGGGTTTCTTCAGCTTTCTAAGTTCAGTCCACTTAGTTAACTCTTGATTTGCCATTTCAGCTCTTCATTAGTCCTGTACATTTTTCTTTTTTTCAATGTCACAATTTCTAAAGTTATCAGAAATCTGTATTTGAGAGCACCTGTCACAGCTCTATAGCTTATTATAAACCATATTTGAAAAGGATTAAAACAAGACAACAATTGTCTGTGAATAGGAAAATGTCCAGGATAGTTACAGGTAGAAACACAATTGACAAAAAAGTTTGGTTACCTCTGTGGTTTACAATAACTTAACATAAAAACCTTAATTAGGACAGGACCTACCACAGAAGTTCAATATAGTAGTGAAAAGACCATAATACATTTATTTATTTATAAATGATAAATTATATATTTATTTGCATATAACTTCACATTTATAAATAAATATAAATACGTATTATATATTTGTTCACATTTATATTATTTGTAGTTATTTTCACATTCATAGTCATAAAATAATAATTATTTATTCATATATAGGTCTATATATTTTTTAATCTTAAATTATAAACACTGAATCTACTATTTCTCTCTACAAATTTTATAGTTATTATATGCTTCAATAATTAGCCAGGTTGAAAAGCAACATAAATCAGCACAGGCCTAATTATTTATTCATATGTATATTCAATTAATTTAGCAATTAGTGTTCACCAATTAATATGTCTCTAAACTGATATTGAAAAAAATCTTCACTTGGCAGGATCTGACTTAAGGTTCTGAATAGACTAAAGTAATACTTCATTTTAACTTCCTAATTTAAAAATGCCATATTTAGCACTCATGTTCAATGCATTCAGGAGCATGATATTCTCCTGTTGCATGAAGTGCTGTCATTCAGTTCCCAAAGCTGACAGTAGCTCCACCATCTTCTTCATGTACTTTCTAGGTTTCCCTAGAAATTGCCTCTCAGATAGACTCTGAGGAAAGAGCAAAAAATCACATATGGAGATATTTATAGACCAGGCCTAGAACTGGCATACATCATTTTCTGTTACTTTCCATTACATGGAATTCTGCATATGGCCACCCCTACTAAGAGGAATTCTGGGAAATGCAGTCTAGTCGTTTCAAGTGCTAAACCCGGAAGGTTACATTATTTTGGTGCACACTTAGCAGTCTCTGCCATAGACACAATCACATGATCTCGTTGTTGCATTTGGAGACACGGATTTTACTTAGAAGGAAGGACAACCTAAGGGATTGAGGAGAGGAATTTTGTATTGTAACAAAGAAAAATGTGTGGAAGTTGATTGAAAAGTGCAGAGCTAGATGCAGCCTTGGTCCTTGGGGCCAGTTTATTGAAGCAGTCAGGACATTAGCATCCATCAATATCTATCAGACCAAGTAGTAAGCGGAGTGTTTCAGAATGTGGAATGAGAAGGTAAAGTTACGGATAAAGACCAACTCTCTAAATCTAGTCTAGGAATTGTCAGAAGTTATTCCAACTCACATATTGACAGTATTTAGCCCTTGCATAATTTGTAATTCTAGATATGAGATAAAACATTAACACAAAGAGGTGTTATAAACCTTAAAAGCTGACACAGAAAAACATCCAGAAATTCAAGGGAATTGTCAATTCCCTCAGATATAAACTCTCACCCAGGTTAATGAAGATTGAGAAGCAAGACATTTGAACAATGATCCCCACAGAATACCTGTAAAATAAGTACAATAGGTTAATAATACTGTTTTAGAATGGCATTGCCAATTCTCTGAATTGTGAAAGAAATATATATTTTTAAAATATGGCTCATTGCTTATGTGAATTCTTGAAAAGTTATGCTGTAATGCAATTTTTGAAATAAAACCAAAGTGGCTGTCTAATCTGCAGACATTTATCAGCCATTCTGTTTATAAATGATGTAATGAAATGTGCCCTGAGAAAGCAAAAATAAACACACTGAGATTCTTTCTCCCATGGAATCTATATTCTAAAACAAGTGCTTTAAATTCTTCATGAAATAGATATCCCTTTTTAAAAATATGTCTTCATTCCTTCCTTCCCATAATCCTGAAGATAGCAAGATTGGGAGTTAAGTGCATAGACATTGGATTTGGGATTTGGACCTTGCAGTCTGTTTTTTGTCTAGTTTCTTATGTTTTAAAAAATCTCATCTGTAAGTGGAGAAATAAAAGGCATCCTCCTCCTTGCACAGAGCTTAGCAAATTACAACTTCTCAAAAACAAAAAATTGCCACTATAATAGATTTTTATTGTTTAAATTGAGTTTTTTCAAAATTAGTTATACTAATTTTGACTGATATAGGTCCCCTTCTTAGTGATAAATAATGGTAATTTATTTGGTAAATTGTGTCTGTACTAATGATTCTGCTCAAAATGACTTGTTGGCTGGTATTTTTATTATTGGGAGTTTTGAAAATATTAGTAAGTTTTTTTTTAACCTGGCAAGATGATATAAATTCTTCTTGCACTTATTCTAATGTCTGGTATTTTATCTATGTGTGGTATGTTTCAATTGTTAATAATCTGGTTATAAGTTATCAGTTTAAAAACAGAAAATAAGGAATGAATTAGATTTTGAAGAGAATTTTCAATTAATTATATTTATTAATTTGCCAATGAAGTTGAGTACTGAGTGTTAGCTGTTTCAGGGTCATTTCACTAAAATACAATCTTCTTTTAAGATTTCTAAAAGAAATTATGAATTAGGGCATTCTGTCACCCAGATTATTTAGGAAATATTTTTCTATTTGTTGTATTGAATTAGACTTAATTTGCCAATTAAAAATATAAATAAATTCATTTAAAAAACTGTAAGGAGACTATTGCTGCAGGCAGAGAAATCAATATATGTCACTGGAGGTTCAGAAAGGACACTCACCATTTTATTTACTGACAAAATAACTACAGAAGTGGTCATCTATGGTGATACAGACAACAGAAGATGTTTATAATTAACTTTTGAATTGTGCAAGGATTTCCAGGCAGAATGCTTCAAATGCTCACTGACTTCATTTTAGTGTCTGAGAAGTTATAAGATAGTGATGAACAAAAGAAGCAACTATTTTGTTCTCGATCAAAATCTATAGGAAACATCTCTGATCTGGACTTTCTATGTTGGAAAATAAAAATTTATCTTTCACAACATCTTCATCTAGGGTAAAAATCAAATGTAAAGTTAGGATTAAAATCAAGTAAAGGCGTGTCTTTAAAACTGTTTATAAAGCCTTCATAAGGACTTTAGGCAGAGCCTTTCAGACCCTCTTAGACAAATATGGAGCTCCTAATGCTATTAACAAAAGGCCTTATAGGCATTCTCTTCTAGAAAAAGGAATTCTGGACATATTAAATATGTTGTTCCATGGCTTCATGACTATAGGTTGAAGTGGAGCTGGGCCTATCTTGGAGAAATTTGTGGGCATAGTTTTTGTCTAATGGAATGGACTGTAATTCAAATTTTAAGGCCCTCAAAGTTTTTAAGGGAATTATAATAATTTAGTCTCAAAGGGTAGAGGCAATTCAAGATGCAAATAAGGCTCTGGGCCCCTCAACTTCTAATGTAAGGAAGCAGATGGACAACATACTGGATAAGAGTCAAGGGCCCAGATTACAAAATCAAATAACAAGGAGAATCACTTCTAGGTGAAATGGAACAGAAATGAGTCTTAACCATCTTACATTGTCCACCCCAGAGTAAGGGAGAAGGATGGTAATGAATCCAGCCCAGTTGTCCCATAGAACCAACATTTATTGGGTTTCTTTTGAGTAAACATAGAAATTGATCTCCCCAGTCTTAAAACTTAAGAAAGTAACATTTGTCTTATCTGAGTTTCTTTCTTAGAAAACCAAGCATCAGTCCTCTCAGACGGTATCAAGGAGCTGAAATTTACAATGACAATAAGATGTCAGACCCTTCAACCATCATGATTGTCTAACTGACCACCTGCTTCCTGTTGACCAACTTTTCTTTTTCCTAATTCCTATTTTCCTGCAGGTCATTATATTTCTGCTATATTAACCCCTAATTTTAGTCAGGGAGATGGATTTGAGACTAATCTCCCATCTCCTTAGCTGCAGCACCCAATAAAACCTTTTTCCCTAGCAACACTTGTTGTCTTGGTGATTGGTATTCTGTGTGGTGATCAGCAGGACCTGCACTGAACCTCTCATGTTTTGGTAAGTGATGTGACCTTATGTGGATTTCAGAATTACTATGAACTACTGAGGACTCCGCCTCCCATCTCCCCTCTCTCCCACTCCTGCACACACATTTAGGTAGATGTGTCTATTGTATCCCTGTCTCACCCTTGTATGCTGGGTGGGTGTTGGAAAGATCACATGTCTCTTTAACCAAAGGTCTTCGGATAGAGAAAGAATTGTACTCAAGAGCGTCATTTTTACCTAGATATAATTTACATGATGTTATTTAAGACGTTAAGAACGAGCTTGGTGCATCAATGGGATAAGATATTTGGGTATTTTGAGAAGGAGTTGATGAATTTTGAATGTGGGAGAAATATGAATAATTAGGAAACAGAGGGAATGATGGTGGACCCAAATAAATTGTGCCTCCCAGCATTTATAACTCTTAAAATTCCTACCTAATATAATGCTACCTCTCCTCCCCTGAATCTGAGCTGGTCTTATAAATTGCTTTAACCAGGAGAATATGTTGTAAGTGATGCTAACCAGTTTCTAGCTTAAGCCTTAAAACAACCTCACAGCTTCCATCTTTGGTGCTCTTGGGAATCCTGAGCCTTCATGTAAGAAGTTCTGCTATCTTGGTAGAAATGCCACATGGAGAGGCCATATAGAAGGACAATACCTGAGACTACTTGCAAAGACAGACACTGAGCCCAGCCTCAGGCTGACTTGAAAAACATATCCACATCAGTGACCCTCTGCAAGATCAGTAGAAACCTAACTCAGATTGAGAATTCATAAAAAAGTGAAATCGCTGTTGTTTAAGCCAGTAAGTTTTGGAGTACATTGTTATACCTCAGTAAATGACTGAAAGAAGAATTATACTGTAAAAAAAGCAGAATAATATGAAATAAGTCACATCTGCTAGGTAAATCACCTGAAGCAATAAATTACTGAAGGAAAAGAAACCTATAAATATATGTATTTATATTTCACAAGTGCCTATTTACATGTATGTATGCATTTGTATATATCCATATATGAGAGTGTATGTGTGTAATTATAAAAATATTAAGAACATACATACTATATCTAAACCCAATTAACTTCTTTAATTCTTTTTTACCAGTTGGTAACCCACCAGTTGAGTCATGTGCCTTCATCAATTACAATGACCTGGTATCCATGACTACAGTATCTCAGTATACCCTTTTAAAATTATGATGGAATTATTTTTACTTTTAGTTTTAGCTTTTGTGAAATTGTGTGAAACAAAATTCAAAAACACTGACATTATACAGTATTTTTCCACTTTGGAATACATAAAAAAGTTGAAAATGAACATCAAGAACATCAGTTCATATTTTTGCCACATAAATAGAATTTCTATATAGTTTGATTGCAAAAAGATGGAGTTTGGTGCTAGTTTTTTCTTTAAACTCCCTCCAGTTGTAAGCGAGTCTTTACTGTTAATTCAGACATTATGTGAAGAATCAGCCCTTTTGATATTGAGTTCCCATCTATAAAAGACTGAGAATTAGCCTTTGCTTTTCTGGGAATAAAAGAGAGTAGCAGTTAGGATATGGATTCTACTAGTTATGACCTCAACATTTTCCCTTTTAACCATGATTCTAATTGCTTACATACCCTATTTCGTTCTCTTTCCCATGATCTTTTTCTTCTCCTTTGTGTAATCCAGCCGTCCCATCATAACACTTTCTGGACTGATTACCACAAGATTGAGATGTGAAAGTTAAAAAGTGGGTAAACATGAAGGAATAGCCATTTTAATGAATTCATTCATTCTTATTCCTGGAACCAATGTAGTGACTTGCTATAAAACATTTAATTTCCCAATTTATGTGGTGACTTCCTATGAAACATTTAATTTCCCAATTTGGGGAAGTGAAAGTAATCAATTTTTAAGCTATTGTTTATTGAGAGAATTTAATACAAATCATTGTTCATATACCACCATTAATCATCATAAACATCTTACAAAGTAAGGTTCATTCCTATGTCACTTGTTAGAAAACTAAGTTTTACCAAAGCTTGGGACTTAACCACACTACACAATTCTTAAAATTATATCTGAAGCATGTCTCCTGGGCTCAAAACCTAGGGATTTTTATCACTTTACTCTCTATTCTAACACATGATTTAATGTTTGAAGACATCAATATAACAAATCTTATGCTTGTGGGTTAAGAGTCATACAAGTTTTAAAAGACTTGACTTAACATGTAGAAACCTTACATAATTCTCTACCAAGTCAGTTCAAAGAATATTATATAGCATCCAATGATAAGATACAAAGGTAAATAACTATTCAATCTATTATATACTGTGAGCATCATTCTTTTGCTTTTGTGAAGAAATTTCATAAATCCCAGTTTATCCTGTTAAATCTTTTTGGGCTTTCTGTAGCCATTTTCTAACTTTGAGATGAGAGATGGAAAAGAAATAAAACTGATGAGTTTTTTTACTCTATATACCATAGTGTTGGAAAAGTCAAATTCATAATAATCAGTACAACTAATTAACACAAAAACATCTGGATCAAAAGTGAAAAATTCAATCACTGATATCAAACGTCTATGTGTTTAGAAGTGTGTATGTGATTAGAAACATCTGGACAACTGACCAAATTACTGGCTTCTTACTAATAATTTAGGAAGTGCATAAACACATTGCCAGGTTGCCAGAAAATTAAATATGTAATCAGGGATGTTGCCTACAGTAAAATGAAACAGAGAGGTAAAATTAGGGCCACTTTGTTGAGAGCACTGAAAATAGTTTCAGCTGTAGGGCTTTATTTACAACCTTCCCTGATCTAACCTAATCACAGTGTCTACATTGATCTATAATAGCAGCTCTCAAACTGCATCCCATTGCGCTAAACACAACTCTGTGCCACCCTGTTCTAATCAGTCCACCCCTACTTTCCTACTTTTCAAAAGAAAAATAGCTCTCTTATGAAAACTGCCATTTTGCACCCTCCTTTCTGGTGTGTGTATGTGTGAGTGCATCTGTATGTGTGTATGTATGTATATGTGTGTGTATGTGTCTGTGTGTGTGTGAGAGAGAAAACTGTACCTGTATGCAACAGAAACAGAACTGTAAGTGATTATTTTCTGAAAAAAAAATCACTGTGCCTTAAAATAGTTTTATTAAAAAATTATTCCTGGGCCGGGCGCGGTGGCTCATGCCTGTAGTCCCAGCACTTGGGAGGCCAAGGCGGGTGGATCATGAGGTCAGGAGTTTGAGACCAGCCTGACCAACATGGTGAAACCCTGTCTCTACTAAAAATACAAAAATTAGCTGGGTGTGGAGGCACACGCATGTAACCCCAGCTACTCGGAGGCTAAGGCAGGAGAATCTCTTGAACCCGGGAGGCGAAGTTGCAGTGAGCCAAGATCGCGCCATTGCATTCCAGCCTGGGCGCGAGACTGAGACTCCGTCTCAAAAAAAAAAAAAAAAAAAAAAAAAAAAAAAAAAAAATTATTCCTAAAATGCTATTGTTGCAAAAATGTTTACTAACAGTGTAAACATTATCAGTAAGCACACGACAAAGAAAATTAATGATGATGAATATAAATGAACAGTTATTTGTAACTGTTGAAAAGCAAGTAAAACAGCAATTCCAAAGCATATTTAGTTCAAAACAATACTGACCATCAGAGTCTTTGCCCCGAATTTAAGGTATCTTACTTTCCCTTTGTTTGCAATGTGTTAGAATCTTCACAAAGCTGTCTAATGTGGTATGACACTCAGACTTCTTATAGTACTGAACTTAAAATCTCTAGTCAACTTGAACCATGTGCACATTGTTTTGCAAGACCTGCTTTCAGTACTTCAGTAACCGCTTGGTGGCTTATCAATATGTGCCCTCTTAATGTTATTCAAAACTAAAACATTATAGAGTTGTTATCAGCCTTCTGTAAAAACTTGAAAGAAAATACTTGAAATTGTGGATGTGTTTTCAGCCTTTCAAGATGATTCAATGGAGCCTGCCAGTGTGCCTTATCTTATACTTAGGGAATTATTACAGTGAACATGTATTTTTTTTATTCTTGATTATGACTTTGGATAAAACACTGAGTCTTTCAAATCATGTTTCTTCATCAGAAAAGGAGACTAGAGTTAGAAACATGACATGAAATTATGAAGTGGTAGATGGATATACTGGATTCTTCAGTCTTTTCTTCCATACATTTGACAAGACATCATCATGGGGAGAGTATATTTCTCCATCACTTGATTCTGGGTTTGGCCACAACATCATTCCATGTTGGCCATTACTACTATGTAGTAGTAATGTAGTAGTATGTAGTAGTAATACTACAATTAAGCATTATCCTTATAGCATGATATATTCACCACATTTATGTACAATACCAGTTTCTCAGTAAAAGGAAACCAATATTCTGCTCCTCATATCAATCAGGATTAACAGCTAATGAGAACTTTTTTAATGAGGGATAAATCAGTTATTTAAGGAAAAATTTAAGATAGAATCTAAAGCATTGAATGGAGTTATTTTCACTTATAAAGCACTAGGGACTGACTCGTGTGTGTGTGTGTGTGTGTGTTTGATGGTGTTTAATATATTCACATGGATTTTACATAAACCTCTGTCATGTACCCCATACTTTAAAGAATGTTGCTTCTTTTGATTCCATACAGTCAACTATGAGATGAATTCTGTGATTCCTGATAACATATTCATCGAGAAAACTTTGGCGATAAAAATGTTTATTATATTGTAGCATGAGAAATGAATATAAAAGAATCTCAATTCACTCATAACTGTACTCCCAGACGAAGTGTGACAGTAAATCCAGAAATGAAATGAAAGATTAATTTGTGGAGATGGCAGTCTGGCAGACGCATATTACTGCCATGTTGTTATTCTTCTGGCACGCTGGCTTGCAATTTTTCTTCATGCTTTTTATTCCAATTTATTTGCTTTGATTTCTGAGTATAGGACAAAGTCCCTTTTTTCTTCCAACTGCATGATATTAGGTGGTGCTATTTCATATTGAATGTGGTTATGAATTAATTAGTAAACATTTCTATTGATTGAAAAGAGACTATATAAAGGCCTTCATGCAGGACATAGTAGTAATGCGAATGTAGCAGGCATCTGGGCTGAGCCTAAGGACAATGCCTAATAAAATAGTGCATGGAGTGGCCCCCTCAGGTGTCAGTTTGTAAGAACTGATTTACAAAAGGGAAAAAGTTGTTAGACTCAGCAGTGGTTATGATTTTGGGGAACAGGCGAGGAATGGAGAGGAAAGCATGGCACAAGTCTCCAAGCCCTGCCTCAAGGGTTGCACACACACATGAAGACAGTATGTGCAGTCAAAGAAGTGGAGCTCTTTCATTTGAGACCGAGTGACCCAAGGCCACAACCAGGCAGCAGCATCACTGCTCGAGGATCAAAGTGGGACCTGAGAGCAGGAGTCATATAGCTTGAAGAATGCTGAGAAACAGTACACTTGGCATTCGTGTCGTCATTGGCAGGAAGGAACCAGCAGTGGTGGAGAGATGCTTCATACAGCAGGTGCAGCAAGTGGCAGACTGCAATTACAGAAGGTGGGGTGCAGGATATTATGTGGAACAACTACACGTGAGCTTAGAAAACATCATCTCTGAGCACACTCAGAAATCACTATTTGTGAATTTGAGTTATGCGCCAACCACCAACGTGCATACACAGGTGGTGCAGAAACCCGTGACATGTGTTGCCAATGTGACCTCATCTGAACTCACAACTGGAGAGACCTGGGGAAGCAGGTTTGTGCCTTCATAGGGCTCCCCATGTAACAGGGACAATGGAATAATATCAATTAAAAGATGATATAATGCAAATGTTTCATGAAAGATATAGAACACAACTGCTCTTGGGACAGAGAAAAGAGATAATTATGAACAAAGCACTGAAAAAGTTCATTTTTCATGCTGTATGCAATGAATCTCAGAGTGTCAGAGTCTTGGGAGGCCCTTGTATCACCTTCTCCCGCTCCGCAGTTAGCTAACCTGGCTGTGTTTCGACAGCATCCGTGTTGTCACGGTACTCTGAACTCTCCATGACAAATGCATGCTTGCCTACCTAAACCCAGACTGCAAACCCTGGCAAATAAAGGGTTGTTTCTTTGTTTTTTTCATATCTGATTTGTTTTTTATCACATAGCAGATGGTATGTTATCATTGATTTGATGACTAACAAATAATAAATGAATCCTCATAAAATAAATCTACATATGCTAATTCTAACAAATGCAAAGGCTAAAGGCTATCATGGCTGGCCTACCCAGAAATTCTGATTGCCCGTAGCTGCTCTTTAGATTTGAGATAATATCCAACAAAGCCTTCTGTTTCAAAATTGAATTCTGTAGCCTGAAATGCAAGGCATCTTGAGCCCAGTAATTTATCACCTACCACCTACAGTCCAATAAAACTAGCTGGCCAAATTTCTATGACAGCAAGTATAAGATGATGGAAGCCCTAAGCTTCTGTATTTGTAGATTCCAAAGTTCCCTCAAAGGAAAAAGGCCCAGTTGACTAACAGTGCTCTATAAATTTCCTTTCACTGTTAAGATGCCAAATTATTCTTCTATTTCAATGTCTTGTGCCTAGGATTGGCATGAATGTTTTCATGCTACCTCATCAGAAGTACTCTTTAGTATTTCTATGTATTACAGGTCAAAATCTCTCTACAAAGCTATGTATTCTCTTTTGTTACTTGTAGGCTCCTGGCAATATATGTTGTCAAAACAACTTAAATGTTGCACAGTCATAAACCTAACCTTGTAGGTCCTCTAACTTGATGTTGCCTCTCTTCCAGCAACAACTACCCACCTAGACTTGCCAGAGTCCAATAATATTGGTTTCATTTATAGAAGAGGGAATGAAGTGAAAATAGATGCTATTAACTAGACTGGTCTAGGCTTGGGGAAAGTAGGGTTAAGAAGGTAGAATGATTTATTGCTATCCCTTCTAATAATTCTGTCTTTGTTAGATATATAGGTAGTTAAAGGAGATCATATGTCTCCCAAAAGGTGCTCTAGTGTTCCAGGAGTTTAAAAAATATTCGGACATTTATCTTTAAAAAGTCCAGTTTTTTGTCTTTTATATCACCAGCTGGTAGCTTGTGAAAAGTGGCCTTGTTCTCTTTCCTGCTGAAGAAGTTTAGAGAAATGGGCCAAGAGATGTCCGTCTCCAATTTGATAAATCATCAATCTAGATCACACTATTTTAGGGATCATGTCTATTTTTCCTCCATTTTTGTATAATGATGATTTTTTAACCTATCCACTGTCTTCTCTATGGTCCATGATCCCTTTATTAAGCCTTTTAAAATCCTTCTAATGATATGATTAATTGCAATGATTATTAACAATTCAATCACAAGAATACCTATGATGTACTGATGTTTTAAATGTCTACAAATGATGGTAATCTCTCTCTCTCTCTCTCTTTAAAATATGACACAATTAAAGGATATCTTCCTCAAGGATCATTCCCAAAGTACTGTCTGGTGCTCAATCAGTGATAGGAGAGTCTCTTTAGACTACTTTTTCTATTCCAAATAATGACATTCATTGTTCCTTAGCAAGTTGAACCCAGGTGTTCTCCGAGTAGAAATAGTCACTGTTAGAAGAAATATCCACAAGTTAGAAGAAAATATTGTTCTTACATTTATAAATTGTTCATTTCTTTAGTTTGTCACTATTAGTGTCAGAAAGGGCCTCTAGAATTTGTAGAAATGGCCCCTTGAGCTTATCAAAGATAAAACAATCAAAAATGTCAAACCTTGTTTTAGGCGGTTGCTATCTGAATACTGGTGCTGGTGGGGGAGGTTTGAAGAGAGTAGAGGGTAGGAATGATTAAGTAGACTGAAGTCAGAAACCTTGTGAAGTGGAAACAGATGGGGTGTATGCATTAGCATTGCTCATTTTAATGTCACTGCTGGTCAATGATTTGTTTCTGTATCACATGATATTTATTACTGATAACCAATCAGAGATTTAGGCAACTCGAAGATTCCCAAAAGAGGGAGAAAAAGAGCACATGTAAAAACTAGTGAAATCAGAAGAAGGCCCATACTTGAGTTAACAGAATTGTACCAATATCAATTTCCTGGTTTTGACAATGCATTATGATTACATAAGATATGATCACTGGGGAGAGTGGGGTGAACTGTACACAGCAACTTGCTATACTATTTGTGTAACTTCTTAAGAGTTGACTTACTTTAAAATAAGAAGTTTTTAAAAAACAGAGAACACTTAGGCTATCAATTATATTTTGTTTTAATTTCCAGAAAAAGGTAAAGGTGGCCAGGCATTTAATTGTTGAAAACACAATCAACAGAAATGGGTGAAGAACAGCAGAAGTGACATCTTTCCTTTAGTTTTTATCTTTCTAAATGTTTTAGATTCAAGAAAGTAGTACTTATATTTCACTAGCTATTGCTATCCTGGTAAGTGGTACCAGATTTGACAACACTGCTAATAAGGAGTTGTTCTTCTTAATCTAAAGCATATTTCAATGTTTTTGATCTTTGCATCATTTTCTATTGTGGCTCAGGGCATCATTTAGGAGCTCTTCCAGAATTCAGCATTTTTACCTAGTGGCAGCAGATTAGGTATTTATATTTGCCCAGGTCTTTCTTAAGAGCACTTGCTTTACACTTCTAAGAAATTTGACAAAGGTAGCAGGCTTGATGACTTAAATACTTCTGAATAAAGTTTGAAGTTAAACTGCCAATCTTCATAGTATCAAAAGATTTTGTCACAAATCGTGTAGCTTGGTGTGTACTTCAGAGTGTTGAATTTTTGCTTATTTCTTTTCTTTTTCTTTTTTTTTTTTTTTTTTTTTTTTTTTGGAGATGGAGTCTTTCTATGTTACCCAGGCTGGAGTGTGGAGTGCAGTGGTGTGATCTCAGCTCACTGCAAGCTCTGCTTCCCGGGTTCACGCCATTCTGCTGCCTCAGCCTCCCCAGCAGCTGGGACTACAGGTGCCTGCCACCACGCCCGCCTAAATTTTTTTTGTATTTTTAGTAGAGACGAGGTTTCACCATGTTAGCCAGGATGGTCTCGATCTCCTGACCTCGTGATCCACCCGCCTCGGTCTCTCAAAGTGCTGGGATTACAGGTGTGAGCCACCATGCCCGGCCGATTTTTCCTTATTTCTGAAATCACTAAAATATGAGACAGACCAATACTTTCTCACATTTGTCCTGAATTGTGAGCTCTTCCTACTTCCAGTGACACACACAGCAGTCTCACATTTACAACAGCACACACACACAACAGAGATACACTCACACACACGTACACACTCATTTTACGTTTCTTTTACCATCCTAAGAAATTCTTACATGAGAAGATATATAAAAATGAGAAACAATTGTCTGTTTGTTTATATTTGAAATGTTTGAAAAATGTATTCAGACATTTCTTAGATCTTTGCTCATTTTCTTATTTTGAGCTACAGTTGCTGTGTTTGGAAGCCAAAACAGTAAAAAAGTTTTTCATCTACATGCACCTCTAAAAATGGGAATTTTGTAGCTTTCTCTGAGTGCAGTTTTCTAGTTACCTTCTTTGCTTGCTTTTGTTTTGCTGTGGCCTTCTCTTTTGCATTTACAAATATTTCTTGAGCCCATAGTAATGCTTTCTCTGCGGCTTCAAAGATGAGTAGACCATAGCCCCACCCTATCTCACAAGAAATTCAGATTCTCTATACACGTCTAAGGAATTAATATTTGGAATAAAAATACAGCATCTTTATTACTTACCTGATAATTTTGATATATTATCTCAAATAATAATAATATTAATACCACCTTTTTTTAATTCCATGTCCTTTTAAAAAAATGATTTCTTTGATTTAAAGTTATTTAACTTTGACAAAAAAACTGCTAGAAACTGGGGTAGCCACTTGAAAGATGACACAGCTAAGCTTCAGAGAGAGTGTGATTGCCATTTTCCATACAACTAGATGAGGGCTAGAATCCAAAAAATGACTCAGATGCCTTTCAGCCGTGTGCTTCTACCACTAGGCTACAGGCATTGGGAGCGAACTGATGATGGATGTCTGTGTGTTAGAACAATGGGGCTGCTCTTTGGCAACTAAAGCCACAGACCAAACATTCCTAATTAAGATGTTGTCATTTTACCTAGGAGAAAAGCTTTGGCCAGATTCCAGCATTCCCATAAATAAAAGAGACTGCCAGAAATACGAGAAAGAATAGTTTCTAGCAAAAGTATCCTTACATGATTAAGAACATAATTCAAACTACAACCAAAGCTGATTTATAGGCCCACTGTACAGGGCTAGTTTATAATTGAGCCCTTTGCAAAGTGTACCTCCTGCTGGCCAAATATGAAATGACATTTGTAAAGTTGAAAATCAAGTTAATCTATTAGCAGCATATTCATTTTTCTGTCTCCAAAATTGATTATTTCTTCCAGTGAGGGAGACTTACTCAAATTTTGTTTATAAATACACCTTTTATGTCTCAGTGCCAGCCTTCAACACACACATATATGCACACTCCCATTCAACACTTGGTTCTGTCTTTTATATTGGTAAAAATCTGTTCTATTGTACTCTTTCAGGAAAAGATAAAAGAAAACCTTTTGAATATGAAATTCGAATTAACTCCTTCTGGCATTATCACAGACTTGGCTGCACTTTGTATGTCCCATCCTCAGATATATTTCCTCGTCCTTGGCTCTTTTCAACTGTCCACTGTCTTCTGTGTCCCTGGTGGCTTGCAGATCAGCAGCAACACACGTGTCTATTTCACTATTTAATCAGGTAATTCTCCAATGAAAACCATTAATATAAAATACTAAGTGACATCTTCTGGAATTTTTGTTTCCTAAAAGAATATCCACATCATGTTTTTAAATATGCAGAATATGGCGAGTTGACTCATCAACTCTGTAGTCAGGGCATTAAAAGAAACATCTGTGTCTTTTTCTTTTATGAGCAGAACCCCAGAGATGTCCTAACATTAAAGACCATTCCGAAGGAAATCCGCAGCTGTAGAAAAAGGCATGCTGAATTACTTCAAACTAGAAGTCTTGACCTTGTTCTTTTGAGATCTCCATAGGAATTCAGGTTCACAGTCCTAAATCAGATGAGTTTGATGGCTTGGCTTCATTCCATATGGAGGGCAGTGCATCTCCTGTGTGTCATAACATTAGTGCCATTGGAAATTCTCTCCAGAAGGAAGCCAGTGCCTTTTTTGCAGCTGCTGTCAGGGAACTACTTGTGCCTAATTACTCCTTCACTCATCAGCAGCTAGCAAGGTAATCCCTGCCGGGATTTTCTCAGTGTTTCTAATGGCAACAGTCACAGACACTGGGCTGCTTTGGAAAAGTCAACTGAGAGATTACCAGACTGAGGACAGGCTCTCCCAGCAGGAGCACCAGACTTTTGGCAATGAACATTCTTGGCCCCAAGCACCCCTTCTCCTCGTCCTCTGATATAGGTTCACATAATCCACCAAACCTTTAGGAAGGTCTCAACTGTCCCATATAGGCATGTTTCCCCCTTGACCTTGGAAGGGAAAACTGAAAAGCAATACCTAGACATCTGTGCGGGATCCCTGGCTCAGAGTGCAGAGCCCCTCAGCTTCATTGCTTCCTTTTTTCTTTCTCTGCAGGGGATTGAGTGAAATAGAAAAGCCTTCATTTTTATTAGCACCTCTCTATTTTGCTTTTAAAAAATATGGTTCTTTTTATGATGCATGGTACTTATTCAGTTTAGTTTGCCTCCTGTAAAATGATAAAATACATTAAGTTGTTCTATTCCCTTTGTTGTTTGAGTAATAACATTCCTTAGATTTCATATGGCAGTTTCTAGGCATTTATGATGGAGAAGAAAAATATTAACAATAATGAATAAAGAAATAAATCATGGGAGCTACAACATCTTGGCATTTGTTTTCCTTAAGCTTAAATCTGCAAGTGTTCCAGAAACTAAAGGCTCACAGCTCTGGAGCTGGGAGCCTACTTTGCCCCCAGTGGTGGAGAAGAGGTTAAGGATCAAGGAAGTCAGAGGGAGTCTGGAATTGTTTTCAAAATCTCAGTCACAATAGACCAGTTGAAATCTACTTACACTTTTTCTAAACATCCAGGATCTCGGTGTCTCTGCCTTCGGACAATCCGCTTACAGATTTTTGGAAATTCCATGATAATTTAGAATAAAATATTTCTCCCGCATTCCTTCTATCAGGAATTGAGAGCAGAAATATTGCAGAATTATAACCTTGGTTAGTGAATGAGAAACATAACTTGAATTTGGCCTAAGAATTCATAGAGTTAACACCCTTCTGTTCTCTTTTGGTTTCCTGGTAAAATGATATGCAGAAGGAAAATAATAACTGCATTCTTACTGGAGGACAGTTAAATAAGCGCACGGTTAAAATGGAATATGTATCTCTAAAACAAGTGAAGAAGAGAAGCAAGGATGTCATCTCAGAGCTTTTCAAGAATGGATTGGATCTTATTACAGTATTTCTCTTTACGGGATCATTAGGCCATGTTTTTCATTATTATTTTCTAATGTCTTTGTGTTTGTGAGGGGGATATTTCACTGGAAAGGAGATTTTTTTTTCAGAGTTTTGAGGAAAGTAGCTATTCAAAATGTTAGATGAACATAAATTAATCCCAGAAGAACACTTTAATCTTTAATCCCCTAAAAGGAGGTAAAGTAATCTCCCAGTTGGTATTTTCTGACTTTTCATAGCTCTGAAATTCCAATAGGGGTTGAAGGAATCTTTGTTTTATTGCAGACAGATGGACTGGGAATGGCCAACAAAATCCATTAAAATCAGTAGTTAGCAGAGGCTGAGGTGCCTTCAGCGGTGTAAGTATTCTGCCAACGAAAAGAGCTAGAATAAGACTTGCTCACCAAAACTTTTGTTCTAAAATGACTTGCTAGCTAAACTCTAAGGAGGGTGGAGGAAGTCAGCTAAGAATTTTTCAATAGAAAAGAGAAAAAAAACCCACAATAATTTTCTTCTTAAACCATAAACTGGATGTATCCTAAAGCATAGATTAAAAATAACGGTTTCTAACTGACACATGAAGAAGCAAATGGGTTGTATAGAAAGGCAAGAGTACGGCTAATATTTTTTTCCAGTTTTGCTACTGAATTTCCACTTTGCCATTTCTGATTGACATATCCAGGATCTGTTCACTGACTCTAAAAGTGCCGTAAGTAAAATCCTTAATTGGGAATGAATTGTGTATCTTTATCTTGGTAAAGTTAGAAAGCAAAATAATATAATTGGTACTTAAGAAATGACTAACATGCAATTAATATGTGCACATTCAGTTAATGTGAATAGAATAAGTCATGTATGTGTTTGGCAAGAACATTGACCTATTAACCTGGCTCCCAAGATTAAGCTACTAGGAACCCAGAGCGTTTGCAGGCAAGGTTGTCCTGCATCTTCCAAGAATGTACCAAAAAGTATTTATATAAAGATACAACTGACAAGAAAGAATTCAATACATGGGTATAACTGGGCTTTCTTTTATCCTCATAAGACTCTTTATTTGATTAGTATTCCTGATTGTTGTCAGTATGATGTTTATATGTAGAGAATACTATATTATCACCTAAATTTGGACAAGTCTTTGAGTAAAATAGGGATGCTAAAAATAAAAATTACTAATTTGCAAATGATTTATTGATTATAAACTTATTTCCTTTTTAATTTATATTTGTCATATTCTAATTATGATTTATCAATTATATTACATATATCTTGTACAGTTCTATTTAAATACTATTTTCAAGGATAAAATTATAACTAAAAACAAAAATAATATAATTGAGTCTATGAAAGCAAAATTTAAAAATATCTTTGCTATGTAAACACTAAAAAAGCAGAATCATTTTATATATTACATAAAATATAGTATACAACAGTTTATATAGTATATATTTATATATTATAAATTATACAATAATATAAAATATATTATAGTTTTATATGTTATATTAGATGTGAAATTTATCTAATTTTAAAAAGAGTTTAAACTAAAAGTTTGTCCCTAGGTGGAGACAGTCCACAGAGTCTCCATAGAATTTTAATATTAAATCTTATATACTCAAACTCCCTCTTTATTTATTTAGCTACTCACCTGCTTTGAGCAGATACTTTTCAGTGACTTCCTATTTGTATGCTTTTTCCCCAATAATTGTAATTTGCTAAAAGCTTGAAGAGCTGAAGATTTTTACAATGCATTAGTTTATTATTTTGATAAAAAATCTCCAAGCTTATTTTGAACTATACACAACAAAAATTGCAGAAGCTTATTTAAAAATAATTCTGTGCCATCGAGGGATGTTTTCATTGATTTTTAAAAGTCTTTCACAACCTCAGACATTTCTAAATTCTGGTTAAGGATGGGCAGCAATGAGAAAAATTATAAACTGCCATGTTCACCAAATTTTGTATTGAATGCTAGCTTCATCACAAACCACTCATTTACTACGCTATTTTTCTAATCTATCTATCTATCTGTCTGTCTGTCTGTCTATCATCTCTCCCTCTCATCTATCTACGTATCTATGTTTCTATGTATCTATGTATGTATGTATGTATGTATGTATGTATGTATGTATCTATCTATCTATCTATCTATCTATCTATCTATCTATCTGTCTATCTATCTATCTTTCCATACACCTATCTGTCTATTGTTGGATCTCAGAAAATCATATCCAAAATGCAGCACTTTGGCATCCTGAGTACTCTGAAATAAAGGAGACTGGAAAGCCTCAGAAGCAGCCTCAGAAGCAAAGTCTCTCTCTGCCTTCCTGTTCTTCTGTCTCCCACCCCTCTTTCATCCCTGACACAAGTCACACAAACCAGGGTTCTTCCTTCCCCAAAGAAAGTCATAGAAACTAGAGCCTCTCTCACCCAAAGCCAGCCATAACAGCTAGAAATAACCAGTCTTCACGGTGCATGTCTGTAGTCCCAGCTACTCAGAAGGCTGAAGTGGGAAGATCACTTGAGCCCAGGTGTTGGAGGCTGCCGTTGGCCATGATCCTGCAATTGCACTCCAGCCTAGGAGACAGAGTGAGACGCCATCTCTAAAAACAACACCTAGAAATATTACTCTAACTTTCTCCTGCCTTTTTGTGTTTTAGCTGTAGGAAATTCTCCTGTCTACCTTGTCTGATCATAGGTCATAAGACACTCATCCCAGAGTTTCTGGCTCATACCCAGGAAGAAATGTGTTAGTCCATATTCACACTGCTAATAAAGACATATCAGAGACTGGGTAATTTATAAAGAAAAAGAGGTTTAATGGATTCACAGTTCCACGTGGCTGAGGAGGCCTCACAATCATGGCGAAGGCAAAAGGCATGTCTCACATGGTAGCAGAAAAGAGAAGAGAATAAGAGGCAAGCGAAAGGTGTTTCCCCTTATAAAACCATCAGATCTCGTGAGACTCATTCACTACCACGAGAACAGTATGGGGAATACTGCCCCCATGATTCAATTATGTCCCAGTATGGGAGCTACAATTCAAGATGAGATTTGGGTGGGAACACAGCCAAATCATTTCAAGAAGGAATGTTAAACAGAGGCCAAAAGCAATCTGGAAAGGTCTTGCTGGGTTTTCCCACTCAGTCTATTAACATTAAATCATACTTTTTTGTGCAATCACATTTCTTCAGGGCTGTCCATTCTTCATTGAATCTATGCATAAAAGTGGACAATTTTCCCTGAGTCTTTGAATCCTTATTTCTTTTATTTTAAATTTATGTTTTATATTCTATCTTTTCAATATACTTTTGTTTTTAATTGATACATAATCATTGTACATATTTATGGGGTAAAATGCAATGTTTCAATACATGCATATATTGTGTAATAATAAAATCAGAGTAATTAGAATATCCATCAGCTCAAACATTCCTTTGTAGTGGGAACATACAAAGTCCTTTCTTCTAGCAATTTTGAGATACACAATATCTTATTGCTGACTATAGTTACCTTACTGTGGAATGGGACACAAGCACTTATTGTTCCTTTCTAATTGTAACTTTGTACCCATTGATGATCCTCTCCCAAGCCCTCTTTCCTCTACTCACCCCAGTCTCTGTAACCACTGTTCAATTCACTTCTTCTATGAAATCAACCATTTTGGATTCCACATATGAGTGAGAACATGTGATATTTGTCTTTCAGTGTCTGGTTTATTTTACTGAACATAATGACCTCCAGGTTCATTCACATTGTTGTGAGTACCAGGATTTTATTTTTTTAATGGCCGATTAGTATTCTATTGTGGATATGCCACATTTTCGTTATTCCTTCATCAATTGTTGGACATTTAGGTTGATTCCACATCATGACCATTGTGAATGGTGTTGCAATAAACATGGGAGTACAGATATCTCTTTTATATACTGACTTCATTCTCTTTGGATATATATCCAGTACTGGGATTGCTGGATCATATGGTAGTTATATTTTCAGTTTTCTGAGGAACTTTTATATTGTTTGCTTTAATTGTTGTACTAATTTACTTTCTTGCCAACAGTCTGTAAGTGTTCTCTTTTCTCTGCATCATCACCAACACTTGTTATATTTTGTATTTTTCGTAATAGCCATTCTAACTGGAGTGAGGTGATATTGAGGTTTTGATTTGCATATTGCTGATGATTAGTGAGGTTGAACATTTTTTATACACTTGGTGGACATTTATATATCCTGTTTTGAAAATTATCTGTTGAGGTCTTTGGCCCATTTTTAAATTGAATTGTTTGTTTGTTTGCTGTTGAGTCTTTTGAGTTCCTTATATATTCTGAATTCTTACCTTTTGTGAGATGTATAGTTTGCAAGTATTTTCTCTGATTCTGTAGGTTGTCCCTTCATTCTGTTGATGCTTTCCTTTACTGTGCAGAATCTTTTTAGTTTGTTGCAATTCCATTGGTCTATTTTTACTTTGGTTGCCTGTGTCTTTGAGGTCTTCTCCAAAAAATTCCTGTCTAGTCCAATGTCATGAAGTGTTTCCTTTATTTTTAATTCTCGTAGTTTCATAGTTTGAGGTACTACATTTGAGCCTTTGGTTAATCTTGAGTTGATTGCTGTAAATTAGGGAAAAGTAGGGATTCAGTTTTATTCTTGTGCATGTAGATATCCAATTTTCCCAGTAACATTTATTAAAGAGACTGTTCTTTTCCTAATGTGTTTTTGAATCCTTTGTCAAAATTAGTGGACTCTAAATAGATGAACTTATGTCTGGGCTATCTATTCTGTTCCATTGATTGATATGTAAGTTTTTATGCCAATACTATGCTGTTTAGGTTATTATAGTTTTGTAGTATATTTTGAAGTCACATTGTGTGATGCCTCTAGCATTGTGATTTTTTTCTTAAGATTACTTTTGCTATTCCTTGTGTCTTGTGGTTCCATATGAATATTATGATCTTTTTTTTATTTCTATGAAGAACATCATTGGTATTTGGAGAGGGAGTGCATTGCATCTGTATATCCCTTTGGTAATGTGGGCATTTTAACAATATTAATCTTTCTAATTTGTGAGGATGAAATATCATTCAATTTTTTTTGTGTCCTCTTCAATTTCTTTTCTCAAAGTTTTATAGTTTTCAGTATAAAGATTTTTTAATTCCTTGGTTAAATTCATTTCTAGGTGTCTTTTTTTTTAGGTAGGTGTTGTAAAAGGGATTGTTTTTCCATTTATGTCTTAATTTCTGAAAACTCCCAAGTCACATAAAACTTTGCTTGGTTAAATAAGTTTGTTATGTGATTTTCTTATTAACTTGTCTTCTGTAATAGAAGTGCTGGCCATGACCCTTACGATGAGTGAGAAAAGGTGTCACAACTTTTCTGTTCCAATGCTCTCTCTTTCTCTATCCATCTATTAATCTAGTTAATTGTCAAATTTGTAGACTTTGACAATTATAAATTCTACTTAGACAGCAGAATTATGTAACTTACTTGAACACAATTACAAAGTATGTTTGTACAACAACCAATTCCAGGTTTATACAAGCTTATTAATTTAATACAAACAATGCCTAACTATAATGCTGTACTTTACCCAAATTCTATTTGTATTATTAATATAAAAGCAAATAAATACAACTTATGTGTTGGACTCTTTAGCTGGATTTAAAAAAGAAGTAATGTTCATGTCAGATGTTTTACCTTCAACAGTAGGAGCATTCAAAACCTTTTCTTTGATTTAATAAATTGAATGAAAAAAAATCCCTGTTATTGGCACTAACATCACTGATTTTGTCTTTGATGCATCTAATGCTAATGATATTAAATTGACATAATTCACTTTCAGAGCAAAAACTGCTCTGAAATAAATTGCAAATGCGAGGAATAAACTGAAAAGAACAATCCTTTAATCTAGATGAAAAATCAAGTTTTATAGAATAATTTTAAATATACTTTTTGTAGTAATACAAGTTAAATCTGACCATATTTTAATGTAATTGCTGATGCTTCTCCAGCTGATTTGTGTCTTCTAGTTTTTATGCAATCTGTGATTTCACTACATCCTCCATGGTGGATAATAAATGTCAATAGACATTTTATGCAGTTTACACATTCACATAAACTTTATTGAAAAATGAAATACAGTACATAGAATATTACCAAATATGCATTTTGGAAAAGTCATTGCCATTAGAAGGATTTATGGAAAAATTTAAAGATAAGTTAATGAACAATAATATAAATACTTACAGTTTTGCACCTTGAAATCGATGACAAAACCAGTTATCAAGATCATTCTGATCATTCTCTTTACAAACTATGATACAACTGTTCAATCTGTACTTCCCATATGTATTTAATGTAAAGCTGTTCTGTAATTTCTCAATACCCACAGGCACTGCTCATTGATAAAGTGATGGCTGGCCTGCTTGCAGCTCATGGTGCACACAGTCTAAGGCAAATTTGGCTATTACACCAAGTGTCAAGTAAGGACAGGAGCATCAAATCCTTCTACAACCATCATCCCTGACTTGAAGGAGTTAGATGTCACTAGTTACTCATTCTAAGGGTATTTGGTTTCATCAACACATGCCCTGAATATTGTCCCTGAAAGAGAGGTAAGATTGTCTTATAGTATGCACGTATATGTGACTGGAAAGTGTTGAGAGAAAGAGATGTAAGTTCTCTCTCTTTATCTTTAATGTTTTATCATGTGCTAAAGTGGGAATTTTGTTTTCTGCACATACATTTCTTATAGTACTAAATGAAAAATGCAAATAAGATCTACAAAACTCATCATGGCTTATTGAAGTGCAATTACTACTACTACTAACTAACTTAAGAATAAAAAAAAGTCAGGGGCAAATACTAAACTGGACTAGAAAACTGAGACAATATACATGAGCCGGGATTGTCTCAGGCAAATACAGATGTATCTTTATTCTATTCATATGGAATCCTGGCTATATAGGGTATGGCAGTCTGGGATTCACTCTTGGAAGGTATGTCCTGAATCATCACTAATTTATTTCCACTTGCAATTTAGATGGAATATACAAACCGGTGTAGTACTTTTATAATACCACAAACAAAAATACTGAACAGATACATGTATATGGAGAAAGAAGAGATGCTGGGAAAACCAGTAATAACTTAAGGAAGCAGTCCAAGCAGAAGAGAATTTAATTCCTTAAAGGCAGTTGTTATTTACAATATATCCCTGAGCCTCTTAAATCTTTTCAAACTACCTATAGTTATTAATTTCACTAACATAAGTATGTGAGCTTTCGTTTAGATTAATCTGAATCCATCTTAAATTTTACTTGTATATTTTAATATTTGGAATATTCTTGCATAAGTGAATTACTACCAGCCATTCTTGTGAGTGTGTATTAATTTAATCTGATTGTGTTGCTCCTAAAGTCTACCTTATGTCACCTGCTGGATGAGGAACTTAAAAAAGATGTTTGAATCAGGTAGGAGGCAGTGCAAGAATATTACAAATTTGATTTCCAATTCAAGCACCCTGAATCCTTTCTACCATACCAGAAAAACATGCATTAAAGGAAAAAAAAAACCTAGATGTTTTGGCTTTGTTTCTAACTGGCAATAGAGCTGATGTCTGATTTGCATATTCACTAACAAATTTAGAACTTGTAAATCTGGTTAATTCATCATTAATTGTTACCCGAAGCTTTAATTTGCTTTGTGAATTATTTTAGAAATTATGGCATACAAATATTTCTGGTTATTTCTGGTATGCTACTAAAAAAATATTGTGTTTTCTATCCGGTAAGTCAATAGCTGGTTCTTCTGGTCTCTTCCCCTTGTTCATGGATTTATTTGACTATTAAACTACTATACATATATCAACACACATACACCTCACATGTGTACACAAAGCATATAAATATTTGTTGTAAGTCAATATTGCATAACATATTCTGAAGGCATTTTTCAAAAACAAACAAACAAAAAGATCTGCTTTAAGTAGTAATTTGAATATTTTAATTTATTTACTGGACAAACATCTAACTGAGATAGAATAGAAATTGTTCACATGACACATCATGACTAAACTGAGAATATATTTGTAGTCATTTAAAAAGTGAGATTATATAGTTCTTACTTTAGTTTTAACTCCTGAAGCCAAAAAGCCCATCACTTCTCTGGGGAAAGGGCATGAGTTATTTTCCAAGGGACTTACTGTGTTTGTGTCTTTTCTAAAAACCTAGCCGAAGAGAACTGATTTCTCCCAAAGTGAGAAAAGCTACTCTCACCAGTCTGCTACCTATTTCCTGGGTGGTATCTTTCAGCCCATCAAAGTGCACATATGGAAATATACAATTAAGTGAACTCCTTCATCCTTAATAACTTATTTTCCTCTTTAATAGTTTTTGATCATCATGTTCATCCCAAACACACATATCAATTTTTCTCTAAACAAGAGGGCTTTTCTCTTATGCCATCCTCTCCGTGCCTTGCATAAATAGTCCTACAAAAAAAGTGACCTGCTAATTATGAGTGATTGCTTTTCCCATTCCAGTGTGGCCGAGAAATAATTTAAATTAAGTATTCATAGTCAGGGATCATCAAGTGATTGCACTCCAGATTAATCTTCCTGGGCCCAAGTGCTGCCTGGCTTCAGCCTGAACATGGCGCTGCATTCTGTCTGTCCTATTCAGCCCAAACAAGGAGAACTTATTTGCTAAACAATTTTAATTCATTCTACACAATTTAATTATGCTTCAGTGTGAAACCACCTGTGACCTTGGGTTTAGTAATGAAATCCACTCCCTAGTCACCAATGCTGAGAGTAATCTGTTTGGCAACGACAGTAGAAAATAAGATTCTTAAATACTGTTCGGAACTGGAAGAATCACGCTCTTTTTGATAGGCTCTCTTCTAGTTTGCTTGCAGGCCTTTGGCTGTCTTCCGGAGGAGATTTTATAGGAGAATTATCTTCACTGGAAGATTTGAATGGGATTTGAAATGACACATAGCTGTTTCAGTGACAAAACACGTGAAAGTGTCCACTGTTTTTCTGTACTGTGTGAGCCATAAGGTATTTTCAAGAATAAAGTCCTTTACTTCTTTCCCTGAGGACTAAGATGAAAGCATACACATGTAATTAAATGCTTCTTTTGTGTAAGTGTGGGCCATTTGATATTTAAGTATTAAGTGGAAGTGTTACTTAGTTTATAATGAGTCTTTCAGAACCCAGTTTCCGTTTGGCAAGTTCTAGCTAATCAAGGAACAGGATACTGATTAGAGAGAGTCATCTAGACATTTTGGATTTGAAGGCATATGCACTTTAACAAAACTTATTTGGCTCTGCCACGGTTAAGTGTTAAACCTTCTGTTATGCATCCTGTGCCCAGCTTTTTCTGACCTAGGCGTTGTGATGTTTTTTTCAGAGCACTGTTCGTGCATCCACCAAGACCCTGTGCTTCATCACCTCATGGTGTACACACACCATTTACCGTCCTGTTCACTCAACACGCTGTGATTTTTACCCATAAAATGCCTGCTAGCCTGTCTCACTCATTGTTAAGATATACATTTATACTGCTACATTTTAGTATTTCTGTAAATTGTCTGTCTTACAATCCATAGTATTTACCCTTTTTGTTGACCGGGGAGCATTTAGGGTGCAGTTTTCATGAATCGTATTTGAATCAACTTGATCACCGCTGTTCATGTTGTTCTGTCTTTTTACATTCAAATGAGTCTAAAGGAGCTTTTTAAATAAATGTCTTAAAAAATCAAGAGATAACAAAGCACAAGATTCTAGTTTAATTGGTAGCATTTTCCCTTTTAGTAATGCATACAATTATAGTGTATCTTATAATTGAAGGCATCATACATTTGATGGAATACACTAAATCTGTTCTTTTCTCTCTTCTAGGCCATCTGCTTCCTGCCTAACTTCTAGACTGTAGTTTTTGGCTCTTCCATCAGGCCTTTCCAATTACTGCAATTGCCTTTTTCTCCATGTCTTGATCACACATAGCGTTGGCTGTCACACCTGTGATGGTCTGTATTATATTTGATTTGGCACTCTGTGGCTTGGTGTCTTGATTCTTACTTCAAGAATCATGGAATGTAAGGAAGGAAAAGATCATAGAGTCAATTTAGTGTCACTGTTTCATTTACAGACAATGAAACTGGGACATTTGAGGTTTAAGTGTTAGTGGCAGGTCTGAGACTCTGCAACCAGCTCTTATTAGCCAGATGCTATCCCCAAATCAGGAAAGATTCCTGCTTCAGCTTACAAGAGCTTACAGACCAGCGACCAGCGATCTGATAGCATGTTCTCACTTTCTTGAAAAGTATGTTTTTAAATATACCAAACCAAGTCTTCTTATGTTCTTTAAGGTAGGGGTAGTTTTATTTTCCAGCTATTGTACTGAATACATGTTTAGTTGAATTAAACTATCAAAAGATGTTAAAATGTCATTGAAGTTACAGGCATGGGTGAAACTTTCAATGACTAAATCTGAGCAGCAGCCTTATTTCAGTTCTGTTACTCCTCCCAGCCCCTGTCTTCTTTCCCCCGCTGAAATGAATGACACAGAACTAAGAAGCACAAAAAGTGAGCTCCCAGATCTGTCTGAATGAAAATACCAAGACTCTGTGGATGTTCCAAGATATCAGATTCTCTTGCTAAGAAAATTGCAGCATTGTAACTTCTTTCAAGCATTAAAGCCCAAACAATGTCTTCCTCGTTTTGGGGGGAAAAAAAAAAGATAATAAAATTTTTGGAGGTACACAGAGATGCATCAGAGAGGACTAATTACAGTAGTTACAGTAAACTTAAGTGGAATGGCAAAAGACATTGATGATAATAATAATTTTAAAAACTAGAGGAAAAAAAACCAGTGTCTTTTGTCCTCTGCATAACTTTATTCTTTCTAGAAGGTATTTTTGAAGAGAAATATGATTTTCAAACTAAGGTACCAAAAAGGACAAAATAAATTAGTCCCCCCAACTCCTGCCCACTTGTAATTGAAGGTTTACTTCATGTTAAGACTTAGATCATGTTTTGTGTTAAATTACCTTATAAGTGGAAGCAGAAGGACTGTATTCACTAATATATTTCTAAGGGAGCTGCCTAACTTAAACATTAAAATTGGATCTAGGAAAAGATTTTGCAACAGGAACGGTCTTATTCATAGGAGCTCATGAACACAGTGTGATTTTTAGATGATCTCTCCATTAAACAGAAAAAGATGCATCCAGCATTTGGAATATCTTCAAGTGGAATAAGAAGAGTTAAAATGCAAATCTATCAGGCAGTAGTTACATGTTAAGCAACTACCTACTATTTATATATTATAATGATTTTATTCATCAGTTGTTATTCTAAAGGGACAGATAAGTAACCACACCTTCCTCAAGATATGCACACAAAATATCACCTTTCAGGAAGGAAAAGAGCAAAAGGTAGAGAGGCAAAGAGAAGAGACATGAATGGGGCAATGTGGTTTAAAGCATTAGGAGGATCTTGGGTTGGCCCAATAGATAATAAAAGACAATGCTAAGAGCATTGCTGTTATTGTTGTTGTTGTTAGGTTTTTTATGTTTTATGTTCAGTTTTTTTAAAGTATGAAATTAACAAGAAAAATGGAATATGTATGATATTGGTGGTGGGGCATGAAGTTTGAGGAAGCTGTGAACTGTGATGAAACAGGGAAAGGGTCAACAAGAGGTACAGGAGACAGGCAGCTGGAGAGACTTGGATTCTGTCTTGATGATCCTATGAGTACATGGCCTTGCCTGGTGGCTTTATTGAATTAATCCTGTTAAATAGAGAGTCATTTTATTTTCTTGAATAATGCTTTTGAATATATAAATAAATAAAAATTTGGTCTTTAAAAATTTTCAAAATTTATGTAGTTTAGCTGTTTCAAACCCATAAACTAAAAAGAAGTTTTGTTGGTCTAACAAATTAAACTGGTTATCTCTTCTCTCTTTTGCTCTCTTTCATTCTACATACATACACACATACACACAGAAGCATACATGTCTTAGTTTGTTTTTTGTTGCTTATAACGTAGTGCTTGAGATGGTAATTTATTTAAAAAAAAACAAATTAATTTTTACAGTAGTTCTGGAGGCTGAGAAGTTTGAGAGTTTGAGAAGTTTTAGAAGTTTGAGAGTTTGATGGGCTGCATCTGGGGAGGGCCTTCTTGCTGAGGGCAGGATTCTCTACAGAGTCTCAAGATGACACAGGACATCACATGATGAGGAGACTGAGCACACTAGCTCAGGTCCCTCTTTCTCTTCTTAATAAGCCACCAGTTTCTTTCCCATGATAACTCATTAACTTATTAACCCATTAATCCATTAATGAATTAATCCATTCATGATGGCAGAGCCCTCATGACACATATCACCTCTTAAAGGCCCCATCTCTCAATACTGCCATATTGGAGATTTTCCACGTGAGTTTTGGAGGGTACAAACATTCAAACTGTAGCAATATATGCATACAGAAATAACTATTTGATTCTGTAGGTCCAAAGTTACAGATATTTTTCTTTTATATACAAAAAGTGAGGAGCAACAAGCCACTTCCGTTTCTGAAATATTTGTGCCTAGCTACTGGTACCTGCTGGAGTTTCAGGAAAGACCTCTAAGGTTTATTTATCCAATATACAATACAGTTGGCAACAAGATGTTTCCACTGAATTATTCCCATACGGGCAGAACCAAAAGCAGTATTTGAATGTAAGCAAGGCAATCTACGCAATTCTAAACTGGACTTGTTCTCATTACCAAGGACATTCTTGGGATAAAGGTGGGGGCTACTCAACATTTATTGAGCACCTATTATGTTTCAGGTATTATATTATGTAATATACTTTATTTCATACTTCAACAACACAAATAATATTATTAATATTACTTGTAATTTAAATACTAAGTAAGCATCCCAGTTGACATCTGAATCTTTATTAGTCAGAACTCCCCATTCATTCTGTGATACCACAGTACCCCGAAAGTTGCCTACAATTACAGGGGCTTCGTGCACGTGGAATACTTGTGTTTTGGTTTCCTGAGTCCACAAAGAGATTCTCTCTTTTTATTAACAGCTTTAATGTAAATGTCATGAGCTACCAGAACAATTCTCAGAACAAAAACTTGATTTAATTCAACAACACTTTTAAAGTGCTATCATATACCTATACCTTACTATGATACAAGCATAATAGCAAAATAGCATCCCTATTCTGAGCAAAGCTACAGAACTAATGTAAACAGTGTAATGTGGCCAAATGTATAAATAACTATGTGAAGTCAAATCTAATAAAGAGAAGAAGAATGGCATACATCGGTGAGGGGGAAACTCTATTTGATTCTCCAACATCATTTCTGTTTTTGTCTATTGCGGAGATGAATCTTCTAGAAACCATTCTTCACTCTACTCAGAAGAAGAATGCAGAAAAAAAACTGCATGGTCTCCACTGTGTATCTTGTTTTAGCTGCATTTCATGGAAAAAATAATTGCTTCACCTAATTGGTCATATTTAGAACATTCATAGTAGACAACACGACTGTGCAAATAAGCAACATGACAGCTCTTGCTTCCTCATTGACTCCGCAATTCCCGGAGAGCAAGCTCATTTTAAATGCCTATCTTTATTAAGTTGAAATGCCACTCAGAATGGTCCACAGACAAACAACATTTTCATACCTGGAAAATTACTAGAAATGAAGAATTTCGGGACTACTCCCAGATTTGCTGATTGAAATTTGTGATTTATCAAGATCCCTAAGTGATGAATATGTACATTCAACTTTGAGAAAAGCTGTCAGGCCCTATCATTTTTATTGCTCAGTCTTTCTATATTTATTTGTCTGAAACTAGATGGAAGTCAGTTTGGTACATCTTTTTCACAAAGTTGGCTGAGTAAATAGATTCAAAGAGGTCACTGCATACCTAGGAATTGAGGGCTAGGTTTAAAGGAAGAAGAATTACTTGGCTTTCTTATTTGTCATATTAACCACACAGCGGGGAGATGGTGGGGGAGGTACTTTATTTCCCATTTAGCTATTGTCTTCTGCGTGTATATAGCTAATTTTTCATGGTGCCCAAGGGGAAGGAAGTGAGCAGGCAGATTTGGGTAACAATCTCTATCACAGGCATCATAGTTAGCATTATTATTATAAAGGGCTTCAAAACCAGAGGAGAGAAAAACTACATTCCATCAAAAATGCCCGGAGAGGTTGGTAAAGGAATGAACATTTAGAAAAGCCTTAAATATTCATATATGTAGAAAGAAAAAAAGAAGAACCCCCCCCGACCCGAGTAATGGGAGCAGCAGCATAAGCAAAGATGAGATAAAAATTTGTGAGAAATATTTAGGCAAATATGACTTGACTATTTCACTTGAATGTACAGCACAATGTATAATAAAAGTCAAAGGGGTGAAACTGGAAGGAACATTTGAATTATATTACAAAATGATTTGTAAGACAAAATGAGGAATTTTATTTTGGTTCTTTAAACCATGATGAGTGGGATAGTGATTTTACCAAGCCATGCTTTAAAAGAATTAATTTGGCAGAAATAACTGGAATGAATTAATGTGGCAGGAGATACTAGAGGTTAGAATATCAGAATATTGGATAGAAAACTAAGACTACTCTACAATCGGTGTCCTCAATTAGCATGACAGGAGGGGACAAATTGGAAAACATGTTTTCATGTGCTTACTAAATAAGAGGTGAAATAATATGACTATCATTTAGTCAGCATTTGTGACTTGTCAGGCATTAAGCTAAACATTACATATTCTCTATCATTTTTCATTCCCATATCTTATTAGTTAACAATAATAGTAAAGATAAGGATGATGAGAATAGCTAAACATCATATAATGCTTAATTTGTTCCAGACATCATTCTAAGCACTTTAAATAAATCTAAAAATAGACCTATGAAAGAGGGAATAGTACAGTACTCCCATTTTATACTTTAGAAAACTGAGGTTAAAGGCAGTTCTATCTCTCTTGCTTAAATGAAGGATTAAGTTTCAAATACATGAATTGATTCACTTAAGATCAATGGCAAGTGATAGCATAATAATTTGAACCCCAGACTAACTTCAAAGCCTCTTCTCTTTATTCGATATAAATAAAAGTATGTGTTATAAAAAGTTAAGCAGATACCTACCCATCATGAATATATTTTGAATATAATTTCAGATATATCTCTATGCATATTAGGATACACTATTTAAAATAAAAGTTCTGGGTTCTGTAACGAAAGTTGAAATGTGTGAGTGGTCTAAACAAGAGAGCAGTTCATTTTTCTTTCATCCAGCAAGTCCAGCATAACCCTCTCAAGGATGGTATGGAAGCCCCACACTTTTCAGCCCAGTTGGCTTTCATTTTGTTGCTCTGTTAGGCTGAGTGTGGACCATCTCTAAGTCTCTATTTCCGTTCATACTCCTTGCATGTCAGCCAGCAGGGAAGTGGAAATATTAAGACATGCATTCTTTCTTTAAAGATACTTTCTAGGATTACACCTGTGCTTCTGCCTTAGACACTATGGTCAGAACGGAAGTAGCACCCAACAGCCAATCACAAGGGACACCAGAAAATGTGTTTTGAGAGGCTTCTCTTTTCGAGAAAAAGGGTATAGAGGCAGTTGGGGGGAAAAAAAGTAAGAGGCTTTGCTACACTTTCTATCATTAATTCAATTTGCAGCTTCTGTATCCTCACTGCTTCTAATTTAATTATTTTTTGTAATAATCTTGTTTGGTCCTTGATTTGCTTCCGTAGTTATGCAATCTCACATTTCATCTCCGTTTTAATTTCCTGGGGCTTTTGTAACCACTTACCACAAACTTGGTGATTAGAAACAACAGAAATGTACTCTCACAGTTCCAAAAGATGGAAGTCTCAAATCAGTTTTCAGAGTTGGTTGCTTCCGGAGGCTCTGAGGGAGAGCTATTTCATGCTTTTCTTCTAGCTTTTTCTTGCTTCTGCCAAGGCTTAAGGTCCCCTGGCTTGTACTGCATGACTCCAACCTCTGCCTTTGCACATGGCTTCTCTCCTGTTTATCTGACATCTACATCTCTCTTGTGTCTCTGCATTTTCTCTTTTTTTTTTTTTTTTTTTTTGTCTCTTATGTGGACATGTGCATCATTAGATTTAGACTCACCCAAATCCAGAGCAATCTCATCTGAGATCCTTACTTAATTATTTCTGCAAAGACCCTTATTCCAAATAAGCTTACATTAATTCTGAGGTTCTGGGTGGACATTGTTTTGGGAGCAAGAGATAATTCATTACCATCTCATTTGGTTGTTTTATAATCTTTAAAAATTATGTACCTATTGAACCTTTGCTTTTATTGAGTTTTTCTGTAGCATAGAAAATTCCTGAAAAATTTCTGCCTTAATTCTTGCATTATATTTTCTTTCAAATTGGGTTTCCTTCAAATTCTCCTGCTGTTTTTCTTTCTTACTTTTTTTCCTTTTATTATCTATGGGAATTTCATTCTTTCAACTATTTTTTAATTATGGGGAAGAAAGTGTATGTGTTCATGGTCATAATGTGGTTTGTTCTGCATCTTACTTCAGCTTGTACGTCTTTGTGGGTGCTTTCTCTTGGTTCCAATATGGTGTGGGTGATTTATCTTTGTCTCTCTTCAAAATACTAGGAACCTGTTGTTTCTCCTCTCTGAGTATTTTATATTTTGACATTATTTGAGTAGGCTGAGGACATGGAAGAGGAGATTATCAACTGAAGTTGTATAAAATATTTGAAGGAATATTTGGCTTCTTCTCTCCCTTGTGGGGTGATACAAAAGTCATGAACCAGGGTTCTAATTGATTTGAAGTAGAGTGAATTTTGCTTATCCTGTGTTAAACTTCAGATTATTTTCCCAGTTCAGATCCTGGAGTCTCCTCTTCCATCATAGTGTCAGTATTCTTAAAATGTCCCTCACATCAAAATTGTAGTAGAAACTCAAAGATGATTTTCCTACCATGCCCAGACAGAAACAGGAAAGTTAGGAAAACAACTCAGTTCGCTTTCTCAGAATTGATGTCATTTGTGAGAATTCTTAGCCCATGCCATCAAAGCTACTGAATGAAGACAGTGTGGCTGAATTCCATGCCAAAGTCCATCAAATCTGTTTCTCTCTTTCTCTCTCCATATGTGTGTGTGTGTATATATATAGGATAGATTTCTCTCTGTATATATGTCTATACATATATCAATATGTATTATATATGTATAGATACATATGTATGTGTGTATGTGTGTGTGTATACACACGCACACAAATATATATATGTACAATGTGCCTTTCCATTAATAGCTGGAGTTGATTTGTCAAGTTTCTAATTGATTTCATCACGCAGTATGAGGATACCCTGATTTGATGTCACTGTGTGATCTACTGCTCCTGCTCTCTCTCTCCTATGTTATGTTTGATGCTGATGATCCGGAGGGAAAACTGCTAGAATCAAATTGATGATCTCCTTAACAATACATTATGAAACAAAAGATAATAAAAATGTCGTTCTATGGTTGAGTTCACCTCCCTTAATGTACATATATTTTCCCAGAAAACATTTAATGGTACCTGTTTCTGAGACCAAATTATGATGTAAAAAACAAAAAACAGAACAAATCAACCACCACCACAACAAAAAAAAAACTGGTAAGTACAAAGTGCTCAATATCAGTTAACGTTTACAATACATTTTCCAAAGATATTAAATTTGACATTTGTTTTTCCGCCAAATAGATGATCTAAACATAATATTGCTGGCAGTCATAAAACGTAATATCTTCTTAATTCTGAGAATGATCGAAGCTATGGAATTGTCAAAGCGATGTTGCTGTATTAGAATTACAAACATTTATGGTTTAACATGAATTATTTCAAAATAATTAAGTGGTTGACTGTCTAGCTATATAGATTATAAGCCAAATTAGGCAGTTAAAAATAAATGTAAGTAAATAAGTATATTTAGATATAAATTCAAGTAAATAAAATCACTTTATAACAGAAAAGCACGCATCCAACTTTTCAACAGCATGCAACACTACCCAGAAGATAAGAGAAGAAAAATAATGATGAGTTTCACTTTCAACTGAAATTCAATAGCTTCTAAATTGCAAGAGTGCAGAAAAAAAGTCATCAACACATTTTTGAGGAATTAAATGTGGATCTCTCACGGGTCAACGCTAGGTTAAGCAAAGTGGGAATGAAAAGCACCCAGCGGTAGCCCACCTAACAATGCCAAGTTTTGCATTGATTTAGGTTATTTTTTTCCACATTATCAATGCATTGTTGAATCATTTCCTATTTTTTACAAGATCGCCTTAAATAGTAAATATCTAAAAATAATGTGTATATTGCCTTTTGCTGAAGTTTCGTATTTTTCCTTGGGATGAATATTTAACTCAGAGAATTGCAATTCATTGTTTAACTATAATCACCTCCCACTTTCTCAGATTCTTTAGTCTTAGTAAGAAGAAAATAATAAACTCAAGTGAGTGAAAATAATAAACTCAAGAAGTAAACCTTCTTGAGTTTAAGGTATGCCACTTGAGTTTATTATCTAAGGCAGTACAGCTAAAACAATCTTAACCCAAGAATAAACTAGAAATTTGGAGGTCAATTAACACAATAAGAAGAAATTTGGTGTAGAAGATGGTCTCAGCCTGTTAAAACCATACCCAGTTTCTAGTGGAAATTGAGGGTAATATTGTGCCCAAATTAAAAACAAACAAAGAAAAAACAGTGGTCAGAATACCTACTGCATCTTTATGGAGTCTTAAGTCAGCTGTCCTTACCTTGAATTATTTAAATATTTTCTCAATATTTCCTGAGCTAAACTGAGACTGTAAAAGTATCCGTCCCTTACAGTTGTTGTAAGGATAATATTTGATAGATAATACAAAGTGTTTAGCATAGAGCTAACACATGCCAAGCACTCTATAAAATAAGCGATTATTTTTATTGAGCCATTTAAATTATCCACTCCTATATCTTTGAAATATAGGTGCTTGGTAGCTTTTGATTGTGAAGTCCTCATCATGTGATCTTAATGAAAAACACATTGGCAGCCAGAGGGTAGTTCCAAGGATTTTAGAATAGCTTTAAAACTCCAAAATTCAAAGGTGTTAAACACACAACCACATTTGGCTTCTCCAATAAACACCTTGACAACTTAGATATTACACAGGAGGCCTGAAAGCAGAGGTAATTTGCAAATAATATTTAATAAAAGAAATTCTTCAGTTACTGAATCACTTTTCTTTTTGTATTATAAATAATCCTTTAATTATTCTGCTTTTTATATTTGCATGTATTAATTAAGCAAAAGCTACAGCTTAGGCTATAAGTATAATTTAACAAGCAAGTTTATTGGATAGGAAAAATTGTGAAAAATTAATTATGGAAGATTCTGGATTTGGCATAATTGGTTGGGAAACAGCAAAAAAAAGAATCTATGAAGGCAATGTGTTTCAATGCTTGTCAGAAAAATGAATTCTGGGCAGAATGGTAGGGGAATAGAGGGTTTTACTCATCTACAAGCTGTACAGAGTAGCAAAACCCCATCAGAGTTAGATTAAAAGAAGAAATAATGATTTTACAGGACAACACTTTGAAAGGATTTTACTGAACACTACTTTCCTCAGAGTAGCTGCTTCCAGCATGATTTCTGACCAGAGCCATTCTTAACCAATTCTGAACCTCCTACTGCACCTGCTCTGCATGCCACTCTCCAAATGCTGTTCAGCCAGCCAACATTTTCTGACTAACCCATACTTTCCAGTTGAAAGAGATGATGGTTTAGAAACCCACTGACATCGAGTTAAGGATTCAATGAGCTGTGCTTCCTAGGTATAGATTTTGTAAAAATAAAAATAAAAGACAAAATGCACACAAATAAATCAAAACATGAATACAAAAGAATAATTTTGATATAGAATATAGTGAATTTCCAGATTGCAAAACCAAACAATACACAAAAAAGGGAAGAAGGAGGTGTTATTTTAGTATACCATATATCACATTATTTAATTTGTTCAGATTATAATTAGCAGTATATATCAAGAATATTGCAACTGTTAGATTTTTTAATTTAACAATATGATTTTTTGTTAAAGCCAATGGACTATAATTGAGCAATTAATTAGAGAAAGTGATTTATATTACTTGTGATAATGGAATCCCCATCAGAAACAACACTCCTTACTGGAGGAAAGAAAGTGGTCACTTCCAGTAACAGCTGGTGAATTAAACAGCACAGCTATTTAGCTTGAGTGATCTGCGCTTTGTTCAGTATAAGGAGGAACGATGAAAGGAGGAGAATAAGCAAGAACCACTGTACCTCTGCTATTTAAAAAAGCCTCCCTCTTGAGAAAAATGTGAATATATTCTAACAAAGAATATGCTTAAACTAAAAATACACTTTATTAACACAATTCCTGCAGACAGTGTTGTTTTGCTACAATGAATCTGAAACACCATAGTTTCTTTTAACCATTGCAAACATTGTTTATGTAGCATGATTTTTAAAACATAGCAGGGTAGACTCGACTCTAATCTTCCTCACTTCTTTATAGACTTTTTAAAGTTTATGCCTACAAGGGAAAATATCAATCAATTAGATGGTAATTTAATTGGATTATCATTTTTAAAAATATCTTCTCATGGTATTTATTTGCAATGGGTGTAAGAACTTTGTTCTTCAGTTTACTTGGAAAACAGTACTTTAATTTTCTTCCTCCCTCCTTTCCTTCCCTCCCTTCCTCCCACCCTCCCTCCCTCCCTCTCTTCCTCCCTCCCTTTCTTCCTTCCTCCCCCCTTCTTTCCTTCCTTCCTTCCTTCCTACCCTCCTCCTCCAACTTCATTGTAATTCAACAAACATTTAGTAAAATATATTGTAGCCCAAGTCATTCTGGTGTTGAGAATGCAAAGCCGGATATATTAACAGTCTTGACTATTAAAAATTCCATATACTCTTGAAGAAAACACACAGAAAATACACTAACCAGTAAGCAAGTGGTATTATAGAAATTGAGACGATGGGCATGTAGCCCAGTGAGAAGGTTGGGAAAGACTTTTTAGAGGAGGCAATGCTGAGGCTAATTCTTAAAATTTAAGTAAGAGATAGTCAGATGGCTGAGATGTGCATGGGGACATTTCAGGTATTAGAGACAACAGGCATACATACCTAACTAACTAGGAAACTGCAAACAATATGATACTGTTAGACTGTAAAATTCTAGTGAAGGAAAGACACAGAATGTAGTTGGAAAGGTAGCCAGGCCAGTTCAAAGAGAGGTATATGTAATTCTGTGAAGGTCCTTGAATTTCACCCTGTGTTGTATGGAGTTATCAGTGGGAAATTGTAAAAGTACCTTGACATCCAAAAGTATGTCCTCTTGTTAGCCTCACATACTAAGGCTTTCTAATTAGGAAATTCTAGGCTTCTGAATTTTAGAAGACATTCTACTGATATTTTGAGGGCTGATGAAATAGGCAGGTGATATCTATGCAATACGGCTAGATATAATAGTAGGGTCCCCTAAAGTGTTAGGACATTTTTGAGATGGCTCCCAGTGACCCCTACCTACTGGTGTTTTCACCTCTGTATAATTCCTCCCCCTGAGTATTAACTGAATTTAGTGGCTTGCTTCTAATGAATAGAGTGTTGTGAAAGTAATGGATGACACCCTCAAGAATAGATTATAAAATACTATGACTTCAGGCTGGGTGCGGTGGCTCACGCCTGTAATCCCAGCACTTTGGGAGGCCAACGTGGTTGGATCATGAGGTCAGGAGATCGAGACCATCCTGGCTAACACGGTGATACCCCGTCTCCACTGAAAATACAAAAAATTAGCCAGGCGTGGTAGCGGGTGCCTATAGTCCCAGCTGCTCAGGAGGCTGAGGCAGGAGAATGGCGTGAACCCGGGAGAAGGAGCTTGCAGTGAGCCGAGATCATGCCGCTGCACTCCAGCCTGGGCGACAGAGTGAGACTCCATCTCAAACAAAAGAATAAAATAAAATAATAAAATAAAATACTATGACTTCAGACTTGCTAACACCCTTTCTCTTACTCTTTCATTTACTAGCTCTGAAACCAAATGCATGTTGTTAGCTTCCCCATGGAGAGGTCCATGTGGCAGGGAAGAAAGGGAAGCCTATGGCTAACACACAGTGAAGAAATAAAGGCCTCAGTTTATCACTCCTGTAAGTAAGCTTAGAAGTGGCTCTACCACACAGAACCTTAAGATAATGACATCCCCAGCTAACATCTTGAAGCCTTGTTGGAGACCTGAAGTCAGAAAACCCAGCTAAGCCACATTTGATTCCTGACCCACATGTACTATGAGATAAACAAAATGTTTACTGCTTGAAGCTGCTACATTTTTGGGGCAACCTGTTATGCAGCAGTAGAGAATACACATACCTAACAATAACATCAACAGCAAACATCTTCCTGTCTCAGTTGACACAGTGTTCTACCATCATAGGTTTATGCTCTTAACTATATGCTGCTTATCCAAGCTAAGATTAAGGAGCGAAGGCATAAGTAGGGAACAACAATGGGAAGAGAATCAAGAGCTCTCCAGTTTGTAACAATTTTCTGGATACTAGGTGGTTGCTTATCTGTGAAAGAGCCAAGTTTCACAACTACAAAAAAGAATAGGTATGGCTCTCAGCTACCTGGCATCTGACTGATTGAGCACTGTCGCATTAAGGCCATCCTCTTTTGAAAGCATGCCACCAAAGAGTTCCAACCTCTTCATGTACATTATATGATTAATATCACAGGCTTGTTTTACACCCACCTTGTTATAAATAAGGCTGTGTTTGTGATCAGCAGAGGGAAAGGAACAGAAAGAAGACGGAGACAACATCTCCGTCCAAGGATCTAGCAGGAGCCATCTAAGTCTATCTTCTCTGGCATTTTTCTCCTTATATGTACCTATCTGTTTAGCACAGAGGCCCCCCCTCCAGTCTCCAGTCTGAGGCTGATTAGGAACCAGGCCACACAGCAGGAGGTGAGTGGTGGCTGAGCGAGCATTACTGTCTGATCAGCAGTGACATGTGATTTTCATAGAAGCACGAACCCTATGGTGAACTGTACATGGGAGGAATCTAGGTTGCAAGCACTTTATGAGACTCTAATGCCTAGTGATCTGAGGTGGAACAGTTTCATCCCAAAACCATCACACACATACCCCCACCCCATCCATGGAAACATTGTCTTCCACAACTGAAACCGGCCCCTGGTGCCAAAAAAGTTGGGAATCACTGCTTTACTGTTCATTCATGGATCCATTGCTTTCACTTATAAATTTGTTGAATATCTAATCCTAACACTAGATAATATATAAAACTATTTGCTGTATGAGGCATCATGCTAACTAATTTCTGTATATTAATTCCTCTTAATTTTCACTATGTTTTCAAGGTCCAGTTAATTTTTCTGAGATTCTGATTTACTTGGTCTTCTACAGAGCCCAGATGTCCATATTTCTAAAAATCTCCATAGATGATTATAATGACCATTTAATTTTGAAGATTACCATACTACACCATAGGTGTAAGGCATTGATATGCAACATGCCTTTTTAGAAGTAAATATGATTAGTTCAGATGTTTATTTATGAACACTTACTCAGCATTTGCAAAGAGCATTAAGATGGGTGCACTGATTTAGTATTAGTGTGTTCAATCAAACAAGCAAAGGATTAGTTGCGGATCACTGTGACAAGCAGAATAAGAGAAACAGACAGGGGCCATAGGAATTCAGAGCCAGCACACTGCATGCAACTAGCAACAATTCAGGTTTAAAAAAAAGCAAAAAGAAAACAACTAAAACAATTACAGCTTATACTAAAATCATTTGTTACTTTTGAAATATTACATTACTCCCTTGCAAAACGGTCTACTTTTTCTCCTTGAATATTACTCTTTGTTCTTAGCCATGATTCTATTCAGTGTCCTTAGGCTAATGATTCCATTTAATTGTTTTTTTTTCTGAGACAGAGTCTCACTTTGTCGCCAGGCTGAGGGCAGTGGCGCAATCTCGGCTCACTGCAACCTCCGCCTCCCGGGTTCAAGTGATTCTCCTGCCTTAGCCTCCTAGTAGCTGGGACTACAGGCACCCGCCACCACACCTGGCTAATTTTTGTATTTTTATTAGAGATGGGTTTTCACCATGTTGACCAGGATGATCTCGATCTCTTGACCTCGTGATCCACCCTCCTCGGCCTCCCAGAGTTTTGGGATTACAGACGTGAGCCACCGCACCCAGACTGATTAAATTTAATTTAATTTCACATAGGGTAGGTAGCAGTCCAAGCTACTCAGGTAACACTGAGGTGAATAGCACCAATTCCTGGACTTAAGCATATTAAAGTCTAACAGGAAGAAGGTAAGACAAGTAGATAAACGTTCCAAAATGGCAAAATATAAGAAGAGAGTTAAGACAGTTTCAGTGGCATGTAGTTTTTTTGAGGGAAATAATCAGGAACAATGTTTACATTCCCAATTTGTTCCTAGAACACTTAAATTTTACATGCATCCAGGCATATGTCTTTTTAATCTTTATCTTTTTAATATTTATCTTTTTAATCTGTTAATTTCTTTTTAATCTAAAGGGGTTTTCCTCCCTTCCCCTTACCCCCCAAACACACAAGTTTCTTTTAGGTCAGTGCTGGATGCTGAAAAATCCCATATAACCTTCTGACTCCCTATATAGGCAAGAGGGGAAAAAGTCAAGTGTAAAGAATGCATTTGTTGTTCTGTCAGCACCAAAGCAAAATAGGAGGGTTATCAGGGATATTTAAATTTCTCTCTCAGATGACTGAGAGAGTGCAACCAGCTGCACTCAAATTGCATTGAAAATAGATACTTTGCGAATTTTCATCTAAATGAAAGTTTAAATTACCAGAAGCAGTCTGACCGGTTATCTTTGACTAAAGTGGCTTACGATTTGCATATAAACTTCATTTCTTTTTCTAATTATGCTGAATAAAATGCATTCATTTTCTCTTTGATTATAGGCCAGCCCTGCCAAACACCTGTGACTGCCACAAATCTTAATTTGATATTTATTTACTTCGAAGCAATCTTATTATCTAAATGATTTGAGGCATCAAAGGCCTTAATTATTGATAGTCAGTTCAATAGGGTTAGCTTCCGTGTCCTTGGGTGGGTAGGAGTTTCTGATTTGCTCTTTCCTTTTTAAGCACTGCTTGGCTGTAAGAGGCCATATGATTCCACTATTAAGGGTATTGGAAATCACATTCTTATTTAATTGAAACTAGATTTAAACAGTATCAAAGAGCCCCGATTGACAGGTGCAATCTGCAGGCATCCACGTATTTATTTTAGTAACATTTACTTATACTTAGTCTTCTATATTAGCATTGTATCTTTATGTACTTTCCAACCCTTTGGAGAAAAGGAACAACTTTCTCATTTCTCTGAAATTTTAGGATCAGCCCAAGGTTTTCTGGAGAGACAAGATGCTATAAATGGCATTCTTTAGGCAAAAGGGGAATACTGATGGGAAAATCACTGGATAAGGGGGCTGAAGATGGCTGGCATTGTTTTGATTCAAAATCCTTTTTCAGCATGAAATTTACAGAAATGGAGGAGGTAAGTGGATGGGTTAAATGTGAAGACCCACCTTAGCAAGATTTTACAACTCACAATCAGTGTCATAAATAGCTCATCTTTCTCCAAACAATATTTCATTGGAAATTAGTGGTCACTGAAGCTTTGAGTGGAGTTTCAAAACCATTTGTAAAGGTTTTTCAAAATGTACTCCTGGGACAATCAAGGGTCCTAAAGAGTGATTTACCTTTTTTACTCTCATTCTCTCAAGAGGATACAGCGGAGTATTCCAGAGGCTACATGTGACATTTGATACTGCAACAGAGTGATCTCAGAGGCCAATATGAAAATCCAGTTTTTTGTATTAAGCCAAATTTTTGAGACTGGCAAACATATAAAGATAATGCTACTCTTTCCGTGAATTAGTCTTCTTGTGGAAAGTAGATATTTTTCATAAAAATATGGCATTTATTTTACCATACAACAGGTTTATTGTGATTTTAGGAAATGAATTAATAAGTATTTTTAAAATGTTAAGCAAATATTAATATATGTACTCCATATAAGCTGAAGCTGTTTGTGTAGTTAATACTTTGTAATCGCATGAAGAAATCCTGAGACTAAAATGTTTGAGGACCTCTGATTTATATGAATGCATATGCATTCTTCTTATCACTATCTTTTTCATCACTCATACATTCTTTGACTGCATTCTTAGTGAGTCTTTCTCTTTCCTCTGTTTTGAAAAGCTCCTGTAATAGCAATGGGGATATAGATTTTAGAAAGCACACAGTCTGGTGTTAGCACTCTACTTGCAAAAAGATAATTATAATATAATTGATATGCTCAGTTGCTGTGGTAACACACATGATTAATGTGACAAACTGCTTGGGAGAGTCAGACAGGAATGGGTAGATGATGTTTGGCTAATCATATTTAACCAACATTAAACCCCTGTTCTTGCCTTTCTTTCTACCATTCTCTCCCCGCACATTCCAACCAGTACACCTAGTGTTGGGTCCTCTCAAAAACACTATTGATACCTCATGTGTGGCTCCATCCAGCAACCTTGGGAAAGTACTTGGAGCATTTCTTCCCCAAAAGTAAACTTTTAGTGAAGCAAAACATGGGCAGGGATGTAGTAGGGCAGGTTAGGGTAGGGGCTTACAATACTGTTGTAGATGAAGCAACATCATCTTCATGGTCACTAAATCAATTTAAATGGTCCCGTGATTAAATCACATTAGAAAAGGAAGGGAAAGGGGAAAAGATTACAGTGCTCACATGATTTGCAAATCAGGTGGTCAGGCAGATGGGCTGTGGGTTCTATGAACAGCCATCGCCAGATCAATGAAATGCTTTCTTTAGGCTCACTCTGAGCTATCAATCGTCAAGGCTGATCTCTTGTTGTGTTCTTCAGAACAGAGGCAACATGAACACAATATGACACTCAATTAACCACATGCGTCAATCAGGAGAAACCCAATGGATTCCACTTTGTCAGCAGCTTGGCTCGCCGTGTGTGGGTGGAAGACAAAGCCTTTTCATTACCAGCACTTTCTGGAGGCCTCCAGTTTCCAGGCATCACCCAGTTCAATTCTGTAGACCTCCACTAATGTCTCAGGATGAAAATCTAAAAGGTGAACCACAGGATTGCATTTATCTTCTCTGCTTGTTACACTGCTCAGGACACAATTTAGTCCAGGGAGAGGTTCACAAAATAACTTCCTTCTTCCTTTCTTTTTGGCCTTAAACTCAGATTCCTCACTTATTTAACTGCTTGTAATAATATCAGTGATGAGGACTGACGGTATTTTTTTGTGGGCGTAGTTATGCCTTCAGTCTGCACTTCTGGCTCCCGACTGGAACTTTTCTGAGTTAGGTAAATTTGGTTTGGTCAACAGAGATATTTTTAAACTTTTCTTTAACTTGTCTTTAAACCCTAAATTCCAAGGAGCTGTAAGGAAACCCCAGCTACCATCCCTAGTCTATGCATTTGTTTAAAAAAAGTATTTTGTTAAATGAATAAATGAATCTTGTCACACATTTTACAAAAACCCAAGTAAGAAAGATAAAACTTTCATTTTCCAAGAGCATGATTTTTATTACATTCATAAAAAAATCATTGGGTATTCTAACAACACAGATTATTTAATGCTTTTCTTCCATTTATTTTCTTATATAGGGATATATAAACACACACCCCCATATATATCCTTACATAAAAATAAATATATATTCATTTTTATTTATATTAATTTAATGTAAATGAAATATAGTGAATATATATTCATAATATATTATATTAATATAAATACAATATAATGAATATATATGAGTATATATTCATTTTTGAATATATATGAGTATATATTCATTTTTGAATATATATGAGTATATATTCATTTTTGAATATATATGAGTATATATTCATTTTTGAATATATAAATGAATATATATTTATTTATAATATAATATATAAATGAATATATATTCATTTATGTAGTCAAAAAATATATATATATTTATATAGGATATATATGTGTGTTTGTATAATAGATAATAGAAAAATGAATATATATTATATGTATATATAAAAGTATATATAAAATGTGTATTATATATGTATATAAAATATATATGTGTGTATATAATGAATATACATATATATCTACATATAATATATGTACATATGAATGAATATATGTATATATGTATATATAAATGAATATATAATACACAATTATATATAATGTAGAAAATAAATATATATGTTGACTATATATATAAACACAAATATATATTCATTTTTCTAAATTGCCTCTAATTTCTAAATTGCCTCCAATGTCTTCAGGAAATGATTAATTTCCTGAAGGTAAATCTGAAGGAGGTGGTCTGCCTTTACATTTACACAATGAAATTTTAATTCAAAATTGTAAGAATTAACATGCAGTGAGAAAATGTTGTATATTTTATAATGACAAAGCAAAGCACTTCTCTAGGTAAAGTTAGTTAAGAAAACCAAACATGCCACAGCATCTTGCAGTGAGGAAGTGCTTCCAAATGAGGTCTACTCCAGCTCTGAAACCATGCAGAAGGCTTTCTGCATTGAGAAAACCAAGCACCATGGAGATCAGATTGCTCAAGTCTGAATGCCAACTCTGCCATCTACTAGGTGTGTTGACTTGGACATGTTAGTTAGACTCTATCTCAATTTTATCTTTGTAAAAGGTGGATAATAATATTGACTACCTTATAGTGCCCTTGTGATTATTGTGATTATTATGCATTTAACACACTTAGAACAATGGGCGAACCCTTGTAAGTGTTATAAAAGCTTTTGTTTGTATTACTTTATTGCTTGTGAAATAACACTGTCATCCAAGTACTGCTAGTCTCAGGTAGCCTATTCATTCCAATTTTATTGCTTAACATTTTTCAGAATATCATCTCTTTATTATGGGTTAAAGCATTTCTGTTTTTAAACTCCATCCATTGATCTCAGCTCTGCTTTATTTCCAGAGTACCCAGGACAAATACAGTTTTTTTTACATGAGAGGCTTTCAGCCACTTGACTTTAATGATCAGGTCACCACTTCAACTTCACTTGTGTGAATGAATTACAAGCACATTGACTTCGAGTCAGGATCTGGAACCAGGCTGCCCAAGTTCATATTATTCAGCCACCTTTATGTATGCAACTATGGGCAGTTTTTTAAATTTAATCTTGTCTATGCCTCAGTTTTGTCATCTATGAAATGGAATAATAATACTACCTACCTCACAGTGTTTATCTTGAAAATGTGTAAATTTGTAAGCAATGCATACAACCATCCCTCAGGGAGATGACACATAACTCCCCAACTCTGAAATATGGGTTGAGCCTAGTGACTTTCTCCCAGAGAATACAATAAAGAAAGAAAATTATCTAACTTTACAGTGGAGAAAAATCTAACAAACGCTACCTCAGCAATGCGATCAAAGTTAACAACAGTGACATGCAATGCTGACAATGTGTATCCTTGATATGATGCGGTGAGAATAGCACTTTACCTTTGTAGACTAATTCCTAAAAACTCATAATCCCAGTCTAATTGCACACAAAAACAACAGACAAATCCTGACTGAGGGACACTTTACAGCACAACCTGATCAGTACTCTTTAAAGATATCAAAGTCATCAAAATCAAGTCAAGTCCAAGAAGTTGTCACAGAGAAGCCAGAGACATGGTGTATAAATGTAATATAGTATCCTGGATAGGATACTGGGACAAAAAAAAAAAAAAGAATATTAGATAAACGCTAAGAAATACAAAGATATGTAGACTTTAGTTAATAATAATGTTTCAATATTGATTTATTCATTAGTTGTGACAACTGTATCATATCAATATATGTTTTTTAAAATAAGAGTAACTAGGTGCAGTGTATAAGGAAATTCTTTGTACTATCTTTGCAACTTTTATGTAAAGCTATAACTATTCTAAAATAAAAAGTTAGGAAAAATGAATAAAACAGTGCTCGAACATACTAAAAACTCAATATGTGTTGACTATTATTATTACATTTGTATAAGGTCTGTTCTTATATGACTTGAATTCCAGTTTAGTTATAGCCAGACTTAAGAAGTGTGTGTATGTGGGCAGGAAGAAAGAGCGGCATAGGTGCTGGGAGGCTTATGCACATACCATTGCCAAGGATTCCAGGTCTTTGCAGTGATATGGATTCGAAAGATAATTTGCTATTGGGTTCTGGACTTCCCCATGAAGTGCCACTATCTAATAAGCCTGTTTCTAGGAGGTCACCTGATTATCCCCCAAATCAATTGAAATCTGAAACTCTAAATTAAAAAGAGAGTGATTGAATTTTTTATTAATGAAGTAGTGTGAATTTCAACTCCGTGCTGTGTCTAAAATGAAGGAGAGGAATTGACCCTAGAGGTACAGTTTAAAATGATTGGCATTTGCCTGGCCATAGGCAGCCTGCCTTTGAATACCTGAATGCACTTAATAAATGCCACGATTATTGCCAATTAGCTTCACAAAATAGAGGTCTCCAGGGCTCTCCTGCAAAAGCAGACTGCAGTAACAAGACACACATGCCAGTTGATGTTATTGCCTTTACATCTTCTGAAACTCTCTGATAAAATTGTTGTACCTCTTAGGATCTGACAAGATGGATAGATGCAGGCCTTCAAAATCTGTGGGATGAACAAAATTCCCATGTCCTTTTCTCTGCCACATGTGTACTGATCCTTCGCCTGCAATGATGGGGAGTGTATCCTTGTAATTTGATTTGGAACTATGTCATTTCCAGCAAACCAAGGCAAACATCATAGAGGCTGAATTATTTCTTGAAATCTGGAAATTTGGTGAATCTGTCTAGTTCTTCTTAGCACTTGTAGTTTTTATTTGACATTTTATTTTCTCTTCAAATTTGGTAATGTTTACCACATCATAAAACAAATAGAACCATGATGTCTTTTCTATTTTACATAAATAGATCCACGTATTTCTAACAATTTACACATAGATGCTGAGAGTATATTTTTGATACGAGGAGGTAAGGATACATAATTCTCCATCACCCCTACTCTACAATGATGCTGGTGATTTCGGATTGTTCACTTAAAGGTATATTCTAGAATTTCAAATCAGGTGTGTAAATCAGAACATAGCATTCCTGAGGTGATGGCCCAGATTATAGAGTAGGCAATTATCTTAATTCCTCACTTCCGTTAGTGTACCATCAGTTATATGTTCTTTTTCAATAAGTAGTATCCAGTTTCTGACTCACAAACTTTATGTTAGCCATTGACAAGCCCAGCCAAACCTATTTGTGCAAGCAATGGATGATAAACCAAACCAAACAAAACCAAAAAAAACAAAAAACAACAAAAAAACCCAAAAACACCTGACAATTTCCAAGGAAAATTCTATGGCAATTGGCATAGAAGTACTTAGTGTTGCAAATACTACTATTTATTTTTTTCTAAAGACAATTTAAGGTTATGATGGCACCTATAAAAAAATAAAATGGTAATTAATTGCATGATGATGAAGCATATATTTCCATTAATCTTCCAGATTAGTGACTAAAAATATTAAGTGTTACATATGCACTTTCAGAGCATGTTATGTGCACCTGACCCATGATGCTAATTGTTATTTTTTTACTTTCATCTTGCAATAAATTAAGAGTAGTATAGTCTCCATTCAAGTAAAAAGCCTCTAGCTAGGCTGTTAATCTTCCCCATATTCCTCATAGTACCTTTTATATATTCATTCTACACAAATTTTCTGTGTTGGAATTACAAAAGTGACCATATATTTTTAAAGGGGATACATTTTTAATACATTAGTGAATTGAAAAATTACTTTACAGAGTGTTGAAAAGGTCTCTTCAGTGTGAGGCATCCAATCTGTGACTGAAAGAATGGGAAGGTGTTAGCCAGGCTGTGAAAGTAGGAAGAGAAGATAGCATTTCAAAGAGAGGTAGCAGTATCCACTCATTGCCTTTGGGGAGAAAACACTCAATATGTGTTGGCTGAATGAAATTTTGAACTAACAGCAAGAACAGTGTAGTTTCTGTCTTTCTGTTAGAAGACTGAAGTGCAGAAAAGAGTTTTAAAAGGCTAGTTTGATGATGCTGAATGGCATGTCATGGTACTGTAGAGGAACATCAACTCTACATAAAAAACTGTCCACTGAAAGCACAAGGCTATCTTTAAAAAGAATCATTTGTTCTCACCCAAATATAACACTTTTATTGGCTCCAGGAGGAACCTTTTGCTCAAAAACATTTCCTCCGAAATTCCAACATTAGAGATTTATGCATGTGTCTTAAGAAGCTCAATTTTTTAAATGTCAGTACTACTCGAGGTTAAGCTGGGCTATAATTCATCCCTGGCTTGATGTGGAACCCTGTCACCCAGACGCTTTCTTTCTCTTTACGGCTTAATGTTACTAATTAGGACTGGAAAATGGGAACTTCATCAGAGGATAAATGGAAAGGTCACCCTTCCTCGTTGTATTAGCAGAGAGAGGATCTGTGGAAAGAGCAGGGAGCTCCAAGGGGCTATAGAGGACACTCGGTGCAGAGAGAGAGCTGTGTAGCATAACACTCGTTAACGTGGCCTTTCAACAGATCCCTCAGTAAAGTATCACTAGTTTTGTTTTGTTTTATTTTGCTTTCAAATGCTATTATGCTTCCAATGTTTTTAGATAAATCACTTTCTTTTAATTTGAAAATCAATATTGTGTTTAGTTTGCTCTTTATCTGTTTTTCTATAACAGTGACCTATTTAGGTTACCGATATTTGAATTAGCAGTAGCTGGTGTCTTTATAAAATATTGGTAGTATATTATATGGTGCAGACAGGAGAGCAAGAAAAAAACACACTTTACTTGTTTTCTTGCTCACTCGTAGGAATTATCAGTAACTTCTTATTTCATAACCAGGAAAGTGTAAGAATAGAAGGCCAAGAGAGTGAAAATGTGATAAATTCGTTAATAACCTTAAGGAAAGGAAGAATGATTTTATATTTGGATAAACCTGAGTTTAAATCTAAAATATTGAAAGTAGTATTAAACTCTCTGAATTTCATTCGTACCAGTAGTTAAACTTGAATAATATCTATTTTATAAGCCTTTTCAGAGGAGTAAAGTATAATAAAGTGTCTGTCACAATGGCCTGTACATATCAGGTGATCAACTAATCATAACCAAGATAGTAATTATAATGGAATAGTGATGTAATTCAAACTACTATTCAAGATAGGAACAATTAGAAGAGGGGAAAGTAGGACAATGAATCTGTGAAAGAGGTGATATGCAATTACCAGGAACCCTTATATAACTTTTTTTATAATGGGTCAGGAATGATTTTTCCATATATTAAAATTTTTCTATGTATCTTCATTTATTTTTCCCAATAATCCAATGAAATAAGTGGACTATAATCACTTACATTTTACAAATGAAGAAACTAAGGCATAGATAAGTTAATTTTATCAAGATTAAAGAAACAAACAATAAAAACTAAGTGGCAGAGTCAGTATTTGAACCAAAGCAATTTGGCTCAATACAGAGCTCTTAACCATTGCAAAATAACGCTTGTGTAGTCTTTTAAATTCCTTGATCATTTGAAAAATTATCTTTATACTCGGGAGGCTGAGGCAGGAGAATTGCTTGAAGCCAGGAGGTGGAGGTTTCAGTGAGCTGAGATCGCACCGCTAAACTCCAGCCTCGGTGACAGAGTGAGACTCAATCTCAATAAATAATAATAATAATAATCATCATCATCATCATCATCTTGTGGAAGGCATCAAAACTTAATTAATAAGTGAAGATACTTGGAATTAGGCACATTTTAATTCAAAATAAGCATGATTCAAAACATATTCAAAACTGATGACTGTTTGATAACCTAATATACATTGCAAACATATTGAAGAGGACTTTAATACATACTGTATCTTATGCATGCAATCTTCTCTGTGATAATTATTATTTCAGCATATATAACAAGCACAATGAGTTGTCTTTGCAGGCAGAAGAGAAACATGACATCTAAATGAATACTTTCCCCTTCAAAATAGTCACTTTTAGAAGACAAGTGTTTATTTTCATGATGCTTACTGTCTTAGCCCTTTCAGGCTGCTATAAAAAATACCATCAATGATATGGCTTATAAACAAAAGGAATTTATTTCTCACAATTCTGGAGACTGGGAAGTCTAAGACCAAGGCATCAGCAGATTCAGTGCCTGAGGAAGGCATGCGTTCTCATAGATGAAATCGTCTCATGGTGCTCACATGGAGGAGGAAGGGGCAAAGGAGCTCCTTTGAGCCTATTTTAGGAGGTCACTAATATCATTGATGAGAGTTCCACCTTCATGACCTAATTACCACCCAGAAGTCCTACCTCTTAATACCATCACCATGGGATTTAGGATTTCAACATATGAATTTTGGGGGAACACAAATATTCAGACCATAGTACTAACTTTGTTATTTTTCATTTTATTTTTAAAGAAGCCTACAAATCTGAAATATGTTTAATTATTAATCTGTTTTCAATGGTAGAAAAATTACCTTCATGCATTGAGTTATACATCTGATTATATATATCCATATATTTCTATCTGTATATCTAGAAATCTAAATCTCTCTATGTCTCCCTCCATCTCTCCTTTTCTATCTTATAGTGTTGAGGGCTTTTAAATGTTCTGACAAGACATTTTCTGTCAGAAAAAGAATTGGGAGAGAGAGATCAACAAAATTTTTTGTAGTCCTTATTAATAGTAAGTAGAAATTCAGGGTTTTAATTATTCAAAAGCACTTCACTATGATTTAATTTGATTGTGACTGAATATGCTGCTCTCCTCGTGTTAGGTTCTTCACTATTTTATATGTACATGCTCATGTCATCATTTTTTTTTAAATGAGTAATTTTATTTCTTCTTTTCCAAACTCGATGCCACTTATTTGCTTTCTCTCTCTCTCTCTCTCTCTCTCTCTCTCTCTCTCTCTCTCTCTCTCTCTCTGTGAGATGGAGTCTTGCTCTGTCGCCCAGGCTGAAGTGCAGTGGCGTGATCTTGGCTCACTGCAGCCTCCATCTCCCGGGTTCAAGCAATTCTCCTGAGTAGCTAGGACTACAGGGGAGCACCACCAAGCCCTGCTTTTTTTTATTTTTTCTTTTTTTTCCTCTCTCTTTTTTTTTTTAGTACAGATGGGGTTTCACCAGGTTGGCCAGGCTGGTTTCCAGCTCCTGACCTCACATATTCCACCTGCCTCAGCCTCCCAAAATGCTGGGATTACAGGCGTGAGCCACCGCACTCAGCCACCTCTTTCTCTTCTCCTCCTCCTCTTTCACTTCCTTCTCGCTTCCACCTCTATTTTCTTCTGCATCCCTGAACTCTTATTCCTGTTTCCTTTGCCCAGCAAGACCAATGCTCTTTTCGGGTCCCATTGCCTCTTTCTATAAAATGGCTCCAGACAGAATCCCAGTATGAATAAGGAGCCCATCTTGCATATCTTCCCTCTTTTAGGAACCTTTGCCCAGCACAGTCTGCTACCCTGTGCCTGAAAATAATTGCTGCATATATTGTGTCCAGATCTACAGCAGTTCACAGTGGGAGATTAGCTTTGGTAACCATTACTGAATCTTGGCCAAACCAATAACCTCTTACCATAAACATTTAAGAGCTGACGTAAAAATCCCTCCACTCCAAAAAAGAAGGTTTATTTTAAAAGCATTCTTTAAAAAAAAAAATTAAATCCTTTGATTATATCTTAATTCATTTTCATTGAATTTACATGTTAGAGATATTTCTTTTGGTTTGCATGTGCTTGTAATTTTATGCACAGCCACATGCCATATCTTTGTAAAACCCTGGGTTTTTGTTTTTCCCCCTATAGATTTTATACAGGAAGCTTGTGGTAGGTCTATTTTTATTGATCTTAGTCTCAATACACCATAAGGATAAAAAGTAATGTGTTTTTATGATAAAGACAATTTTTGTACTTTTCTTGGCTACCCAAGAATTCCACTATAATGCTATGACATATAACATCATCTAGAAAGGATGAATATTTATTTTCATTTCATGTTTATTTTTACTGAAAGTTCACATTAATATTACTCTCCAAACATTTATTTTTAGACAGTGTATATTGCTCAAGTGCCAAAACATGCATGTAAAAATTAGGGTTACTAAGACTTGTTTTCTATTCTATGTATTATATACTACCTGTTAAAGCAGAAACACACACTGGATGAGCTAAAACAGAACATACCTAGGTCATATTTGATGAGTAAGAAGAGTTCCATCCGGATTGCTTATATTTAAGTTTCTGTTTTCTTATCCCCACTTTTGTTTTAGATGATAATTCACTGAATAATTGAATCAGTAATAACTTTTTAACATAAATTATTCTGGTTCTGTAATTCTAGCTGTATTGATGTACATAACCTAAAGGTGCTATATTATTACCATAAAGTTAATTTGAAATATGACAGCCCTATCAAAATACCAAGAAAAATATAAAGAACATCACTAATATAAACATAATACATTTATTCCCTATGGATTTTGTAACATTTGCTATTCCAGAAGATATTTCAGTCAAAATGCCAGAATAATTTGTAAGCATGCCCTTCCAAAAACAGATGCTAACATAAAACATTTAGGTCATTAAAATTAAATATTTCATGCTCAGACATATAATTAGGCACTTGTGTGTCAATATTTATGTAATTTGGGTAGTTAAATGTATGTTTTTCCATATGGTCAACGAAGAAAATAATAAAATGCATCAATTTTTCACTTCACAGGTTTACAACAAGGCAGGTTGCTGTTTAAATAAAACATGATGAAATTAGTCTTTTTTCTTTAAAAAAGGTATTTTTAGTTTGATTCTAATAAAAATACCACACATGTGCTTTACATGTAATATGGAAAATACAAAAAGTGAAAGGGAATTATCACTCATACTTCTCATACTATCTCATGCTTTCCCTTTTGTTGTTTGGATACTGTGATTAAAACTACACCAGCAGCCGGGTGCGGTGGCTTACGCCTGTAATCCTGGCACTTTGGGAGGCCCAGGTGGGTGGATCACCTGAGGTAGGGAGTTTAAGACCAGCCTGACCAACATGGAGAAACCCCATCTCTACTAAAAATACAAAATTATCCGAGTGTGGTGGCGCATGCCTGCAATCCCAGCTACTCAGGAGGCTGCGGCAGAAGAATCACTTGAACCCAGGAGGCAGAGGTTGCAGTGAGCCGAGATAGCGTCATTGCATTCCAGCCTAGGCAACAAGAGTGAAACTCTGTCTCAAAAAAAAAAAAACTACACCAGTAAACTTAGGACTATCATGGACTTCCTATAGAAAGGTATGACCTAAAAACAGCCACTGATATAGTTTTAGTATATTTTTTCCTGATTTGTTTTTGTTTGTTGTGGTTTAGTAAGGGTGTGAATATGTATGTAAATTTACGTGGTGGTTATTGTTGTATTTGTTGGAGGCTCTCCGTAGGCCTAATAGATAGCATTTGTTAAATCTAAAATGTGTAAAAATCAGGAAATAAGATGATGAACTACTAAATGCTAGCTAAACTTCGCATTTCTCATAAAGGCTGAGATGGAAGACACAGCTTAGCATGACAACTAAATGGTCCTAAGATATAATATAGACCCCCCAAGTTAGGTGGGCATACCTAGGGAAAATACTGGATTGAAACAGATTTGGCAACAGGTGAGGTCTTCCCAGGTAGTACTAAAGCTATTAAAGAACGAGTCATTAAAGATACTTAAAACATTGAAGCACCCAATCCCAGCAAGTAGCTTGCTCCTAAGAGAAATGAAGAAGTTGCTGAGCCAAACTTTGTCTCTCCAAATTTACTCCTACAAATTTATCAGTCAGATAAGTCACAACACCTCCCTTGGGCCAGAATAAATAATGGGACAAAGAGAGAGCAGGGATGTCACATTGTTGAGCTTCTGTTACAGGTATGAAACTAATAAGAGCGGAGAATACACATCTCCCACAAAACTCTCTATATACATTATAAATTATATCCCACATCTTTTCTTTGTTTTCAGAGATAGGGTTGAGCTCTGTCACCAAGCTGGAGTGCAGTGAAGTGATCACGGCTCACTACAGCCTTTGACTCCTGGGTTCAAGTGATCCTCCTGCCTCAGCCTCCTGAGTAGCTGGAACTACAGGTGGTGTGTGACCGCACCCAGCTAATTTTTTTTTTAATTTTAATTTTTATTTCTTTGTAGAGACAGAAACTCACAGTGTTGCCTAGGCTAATATTTCATGTATTGTAATATACATTCTATATGTTCATAGATTGTCTGTGCTTTTTTAAAAAAAACTGAAGAGACCTTGATAAGAAAGTATGGAGTCCCTCTCCCTCTCCCTCTCCCCACGGTCTCCCTCTCCCTCTCTTTCCACGGTCTCCCTCTGATGCCGAGCCGAAGCTGTACTGTACTGCTGCCATCTCGGCTCACTGCAACCTCCCACCTGATTCTCCTGCCTCAGCCTGCCAAGTGCCTGCGATTGCAGGCACGCGCCGCCAAGCCTGACTGGCTTTCGTATTTTTTTGGTGGAGACGGGGTTTCACTGTGTTGGCCGGGCCGGTCTCCAGCTCCTAACCACGAGTGATCCGCCAGCCTCGGCCTCCGGAGGTGCCGGGATTGCAGACGGAGTCTCGTTCACTCAGTGCTCAATGGTGCCCAGGCTGGAGTGCAGTGGCGTGATCTCGGCTCGCTACAACCTCCACCTCCCAGCCGCCTGCCTTGGCCTCCCAAAGTGCTGAGATTGCAGCCTCTGCCTGGCTGCCACCCCATCTGGGAAGTGAGGAGCGTCTCTGCCTGGCCGCCCATCGTCTGGGATGTGAGGAGCCCCTCTGCCTGGCTGCCCAGTCTGGAAAGTGAGGAGCGTCTCCGCCCGGCTGCCATCCCATCTAGGAAGTGAGGAGCGCCTCTTCCCGGCCGCCATCACATCTAGGAAGTGAGGAGCGTCTCTGCCCGGCAACCCATCGTCTGAGATGTGGGGCGCGCCTCTGCCCCGCTGCCCCATCTGGGATGTGAGGAGTGCCTCTGCCCGGCCGCCCTGTCTGAGAGGTGAGGAGACCCTCTGCCTGGCAACCGCCCCATCTGAGAAGTGAGGAGCCCCTCCGCCCAACAGCCGCCCCGTCTGAGAAGTGAGGAGCCTCTCCGCCTGGCAGCCACCCCGTCTGGGAAGTGAGGAGTGTCTCCGTCCGGCAGCCACCCCGTCCCGGAGGGAGGTGGGGGGGTCAGCCCCCTGCCAGGCCAGCCGCCCCGTCCGGGAGGGATGTTGGGGGGTCAGCCCCCCGCCCGGCCAGCCGCCCCGTCCGGGAGGTGAGGGGCGCCTCTGCCCGGCCGCCCCTACTGGGAAGTGAGGAGCCCCTCTGCCCGGCCAGCCGCCCCATCCGGGAGGGAGGTGGGGGGGGTCAGCCACCCGCCTGGCCAGCCGCCCCCTCCGGGAGGTGAGGGGCGCCTCTGCCTGGCCGCCCCTACTGGGAAATGAGGAGCCCCTCTGCCCGGCCACCACCCCGTCTGGGAGGTGTGCCCAACAGCTCATTGACAATGGCGGCTTTGTGGAATAGAAAGGGGGGAAAGGTGGGGAAAAGATTGAGAAATCGGATGGTTGCCGTGTCTCTGTAGAAAGAAGTAGACATGGGAGACTTAGAAAAATTCTTCTGCCTTGGGATCCTGTTGATCTGTGACCTTACTCCCAACCCTGTGCTCACTGAAACATGTGCTGTGTCCACTCAGGGTTAAATGGATTAAGGGCGGTGCAAGATGTGCTTTGTTAAACAGATGCTTGAAGGCAGCATGCTCCTTAAGAGTCATCACCACTCCCTAATCTCAAGTACCCAGGGACACAAACACTGCGGAAGGCCGCAGGGTCCTCTGCCTAGGAAAACCAGAGACCTTTGTTCACTTGTTTATCTGCTGACCTTCCCTCCACTATTGTCCTATGACCCTGCCAAATCCCCCTCTGTGAGAAACACCCAAGAATGATCAATAAAAAAAAATAAAGAAAGAAAGAAAGAAAGAAAGTATGGAATAGTTAGGGATGCAATAGAGAACTAGCATGGCAGTGGTGTCCATGTATGAGAGAGTCTTTTAGTCATTATATCATAATGAAAGTTGGGCATAGTGAAAAGACAGGCTCAAATTTAAACATAAATGACTAGATGTCCAGGCATGAACAAGTTACCCAAACTTTTTTTTTTTTTTTCTGAGACGGAGTTTTGCTCTTGTTGCCCAGGCTGGAGTGCAATGGCGTGATCTCTGCTCACTGCAACCTCTGCCTCCCAGATTCAAGCGATTCTCCTGCCTCAGCCTCCCAAGTAGCTGGGATTACAGGAGTCTGCCACTACGCCTGGCTAATTTTTGTATTTAGTAGAGATGGGGTTTCACCACGTTAGTCAGGCTGGTCTTGAACTCCTGACTTCGGGTGATCCACCTGCCTCGGCCTCCCAAAGTGCTGAGTTACTCAAACTTTTTGAATGTCTACTTCAATTATGAAACACGGATTATAATACCAATTCAAAAAATTGAAATGAGGATAAAAATCACATATATAAAGCACATGTACCATAATAGATCCTTTGTAAATAATAAATATTTTCAGTTATTATTTTAAACAAGTTCTGTGTTTTTTTTTAAATTCAGTTCATATTATGTACTCCATGAGGCATTATATGGAAATTTAAAAATACTTAGCAAAATATTCATATAATAAATACTGGTAGTAAATTAAACTGTGGTCTAAGTACATAAACATTATGGTACAAAAATATTTAAATCATCAATCCAATAAATACAAATATTTATGTTATTCGTTTAATTTTTTAAAACAAAATAGGGGCCAGGCGCAGTGGCTCATGCCTGTAATTGCAGCACTTTGGGAGGCCAAGGCAGGCGGATCACATGAAGTCAGGAGTTCGAGACCAGCCTGACCAACATGGTGAAAGCCCCGTCTCTACTAAAAATACAAAAAAATCAGCCAGTCATGGTGGCGGTTGCCTGTGGTCCCAGCTGCTCAGGAGGCTGAGGCAGGAGAATGGCGTGAACCCGGGAGGTGGAGCTTGCAGTGAGCGGAGATTGCGCCACTGCACTCCAGCCTGGGCGACAGAGCGAGACTCCGTCTAAAAACAACAACATAAAAAACATTAGGTGTGGTGGCGGGTGCCTGTAATCCCAGCTACTCGGGAGGCTGAGGCAGGAGAATCGCTTGAACCCGGGAGGCAGAGTTTGCAGTGAGCCAGGTTGGCTCCATGGCACTCCGGCCTGGGAGACAGAGCGAGACTCCATCTCAAAAACAAAACAAAGTAGGCTATTTTACTTACCTGAATAAATTTAACTGATAGTCTAGATGTTTTAATAGAATCACTCCTGTGGTGGTAAAGCCAAAAGTCTTTTAAAGCATTTGACCAATATCCATATTTGATATCTAGCCTTAGGCTTAGCTCTCGGGAAAGTGTTGTAAGTTTCATCTTTAATTTATTAAATGAGTTTTGACCTAATATTTCTCAATCACAACAATGTAATTTCCCCCATATTTTGGACTGTTGGTTATATGTGTTACTGAAAACATGCAAATAGCAGGCATGTAAGAAAATATATTCAAAGATAGTTAATTATGGCAGCATTTCACTTTTGTTCAACAGAGTGAAGTATGTTTTCAACCATACACGTTGATATAAATATGACTCCTTATGGAATGTATGGAAAGTTGAAATAATGTATGTTTATTGCATATTTTCTTGGACACTCAGGGAAATATTGATAGACCACATTATCTCTTTAGTGTATTCAACACGTTAAACAATAATTCTTTGATTTTCATTTGATTACTCATTCATTCATTGAGTCATTCATTGTAAAAATATGTGTTCAGCACCTATACCGTAAGGTCATTGAGTACCAGCTATTTTGTAGGTACTAAGAATGCAGAAATAAATATCTTGCTCTCCTTGATTACAAAAACTCAATCTCAAAGGTTTTCTTTTTTTTTACAAGAAAATTTCCTTTTTATTGGAGAGAGAGGAACTCACCTGTTTATTTTATTTTATTTCTGAATTAAACCTTATCTCATTTAATATTTTCTGACACATTTCCTCTTCAGATGATGCATTTACTTTAAGCCACACAAGAGTGTATTTGCATCTTTGACAGCAAAGGAGAGACTGACTAATGGAATTGATGCTTGGTTTGAATAATGTAGGATGTTGTGACAATGACAGTAGCAAGGAATCTTAAATAATAGACCCTACTTGATGCAATTTAAAAATATGCACACTATTGTCTTAGCCACAAATATGTTAGATTTCATTTCTGCTTCCACGAAGCAGCTGAGCGTAATCCATCTTGATGACAGTTGACAAGAGAAACTAATTTCTCTTAAAAGCATTTCCCAATTACCTTTTTTTCCTTGAAAAACACTAAACATTTTGAAACAAATTTTTTGCTATGTGGTTTCTATATGTAGAAGGAGGATATGGAGGGATATGTGAGAACTTAAATGTTAGTTTCCTCCTTGGCTTCCAAAAATTAACTTTTTATAGTAAATGGCCTGGGAACACTTGATTGTAACGAATGTTTAGGTAGATGTGATATATATCTCTAATGAATATAATTTAGAGCAAATAGATCCATACATCAACTTCTTTTGTTCTTTAAACAAATACAGGAAGAAAAAGAAAGAAGGAAGGGAGGGAGGGAGGAAGGAAGGGAGGGAGGTAGGGAGGAAGGAAGGAAGGAAAGAAGGAAGGGAGGGAGGGAGGGAGGAAGCAAGGGAGGGAGGTAGGGAGGAAGGAAGGAAGGAAAGAAGGAAGGAAGGGAGGGAGGGAGGAAGGAAGGGAGGGAGGTAGGGAGGAAGGAAGGAAGGAAAGAAGGAAGGGAGGGAGGGAGGGAGGAAGCAAGGGAGGGAGGTAGGGAGGAAGGAAGGAAGGGAGGGAGGCAGGGAGGGAAAACATTTTTTTCCATCATCTAAGCAAAACAGAACAAAATGGGAGAATCTTCATTACTCGTATGTTCATTTGCAAAACTATTCAAAATCTTTAAACAAAAACAGCTAAGTTTAACAGCATGCACTACTGAAAAGATCTGAGATATTATTATCTATACTCTTTTACTTAAATAACGGCCATGTAATGAAAGTTCTCCATAATGATAAAATGTGTTTCATCTCATGTCATTGAAGGAAATTTAAATAGTGAGAGAACGAGTATCCCTAGAATATCAGCAGGATTAAGTATTACTTAACGGACTGCATCTATCATTTCAGTACCATTTCATTTTGTATATTCATCCTAATTTATATCAATCTTTCCTCAACAAAATCGTAATTAATTTTGTAGCATGCCTAGATAAGTTATATGAACTTTTCCTTCATTCATAGTGATTTAGTATTAGGGGCAAGATCAATAGTGTTTTAATGGATGAAAGAGTAAAATAAAAGACTTTAAAGGGAAATGACTTGTTTTAGTAATGAGACATTATATTATTTTTATTAAGATTAAGAGAGTTGGAGTCCATGTAGGGAAAAAACATGGCCAGAATATTTAATAGGCTTGACGATCATAAAAAAAAGATGAATGTAAGAATGTTTGCAACTGAAATAACATGTAAGAATGAGAAGTTTGTAATATAATTCTAAAACTATAAAGAACATGTACAGTTGTTGAAGAAAAATACAGAGTAGGAAAGTACCAAAATAGTTCAGATATATTTCAAAGGAGATGCTAAAAAAAATTGAAAGTATTTAGAATGATTATTGAAATGCCAGATAACCTTTGATACCCTCACTGGTAACAAGGATATAACAAGTGATAGGACTTAAAACTTGAGAAAGGATTTCAAAAGATTTATTTTGACTGAGCTGTTCTATAAATCCCTCTTCCTTCCCTGCTCTGCCAAGGGGAAGGGCAGGGTTACTAACTTCATATGCCAAAAGTAATTCCAAAATTTTCTGGGCTTCCAGGAAATTATTTAAAGACTGTGTTCACAGAGATTTGTTAGTGTAGCCAGCAATAACAGGTCAGAAGGAGATATACCACCAGTTTTAGATTCCCAGAATTTGCAATTGGATCCTATCACTGATATAGGTACAGGACTTTTCCCAAAGCATTAAAACATATTTCTTTTTCAAAAGGCACAATTACTGCAAACCTCTGTGAATCCTCTGCAAATATATTTTAGCTCAATATATTAAGTATTTAGAAACCATTCTGTTCTAAATTTATTATGGAACAAGACCCTCTGGTAAAGGTGAAATAAACATGTAGATTTCCAAATATCTCCATTAACTTTTCAGATAAAGGAACAAAATAAATGATATATTATTTGTCAGCCCTTCAAAGATGGAGTTTCTGTTAAATTTAATTACTCCAGCCTAGCTTTAAATCATGAAAGACTTTCGTTGAAGGTGGCTCCCACTAAATGGAAGAAATTTCCCTAAGTGCTTGCTGGGTAAAAGAATGGTGACCAGATGAGTGTGGCTAGAAACTGAAAGCTTTGAAATAAAGTGACCGCATGTGGAAGATTTGCTTATTTATTGATTTAATTCCTGAGGTTGTTGATTTAATTCCATGGGTTTTCTTCCTACTTTATATTCTGAATTAAAACAGAGATTTATTATTTCCTCCCAATTCAAAACCAAAGCAGGCAACACCCATCAGGATGATTTTGATTTACCCCTAATTTATCAGGAAACTGAAACTGAAGGCTCTACTCAGCTGCTGTTTAGTCAATGTTGCGCATACAACTCTATCAAAGGAAATAAACTAATCAACCCACTAATTAATACATACCCACTACCACAGAGCATATAAAATACACCTAATAAAACTGGGAAAGCAATTAATAATACTGAAACGGCCTCAACAAACATATGAAAAGGGACAAGTGACTGAAGAGAGAAATTTACTAATGGGAAGTGTTGTTATTGTTGTTGTTTACCTTAATTCTGCTTTTTTGGTTCCTGTGTTGTATACTGAATTTTTTTCTGCAGAAATGCATGGTCTCCTTACCAGGGCTAATTTGTCCTATTTCCCTATGTAAATCAATTCTATTATTTTCTGCCAGTCCCTACAGTGTTGCCAGTATTAGCTCTTTTTTGATCTTAGCTCTTATACTTTTATGTTTGAAGCACATGTGAGTGGGGCTTTCTTTATTAAGTGGCATACAAAAAGGAGAGGCTTAGGTATAAAGACAGGGCATAGCATCAAGAGTTTCTGGCTGCAGAGAAGGTGGCAAAGGTCTCATTGGGTGGGCAGCCAGCCCTTAAGAAAGCAAAGAAGATGAAATTAAAATCTCATTCAAGGAGGCTGGAGAGGCAGGGTGGTACTTTAGTCAACCTGGAAATGTTGGTGTTTCAATGTTTAAGAAATTGAATCAAATATAACCGTAACATGAGACAAACCACCAAAGCAAGGACTTGGCGAAGAACTGGTGCCTGGGCCAAGCAATGCGGTCACAGAAGAGTCATGCCAACTTGCTCTTGAACATGTTAGCCAGAGTTCGAAACAGTTCAGGATCCAAAAGCACAATGGTGGATTTCAGAAAGCTTTACAAACCGAAACAGGGCAGCAGCAGGGACACAGAGTGACTACAATTTTTAAAACCTTTTTTAGATCCTTTAATTCAGGGGTTCTCAACTAAGATGATTTTGCCTCCCAGGGGACATTTGGAAATCATCTAGTGGGGAAAGGCCAGGGTTAATATACTGCAATGCACAGGACTGCTCCCACAACCAAGAATCACCTGACTCAAAAATGTCAATAGGGCTGGGCATGGTGGCTCACACATGTAATCCCACCACTTTGGGAGGCTGAGGAGGGCAACTCTCTTGAGGTCAGGAATTTGAGAGCAGCCTGGCCAACATGGTGTCGCCCTGTCTCTATTAAAACTACAAAACTAGCCAGGCAAGGTGCCAGGTGCCTGTAGTCCCAGCTACTTGGGAAGCTGAGTCAAGAGAATCACTCGAATCAGAAAGCGGAGGTTGCAGTGAGCCAAGATCACACCACTGCACTCCAGCCTGGGCAACAAAAGGAGACTCCATCTCAAAAAAAAAAAAAAAAAAGAAAAAGAAAAGAAAAGAAAGAAAAAAAATCATTAGTGCAGATATTGAGAAACCCTGCATTTTGCCTCTTCTTGAATAATTATTAAAATGCTCTAATTTCACTGTATTTGCACAATTGTGTTCTCATTTTTTTCCCTTTCTTTGGTTATACACTACCTTTTCCCCTGAAAAATAAGAAAAACCTGAAAGGATAGAGAAAAAGTTAAATAGCATAGAGAACACTAGAAAGCAAAAGATTTCACGTTTTTCTTCATTTTATTGTACCCCCAAACCTAATCTAATTTAAAAGAAAGGTGGTACAAAGGATGTTAAAATCCACAAAAATATTAGTTAGAAGTAAGTTTAAAAAGTACATGATTAAAACAATTTTCTTCAAACAAGAATCTGGAAAAAATTACCAAGTTTACAGATTTTATATTTGGGGAATCAGTAAGATTCCGACTTGCAAACAGAACTGGATTCAAATCTTAGATCTACCAATTAATCATCCTCTGATCTTTCTATAAACCTAAGTTATTTCAGATGTTGAAAAAGTTTGAAAATATTCTCTCTCAGCATTTTTGGTAGGGTTTTCAATATCATATGCAATGTTCCAGCAAACTTTGCATCTGACCCAGAGTAGGCCCTGAGAACTGCAAAAATTCTCAGCATACAACCCTTTCCAAACTCCTGCACTAAGAGACTTCACCAAATGCTAGCATGGCTTCTAGAAGCTTAAGGTGGTGTCCCTATTATGACTCCAATTCCCCCTAAAAAGTCTGTCCGAGAAAGTTCAATGCTGCTAGAAAAGCTTACTATCTGTTCCAGCTAAAACCTAGTGAGGCTGATAGCTCCCTAAACCTCCTCTTAGAGCAGTTATTTTAGAAAGTTTGCAATTATAAATCCTTTCTCTGCCCCTTTGAGATGGAAATCTACCACCCAGAACTGTCTCCTCAAGGACTTGGAAATAGTTCTTTGAAATGTAAAGATTCAAGAAAATAACTCTCACTCCGACTCCCTGTGGGAGGCTAAGGGGCTAACTTCAGTGGGCAGGCAATGGGCTTCTTGCTCCAACTTGCAAAACTACGCCTGTCATAAAGACATGAGAATTTTGTTTCTCTTCCAGATAAGTGCCAATTAGCAACCCTGAATAACCAAGTGAATCACATGAACCAAACTCTCTTAATGACCTCTCAGTGTCTTTCTTTCAGCCCACCCTAGCATTTTAAAATTCTCCTGCCTTTAGGTTTGGCAAAGCTGAGCTCAGTTTACTCTGAACTCTCTTCCCTACTGCAATAGTTATCATTGAATAAAATCTGTCTCTGTTGCCTTTAACTAGTGTCCAGCTTTGTTTCTCTTTGACAACTCTTACAAACAACAATAGTAGCTGTCACAATGTGGCGATTTCTTAAATATCCTGCCAGCAGAATAATGAAAAGAACAATGAGGCATCTGTCTGTAAATGGGAATTTTCTTAAAGACTATTGTTACAACTTTGTAGGCGAAGGAAGACTTTCCTTTCACCCTCTAAAGTTTCTTTAATAGTCTATGAAATATAGTGACAACAGCCAGATCAGCAGGACAAAAGGTATACAAATTTACTACGTGTTTGGGGGCATCACTAGAAAAAGAGTAAATACACAAAAAATAAGCGAGATTTAGAATATATGCCCTCCGCTAAGGAGAGAGGAGAGGACAAATGTAGACAACTTAGAGGAGAGTAAATTATTTTGGGGAAGATAAATGCACCCTTAGAACAAGAGGTGATAGGTTTGTGACAAAGTCTTTCTGGGTGTGGTGCCAACTTCTAGAGTCTCCTCTCCTGTGATAAGAGTTAATCTTGTGTAGGGAATGGGAAAATGTTGGTCAAAGGGTACAAAGTTACAGTTAGACAGGGGCATATTGAATTCTATTAAGTATTCACGATGGTGGCTTTGTTAATTAGCTTCATTCAATGATTCCGCACTGTGCCTGTGTGTGTGTGTATAATAACATCAATGTGTATCCCATAATTATATACAATTATAATTTGTCTAAAATTTTCATTTGATCTTAAGAAAAAGAATTTTTTAAACAAAACTCCCAGATTGATGAAACTTCCAGGGAAAGGACTGATGACCATTGATTTCCTTTTGGAATATCTGTCTTTACACAGATAAGAGGAGTTCCGAGAAAGCCTCTTCCTGCATTTGCTGTGTTTCAAGTGTCCTCCGCTCAAAGTAATCCATACACCAAGGCAGCATATGTTAGGGTGGCATGTCCTGATCATCTTCAACTTGCTCCTCAGACAAAAAGGGATGAAAATGTCACATTAGTTAGGGTAAGACTAGATATTTTGTATGTTCGCTTTCAAATTTATCATCCGTCAAAGAGAGCTCTGTAGGGGTCAGAACAATCTGATCAGGAAAACATTTTGTGTTTGAATATAAGTCCAACACTATTTCCCAAAGCAAGAAAAGAAAAGTCAGTTGAGTCAGCGATGATGTACAGATACTTACCTCCTCAATTGGATCTTAGGCACAGATGAGCTGATGATCAACACATCTCACATCCCTGATTCAGTAGAAGTCTGTAGGAGTCAGTCAGGTTTGCATGCAGGAGTAGGCAGAAGATAGCAAATAGGATTCAGATACCAGTCAGGGGTGGATTTTTCAGTTGATAATGTGAAACCAACTTAATGATTTTTCTCATGATAACAAGCAAAACAGCCAAATACAGGGCTTTGTGCAACCAAGTCGCAACCCAAAGAGACCATTAACGTCACACTTAATTTCAGCCATGTTAATTTAAAGGAGAAAATGCATGAATCTTGACAGTGTCCCACTTGGAACTGGGGATAGGAGAAGACAACACAGGAAACCTTTCCCTACTCCCCTGCTTCTTTACTCCAAAACATCCAAACATATGTATTTGATCTTCTTACAAATAATTTAGTATAAGGAATGATCACTTTGATTTGAGCAACAAAGTTACTTTAGGAAGAGCATAAGATTCTAGTCCAGAATCCACTTTAAAAAATTATTTATATGGACAGTACTGCCACAGTAACTTATCACACCCCAAATCCTCTGAAATCTAGGCACTTTGGAGGGCAACCTAGATGGGAAAGGAAGAACAGGCTCAAGTGACGAGATCCATGAGTCATAGTTCCAATTCACTAGCAGTTTGCTATGGGAAACTGCCTCTATATCTACAAAATAATGACCTTCAATTGTTTTTTGTGGTTGTTGAATGCCCTTTCAATTGGAACCTTCTCTCTTATTTTTCAAATTGTAGGAGTTGAAAGGTCTAATGCTGGGGCCATGGTAATAGGAAAGAGACCTGAACATAACATTTTAGCTGTGTATTTAACAGAAACCGAGAATCAGACTGCATCTGTTTGCATCTTTATATCTTCTATTATTTTCATAATAGTCCTACTTTCCAGAAAGGGAGTAATGAAAAGAAACAATAATAGATTTTATAAAATTAGGGCTCCTTTGTAAATACAGAAAACAAAATTTCATGCCACAAATTAGAAATTGTAAAGATTAAGGGATAGCATGTGGTCATCTATGTTTCTTCGGCTCTGCTAGTTTTAAAAATAATGTAGTGAACTGGGTTTTCTATAGCACTCTCAATAAATGTGCATACTGATTAATTTTTCTACAAATATTTTTCCATTTGTTGACTCATTTGATTATCAACCCTGTGATAGTAGCTACTATTAGATGTGTGAACAGCATTCATGTTAATACTCATTATATATTGTGGATTTTCCAACTACGTCCAATGGCATAGACAGGTAATGGAGGAGACTACCCCTCATATTGTCTTATGCCCAATTTCTGCCTCCAAAGAAAGAAGAAGTAAAAACTAAAAGGCAGAAATGAAATCCACAAGCAGACAGCCTGGAGCCACACCCTGGGCCTGGTAGTTAAAAATCGACCCCTGACCTAATCAGTTATTTGCATAAAAAGGCACTGTGAAGATCCCTGTCCTGTTCAGTTCCTTTCTAATTACCTGTGTATGCAGCCCCCAGTCAATACCCCTGCTTGCTCAATCGATCATGACCCTCTTAAGCGGACCCCATTAGAGTTGTGAGCCTTTAAAAGGGACAGGAATTGCTCACTCTGGGAGCTCAGTTGTTGGAGACATGAGTCTTGCAGAAGCTCCCGGCCAAATAAAGACCTTCCTTCTTTAACTCAGTGTTTGAGGGGTTTTATCTGCAGCTTGTCCTGCTACACAGGTATAGCAAGAAAAAAACAGAAACCAAAACAAGAACCAAACTGATGGCACAGATTGGAGGTCATAGATAGCTTTGATAGTAATGAGGAGGGATTAAGAGCCTGAGTACAGTGAACCAAGACAAGAATGATAGATGAGAGAATTGAAGCAGCTAGTATAGACAAACCATTCATGGAGTTCTACTTTAAATGAGAACAGATTAACAGCAGAGAACAAGTAGGAGACACAGAAACTAAGGGAATATTACAGTATGTTCAAATGCTGATGGGGATAACAAAGCAGAGAGAAAATTTGATTGATAAGATAGCAGATTGTTGAGCTAGTTAGAAAGCTGCCTGCAGGAGGCTGGGTGCTGTGGCTTATGTCTGTCATCTCAGCACTTTGACAAGCCAAGGTAGGTAGATCGCTTGAGCCCAAGAGTTAGAGACCAGCATGGGAAACATGGTGAAACCCAATCTCTGCAAAGAATGAAAAAAAAAAAATACCTGGGTATGGTGGTGGGTGCCCATAGTCCCAGCTACTCTGGAGGCTGAGACAGGAGGATCACTTAAGCCTGGGAGATAGAGACTGCAGTGAACCAAGATTGTGCCACTGCACTCTAGCCTGGGCAACAGAGTGAGACCCTGTCTCAAGAAACAAAACAAAACAAAAAAACTTCCTGGAAGAGATCGCATTTTAGCTTTGATTCAATATGCATTTGAGAAGAGAGAGTGGGAGGTGTGCACTTCACTAGTGGTAGTGGGCAAAACATGGGCTTTTGGTAAAGCCCCATCCAATCTGAATTTCCTGTCCACAACAAAGTTAATTATCTGTTGTCAGCAGCATCTTAAAAGGCATTAAAGTAGAAAAGCCACAAGTATCATCAGGCTTTACAACACCATTATTAATCAGCATATTCCACAGACCTAATACCTGTAGCACCATCTTGGAAATAGGCCTGTGGAAAATGTTGTTCCTCATAATGAGAAACGTGCTGCCCTATTTATTTTCTAATGTTCATGGTGTTACCTGCTCAGTTTGTGACTCTGATGCAGGCATCATCTGGTGTATACTGAACTCTTGGAAATCTGTGTATAATGAGATAGGAATTACTTGCATAGTGTGGGAGAGTCCAAATCTCTTCCCAAAAATGTTTTGGTTTCCCTTCTAAGGCTTATGATTATATGGTTGAGAACAAGTAACAACCTGTGCTATGTTTGGTGTTGTTCACGTCCCTGTGATGAAAATATCTTTTATCATTTTATTCAAAAGTACACGTACTCCCAAATTCCAGTGACTTTAGGAACATTGCTGAGGCCAAGAGGGAGGGCAGGGAAGGGTAACTCATGTGTTGTATGACCCCCGTTGTGCTCAAAAGGCCTTCTATTTTTTTTCCTTCCTACATTTTCCGTTTGCGCTTCATGTTCTCCTTCCCAGACCCCCCAGCCGCTGCATAGTCTCCTCTCTTCTTCAGAATAACTGCTCCCTGATGAGAAATCTCAACTCAAGCTGAATTACCCAAGCAGGCTTATTAAGCTATTTTCCCAATAAAGAAAAATAAATTTTGATGCCTACCTCCAAGAACACAGAACTTTTTCATCTTGTTATTCAACTACTACCAGGAATATTATTCTTAATTCCTTAGTTAATGAACTAGTTAAGGAATTCTGAATAGGAGTTACTGTGACTCCTGTAAGTAAGAATGCAGCTTTTTTTCAGGACAAACTTCATGCAAAGATTCAGGAAAACAAAACAAAACAAACAACAACAAAAAAAACATGACCACACTTTTGTCTTTTTCTTTTCCTGAAGCTTTATTCTCCCTAAAGTGTCTCTCCACAGATAGAAAAGTTGGTGCCCATTCAAGTCCCCAGGTTATCCCAGAATTTACTGAAAAAACAACAACAACAACAAAAATCTATCAGGGAGTCTGATTGGTTGGCCTAGATAACAGATCCATTGTGAGGAGACCAGTCCCTGGCTTTGCCCACAAGCACTTGATTTGGTTACTGCCATCACCTTTAGGCCTATATAAGCCAACCCAGGTTGATCAGTAACTGTGGCGAATTTCAATTGTTCTCAAAATCTCTACTTGCATGTGGCTAAAAGCAGGGATATGCCCTGGGATGTTGGGCACCATGACTGAATACTCCACTGAAAAGCAAGAAATGGGAGAAAATTAAATGGAAAATTGTAGTGGTATTATTCAAGAGAAAAGAACAAGTAAGAATACTGGTTAGAGCAAAAGAATAGTTACCAGCATTAATATGGGGAGGCAAATTTGTCCACAGCTATAAAACTCACAAAAGAAGATAGTACTTGCTGAAGTACTGAATAAATTATATATTTATATGTAATTAAAAATAGACATGCATACGCATAAAATTGTCTATATATTGTGTACATATATGTACTAGATATGTATACATGTACATAGATTGCTATGTGTGGATGTAATACACATGCATATAATCTACTATATATTATATGTATACATTTGTGTACATATGTATATTCTAATATACAAATATTTTTCTACTTAAAATATAATTATAATTAACAATCTTAAGATATTTCCAAGGAGAAACACATAAAGCCTTGAGCAGATACTTGCCATCGTGAACTACTCTGCAGTCTTCTGAAACAAGTTACTAACTTGGGTTTCGATGTCTTTGAGTGCTTCTACAAAATCCCATTAAAGACAATTTCGCCTCTTATAGCCCTTTGGCTGAGAATAAATTGTAATATAGAAAGTGACCTGTGTATGCATTTCTTACTATGATGGTATACGTGTAAGCCAGAGGAGCAAGGGCCAAGTCCTCTGTGTTAGAATCTTTACCTTCAGTATTCCTCTTATTGCCTGTAACAAAGCAGGGCTCTTGCTAAACTCATATCCCTGCCTTTAGCCCCAGGCAAGTAGAGATTTTGAGAACAACAATTGAAATTCGCCACAGTTACTGATCAACCTTGGTTGACTTATATAGGCCGAAAGGTGACGGCAGTAGCCAAATCAAGTGCTTTTGGGCAAAGCCAAGGTCATTCTGAAGGGCATCAAGGCAGTTATTAGACAAATCCCGTTATGCTCTTTGTCCACCCGATTATCTCAGATTGTGTGTGTGTGTGTGTGTGTGTGTGTGCGCGTGCACATGCATGCATTGCTTATTCTGCTTTATATAAGCTGCAAGATTCTTTTGAAGGGAAACAAAGGGAGAATAAATTATAGATGGGAATAATCAGCTTGAGATTAAAATGTGGAACTAGAGATTAGAAACCCTTCCATTGCATTCACTTGTTCATTTCCTTAATCATTTATTCTATTAAATTTATTCCACTAAATGTACTATTTAATGAGGTTTTGCTCAGTACCCGCTAGTGCACACTGATGGTAAAACTGTGCTAAGATAACTTCAGTTATTCCCTTGTTGCCCTTTTGTTTGGTGCTGGGTTATGAGTTAGGTCTTTTGTGTCACCAGCTGGTGAAGGTCCATTGTCATCCTGCTCAAGTCTGCTCTGAGCCATGCTGCAGTCCTAGATATGACAACTGACAGCAACGGTGGACACTCCAAATCCTAGAACTGTGGTTCTTCTATCTATTAAGGCTGTGGTTCTGTAGGACACAGAGATATCAAGAAAGAGTATATTGCAGTCAGGATGTATAGTCTCTGGAAACCAGGGGTAGTGATTTGATAGAAAAACTCTTGAAATTGATCTATTGCGGTTCAGTTTTGGGTATTTCCTCTCGTTCCTACCGGTAGGAAGGGTTAAACTGATTGGCAGAAGAGAAATAAAATTAAGTGCCATAACTTTACTTTTTAAGGGAAATAAAAAATCCATTTTCTTTTAAAATAAAAAAGAGGGCATCTGTCTTTGATTTTTCAATGCTGACTTAATGCTCATTCCCACATCACACTCAAAGTGACCCTGGCAGATGTTTGATAATGAATCTGCTTTGAAATTCATCCCAGAAGGTTAAGTCTGCACGCGGAATCCAAGACTCTACTATGTAGGGGATAGTTTCACATAAGCCCATACCCTGTTAGCACAGTTACATTTACACTGAAGTTTTCATGAGCTAGTTACAAAAAATACGAGTGAAGGACAGCCAGAAACTTCCATGCTGCCAGCATCTCCTCCGTCTTTCCACAGGGAGTAATATAAACTGTGCCCTTTACTGAGGGATATTAAAACTGGTATTGAATTTAGGAAGATAGTGCCTATGTAACTTTCCCTTCAGAACTCAGTTTGCAAATCTCTTACATTTTGCTAAATGTAATATAACTTGAATGATGGTTTTTTAATGTAATAACAAAGTCTAGGAAAGATAAGTAGGTTGTATGTATTCACACATAAATTTATGCAACCGTGTAACAGAATAATTATAGTACAATGAGCCTGTAGCAAACATTTCTACAGAATTTTCACATTTCAATAATTTCTTTCAAGTATTTTTAAAATTCAACTTTGGTGCTTCCTGATATAGAAGGGAGTTTGAGAAGTATTGTTTCTCCAGTTTTTGGATTTAAAAAAATGACACCCAGGTATGCTAACTGATTTTCCTAATGTCTTATCTACTGCACTTATGACTCTCTCTGATTCTCTTTCTACCAAAGTCTCACTGTACCAAAGTCAGAAAACAAGTAGCAGTTAAATTAGGTGGACTTTGGGATACAATGCAAGGCTGAGTCCGCTATGAATGGGCAGAAGTTCTCTTTACATGGCTCTGCAATTCTCCCATGGTTCAGGTTAACAGTAGAGTCACACAATGACAGCAATAAAAGCTCCAGAATCAGACCAGCTCAGCTGGGCTTCATTCTCATCTTAATCACTGTCACAGTCAATTACTTATCTTCCCCAAGTCTCAATTTCCTCAAATGTAAGATTAAAAAAAATAGCATTTCCCTCCAAAGCTTTTTGCAAGGATTTACAATTTGAGGCAAGTAAATCACTGGGCACCATGCCTGGCATCCTGCAAGCTCTCTACAAGTGTTGAGTTGTTACCATTAGCATACACACATATATTGGATTCTTGTAAATGAAAGAAATCTTTCCACACCCACGTATTGTCTCTGGGATCTGAACTGATGGGAAGGACACTTTCTTAGAAATGTGGAGCATGGTATGACTTAAGAAAAAAAAAAAAAGACAATTTGAAACCCAGGATAGATGAGCTTTCTGTTTGCAAAGAACTATAGCAACTTTTAAAATAGTTCTGGAGCATGGTAGAAGTTCCATTTTAGTAAGTTAAAATGCATTTTATAATGAAATAACAAGGATTTGTATTCTTTCTTAGAGAGATAAAGATAAGGGTGATGGTGGGGAATAAAATAGGTGAAAAAGAAAGACAAGAGAAGGATTCAATAGACAACTAGAATCTCCAGTAACTTGTTGGCAGGTAGGAGGCCAAATAGAACAAAGGTCAATAAACATTTTACCATATTAGAAAACACTGACGTACCTCAGGATGGTATTTTTTGAGATGGTTATTTTTGGTGGGTTGTTTATAAGTTTCTTTCAGTAAAATTTTGTTTCATGAATCAACCATATGTTAGTGATACATTGAGCAAAAACAGGTGGGGAAACATGGCTAGGCAGGTAAGTACAGAGTATGGGAAGGTGAGAGGGAGCAGCACTAGAGCCTTCAATACAAATAAGATCATAAAGTTGATGGGGCCAGGAGCCGGGAACATGCAAGCTCACCTGAGAAAGCTCCGAATGTCCTAAATGCACAGAAGGCAAAAATGATTGGAAATAATGACTCTAGAAGGCCAGAGGAGGTAGAGGTGTGCAAATTACACATACACATATATAATATAAAAGCATATTCCATATATAAATATTTGGATAAAATAGCATGTCTTATGTCCATTGTTTTGAATTCAGTTTGCTCAATTCATGAATCCTTTGCTATGTCATTTTAATGAGGCAGAAAACATGCATTGTTTCCCAAAGTTGTTTGGCATTTTTGGATTTAAAGGAACATAATGGCTGGAATTTCACATTGATTTCTAGAAGTTATAGTACTCTTTTTTGCTACCATATAAACCTTCCCCTAAAGCTGCGCCTTGTGGCTTTTAAAGAGCAAGTAGCCCTGTGAGTGGAATGGCCCGGTGGGGGGAAAGGATCAGCTATAGCATCTTCGCTGCTCCTCTGTTTCTGGGGTGCCATTTCAGTTAATGATCATTTGCCCCTGCACTCAGCCAGATCCCCACTCAGATCTCAAACTCTTATACTGCCGCTGCCAACATGCCTGGCTTCTAGAGACCTCCAATTCCTTGCAGGCTAATAATTAAAGACCCTACAAAGGCTGCTGCAAAATGCTAATCTCATTTATGTTAAATAAAGCATGACAAACTGGTAGCTTTGCAAAGGTCAAAGTTATAGTTTTCATTAGGTAGACTTAATCTTAGGATACTGTCAGCCAAGCACCTAAATAATTTTTATCTAAAAACCACAGAATAGCTCAGACTATTGGCACTATTATTATTAAATTGTAACATATTTTGCTAATTACTAACACTAATTAAATTCATAGTCTGTGTCAGATATTTTACTAAGAACATGATAAGAATGAATGCTCACCACAACCCCGTGAGTTATGAACTCATGTTTCTCCCAGTTTAGAGATGAGAAAACTGAGTCTATCAGGTGCGAAATTACTTTCTTAAAGCTGCACTATTGGGAAATGGCAGAATCCAATTCAGAACCTGCAGGTAAAGTGGAGCGATAATGACACCTGTCGATTCAATTCCATTCTCTGTTTGCAGAAGTTGCCTCCAGAAAGAAAGTGTCACTTTCATTCTTGGGACCCAGATGTAGTACCTTGCACCTCCATTCTTGCCTAAAATGCCCCACATGCAATCTCATTCATCTGATATGCTTGTCCAGCCCCTACTGCATGTCACTCTATATCAGGCAGAAAGTGAGGCCAAATTAAATCTGTCTGTTAAGACACCCAGATTTGCAGCAAGTAGAGATGCTCTTTACTCTTTCTGTGAAAGCTCTGATTGAAAAGACAAAAATAATTTAATCAGTCACTCTGCAATGCCGCTCTGGTAACTGCAAAGTTTTTGACTTGCTTCCCCCATTTGCCTGTCCGCTTTCATTCCAATGCCAATGTGCATTGCTTTGTTTGGGATAAACCCTTCTGGCTAAGCTTTGATAATTGGATTACTCACACACTCTGTGAGTAGCTCTTAGAAGTCAGCAGTTTATGGAGTTGAGCACACAGGCAGGTGCTGGACCAGAAAGGACACACTTTTCCAGGCTTGGCTCGGGGTCTTCATGATGCTTTAAAGTTTGATGGTCTGGAGCGGAAATGCCAGAGCAACCTGCAGGTGATAAAGAAGAACAGGTCAGTGCTGCTAGTCACTCAGGCAAAGAAACACAGTACTGGAAGGCAAACATGCATTTGGATGAATTGTGAATTTTTTGCCGGAATCTCTCTGAATATCCTGTGAGATTAAGGTCAGGAGATTATGGAAATACTTTACCAGTGGCAAGACAAGCTTCCTTAGCAAGACTTATTCAAAAGTAAATGCCCTGGTTTCAGTGACCTTGGTAAAATCTGAGGATGTACATAACTATTTGCCACAAGTCATTAACCAGTTATATTGCTGAACTAAAAGAAGTAGAAGTAGGTCCCATTCATACTTAAACAAAACTTCTCTGTAGTGAGACAAAAAGTGAGAACCCTTGAAAACTGGCTGACGTTTTTGAACAAAAAGGTGAGGTGAGTCATCCCATTACCACCACATGGAAACTCATACAATTCATAAAGTGGGTTACCTTACTGCTCTTCTGCCTAGGTATCACTGTTGCTACCAAACAGAAGCTAAGAGCCAGGTTCATGCACCTCGGGAGGATGCATGTTACCTCTTAAAGAAGGTATCACATTGCAATATATAGTAATTATATGTTTTCTCCCCATGTGACTATGAGTTTCTTTTACATGGCAGTCTTATTCATCTCATTTCTCTGGCACCTGGTATTATCTCATAGAGTAGGCACTCAATAAATACTCTGTTAAATGACATGAAAATCACAATCGTTATTTGGGCATTTGTTCAAAAGGATTTACTTATGTTAATTCTGATCCTTACAGCATCTGTTCAAAATAGAGGCCAGGTATGGTGGCTTACACCTGGAATCCCAGCAGTTTAGGAGGCCAAGGCAGGTGGATCACTTGAGCTCAAGAGTTTGAGACAAGCCTGTGCAACATGGGGAAACCCCATCTCTACCAAAAATGCAAAAAATTAGCCAGCTGTGGTGGTGCACACCTTTAGTCCCAGCTACTTGGGGGCTGCGGAGGGAGAATTTCTTGAGCCCAGGAGGTGGAGGTTGTAGTGAGCTGAGATTGTGCCACTGAACTCCAGACTGGGTGACAGAATGAGACCCTGTCTAAAAAAAAAAGAGGGAAAAAAAAGGAGTTATATGCATTTTATGAAACAAGAAAATTTAGGCTAAAAAGCAAATTGCTGGAAGTCATATAGCGGTGAGAGGTAGATCAAAGATAATGCTAAAAGGTAGTCTGAGGCCATAAATCAAGTTTTTCCAGTACCAGAAGGAATGACATACAAAAACAAAAAAAGGAGGCCAGGAAACTTCAATTGCTGGAAGACCCTGTACAGCCTTGAACAAATCATTTAACCTTTACTGCCTCCATTGCAATTCTGCAAATGTAATAATCATTTATCGCCTAAAGGTGGCAGTTAATTTAGATAATCTCATCGGTCACTTCAGCTATAGAAAAAAAAATAAATTCTTAACAATTATTATTATTGGATTAACATGAAGTCATTATTTAAGACAATATTGAAATATCTTTCATTTTCAAATAAGAATTATACTGTGATGTAAATATCCTTAAAACTGCCCAGTTTGTTCTCTTGTCTAAATATTTTATAAGCATTTAACACAATCTTGAAATTCTTTAAGATAGTATCAAATGACTTGAGACATCTGAGACAAGTTGATAAAAGCTTCTGGAAAGCCTGTTTTCTTTAATAAACCCCTCTTATTGACGATTAAGTATTAAGGAAGGTATAGGGTTGAGAATGATTACATTGAAACGAAACATAAGCCTGTTGTTGGAGGCCTGTTTTCATGATGTGCAAAATCATGGAGTTTTGAATAAGGTCAAAAATAAAGACAGCAGCTCTACCAAAAGGAGCTTGTGTTTCTTTTTATCTTTTAGGAGACAGACAGAACTTACTAGGCTGGAGCATTCTAATCAGAAAAAGGCATTGTTCAGGGAAAAACTGAGGCACATAGGTCAGTAAAAATAGCTTTCAGGACCAAGTTCAGGTTAGGTGAAGAGAAAAAATGAGAAGTACATAGATCAAAACTCGTTAGAACACTGAGGACTGGTGTTTGGATAGCTTCTTGAATGACTGAGATCTACCTAATACATCCTTTTACTATCCTTTCAAACCCATGTTATCGGTATTCCATACCTATGATTCTAATAAGAGTCCTTTCTTCTAGATTATTTTAATAGTTACAGGTGAAAGCTACAAAATATTCTATATGGCAAAAGATTCTTAAAATAATGAAGAATTCATTCTTAAAATAATGAAGACATAGATTATGCATTTATTAATGAAATGAAAGAAACAGTAGCTATATAAATATAAGATAAAGTAAGCCTCAGAGAAAAATAAATTAAAAGAGGCAGAGAGACATTTTATAAGAATAGAAGAGTCAATCCACTAAAAAGCCATAGCAACTTAAATGTGTATGCACCAAAAAAAGCAAGATATGTATAGCAAAACTGATTAAACTGATAAAAGCATTAATATTTCTCCATGTTCTCAGTAGAAATGCAAATATTTGTCAAACAATGACTAAAGAATGGAGGATAAAGGCAACCAGATTCATAAAGTGCAACAAATTCCAAAGCCCTACAGAATGAGTTTGATTTCTTTTTTTTTCTTTTTTTGTTTATTTTTTATTTATTTATTTATTTTTTTGAGACAGAGTCTCACTCTGTCACCCAGGCTGGAGTGCAGTGGCGCAATCTTGGCTCACTGTAACTTTCACCTCCTGGGTTCAAGTGATTCTCCTGCCTCAGCCTCCCGAGTAACTGGGACTACAGGCGCGTGCCACCACACCCGGGTAACTTTTTGTATTTTTAGTAGAGACAGAGTTTCACCGTGTTAGCCAGGATGGTCTCGATCTCCTAGCCTGGTGATCCGCCGCCTAGGCCTCCCAAAGTGCTGGGATTACGGGCGTGATGATTTCTAAGATACACAATTCTGAAACAGAAGTTACAAGGAAGGTTCTGGGGCAACAAAAATCTAGAGGATGACTATCAGCGCCTGAGGGACTTCAAATCCTGTTATATTTACAAGGACATGTTCCTGATTTCTCTTCTTTCGTCTTTTATTCTAAATCAAATGAAGATATGGCTTCTGCCTTATACTTCTAAGTGTATAATAGAGACTGGCAGGAGAAAAACTAGGTTAGATTCGGTACTAAATATGTGTGAAGGGACAGAACCTGTGTTTCACAAATTCTACAGGGTGCTAAACTGTGTTGCCCAAACAGCTGCTATCAGTTCAGAAGGTCTGAAGCTTCCTTTTGTCTTGGTAACCACCCTATGTGTAGCAGCAAGCATATAAATGAATATTAAATATATATTTGGTGTTGAAATAAAGAATTAGTGAATGAATGTAACTCAGTATTCCAGGAAAAATATCACCACACCATACAAATAAATACAAATGTACATTTAAAAAATCGCATGAGAATACCTTTGGCATGGCTTGAATCTTAATAGAAACCAAGCAATAACAAATAAATTAAAAGTGGCATAGCATATTTAGACCATGATTAGGTTGTGTACATTTTCAAGGAAGGCCGTGGTGTTATCAGGCAAATGTGAGCTCATTCTTGATGATAAATAAATGCCAAAGTAAGTCAGAGTATGAAGAATATTTTACTGGCCTTTTTTGTCCTTCTTCCAAAGAAGTAACATGTATAAGATTTGTGCTTTATCAGTTTTAACTTTAGGGCTGACATCCATCATCACTGATAAATGGCTTAAGAAGAGGGGCTCTCTGCAAAGCCACACCATCTCTTTCCTTTTATTCCTACTTGCCTGTACTTTGCACTTTTGTGATAGATGCCAGTTTGGCTAGCATACCTTCATCAATAGGAGAGGATATTAAATAAATCATCTAACGATCTGTCCTCAAGCACCACCAACCCTACTCCCTGTTTTCACATATGGGAATGACTATAGAGGGATTTATGCTTCTATGCCATTGGGCTTCACAATCAGCACTCAAGTGTACATTCTTAATTTAGGATTTGTCCAGTATTATCAAAACTCACCAACCCTGACAGCATATGGATTTCACTTATGGCTGAAGTTTATTTTAATTCGAGGAGTATAAATAGAAAGTAAACAGGAAAAGAGCCACAATTTTCTTTCTTTTTTTTTTTTTTACTGGAGGCTTAGGGCACTGATAGCAATCAGTGTTTGATAAACAGAGAAGGCAACGGGGATACTATAAAATAGTAGATGTAAAATCCATCATCAACACACAACCATATTAAATTACTCATTTCATTGTCCTGTCCTGGCAATGTTCAAGTAAACTTTAGGCTTGCGAGTAAGAAAGATTAATGACAAGTACTAGGAAACAATTAGAGAAGGCTTTTTTCCCATCTTATTTCTTCATTAGTGAATTGGAAACACTGTCAGTTGCATAACCCATAACCTTCCCCCAGATTCCTTGCTAATATAATCCTGATTGTATTTATTACAGCAATATGCTTGGCCTCAGTATCCCTACCATACCTATAATGGTATGCTATAGTTAGGCATACCATTAGATGGTCAGTGAGAACTAGAGCTTCCTGGGAAATCTCTTGGAAAAAAAAAAAAAAGAGGTTCAGGCATAGTGGGCACCTATCTTTTCTCTTTTACTTACTTTGAAAATTAACATGATATTGGGGGTGTGACAATGAGGAGACAAGCATGAGTGACACCTAACATAGAAGGCATGGCAGAAGTGACATGTTTGGGTCCCAGATGACATCACTTAGTTTTTGAACCCAATACCTGAAAATGTCTACCTTTTATTATCTGGGAATAAACAAACAAAAAAAAGCAAAATGGACAAACACAAACACCTGTTTGCTTGTGCCATACTTTTTCCGTTACTTGCAGGATAATACAAATCAAATGAAAAATGTGTTATAATTCCTGATATTATCACTGGACTTGAAATAGTTGATTGTACAATTTCTTAAAAGGACATGTGGATGTGAATTTCGTCCACAAGTTCAGGTGTGCAAATAATATAACTATTTTTTTATTCCACTGTGAGGCAGGATAAAACATTAACATTTTTTTTTATTCCACTGTGAGTCAGGATAAAACATAAAACTTTTCCATTGTTTCTCCGAATCAAGTTTATCACACAGTTATGGAGTCCTATGTTGCACCTAGGTCTGGGGAAAGAAATAAGAGAATCTTCATCCATCCTGATATGGGTTCACTCAGGTTAAATAAAAATTGTGCCTGTGGACAAGGCCTCTCTAAGTCCAGGAGAGTTCTGCTATTTACTTATCTGCCCAGGGTCTACAAATTTTGTGACATTGTCTATGATTCTAATTGCCCAGATGTTTACCACAGTTATGCCTTTTGAGAGTACTGATATCTTCCTGGTGTTGTTTTTAAGAAGCAAGATGTTTAGTATTCGTTCCTTTTTATGCACTTAAAACCTGCACATCTTTATTTCTCTATCTACTTCCTCCCACTCTCCCCCCTTACTTCTTTCCCTCCTTTCCCCTCACTACTCCAGGGAAAAGGTTTCTAGTTGGTACAAATCCTTCTCTTTTCTGTATGATCAAGGGGTTCTGTGTGTGTCTTGGTATCCCATTACCTCTTTGTTGTACTTCACATTTTCTGAATGGAGTAGAGAAGAACGGGAAGAATGGAGGAGTAATAAAAGGAATTTAGAATAAAAGAGTTTATTATCTAATGCATGCAGATATGGTGGTGGTTGGCTACACTCCCCCATGGTATTGAGCATAGGGGCATCTTGTGAGCTGGTCTAGACAAGACCCCATTAAACAAATCCCTGTGCATGCTGGATGGTTTTTGTAGACAAGATTGTATGTCACAGCAGAATTCAGAGCTGTTGATGAGATTGTAGCATGTGTGAATAGTAAGTTAGAAGACTTATTGAGGGAAGTAGGATAAATAGGTTGTGTTTTTTCAGTTAAATGCCATTTTAGTCAAGTCAGAATATCATAAGCTATTATGAGTAGAAGAAGGTGGTAGCAGCTAGTAGATAAGGAGCAGCTAATGACCCAGCCTGTGTTTCGATTTTTCAGCTTTCATACAAAATGAAACAGCTTGACATTAATATAAACCAACTTCTGTTCAGGTGAGGTAATTGATTAGTACTTACATGTGTGTGCATGTATATGTGTATTTACACACACACATATTTAAATACATTTAAATATTTAATAGCTCATGTCTCCTCCTCTATGGATCTAAATTAATCCTCTTCTTTGCATCTTGAAGGCCAACACTCCAGGCTAGGCCACGATTCTCTCTTACCTAAATTACTCCAATAACTTCCCCCACTCAATATTATAATTTCTAGATTTAATTTGTAAGACATTCTCATCACTGAAACCCTACTGAAAACACCAGCCTAATAATACTACATGCTTATATCATTCTCCTAAAAATGTTCTACTGGTTCTTAAGATAAAGTCAAAGTACTTTAAGGGGATTTGAAAGGCCCTGCCCACTACCTGTCATCTCCTCTCTCTCCTCAACCTCATAGGTGTCCCAATTCCCCAGGGACCTTCTCCTTCGCTGTTTCCTCTTTTGCCATGTTAATCCTATTTAACTTTCACGTCTTTCCGTCTCAGCTGGGGATTGACCTAGGCTGAAAAGTGGCATGTTTGTTGCCTCCCCAGCATCCATCCACCCCAGCCCCAACCCTGGACTCCTACCCTCCTACCTGAAAGATGACTGCTCTTGTTCTTGTCCACTTGGCCACCATAGAGCCCATAGGCCTCAGCAAAGGACACTTCCAAGACCCTAAGATGGCCTGATTGTAAAGAAGCCATACTATCTGTCTTTCCAGTGAATGGGGCAAGAAGCCAGGCTGAATTAATTACTCACAGCATCCTCTTAGCCAAGGATATTGACTTGGAAGTAGATATCTGGGCTAATGAAACACAACCTAAAGTTTGTGAGGGGCTTCTAGGAACTTTTTTCTCTTTTCTAAAGAAATAGACATGCAAAGAGACAAACTCGTCTTCTGCATGTGTTGTGTGACTGTAAAGCTACAAACTGCTACAGTCATTTATTTAAGAGAGGACAATGCTATCACCAAGAAGAAGGCACAGATAACTGACCATACAAGGAAGAAATAAAATGGCAGCCACTGAGTTAAGCTAGCTCTGAACTGTACCTGCATTTTAGGTTTCCAATTATATGATCTATGTTAGTTTATCAGGGTTTCATTAAAAAATTATCACAAACTGGTTGACTTAAAACAATGCAAATTTGTTCTTTCACAGGTCATACAGTCAGAAGTCCAAAATCAAGGTGTCCACTGGATTGGTTCCTTCTGAGGGCCCTGCTGGAGAAACTGATCCATGCCTCTCTCCTAGCTTCTGGTGGTTGCTTGCAATCTTTGGAGTTCCCGGCTTGTAGCTGCGTCACTCCAGTATCTGCCTCCATCTTCACATGGCATTCTCTTTTGTGCGTATGTGTCTCCTCTGTGTCCATCTCCAAATCTTTACAAGGACATTGCCATTCAGGATTAGGGCCCACTCTAACCTAGGATGACCTCATTTTAACTTGATTACATATGTAAAAACCCTACTTCCAAATACTGTTCATAGGTACAGATGTTAGGATTTCAAAATATATTTTCGAGAGATGCAATTCAAACCACATAAGCCAATATATTTATTATGTTTTAAAACATGCTGTGTCATAATTTCTATTAATTGCAGCTGAAACTATTCTATTCCAGACTCCCTTTCTTACCCTGCCTTCCAAATTTGGGGCACTGATCTTTATATTCTCTTAGAAAACGGCGTTTGCCATCATAGTACTTAATTAATTGTGTGCTGGTTATTTTGATTTGTGATTTTTTATTAGTCTTAGCATGCAGTTGGAGAATTCCTTTTACCTATCCCAATCACAATTCTATCTACAACACTTAGTAGAAAACATGACTTATATACTTCATGATATATAAGTATTTTTCTGAATAAACAAGTTAAATAAAATTTAAGAAATATTTAAAAGTAGGAAGTGCCTTTAAATAATACCACTACCCATGGGAAAATACTGTTAATATATATTGGGCAAATCCTAGCACTTTTATGCAAAGTTTTTTATTCCACAATTGTCATATTAATTATAAAAGTGTGTGTCCTTTTTTCACTTTACATAATAAAAGAAACTTTTTTATATTATTGCAGGTCTTTACAAGCTTTAAAAAATTATGTAAATTCCATTGAGTGATTATCCAAGAATACACTTAAAAATTCTTGAAGGTGGGACATTTCATATATTCTAATCTTTTTAAGAGTTTCTTAAAATTTATCATTTCTTATACATAAATATTGTTCCAATATATGGGAATATTTTATTTGCATCACTTTATAACTTGATTTGATTAAATTAAATTTTAAGGCCCTTGAAGGGATCAGAAATTCGGGAAAAAGAGAGGTCTATTTAACGGACGGGAAAAATAAAGAAAGTTCCCATGATGTTGAAGGAAAACAAGACATGTTAGGGAGTAAGCAAGACTGCGCATGGTGAATGAGAATCCAAGTTCCCAGATCAGAGCTGAGTTTCTCACTGTGGAATGTGATGTTCATTGTCGAGACATTTTCAGAACTCCGTGGATCTCTGGATCTTATCTGACTCATAATAAATCAGAAAGAAAGAAACTCAAGTTTACAAAATGGAGGTGAAATGTGCTGTAATTTTCTCTTCCTCCCATCCCATCAGTTAATGCATTTACAATAGCATACATATTTAGCTTGTGATATGGTTTGGCTGTGTCCCCACCCAAATCTCATCCTGGATTGTAGTTCCCATAATCCCCATATCTTGAGAGAGGGACCTGGTGGGAGGTAATTGCATCATGGGGATGGTTACTCTCGTGCTGTTCTCATGATAGTGAGTGAGTTCTCACAAGATCCAATGGTTTTATAAGACGCTCTCCCACAGCCCACCCCCTTCACGCTCTGCACTTCTCCTGAAGAAGGATGTGTTTGCTTCCCCTTCCACCATGATTGTAAGTTTCCTGAGGCCTCCCCAGCCATGCTGAACTGTGAGTCAATTAAACCTCTTTCCCTTATAAATTACCCAGTCTTGGGTATGTCCTTATAGCAGTGGGTGAACAGACTAATACAGCTTGCTTTTAGGACACATTCAGATGTAACCTACAAATAAGTCATAAAAATGCCATTTTAAATATGAGGTCTTTGATAAAATAAATTAATAGACTGAGCCTTATTAAATAACTTAGAGTTATTAAGTGGACTGAACACAAAGCCACAGAGTTTGGGACTTTTAGATAGAGTGGAAAACAAAAACAAAATCCTCAACTGATAGAATTGTTTATTTTAAATATGTTGAAAACTTTTATTTTCAACCAAACTCTTAAGCTCTTCATCTGCAGACCAGGCGTGCCTGTTAAGCAATAATATAGAGAAATGAATTCAGTACCGAGGGTTGGCAAGTGGTTCTAGTTCCAGCTCTTCCTTCCCTGTTTTGTGCTTTGGAACAAAACATTCTACAGCTTTTCCCACAGAGTTTAGCTCCTACATTCGCAGACCTAATATTGCTTTAGATGCTTTACCCTTTACCAATCTTTGATTTTCAGCAATGCATAATGTAAAGCTAGGCAACTAATTTAAATTTGTTAAATATTGATTTTATCCTGGTAGTAAGGTAATAAGCCAAAGACACAAAGAGTTAATTTCAAAAAGCAAACTTCAATTCAATTTACCAAAGTATCCCAAGCTCTTGGCAATCTGACAAATGAAAGCTGAAATTGTTTACAAGAAAAAAAAATCCAGCATCCTTGAAAGTTTTTCATGGTTTATCTGAGGAAAAATATTTTTCTGAAATCCACATTTTTCTTCTGTAATGGAAACAATTTGGACCCAGCTATATATGACCACGGTGCATCTGTCAGGAATAAAATGTTATGGAAAATTTTTGCAAATATGTGTTACAAATATAGTAGAAATTAAAAGGCAGCTGGCTTCATACAATGGAGAATATAAAGAAAAGCAATGACATTTGGATTATTCAATAAACTCTCCTACCCATTCATACACAGTCTGAGTGATTTTGCTGTACTGAATTGAGGTATTTGAATGTGAGATTTTTGTTCTGCCTTTAGGCCAAGGGAAATGGAGTCCAGTTCTAAAAAGAGAGGAAGCCTGGAATGGTTGCTGACTTTCCAAGAGCCCACCCTGGCAGATGGCAGTCTATGTATATGTTGCCACATTTTTTCAGTTCTTTCTTGTTTGGGCTCTCATTCAATGATAAAAGTTAAAGAATGGATTGCTATAAATGAGCTTAATATATCTGTGGAGTGATGCTAGTAACACTTCAAATGACAGGACCATGCATATATCAAATGGCATCCAAACTCACTGGAAATTTTGATAATTATTTCAGGTAGCTGATTATGATTATAACATATGGGGAAAATATTAGTACCTGTTCTTACAAATCATCAGGTAATGGTCTATAATTTTATTTAGACAATAATAGTGGGAGAAAACGCAGACATCAGCAGTCATCTGTCCTGTGTCTGATGTTGTTCAGCCAGCAGCCATACTCTATACCCTTGTAAGCCAAATTCTCCCCACCACCTGCTTCTGACTGCCCCGAAAAGCGATATTTCTCAGTGTGATGAAAAGAACAAAGGTGAGCCTTTGGAGGAAATAGAGATCCTCCTTTGGAAGAAATAGAGTTGTAACTTTAAAACCAGTACTTCCAAGTAGTATGGCTGTTAACAAATGCTTAACATTTCTGAGCCTCAGTCTCCTCATAGATAAAATGGGGACCCTAATACTTTCGCATGGTTTCTGTAAGGATTGAATGAAGTAATATGCATGGAACATCTAGTGCTGTGACTGAAGCATGTCCAAAAGCAGTGCCTTCTCTGATCCCCTGCCCAAGCCTTTCTCCTCTCCCTCCCACTGTGGCATCTTGACACTTGGAGGCTCAAATACAAGTAAGCCATGTGAACAATAGATGTTAAATACGAGAAATTCAGTAAGATATCTGTGAGTTCATCATTTTGTAACTTGATCTTTTATATAAAATTGGGGCAGAAATGAAATGAATTGGAATGGAAGGGGCAGATTTTGAGTCACTGGGACCTGGAACTGGATACACACATTTACATGTAACGAATAGCCAATGAATGAAACAAACTAATCGTTAATGATAATGGAACTGTTGTTAACTATACACCAGTGGCAGTCTGGATTCTCTCTCATTTACTCTTTTACTCTGGAGTTTGCTCTGCATCACATCAACTTGCTGTAGAATAGCCCATCTTAAATAAAAAGCATGGTTTCACAAAAAGCAAAACAAAACAAGCATTCAAAGTAAAGCAAAACCCACTTGATCCTACATCTCCTACAGCTTCTACCTACTTTCTCATCTCCTTTTTTTTTTTTTTTTAAGAGACTGGGTCTCAATTTGTCACCCAGGTTGGAGTACAGCAGAGCAATCATAGCTCACTGCAGCCAGAAACTCCTGGGCTCTAGTGATTCTCCCACCTCAGCCTCCTGAGTAGTTCGAACTACTGGCATGTACCACCATGATTTTTTTTTTTTTTTAAGTTTTTAAGGATGGGGTTTCACTATGTTGCCCTGTCGGGTCTTGAACTCCCAGGCTCAAGCAATCCTCCCACCTTAGCATCCCGAAGTGCTGGGATTATAGGTGTAAGCCACTGCTCCTATATTCATCTCCTCTTTATAAAAATATCTTCACAGCCATAAAAAAGAACAAAACCATGTCCATTGCAACAATATGGATGCAGCTGTGGTCCCTTATCCCAAGCAAATTAACACAGGAACAGAAAACCAGATACTGCATGTTCTCATTTCTAAGTGGGAACTAAACATTGGGTCTCAAGGATATAAAGAGCAATAATAGACACTGTGGACTACCAGAGGGCAGGTGTTGGTAAATGTTAAAAAATGAAACTTTGGGGACTCTGCTCAGTACCTGGGTGACAGGATCAATCATATTCCAACCCTCAGCATCACACAATAAACCCATGTAACAAACTTGCACATTTATGCCCTGAATCTAAAATAAGTATTGAAATTATTACAAAAATAAATAAAAATTTTCTCAACCAAGTAATAGTCTCTGCTTTACTTCCTAATTTTATCTTCAGTTAAGCTTTTACTTCAACCATTCCAACAAAACAAGGCATAGTCCATCGAGAAGGGAATGGAATTACCAGAATTGGGGTAATCTTTAGACTTTAATTTTGGAAACAAAACATACTGGTGACATGGCCAGATTTCATTTAAATGATTTGTTTGCAATTGATAAAAGTGGACAAATATCCTGAACAATTTGCTTTATGTTTACTTGAAAAGTTCTTTCATATAAGATTTATATATATAATTAACTGTGCTTAAAAATAAAAGAAAACAAACTGTTGTAAAATATTTATGTAATGTACTCAGGACTGAATGCACTGCTTATGTATTAAGATTCATGCTAATAATCCCCAAATCTCTGGATGTTCTTCTAATGCTTCCCCTCACCCAATTATGCAATCATAGGCCAGAAAACAACAGGAAGAGAAATAAAAATTCAGTTACACTTATATTCACTGTATGGTAAATTCTGTATTAAATATCAAAGAATTGCTTAATTTGATGTGATCAGCACAAATTAGCTACTTTAGCAACCAGCATCTTATCCTGGGGGAATCAAGATATTGGACATAAATGCTCACTTAGTGGACATGTACCTCTGTGTCTAAGATCAAACGAAATGCAAAGGTGTCTCATTTCCCCACAATTTATCTAATTCCATTGTCAATTAGCAACTCACACCAGTTTAGTTTTCTAAAAACAGGGGAAGGGGACATGCAGGCAGCCACCAAGTAAACAGCTCTTCCTATTACACAATATAACATCCTTGAATCATAAAAATTCTAGGAATCATTCAAGTGTTAAACGTTTTTAAAAATGCAGATAATTTAGGATGATAGTAGGGTTGTTGAGGAAACTGATATATTGCTTACTGTTTATTTGTGAAATAAGAGACAGAATCATGTATCTTATATTGAAAGAATGTAGGACTCCTCAACGTAGCATTTTGAATAGCTTGGACCCATATATACTGTGTTAAGCCTAGAATGAAATAGTCCAACTGTTACTTACTTTAAGCCAGAGATATTGGAAGTGAAGAGCAGTATTTATCTTTAAGAACCGGCTTCAAAGCCATACCATCAGATGCTTGTAAGTTTCTACCTCAGGCACTTTCACCATTCCCTTCCTAATCAGACAGAGGAGGAGGAAGAAGGAAAGCCAGGTTTTCAGGGCAAACTGGGTTCTGACACTAGACACGATTTCCTCCCTGGCAGATCATTTCTTACCCAAAATGATACAGCCAAAGGAGTTAAATCCTCTCCTTGAACTTTTCCAGGTGACTAATAAGCTTTTCTCAATTGGGGTTTTAAAACCATAGAATTTTTGAATTGACTTCCAGACTGCCTGTATGTAGACTTAACGGAATATGAAAATAAAAAGTAGTGTTATGATATTTCTCTGCATTACGGAGCTAGAAGACCACTTAGTCTCTGCCTGAAGTCTGGAGATGACATGGAACTTGCAGCTTAGCCTGGCTGGTGGCTGTCAAGTGAGCAGCAACTGATAGAGTAGAAGGGAGAAACTTCACAGAGAGAAGAGAATTCTTCTGTCTTTCAATTTCCTGAAATTTTATTCTATTTTTTGGTGCTGATAACAACTTTTTACTACTACACAAAGTTATTTCCAATGCTAAAATACACAGCTTTTAAAATATTAATTAAAGAATTCTTTTCAGTGTTTGGAAGATTAAAACAAAATGCTAAACCTTGTATGTGACCTAAAAATTTGGACTTTGTAATGCAGAAGAAAACTGAAGAGAGACAAGCCAGATTCGGTGTCTTCCTCTCTGTTATGGAAGAAATTGTGTCTCCCTAAAATTCACATGTTGAAGCTAAAACCCCCAATGCAACTGTGTTTCAAGATAGCACCTATCAGGAGGTAATTAAGGTTACATGAGGTCATAGAATGGAACATTGATCTGATAGGATTAGTGTCCTTATGAGAAGAGACACCAGAGAGCTCGCTCCCTCTCTTTCTGCCACATGAGGACACACTCAGAAGGCAGCTGTCCGCAAGCCAGAAAGAAAGACTTCATGAGAAACCAAATGGGATGGCACCTTGATCTTGGACTTCCCAGCCTCCAGAACTATGAGAAAATAAATTTATGTTATTTTAGCCAAAGTTAGCCAGTCTATGGTATTTTGTTACAGTAGCATGAGCAGACTATGATATCCTCTCTCACCTTCCACTATCAGTCGCCAAGTGCTATTTTTTTGCACTTAAATGCTGCATAAATTTCTGTTATCTCATCCTAATTGACGTTTACCTTAAGTCTCTCTAACTATAATCTGTAACCAGCATTTCCTATAATCTATATTTATTCTCATCTATTTGCCTTTAGTTTCCCACTTAGTGTAAATATTTGGAGATAAGCCGATAGAGTCTAATTCCAGTTGAATTTGAATTCTTTCTCAAGCAAAAATTTGGATAATGTCCTCTATTTCTGAAAAACCTACAAAGGGGCTGTAGACATGTAGAAATATTTGAAATCACTCACCCTGACATGCAAAGGTTGTCCAGTTTGTCTTCAGCCTGCCTTGCCATATGTCCAGTATTTATCTCCATCCTATACAGCCTTTACAGCACACTTGACAGCCTTGAAACACTGGATTCCCTAACTTCATTCCGGTACTCAATTGCTCCCTAAGAGTATCAATATTCTTGGCATCACAACAGATACAGTATTCTATTGTTTTTTTTTTCAACTCAATTGTAAAACTTTGGAGAGAAGGAACCATCAATTTTTGCAGATATACAAACAGAGATATTCCACAAAGACTAATAGAAAGCAAGACTCACATGCACATACCTATGTATAAAAGAACACCTACATAAATTAGAATAAGGAAGGAGAGGCCGGGCGTGGTGGCTCACACCTGTAATCCCAACACTTTGGGAGTCCGAGGAAGGTGGATCACCTGAAGTCAGGAGATCGAGACCATCCTGGCCAACGTGGTGAAACCCTGTCTTCACTAAAATACAAAAAAAAAAAAAAATTAGTCAGGCATGGTAGTACGTGCCTGAAATCCCAGCTACTTGGGAGGCTGAGGCAGGGGAATCACTTAAACCCGTGAGGCGGAGGTTCCAGTGAGCTGAGACCGCGCCACTGCACTCCAGCCTGGTGACAGTGTGAGACTCTGTATCAAAAAAAAAAAAAGAAGGAGGAGGAGAAGGGAGAAGGAGATAAGGAGATATAGGTCAGAAAAAAACTCTTTTCTCCTGCAACCTTGCTTGCATAATGACAAAAGAAAAAAGAAGGAATAACAGTCATGCCAAAAAGGGCCACAGCTACATGCAGCTTATTCGCTCCACAAACTGTGTCCCATGTGGGTCCAAGAACAAGGCCATTAAGTTCACACAGCAGAGTCCACAGCTATCAAGGGCATTTCTGATGCTCGTATCTCCAGTGCTTGTGTTCCTCACAGCTGTTTGTGAAAGGAATCATTCTTGTGAAGCGTGGAGGGATCAAACACCCCACCCCAATTTAGACCCAAGGTGCTGCCCGCCAACCTCCACCAAGATCCACGTAAGGAGCTGAGTCTTTAAAAACTGAAGAAAAACTACCCTCTAGAAAAAAAAATACAATAAAATGGAAATTATGGTTAAAAAAAAGAAAAAATCGGGGAAAAAAAGACTTTTAGCTATCATATGCCAAAGATTTAAAGTAGTTACTTATGAAGATTTAGCAATACCATTAAAACACAATAAGAAAAGAATATCTGAATATTATTGTATTATGATCATAAAAGTAGCTCTAGTGACAGCTATATATAATTCACATTTCATAGTACGGCTTTAAGTCATTCTGGAAAAAAATATTATTGTCAAGTTACAAACGAAAAAACAAACTAAACAGAAGATCCTTCCAGATATTTTTACTGGTGGATTTTGGGACTGAGTAAACCTTGCATGACAATTTTAGTGAAGATATTGACACTCTGAGTAAAACTGCCAGAAAGAAATATATTTTGCCCAATTCTACATTGTTCTCATAATGAGGTAGTTAAGAAAGTTGCCTTTTTATTCCTATGTGGGTAGTGACATTTTTTCCTCGTACCACAGCACAGTCTAAAGATGTAGATTTAGGGGATCATCATGGGGATGGGGGCATTTTGCAGATGACAGTACAGAGGGTTGTTTTTGTTTTTTGTTTGTTTGTTTGTTTTTTGTTTTTTGAGACAGGGTCTCTCACTCCCATTGCCCAGGCTGATGTGCAGTAGTGTGATCATGGCTCACTGCAGCCTCGACTCCCTGGGCTCAGTTGATCCTCCCACCTCAGCCTACCAAGTACCTAGGACTACAGGCACATGCCACTACATCAGGCTAGTTTTTTGTATTTTTAGTGGAGATGGGGTTTCACCATGTTGCCCAGGCTTGTCTCAAACTCCTGGGCTCAAGCAATCCACCCACCTCGGCCTCTGAAAGTGCTAGGATTACAGGCATGAGCTACCGTGCCAGGCTGAGTGCCAAACTTAAGGTTTGGCACTTAAGGTTTCTTAAGTGTGCCAAACTGTTCTGAGTGCACCTTGATGACACTAGAATTCCCATTCAACATTAGAGATGGGGGAGGCAACCTGGAGGTTTTGGCCATCAGAAGGGTATACAGCGACCTTGAGCAGAGCAACTCTTCGTCTTAGACAAAGCAGAATCCAATGACATAATCTCTTTTCACTATTGTAGGGTATGGATGTGGGGCTTTGATCTTTTTCTTCCTCAGCAGTGTGAAGTTCAGTGAAATACAAATAAATTTGTTTTTGTAAGAACCTTTTTTAACCATGAAAGAGAAAAATAGTTAATCTGCCTAATTATTTAATTACATACACTAGTAATCAATTTTTCTTCTCCAATGAGTGTGTGTTAATATTTCTCATGGTGACCACAAGATCCAGGTGGATGACAACTGCAAATATTTCGAGGTTTTGCAATGTCATTACAAGTAGTGATGGCATTTGTTAACATTTTCCAGTGACTTGACAAACTACCTTTTATAATTAAACCTAACCAATATGTAATATGCATTCTTAATCACGCTTGTGACCTTGCTATGATTGTAATGAGAGAAATTTCAGCCACTTCTAGCTAATGAAATCTGTTTTATCCCTTTGACAACTTCCTACATCTGCATCCATGACCTCAAGCCCACACAGTGTCCTCCACGTAGCAAACATACTCACTAATGGGAAAAAAATTCATTTTGGCCTTGTATCTGATCTTATTCGGCCAGGCCTCCAGGGAGGACACATTTAGCATGGATGCTTGAGAAGAGAAGGCTAGATCTGGTCATTTATAAGCAAAGTGGAAGGAAGAGACAGTTTTGTTTTTTCTCCATGTGAGATTAAGAAAAAACATTATTTTTATAAACTAACATATAAAATGAATTATAGTAGAATCTAATAATCTTTTCCAAATGATTGATTACACAGACCAATTTAAACTAACATGTCTGTTTTGGCCAACATTCTAAGTTGTTTAACCAACTTTCTTTTCTTGGAATGAAATCTAGTGAATGAAGACACTGTATCTTTCTCCCTTGAATAGATCATGCATAGTTTTTACAATGATTGATAGCTCCTTTGGGAATGACAGACTTATTTCTGCTTTGGCCACTGTCCTTACATATAGGTTAAGTAGGCTGTCACATAAGTGATATTTTCAAGAGGCCCCAAAAGACTTCCCTGAATAAAAAAATAATACTTATCATGGTAACTGAAATTCCACTTTCCATCCAATGGACCATTTATTCTTCACTTAATGAGCAAACAGTACTGAGCACCTAGTAGGTGCCAAGTCCTGCTTCAGAATTAAAAAGCAAACAAGTAACAGAAAGAACAACTCCTTCACTTTCAAAGCTCAGTATCTACCATGGAAATGAAAAATTACAGATGATTGAAATACAGTAAAATGAGTGTGGGTGGCTATGATACACATAAGGGAGGAACAGGATTATGGCACCATTAAGGATCTTTTACTTCACGTTTGTAATTTTTTTCTTTCCAATAGTCTTTTTTAAAAATGGTTACTAGCTCCTTGAAGAGGCCGTGTATTATTGGATGGACATTTAGTGCCTTAACCCTTCTTATACAAGAAATTATTTTCTAATAGTAACTACAAGATTTACATTTTAGTCCAGATTATTTCATTATCTGTGGAACACTGAACACTTCACCTGGATGGCAATATGTTCTAAGAATTGCATTGTTAGACAAAGTAGACATTATGTAAACATTACAGGTTGTACTTACAAAAACCTAGATGGTACAGCCTATTACACACATAGGCTATAAGGTATAGCCTGTTTCTCCTGGGCTATATACCTGTACAGCACATTACTCTACTGAATACTGTGGATGATTATAACACAGTAGTAACCACTGGTGTATCTAAACATATCTATAGAAAAGGTAAAGTAAAATACAATATTATAATCTTATGGGACCACCTTTGTATATGTGGTACATTGCAGACCTAAACGTTTTATGTTGCCCATATTCTCAGGAATCTCTAGGAATATATACACATTTATCATAAGAAAGTTCCAAAGCCACATTGAGGTTCTATAATTCTAGTAGATTATGAATTAGAAGGATGACAAAATAACAGCAGGACATCTGCAGAGTGAGACAAACCTGATTTTTCTTCTCAACTTTATTTCAAATTGTAATATGTTGGCATAATATTTACTTACTTTGAGATTAATTCTTATCTTGCAATGATGTAAAGATTCATTATGATATGGAAACTATCCACTAATATACCTATGACCTTGTTTGTCAACACCTCAATGCCAACCAGCACACACACACACATGCTCACACACACTCACAACATTACTCATCTCCTTACAGGTGTCTGAGATCACTTCACAGATGAGTCAAGATGGTGACTGTATGCACATAGGCTTTGTTGGGACAAACTGACATAGCTTTATGGAAAGCTTTGGAGCATGAAAGGGGATTGTCCAAAAAAGACCTGGTGATTTGGACAGCCAAGAAGCACATCAGGTTGAGATGTATTTCCGATATTAAGGGAGAAAGAAATGGAGCTTATAAGATTTGTCAAAGGCACATCCTGTGTTTTTGAAGTTTCTTTGATTTGATCATTGGGCGTACATTTATTGAATATCTTCTCTGTGACCATTGGTCTTCTAGGCATTAGAAGTGAAGGATGCAAAACAATTTCAAAAAAAGTATGGTTGTGTCATTTGAGCATTTTATGTATGACCAACAATAGATTTTATATTCTTCTTGAACAAATTATCATATGTGCAATTTAAAAAGCAGAAGGTTTTCTTTATGCCTCTGTAACAAAGTAAGCAATGGAAAAATTTCCACTGTAATATTAATTTTATATACAGAAAAGTTCTACATGTAATCATTGCGTATGTGAATATACATTGAATATACCTGTACATATACATGTATAGATATATTTATGCATTTATTTTTACATTTTTATTAAGATAAATCTTAGTAAAGTATACTGATCTTAAACATACAGCTTGATAATTTTTCACATGCAGATACCCTATATACTTATCACTAAGATCAAGATATAAAATCTTTCCGGTTTATGATAGGATTTTATCTCTTCTTAGTTGTCTTTCCCCTTTATCAATTTTAGGAGAGGATAATTGATTCTTAGCCCTCTGTATTTTTCTATAATGATGAAAATGGAAAATTTCTCGAACCCGGGAGGTGGAGGTTGCAGTGAGTCAAGATCTTGCCACTCCACTCCAGCCTGGGCGACAGAGCAAGACTCCATCTAAAAAAAATTATTAAATATTAAAAAGCGCCCCTCTTTTGCTTAACTACCCCAAACAGGAAACTGCAGAAAACTCTGCTCCTTTCAAACTCAGTTCTTAAAACTTCTATCAGTGACATTTGTAAAAACAGTAAAATACCATTCTAGGGATTGGACCAAAATCTTCCAATTACTGACTGTGATCCCAGACAAGTATCCTTTTTCTGTTTCATTTACTTAATCTGTAAAATAATGAAATAATAATCCTTAGTCTATATTCCTTACAGAAAAGCTATAACAATGAAATGAGAAAATGCATATAGTAATCCATTTTAAATTTCAAAGAACTATAAAAGACAGAGTCCTACTTTTTATCAGACAAATTAGTTTGAAAGATTTCAAATTCTTCTGGTATGTTCCCAGAGGAAATAATTCCTACCTCATGATTAGGAAATCACTGAACTTTTCAAAAAATAATCAAATGTTTATACTTCATTTGCTTTAATTTAATTTAATCTTGGTAGCAAATATCTTCATTTTAAATTTTATCCCCTTGGGTATTTATGATTTTCTGGCTTTTCTGCTACAGGAGTAATTATCTGTGATATATTAGAAGGGCACTTTACTGTAGTAATAAGACCATCATTATCAAGCCTCATCCAGAGGCATCTTTCAGAAAGAACCAGTAAGCATTTTGCAATCGACACATAAAACTCCAGTGGAATGCAAAGCTGATCATAAACATGATTCACTCTTCCAAACCCAAATTTTTAAACAGAAAACACTTGCCAAAAAATATTATTTGATGTATATGCCTTCTTTGGTAATTTTATACAAATCTCTATTTGAATCTGTACATGTTTACCTACCATAGACAATTTGGAGACCTCTTTAGGGAAATAGTCTTGTCTTCACTTTTTTCTACATACTGCATTAGCTGAAGTAAAGACATAAACTTTCCATATTGTTTAAACGTGCCTTCTGAAAATCTCTTGAGTATGGAAAATAATACCTATATCCTGAAAGTTTGAGTAGCAACATCCAGATTACATTGCTCTTTACTCAAATAGGATATTTCTTTTTTTTCCTCAAGGAAAATGTGAACAGGAGGTAGGAGAGTGTGTTATTTTTGAGATCCCATTACTTCAGATGACAAAGATTTATTTTCAAATTTATAGTGCATAAAAATGAGCTGGGTGCTCGCTCATCCTCTGTACTTCTAGGAAAATCCTTCCCTATACATACTGTTTTACTGAGAAATTCAGGCATTCTGAACCCTTTGGTCAACCTAGTATTTAGAAGAAGCCTAGTGAGAACTGTACAAAAATGTGGATGCCTTCATATGTTCAATGGAAGGAAAAATCCTCTCTAGAGAAGTGTCAGGTCACCTGAGTCTAAACGGTAACACTGCCACTTACTACTTATACAAAAATCAGTCAAGATACTAAGATTCTCTGAGGCTTACTTTTCTACTATTATATCATTTACAATGCTTTTTGCTGCGTGTAAGAGAACACTTTTCCTGTTTGAAAAGTGGCTCAAACAAGAGTGTTTTCTATTTTTTGTTTCATGTAACAAGAAACCTGAAGAATGAAGCCTCAGAGTGGGTTCAGTACCTGTGTCCAACTTCATCATCCAGTGCCGTGGCTCTTTCCACCTCTCTGCTCTCCATTCCCATTGTGCTGTCATTGTCACCCTTTGTGGTCTGAAACTGGATGCAGCAGTCTATATATCACATTCTCACAGAAAAGCCAGAAATGATGGCTTGCACTTTCTTATTTGACATCTTTCTTTGTTCCTCTTTTTTTAATCGGGGAAAAGACTCATTTCCAGGGTTCTGAAGGAGAGAATGGGATCATATGGTCATCCCTAGCCACAGGAAGGCTGGGAACAAATCTGCCATTGTTAGCCATGACAATACAAGGTAAGCTCTGCCCACAAGGCCACAGGAGGAAAGAGATGTCTACCCCGAATGACTGGTCTACATGGTACAGGGGAGGCTCAAACAGATCACATACTAAATCATTTAGTGTACTGTCTCAAACAGAGCAAATATTATAACTACATGAATAATATGATAATATAAAGTATAAAAATATTTAAAAATCACAAAATCTGAGTGGATTTTGCGGTGATCTGAGATTCAGTTTCAACAACGATTCCACCGGTAATTGTCTTATTCCTAAGCTCGTACATGTGCATGTTATATGCCTCAACTCTGAAGTCATTTGTGCTTGTGACCCACTATAGTAAAATTTCCTGTGTATTTTTAAACAATTTATTAATTTTTATAAAAGAACAGAGGAAGAAGTTACATTGTTTTTGAACTTTAGTTTTATCATTTATAAAATAGCAATAATAATACCACCACCACCTTTAGGTTCACCTGAAGACTATCTGTCTTAGATTAAGTTTCCTAGAGATAGAGTCTGACAAGCAAGTTCCTGTCACAGGGGTTCGTAGAGAGAGAGTTTTCAGAAGGGTCATGGAAATCAAGGATAAAACAGGAAAATATAAGTTAAGTAAGAATACGGTCCCAACTTGAGATGAGCTTCAGCCTCGGTCTAATCCCATGGGAAGCTTAAGGGCATGAAATATCCAGAGTTGGTCCCAGCCTGAGGAAGATGGCTGACTTTGGTAACCTAGTCAGTCAGTCATTGGCTGGGGGTAAAATAAGGGGTGGGAGTGAGCAGTGTGTAACCTCAAAAATGAGGTGGCTCCCATTTGATGGAGGACACCTCTCTATTAGCTATTAGCAGCTCACATATCTCTATTAGCTCTCACAGCAACTGGCAGTGGTAACTGGGCCAATAAAGGGATCTGGCTGGGACATCAACAGTGTCCACTATAAGAAATAAGTATTATTATGCATGTAAAGCATAGGCATAGTATTTGAAAGAGGACATATTCAATCAATATTTCTTTTCTTTTATTTCTTTTTTTTTTTTTTTTTTTTTTTTTTGAGACAGAATCTCACTCTGTCGCCCAGGCTGGAGTACAGTGGTGAAATCTTGGCTCACTGCAACCTCCACCCCCTGGGTTCAAATGATTCTCCTGCCTCAGCCTCCTGAGTAGCTGGGACTACAGGCACACGCCGCCACACTCGGCTAATTTTTGTAGTTTTAGTAGAGACGGAGTTTCATGATGTTGGCCAGGCTGGTAACAAACTCCTGACCTCAAGTGATCCACCCGCCTCAACCTCCCAAAGTGCTGGGATTACAGGCATGGGCCACCGCGCCCCACCTCAGTCAATTTTCGATGAAACAGTAAATAGATTAGTGCAGCTACAAGGGAGAGTTACTTGAGCAGGGATAATTGCTGCACCTCAAAGTTTGTTCTTTATTCTGAGCGGAGTGTTCGGAGTCAGACAGAGAGAGAGTCAAATTTTAAGCAGAGGAGTGATATAATTATATTTGAATGTTAAGAAAGAAAACTCCAGCTACAACATGGAGAAATGTTTGAAGAGGAGTGCACTAGGAGAAAGGGGAATGATTAGGAAATGATTATGGAAGTCTGGGAGAGACATAATGTAAGTCTAACTTAAAGTGATGAAAAATGCCAAGAAAAGGGAAAAACATCAAAGCTTACAAGGACCATTTTCTAAGCTAATCTATTTAATATATACTAGTGTGAGAGGTGGCAAATAATCAACATAATCAATGATTATAACAATATGATATTTCTCTAACGGTAAGCACTCTGGATGAAGAAATAATTTTCTAGTGTTTATAACACATTTTAATAGTTTATTTGGTCTCATTTCTTATAAATCTGTTTCATACACTAAGGTCCAGAATCAATACAATGTTGAAGAATGATAAAGATTAGGCCTATTCTACAGAAATGAAGAAGTTCTTTGAAGCTGATATGAACAAGGATACAACATACCAGAATCTAACACAGCTAGGGCAGTGTTAAGAAGGAAATGTATGGCACTAAATGCCCACATCAAATAGTTAGAAAGATCTCAAGCTAACAACCTAACTTCACAACTAATAGAACTAGAGACCTAAGAGCAAAGCTAGCAGAAGAAAAGAAATAACCCAAATCAGTCCTGAACTGAAGGAGACTGAGGCACAAAACACCATTCAAAAGATGAACGGATCCAGGAGCTCTTTTTGAAAAAAAAAAATAATAAAATAGATAGACCACTAGCTAGACTAATAAAGAAGAAAAGAGAGAAGATTCAAATAAACATAATCTGAAACAAGGGGGATATTACTACTGACCCATAGAAGTAAAAATTTATTCCATCCGTCCCTTATTTCATCAGAGACTACTGTGAACACCTTTATGCATATAAACTCAAAAATCTAGAAGAAATGGATAAATTCCTGACACATACACCCTCCTAAGACTGAAACAGGAAGAAATTTAATCCCTGAATAGACCAAAAATGAGCACTTAAATTTAGTCAGTAATAACTAGCCTACCAACAACAACAAAAAGCCCAGGACCAGATTCACAGATGAATTCTACCAGATGTCCAAAGAAGAGCTGGGACTATTCCTGCTGAAACTACTTCAAAAAATTGAGGAGGAGGGACCCCACCCTAACTTATTCTATGAGGCCAGTATCATCCTGATACCAAATCTGGAAGAGACACACACACAAAAGAAAATTTCAGGCAAATATCCTTGATGAACATGGATGCAAAAGTACATATGCACTATGGAATACTATGCCACAAACAAAGAACAAGATCATGTCCTTTGCAGGGACATGGATGGAGCTAGAGGCCATTATCCTTAGCAAACTAACACAGGAACAGAAAACCAAATACCACATGTTCTCCCTTAGAAGTAGGAGCTAAGTGATGAGAACATATGGACATGTAGAAGAGAACAACACACACTGGGGCCTTTGGGAAGGGTGGGGGATAGGAGGAGGGAGAGGATCAGGGAAAAGAACTAATTAATACTAGGCTTAATACCTGGATGATGAAATAATCTGTACAACAAAACCCCATGACACAAGTTTACTTATATAACAAACTTTCACATGTACCTCAGAACTTAAAATAAAAGGTAAACATAAATAAATAAAGTATTACTATTAAAAAGAAAGAGAGGTTGAGACTATTCTTCACACTAAAAGAACATAATGACCTCCAGTTCTTACAGGTATCTAATTCGTTTAACCAGATGACTGGTTTTAACTTTCTGTCATTCACTGAATTCATTGATATGTTGATTAACCATATACCCTCTGTTCTCTATAAAATACATATTCAGTAATGTTTTCTGGACAATAGTAATTATAAGAAAAATTTGATCACTTTTAGTTTATTAATAAAACTATAATCATAGTTTCTGAAACCATTTTCAAGGTCCTCATCCCTGTGTTGTCATTATGGAATATTCAGGTCTCCATTTAGATACACACCCCTCCCTATCACTATATCCCTTCAAGACATCACTGTCTTGCTCATTTTATTTGATTCCGATATCTCTCTAACTTGAATCTTAAAAAAAATCCTAGGCCAGGTGCGGTAATCCCAGTACTTTGGAAGCCCAAGGTGGGCAGATCACAAGGTCATGAGTTTGAGATCAGCCTGGCTAATATGGTGAAACCCCATCTCTACTAAAAATACAAAAATTAGCTGGGTGTGGTGGTGGGCACCTGTAGTCCATCTACTTGGGAGACCGAGCCAAGAGAATCTTTTGAACCTGGGAGGCAGAGGTTGCAGTGAGCCGAGAGATCGCGCCACTGCACTCCAGCCTGTGCAACAGAGCGAGACTCCATCTCAAAAAAAAAAAAAAAAAAGGATCCTATTGAGAACGATGTGCGTCCCCAACATCTAAAGTTTGAGATAAATCTTGAACACTTTTAAATTTTAGACATGCTTTTCTTCAACCATTTTTCTGGGTGAAACATTTGATTTAGCTTCATGCTCTGTCTAAAGACCAAGGGAGGGGCTCAATTTTTATTTACCTGTGTATTTAATGTCTAAAAATTAAAAAAAAAAGTTTGGTTATACTGCATGTAATTTAACAAGTAAAATGATAAATAAATGGCAGAAGTTTTGTTTTGAAAAAGAATTGCTTCATCTGAGTTGAAATTTCCTTCATAAGTCACCAAGGTATTGAGGCATTTTGTGGAAATTTAAGTTATTTTATATTTAATAGGTTATAATATCAAATTACATCAACTGGAATGTTCAGTTCTTTTGTTACTAATTTATTGCTTTAAATTTCTAGTTTTTTTTCCTATTGCTATCAGAACCCAAAAGATAAATGCTTTATTCATAAAGGGAACTATATTTACTAGCCCTGCATTTGTCAACCATAATTGACCTCTCCAGCTAGTTCTCAAGATCTGACCTTTTTTATACTGCTTCTGGAATTAAAGTCATAGGACATTTGATTCATGAAGATTTACTGAAAATGGCATCCTGGAATCTATGCTGGGTACTACTGGGATGCAAAGATGGATGAAAAACACTACCTGCTCCCAGGTATATTAAAATTTATTACTTGTGACAAATACATAAAACAGAGCTGGACAGAGTAGGAACACTGGAAACACACCTGGTGCTATAGGAACCGAGCAAATGATCATAATCCCTTGGAGGAATTGAGAAAATGCTTCCCACATAGAAATGATAGGGTTTTCAAGTAAGTTTTGAAAGGTAGAGATGGAATAAAAGAGGAAATCAGAAAGAAAAAAATGAGCAAAGACATAATTTAAAATATCTTTGTAGAGAATGACCAAACAGAATTAAAATAACAGCTTAAATATTTTGATTTTATTTTATTGTTTTGAAAGCTGCTGAAGTTTCATTTCTAAGGATGAAAAAATCAGAGAAGTTTAAAAACATGTTTGATATCTGATATCTATTTGATATTGTTACATCAAATCATCTAAGCATTTAAATAAAGTTTTATTCATTATCTGGTTATTTGCTAAACTATAAACACAGCTTGAATCATAAACTTTCAATGTATAAGGTAGCAATATTTTTATTACTATTTCCCAACCCTTTTATTCTCCTTTCAAAAATAATACTATTAAGACCTATGTTTTTAAAAGTAATGTTTATGAGTTCAACAATATAAGAATAGGTACTCCTCAGCATTTCATGATTATAAACTCACAAGATAAACACTGTAGTGACCCATATAATGTTGGTAACCCTGTCTTTAAGATAAAGTAAAAACACTTGTTCGAAAACTTTGCAACCTCTAAAACGTGAGGATTGCTTGATTCTCACAAAATTGGCAACCAAGAATAAAAGCACTTTTGTATGCTAGGAATAATGAGACATTGTAAATCTATCATGATTTTATTCAAAAATTTCCAAACTTAAATATTTTCTTTTTCTGTAATATATATGGGCTGTATATTTTTCTTTTACTTTTATATAGAGAGAAATTCATGTTCTCAAGTACATTGCCAGGGCTATGACTATACATATGAAACCATGTGTTCATATGGCAAAATTGGATGGTGACGTAGATTTAAAAATACACCTTCATTTGACTTTGAAGTTTTTGTTTTCGAAAACTGTGTCCTGTTCATTAGAGATTCTATACCCTGTTAAAGACCAAACTATAACTCTTCACAATTATATATGAAGCATCTAGGACATGCAAAACGTACATATTAAAAAACTACTGAGTGATGGGCATGTCTCAATATACAGGATACACTATGTACAAAATCCAGAATGTGGAGAAAGAAAAAAATGTAAGTACTTAACAGAAAAAAAGCAATTAAGATCACAAATATTAAAATGACAGAGACACAATCATTAAAATGTAGACACAGAAAACACTACAGAGCAATTGATCCACGTTCTTCAATAAATAGTAATATGTTGCAAGAAAATAAAATGAGACAGATGGAAGAAGACCTATAGCTTAAGAGATATGTAAGGTATAGCAACCAATCATAATATGTTCATATATTTAGATGTCTATTTAAACCAATAAACTATCAAATACATTTGAAATAGAAAAAGAAACTAGATGAGTCAAAGACTGCCACTTTGAGGGAGTGACATTTGGATTCCGTTGTAAAGGATGAAAAACAACCAATCATTTAAAAAGCAGAAGTTGGAGGCTGGGTTGGGGAGGGAAGGAGTGTTGCCAAGAGATGCAACAGTAAGTGAAAACTCTGGGCTCTGGAGATGTATAGAAACATCTATACATTTGTTCGTTAGTTCAAGAGAAGAATGTGGTCAAGTTAGAACTTGAAGGACATGGAAAGAAAATTGGACTTTGCACTAATGGCAGTGAGAAGTTTTGAGAAGAATATATGCAGAGAAATATTATGATTTGGCTTATAGTAGGTACTAAAATAACTTTACTGAAAATGATGAATTAATTCAATGAAAACTTTTTATGTTATACTTGCATTTTACACGATAATTATATTTCATTTATATTTTATCTCTTATTTAAGAGAAATCTGCTTCTGATTATAATATCTATAGTTGGACTAGTTGCTTTTTTTCATACTAACATTTGGTTAGGACTTCTGTCTCAGAAACAACAAACAACTAATCTGAAATAGATATGAAAACATTTTTAATAGCATTTAATCATAAGGTTGGTTTCACTTGAACCCACTTAAGCATTCATGTTAATGTCATAATTTATTTAACAAAAATTTCCTGTTTAAAAAAAATGATTTCTACTATGAAAGAGTATCATAATTTAGAGATTGCAAAATTTTCAGGCAAGTGATTTTACTTTATCTTAAAGACAGGGTTAACAACATTATATAGGTCACTATAATGTTTATATTGTGAGTTTATAATCATGAAATGCTGAGAAAATTGTGTTTTTATTCCAATAGATTAAAGGATCCCACAAAGTCTGGAGAGGGCAAAAACTGTCCAGGGCAGAGGAACAACTGAAAAACAACAAGAAATAATACTTATTTCATTGGAACTCATAACACATTACAAGTGAATTTATCTCTCTTTTATATTCTCCTCTTGCATACTTTTTATTCCTAACAGTAATGGAAAACAAGAAAAGAATTTGCCAAAATTTCATGCTGTAGAGGGATGCCAAGTTCAGAATTTCATCCAAATAACGTGTACACCACATTCGAAACATTGTGTTACTACAGTTCATATGAAATATGCCTGCTTTATTGATTAAAGTTGTTTGGTTTCCCTTCACTTGATGAAATCATCCTCATTTCTTACCCAGAATAGTATATGCCTTGCTATTCGAACAGACTAAAAATAACTCTTTGATTCTGCAGGCCTAATTCCAGAATGGATATTAGGATGGCTAATCTAAGAGATTATGATGGCCATAGCACACATGGATTGTCTTTATTTTACATAAGGAAATATGATTGATCCTAGCCACGGTGGTCCTCCAGTCCCCACAGCTGTGGCCACTTGTTACAGGTCAAAAGTTGCCTCAGGCTCTGGGATTAATCCTCTCTTCAGCAAGAATTTAAACTCTAATAAATAAAATCTGAGCAGAATGGACCATGTCTTAGCTAGAGACCAAGATCTATTAACTTGATTTTTTTATACCTATGAATGGATGTTGAGCTTTTACTCAGTTCTATTGGAATAAAAACACAGTTTTTGTTCCAATAAAGCAGTTTATCTTCTTGAAAAGTTGCCAGATTCTCAGTCATGCCAACACATCTCTCTGAATATTAAGACTACCAAACTCCCCTTCTCATATTTTTTACTAATAAATTCTGCTAATAAAATAAAGCATCTGAAAATCTAAGTACAATTACCCCTGTAAGCATTGCTTCCTAGGAAAATATGTTTGCTCTGACGAAGTTAGCATACTCTCTAGACCTTCTAGGTCATTCTCAGATAAATACTAGGATTGAAAATGATTTTCTATATAAATAGATAGCATTGTCCGTGGCAAGGACTAACCACACACATAGGACATGGAATGACAACATTCAGACCACTGGGGAGAAGTGCCCCTTGCACTCTCTAAGAGTGGCTACAGTTGCTTCTTGGACAACTGCAAAAAACACGTGAAACAGAGGAGAGAATGTTCTAATGTTCAGCCATGTCTCCACGGAAGAGGGCATCGCACTGGACTTGTTCCAAACCACCTGAACAAATAGGCTCCAGTTAGATTTATTTCTTTGCACCAAAGTATAGGAAACAAAACTGAACTTTAAGACTGACAAAAAAAGAGAAGACATTTCTGAAAAGAGTTTGGTAGTGCTAATGTGAGAGAATGAAGGATTAGAGATACTGGCTCAATGGAAAGTACTGACTTCAAGATGAAGGAATACATGACAAGGGTACACTTCATAAGAGACACTTTTTTTTTTTTTTTGAGATGGAGTTTTGCTCTTGTCACCCAGGCTGGAGTGCAATGGAGCAATCTCTGCTCACTGCAACCTCCACTTACCGGGTTCAAGTGATTCTCCTGACTCAGACTCCCTAATAGCTGGGGTTACAGGCACTCGCCACCACACCCAGCTAATTTTTGTATTTTCAGTAGAGATGGGATTTCGCCATGTTGGTCAGGCTGGTCTTGAACTCCTGACCTTAGGTGATCTGCCCTCCTTGGCCTCCCAAAGTGCTGGGATTACAGGCATGAGCCACCACGCCTGGCCAAGGGATACTTTTCTTGCTTCCTCTCCACTCTCTTCCTTTCTCTCCCTCCCTCCCTCCCTCTCTCCTTCCTTCTTTCCTTCCTTCCTTCGTTCCTTTTCTTTGTACACTTGTCACTTTTCCCCTAACCTGGCCTCCTTTTCTTTCTCTCTGATGCTCTGAAGATAACGAATAATCCATCTGAAAGGACACATGCAGGAGCCAAATCCTAGCCTGATTTGCTGTACCAGCATTAATGGGATTACTTAAAGACCCTCATCAGGGCACAGATTCTTTATGCAACCTTTTCTCTCACTGTCCCATATTCTCCTTTTATTCTATTATCCATTCCCAGAATCTTCTAGTTTGATCCACTTCAAGTATCTGCAATTAACCAGGCTGTACAGGCTCTTGTTTTGAAAGGCACAAACACTAGAAGTCATAGAGGATCATAGTCATTTGTAAACATGATAAGAAACAATGAGTTTTTAAAGACTTTAAAATACATTATAGGTTAGCATCCATTACTGGTTAATTTGCTTTTTGGAAATTTATATTTACAAAATATTAAATCAGATTCACTGTTACCTTTTTTCCTAATCTCCACCGTGAACTTCTTATTTAGCTCTGTATTTCTCATGTCTAGAATAGTACCTGGGCTATAGTAAATACTGAATAAGTATTTAAGAGAATTAAATTGAAATACACGATATTTAAAATATATTTTGTGATTTTATTTCTTATCCCATCTTCAAAACTAGAAATATCCTTAGTAGCAGCTCATAATAGGCAAAGTGAATTATATATTTGAGTTAATTTTCTAAGCAATTTGAGATTTTATCCATCTCCCTCCCTCATAAAATGCAGTAAAAGAAAAGAATCCTCCTTAAATCCCACTCTATTTTTTTACACAGACTTTAATAAAGAAGAATTTAGTGTCCATACAGCTTGAAAGAGATAATACTTTGAATTTAGAAAATTGCAAATATAAGGCAAAGGAAAAGTATGTGTGAAAAAAAATCAAATTAAAACTTTCATTCTACATAAGTTTAAAAACTATATACAGAGGCAATTTTTTGTCAGTTTATGAAGTGGGGACTCACTCTAGTTGCTAGGGAGACATTTAGGGAATAAATACTTGATGTGAGCACAGAAGAGAGACATTTGATGCTGCCTGATGAGTTCATAGTGAGATGGAGTTTGCTCATGCCCAGCACTTTTCATAAAGGACGATGAAGCGTGGAGTAGGGAGAAGGAAAGAGTAAGGTTATTCCAAACAGAGGAACAGCATCCACAAAGTCCAGGAGCATTGTATAGTCAGGAAAATGCAACCAGCACTGCGCAATCAGATCTTGAAATTCTTGTAAGAGCCAAGCCTAGAGGAAGGGACAGAGTAGTAAGTCAGAGTCTAATCCAGATTGAGTGATTGTTTGCCATCAAAAAGGAATTAAGGTCACAGGACCCCTTTTTACAACTTGCTCTTTGCATGGGACCACACTTACCCATGCAGGCAGAGTAAAGAGCTGACAACACTGCTTGATGCCAGAAATTAGGGAGATGGTTTCTTGCTTAAATCTTTATCCCTTTGTCACCCTGCTTTTGTGCTTTACTCCGAACACTAGAGACTCATGAAAATCTTCTTTAGGACAAACAGCAACAAAACTTTCCAGAAAGTAAAATATTAAATTATCTGCCTTTTAAATCTTATCTCTTCCCAACTAATCCTGGAATTAAAGAGAGGAATGATTTTAGAGGCTAGGGCACTCTCTGCAAAAGTCATTCCAGGATGGGTGGCAGAGAATTGGTAAATTGGAAAGTCCAGGGCTGCAACCACCCAGGCAGGCAGGTGCAGGGTCAAATGGACACGAGTAAACAGGACAGACTCACTAAAAAATAGAGTCAAGGAGGGCTAAAAAGAAAAACTGATTTAATAAGCATCTGTTAATGTTTATTCTGAATCTTGTGAAAAGTGCTGCTAATTATGCAAAATTGCATGGGGCACAGCCACTGCCCTCAAATCACAGGCTCTCTGTACTCAGAAAAATATCTGGACACCTAGCAACTGGAAGTCTCAATTGTCAGGTGTCTAATTTGGTCTTACGGTTTTATTTCTACATTGTGTGAGCAACACTAACTTCTTTAGAGAAAGGCCTGTACTGCTTTCTGCAGAGTCACTTTGGAGCAGGGAATAAGTCATGGAATCTGGCTGTGTTACTTCTCGGCTGTGTTACTTCTCAGCTGTTTGATCCTAACCAAACAGCTTAACTGTTCTTTGCCTCCGTTTTCTCATTTGTGACAGGAGAGATATAGAAGCATCTCCCTCACAATGTTGTTGGAAGAGCTAAAAGTTTTAATGCTTACAAAGTCCTTGGAAGAGTTAGGCCGGGGGCAGTGGCTCATGCCTGTAATCCCAGCACTTTGGGTAGGCCAAGACAGATCATGAGGTCAGGAGTTCAAGACCAGCCTGGCCAAGATGCTGAAACCCCGTCTATACTAAAAATACAAAAATTAGCCAGGCATGGTGGCATACACCTGAAATTCCAGCTACTCGGGAGGCTGAGTCAGGAGAATCACTTGAACCCATGTGGCAGAGGTTGCAGTGAGCTGAGATCACGCCATTGGAATCCAGCCTGAGTGACAGAGCAAGGCTCTGTCTCAAAAGAAAAAAAAAAAAAGAGTTTCTGCCATGTGGTAAGTCTGCGAAAGTGTTAGCTGTTATTACTTCATCCAGGAATTGCAAAAATAAAATGAAGCAACATGATTTTTATTAAAATGTTTTTATTAAAAGCAATGATTTTTTATTAAAAATCGTTTAATAAAGAAAGATGAGTTCAATTTTTTAAAAAGTCAGCCCTTGTAAACATTGTACATGATGGAAATTTAATATCTTGCAGAATAACTTTTTAAAAGATGATGTTTCACCACTCAGGCCTTGACTTTTGCTGTGGCCATCTAAACAGTAAAACAAAATAACAATAATAATAATAAAACAGAACAAACAAATATAAAGAGTATGAGCCCATGACAAACGTCTACTTGGTAAGAAAGTTGAGTTGCTAGAATAATCATAGTTCAATTCCATTAATGTAACAATGTCTTATTATTGATTTTTATTTTATGTTGTGTTGAATTTTGCCCCAGGATAGTCATTACTTCTTATTTTATCAGCAGAAGAACCTTCTTTCCACTTGTAGCTCAGGAGGCCACAAATGAGTCTAGGAACTCGCCCAGTGATGATGAATTTGCTCAGCTAATTTTGCATTGTGGTGAGATTCTGATAGAGATAGCTTGGATCAAAGGCCCCTACAACCTATGCAAACTGCATTAATCCGCACTCACCATTCTCCAAAAGAACATCTAACAGTTCTCCAGACATGAAGAAGGCTCTGGAGGAAAACATTCCTCTTTATCCTCTCCTTACCCCCTTACGTCTCTGAGCGGACTCAGCTCAACATGGGGTAGTGGGGAGAAGAGGTGCTAACATGTTGCTTGTGTAGCCATTTACATGGATGACTGGAGCTCAGGGTCGTTTTGAGTTTGCTCCACATTTGCTGCTCTTTCTTTGGAGATCTGTTGAAAATAACAGCCAATGTTTGTATTGATTCATGATGAATCTTGGTAGCCTCACTGCACTTACATTTGTTTTATTAAAATTTAAAAAATAAAACTCTGCTACCTTTCTGGCTTGCTTTGTATATTTTTTTCTTTTTTTTTTTGGAAAGTCTGACATCAGTCTAATTCTTTTCAGTTTTCTTCTTGTCCCTTCTCCTCTGCCCTCAACCCCCCAGCACAGGCCTTGAGAATTTATATTTTATCTTTCTAATCAGTAGACCCACTATAATATTTCTCAGAACTGATTTTTTAGAATAAATTTTCCCACATATCCAGTGAAATTTTACAATATGTAAATTTATGTCTTTTTTGATTTCTGAAAGCTTTTCTTGAATTGTAATTTTAAATATCAGTTCTCTTCTATTGTTCCATGTTTCTTTATTTTTAATTTACACTGAGCCCATAATGGGTTTGTGTTTATTTTCATTTGTTTGTCTTGTGTTTTCTACTTCAAAGAAAAAGTATCTTTGACTTAATTCATTGTATACAGAGAAAGAACCCAATAAACAAAGTATTACTTACTCACTAATGGATATTTAAAACTTAGAAACTTTAGAAAAGCATTTGCAGCTCGAAATAAGTTCCTAATTAGAGCACTGTTAGCCCTCATAAAATTAAATCTTTACGTCGGGCGCGGTGGCTCACGCCTGTAATCCCAGCACTTTGGGAGGCTGAGGCGGGCAGATAGCGAGGTCAAGAGATCGAGACCATCCTGGCCAACATGGTGAAACCCTGTCTTTACTAAAACTACAAAAATTAGCTGGGCATGATGGTGCATGCCTGTAATCCCAGCTGCTCCGGAGGCTGAGGCAAGAGAATCATTTGAACAAGCATGTCGGAGGTTGCAGTGAGCTGAGATCACGCCACTGCACTCCAGCCTGGTGATAGAGCAAGACTGCATCTCAGAAATAAATAAATAAATAAATAAATAAATAAATCTCGAGTTTCTATACCTGAAATGAATTGGAACACAGTTATTGAGGAGTGTCCTGCTACTGAATGAATATAAACAACTTCCTGTCACTAAAGGTTTCCCAGCAAGAATGACCAGAAAAATACTCAGTCTTCTGGCTAAGATTCTTTGCAGCATTTAACATGGTTTTTCCTGAATACATCAACAGCAGTAGCTAAGAAAGCCTGGACCCCAGTAAAGTTCTTGGATTATATGAAGATGATGAGGCAATGGCAAAAGATGTAATTTTTTTTTTTTTTTTGAAATAGAGCATGTTCCAGTGCATCTGTGTTCCTTGCCTAACTTGTTTACTAACTTGGGCACAAATCTCCAACTAGTCTTCAACTATTCTTAATAATTTTTCTAAAATAGTCTCTTAATGTTGAATATTTTACCTTTGCATTCTCTAGTCTGACATTCTTCTTCCTGTAGCACCATTTCTGGGTTCATGAACACAACCATGGATTCAAGAAAATCACACCGACCAATGATCAAAAGGTATTATCCTACCTTTAATGAAGGACTACACATTCATATTTTATCACTAACGCTGTCAGGCCTCTGAGCCCAAGCCAAGCCAGCGCATCCCCTGTGACTTGCACATATATGCCCAGATGGCCTGAAGTAACTGAAGAGTCACAAAAGAAGTGAAAATGCCCTGCCCCACCTTAACTGATGACATTCCACCACAAAAGAAGTGTAAATGGCCGGTCCTTGCCTTAAGTGATGACGTTACCTTGTGAAAGTCCTTTTCCTGGCTCATCCTGGCTCAAAAACTCCCCCACTGAGCACCTTGCGACCCCCACTCCTGCCCGCCAGAGAACAAACCCCCTTTGACTATAATTTTCCTTTACCTACCCAAATCCTATAAAACGGCCCCACCCCTATCTCCCTTTGCTGACTCTCTTTTTGGACTCATCCCGCCTGCACCCAGGTGATTAAAAGCTTTATTGCTCACACAAAGCCTGTTTGGTGGTCTCTTCACATGGACGCGCATGAAAAACGCCTCTTTCTTTTCTCTCCCACGAGTCAGGGGCTTTTTTTGTTGCTATTGTTCCACTACAATAATCGGTAGAAATGAGAAACAATCGCAGAGAGAATAACATTGAGCAAAATGAGACCTTTTCTAACATCAGTACATGACAGTGCTTATTGTCATTTTCCTCTCAGAAAATTTAGGAGAAGAAAATGCTGTCTATAGTAGATGACTTCAGGGACAACATTGGTGTAGCCCAGATTTATGTCTTAGCCAACCGCCACCGGCACTTCTTTCCACAGAGTTCTGAAGAGGCTCATTAAGTTTCATGATCCTGCTAAACAAGTATCACTGACTTAAATCCCTCACTATATTCTTGTTAACTTCTCTAATCCTTGTGGTATAAAGGCCTCAAAGACTACATGTAAAATAAAACCAAACTAAATAGTACCTATCATTATAAATGGAAAATTACGCTGGGAAACAGCAGCATGTTTTAAGGACAAAGGGTGAATACTCTGGTCACTGGAGACTGTTCTCTTTCTGCTCATGTCAGAGGCAGGTTGTTATAAAGATCATGCTTCCCTGCAAACCTTTCAGTAGGAAATGTGTCCCGCTCAGGGGAATCTGCGCAGCAGAAGTGTGAAATACTTTTACACTTTTATAGAAACTCCCCGAACGCTTTGCTACTGCTCACACTCTGTTTACTCACACTTCCATTAAACTTTTCTAACTGTATTACACTTCACTTGAATGGATTTATATGAATCCATTCATATTTAAATTCTTTATACTTACATAACTTTTACAACCTTCCATGTGATTAATCAAAGCATGCATACAGATATCTGTTTTTGTTAAGCTATTTTTCTGTCTTTAGATTTAGTTCTAGCCAAAGATTTCAGCCTATTTGACACAGGTGAAGGGGAAAAAAGGAGTAGAAAGAATAGGAAAAAAGTACTCTGTAAAAGGTAAGGCCAAGAAATATAATATCACAAATTTTCAAGTTGACATTCTTTATCACTCTACTACTGGAAATGTATGTGATAAGCAAGAATGGTTACTAACTTTTCCCAGACTATGTTTCTTAAATGTTACTACAGAGCCAAAATATCTCATCCTTCAGTTTATCTCAGAACTGAATACAATTTTGGAGTTCTTACATTAGGACAACTAAAAATTGACAGATGTTTTTAACCATTACAGATCCTTGATGATTTTATAAATGTGCTCCTTGTTAATGAAATAACATACACAAAGCACTCATTGTTCCTGAATTTAGCACTCTCGAACTACAAAGGAATTAGTCTAGTAGGTAAAGGCTTTCCATCGGTGTTCTAAAATAATCATCAATTTTCTTTTTAAATTACAATCCCTGTAACATTATATTTAGAGAGTATGTACTCCAAAAGGAAATTGTTCAAATTTTAATTTGACAAAAAATAAAAACATAAGATCCTATTGCTAGCAGTAAAAAAATTCCAAAATAAACTATTTATTGCTATTTTGTTTGTATTTCATTTCACAATAAGACTTGAACCAACTATCTTCCAAAGGCTGCTTCTGATAGCTAGAAATGTTCTCTCAGGGGAATAATTATCTACCTTTATTACTTGTCTGCAATCTTCAATGACGACTAGTATATTTTCCATTTGTTTTAAAACGTAGGATATAAAATTTTCTAGTTGATGTTATCAGTATAATTCAATTCCATGTTAAAATCTCATCCTCTTATGTTCATTAAACAATATGTTATTTTATGCTGGAAAGGGGAATGAGGCAAGGATTACAGTAAAGATCATTAGCTATACAACTGTGTTTTCCAATCCCCAGCCCCCTCAGCTCCCAGGATTCTATCAGAAAATAACACATGCATTTTAGAAAGAAAAGTTATGATTCTATATAGGCTTCTAAACTGAAGAGGAAAGTATGGAATCTTTCAATCCCTGGCAGTCTTGATGCCCAAGTTATTCCCACACATAAACAGAGCTTCATTTTGATTGCAATTAGAAAAGTATATTGTTCAGGGTCAGAAGGCACTTTCTGACACTAGCAAATATTTTCAGGGAAAGCTCAACTGATTTTCATCTTAAAAAATATGTAATTGCAAAATAGCAAACCTAGATAAGAGGGTATAGGATGACTGCAGTTGAATGACTTACGCTTTCCTGTCTAAACATTAGTGACGCTTCCCTGGACAGACTTGACAATTGATCATAAAAAGATGCTCACTCTTGGCAGGGGGAGAGGTAAAACATATGGCTGAATAGATTTTGATGCACAAACAGGGAAGTCAATCACCTTCAGATTGGATTGTTTGGATTTGATGCCAAGTGGAAATTTGCAGATCTGATTATTAAAATGGCAAAGCAATCCTTTATGATGACCACAGGGATAAACATCATTTGGAAAATAGGGCACACGCCAAAGTTTTAGTAATGCATAATTTTTCGGAAACTCAATCCACTTCCTTCAAAGTCAGAGGTTAGTATATACGTAGTCTTGCTTCCCCATAAACCCCACCAAAATTATTCCTGACCCTGAGAAATGTGGCTTTTTAAATACAATGTCCACACTGGTAGCCTCATGACCAAAGCTGGTGTTTGAAGGAGCTTTTTATTTGGAGATCATCTTACAAGGTTCTGAAAGGCAAATAACCACTTTGACATAAGGTAAATTAACATTAAAAGCATTCAGACAAAAGAATGGAAGAGGTGTGAAATAATAGTGAGAATGAATATTAGGTTAGTGGAAAGTAGAGGTGTGGCAGATTGAAAACTCAAAGTATCTTTAGTTTGTTACTTAACTGCACCTAATTTGTTTTACATACATATAAACATATAAAAAATAATGCACCAAAATAAGTAAAAGCAGTTACATTGGAAAGATCTATTTGAGAATTCCAGCAACATCACTTGTAGAAATACCTTGGGGACAGTTTGTTGAGGTAAATGAACAAATTTTTCCCTCTAATTTAGATTCATGTCTTGCTTTTGATCTAATATAACAATTTTTTGTAGGTTAGGTTTTTAAGAGTAGCTTTAATTTTTAAAGTTGCCTGTATAGGTGTGTATTTCAGAGAATTCTATTACATGTTAAAGGGGAATGTAATGTGTTACGGAGACTTAATTTATAGAACTTCTCTATAAATCAACAGATATATACATAAGCATGTATATTTTCCCATGGAAAAGCAATTCAAAATGTTAAGCTTCGCTTAATATTGCAAGTGTAAACATTGTCTAAAGACCGTAATTCTGGTGATTCTTTAATAGTTTTCTTCATTTGCTACTGACAAGCATGTTGTCCATTTTGAGTTCTTTATATGGTCCTTATATAAAAGGAATAATTAGATATTTAAACAGATTCTGTTTACATAAATAAAAAAGCTATAAAGGAATTTATACTCCCAACTAGTTGAAAGGTAAAAGTTGAAGGCCTTTTAATAATTAGTCCTTAATGATATAATACTGGATATAGTCTTATACTTTCATCACATACCTTGCCAATTCCTATTCTGATGTATAAAAACGTTAACTATACTATTAATTAACTATTATGACTGGGCGCAGTGGCTCACACCTGTAATCTCAGCACTTTGGGAGGCCGAGGCGGGCGAATCACTAGGCCAGGAGTTTGAGATCAGCCTGGCAAACATGATGAAACCCCATCTCCACTAAAAATACAAAAAGTTAGCTGGGCTAGTGGCAGATGCCTGTAATCTCAACTACTCGAGAGGCTGAGGTAGGAGAATCGCTTGAACCAGGAGGTGGAGGTTGCAGTGAGCCGAGATCACGCCGTTGCACTCCAGCCTGGGCGACAGAGCCAGACTCCGTCTCAAAAACAAACTAACAAACAAATGAAAAAAAAACTATTGCATGTGTTTGGATTGAAGCATAAAATATGTTTTAGAACAGGGGTTGGAAAAATTATTTTAACCCAGCAAATAGTAAATATTTTAGGCTTTTCAGGCCACAGGATCTTTGTGGCAGCTGCTCAACTCTCCCGTCATACTTTGCAAACAGTCAAAGGCAACATATAATGAATGAATGTGGCTCTGCTGGAACAGAACTTTATTTACAAAAATTGCTGAGAGGCCAGATTTGGTCTGAGGAGTGTAGTTTGATGACCCATTATTTAGGAAGTGAAAAGAGCAGTTTGCAAATAACTTCTGCTGTGAAAAACTTGCAAATATACAGTACTTCTTTTTAGATTTGGTGAATTAAGATTTTCTCTATAGATTTTTTGTATCTGCTCTGGTCATGCTGAAGATAGATTATATTATGACATCATTTCCCACAATTATTCCCCAGGAGTATCTTCGATGTATCCTTATTTTGTTTTATGTTACAATTTTGCTCTTTTTTATTGATACATAATAATTGTACATATTTATGGAGTACCAGTGATGTTTTGAGATATGTGTACAGTAAGTAATGATCAGGTTAAGGTAATTAAGACATCCATCACTTCAAACATTTATCATTTCTTTGTGTTGAAAACAGTCCAAATCTTCTATTCTAGCTATTTTGAAACATACAATGCATCATTGTTAACTGTAGTCACTCTACTGTGTTATTGAACACTAGAATTTATTCAGTCTTTCTAGCTGTGTTTGTACTCATTAAATAACCTCTCTTCCAAACCCTTCCTTCCTTTTCTTTCCAGCTTCTGGTAACCAGCATTCTACTCGCAACGTTTTTACCTCCCACGTATGAGTTAAGAACATGCAATATTTGTTTGTCTGTGCTTGGCTTATTTCACTTAACATAATGTCTTCCATCCATGTTGCAGCGAATGACAAGATTTCTTCTTTTTTATAGCTGAAGTGTCCTATTTTGCATATATACCACATTTTAAAAATCCACTTATCCATTGATAGACACTTACCTTGACTTCATATCTTGGCTATTGTGAATAATGTTGCAATAAATATGGGAGTGCAGATATCTCTTTGATATAAAGATTTCTTGTCTTTTAGATATATACCTGGTAGTAGGATTGCTGAGTCATATGTTAGTTTTATTTTTAGTGTTTTGAATAACCTTCATACTGTTTTCCATAGTGGCTAAACTAATTTATACTAATTTACATTCCCATCAACAGTATACCAATGTTCCCTTTCCTCTGCATCTTCATCAGCATTTGTTATGCTTTGTCAGTTTAGTAATAGCCATTCTAAGTGGGATGACATGACATCTCATAGTTGTTCTAATTTGCATTTCCCCGATGATTAGTGATGATTAACATTTTTTCATATATCTGTTGCCCATTGTATGTCTTCCTTTGAGCAATGTCTAGTCAGATCATTTGCCTATTTTTTAATCTGATTATTATTATTAATTGCTTTTTTGCTATCAAGTTCCTGATATATTTTGCTTATAAATCCCCCATCAGCTAAGTAGTTTGCAAATATTTTCTTCCATCCTATGGGTCATCTCTTTATTCTGTTGATTGTTTCCTTTACTGTACAGAAGCTTTTTAACTTGATGTAATTCCATTTTTGCTTTTGTTGCCTGTGCTTTTGAGGTCTTAACCAAAAGGTCTTTGCCTAGACTAATGTCCTGATGTGTTTCCCTAATGTTTTCTTGTAGTAGTTTCATAGTGTCAGGTTTTACATTTAATATTTCAGTCCATATTGACTTGATTTTTGGGAATGCTGAGAGCAGGGGTCTAGTTTCATTCTTCTGCCCATGAATATCCAGTTTTCCCAACACTATTTATTGAAGTGATTGTCTTTTTCCCAAAAGATGTTCTTGGCTCCATTGACAAAAATGAGTTGGTTGTGAGTGTGTGGATTTATTTGTGGGTTCTCTAATCTGTTCCCTTGCTCTATGTGTCTGTTTTTATCCTAGTACCATACTGTTTTGGTTACTACAGCTTTGCCATATATTTTGAAGTCAAGTAGTGTGATGCTTCCAACTTTGTTCCTTATGCTCAGGATTATGTTGGCTATTTAAGGTCTTTCGTAATTCCATACAAATTTTATAATTATGTTCTATTTCTGTGAAGAACATCATTGGTATTTTGGTATTGAGTCTGTAGATTGCTTTGAATAGTATGGACATTTTAATGTTATTAATTCTTCCAGTCCATGAGCACGAGCACAAGATATCGTTCCTTTTTTGTGTGTCCTCTTAAATTTCTTTCATCAGTGTTTTACAGTTTTCATTGTAGAGCTTCTTCACTTCTTTGATTAAGTTTATTCCTAGGTATTTTATATTTTTGTCATTATTGCAAATAAAATTACTTTTCTGATTTCTTTTTGATATTGTTTTTTGTTGGTGTATAGAAATGTTGCTGATTTTTGTATGTTGATTTTGTGTCCTGAAATTTTATTGAACTCATTCTTTGGTTGTAACCCCTTTTTTTTTTTTTGGTGGAGTCTTTAAGTTTTTCTTAAGATAGGATCATGTCATCTGTAAAAAAGGGTAAGTATCCTTCTTCCTTTCCAGTTTGGCTGTCCTTTATTCTCTCTTTTGCCTAATTGCTCTGGCTGGAACTTCCAGTACTGTTTTGAATAAAAGCAGTGAGAATAGGTATCCTTGTCTTGTTCCAGATCTTAGAAAAAAAGCTCTCATTTTTTTTATTGTTCAGTATCATGTTAGTTGTGGGTTTGTTCTACATAAATGACCTTTATTATTCTGAAATATGTTTCTTCTATACTCAGTTTGTTGAAAGTTTTTATCGTGAAAGGATGTTGAATTGTATTGAATGCTTTTTCAGCATCTATTGAAATGATCATATGTCTTTTGTTCTTAAATCTGTGTACAATTATCTTACTTTTATTATTGGATTTCTATCATCTCTATAGCATTTTAGGTAAAATGCAGGTATCTTTATTGCTTCAGCATTGTTGTGGAGACACAATTTCAATTCCGTACTATATATCTTAAATGTTTTTACCATTTTTGAAATGAGAACCAAATATAATCAAGGTTTTCACTACAATTACAGCATTCAATGACTGCTGCTTTGCATTCTCTTTGTCCTTTGGTTATGAGCCAGGACAATTAGCAAGTTGTTTTTCTAGAGATGAAACTGGAATCTAAAAAGTTTAGGATGCCTTGCCATGGCCACTCACCCTGTTAGTTCAAAGCTTTCCAGTAGTTTTATCCTCTGCTTTATCTAGTGCTGGATCTCCATTATTTTTCACATCTATTTTTACTTATACTCTCTTACTAAAATGCATCTAAGTGTGTAAATGAAAGTAATTACACAGAAGCCCTGGCCCATGTCCAAGCCTTAAGAACTTTCTCAAGCAGAAGATATATTCTACCTCGACCTTATCAATGTACAGCTAAAAAATAAAAAGAATGCCTATAGATACCAAGTTTTTGTTCCTTTTTACAGTATAACACAAATCCTCTTCCCTTATGTTTTCTTTATTTTGGGGTCCAATTGCCTCCCCTCAACCTTGGTCCTCCATAAGAGTAAATAATGCTTCAGCATCTCTAATTTCAATCAGGTAATAGCATAGAAAGCAGAACTAACATTAAGCTGAAAATTGACTTTTTTGCTTCTCTCACTGATAACTCCACCCTTAAGTATGAAGACCACACATGGATGCTTTACAGGCTCCTCTTATTGCAAAGGAGCTAGAAAAGAGGAGGCACGGTTGAGGATTTTCCATGACAGGAATTATAACAGTATGTTTCATTTTGTTTTGTATTTTTTGAAACAAGGTCTCACTCTGTTGCCCACGCTGGAGTGCAATGGTGCAATCACGGCAGCCTCAACCTCCTGGCCTCAGGTGATCCTCCCACCTCAGCCTCCTATCTGGGACCACAGGTATATGCCACCATACCCAGCTAATTTTTGTGGTTTTTGTACAGACAGGGTTTCATCATGTTGCCCAGTCTGGTCTTGAACTCCTCAACTCAAGCAATCTGCCTGCCTCAGCTTCCCAAAGTGCTGGAATTACAGGTGTGAGCCACTATGCCTGACCTTTCTGTTTGTTTGTTTTTTTAACAAAGAAAGGAGAATATTTGCAACCTAAAGGAAAGTCTTTAGAATTCACAGTTAAAGAATGAGGAATGGAATTAGTGGTGCCTATATGGTCTTTCTTTTACTTAATTGTTGGTTCAAGAAACAGTTTTTGCCCTGATGGTTATAATACACTAGAGCTAATCCCTGGACAACAAAAATAGATCTATAAACATGGCGTCATGGTGTGGCTGACCTGGGCCTTAATTCTCAATTTGTCATCTATCAGTCAGTTGTGTGGCTATAAGGAAAACATAATTTGTTACATTATAGGTTGCAATTTCTAGAAAGAAATATAACAATATCTACTGTACTTTTATGTGGTGTTTTATGGGCAAAAATATGATACTTCAATTTAAAGGATAGAGTCAAGGATAAAAAGTTAAATGACTATAAAAATTTATAGCATACAACAGAGTTTTCAGTTTATGCTATTCTAAAAATCTAGGGCTTCTTTGAGGTTCATCAATGCTTGTAGGTGGTATGGGAGAGTTAAGGTCAGGCATCAGGATCCCTAGCCACCACTCAAACAAAGTATCTCAGTATCAGTCTCATATTTGGGGGTACTTATTAAGAGTTTGCTTCCCAAATGGGCATCTATTACATTAAAAAGTTAAAAATCATTTAAGAATCAAAAATTAATTATGGGTCAGCAAATCTATAGTTGAGTAAATGGTTCAGAACTTACTAGTTATATCACCTCAAATCTATCTAAAAATGGCTCTTTTCCATGCTAACTCTGTAATCTCTGATAGTTTAGCTCAGAATGCATTTTTCCCAACTGTAAAGTGTTTTCCCCTATAGTTTTAGGTTCAAATTTTTACTGGCCATTCTGTCTAATTTTTTTTCCCAGTTTCTTCTTTGTCTAAGGTAAGTCTGCATTTCTGAAGCTCCATGCACTCTTACCTATGAACACACACATACATACACTCATGGAAGAGACAGCTTTAATCTTATTTGTGAACTAGTGATATTTGTAATGAACTTTACCACCTTCTAGAGAAAGTTTTTCAGAAATACTGTTAGATTATGTGTAGAGTGTAGGGAGAAGAAAGAGAGATCAGACTGTTACTGTGTCTATGCAGAAAAGGAAGACATAAGAAACTCCATTTTGATCTCTCTTTGTATCAATCATATGGATTAATCATATTGATTAAATACAAAAAAAATTGTTGTAAGGAAATAAATATGAAGTCAATTAATTCATGTCGAAAGTAGTTTTACTTCAATATGGGTTATGTAGCTGCTGATATAGACTTTACACCTTAATCTTGAGAGGCAGGGTCAGCAAGCATTTTTATCATAACAAGTTATCTAATCATTTTGAGCTCTATAAAACACAAAAGTGATTAGACCATCATTTCTTAAAAAATATGCATTGTTTCTAAGCAAAATGCATGGCTTTTATCTATAAAGATCATATTATTTCCTTCTAGGCAGATGGTATTTAATTTTGTCATGAATTTGAAACAAATGCTACAAATAGTGAGGCTAATTACCAGAAAGAATTGCTAACATTGAATGCTTATTATAGATTGGTTACTATGTCCAGCAACTTACATGGAGTATCTCATTTAATCCTTGCAGAAGCTCTTTCAGATGGATATTATTACTATAATTTTACAGAAAGGAAACAGGTTGGAAGCCGTTAAAAAGTTAACCAACATCTCCCATCTTGAAGGAGGTGGGAGTGGGAAAGCTCAATCACTGTGCTTTCAGAGCTTGTACAAGGACTCCTCTGACATTTAATTGTTTTTATACCCAGTAGCTTGACACAGTGGGATATGTCACATAGGAAGTTCATTTTATCCAACATCAGGGAGTTACACTTCTCAAAATTAGGTGTCTCATGGCTAAAAGACTGCAATTTCTCTATTGCCGTTGTGAACACTGGTAACGACTGAAGGTTTGCTGGCAAAAATTCCTCCTACATCCAGCCAGAGCATCAGAGAACTGAAATATATGTCTTTGATGTGACTATATTGTCCTCTCAGAGAGCTGATTTCCCTGAAATGGGGTGTTATGTTGTGTCTATAGCTTATAGTTATTTCATGTATTGTATAGATGAACATAGGGATGGAGGATACTTTATCTCACTGTATCTTTCCTATAAAGGGGAAAAATGTTTTTGAGACCTCAATATCAAGAAAATCTGCATATACTGAGTAGCAACTGTGGGTGGGTATGTTTTTGTGTGTACCTGTGAATATATGTGTGCATGAGAATATAAGTGAATACGTGAAAGTCAGAGAGAATATACGTGTGTGTGAAACGATGTGTGTCTAAATATTAATGGATGTGTTATTAACAGCCTGGTGAATCTCAAAACTAATTATGCCTTTTACTTGGATTTGGCTACTAAGATACTCAGAAGTAGATTTTTGTTTAATGTGCAGTAACTGTACACTAACACATGATATAAATTTCATGAACTGGTTTTACCTTTACTTTTTCTCACAGTACTAAAGTTATTTGCCTAATTTATCCTGATTTTCTTATATATTTTTAATTTAATGTGTTGTCTCGATTGCTGCAATGAATCTTACTTTTTTTAATCTCTGGGTGAAAAAGTCAACTTCTAACTGAATAAATAATTTGAGATGCAGCATTCTCTTTAAAATTAAAATAATAAAATATGCTGGGAAGGCAACTGAAACAGCTGAAAAATTTTTGTAAATAATTAAACTTTATTGTATTGTACAGAATCATTGCTTCACAATTCTTGGATACATTGTGACACTCTATTCACAACTTTGGGACACATTCTTGATCTACAGCCTTTATTCAGCATAATAAAAATAAACACTTACTAGTGTTTACCACACCTCAGGTACTGTTCCAAGTGTCCTATATGAATTAACAATCCTACAAGGTAGATATTGCAATTATCCCCATTTTAAAGATAAAGAAACTGAGGCACAAAGACATTCCAATAACTTCTCTAATTTCAAAAAGCCAACACTTGATGAAGCCATAATTCAAGACCAGTACTTTTAGCTTCTTTACATGACTTTGGTACTTGTTATTTTTAAAACAAAGATTAACTTTCCCTTTTTACTATAATTTTTATTTTATCGTTACAGGATTACAGTTTTTTGAGTTTAATTTCAAGTGTATATTTTAATCATGATATTCAAATCTGTCATCCTAAGGCTTATATTTTAAGTGTCCATCAATTAGATTCAAGCAGAATATTTTTCCCCTTTCACTAAAGACACTTTACTTAATTTTAGAGGCTGAAATAAAATAGACTCCAAATGGCATGTATAGAATGTAGTAGTACTATTTTTAAGAGCTCAAACTAGAAACAATTCAAATGCCCATAAGTCATGTAATTAAAGAACTAAAATATGATATATTCATACATTAGAATTCAGTAAAATCCATGACCTACAACTACACCCAAAAATACGAATGCATCTAACTTGAGAAAGAAGCCATATCAAAGAGTATGCACAGTTTAATTCTATTTTTTTGAAGGATGAAATAAAGTAATGCCATTAAAGGTCAAAATAATGGATACCTTTGAGTTATTTACTATAAAGTGTCAAGAAGGAGGCATCTGCGGGTGCTGGTAGCATTCTGTTTCTTAGTCACATTACTAGTTAAAAGGGGTCTTCATTTTGCAAAGGTTCTTCAGGCTTTACCTTATGGAATGTATACTTTTATTAGTGCATATTTTAGTTCAATAAAAAAATTAAAGAAACAAAGTGACATTTTCTTAAACTCCATTTTATTCAGGCATTTTCTCCTATTTGGAACTAACTAACTTAAATAGGCATGCAAATTTGTTGTGTTGGGAAGTAAAAGCTTTAATGAGTATGCTGATTGTGAGAGACTTCTGAGAAGGTGAAGACTTGGTAAGCCACTTCTCTAGTTAACAGTCATGAATGCGGCTCGGTTCTAAAGCCAGAGCTAACAGTAGTATCTGGTGAGAGAAGAGAGACGAGGAGTGATTACTGTTGGCCTCCAATGACTTATGTGATGGAGGTGCTGAAATCAGGGGCTGAGCAAACATGCTCTTCTGCTTTTTGCCCTTCAAAGGAAAAGATTAAATACAAGAGACCTGTGCATCTACATGACACACTCAAATTGCCCCTCCAGCCTGAAGGAGAGGAAGTTGCATTGACTCCCTGACATTAAGTGAGGCTCCGATGGTTACACATCCTCCTTTTCCTCTTTCATTCATAGAGAAAAGTCCTCAAAATGATTTAGTGTGGTACCTGCCATTGCTTTCAACAAGGCCAAATACAGCTAGTTCAGCCATTGCACAAGCGAGAATTTAAACCATTTCATTGCGTGTTGACTTCTGGTGGAATAGTGGGGTGTAAAGGATCAGCTTATTGTGATCAACAGCATGTATCAGGCCCTTTGTTTGAGTTCCAAGGCAACAAACAACAGAGGAACACTGACTAGCTGCCAGATCTTTGAGAATGACTTTAAGATTACTAAAAACAAAGTAACATTTTCTTAATAAAAAAGATCTTAAATATTATAAAGAAAGGACCAGCAGCCCAAGAAATAATGGACCAAGAAGACGACCACAAAATGTTTAAATAATCACTGATTATACAATATTCAAAGAAATTTGAACAAAAGAAACAATAATATATCTAAAGATTGGTCCATTTTATACATTTGGTAAAAAAAAAAAAAAGGAGAGTTATGAACATGTGCTGATACAGAAAAGATACGTCTTGTAAGCAATTAAGTTAAAAAAAAAAGAAAAAAAGAGGGGCACGGGGAAGTGAAGGCATTGTATTAAAAAACTAGATTGATCCTGTAATCCCACCACTTTGGGAGGCCAAGGCAGGCAGATCACGAGGTCAAGAGATCGAGACCATCCTGGCCAACATGGTGAAACCCCATCTCCTCTACTAAAAATACAAGAATTAGCTGGGCATGGTGGTGGCTGCCTATAATCCCATTTACTCAGGAGGCTGAGACAGGAGAATCGCTCGAACCCGGGAGGTGGAGGTTGCAGTGAACAGAGATCACACCACTGCACTCCAGCCTGGGCGACAGAGTGAGACTCTGTCTCAAAAAACAAACAAACAAAAAACTAGATTTATTATATATATTTCCTACTCTCCCTTTAAGATTTGTTCTGAGGGAGTTATCTTTCCCAGCTAATTTAAAAACTAGTCTACAAACTTGTACTTCTCTGCTCACTTGTAGATAATGCAGGCATTTCTTTTTATTTATTTATTTATTTATTTATTTATTGAGACAGAGTCTCGCTCTGTTGCCCAGGCTGGAGTACAGTGGCACGATCTCACTGCAAGCTCCGCCTCCTGGATTCACGCCTTTCTCCTGCCACAGCCTCCCAAGCAGCTGGGACTACAGGCGCCGGCTACCACGCCCAGCTAATTTTTTGTATTTTTAGTAGAGAAGGGGTTTCACCATGTTAGCCAGGATGGTCTCGATCTCCTGACCTCGTGATCTCCTGCCTCGGCCTCCCAAAGTGCTGGGATTACAGGCGTGAGCCACCGCACCCGCCCGATAATGCAGGCATTTCTACAATCACTTTTAATCAGTCAAACTATCAATTGAAATTCCCAACTTGACTCAGTGTTAAATTCTTCCTTCCTACCCATCTAGGACCCTGTTCGGTAGGGACACCGACAGTGGAGATAGAGGGGAGGTCCTGCTGCTTCTCTGCTCTCTCCTGCGCGCCTTTCACAACTTCTGGCTGCAGTGTGGGGGGCAGCAGGGGATGAGATGTAGTGATATATGCAGCACCGTGGGCCTGGGTGATGGTGTAATTTTACCATTTCTCAGGCCCCTGAGCATCGTTAAATACTCCTGCAGTGTTTATCTGCTGGGTTACCTTTTTATAGGACCCTAGGTGACCCTAAGCTAATTATCTCACTTGAGTGCCCATCATCGCCAAAGAAATCTCTTCTCCAATATCCTGACAATATTCTCTTCACTTTCTCAATTCTTCTGTATTCTCTAGGTGGGTGATGGGGTTCCTGCTTCTAGCCCATATGTAGTGGTAGTTGTGTTTGTATTATATTGACTTGAATATTCTATCTAGCCTCTATTGTATGAACAACTCATCAGAAACAGAGGCAGAGAAAAACCAATGCTAGTATATCTTGTTGGGTAAAAATAATTGCCTACATGTATTCCACTACAAAGCTTTGTGGTTACACTGTTAATATTGGTTACATGAGTCATGTTGGACAAAGGTTGCAGCACCCAGGATAACTTTTACTCTAATGTAAGTTTGAACTTTTACAATTATTTTTTAACCTTGAGTATCTGTTATTGTAAGCATCATCATCATCATCATCATCATCTTTACCATCATTTCTAAATAAAAATAAGTTAATACAAAAATAAATTAATTATTAATTAATTAATTAATTAATAATACCACAGCATTTCTAGCAATTCTTACACTTTAGGCCTCAAAATTATGCTGATGTTCAGAGCTTCTATCCCATGCTACTTGGTGAAGGACTGCAGGACTGTATAGTGTGTTTCTCTGATCTTCTTCCAGGTTAGCAATTCTCCTTTCACTCCTCATGAGAACCACCAAGACAACAGATAGTAATAGTATTTCTCTTTTCCCCTCTTGGATGACACATTCCTCTTCCTCTGTTGCATGTCTTGCCTTCTTCACCCGACACTCTCATTCAACCAATTCCAGCAACTGACTTTCACATTTTACTCACTCTTAGGTACATCAAACATTCTACAAACACTTTAAGTTGGTCAAAGACATTGATTGAGATTCCTAACTTGACTCAGTGTTAGCCAGGTTTTGTAACTCTGGAAAATGTATGAAACTCCATGGGACCTGGTGAAATGATAATAGAAATAATATCAATAACATAGTTATATGTGGCAAGCACTGTTCTAAGCACTTTTCTTATACTGCTCATTTAATCCTCATGTCAAACCTATGAGGAAATAAATTATTTTCATTTCATAGGAGAGACCAAGGAATAGAGTGATGATGCACCTTCCCCAAGATCATAGAGGTTGTAGACAGAAGAGATTCCCAGCAGATACAGGCAGTTCTGCTACAGAACGCTTTCTTTCCACATTGACGTCATACTGTCACTCAACATAGGGACACTGTGAATGTACTTTCCCTAACAATAAGAAGACATGTAATGAGTATTTAATTCAATGCCACCATCGAATGACATACCTTTGTGCTTAATGTTTTTCCTTAAATTATATATGTAAATATATCAAGTCTTTAAAAAGCCAATGCAACAATAATAAGTAGCAGTTTCCTGACTCTAAGTTTATATCTCTTATTGTATAGAATGACTAATTGCAAAGCTTATGAATAGCATGTGTAGATTTAAATCATGGAGACCTATAGTTTCAGTGATAATCTGACATGAAAAATGTTCCCAAAAGTTTGACATAATTACAAATAAGGTATCCTTTAAATCATTGATATTAAAACTATTTTTATGAACTTTGTTTTCCTAGTTGTTTCAATTTTTCATAAATAAGCAAAATTACTGTGATGATTTTTGCATTTATATGTTACTGATTTATTCTTTACTTCATTACTGAGATCAACCCTTTTCAAACAATGTCATTGATCAAATCAATTATTTCATCTTAATCCACTTTTAGTCCTCTTGACTGTTTTACCTATCTGTCCTATGTTGTTCTATCTGACTGATCTGTGGGATAGTTAAAGTCTGGTTTTGAAGCCAGCTGTTTTTCTCCTGTCACCTGTCATGGGGAATTCATTTACTGTCAGTGCTAGTTTCCTCATTCATAACTTTCCTTATTCATAACTACCTTGCAAGATGGTTTTAGTGTTTAGGAATCAACTAGCAGATACTATCACCAACAATGTTAGCCTCACCACAATCATCATCATTTTCATCACTATTATTGGTTGAAACTAATTTGTTTATTATACTACAAATACAAAAGGTTCTGATTTCATGAAAAATAATGATGTAAAAGAGAGCTATTTATTCATTATATTTCTAAATGTGGATTTCAAATCATTTCAAAAGATTAAGAGCAGTTGTGTATGCCTTATTCTAACCTCCTTATTGCAAGAATCAGGCAAGTCCTGATAAAATTATATAAGTTGGTCAAAACATATTGATACTGTGCTGAAAACATCAAACACCCAATTGGGAAACATATAGCTATCCAACTAAATCTTTTAATTATTTCTGCTTTCAAATTCATATAATGTAAACAAAATATCAGCTGCATGAAAGGTTTTATGTGACTTAAGAACAATTCTTGAGACTGCAGCTGAAGGTGAGATTTGATTATATCATTTTAATTGCAGAGAGAACATGAAAATATTGTGCAGGTTAATTTTATACAGATGCAATTGACTTGAATATTAGAGTTATAAAATACAACCAAGCTAGAATGTTTAACTTAGTATTTTGAAGCTCTTCTGGGGCATATAAGTTTTTCATGTTCATGTACATTCAGTTAATGATTATCTAAGGCCTCAGACTATATTTCCCACTTGGCACCTGCCCTTTAAGTACCTTTTTATGTAAATTACCACTATTGAGAAAATGCTGTTTATATTTTAAAATATTTTCAATAGAGATACATAAGTTTGGCTCTAGGGATAAATACCGATATTTTAAAATTTAAAATAAAAACATTATTTTTATTTTATTTGTGTGTTTGTGTGTTATTTTATTGTGTGATTTGGTATTCCTAAAGTCTAAAATGAGTATCAAGGTGGTACTCTATAACTTGCAAAAATGCTTAAACGATATTGAATCAAAACAAATAAACAGCAAGAAAAATCTTTCTTCACTCCAGAACACACAGATCATTTCTTCCTATTGGCTTTGTTCTGCTGGTCACAGTCCCAGATGACTATAAAATGGTTATTCTTATCTTTTCAAAATCTCTTTATAACCATTTAACTCATATTTCTTCTTCTGCAAATTAGTAGATATTTACTGATTGAAAAAGAAACAACCTTGCCTAATGATTGAATTAAAAGGTCATGTGTTTCTAATATAATAAATTGTATGCAAACCCTTACATCTAGAAGAAAGCATAGCCATGATGCAGACAACTGAAAGAGGGATTGCTGGGAATTCATGATTCACTTTTGGAAAAAGTGGGGAAATATTTTCATTGGAAAATATCTTATTTAAAAGGAAAGTTAGACTTCTAATTACATATATATCTCTATTTACTTAAAACATATCTCCAACTCGGCCGGGCATGATGGCTCAAACCTGTAATCCCAGCAGTTAGGGAGGCTGAGGCAGGTGGATCACCTGAGGTCAGGAGTTTGAGACCAGCTTGACCAACATGGAGAAACTCCGTCTCTACTACTACTACTACTACTACTACTACTACTACTACTACTACTACTAATAATAATAATAATAACAACAACAAGAATAATACAAAAATTAGCTGGGCATGGTAGCACATGCCTTTAATCCCAGCTACTCAGGAGGCTGAGGCAGGAGAATCGCTTGAACCCGGGAGGCAGAGATTGTGGTGAGCCAAGACTGCACTCCAGCCTGGGCAACAAGAGTGAAACTCCATCTCAAAAAAAAAAAAAAAAAAATCTACAACTCTATTCTTAAAATGATGTTTCTGGTTTAAATCTGTTAATTCTATAATGTAATGTAAGTATTGAACCTAATTTAAAATACAACAAAATAAAATTTAGGTGATAGTTGTTATCCCCTTTCTCAGAAAAAAATAGATCATTATCATCTATTTTCAACAATTCCTTTTAAAAATTAAGTATTTTAGGATAATCTCTATTTAAAGGAAATTCTGTGCAATCTCCAATGGGGCTGTAGTAATGCTATTATTAGGAACAGCCATAATAATTCCTGTTATTTGACAATATTATAGCATTTTACTCTCTTAAGTCTATATTTCTAAGGTCTGTGTGATTGTAATTACATTTCTATGAAACATGAGTTTATCATACGGGATAATGGCACTGTGTCTTATGAATACAAAGTGCCACATAGACATGCATAGATTGCAAAGCCAATGAAGATAAACGACCAGAAATGAGGGAAGAAGTTTCTTTTCTCATTCTTAATACTACCGTAAAGGAATAAATCTATGAACAGATTTTAAAAATTCATTCTTCCTTCCAAACTTAGAAATTTGGATAAAAACTTAGAGCTAAAATTTAACATAATTACGTGATTGAGAGATATTTCTTGGCCTTTCTTAGTCAGAAATAGTTGGACAATTAACAAATTTTTATAAATCACTGTATGTTTTCAGCACATATATATTTTTTCCCCTTTGAGAGACCTTCTTCTAAACCATGAAGGCATTACTTGTGGCCTATTATTATTATTATTATTTTGGTGTTTTTTGGGGGACTCTAAAAATCCATTTAATTTTAATTTCATGTTCTATTGTTAAGCCTTCATTTTTATTTTTATCAAACTACTTTTTTAATAACACAAGGAAGGCTCCAAGGAGAAAGAGACACACTGGCTCATTACTGCTGATTGAAAGCATTATGATGCATTGATTTCTCAGGGAAGGGCAGATTATTTTCACAAAAGCTTGAACTTTTCATGTCTGACACTCAACTTCCAGAATAGTGGATAGCGAAAAATGTCCACAATCCCCACACAAACAGCAGAGACAAGTTTTTGAGGAAGTACTCATTATTTCCTCTGCCCCTGCTACTTATTGCAATGAAAAGCATGAAAAGCAGTTCCATTCATTGTAGAAGAGCTTAGACTTGTATATAGAACACAGAACTTGCCGAGAGAAGAACTGATGATTTTTCTTGATTGTTAAAAGTCAGTGCTAGGGCAGGATGCATTACCTCAGAAGTTGAAGACCTACCATTTTGAGGTTAGAAGTTTGGCCTCTGGATTAGTCGATCAGCTGTTCTTTGTTGTTCTGGAACTATAGAATAAACTTCTAATTTTTGCCAAGAAATATTAACAGTGACATCATTTGGGAGCTTAAAAAGCCTTGAAAATATAGTTCAGCTTTTTTATACTTGCATAAAGTACAGGCAGGTTAAGTTACATGCCACATTTCTGAAGTTAATTCATGGCAGGATGAAGTTTAGAATTATTTTCTGTTATTAATCCATAGAAACTCACTTGTTTGCCCAGAGACCCAGGAAGGGTTAAGTATATGTGCTTTAGGGGTGGGAGGAAAGGGGGAGAGAGAGAGAGGAAAAGAGAGAGAGATCATTTCAATTCTTTCTTAATATAAAAATCCAGAAAGAGTGCCTGCCAAGTTAGCAGGATAATGATAACTATCTGTTGTTTTATTTATTCATTCCTTGAGATACGTCTGTGAAGCTCCTATAACCGGTTAACCACTATGATAGGTGTTGAAGACAGAGAAATAAATCACATTTACTAACCTTGAGTTGCTATTATTAGATGGAAGGGGTTTTTGCAATAGGTTTACTTTGGGGAAGAGGAATGTTGAGTTTCCTTTGTATAACCGGTTACTGCTGGCACCCAAGTTGAAAACTCTTACTGGCTTGTCCACATGGGACCTGTTGGGGAAAGCATCAACCCACATATGGACTTATAAATCTCTTTACTTTGGGGGAGAAGACAAAAAGAAAGCACCTTATTTTCTATATTTTTCAGACTCCTCAAAAAATCGAATATTTTTACTCCCATTTTACAGATAAATAGTATAAATAGTTTGCCTAAGGCCACAAATGTATAAGTGGTAAATTTCTGAGTGGAACTCAGATAATCTGTCTACTGACTCTGCTATTCCTGAAACTTACTAGTCAGCTGGTTTGATTAAGTGGTAGAGTTGAGATTTAAACTTGATTAGTTCAAAATCAAAGTTTATGCTCAAAACAATAACAAAAACAAAAACAACTATGCAATTATTACAGTCCTTTCACATATAAACCACTAGTGTTGTCTATAAATGTCATATCAGTATAAAACATTGCAAAACACTACTCTCCACATTATTTTCCACACAAAAGACTAACCAAGTATAGCAAGTAAGTTATTAAATGAAGCAGACAAAGAACAGAATAGAAGATGAAAAATGAAGTCACAACTTCAGTAGTCAAGAGAACTGTGTCCAAGAAGACAGACAACAGGCAGAGAAGACAGGAAAGATATGTCAGATGGCTGGGGATGCTTTTACATATGTCATGGTGAGAGAGTTTAACTACAAACAGTGTTCACTCCAGAGTTTAATATGTCTAGGGAGACATTTAATTTATTTTCACATATTTGACTTATTTCAGTATCTTAGTAGTCAATAATAAAAAATTATTTCCACTAAAACTTGAAAACAAAGAGTGATCCAATGGAATAATGAGATTGTCTTGAGGGCTTCATTCTTCTATGCAGTGATTCAGGGTAACTCAAGTTCAGTTTTGCTGACATGTTCTGGGGATTAGTTGGGTTTGACAAAAAAGTTTATTTTGATTGTCATATGCTATCATGAGAAAAGAGCTTATAGAGCAGAAAATCTCCCAAATCATTTTACTTCTTCAAGTCTCTAGTCTAGTGTCATTCAGAAAACATAGCCTCTGAGTTACCATTGTTGAAATTTGTAACTTAAATATTCTGTATTCTATCTGAAAAGTAATACTAGGTCTCGGAGAAACGTAAGTTTTCTGTTTGCAGTCTTGCTTTTTTTCCAGTAATGGTCCATCTACACTTTATTAGTTGATGGTGCAATAGCACAAGACCTGGTGTAGAAAGAATGGAAGTATTTACAGCATTCACCACCTGCGTAAAGCCAAAGAGAGGCAAGATGCAAGCCATTAGACTCAACGTTTAAATGTCTACAACATATCAACAGGTATTAATGTTTCTCATTAATGCCCCTCAATTTATCTCATTTTCTAGGGTATCTGGCAATGTGGAAACATGATGACAAGGCTATTTCAATGCAGGTATCTGCTCATTGTGAGAATAAGCAACGGAGAAGGTCATGCTTAGTCCCTGCCTCAGCATTAACTTTTATATGTTGCACAGGTAGAGGCCACTTTTGTACCATTGTATTCCCCAATCCAACCCAACCACTATACATACACACACATACACACACACGCGCACACACACACACACACACACACACACATCAATTGTTAACAAGGACAATTTTAGAGTATAACCAATTAGTAAAGATATAATTTTACTAAGTAGAACAGGGACCTAAAATACAATAATAACAGAAATAGAAAGCAAAAAACAAAAGTAAACCTCAACAATTATTACTTATGGACCCAAGCACTCTGCTTACCATTTTACAAACATATCTCACATGTTCTTTACAACATTCTCACAAGGGCAATATTTATATCCTTAATTTACAGAAGAGGAAAGTGAGACTTAGAGAAGAAAAGCAATTTTCCAATGTCAAATTTCTGCTTGTGGCAAAGCCAAATTAAAACTTAAATATTATTAGGCCAGGCGCGGTGGCTCATGCCTGTAATCCCAGAACTTTGGGGGGCCGAGGTGGGTGGATCATGAGGTCAGGAGATCGAGACCATCCTGGCTAACACGGTGAAATGCCGTCTCTACTAAAAATACAAAAAATTAGCTGGGCATGGTGGCGGGTGCCTATAGTCCCAGCTACCTGGGAGGCTGAGGCAGGAGAATGGCGTGAACCCGGGAGGCAGAGCTTGCAGTGAGCTGAGATCACGCCACTGCACTCCAGCCTGGGGGACAGAGCAAGACTCTCTCAAAAAAAAAAAAAAAAAAAAAAAAAAACCTGAAATTCTATTATTTTCAATGCACAAATTTTTTTACCCCACACCATGTGACTGAGTCTACCAATTTGGGTTCTAATGTCACCATCTTAAAAAATGAAGAAAGTCATCAATGGGTCATAGTCACAAAGGGAGCTCACAGGTTCATTACAGACTAAAGAGATGGTGATTTTAAAGATTTGCAGAAAGACCTCAGCTTCAAGCAACTTTGATATATGAAAGAAGCTAGTGGGTCATAGAAGAGGAAGGGGAGAAGTTCTCCTTAATGTTTCTTTCATTTTCTTTGAAAAGATTTCTTGATATCAGGAACAATGCTAAAATAGATCATCAAGAGCAGGGCACGGTGGCTCATGCCTGTAATCCCAGCACTTTGGGTGGCCGAGGCGGGGGGATCATGAGACCAGGAGTTCAAGACCAGCCTGGCCAACATAGTGAAACCCTGTCTGTACTAAAAATACCAAAAAAAAAAAAAAATAGACAGGCATCGTGGTGTGTACCTGTAGTCCCAACTACTCAGGAGGCTAAGGCAGGAGAATTGCTGGAACCCAGGAAGTGGAGGTTGAAGTGAGCCGGGATCACACTACTGCACTCCAGCCTGGGTAACAGAGCAAGACTCTACCTCAAAAACAAAAACAAAAAAAGAGTTACCAAAAAGACACATGCATTCTCATGTTTATAGCAGCACTACTGACAATAGCAAATACATGGAATCAACCTATGTGCCCATCAATGGTGGATTGATAAAGAAAATGTGGTACAGATACACCATGGAATACTATACCAGCCATAAAAAAGAACAAAATAATATTCTTTGCAGCAACATAGATATAGCTGGAGGACATTATCCTAAACTAATTAATGTAGGCTCAGGAAACCAAATACTGCATGTTCTCACTTACAAGTGGGAGCTAAATATGGATACTCATGGACATAAAGATGGCAAAAATAGAAACTGGGGACTAAGAAAGGGAAGAGTGAGAGTAGGGCAAAGGTTGAAAAACTACTGTTGGGTACTGTGCTCAGTACTTTGGTGACAGGATCATCAGTACCCCTAACCTCAGCACCATGCAGTATACTCAGGTGACAAGCTTGCACATGTACCTCCTGAATCTAAAATAAATTTGAAAAAATAAAAGAGTTGAATAACACAGCCCAGTTAATGAGATGGAATGCAGAACATTCAATGAAACAACAAACTCACCACATTAAGTGAAAAAAAAAAATGTTAAAGGATGTGAGGATGTGTGGCTGTCTTCTTACACAAACACATGTCTTACACATAGCATGATGGGGGTCTAAAACACAGAATAGATGTCTCAATGGGGCATATAGATTGGGGATTTGATTGCATTATCGTTACTATTTGACACAATGTGAGAGGATTAGAACTCCAGAGGAGAAGGAAAGTACCAGGCTGATAACAGAACAGTGTGCAATATCTGTCTAAATAAGAAAAGGAAGAGATGCTCAGAAATAAGCAGGAGTCAGAGAAGCATCGTGAGATCTAAGAGGAGTTATAGCAGAGGGGTAATGGTGAGCACTGGTGAATAAAGGCCTAGGAAAAATGATACCTTGAGCCCAAGGGCCTTGAGAATTCAGAGGTTGTGCCGATTTATCTCAATAAGAGTCTCAGTGCAAAGACAAGGGCCAGCTTGCAACATATGGACTGTCGAAATGTAAGGAAAGAGAAATTCTGTGTGCAGGCAACTATTCAGAGAAGTTCAATAAAAATGAATGAGATACATGACAGTAGCTATAGATTATGTGGTATCTGGAGAGAGGAAGGAGGGAGAGAGAGAGAGAAAGAGAGAGAGAGAGAGAGAAAGAGAGAGAAGAAAGAGAAAGAAGAGAGAAGGAGAATAATTAATAGAGGAAGTTTCCACTGCTAAATTGTGGATCATAAAAGCATATCTGAACACTTGATATGAGGAACTGAAATGACAGTTACGTCAGCAAGAATCTGAATTCTTCTCAACTTAGTAGATCTTTTTCTTGTTACCTTTCAAGGTAACTCACATGATATTCAAACTGTGAAATTTTCCTGCTAGTATTTGGCATGCCTTTCAGAGTTATCAGACCTTGTGTCTCTGAGCAAGATAAAGGAAGTCTATAGAAATGTACCAGAAATCCAAGTCTCAGGGTTGCATGAAGGAGTAGAAGGAAATTCAAATTTCATAAAAATGCTAATGACTCCCAAATAAGTATCAGCTGAGCTTCAGACGTTTCTGGTTGAGTAGCTCAAAGATTTAACATCTACAAAGCTTAACTGGTCATATTTATCCTCATACTATTTTCTCTTCCTGTACTCTTACCACTACTGTCATCAATTTAATTCCTCCATTTTGACTTCTTTCTCCATCAGGCCCTTTTGCCAATGAATCATAAAAGCCTATTGATTCCATTCTAAATATTGCAGAAATCCATTTCCACTGACTTGCTCTAGACCATCATCACGTCTTTCCTGGATGCCTGCACAACTTGCTCTTCTTTTACTCTTCTTTACCCTTGGTCCATTTCCTACACTAAGATCACAAAAATTAGCTGGAAAATATACACCTTATCAGGCCATTCTTTTACTTGGAAATTTTCAGAGCTTCTTTATTAAACTCCCCATCAATTCAAAGCTGGTTAATGTGGCATGCAATGTTCTTCATGATCCAGTTCTTTTTTCTTTCTTTCTTTTTTTTTTTGAGATGGAGTCTCACTCTGTTGCCTAGGGTGTAGTGCAGTGGCACAACTTTGGGTCACCACAATCTCCCCTCCTGGGTTTAAGTGATTCTCCTGCAACAGCCTCCTGAGTAACTGGGACTACAAGCGCACGCCACCAAGCCAGGCTAATTTTTTTTTTTTTTTTTTTTTTTTTTTTAGTAGAGACAGGGTTTCACAATGTTGGCCAGGCTGGTCTCAAACTCCTGACCTCGTGATCTGCCTGCCTTGGCCTCCCAAAGTGCTGGGATTACAGGCATGAGCCACCATACCTGGCCTGATGCAATTCTTGCTCACCTCACCAACTTTAGTTTTTTCTACTTGAAACTACTCTCTGTCCCCAACTTGAAAACACTCTAAATTCCATTCCTACCTAAGGACTTGCAGTTCTGTAAACATGTTATGCACTTGGTCACGTCTAAGTTGGGATATCCATTAAGCCGTCAAGGTCACTGTTTCACCATTTTTGTCCTGGGTTAGTAAATGCTATTTACCCTTTGGTAAATGCCATTTCTCCCCCACCTTGAACCCTTCCCCGAGTAGGATTCCTCTACGAAAGTCTTCCATAGCATGTAAGTCTATCATAGGCAGCACTTATACCCTAGAAGCACTCTAATTGTCTTTTTATTTTTCTCTCTTTGAGCTCCTTTGATTTAGGTGGCTTGCCTAAGAAAACAAAGTCAGTAAGCAGCAAAATCAAAATTCAAATCTATTTCTGCCCTCTCTCCATTGGGCCACACTGTCTGAATTTAATCTCATGGTGTTCAGCAATCCAACATGCTTACTTCCTCATTACTTTTATTACAAAATAAGAATGGAGAAATTTTCATGCGCGTTCCTTCCACTTACATCAAACATGTTTTCATTACCATGATTACCAAAATGAGTTCAGTAGTTACTCCATGGTATTCTGTTGGTTTCTCCCCATCTGAACTAATACATATATACTTAAAATGTTTAGATTTTAAAGGGATGTTAGAACACTGGTTTTCAAACTTGACTGCACACTGAAGTTACCTGGGGAGTTTCAAGAAATATTGATGATTGGATTCCACGCCCCAGAAATTCTGATTTACTTGTTACAGGGCATTACCTAAGCACTAGGTTTTTTTTGTTTTTTTTTTTTTTAATTTAATTTAATTTAATTTTTTTTTAAACCTGTAAGATCATGCTACCATGCAGCAATGTTTGAGAACCACTACATCAAAGAAGATCTAGCTCACAGTTTCTTTTCAAAGATGAGGCAAGTGAAGTGCAGAAAGATTAAGTGATTTGCCTGAGGTTAAATGATACAGTTCATGTGAGTAATTAGTCACATGTAATTAATTCCTGAATTGAAGATTGGCTGTCTGTGGAGGTGAAAAAAGGTAGGGCTTCAGGATTCTATCCTCACTGCAATGCTGCTACAGCAAAATAAAAGAGAAAACCCATTCATTTCCTTCGATACTACAGCTCTCTCCTGCTGCTCAACAAAATAGCAATATTCTCCATTTATATCATGCTTATGGTAAATACTTTCAGATCTACTTTAATAAGTATGTTTATTAAGTGCTTTTGTTACATACTTTCAGATCTATTGTATAATTTTTCTACAATTTTGAAATAGCATATTTATTAATGTAACTTTTTAAAAAGTATAACCTGTAGCAAGTAGCGAGTTAGAATTTTAGGCTGATAAATGCTGTTAAGAAAAATATATAGAAAAATTTAGTGTAAACATGTATATAGTGCATGCTATTAAGAGAATGGGCTTTAGGCTGGGCGCGGTGGCTCACGCCTGTAATCCCAGCATTTTGGGAGGCCGCGGCAGGTGGATCACCTGAGGAGTTTGAGACCAGCCTGGCCAACATGGTAAAACCCCGTCTCTACCAAAAATACAAAAATTAGCCAGGTGTGGTGGCAGGTGCCTGTAATTCTAGCTACTCTGGAGGCTGAGGCAGAAGAATCCCTTGAACGTGGGAGGCGGAGGTTGCAGTGAGTCAAGGTCGTGCCATTGCACTCCAGCCTGGGCAACAAGAGCAAAACTCTGTCTCAAAAAAACAAACAAAAACAAAAGCCAAAAAAAAAAAGGAGAGAAGGGGCTTTGAATCAGCCAATGTTAAATTTAAGTATTTACCCATTCGAACATGAGCTGTGTGACATTGAGTGTCACTTCAGTTTTCTGAATGTCGGTTTCCATAGAGAGAATAATAGTCATGCTATCTATCCTGATAAATATTAGCCCTTACAAATGTATGATCCATATGCAAATACTGGTGATACAAAGGTAGGAGTGGCCATTACTATGTACTTAGAAAATATTTTTTGGAGGAGGAAAAAAATGTGGGTTGAGTTTTAAGACAGGAACTGATATGCATGGGGTTTATATTTCCACACTTTCTAAGTGAAGATGAGGTACAGAAAAACTAAGTCTTATGAATAAAATCAACGTATTCACAGTTTCACAGTAGAGCTCTAATTAGACTTAGTCTTCTGTCTGCAATGCCCTTGCTTATTTAGACTTAACACTCAGAATGTGGTGAAGATTTCACATCCAATCTCCCACTAACTTTAAAATCATTAGCTAGGCTGGGCACCATGCCTCATGCCTGAAATCTCAACACTTTGGGAGGCTGAGGCAAGAAGATTGTTTATGACCAGAAGTTCAAGACCAGCCTGAGCATTGTAGGTAGACTCCCATCACTACAAAAAAAAAATTATCTGGGCACAGTGGTGCATACCCATAGTCCCAGCTACTCAGGTGGTTGAGGTTAGAAGATTGCTTGTGCCCAGAATCTTGTGAGTCCTGTGAGCTAGGACACAACGCTGCACTCCAGCCTGGGTGACAGAGTGAGACCCTGTCTCTAATATATAATATATATAACATATATATATTATATATTATATATACACACACATATGTATGTGTATATATACATGCATATACATGTATACATACATATATATACATGCATATACATGTATACATACATATATATACACACATATATATGTACATATATATATATTAGCTACAAAATAGTCTTTTTGCATCTGGGTGGAAAATTTTCATGAACCAAACCAACCACCTCTACCTCCAAATGGTGTCAAGTCTCCTGGTCAAAACTTCCAGCCCAGAAATGGGGCTCCTAGGAATTGGCATCATCTTCTGGAAACAGAGCAGAGATAAGATTGCAATACCAATTAATAAAAGATACACTTCATAATTCCTTCTAGGAAAGGAACCAAGTGCAGTTTACCCTAGGCACTTGCTTTTAAACTCTAAGAAGAAGTCGACCATTGTCCTCTCCAAAGTCTAAGAGAGAGTGTCCACTGTCTGCATGGTAAAGGGAATGTTGCTAGGTATGTGTGCTCTCCAGTAGATAACCATGGACAATTCTCATAAATCTTCCAGCGATCATTTTTTTAATTGGCAAAATGGATGAATATCATTAATTTTGTAGGGCCTACATGAGGAATGAATACAACAAAGCATGGAAAAGTATTTTGCAAACTACATAGTTCTGGGTTAATAGCCTTAATCCTGATCTCAGCCAAAGCACAATGACTGATCGTTCCAGGAAAGACTAAGGGCCATAATGTTTCTTCAGGGTGAACATTTCTGCTGCTGTGAAACCCAATGGTGTTGCATTCTTTTCCATTTTTCACGCTACTGTGGTATTGGAAGTAATGATAAATCCTTAGTTGCATGAGGTGATGGATAATTACCTAATTAGAAATTCATTCTCTTTTTTTTCTTCTAAGCTATCTGAAAAAAAATTATCTGCCTGGTTTTATGAGTAAATTAATTGTTTCAGGTTAAATGGGAAGCTAGAAAAAAAAAAAAAGAAAAACACAGCAGATGGAAAGCAGTGAGGGGGCCAACCAAAAGCATTTTGGAAATCTTTAAAAAGATCTAGGAAGTAGAAGAGATTTCTAATGGGATCTCAAGCTCCAATTTTCTGTTCTCAATTAGTTAATGCATTTCATTCTTTCATCAATTACAATCCATAAAATGTCTGCTTTTGTTTCCCATCAGGCCTGCTTTTCCTCTCATGATATAAGATCCCAGAGGGGAGAATAAAACAAAGAAAAAAAAATACTTCTCGGAATCGTAGGATAGATGTGCTGTGAGAGAAACTACTGGCAGCAAACCTTCCTTTTCTTGAGAGGAAAAAGGATTTTTCCTACATCTTTGGAAGTTGAGAACAACTTGTAAATCACAAGACAGCCGAAGGCCTCATGGCAGGCCAAATATCTTCATCATTCGTTGCCATCTTTTTGGTAGTGTCCATCTCACCACACAGCTCATGATTCCTATTCTTATTTTGATTTTTGGAAACAGTTAAGTTTACAAATAAGAAATCAAAATATGTAACTCCATGTGAAATAAGAGTAAAGCACCAGGGAATGCTTTTTTGAGAAATGGCCTTTCCTGTCTTTTTTTTTTTTAAGTCAATACTTCTTAGTTTATTTACCTATCTATTTTTTAAAAAAGTCCATACTTTATTTGAATTTCCTTAGGATTTTCTTTTAAGCTTTTATTTTTAGTTCAGGGTTACAAATGCAGGTTTTTTACATGGTAAACTTGTGTTATGGGGGTTTGTGGTACAGATTATTTCCTCACCCAGGTATTAAGCCTAGTACCCATTAGTTATTTTTCCCGATCCTCTCCCTCCTCCATAAAGAAGACACCAAAAGCAATTGTAGCAAAAGCAAAAATTGACAAATGGGACCTAATTAAACTAAGGAGCTTCTGCACAGCAAAAGTAACTATTAACAGAGTAAACAGACAACCTACAGAATGGGAGAAAATATTTGCAAGCTATGCATCCAACAAAGGTCTAATATCCGGCATCTGTAAGAAACATAAACAAATTTACAAGATAAAAACAAACAGCTCCATAAAAAAGTGGCAAAAGGACAGGAATAGACACGTTTCAAAAGAAGCCATACATATGGCAAACAATCGTATAAAAAAAAGCCCAACATCAATGACCAATAGAGGATTTCAAATCAAAACCAGAATGAGATACCATCTAACACCAGTCAGAATGGCTATTATTAAAAAGTCAGAAAATAAGAGATGCTGGTGAAACTGTACAAAAAAAAAGGCTTTTTCTATCTTACTATCCAGGTCTTAGGCCAAATACCAGTAGGCAACTAAATATGGACCACTTGAGTCCTTTTATGTTAAGGGCTCACCAGGGAGCTGGGTGTTTTGAGGAATCTAAATGTGTAAATTGTCATAATTTTCCTTGCCTTCATCAATGAAATACACCTCAGAAATTCCTTGCACCTAAATGGAACCAATTCCCTGTGCTGAACAGAAATTCCCTGTGCCTAATAGAACCTAAGAATGCAAAGGATGTTATATCTTTTTTATTAATAGATGAGAAACCTCAGTTCAAATTAAGTGATCTATCTTGTCTTAAATGACCAGTTAGAGATACTCATTTTGTATTATATTGACTTTCTTCTGACTTTTCGTCATTTGCATGTCAAATAACTAAAAGATGCTACACTACTTTTTTTTTAATGCTTTAAACCTGATCCGCAAAAATCGTTTGGAACAAAAGAAAAAGAAAATGGTTCCCATTATTGACACAATTCAGTATTTCTTAATTAAGATCCAGATTCTAAAAATGCACGGAAGGGAACAACTGGGATATAAAGGAAATAAAGGACTCCAAAATGTAATTATAGATGGATTGTTGGAAGGTTTTTGCTTTTCCATTTCCACCATTTTTGATTCTAGACTAAACATATTTATGATCAGGTCACACATGCCCATTGGTAACAATACTTTCTAAACCCAGATGACAGGTATTCTTTTCTATTTCCAGCCCACCTGGAGCCTAACTACTGGCCTAAAAATATTAAAGTTCATTCTCTTGATACATATTTCAAGATAATTAACCTTCGGTCTACCATTTTAAATGGTAAGTGGCTTAATTATATTAAATGAATGGGATGAGAGGGAGAGGAACAACTGGGCATTTTTTTCGAGTCAGGCAATGACTCAAGATGAGGGATTCCTTCAAGATATGCTACTTACAACCTTACAACAGATTGTTGTAGATTAGTCAAAAGATCTATTAACAGATTAGTCAAAAGTTCTACTGAAACATCTCACCTGACTGTGATTAGTTATTTGTCTTTTACATCCAAGGATGGGGACCCAGATCTGTGTACAGAATGTACATAGAAATTTCTAAAAACATTCTTTACAGTACACGTCATCTGCATAGTTTTCAAATCTACAATGCCTGAGCATTATTTCTCCCCCACTGTCTTCTCTGCCCACCCTCCATACCCCAGTAGGTTCTTCTCACCTTTTAAGCTCTCAATCTCATCACATGGTGCCTTTTTCAGGAGCCACATAGGGCCTCAAGTTCCAATCCTTTAAGTCTCCACCTGGCCTATTTTCTCCCAGCAGAGACAGGAAGGATGAAAGATTTATGGTTTTTTAGAATTTCACTTTATACCATTGCAAATGTTAAATTTCCCAATTTGTTAATATTTTATGTTTCTAACCACATTTCTTCCTCTCTTCTTCTGGGCACTTGTAGTAGGTTCCATTTCTTCTCACCTCAGATTATAATTCGTGGGGTCCATATTTCTATATAATCTCTTTATGTATTGCTCTGTCTTCTAATAATATAACATTATATTTTTCAAATTTAATCTTCTAGGCTCTATCAATATAAGTACTTGGTTTTCTATGTTGTCTGGTTCTGCTATAATTTTGCTAGGAAATTTTAGATAAGTCATTTAACATGTATGTTTTCATATTGTTTCTTTCATATACAGGTGTTAATGCATATAACAGTGCTTTATACATATCAGTTTAGCTTTATAAATGCTAACTCTGAATCTTCTTACACTCTTCTCTTCTCTTTCTAAGGCAATCTTTCTAACCTCTGGCCCTTTTTGCAGGATGGATGTAAACTGCCATACTTTTATAAATGGCACATCCTCTCTGGCCAGAGGTAAGTGGACTGAAGATAGGACATCTAGGGCTTGGCCAATGACCTATGAGATGGTCTGGAGAATAAAGCTCTATCAAAACAATGAAGATCCGATTCAAAGAGATTCTTCAACTTAGAAAGCAGAATTGGGAAATTGTAAAAAATCAGGCAGTTGTTTACAGGAAATGAAGCAAAATAATCAATCACAAAGTGAACATAACTCATGAATCATGAGTGAGCCAAATAATTAGTAAACCAAAAGTATGAATACATAGACATTATAAAGAAGTACATGGTAAGAAAGTCAATTAAAATTGAGAACATTTAAAAGACAAATAAAAATGGACCAAGACAGTAGCTCATTTAAATTCACGGTATTGTGCTGGTAGTTTCTATTTGTCCTTTCAAATACATTTTTCAAACTTAGCTGGTGTGCTTTATCCCAAGGTAAACATCCATGGCTTGCATCATACAGGCTGCCTTGACTTTTGGCTACTAATTGAGTTTATGATGGCAGGTGCTGGTAGGAAATGAGAAGAAATGAGGAGAGATATTGCAGCAATTGCTGCAAGGGCCATAACACTAGAAGGGTAGCACACTACTCTAGCCCCAGAGCTTGTAGGACTTCAGCAGTCACACCCTCCCCTTACCCCTTTAGGCCTAAGCCTGGCCATGGCTTCCTCTCTTCTAACCCTGGGATGTGTTCACTATCCTATGCCAGTTTTCTTAACGTTGTGTAAATGGCACCTTCAAAAAAATTTCTTAACTTTTCCTTTTAAGGATATCATCATTTCCTCCCTGAAGCTTGATTGAACCAAAAATGACAGAATAGATTTTCATACTCTTGCTACTAAGGCACTTTGGATCTAGAATGACTATTCAGTTTCAGACTTTGAATATAAATCAAGTCTGATTTACCTCCTTTTACAACCACTCATAATTACAGGACAGTGTGGCTTCTGCCTGCACCTCTCCAATGACTATTGTCTTGTCTAGGTCTCCATGAAAATCTGTTGCCAAGTTCAATGAACAGTTTGCTGTCCTCATATTATTTAACATCTCAGCAGGCTCACATACCACCACTTTTTTTTAATTATCTTTCCCACTCACAGATAGTTCTGTGTTATTATTGTCATCACAACAATAGTGACACACACCAAATGATTTTATAAGGTCTACATATATAGTAGTCTCCTAAAACTATCTTTCCTCACCCTTACTTCTCATTTTTCTAAAAACAACAGCTTGCACCTCTTTCAAATTGCTCTCCCTGCTGCCATACCCTGGTATTTGCCTCTTAATTTCTAAATAATATGTCTTACACTTTTGCATGACTATTCCAGTTTTAGGGAAATCTACTGATTTCCTATTAAAGGAGCTGAGACTACCATGTCTCTTACATTGTCCCCACATAACTTCACACATAGATTATCTTTTTCCTTCCTGTTGTTAAAATTGTATCATCATTTTTAGTAGAACGCTATGATGTGTTTCTATTATTGTGATTAGGTAAACACTCATAAGTAATTCATGCACTGTATAGGTTTTTTGTTATTTTTCTAAACTTTCTTTTTATTTACTTATTTTTCTGTCTGGAACCATCCCTAGTGCACTATCATAAGTAAAATTTTCTCTCACTAATTTTAAGCATTTTTTCCTGGTAATATCCTTTTTGAAGATCCGTTGTTTCCTTCAATATGGCTGTTGAAATGACATTATCTTGGGATATTTCTGTTCCCTTCACCATGGAAATTCTTTTTCTTTCTTTCACATGTGAGATTTTCATTTTCCTAGACCCCATAATTTTTACTTTCGTGGCTTACTTCTCTATGTTAGTGGAGTATATTCTCCTGGAAAAGGGCATAAGGAAAATTTTCCTAGAACTTTCATATCTGAAAACATATTTAGTTATAAAATTCTGGGTTAGAAAGTATTTATTCTCAGAGTTTTGATAGCCTTGCCCCATTGTCTTCCAGCTTCCAGTGCTGCTATTGAGCAGTTTGATACCTTTTCTGATTCCTTTGTATACAAGCCTTTTCAGTCATCTCTGAAATTATATAAGCTCTCATCTTGTCCCGTAGGTCCCATGATGGTATATCATTGGGATGAGTCTTTTATCCGCCATACTGGCATTTGGTTAGTAGGGTAACCAACTCTTCCCAGCATTCCTGGGCCCCTTGTAATTTTAAAACTGAAAGTCCTTCATCCCAAGAATACCTAACCCCAGTCCCAGGCAAACCAGGGCAGATAGTCACTCTACTGAAGAGTCGTCTAAGTTTGAAAAATCATGAACTTTAGTTGTGGGAAGTTTCCTTGAATTTTTTTTTCTTTTTATTTATTTTAATTCCTTCTGATACAGTTATTTTTCAGATACTGAGTTGCTGAACAGAGAAGATTAATCATATTTTTAAATTACCATAATTTTATTTTTCTTTTATAGCTTTTATAAATTGTATTGCCACTACCATTTTTCTATTAAATTTTCATATCTGCTATCTGATTTTTATTTTGCAAGGACTTTTTAAAATCTCCGAATGTTTGCATTTTGTAGAGCAATCCATTGCTGTTTAATGAATATGTCATTTTTCTCTCGTGTCCATATGATTTTCTAATGCCTTTTGCATGATTTCTCCGGTATTTTAAATACTTACTGTTTGAGATCTTCTGCAAATATTTGGTAACCACTTGATGTTTGTCACATTTAAAAGTGATGCACTGAAAATCCATCAGGAAAGTGCAGGTTCTGGATCAAAGAAAATGATTTGGCTGGACTCTCTTGGAGTTCTCTAATTATTCGTGGCTAAAGGTCTTTTCTTATCAAGTAATTGGTAGTCCCAGAAGAATTTTCCAATATATTTCCCAGGCAGTGTAAGCCTGGCATTCATGTTCTTGAAGATGAGTAGAAAAATCTTAAGATTCTCACTATTTTGTGTGTAGACATTTACCTTAATCCCCTTCTTATGAGTGTAATTTCATCCCCTTTATTTGTGCCCTTGAGTTAGAATCTCTCAGGTTAACAAACTTTGGTAGAGAATAAATCTTTAATGTTCTGTGATAGTGAAGGGAGTCCAATTATTTATCTGAGATTAGTGAGAAAGGAGACTTAGTAGTCTAAGTATTCTTATACAAACTTTCAAACATGCTCCTGTCTACACGACTCGCTGTACTTTCATTTAAAGTACAAGTATCTTCAAATTTTGAGGATTCATGGCATCTTTCAATCTAGTTACCTCAACAGCCTTCCACATAGTCTCCTTGGTCCAGCTCAATTCAGCATCATTTCTCAAAAATATGGCCAAAGTTATTTTTTGAATCAAATCACATCATATCTCATCTCAGAATCCTTCAGTGGCTTCCCAGAATAGTTGGAAGAAAATCCAAATTTATTGCATGACATAATAAATCCTGCATGACCTAGCCCTGGCTTATGGCAAAACCTTACATAACCTCATTGTGTACAACTATTTTTATTACTCAGCCTGACCACATTATCATTTTGCCAAGCCTTTTCCTTTGCATGTGGTATTCATATTCCTTGAAAAACTCTTCCCCCCACCACACACACCACACACATATACACACACCACACATACACACACCACACACACACCCTCCACACATACAAACATCACACATACACACCACACACACACATATACACACCACACATACACACACACCACATATACACACATGCTACACACACACCCCACACATACACATACACACACCACACATACACACACACGCCACAGATACACACACCCCCACACATACACACACACATCACACATACACACCACACTTATACACACACAATACACACACACCACACATACACCACACACTACACACACACACCCCACACATACACATACACACCACACATATACACACACACCACACATACACATACATACACCACACATACACACGCCACACACACACCCCACACATACACACACACCACACACACACACCCCCCACACACATACACACCACACATACACATACCCCACACATACACACACACACACACTTGCACTTTGCAGGCTGGGTCCTGCTCATCTTTCATGTTTTAGCTTTAGTGTCATCTCTTCAGCAAGACCTTCCCTGACCACTTGCTCTGTGTATTCCCCCATCCCTAATTCCTGCTTTATCCTTTTGTTTATTTCCTCTTTAGCACTAACCACCATTTGTAATTATTTTCTTTATTTCTCTCAGGAACACAGTAGAGGGACATTTGCATGACTAATTTAAATGTGCAATGTAATTTTGCATATCTATGCAAACCACATTTATCTTCCTGACCAATATGTACACTAGATTATTTTCAGGAAATTGTGTTGACTCATATTACTCAGATGCCGTTGTTTTCACAGGATATATTGCAGTGCATTTACTGGTTACTGGGAGGCATTTTTATAAATAAAAACTAAACCATACTTGTCAAAATAAAAGAACAAAGTGTGATGAGAGTTGACTGTTTAGATTAGATATTCTCTTCACTCGAGCAGTCAGAATCAGAATACTAACCTCAGGGGGTTAAAACTGGCACAGGAAGATAACTGATAGACATGAAACAATGAGAAGCAGGGTGAACAAAGTGCATTTACTGAATTCAAGTAATTTCAGATATATTTTCCATATACAAAATGAGAGAATGAAATTGATCTAAAATAAAAGGCAACATCAATGAACTAGAATAAAATAACATCACGGTTTTTCTTGCAAAAGAAAGTCTGTGCACTACAATTTAGTAATTGTAGTAATACACTGTGTTAGATGCTGTGATATCAACATGCCCAGGATGCTAGAGAACTATCCAGGAGGAATACTCAAGCTAGACTGCAGGTAGAGATGGCTGAGTCAGCAGGACATGATATCATAGTGTTTTGTAAACTAGATTTACAAAGAATCTTAGAAATGATCATATCTTTTTTCTTTCTTTTTAAATGAAGCACATGAAGTGCAAAAAGGTGAAATGAGTTGCTCAATTTTTCGGAAGTTAACCGAATTATAGGTGGAAGGAGGACTTGATAGCCTCAGGTATCTAATTTAGGACTCTATGCACCATGGATTAACCCTTCTATTGCAATCTGTTGCAGGTTGAATTGTGTGACCCCAAAACACATATTCAGGAGCTAATCCCTGGTGTCTGTGAATGCAACCTTATTTGGAATGGGGTCTTTGCAGATATAGTCAAGTTAAAAAGAGGTCATACCAGATAAGGGTGGACCCTAAATCCAGTGACTGGTAGCTTCATAAGAGAAAAGCGAGGAAAATTTGCATACAGACACAGAGAAGAAGGCTATATGAAGAGGAAGGCAGAGATTGGAGTGAAGTTTCTATAAAACAAGGACCACCTAGGATTGCTGGCAAATACCATTAGCTAGGAAGTGGTAAAGAATAACTGTCTTCCCCTGGAGCCTTCAGAGAGAATATGACCTTGTGACATTGTGATTTTAGACTTCTAGGCTTTAGAACTGTGTGAGAATAAATTTCTGGGTTTTTTTAAGCCACTGAGTTTGTTTAAATGTGTTACAGCAGCCCTAGGGGATGAATACACTGTCCATCAATAACAGACATATCTTCCCACCCTATCATGATGGCCTCTCTTACCACTTCCCAACAAGAAAGAGTCAGGTGACCCACTGATGCACACACCCCCAGCAATCACTGAACTGTGATTTTCTGTTTATTTTTCTGACTATCTAGCCAGTTCATCGGCTCTACAAGAGCAAGAAGTCTGGGAAGTTTTAGTTTGTTTGTTTGTACTGTATTTTTCCTAGATTCTGTTATGTTCATTATAGGCAATCAATAAACATTTATTCAGTCAAAATAAAAATAAATGAGGCCAAAATATATGGATAGATTATTCAACAAGGAAGATATATATGTGGTCAATAAGCCCAAAAAGAAGTGCTAAATATTGCTAGTTATTAGGAAAATTCCAATTAAAACCATACCACTAATTATCTACCAGAACATGAACATTTAAAGAACCTGACAACACCAAATATTGGCCAGAATATAGAGCATTTAGAACGTCCTCTTCTTGGGGGGAGTGTAGAATGGTAAAACCACTTTGTGTGAAAAAGGTCTGGCAGTTTCTTATGAAACTAAATATTGACAATTGTGCTATACAATAATTTTATTTCAAAATATTTACTCCCTCCTCCACACAAAAGAAAACTATGTCTACTAAATACTTGTACAAGAATCTTCACTGAAACTTCACTAAGAAAAAAAGCCAAAGTCTAGAAATAGACTAGGTGTTCATCAGTAAGAAAATGACAAGCAAACCACAATATACTCATTTATAAAATAATATTCAGCAATGAAAATGAATGAATTTTTAATATACACAATAACATATATAAATCTCAAAAATATTATATCCAATAAAAGCAATTTAAAACTAAAGTGATACCATTTACATAAAGTTACAGCATAGACCAAACTATTCTGTGTTGACATAAACCAAAAATATAGTTACTTCTGGGGACGTCGGGCAAGAATTGCTAGAAATGTATATGAGAGAAATTTCTGGGTTTCAAGAGAGAATTGGTTTGTACAAGTGTATATATTTGTTTAAATTCAATAGTGCATTTATGACTTGTGCTTTTCATTGTATATAAATTTTATACGAAGAATAAAGAAACTGTAAGTTTTAAATATTGTTGAAGTATTTAGGTGTATAAAGTACTGAGGTCTTTCTATTTATTTAATTATTTCTGAGATGAAGTCTCACTCACTCTGTTGCCCAGGATGGAGTCCAGTGGCACAATCTCAGCTCACTGCCACCTCCGTTTCCTGGGTTCAAGTGATTCTCCTGCTTCAGCCTCCTGAGTAGCTGGGACTACAGGCATGCATCACCATGCCTGGTTTATTTTTCCTTTTCCTTTTTCTTTTTTTTTTTTTTTTTTTTTTTATAGTAGAGACAAGGTTTCACTATGTAGGCCAGGCTGGTCTTGAACCCCTGACCTCAAGTAATCTTTCTGCCTCGGCCTTCCAAAGTGCTGGGACTACAGGTGTGAGCCACCGCACTCAGCCGAAATGTCTGAAACTTAATTTAAAAGATCCCTCCCACCAAAAAAAGAGATTAATTGATTAATGAATAAGAATATAGGCAGATAGATAAATATAAATAATTTAAAATACAAATGTAGCAAATATAAATTGTTGAATTTAGAGAATATATATATGGGTGTTCTTAGTTCTTCCAACTTTTCTGTAAATTTAAATATTTTTCATAAAATGTTAGAGAGGAATCCACATAACATGAAGGAGTTAAAAATGAGTCAATCAATGAATTAAATCTCATTTTGGAAATTGGCAAAATAAAACTAAATATAAGATTTATGAAGTTCACTATGTAAGAGTCTTAGAATCAGCCTTCGTAACTGGAAAGCCCCAGGCTGAACAAAAACCCAAGACAAACAACAGTTAGCCTGGAGCTGCAGTGGTGGGGCTTGGGAGGAAAGATCCACGTAGGCTGACTTAAAAATCTTTGCTGGAACTTGAGCTATCTATCCATATTCCTCAGACAACATTCAAAACCAGGAGACAATAATAGATGGCTTTGCCTTAGCTGTGTTAGGTGAGAACAAATCCAGCCAGCAAACAAGATACATCTCTGCCCTGTTAGGCTTCCCTCAAACTCCTGCCGGGAAGAATTTGGCAGTGGTACAGGGAGAACAGTCCTGTGGTTTAAAAGTGCCTGACTGAATGGAAAGATCCCTCTGCCCTTGAAATGAATGCTTACTGCTGCCACCTGCAACGTTAGAGTGAAAGAGGGGTAAAGGACTACTTTGTAAGGAGACAGAGTCTGTGTGAAAATCTGATCACCGGAGGAAAATTCGTGTTTTCTGAAACGCTGCTCATGTTGTTTTATGTTGGGCCTGCAGAGACAGGTTATAGGATTCATGAGGGAGGCCTTATCGAGTCTAAGGTTTTAGCTGTTGAAGTTGGGAACAACAACCTGTTAGGTCACCAAATCATATTTCCTCTCCTACAAAGGGAAGTAAGAAAAACAGCCTAATCCCCTATCCTCCAGAAGACACACACACACACACACCACTGCAGACCCACACCCGCTCACTCACACACCACTGCAGACTCACACCCGCTCATACTCACACACACCACTGCAGACTCACACCCACTCACACACACACCACTGCAGACTCACACCCACTCACGTACACACCACTGCAGACTCACACTCACTCAAGCACACACACACTACTGCAGACTCACACCCACTCACATATACACCACTGCAGACTCACACTCAAGCACACACACACTACTGCAGACTCACACCCACTCACACACACACAACTGCAGATTCACACCCACTTAAAAAAACAAGCAACAACAACTACAACAAAAGAACAAATAAAGATAAAACAGCCTTATCTAGTTGCTGTATTCAGCTCTTCCTGGTGGTCAGAAAAGTAGATAATTGTTTGCAAAATTGCTTAGCTACACAATAGAGAAATAACTAATGAGCATTTGCAGGAAAAGTATTTTTAAAACAAACAAAAACTTCTCTCTGACAGTGATAATAAATTTTCACTTTATTTTTTTTTTAAACTGCAAGTATGCTGAGACAAGCAATCAGCTATGAGAGAGGGGTAATACAGCTTTCGGTTTAGACTCCAAAGTCATAAATAGAATTACTGACTGTAATGTTTACTATTTTTGTTATCTTAGGCAGGTTGTTTCTACTGATGTCAGATTTTTTTAATTTGAAAAAGCCTCATTTTAAAAATTTTATGTCTGTGTCATTTTGGATATTAAATTTGCAAATAATAAAACAACCAATACAAACTGACTTAAAAACAAAAGCAATTACTTTGCTATTAGTATTAAAAAGTCCACAGGGAGGGCTTCACCCGGCAACTCACGTCATAGAAGACATTATTTTACTCTCTCTTTCTCTCTTATGTCCTCTTTTCCCCTTGGGTTTGGCTTCTTTCTCAGTAAAGTTTTACTATCTTCGTCTTTACTCTCTTGGTTTCTTGACAACATGGTTGTCAAGAAAATAATAGAATAAACGAAAGAAAAAATGGCAATAATAACAACCATGTTACTATGGTAATGACACAATCAGAAAATCTAGAAGAAAACATGCAGAAAGTGCAATACCAAACATACCTTTCTCCTGGAACTCCCTCTCTCTCTCTCTCTTTTTTTGTCTGAGACAGGGTCTTGCTCTGTCATCGAGGTTGGAGTGCAGTGGCATGATCATGGCTCACTGTAGCCTCAACCTCCTGGGCTCAAACCATCCTCCCACCTCAGCCTCCCGAGTAGGTAGGACTACAGACATAGGCCATGATGCCCTGCTAATTTTTATTTTCTGTAGAGACCACGTTTCACTATGTTGCCCAGGCTAAACTTTAATTTTTCTTTAAACACCTCCAACATGGAAAAGCATCTCTTCAGGTAGTTCGGGAGAAAAGGAATGAAACTACTTTCCTATAACTCTCAGAAAACTTCTACACAGGTGTCATTGTCCCCCAGTGAGCCACATGCAGTGGAGCCCACCAGAATGGGACATTTTAACCACTCTGGGGCATACGGTAGGATTAGCTTCCCCAAAATCAGAGCAACTGAATGTGAGGAGAAGCAATTCAGTACAAGAATTGAAGTGTCACTATTAACAGCAAAGGATACCAGTGGCCCCAAAGATTCAACATTGAGGACAAAGCCAAATAGTGGTGAAGGTCATGAGGTAGTGGGTTTGAACATATTTCATGAAATGAGAGCCATATATAAAGTAATGTGTCCCCAATCTTAAACAATACAAGTACTAGATACCAGAGATTAAAGAATCTGTGAACAGAGCCCTTCTCCAGTAGTACAAAACTTTGGAATGCTTAAAAACATCACAACAGTGAAGTAAAAAGAAACAACTTAAATTAATGAATCTACGAACAAGTCTTGCTATAATACAAAAGCAGTGTTCTTGGGTCCCCATTCTTTTTCTAATTAATGATGAAAATATTTAAGGCAATTAGAGCACTTGAGAGTGGATTAATTATATTTGATCTACTTCAAGAGTGTTTTGCAGTTATGTAACGTTTAAAAAGTGTTCTGAGGTTTAGGTCGTAAATGATTTTCTAATATACATAAATTATAACACTTGCATAGAAAAAGTATTATTCAGACATATATTATTAAGAAGTATACCTTCAAAAATATTACACAGGATGGTAAAATTACCGTAACACAGGAATACAGGAAAAATGTCTGTGGATAACAGTGCTTTAATTGTGTAAGATTGTGTGAAATTTTCAAAGTTGTTTCTCTAGTTGGAAAAAATGAGTATTAATCTGAAAAACATGTTTAATGTTTATGGCTAGGTGTAGGGCCTTTAGTCGGTTTTTACTTATGTTTTTCTGTATTTTATAAATTTTCTACAATGAGCTTATTTTAGTGTTACAATGAGACAACATACTATCTTATTTAAGAGAATTCAAATAATAAAATGAGCTCATGTAGGGTTAGCGCTAATCATCATCTTCAAAGCACACCTCTTACCTTTTTGGAGCATTAAAACAGCTCCATATCCACAGCATACTTTGACAGTAAGGAAGGAGGCAGTATTGTAACTCAGAAATACAACTGTCAGCAAGGATGGCCCTTTTCCATGTCCCCACCATTTGATAGCTCTCACTTTGCCAAGCCCAAAGGTCTTAGATCACATGTGCCTTTCAAAGTCTGGAACAAATGTAATTTCCAAATGCTATCCCTCTTTTGTCACCTACATCTATAATGAACTTGAGATTTTTTTTCATGTAAAATTAAAAGGAAGTAAAACTAGTGAGTAGACAAAAGCTTTAGATTCTTCTGTATGTTAAATAAATCTAATTATGGTCTATGAGGGATTCTACATTGTCCTAAATTCCACATTTAAAAATTTTCCAAACCCAGATTTCAAATGAGTAATATGCTTCTTAAAGTGTGGAATCACATCGTTTTTATTCCTGTCTAAGCAATGTTAGGGCACACATTCCAAGAGTGAAAGCAGTCAATGGATGCTTTTTGAATTGATGAACAAATGTGTGAACTAATGAATAACATATCTCAATGAAAGTAGCTAAGTCCTGTTTAGAGAAAATAAGTGTATTTACTTATTTACTTACTTTGGCTATGTAGTATGCATCATAAAATATTTTCTTATTTATGAAAGTTTAAACATAATTAAGTTAAAATTATCTATTCAAATTTCTAACATAAAAATATATTTTAGGAAGCTGTGCTTTGTATACACTGAGACACTGGGGGGCAGTTCTCCCTCTCCACTCAAAGATATTTCCATACCAAAAACGAATAAATAAGTGAATAAACAAATCTTCAAAGGATTACAAAGAAACGTAAGACATTAAGACATAAATATTAAGCATGTCTAGTAAAATGCCCAAAATAAAGTTAAAGACAATCCCATATCTATTCTTACCTTTCTTAAAATGTTTAGAAACACTTCCTTTGATCCAGTAAATAATACATCATCACCCAATTGAACTTAACAGACGAACTGGATGTTCGATGAATTGTCTCTTGTATATATTAAATAGTAGGAACTCAATAAATATTTGCTACATTAAGTTAAAGCAGCACTTTTATGAGTTATGCTAATTGCAATAATTACTCCAGTTTCTGTGACTAAGCTTAAATTACATTTGTAAAAGATCAGTCTATAGTACCTTAAGCTTTACTTTTTAACTTCTTTCAAAGATAGAATTGTATATGTAACAGAAGTATGAGGTTTTTAAAATGTCATTGAAGGAGAGATACACAAGGAAAATAGTCTTCCCTGAAACAGCGTAGGCAGGGCTTGTCAGAATCATTATGGGAATAATGTAATCATTTGTTTTCGATTGGCTGGCTGTCCACAAGACAGACAGTGGGAATGCACTCTATGCTAAAGCCTGGAAGAGAAGCCTGCCCTGACTTCAGAGCTGTCCATGCACTTACGACCCTGAGTGACATAGTTCTGATAAATTCTCCCAAAGCACAACGTCACATCTTCCATAGGAACCCTTGGCAAATCTGTAAAGCAGGCATTGTCTTCTTCAGTCCCTTGCCACCCAACTTAAATATTCTGTTCACTGTATAAAATCCAGGGTCCTTCCTTCTTTTCCCTTTTTCTTTACCTAAGAACAGCAAACTTTCTTTTTTTGAAAAGGCAAACAGTGTTCTTCTAATCCAATACAGAATTTTAAAAAGACAAGAAAAAGCTGGTTTATCTCTCTGGACCATATAATTTTGCATGGGCTATTACAAAGAATTTTGCTATGAACATTCTTGCACATGTATCATGCACAAGATCCTCAAATGGATATACCAAGAAGTGAACTTGTTGGATCCTAGACTATGATATTGTCCATGAACTAGATAATGGTAAGCAGTTTTCTGAAGCAGTTTCAACACTTCACACATTATTCACACTCTATGAGAATTCCCATTCTCCATATTCCACCAACACTTGGTTCAGGCCTTTTGCTCGACATCCTATATAACCTCGTAGTGTTAGGCTTTATAGTTTTGCCAGGCTGGTAGGTGTGAAACTGTAACACTCTGTAATTTTATGATTAGGTATTCCCTTGGTTGCAATGAGATCGAGCACCCTTTACATGTTTATTGCGCATCTTTATTTCCTCTATTGTAAAATGCTTGGGTAAGCTGTTTGCCCTTTTTACCACTGAGTTCCTCGAGTAAAAAAATATTTAATATATGTTTATTATGTATATATTTTATAGGGTTTATAAATACCATGTGTGAATATATATATGCACACATACATACATACATACTGGAGGTAAACTCTTATATACGCACACACATTTACTGATAGTGGTGCAAAAATATTCACATTTGGGTCCACATGATGAATATCAATTTTCTCTTACCTCCATAATTCCTTTGCGTTATAATGAAAGTTGACATTTTAAACCAGGTGGATAAGCTTCTGTTCAATTCTCCCAACATGAGTATTTTATAAATCTTTTCTCAAGTCAGTCCCCAAGATGTTGTGATTAACTTGTCTCATACTCTGCCCATTTTCTCAAGTCAATCCAAGATGCTGTGATTGAGTTTTCTAGTATCCTTCCCATTCCTGTCTTTCTTCACTCAATAATCTTCTTGACAACACTCACTACTTACAAACCACACTGGACGAAGAACAACTTTATTAGAGGTCATATAAATTACAGAATGTCAGAATTATTATAGAAGGAAACCTTGACTTGCCTCCTTCTTTGATAGAAAAAAACCCAGAAGCCCTGTGCCTCTCTCTCTCTCTCTCTCCCTCTCTCTCTCTCTCTCTCTCTCTCTCTCTCTCTGTGTGTGTGTGTGTGTGTGTGTGTGTGTGTGTGTGTGTGTGTGTGTGTGGTAGTGGAGTGCTCACAGAACCGCCTAGGGTGGCAAAGTGAGTTATTTATGGTCACAGACAGGATAGGTCAGTCTTTTTTGTTTTTTAACCTCATGCTTCTCAGTCACTTGAAAATATTATGCTCCAAAAGGTTTATGGCAGTGGAAAATGAAAGACAGACAGAGAGACAGAGAGACAGAGAGAGAGAGAGAGAAAGGATGAACTGGATAGTTCAGAAACATGGGAGAACATACATTCATATCTACCATGTGCCAGCCTCCCAAAGGGCACCAAATCCCATCACTATTTTCCAGAAAAGAGGAAAGGACTCAACTAAATGTTCATTAATTTTTTTTTCTGGTTTTCCCATTTGCTAGGCAAATCTAAATAATCCCTCTCTGGCTTTTTCTAGTTATAGGCTGAAATCACCTTGGTTTTCTTGTATCTTGGCCCTTGCCATTCAGGTCTCCACCAGAGACGGGAGAGCACTGGGGACAGGAAAGGGAGGGGATGGCAGGGCGTTCCACTTCCACTTCCCAATTCACAGTGCAGCCTTGCTGTATCATTGTTTTGTTTTTTTTTAATTTTACTGTATGTTCTGGGATACATGTGCAGAAGGCGCAGGTTTCTTACATAGGTATACATGTGCCATGGTAGCTTGCTGCACCTATCAACCCATCATCTAGGTTTTAAGCCCAAAATGCATTAGGTATTTCTCCAAATGCTATCTTTCCCCTTGCCCCCGACCCCCTGACACGCCCCAGTGTGTGATGTTCCCCTCCCTGTGTCCATGTGTTCTCATTGTTCAACTCCCACTTATGAGTGAGAACATGTGGTGTTTGGTTTTCTGTTCCTGTGTTAGTTTGCTGAGAATGAAGGTTTTCAGCTTCATCCATGTCCCTGCAAAGGACATGAACTCATTCTTTTTTATGAATGCACAATATTCTACGATGTATATATGTCTCATGCTGTATCATTGTTAATGTCACTCAGAACTACTGCTTTATTAAAGAAAATGTGTTGGCGTATTTGTAGAGTAGAACACTCTTTGAACACAAGTGTAATTTTAGAATGTCCAAAAATATTCACCCCCTCCACAAAGATCCACTCTTCTGTACCCTGTGGAGTCACATGTTTCAGTCCCTGGAACAATCTTCTTGACTTTCATTGCCTAATGTAAAATTAAAGTAAGTCCTGAGTAGCTGAGGAAATTCTCTAGCCTCTTACCATAGAGCAAACTTCTCTGCTCCAGAATAGTTCACATGTTTTTGCAAAAATAGATAATGTAACTCAAAAAAATGGAAATAAATGAGCTGTTTGGTCATTAACTGTGATGACTTACAGCAGAGTCTGAAAGCTTTTCTGAAGAAGTAATCTAAATCAGCTCTTGTTCATCTTAAATTTTGTTAAATTAACTTATTTTAAAATCTATAATTATTTGTTAATATTAATAATAGTTATGTGCCAGGCACTGTTTTAAATTGTGCATATATATTATATTTAATTTATTATATAAATGTATATATGTAATTTAATCTTTTATGTATATACATAATTTAATTTAAATGTATATACGTAATTTAATCTTTACACTAACCGTATGGTTAGTGTAAAATATGTACCTCATAAAAATATGAGGTACATATTTTTATGATCACAACTTTACAGCTCAAGAAGTAAGGCACAGAGAGGTTAATGTATTGCCTAAGGTCACAGAGCAGGTAAATAGAAGCTGACCACAGGTTATTTACTACGAGTTTCTTCTTTATAATGCCTATCTAATTAGAAATGAAAGGGAAGTATAAAGTCTTTCCCTATGAGGAAATAAGCCCGCACTAGACACTGAATCTGCCAGCACCTTGACCTTGGACAGTCCAGCCTCTAGTACTCTGAGAAATAATTTCTGTTCTTTATAAGCCACATAGTTTATGGCATTTTGTTATAGCCATCCAAATAGGTGGACTAAAATGGGATAATCTGAGAAAATGGTGTTGGACTTGCATTTTATTCCAAACAAATGGTCAAACTTTTCTTTTGGAACCAAAGGCCTTTAAGAAGATGAGTACCCTAGGTCTTTTTTAAAACATTCATTACAAAGTTTTCATGCTATTCATTCCTAGTAATGCAGTACATATGGCATCTAGGAACTAACAGACTTCATTTGAATTTAGGAGACTAAGATTTAAACCCTGACACAAACTGTGTAATCTGGATCATGTTAGTGGTTTGAAGTATTCAATATTGTAGTCCATAAAAATAAAAGTACTTCCCAGTCCTTGAATTTGGGAATGCCTTCTGTGCATAAGGTACTTGCTGTGTGTCAAGCAGAGTGTTAGACACCAGCAGAAAATTTGCAGAAAGTAGAATAAGAAACTCCTTGGTTAATATATTGTAACCTCTTTAAAGTTGAATATTTCCTCTCAGAGCTAATTTCACCTTGCTTGTACTGTCCTTGAAGCCACTCAAGACTACTAGATTATTTGGGAAATGTGTTGATGCTCATACATTCATAATGGGAGAAGTGCATACTTGGATGGAACCCTGATTCTGCTTTTCAAAGTCCAGCACTAATTAAAACCCCTGCAGTGGTCTGTGATTCCTCTCCTACTTACTTGCTGGCTCTATCACTTCACCATCCTCATGTATGCCTTCATTTTGTGCATAAAAGTCAATGAGGCTTGAAAGGGTGACCGGTGGATGTTTCTCTTAACGAACTCTGCTTGTTTCCAGCATGGCAGCTTGGATATTTGGAATAAGCCTGCAGGGCATTTTGTTTGCAAATATTGTCACTTTAGTCTCTTTTTACTTCCCAAAAGTGCTTGAAAATTTCAGCGGAAACTGTGTGCACAGCTGTCATCTCTGGGGCCCCTGCCATGCCCCCATCAAATGTTCCATTTGGCTTTGCAGTCTTTGTCATAGCAGCCACTTGGCTGTCTGCCACAGCATCTGGATATCTGCCCTGGTGTAGTACCTGGGCATCATAGGACTTACTACCACTAAGTATCATGGGGCAAGTTGAACAAGAATCACTAAAGTGGATTCACGGATTAATAATGGATAGTCCATGTCCCCAAAAGGCTCTAACCATCCATTAGGAAAGATGGGCATAAGCATAAATAACAACAGGAAATTAGTAAGATAGAATGCCTAATGATAGGGCAAGCAAACCAACTTCAGTATTTCAAATCGGCTCACTGGAGCTATATAGTGCGACATCCATTGTAAAATCTTAGCATCTTTGGGTTTAGTTTCCTCATCTGTAAAATAAAGATTGGACTTTATGTATCTAAATTCCCGTTCACTCCTCAAGTCTCATGTCATTGCAAATCAATACACCTTCCAGAGGTTGGATTTCTCCATTTTTAAAATAAAGACTTTAAAAATCACTAGCACAAGATTGGCACATAATAGGTAACCAGTAAATGATGTCTATCTTTGTAGTATTTGCTATTGTTATTTGAGTATAGATGGTCTGGGTGGTAAGATTTGTGGAGCTAACTGTTGGGTTTTTTGAACCCAATAAGTTCCATTGTTCTTAATGTGTTTTGTTTGTTTGTTTGTTTGTTTCAGAACACCAAGGCTTTTGTTTTTAAGAACTTTTCACTGAAATGCTGGCAAAATGAAGGTGTATATTATTGTTTGATGGGAATAGGGATACCTTAAACCTGTAAGCTAGTACCTCTAGTATCAGATATCATTAGGTAGAAAAAAACAAAGTAAAGAGGGAGGGGGAAGTCTTTGAGCAGCAATACAACTCCATCAAGAAACTGAAGAAAATAGGAGCAAAATTTCTTGCAAATGATAGAAGCCAAAACCAGACTTTCTTATCGGTGTCCATCCAAGGATCACTTATAATGCATACAGTGGACAGGAATGGCCACTTAAGAGTGAGAAGTCTACAGCAAGAAGATTCCAGGTGAAACAAGGAGAATGACCCCAAATGGAACAGCATCCCTCAGCTTCGGCAATTGTTTGCTATGTGAGAATGAGTTCCCAGGGCTGTCTGGCATCTGTTCATTTGATTGCTTTTTTATCAAAAGCCAGAAATCAAGATTCTTATGATAAGCTTCTTAAGCTTTAAATACTAGCAAATTATTAAATGATAAAAAAAATCAATGAATATAATCTTAATGAAATGTATATTTGAGGTAATGTTCCCAGAGTGCGGTCAGATAGACATGTCTGAATTTGGCTTTCAGGCAAGTTATGTGGAAGCAACACTTAAGAGAGAGAAAAAAAACAAAGTGGTGGGTAGACAGAGTAGACTTCTCTTCAATCTAATCTAACCTCATCTCTTTATCATTGAAAAATTAATAGCACTTCACTGTCCCTTAGATGCACTTCCTATGTCACCTATTCAAAGGATATTAAACATGCAATTCTATGCGTTTTCAGAGTGTAATGCGAGGGAGGCTGATGGTGACTCCCCAAATCGGAGATAAACGATCATAGGATATTAGAGCTGGAGTTGCCTTCATAATTGTCTCATGCAGTTCACATTTTAACATTGAAACTGAGTTTCAGAGAAGTTAAGAGATTCATCTAAAATCACACAACTTGTTAATAGCAAAGCTGGTACAATAATCCGTGTATTTTCATCTTGCTTGTAGAGAGTCCATATCTTCTGAATTTAGATCTTCTTTTACAAATTGTCCACTTATCCCAACCAGATATCAAAAAGTCAACCCTCTTTTTGTTATTAAAAATATAAAATCACTTGGGCCTGTCTTCAAAAGTTTCTCCACATGGGCAGAGGTTAGGAGTGTGAGGAAAATGGCCTCTGGAGCAACAATGATTTAAAGCTTGAGCCGTAGCCTTTGATCACTAGCACACTTTGCCCTGCTGTGAATTCCACAGATGGAGTTTTCTCGGGGAGCTATATAACTTTCTTGCTTATGTAGTTGAAATAAATCTAAACCCACTTACTTTGCTCTCCTGCCCAGTTTTTATTAACTACAGGTTGCAAGGCAAGTTTGGAGGCATTCGCTCCAGCCAAGTTTTGTGCATGGTACGCCACTGCCCTCTACTGGTGGTACTATTCAAACCCCTCCTTCTGTCTCCCAGGGATGTGATGTGTTTAGTCCCAGGTTAAGAGGGAAATTTTGTGATGCAGACAGTTCTTTTGGATCCAAGACATGCAAATAAAGGGCAGTAACAAATGATGTATTACATTAAGGAATTTATTTCAGGTAAATGAGTTTCACCATTTTCTGTGTTAATGTTTCTGTATCCCTGGTGAAATCAAGGATAAATTGTGTGTGTGTGTGTGTGTGTGTGTGTGTGTGTGTGTGTGTCTACATATTGGAGACATCAGGCCTGTGGGTTCATAACTGTGGAAGGAGAAATTAAACCAAAGCAAAACACCTGTTAACTTATGCCAGTTGGTCTTCTGCGGTGAAGGTGGAGGGAAGTTCTTTGAAATATTTACTGGTTTATATCAAGCATAGTTTCAAGTATAGTTGAGTTTTAGTCCTAGACCTTACTTAATATGTAGGTAATGAGGTTCATCTGGCTCAAAATATTAAACAGAAACTGCATTTTGCAACTAGTATAATCTATCTTCTTTCTCTCTTTTGAAACAGTGGCTCATAGATAGTCAAATGTATTCTCTTCTGTTTTTCATTAATGCTAAATTGAAGAAGAGTTGAATTTCTTTTTTCTATATTAATAGCACATGGATTCACACACTGAAGAGCCAATGAACAGGAATTTTGCAGGAAAAAAAGAGGATTTCTCTGTCAACATACCCAGGGTCTCAACAGTTTCTAGGTTATTAATGTGCCTCAAAAAACTGTAAGAGCTGCATATGTATTAAGGCAGCTAATCATTTTTCCATCAGCTTTGTGTAATCTTCCAATTCTGGATGCAACCAGTTTTCAACACATTGTGAAAGAAAGGCAAATGCTCTTGCAACTGGCCTCATGCCATGTAGCAAAACACAGACTCGGAACAACTAATTTGAAGCTGAAATTAATGCCTTTTTTAATTCTGGGGAAACTGTTCTCTTGAGAAAGGTGTTTTTCCTTTTTTTAACCTATATGTTACATGGGTGTCAGAATTACATATTTTCTCACAAGATTTTACATCAGCCCTGATATTTCTATGCTGATAAAAGTGAATCCATGTGACAATGGAAATATTTCCTACAGAGCATTTAAAATAAACATATTAAATAAAATTAGAATTCAGAGGGATCTCAAAAATAATACTTTAGGATTGATTACATAGGCACTCCTTTTATTTTGGTTGATCTATGTACCTATTTATCTATCTATCTATCTATCTATCTATCCGTCTATCAGTTAAATTGTAAATGCATCCATTTTGAATCCTATGGTATTTAACAGACTTGAACAGTTGGAATGGTCAAGTTATACTTTTTATTTGCACCTGCCTGAAATATACACAGTTATATGACAGTGGCAATGAAAATCAAATTTCTGTTCCACAGATAAGAAAGTAATTACTTATTATTCAACTTTTTAAGTGGTCAAATGTTTATTTCTTAATTGGACAACTACACTAAAAGTACTTGTTTGCTTGAAATAAATCTTGTGCCTAATTTTTTCTGTGTATTGGTGGCTAACTTAGTCAATTCCATCTTACTCTTCTTCAAAAAACGGCTTTATTGAGCTATCATTCACATACTATACATTTCAGCCATTGAAAGTTGCAGAATTCAGAGGTTTTTAGTATATTCACAGAGATGTGCAGCCATCACCAAAATCTAACTTCAGAAAATTTTTGTCACCCCAAAAAGAAACCCCACTCGCATTGGCAACCACTCCCCCATCTTCTCTCCCATCCCCTTCCCACCACCCTTTCCTATCCCTAGGGAACCATCAATCTACTTTTCTTGTCTATAGATGTGCTTTTCTACATATTTAATTTAATAGAATCATACCATATATAGTCTCTTGTGACAGGCTTCTTTTACTTAGCATAAAGACTTTGAGATTCACCCATGTAGTGGCACGTATCAGGTACTTCACTGCTTTAATGTCTGAAAAAAGTATTTCTTTGTATGTATACACCACATTGTATTTATCCATTCATCACATAACAGAATAGACATGAGGCTTTTTTAAATTTTTATTTTATTATTATTATTTTTTAGACAAGGTCTTACTCTGTCATCCAGGCTGGAGTGCAGAGGCACGATCATGGCTCACTGCAGCTTCAACCTCCCCAGGCTCAGGTGATCTTCCCACCTCAGCCCCCTGAGCAGCTGAGACCACAGGTGCAAGCCACCATGCTTGGATAATTTTTGGATTTTTTGTAGAGATGAGGTTTTGCCATGTTGCCTAGGCTGGTCTTAAACTCTGGCCTCAAGCGATCATCCCACCTCAGCTTCCCAAAGTGCTGAGATTATAGGCATGAGCCACCGTGCCTGGCCTGACATTTGGCTATTTCACTTTTTGGCAACTATGAATAATGCTGCTGTGAGCATTCATAGATACGTTTTTCATTTCTCTTGAGTGTATACCTCAGAGTGAAACAGTTTAGTCATATTATAACTCTTTGTTTAAATTTACGAGAAAATGCCAGCTGTTTTCCAAATAAGCTCCAGTATTTTACATTCCTACAGGTATTATGTGAGAGTTCTACTTTTTCCATATAATCTCCAGCATTGTCATTGTCAATCTTTTTCATTATAACCTTCCTACTGGGTAAAATTGGATTATATATCTCTTAGTTATTGAGTTGTAAGAATACTTTATGTATTCTAGATGCTAATCCGTTACCAGACATGTAATTTGCAAATATTTTCTCCCATTCTGTGGGTTTATCTTTTCATTTCTTGATTATACAATTTGCAGCACAAAATGTTTTAGTTTTGATCAAGTTCTATATATATATAACATGTGCTTTTAAATATATATATATATTTAACGTGCATATATATATATATATATATGTATATACACACACATATATATTTTTAACATGTGTTTTTGGTATAGAGAAAACACTGCCTGAACCAAGGTCACAAAGATTTATTCCTCCATTTTCTTCTAAGTGTTTTTTGTTTTAGCACTTACGTTTAGGTCTATAACCCATTTGAGTTAATTTTTGTATTTAGCATAAGGAAGAAGTCCAACTCCATTTTTTGTATGTTGTTATCCAGTTGTCCAGTACCATTTGTTTAAAAGACTATATTACCCCCAAATTAATTCTCATGATGTCTTTGTTAAAACTTCATTCACCAAGAAGACAATGGTTTATTTCTGGACTCTCAAGTCTGCTCCATTGACCAATATGTCTACTTTATGTTAGTGCCATACTGTCTTGATTACTGCAGTTTTGTAGTAAGTGTTGAAATTGGGAACTGTGGGCCTTCCAACTATGTTCTTCTTTTTCAAGTATCAATTATATTTTTCTTAATTGGACAACTTAACTGGAAATATCTCTTTGCTCTAAACTGAATGTTGTAGATGTTTCTTCCTATACATTGGTATCTGCTTTAGTAATTACCATCTTGTTCTTTTTGGTTAAAGCAAATTACTTGGTTTTAATATTATGTCTGGCAAAATTTACTATGCAATTTGAAACAAACATGAGGAATTTTAAAAAGATTGTTGCTTTTTAACTCACGTAATTTTGCTTCTAAACGTTCTTCCAAGAAAGGTACACACTGTGTGGTCTTCTTTGATGCAACTGGGCAAAGAGCCAGGATTGGAACTATTAGCTTTCACTGGGCCCAGGTCAGTTGCAAGTCAGGGGTTCCATAATTGAGAGAAAAGAATGAAAGAAACTGTCTAGGAAGAAAAGAAGAGTACCAGTGTAACAGGAAACAGAAACCAGCAAAATGAAGTAAGTTAACTATATTTTTGCTCATTTTTCTTTCCAAAGAAGCATTAAGTTTGATTGTTAGAACTATATGATGAGAAGAAAAAAAGTTTTGGTGAATGACCTTGTTCTCTTTATGGCAAGGAGGACACTAGAATTCTAATAAAATCTAGAATAATTTCAACATTTTCAAAAAACACTGTTGACTACTCTAAGATTCTAATTTTGAAGATAAGCAAGAACCCTAGATGAGATAAACAAAATTGTCCAGATGGCAGACACCCAAGCCACTACTGAAACTAAGATCTTTTAGCTCCCAGGTCAGATTTAATAAAGGTTTACCTTCAGCAGAAGTTACAACAAATAAGAGTTTTGTTTTAGAGGAAGAGTTGAGAGGAAAATAGAAAGAAACAACAGGAGACAATACAACCTTGTATAAATTTGGCATTCCTAAATTTTATATATATGGCACAGGAAGTCAGGGGTATCAATGAAAACTTGTGTTTATGTCTCCCAGTGAATCATATTGTCTGCCTAATACCCTATTTTAAGACTGTGCTAGAACCCCCATCCCAGACTGATTGCAATGAGCAATGACTGACCTGCATCTCTCTGGGCTGGAGCCCCCAGGAAATAAACAAAAGACCGTTGGCTACAACCACTACTAAGGTCCTTTCTTCTGCTGCCTCAAAATTGAGAAAAAAGCAAACGACTTGGAAAACATATTTTAGGATCTTATCCAGGAACACAGGCTCAGTGTTTTGTGCTTTTCTCTTTTGCACATGCTCCACTCTTATTCCATAGGATGATAAACATAAACCCTAACGTCACCCCAGAGCTGTGGATGGCAGCTCAGGAGTGCCAAGCCGTAATCTACAGCCAGCAGTCAAGTGGGAGAAGAGCCCACACTTGCAGAGCATTGAGAGGGAACATGACTGCAACTGTGAAGAAATATATGAGAGCCACACGACTGAGCAAGAGCCAACTACCTGGCCACTATGCCTAAGTGCTACTTACTGGATCATACCTCTGAGCTTTAAGTCCAAAAATACCTCACTAATATAACCTGTGAAACCAAAGACAAGAAGTCAGCTATAAATAAAAACACTGCACAAAGGCTCAGCTACGTGAAAACATCCAGAAAAGAAGTCTGTTAACTGTACTTAATCTACATCACAGTTAAAGGAACACCTACATGTAGATATGAAAAAGAACTAACTCAAGAACTCTGGCAACTCCAAGGACCAGAGTGGCTTATGTCCTCCAAATCATTGTACCAGTACTCCAACAAGAGTTCTTAGGTTAAGCTGGCTGAAATGACAAGAATAGAATTCAGAATATGGAATGAAAATCATTAGGATTCAAGAGAACATCAAAACCCAATCTAAGGAACCTAAGAATCACAATAAAATAATACAGGAGCTGACAGATGAAGTAGCCAGGATGAAAAAAGAACCTAACTGATCTGATAAAGCTGAAAAACACACTACAGGATTTTCATAATGCAATTGCAAGTTTTAACAGCAGAATAGGCCAAGCTAAGGTAAGACTCTGATCTTAAAGACTGATTCTCTGAAATAAAACAGTCAGGAAAAAAAAAAAAAAAGAAAAGGAAAGGAAAAAGAGAAGGAAAAAACATATCCTCTGAGAAATATGGGATCATGTAAAGAGGGAAAAGGTACAAATCACTGGCATCCCCAAAAGGGATAGGCAAAAATCAAACGACATGGAAAACATATTTTAGGATATCATTTATAAAAACTTCCTGAACCTCACTATAGAGGCCGATAGTCAAATTCAGGAAATGCAAGGAACTCCTGCAAGATTCTACGTAAGATTACCCCAAGACACATGATCATCAGATTTTCCAAGGTTGAAATGAAAAAGAGAATGTTAAAGGCAGCTAGAGAGAAAGGGCAGGTTACCTGAAGAGGAACCCCATCAGGCTAACAAAAAACCTCTCAGCAGAAACCCTCCAAGTCAAGAGAGATTGGGGGCCTATACTCAACATTCTTAGAGAAAAATTTTCAACTAAGAATTTCATATACAACTAAATGAAGCTTTCTACATGAAAAAAAAATAAGACTGTTTTCAGATAAGCAAATTCTTAGGGAACTCATTACAACCAGACCCATTTTACAAAAGATCTTGAAATGAGCACTAAATATGGAAAGAAACGACTAACTAGCCAATAGAAAAAACAGTTAAATACACAGACCAGTGATACTATGAAGCAACTACGCAAACAAGCTTGCATAATAACCAGCTAAAAATGCAATCACAGGATTAAATCCACACATATCAACACTAACCTTGAATGTAAATGAGCTAAATGCTCTATTTAAACAGCAAAGAGCGGCAATCTGAACAAAACGAAAGACCCAATGATATGCAGTCATCAAAAGACCCATCTTACATGCAGTGACACCAATACACTCAAAATAAAGGGATGGAGGAAAATCTACCAAGCAAATGAAGAAAACAGAAAAAAAAAACAGGGGTTGCAACCCTAATTTCAGACAAAACAGACTTTAAACCAACTAAGATCAAAAAAGACACAGAAGGCCATTACATAATGGTAAAAGGTTCAATTCAATGAGAAGACCTAACTACCCTACATATACAGCACTCAACACAGGAGAACCTAGATTTATAAAGCAAGATCTAAAAGGAGACTTAGACTCCCACACAGTGATAGTGGGAGACTTCAATGCTCCACTGACAGTATCAGACAGATCACTGCAGCAGAAAATTAACAAAGATATTCAGGACCTTAACTAAACATTGGACCAAATGGCTCTAACAGACCTCTGCAGAACACTCCACTCCCAAAACAACAAAATAGACATTCTTCTCATTGCCACATAGCACATACTGTAAAATCAAGAACACGGTCAGAAATGAAACAATCCTCAGCAAGTGCAAAAGAACCAAAATTATATCAAACACACTCTCAGACCACAGCACAATAAAAACAGAAGTCAAGACTAGGAAAATCACTCAAAACCATACGACCACATGGATATTAAACAATGTGCTCCTGAATGACTTCTTGGAAAATAATGAAATAAATGCAGAAATCAAGAGGCTATTTGAAACTAACGAGAACAAAGATACAACATACCAATGTATCTGAAACACGGCTAAGGCAGTGCACAGAGGGAAATTTATGGCAATAAATGCCCACATCAAAAAATTAGAAAGATCACAAATTGGCAGCCTAACATCACAACTGAAAGAATTAGAGAAGCAAGAGCAAATCAACCCCAAATCTAGCAGAAGACAACAAATAATAAATATCAGAACTGAACTGAAGGAAATTGAGACACAAAAAAACCATTCAAATGATCAATATTTCACTGGTTTTTTGAAAGAAATTAATGAAATAGTCCACTAGCTAGACTAATAAAAATAGAGAGAGAAGATCCAAACAAACACAGTTTGAAACAGCAAAGAAGATGTTACCACCCACCCCACAGAAACACAAATAACTCTCAGAAACTACTACGTACAACTTTATGCACACAAACTAGAAAGCCTAGAAGAGATGGATAAATTCCTGGACACATATACCCTCCCAAGACTAAACCAGAAAGAAATTGATTCCATGAGCAGATCAATAATAAGCTCCAAAATTGAATCAGTAATAAGTACCCTACCAACCAAAGAAATCCCAGGACCACATGGATTTACAGCTGAATTCTATCAGATGTACAAAGAAAAGCTAGTACCATTGCTATTGAAACTATTACAGAAAATTGAGGAGGAGGGACTCCTCCAAAGCTCATTCTTTGAGGCCAGCATCATCTTCATAGTAAAACCTTGCAGAGACACAAGAAAAGAAAAAAAGAAAACTTCAGGCCAATATCTTTGATGTATTTTGATGCAAAAATCCTCAATAAAATATTTGCAAGCCAAATCTGGCAGCATATCAAAAAGTTAATCCACCATGAAGAAGTAGGCTTTATTTCTGGGATGCAAGGTTGGTTCAACATATGCAAATCAATAAATGTGATTAATCACATAAACAGAACTAAAACCAAAAACCACAGGATTATCTCAATAGATGCAGAAAGGCTTTCAATAAAATTCAATATCACTTCATGTTAAAACTCTCAATGAATTACATATTGAAGGAACTACCTCAAAATAATAAGAGCCATACATGACAAACCCACAGCCAACATCATACTGAACATGTAAAAGATAGAAGTGTTCCCCTTGAAAACTGGCAAAAGGCAAGGATACCCTCTCTCACTACTTTCATTCAATGTAGTATTGGCAGTCCTGGCCAGAATGACCAGGCAAAAAAAAGACATAAAGGGCACCCAAATTGAAAGAGAGAAAGTCAAACTTTCTCTGTTTGCAGAAGACATGATTCTATATCTAGAAAAACCCATGGCTGGGCGTGGTGGCTCACACTGTAATCCTAGCACTTTGGGAGGCTGAGGCAGGAGGATCACCTGAGGTCAGGGGTTCGAGACCAGCCTGGCCAACATGTTGAAACCCCGTCTCTACTAAAAATACAAAAATTAGGCAGGAGAATCGCCTGAATCCAGGAGGCGGAGGGTGCAGTGAGCTGAGATTGTGCCACTGCACTCCAGCCTGGGCGACAGAGTGAGACTCTGTCAAAAAAAAAAAAAAAAAAACCCATAGTCTCAGCCCAAAAGCTCCTTCAGCTGATAAACAACTTCAGCAAAGATTCTGGATACAAAATCAACATTAAAAACTCAATAGCATTCCTATACACCAATAACAGCCAAGCCAAGAACCAAATCAGGAGTGCAATCCCATTCACATTTGCCACAAAAAGAATAAAATACCTAGGAATACAGCTAACTAGGGAGGTGGAAGATCTCTAGAAGGAGAACCACAAAACAGTGCTCAAGGATATCAGAGAAGACACAAACAAGTGGAAAAACATTCTATATTCATGGATAGGAGGAATCAATATCATTAAAATTCCCATACTGTCCAAAGCAATTTACATATTCAATGCTATTCTTATCAAACTAACAATGACATTCTTCATATAATTAGAAAGAAAACTATACATATACATATACATAACATACATATGAAGCCAAAAAAGACCCCAAATACACAAGGCAATCCTAAGCAAAAGGATCAAAGTTGGAGGCATCATGCAACCCAACTTCAAACTATACTACAGGGCTACAGTGACCAAAACAGCATGGTACAGGTACAAAAATAGACTTATAGATAGACAATAGAGCAGAACTGAGATCCCAGAAATAAGGCTGCACACTTACAAGCACCTGATCTTCAACAAAGCTGAGAAAAACCAACAATGGGGAAATACTCCCCTATTCAATAAATAGTGCTGGGATAACTGGCTAGCCATATGCAGAAGATTGAAACTGGACCCCTTCCTTACACCATATAAAAAATCAACTTAAGATAAATTAAAAAGTTAAATGTAAAACCCCAAACTATACAAAAGCTGGAAAACAACCTAGGCAATACCACTCTGGGCTAGAAATGGGCAAAGATTTCAGGATGAAGATGCCAAAAGCAATTGCACCAAAAGCAAAAATTGACAAATGGGATCTAATTAAACTAAGGAGCTTCTGCACAGCAAAAGAAACTATCAACAGAATGAACAGACAACCTACAGAATGGGAGAAAATATTTGCACACTATGCATCTGACAAAAGCCTATTATCTACAAGGAAATTAAACAAATTTACAAGAGAAACCCAAAGACCCCTGTAAAAAAGTGGGCAAAGGACCTGAGCAGACACTTTGTAAAAGAAAACATACATGCAACTAACAGTCATATAAGAAAACCCTCAATATTACTGATCACTAAAGAAATGCAAATCAAAACCACAGTGAGATATCATCTTACACCAGTCAGAATGGCTATTATTAAAAAGTCAAAAATAACAGATGCTGGCAAGCCTGCAGAAAAAAAAGGAATACTTATTTACTGTTGATGGGAGATAAATTAGTTCAACCATTGTGGAAGATAGTGTGGTGATTCCTCAAAGACCTACAGGCAAAAATATCATTGACTCAGCAATCCCATTAGTGGGTATATACCCAAAGGAATATAAATTATTCTACCGCAAAGGCACATGCATGCGTATGTTCATTCTAGCAACATTCACAATAGCAAGAACATGAAATCAACATAAATGTCCAACAGTGGTAGACTGGATAAAGAAAATGTGGTGTACATATGCTGTGGAATACTACACAGACATGAAGAATAATAAGATCATGTCCTTTTCAGGGACATGGATGGAGCTGGAAGCCATCATCCTTAGCAAACTAACGCAGAAACAGAAAACCATAATTTTCTGTTATTTTGTGTGGGTATAAATATTTCTTGCCTCCTGGAGATTAGTAGAAAAGAAAAAAATAAGAACATAAAGAGCTTAATTAAATCTCTTTGACAAACTAGCTCAATAAAAAAGTTTACATTGATTTTCCTATCATTCAGTCTTCATGCACATTGTTGCATTTTTGAAGGAAAAAGAGAGTATGCATCTTTCATTTTTTTTTAATATCTGAATTTACTGGCTTCCACTTTCCAAGCCTGAAATCTCTGAGATGTTTTGAGAAGGAGAAAGTAACAAAGGCCACCATGTTCTTCCTCTCTCAAAATTATCCTCCAAGGAGAGTTTTGCCACTTCACATTTTCTCAAGTATGGCTCATGAAGCAGCCTCTTAGGAAGAGGGAAAAGAAAAGAAATGAAGTTCATTAATAGTATTAAGTTACAACTAGGAAATATGTTTCAGAAAGTCCAATAGCATCAGCCTTAACAGCACTTTTCTCTCAGTGTCTGCCTTTGTACCAAGCTGTCAGATTGCCAAAATGGCACTACAAAGAAAGCATAATTACTTGGTGGCATCTGACAAATTTCTTGTTCTTTTTTGAGATTTTAAGTATTTCTCCACATTATATGTTAGCAATTGATCCTGGCCTGAGGATGTTCCTATGTCTGTCCACTGGGTCTTCTCAATTCTCACCCCTACTGCCAGGCGTTTCCCTCCTCGTATTACTTGAGATGGTCTGTTTTCTTTCTTTGAACCTAGGTCCTTCTACATCCTTCTCCTGTAATGCACATCTTCCATCTTTCCTAGTGCTTACATACAATTTCTTTTTAATGAGTAAATATTGCTTCTTTTAGCCAAGACCTCTTCTATGTGTAACCATTACAGAAGAGGGAAAGTCAATGTTAGGGAGGAAGTACAATGCGTGCTATGCTTGTACAATTAAGAGAGAAACATGAAAATTATAGAAAAAGACCAATGGCTATAAAAGCAAACAGAAACATGATTGGATGTTTATGTAAAGTTGCAGGCACTGGTGGTAGCTTTTCCTATTTCAAGGATCCTTTTCTTCTGATGTAACAAAATATTAATTTTGTTTGGGTTGCCAATGGGCTTTTTACAAGGATTCAACCCCCAAGACTTGCTTGTAACTATATGTAATCATGTGACACAGATCTGCCTGATGGGATTTGAAAAAAAAGTAAATCTGTTTGACATTTTGCCTTTTGTCTTTCTTCTTCTTTCTTTCTTGGAATAAAGATATGATTCCCAAAATGAGAGAAATTGTCTTGCGACCTTAAGGAAGAAACCACAGAATATTGTTGGCTGATAAAAGATACCAAGACTATCAACCACACACCTCTTGACACATTAGAAAAATTAACTACCTTGCTTGTGTGTGTTATTGAGTATTAGGAAGCATCTAAGTAAAATCCCAATATGTTTGTGCATGAGTATATGTGTCTCTGTATGTGTATTATAAATTATAATACCAACTATACTCCTAAGTCTAGAAATAACCTTTTAAAACACATTATAAGTGTTTCATAAATGAACATACCAACATTTATTTAACTAATGCCCCATTACACATGTTTAGACTACAGCTTCTCAAACAAGGCTAATATTATTCTCCTAAGGGGATAGAAATATGCGTCGGTGGAGTGTTCCTGGTTGTTACAAAGGTTGATGTAGGCACATTTCTGGAATTTCATGGATGAATGAAAGGAATGTAAAATCTCCTGATACACAGGCCAGGCACACAAATGAAGAACTGCTCACCTAAAGTGCCAATACAGCCCGATTGATAGCCATCAATTTAGGGGTTTTATATTTTTTTAACATTATAAGCAATATAAAAATGTTTTGATTAAAATTTGTGTACAAGCAGCTAATTATTTTCTTAGTGGAAATGACCTAGAGATAAAAATACTGGGTCCAAATTCAGTTACTTTAAGATTTTAGGATTCTGTACACATGCATGTATGTACATACAATGTTTTCCAAGTTGTTTTTCAGAAAATCTGTGCTAATATAAGTTTTGAAATTATTTACATCTTGCCAATTTAAGGAAATTAGTCTTTTAACAGTAGTAGTTGCTTAAAGCAAGGGTTAACTTAATAGTGGTAGAGATGATGGTAAATAATGATGGTTAACTGATAGTATAGAGTTCATTTCATCCCTACCATCAGGTTCCATGCCATCGCTGCTGTGTAAACCATTGTGGGGCTTTCAAACTAGGTGTGCAGGCTACATCTGAGGTCTCCTGAACCAGGTGCCCATAGGTAGCGTTCCCATGCTGTCCTGGGCAAGCCTCACAGGAGTGTGCACCGTGCTGCGTGCAAGTGACTCCAGGACATGTAAATGAACTGGTCTTGTGTCCTCAGGGGTGGAGCAGGTATCAAGAAAGGCTTCATTTTTCCTTTTTTAAAAATAGCATATTAGTAGTATCCCATAAGTTCAAATAAAAGAATATCATTTCTCCTTTGGGGTTAAAGAGCCAGGGAATGCTTCTTTGAGATGCTCTGAACCATTGCTTGCTGAAAGCTGACTCTCCCTTAGCAAAGGCTGTGATGTGCAACTTTTCATCCGGTGTCCAGTGCCCTGGGTGAGACCACCCCAACTTCCATTCAATCTTTATTTTCCACTATTGGCTTCCGTAACACCCATGCCCTCCTGATCGAGGTAAAATTCAAATGCCATTTTCTCCATGAAGACTTCACATAAAGAAAAATACATATACATTTTCCTAATCTTCTCTTAGAAACAATGAAGTCACTCTCTCAATAATAGTAACAATGAAAACAGAAGAACAAACATTTGCATAGAACTTTGTGGACTACAAGCAGCCCTAGGAGGTACTTTTATTTTTTTAATTTTAAAGATGAGGAAATAAAATATTGACTTGTTTGTGATAGGAAGGAAAAAATGAGGCTTCTTAGAAATTCCTGTTGTAAAAATGAGTTCAAATATGCTGTGAATTTCTTTGTGACATAAAATTATCCTAGTAAATTATTAATAAATTATAATTATTTTGTTTAGTGTGATTCTAAAACTTAAAACGAGGCATGCATATTATATAAAATTTAGGAAATAAAGCCTGAACAAAGAAGTTTAACATCATCATAATGACTGTTAATATTTTGGGGTGTTATGCATGAGTGCAAATATTTGTATTTGTGTATTTGCATATATACATTCTTTTGTACATATCAGATAATAAAGTGTATATTGCAATGTGTGACATATTCATCCTTTTATTTCTAGTGTTCAGCATGTATCATGGCAGTCAGGGGACCCTCAATATCTGTTGAATGCTGTGCCTGGAGGAAAAATGTCAGAATTGTTTTAGACTGTGATTTTTTCCATGTGTACAACGTTAGAGTTTGTTTTCTCAAGTACTAAACATCTGCTCGCATGACAATACAAAATATGAGTTCTCTTTTATGGATGAAAGTACTGAAGTTCAGAAAAAAATGATTCGTCTCACATTGTGCAGTTAATAAACTAGAATGCAACTGGAGTCTAGGTCTTCATATTTTAAGTTCTGTGTCTTCACAGTTTGAGTTCAGGATTTCTAGCACAGTTTCCTCAAGTTCCTTTGATTTCCTGGTTAAGATTACATTAAAAAGTGAAATACAACTTACTTTCATGAATTTAAGAATGCTGCAATAAAAATGAATGTGTGTGTTTTAGTTTTAGAATCACACTAAACATACATACATAAATATATAAATTTATAGAAGGATTAAACTGTTATTTATCACATCAAATTTAACAACCTCTTTATAAATGTACACACTGAAATTGCCTGGTTACCTGAAACTCTGTGGGTTTCTGCCTATAGCCATCCATATCCCTGAGTGGCTAGCTATATCATGTGCAGACAGGAGGAAGTCTGACTTTAAGATGGCATCTTGTACGTGAGAAAATGTTAATGGCAACGCTTATACACAAACTGTCAATGCTATTCATATTTGGGGAAAAAAAGACTAATTGTGCCCTTTGAAGTAATACTATGATATTGTGGTTTACTGGGATACAAATCAGGAGCTCTGATTATATCATGTTCCTGTAATTTGTATGTCTCAATGCCAGAATTATTTTTCTGTTTGCAGTTTTTTTTAATACTTGCTGTTAATGGCACAATTGCTGACGTGAAAGACAGTAATAGAGTATAAATCTTTTTTCCCATACCACTCCTCATTGACCTAAATACTTCTACTCTTACTCCTCACCACCATTATTTCAGCCTTTTAATTTGGATTCCCTGATGCTACAACTGATTTGTATGTCAGTATCTCAATTTTTTAAACATAAATTTAAAGTATGTGCATTTGACTGCTCTTTCTTACCCAAGAATAATAAGATAATATTAAAGAGGGCTAATGAAAAAGAAATGACCCTTATTTACTTTGGGAAAATAAGAAGGAATCAAAATCCAAGACTTCTCAAAGGAAACAATTCAACTTCAAAGGTTGTAGAAAGTAAATGAAGCACCAACTCTGCATTTAACTGGATGATAGAAGAAATGTCCGCCATCCACATTTTACTCACAGGAGCTTTTGAGTTTCATCCAGAAACAACAAATACAATAAAAGATACAAAATAGACTACATGGAAAATATAATTATATTATATAAAATATATAATATATACATCTTTATCTATAAAGATAGAATTGTAAGTGCTTAAATAAGTGATACAGGGGCCAGGTGCAGGGGCTCATGCCTGTAATCCCAGCACTTTGGGAGGCCGAGGCAGGCCGATTGCCTGAACTCAGGAGTTCCAGACCAGCCTGGCCAACATGATGAAACCCTGTCTCTACTAAAATACAAAAAATTACCCAGAAGTGGTGGCGTGGACTGTAATCCCAGCTACTCGGGAGGCCGAGACAGGAGAATCGCCTGAACCCAGGAGGTGGACATTGCAGTAAGCCGAGATCGCACAATGGCACTTTAGCCAGGGTGACAGAGCAAGACTCCATCTCAAAAAAAAAGAAAAACAAAAAAAAAGTGATACAGGTATGATGTATAAGAGTTTGAGGGAGCAATCAATTTAATTTGGAAAGATATACAATTCTGATTAAATCTTAAAGGTGTTTTGTATACCACACATGTGTCTCATACGGACACTCTCCAAGGTCGAAACAATCCCACATCAGAAATTCTACATTCTTTTCTTTTTTTTTTCCTGTGAACAAGAAAAAAAATCAGGCCGTGCTTTATTCTCATGTAATCACCTCTGGTGAACACACTGAGAATTTTCTTCTCTGAATCACGTTGGGTGGCATCACACATGAATAATACATGAGGAATTCGAGCCAGAGCTTCCTTTTACCCATGACGGTAGGTGAGCATCACCTTTAGGGGTGGGGAAGGTCTCCTGCCATTGGCTGGTCACTGGTTTGCTTGTAAAAAACACAAGTCCACTTTCCCAACTGTGTAAACATGAACAGATTTGCTGCCTTCAGCTTTGAGTAATATAATTTTCAGTACCTTAGGCCTTGCCTTTCAGAACTTGTTGATAACCATTGGACTCTTTCTCATCTAGGGTAGCATCTAGGCCATGTGACCCCTGTAAGAAATGTTGAGTGAAAGAAAATTCAATGAATACCCAATAAAATATGAACTCTATTTTCTCGTTCTATGTAGTTCTGGAAATGCATATTTTTATTGGGTTATAAGTTAGGAGGTGTATTTAGAATGGTCCTTGAACTGAAGTAGACTCACATTCAGGTAATTGTAGTATTACTACAGTTACAATCTTGTTATCCTCATGCTTGTGTTGGAGATCCTACACAAGAACAATTTGGTTTGTGTAAACGTGGTATATTTCTTGGCCAATAAAATAAAATTAAAACTTCCTTTAGCCAAATGGAAACAGTTTAGATTGACTACTAGGAACCCAAACCTCCATAGTAAATGTAGCAAAAAAATTAAGGAAATACAAATTACATAGCTTGATGGGGACATGGAAAATATAATTATATAAAATATATAATATGTACATGATTTTTTAATATATATCATATATAAATCATATATATATCAAATATATATATCATATATAAAATATATTATATGTACATATAATATATTTTATATATCATATATTATATATTAAAATATATAGGATGTATATAATACATAAAAATATAAGAATCACTTGGAATTAAAAATTCCTTAGTTGACTTTTTTTTTATTTTCCAACATGTGGCTATACTATTCATGATCTTTAATAAGAGACTTCTCTCTCTCATGGGAAGCAACACACTGTAAGATTCCTCCCATCAGCTGACTGTGGAAAATGAATCTGTATCAGTCCTCCAATGCCAGATCAAAGGACTGGCAAAAAATGTCAGTACTTGACAATGATAACCAACCGTTATTATGTACTTCCTATTTTCTAAGTGTGGTCAGCTGTTATTCTACATATATTCTATAGATGTAGATGTTAATCTACATCTATACTCATTTAATGTGAATAACACCTATTACCATGAAGTCAGAAAATATCTGAGGATAGAAACCAGACTACACGAGAGTTCACTCTACTCGAGAAAGAATACAACATTTTTACTGAAGAAATGAGAGAAATGAGGTTGAAATATTTGTTACAGGAAAATATTTTGTAACAATGATCTATTTTAATATTAAGAAAAAAACAGCCAATTTAACACTGAACTAGGGGATTAGGGTGATTGCTATAATCAAGAAGATTAATGTGACTTTCAAGGTCCTCATGAATGCCCAACCTACAAAGCTATGGCGCCCATAATCACTGTTTATATAAGGAAAAGTGGACAGTTTAGGAATTCACAGTGTTGGAATACTGAATAAGTGCTAGGTTGGATATAGAATAAGTGCTAGGTTGGTAAATTAGAAGACACTCTAGTTTGTAGAAAATATTAATCTGGTTGAAATCCAAATGAGATATATTTTTCTATATTACATAAGAAGTTAGTACAAAATGGAGAGTCCATAAAGTTAAAAATTAAATTCATTAAATGAATTCCAAAGCAACTATATTGACCAAATTAATAAATTTAAAAATATGCTCTGAATCCGCTAGGGGTTAAACCAACCATGCCAACTGCTCTTGGACTGTTATTGCTGTTGTGTCATTGCCATTATTTTACTAAACCTATACTGTTGAAAAGCCAGAACAGGGGCAAAGGCCGCCATTTTAACTGAGCAACCCTAGTGATAGGAGCCGAAGCAGCAGCGCAGGTTGTCCCCGTTTCCTCTCCCCCTTCCCTTCTCCGGTTGCCTTCCCGGGCCCCTTACACTCCACAGTCCCGGTCCCGCCATGTCCCAGAAGCAAGAAGAAGAGAACCCTGCAGAGGAGGCCGGCGAGGAGAAGCAGGACACGCAGGAGAAAGAAGGTATTCTCCCTGAGAGAGCTGAAGAGGCAAAGCTAAAGGCCAAATACCCAAGCCTAGGACAAAAGCCTGGAGGCTCCGACTTCCTCATGAAGAGACTCCAGAAAGGGCAAAAGTACTTTGACTCAGGAGACTACAACATGGCCAAAGCCAAGATGAAGAATAAGCAGCTGCCAAGTGCAGGACCAGACAAGAACCTGGTGACTGGTGATCACATCCCACCCCACAGGATCTGCCCCAGAGAAAGTCCTCGCTCGTCACCAGCAAGCTTGCGGGGTAACCTGAGACCCCCTCTCCTCCCCTTCCTCAACCATTGGACTTTTATATATTATAGGCAGGGATGAAATGGGCACCTAGTCAGATCTTCTCAGCTTGCTAGCCAAAAATGACTGTGATTCTGCTGGGGGCTGCTGAGAAGGTAATGTAGGTTGAAAAGGGGCTCTAAGTTTATTTCTTTCGTTAGATTGACACTTCCACACACTCCCTGTAGTCCAGGTAGGGCCCAGAAATAGGAAAGGCTAGGATTGGACAATGCTGCAAATGCTTTTTTTGTGTGAGAAACTGGAGAGATGTGATTTCTCCTTTTGGGAGAGAATGTCCCAAAATTGATTAGGCTGAGCCTTGGGAATAATTTGGCAGGTTTAACATCCCAAGGCTAACCTAACATAGTTGGGAAAGGTAGATTGAATGAGACATGTTTTCTGTGCTTCTAAGTGTTCTGTCCCTTCGGCTGCTATTGCTTCATGTTTCCATTATGGCGAGTTTAGAGAATCCTTAAAAAGAAAAATTGACTTGCTTGCCTAAAACTACAGTGCCCCCTTAGCCTCCATTACTTAGTATCTCTTACAGTTTGCTCTGCCTTTCAAGTAATGTAAAGATTGATGAACATTATTCACAGAAAATGGGCACCTTCTCTCTCTTTTCCAGCATGTTGCTTTTGAAAGTATCATGGTATAGTGGGAAGAGCACTGGTTTAGGAGTCAAGATGTCTGGGTTCTCACTCTACTCAGTCCCAGCAGAGCTGTTGTATAACCTTGGTTAAGTCATTTAGCCTCTCTGGATTTCTATTTCCTCATCTGTAAAATAGAGTTAAATGTATGTAAGATTGATTCTGATTCTGAAGTCATAACTGCCAGCAGAAAAACTCCGTACTGTTCATTGTAAAACTAAAAGTGAGGAAGGCTCGTGGGTGGTTAACCTCTGCTCTGCAATATTGGGAAAGTACTACAGAGGGGAACCATTTGAGGGATGCATGAGGAGAGAGTAAATTGAGGTTTGGGGATTATAAATTCAGGCAAGAGAATCTTATCGATATCACAGTCTTGAGGGTCAAAAAAAAAAAAAATACTTAGGAAGCTAGCCATGGAAGCTTCTTGCCTCTGACCCAGCCCACTTTCCCAGCCTACCTCTGGGCCTTAGCTGCTAAAAAGCTTCTCTGGCAGCAGAGCTGCAGGCCTAAGGAAACATGCTCAGTCATGCACATATGTTGACCCATGTTTCAGATGCAGTCTGATGCCAGGTATATTGTTAGGGAAAGAGGAAGAAGGGTAAACTGAGCTAGCCCCTGGGGCTGAGTACTCCTGCAGGGCTGGAGGAGCAGGTTCTTAGAAGATGATTCACCTTGGAGGAAGCTGGGGAAAGTGGTTAGGGAGGGAGAGGAAGACTGAGAAATCTCTGCATTCCCAGAACTCAGCAACCCAGTTCTTTTATGATGAGGAGAGGTAGCTATGCTGACTCATGAACAGGTGGAGGAAAGGGGTTGCAGGTGACCAGCATCTTCAATCTAGTTATCACCAGCTTGGCTAGAATCTTATTGAACGCAACTTGCTAGTTATGATAGAGAGGGCCAGGGTGAGAACTAATGTTCAAGAGAGTGAGATTTTGTAATCCTCTTGCCCTCTCACATCACAAATTCTGATATGCCAAACATTTGGCCCACTGAGAATGACTGATAGACTTAATGATGTGCATGTGCGGGGATGAGGTGTGTATATACTTTCCTCCTGACTGGCCATTCAGTGTTCAGGCTGTCATTCAATTTGGATAGGAAAAAGTTGGTGAGGAAGGAATGGAGAGAGCAGGATCCCTGGACTCCTTGGTCCCCAAACTCCTTGACTGTCACTTGTAATTCTATATAATTTTTGTGTTTCTTGCTCCATTTCCTCATGCTGTCATCCTTAAAGTCCATGTGGGAAGGGGAAAATGCTGAACACCATTGTATAGTTTCTTCAACTGTCCCAGCCATGTTGTACATAGATATGTCATGTTATTATATATATAAATATATATATATAATTTTGTACGTTTTCTTCATCTCCGATCTTCTCGACTTCTGTACTTTTTTTCTTTTCTGTCTGAGCTGACTTCTCTGTCATTCAGCTTGAGTCCTCAAGACTACTGGTCACAATGAGTCTGATTTTTAGGAAGGAATAGGAGGAGCAGGGAAATCAGAAAAACTGTTGGTCTCACTCTGTCTCTCTACCTGGTCATCTTCAAGGCTAAGAAAACAAAGAAACAAGCTACATTCTGTATTTGCCGGTTTCCACAGCATGAAGTACATAGCTTCCTTAGCAAGGAGGGATCACTCCAAAATCCAAATGCAAATTGCTTTGATTAAAACTAGATTATTAAATCCAAAAAAAAAAGAAAGAAAAGCCAGAACAAAAAAGACCTCTTTCTTCTCATTTTGCCTTGGATAATGCCCAAATGCAAAAATTTACAATAACAGTAACTAACTTATTTAGTTCTATGAGTCAGCCTCTACTCTACATGCCACGCAAAAATAAACTCATTTCATATTTAAGTCATTAGTTTTCCTTTAGATGATGGGATATGCTAGGGACTTTCAGTAGTATTGCATCAGCCAGTGGGGTTGCCCATTAGCCATTTTCTTTTTGGTGATGCTTTCTTCATTTATGAGAAAACAGAATTGATATACCATTACTAGGCAAACATAGTTCTGTAAGGCTTAATTTATTCCATTGTGAGATAATGTTTATCATTTTCAACCAGAAAAGAAAAGCATGATGCTACTTCAGATAAATATATCTGCTACTTTATAATATTAATTAAAATAATTTGCCCCATTTAGTAAGGGAAAGTTATAATCATATATCCTCACTTTCAATCATCTTGGGAATAAAAGAAAAAGATGGGTTTACTTCCAGGGAGATCATGTCCATAGGTTAGACAATGAATGATCCTCTCTTCCACTCTTTCCAAATGGTAAAGTCATTAAGGGACTTCAGTTTTGCTTTGAAATAGAGCAAAGCTACTTCATTTAATTAATTGTGAAAAATAATTATGGGCAATAACTATTAATTATTATTTCAGTAATGAAATGAAAGTATTTTTGTTGTATATTTATTTGAATAATGCCTTTTGTAGATTTCTGAACAATTCTTCCACTGCCTTATAAAAAGCGTCTATGTAATATAGTAACCGATAAGGAATTGGGAGTTCCTCCAAATCTTTATTATATTCTGCTAGGATATAGCTTTAGGCAGCTGGACTAAATGATAATTCCCAGGATGAAACACAGTGGTTTGTTCCCCCAAAGAGCAAACTAATTTCAAACTAACCACGCTTGTTCTAATGAACAAAAATTCCATACTACTCCCCTAGCACCTCAGGAGATGTAGACTTTCCAGAATATTAATATTAAAAAATAAAAGATGATCATATCAGTTGTTCATAATCATGATAGAAAGTCTTAATATATATTTTATCAATGGAAGACCTTTTACTGATCACAGAATATTTCTTCCACTGCATCCTACAAGTATTCACACAGAGTCATCCCTTTCATCTTTGCTTAGATGGAATATAGTGATGCAATATTCACTAATAAAAGCAAATCCTACATTTTGATAATGTTAACATACTAGCTTAAAGTGAAAAAAGTTGCAAAGATAACCTGATGAGCCTTATCTCAACAGACTTCTGGTGCCTATAGAAAAATGAAGAAATGGGGAAAATATCTAGCAGGAATAATTTTTTTTTTGCAATAGAAGAGGAAGATAATTTCCAAACACAAATATATTGGCAGATTCTTATTTAAAATTCAACTCTCATTAAGGTGAAGGTCCTAGTTAGCAATTGGGTGTTTCAACTAGGAAGCCATCAGGATATTTTAAAAGTGTTTGCTAGAAGATGCTCATGTTTAATGAAGAAAGAGAATTGATTGTGTATTTATGGAGGAAAGAGAACTGATTGCTCAGGCGTCTCTTCTACTGCTCACAGACAAAACATATAATGAAAAAGGGTAAAGGCAGCTTTGTGAGACAGAGAATCAAATGGAAGCAAATATCATTTGTTTATCTGAAATATCCAAATACTTATGAATACGGGAAAGCAGAGCCTAAATCATGGAGATTTTGACTCAGCTTGTCACTCGTTTTCCTTGTATCAGCAAACACTTCAGCTACGTATTTAGTACAAAAATTCCCAAAAAGTCACTGTCATGGTTTGAATTCCTCCAGAAGCTAATCCCAAGGCAAGCATTTGAGTTCAAGTAATTTATTTAAAAAGTGATATTATAAGACATAATTAGGAGAATAAAGAAGTGAGAGAGAGACACAAGGATAAAGGTTGAATTGCCAAGACAGCATTCATTCTGAGCAATTGGATCTCATTCTCATTACAGAGCTTCGAGAAGACATAAGAAATAAGAGCGCTCTCAACTGAGAGCTGAGGAAGCTGGTGCACTAATCCACTCATGCCCTATGTCACTAGTGGGCATGAGTGAGAAAAATAATGCTGTGGGTGGAGACCTATAACTTCAGTATTTTTCCACCTTCTTCATTCTGTCTCACCAGTTCACCTGAATATATATCCCTGTTTAATAACCTTGTCTGTTAGTTCTAAATCTGTTATAGCTTCAGTTTGGTTTTGGGTGATATCTGCCTGCTTCTCTGAATGTCTAGTATTTTTCTTTAGATGCTAGTCATTTTGAATTTTACCTTATTGGGAGCTAGATTTTTTTTCTTTTTAAATTCCTATTAGTATTTTTTAGCTTTCTTCTAGGGCATAATTCAAGGCTCAAAGCTTTCTTCTGGAGTACAAACTTGGAAAGAGTTTGATTTTGGAGGTAGAAAGAGATCTTACTTTTAAGATTTGTTAGGAGGAAACAGGACTGTGCTTCCTTTAGGGCTATTTTTCCCCACTTCTGAGACAAAAGCCTCTGTGTGTTCTACTCAACAAATGCCCCCTAAATAATGAGGTTTTCTAGTCTGGTTGGTTGAATCAGTACAGTTCTAAACTCTATGTCAGTACCACAAACTGTTCCCTCCAATCTTTTTTGAGTGTTTTCCCCCTCACTTTGGCATGGTTCCTCACATGCAAGTGTTGAGTAGTATTGGTTGAATAATCAAGTGAAACACTATAAAATTTTAAATTTCTCTCGTTTAGCTTTGTGTGCTATGGTTGGATACAGGTTTATCAACAGTCAGAGGGTTTTTTTTTGTGTTTTTGTTTTTTAAGTACAGGATGATTCCTATGTAGCAACTTGTTTAGGCATTATTGAATAGTTAGAAAATAACAACAGTATTTTAAATATGCTACAGCATTTATAGCATTGAAATTACCTCAAAACTTTACAGCAATGGTACGTACCTGGTTCTTCCACGAACTGCGTAGCTCACCTGTCCACCATCATCTTCATGTTTCACCTTAAAAAAGAGACACCAATTTTCCCCCTTTAATCATCTTGCTCAAATTTTCATGAAAAACTCAAGTAAAGCCAAGCACTAATTTTAGAAATATCTTTAGTACTGTTATCTTTGCACTGTTATCTGTAACAACAATAGCAAAGTTCCTGGTAGTCCTGTGATCGAACCTCCCTTCTGCAACCAGATCGTTTCTATGTCTAATGAGTACATTTTGATCTGACTACCCAAAATGTGGAGATAGAAACATACAGGTGGTACTCCAGTTCTTATCTACTCTGTAAATGTGGTACCTTTGCACTGTTTACAATAGCCAAGATTTGGAAGCAAACTAAGTTGCCATCAACTGATGAATGGATAAAGAAAATGTTTTATATATATATACACATACATATATACATATACACATATATATGTACATATATGTGTGTGTATATATATACACACATACATATATATATATTTATATATATAAAATGAAGTACTATTTGGTCATAAAAGATAATGAGATCCAGTCATTTGTAACAACACAGATGGAACTGGAGATCATTATGTTAAGTGAAATAAGCCAGCCACCGAAAGACAAACATTGCATGTTCTCACTTGTTTGTGGGATCTAAAAATCAAAACAGTTGAACTCATGGACATAGAGCATAAAGGGATGGTTACCAGAGTCTGGGAGGGGTAGTGGGGAGGAGGTGCGGATGAGGTGGGGATGGTTAAGGTGCAGCAAAATAGAAAGAATGAATGAGAGCTACTATTTGATGATAGTACAAGAGGGTGACTACCGTCAATAATAACTTAAGTGTACATTTAAAAATAATTCAAAGAGTGTAATTAGATTGTTTGTAACTAGGTGGATAAATGCTTGAGGGGGTAGAAACAATGTGGTAGCTTTGGTAAGAAATCTTGCCTTAATTGAGATAAAGAAAATTTTCTCGCAAATGAGCCATTAAAATTCTAGCCATAGATATTTTTAAAAGTTGAACTTAATTTAGAAAGCTGTGTTTGCAAATTATAAATATTGCAGAAGGTCTTAAATGGTTTCCATTGTGAGATGTGAAAGAGTTCCCTGGTAATAATTCCTGGGTTAAATGAGAATGAGTGATTCATCAGTGCTTTTTAAGTTTAGAGAAAAAGGTGAATAAAATGAAATGGGAAAAATGTTAGGGAAAAATAAATACTCACAAATTAAATCTCTTCAGATCTATAAACACTCTGTAACTCTGCGGAACATAATATTTTCTTCTTTTTGGTTCTCTATTCAAGGATAACTGCTATCTCTTTTTACAAATAAAAAGCCACAATGTTCACTGCCTGACTTGAGAATGAAAATTAAGCCCAATGATCTTTTTGCAATAATCCGGGTCTTTCTTGGTGATATTTCCATTTTCAAGAATGTTATTTTTAATATAGCAGCCATCACAAAATAATTCATACCAGTATGTCTCAAAAATATAATATGTCCCATAAATTATTTATTAAAATGTTTCCTGAAAAAACAAAAGATTTCATTGTCAAAAATGTTTTGGATAATCTAAATATTAGATAATTTTCTCAGAGACTTAAAATGCACATTGTCATATATTGAAGAGTTCTGTAGTAAGTCAACCTATATGATTGTTTAACTTTGCAATTCTTGAGCATATTTAATCAAAACTTTATATTTTCTATAATGTATAAATACTATTATTGAACATTCAGAGAATGTTGACACAAGTTATCTTCAACAAAGTCTTTTATTTTTATTGTTTTTCTAACTTTTTTTGTTTTAAGAGCAAGCTTAGACAGGAGAGAGGCATAGCCCTGGAGATGGTGGCTGGGCTTGAAAGACAATATTGATCACCTTCCTTATTAGACCCAAGGATACCACTGCTTGACTCACCCACGATCCCGCTCGTAGATCCTTCTGCCCAGAAAGCCCAGGATTTCAGCCCCTGCAATAACATTGCCTGAACTCAGTAAAATTTATTCATCTCAATAGCTTGAAAAGTCACTGGCCCTGATTTATCTCATATCTGCCCCATCCAATTTCTGAGTTATAAAGTCAAATATCTCTCTGACAATAATATTGTGAATTCCTATATGTTTTGTCAGGGAAATTGGAGGAAATTTCATCTTCTCCTTATATATGTGTATAGCCATAAAAGTTAAATTTTTTTTAATATGATTTTCTGTGGCTTCTAAATGAGAAAGTATAACCTCATATTTCAAAACATGTAGAAGAGGAGGTAATCTATATTCTTAGATTTGTGATTTTTAAGAAAAAAAAGCTCTGGAGGGAAAGAGAAATGGGAAAGAAAAAAAGTACTAAAATGTCATACTGAACTTCAACTTTTGGATTTGAATATCTTTACTAGAACTTGTGCAGATTTTACTCAGGTGATTTAGGGCTCGGTGTCTTCACTTAGATTTTCCAAAGCAACTAAACCTCAACTTGTTCAAAATTAAAATCATATTCGTCCTGCAGATCCTTTGTCCCAAGCTGGATATTCTCCCTTGGGGAATAGAATCACTATTTAACTAATTGTAAGATAGAATCATAAAGCAGATTCTTGCAACTTCTTCTTAATGCCTTAAATCTAATCTATTGCAAATGTTTTTCAGTTTAACCTACTAAATATCTCATGAATACTTTCATGTTTCAGTTTATCAACACATGTCTATAGAGGCCCTACTAAGTGTCTGTCATTGTAATAATAGACACAGAACACACAGCTCTGAAGATAACAGAGTTCTTGCACTCATGAGTGTTTATTCTAGTGGGGCAAGGGTGCAGGGTGTAAACAAATAAGTAAATATCTGATATATCAGATGAAAATAAGTGGTATTACAAACAATAAAGCAGAATAAATCCAATAAATAATTACCATTGGACACATATCATTTTATGTGGCAGCTTTTTTTAAACTGAAAATTAGAGTCACATAATCCATTCAGTGAGTGAAGGCCAGCATTTGTAATAAATTGTATAAAAAAGTAGAATCCAGAAAGAAAATTTCAAGTGAGTATTTCACATAGTAAAAATGACTCTACACCTTGTTTTGTAGTTTTTTGTTGTAATGTATTAGGGTTTATATATGTGTATTTATGTAACTAATTTATAAGTGTCTCCTAAAATACCTTTTAAATATGTCTTACCATGAAGCATCACTAAAAGAAAACTAAAAATTCAAGAAAAAGAAAGAAAAAATATATCATATTGAACCATTGTAAGAGAAAAACACAGCTATGTGGTGGAAGAATGTTCAGAAAATAAAACAACTTGTATATGGACTCCAAGGTAAGAGATGTGTTCAAGGAGCATCAAAGATCCCGGCATAGCTGCAGTTCAGTGAGAGAGGGGAAGTGTGATAGGATATGTGGCTAGACCATTTAGGGCCTGGTAGACTAGGGTTAGATCTTTCTAATTTACTCAAAGTAAGACAGAAAATCACTTGAGGGTTTGAACAAAAATGTCATTTTCTCATTCACTTTTTCAGAGATGTTCCTGTCTGTATGTGGAGAAATGTAGGGAGTCAAAGATAGAAGCTAAGAGAACAGTTCGAGGGTAGAGCATGTAGAGTCTAGAAAGATATGAGAATTGACTTGAGACCAGGAGGTAATTGTGGAGAAACAGAAAAGTCATTTGATTCTGGTCCCATTTTGAAAGTATGGCCTAAATTATTTCCTAGTGAATTGGATGTGGATGGGAGAGACATAGAGGAATGAAGAGCACCAAGAGGTTTTGGTCTGAAATAGAGGAAATAGAGTTTGCATGTACTGAGAAATTCTATGAGAAGGGCACTTTTATAATATGTAGGGAAGATAAGTGATCAATTGAGATTGAATTTTGAACAAGCAGTAGGGCATATCGGTTTAGTATTTGGGGATGTGATTTAAATTGGAAGTTAACAGAAAATAAATGATATGTGAAGTCTTGAGAGTTAATGAAAATAGCAAGGAAGTTTATTTAGACAGAGAAGGAATGCAAAAAAAAAAAAAAACAGAAAGGAAGGAAAGGGAAAGGAAATGAAGGAAAGTTAAAAAAAAAAAAAAGATGTAAGGACTCAGCCTTGGGGCATTCTAATTTTTAAAGGTTTGGATATTGAAGCAGAAAGATCAGCCAATAATATAGAGGAGAAAAGAAGAGGAAGTAGAATCCTAAGTAGAAACTAAGAGAGAAAAGTGTTTCATGAAGGTGGTAGTGATCAAATATTTCAAATACTGATAGGTCCAATAAGATTGAATTTTTTAATGCAGATATTGGTGACTTTCGTAAAAGCGGTTAGATTGGTAGAAATTAAAGCATCACTGGAGTTTTCTACAGAAAACTGGAGCAGTAAAAGTGGTTAGTAAGTAAAGTTAACTTCTAAAACTTTGATAATAAAGGGAGCAGATAAATGGAAAAGCTGATGATTGGTGGGGTATGTGGGAATGAGATCTAATTAACAGATAGTGGAATTAGTCTTAAATAGAAGGATAAAACTTTTCTCCATAGTTTCAAAGAGAGAGGAACAGAACATAGATAGAGACACAGGCAATTTAATAGAGGTGTGTGAACGTTTTCAGCTGATTTCTTTCATCTTCTCAGTAAAATATAAAACAAGACCATCAAGCAATGTTAAGAGGAACAAAAAGGTGATGGGGGCTTAAGGATTATTCATTAGGCCTTTGAATCTTCAATAGCCATCTACTTTTGCTCCTAATTAAACTCTATTTGTCCAAGTATCTAGAGTATTTCTTCAATTCGATCTGAGAATGGTACTATCTAGAACCATTTAAAAACTTAAAACTTCAATAGCTCCCCATTGCTCTTTAAATAACACCTGGAATATTTAAGTGGCTTATAAGCACCTCCAAGAACTGGCTCCTTCTGCATCTTCACCATCATCTCTCACCTCTTATCTCTGCCCAACTTTTAAGCAAAACTGACCATGAAATATGATTTTTTTGTTGTTGTTATCAGAGCCTTTTTGCATGCTATTTTCAATACTCAGAAAGCCATCTAGCCTTATTCTTGCCTATTTAGCCTATTCATCCTTTGCAGCTTAACTCAAATGTTTCTTCCTCATAGAGTCTGTTTCTGACAACTCTCACTACCTTCCCACTCACAAGACTAGACAACATCCATTTGTTATATTCCCTGTTGGCTATTTTGATTTCTACCATTAGGTTCTTATCAGTTTATAATTCTTTAATTTTCTCAATAAATACCTGTGCCCCTCTGTGGTTTCTTTGGGAACACTGGCCGTGATTGTTTTGATCAATTCTGAGGTCTCTAAAGCAGCCCACTATAGAGTATCCTTCTTTCTTGGCAGAGTTCCAAAGTGATTAAGAAACAAGACAAAGGGTAAACCCTATGGGCACCAAAATATCACCCTTATGATTGATAAAGTTTAAATAGTAAGATATACCTTGTATCTGAAGGCATATGAGCTCTCTAAAACTTATCCCCCAAACCAGGCAGACTCACATAATTGTGGCAGATCCTCCCTCCCTCTCCAGAAGCAAAGAGTATTAGTTTTCTGGAGCAACTCACTTCCAAACATAATGCAAGAGAAAGGTGTTAAACTATACATGCCCATTATTTTATTTCAAAATCACTAATCATATTAAACCACTGCTCTACTCTTGGGAAGAATGAATGAGAGGAAAGAGCTCTTTCATTACAGGAGAAAACATCATGAGTAGGAAATAAACATTCCATGCTAACATGGATATAATGCAGCACTGGAGTTTATTCAAATCAGTGTTTTGTTTATAGCATACAAGCAACGCAATTTGTAAGAATGAGTGAATTAATGAGAATTAGTCATTGGCTTCTTGGCTTTCAATTCTTGTGGCACTATTCACAATAGCGAAGACTTGGAACCAACCCAAATGTCCATCAGTGATGGACTGGATTAAGAAAATGTGTCACATATACACCATGGAACACTATGCAGCCATAAAAAACGATGAGTTCATGTCCTTTATAGAAATGTGGATGAAGCTGGAAACCATCATTCTCAGCAAACTATCACAAGGACAAAAAAAACCAAACACCACATGTTCTCACTCATAGGTGGGAATTGAAAAATGAGAACCCTTGGACACAGGAAGGGGAGCATCACACACTGGGGCCTGTCATGGGGTGAGGGGAGGGGGGAGGGATAGCATTAGGAGATATACCTAATGTAAATGACGAGTTAATGGGTGCAGCACACCAACATGGCACATGTATACATATGTAACAAACCTGCACGTTGTGCACATGTACCCTAGAACTTAAAGTATAATAAAAATAAATAAATAAATAAAATTGCATTAATACCCTCAAACCCTAAGTCCATTTGGGTAGTCATATCACTCATTTAGATTCTCTTTTTTACCTTATAACGGGGGTTGGCAAACTATGACCCATGGGCCTAGTCCAAACAACTGCCTGGTTTTGTCAATAAGTCTTTGCTGGAAGAGCATTCATGTGTATATTGTCTATGGCTGCTTTTGTATAGTAGTGGCAGAGCTGGAGTAGTTGCAACAGAGACTGTGTGGCCCACAGAGCCTGAAATATTTAACCTCCTACGCTTTACAAAAATAGTTTGCTGACTCTTGCTTTAGAAAGTCAAGAAAAGGACATGGTATGGGATGAGCAAGAGCATAAGCGACCACATATTCTAGATGTAAACCTGGAGAGGAAAGAGGACATTTAAGAAAATTCAGCAGGATGAGGAAAAGAGAGGTCTTGGTGGACAGTTACACTTTGGCACTGTCTTTTTATTTGATTGATAAATACATGGAAACAGCTGCAAAGAGAACACATTTTAGCAGGAGGCAGTGGTTTGGCTCTGGCTTGGAGAGTGCTTTATGGTTACCCTTATTGACCTCTCCCACCTGGAAGTAAGCTTGAATATCAACTCAGCTTCTCCACTTCCACCTGCTTTATTCACTCTCAGGAAAGGATTTCAAGCAGGCAGTTGCTTTTACCTGAGGCTGAAGCAAAATGCTGTCATACTAATGGCGTCCTGCCTGCCGATTCCATAAAGCTATAGCTATACGTATTTTTAGTCTTCCTTAAGCATCACTGACCATGTAGCTGAGAGATTCAGACAAATAGAGAAGCTGTCTTTTTATAGCTTTGTTCATAATATATTTCTATCCAGCTGTGTTCTTAGCAGCACATCTGCCAGTTTCTGTAAAACTACCTGTTCAAAATAAAATGGAAAATGACAAAACAAGAAAAATGTAGTCTAATGCATCCATTCATCTAATTATCTCATCCTATAACAGGTAGGGGGGGGTACCTATAGTTTCTATTAGAATATACTTATATTTTTAATAGATTGAGTTTTTTTGTTTTTTTGGGTTTTTTTTGTTTGTTTGTTTTGACTGAGTCTCACTCTGTCACCCAGGCTGGAGTGCAGTGGCATGACTTCTGCTCACTGCAAGCTCCACCTCCCAGGTTCATGCCATTCTCCTGCCTCAGCCACCCAAGTAGCTGGGACTACAGGCGCCCGCCACCACGCCCAGCTAATTTTTTGTATTTTTAGTAGAGATGGGGTTTCACCATGTTAGACAGGATGGTCTCGATCTCCTGACCTCGTGATCCACCCTCCTTGGCCTCCCAAAGTGCTGGGAGTACAGGCGTGAGCCACCACACCCCACCGATTGAGGGATTTTTTTAAGCCACAAAACATTAGCTGTGATACTGGGTTTCTGAAGTACCTTGGTGCCTTGAAAATATGTGAGGTGGAGTTGAAAACAAAAAATAATAATAGCTAACATTTATTGAGAGCTTGCTATATACCAGACAATGATCTAAGAATTATTTTACTTAATCCTTATAGAAAACCTTGGGGGTAGATAATACGAGAAGCCCTATTTGACAAAAAAATGGCCATGCCCTTGCAATCATTAAGCAATAAAGGAGAGATTTAAAGATCTTATACAAGAGACTCCCTGATTTTCTTGGTTTATGGCATCCTTACTATTCAACTAATTTTTTACAATGCCCCAGTCCAGAAGAAATACCACACCACACAGTTTCACTCACTAAGTAGTTATGTCCAAGAATGTTAGTTAGCATTTATGTCCTCTGAACTTAGTAGCCATTTAAAAAAAAATAAATTCAATGAAAAAATATTTTTATTTCATGTTTACACAACCACAATCACATACCACAATGAGATGTGTATACCTGTTGGGCACTACACAGCTTCTCAAAGCTTGGAATCAGATTGGATCCTATCAGCATAATTTTTGTTCCACATTGATTTTCACATGGTCCTTAATTTGTATCTTAGCAACCTCCAAAATTTTTGCATAGTTATGGCATCATCAAAAGGAAAGCAGTGTGATCTCATTTTGAAACCATAAGCTACTTAGACCTAATAGTTTCTGAGGTGTCCGACAGTTGTTGTTGTACTTCCCTGGGGTATTTAAACTTTCCCATAGTGACCTTATAAATTTATCAGGGCATAGTGGAATGAATTTGGTACACAGTTCGGGAACTCCAGCCTTTCACTTTTCATAGCCTTCCATGTTGACTGTCTGCAAGGAATAGTAATCTGCGGTATGGGGAATTCAAAGGACCTAACAAGTAGTTCTTACCTTCTGGTAAGTGAGGAAGATAAGAGAGAGAGACATAAACAGGAACAATGGAGAAATGATGGAACTGGTGTGAGGTGAGGGAGTATGACAGTCCTAAATTACCATTGAGACCCTATACTACTGCTAGTCTAAGCACAAATGTGTGCTAATTCCTGCCACATCTTACAGGCACACAAAGAGATTCTTATTTAGGATAAACTTAAATGATAAAAATCCAATAAATATTAGAGGCAGAATTAGGTACCCTCCATTTCTACCTCAGTAATAATTCCTAAATTCATTCTGTATTCTGCCTTTCTGCTATGGTTTCTTAACCCAAACATGTGTTACTGTTGTTTATTTTTCAATGAAATTCTGGAGTCCTAGGATCCTAAACATAGTTTTTGCTACAGTGCTACTCAAATGCAGTCTACAAACTACTGTCAGTTTGTGGAAAGTTTGTTATTGTTCTGCAACAATATAAGGGCAGGAATTGATGTAAGGATGTAGAAACTTTGATAGCAATTTGGCAAAATAATTTAATTTTTGTTGGATCTAACAATAAAAAATTAGATGTTGCATTTTACGAATGCAACCTTTAAGGTTTCATTTCTCTAGTAATTAATTTTTATTATATTTTACAAAAGTTTTGTAAACAGCAGATTGGAAATTAAAGGACAAAATAAAACTGGTTCTTCACCATAGACAATTTGAGAAGCCCTGGTCTAGAAGGGGCAACTGGGTGGGCATGTTTCTTGGCCCTGTAGACTACTGACCCCATGGGGAGGGGCATGGCTTGGAGAAAGACAGGAGCTCTTTCTCCAAGGCATAGGACTCAGGATAAAGCCCAAGGTGCCCTGATCTAAGTGCTGCACCGATTCTGCTCAACACCCCAGCATAATTCTCTAGGATAGAAAGATAACTCATTTCTGTCTTCACAGCATCTAGCCTTATAGTTGGTGTATTAAAGGCACTAAATAAATAATATTTGAATGAGCAGGGGATTCAATACAATAACAATAATGATGATCATAGCGATGATGATTTCTATCATTTATTTTAATTGTGCTGTGGCAGGTGCTATGCAGAAAAGTTTATACAAATCATCTCTAATCTTCACCAGAACCGCCATAACACCAAAATAGGTGTTACGCTCTTTACTGAGAGAGGATGTTGTAATTTTACAATTTCAAAGAGAGAATGTTCTCTTGAGGTTATGCTTGGGGGGACGGAGTGGTGGTTTTATTGAAAAAAATGAGATTTTACTGAGTTTTAAAGGTGGAGCAGAGCTGTTGAAGTAGAGATAAAGAAACACCAGGGTGTATTTGCGCAGAATTATACAAACCAAAACATTCTAGACAAAAGGCACCTTCAGAACCAGAAGAATAAAAAAATATATGAAGTGTCTAGACGTAAGATACTAGGGCCTGTGAAAGATTATCATCTACATTAAGAGGGCATGTTTTAGTTAAAAGTATTCACATTTATTAAAAGCAAAACAACAGAAACAAAATTAAAACATTATGCCACTGAATGAAAAGGCTTTTATGGGCCTGACTTGGTGCTGGGTTCCTGATTTATTACATCAAAACGTGTTTTCCTTGCCTTCTTTCTATCTCTTTTACATATCCTGTTTAAATTTCCTGTGCAAAAATGTATCACTACTTGAAACGCTTATTTATGGTGTTTTAGTCCATTTTTTATTTATATATATCCTTATTCTCTACTTTCTAGGCTTTAAGCTCTATGAAATGAGGGTCCTTGTCTACCTCTTATTAATGAATACCTAGCACTTTGAAATGCTTCTAGCACATGCCTGATGCATCAACTACTTTTCCTGGTAAGAAACTACCAGTACTTACCAACAAATACTTCATGGCTTAAAACAACTTCATATTGTTATTGTCATCACAATTTTGGGGGCAGGAGGGGCAGTTTTGCTTCTGGTTTCACCTGGGTTTACTCCTGTGGCTGTGCTTAGGTGGAGGGTCAGCTCATCTGGCAATTGGTACTGGCCATCCGCAAGCATGCTTCATCTGTCCTCCACATGGCCTCTCCTCCTGCAGTAGGTTAGACTGCCTTCCTTATGGGGCATTCTCAGGGTCATATCTTAAGAGGATAAACACAGAATCTTCAAAGGCCCTAAAGCCCAGCCTTAGAAGTTGTGCAATATCACTTCTACTGTATGTATTGATGAAAGCAGGTTATGTCAGCAGTCCAGATTCAAGGAGTGGGGAAACGATGCTACTTCTTAATAGAAGAAGATGTAAAACATTGTGGCCATGATTTTTAATCAACCCCAATTGAGGTTCAATAAGAAAGTATGATAAGAATGAATAGATAGTGTGATTAAAGGTATGACCAGGAAAGATTTACAATTACTTATAAATCTTTTAATTTATAAGTAATGATTCATGTATTAGAGTTCTCTAGAGGGACCGAACTAATGGAATATATATATATGAATATATATATATGAATATATATATATACATATATATGAATATATATATGTATATATATATAGGAATATATATATAGGAATGTATATGTATAGGAATATATATAGGAATATATATAGGAATATATGTATAGGAATATATATAGGAATATATGTATAGGAATATATATAGGAATATATGTATAGGAATATCTATATATAGGAATATATATAGGAATATATATATAGGAATATATATATGGGAATATATATATATAGGAATATATATAGGAATATATATAGGAAAATATATATAGGAATATATATATAGGAATATATATATATAGGAATATATATATAGGAATATATATATATAGGAATATATATATAGGAATATATATATATAGGAATATATATATAGGAATATATATATAGGAATATATATATATAGGAATATATATATAGGAATATATATATAGGAATATATATATAGGAATATATATATAGGAATATATATATAGGAATATATATATATAGGAATATATATATATAGGAATATATATAGGAATATATATATATAGGAATATATATAGGAATATATATATAGGAATATATATATATAGGAATATATATAGGAATATATATATAGGAATATATATAGGAATATATATATAGGAATATATATAGGAATATATATATAGGAATATATATAGGAATATATATATAGGAATATATATAGGAATATATATATAGGAATATATATATAGGAATATATATATAGGAATATATATATAGGAATATATATATAGGAATATATAGGAATATATATACACATAGGAATATATATATACATAGGAATATATATATATGAATATATACATGAATATATATATACACATAGGAATATATATACACATAGGAATATATATAGGAATATATATATACATAGGAATATATACATAGGAATATATACATAGAAATATATATAGGAATATATACATAGGAATATATACATAGGAATATATACATAGGAATATATATATAGGAATATATACATAGGAATATATACATAGGACTATATACATAGGACTATATACATAGGACTATACATACAGGACTATATATATAGGACTATATATACAGGACTATATATAGGACTATATATAAGAATATATATATAGGACTATATATAGGAATATATAGGAATATATATATAGGAATATATATAGGAATATATATAGGAATATATATAGGAATATATATAGGAATATATAGGAATATATATATGGGAATATATATATGGGAATATATATATGGGAATATATATATGGGAATACATATAGGTATATAGGAATATATATATAGGAATATATATAGGAATATATACAGGAATATATATAGGAATATATATATAAATATATATAGGAATATATATAGGAATATACACATGGAAATATATACAGGAATATACATATGGAAATATATATATAGGAATATACATATGGAAATATATATAGGAATATATATATGGATATATATATATAAGAATATATATATGGGAGTTTATTAAGTATTAACTCACATGATCACAAGGTCCCACAATAGGCCATCTGTAGGCTGAGGAGCAAGGAGAGCCTGCCCAAGTTCCAAGACTGAAGAACTTGGAGTCCAATGTTCGAGGGCAGGAAGCATCCAGCACAGGAGAAGGATGGAGGCTGGGAGGCTAGGCCAGTCTCTCTTTTCACATTTTTCTGCCTGCTTATATTCTAGTTGTCATAGCCACTGATTAGATGGTGCCCACCCAGATTGAGGGTGGGTCTGCCTCTCCCAGTCCACTGACTCAAATGTTAATCTCCTTTGGCAACACCCTCACAGACACACCCAGGATCAGTACTTTGCATCCTTCAATCCAATCAAGTTGACACTCAGTATTAACCATCACAATTAGTCATATGGATTCTTGAATATAAGGTGACATGATCAAAGTGGAGTTTTAGGAAGATTAATTTGCCTGTAGCTACAAGAGGAAATAAAATAGAAAAGAACTAGATGCAGGAAAGTCATTTGAAATCTGACTTGATAAACCAAAAGTAGTAAAATGAGTTACTGAGAAAGCCATCATAAATTATATTCCTATTTCCCATTTACTTATTTGGGATTTTACAGCAATGTATGATGGTGGTATATTGCTAAATGATTGTTTGCCTTGGGAAAGATGTATGGAACCTGCCCGTGTATTGCAGAATAAATAAAAAACATCTGGAAAGGGATTTGGATAATACTCATATCTGAGTGGCTCCAGCCAGTTATCCACATATTTATCAATTCGTTTCAATTTATTGGCAACTCAAGGTAGTTCAAGTAATGCAAGGGTAAACGTGAGATCTGTTCTTTTGAAAAAATAACAGATTTTTTAACTGCCAAAGACATTACATTTAGAGGTAGTACTTTGTGTACTTTAAAGCACTTAAAGTCTCATAGCCATTTACTAAGAACTGGCTGATAGAAAGAACTAGAAATATTAACACATATAGCATTTCAATTTTCCCTAGAGATATCCTAATTTCGTGTCTTCCCATGTTGCTAAAAACAGAGTCTAATAAATCTCTATGTGTTTTCACTCTGGGTACTTATGCTTGTCAGTTCTTCTCTGGTTCAGAGATAGATTTGAAAAACACCCAGTTTTTAGGAATGTTTTCCTCTAGAAAAAACTATTATTTTATTTCTTAGAAAAGCAATAGGAAGACAATTCAAGCTTAACAGGAATCAAGTCATAAATTTATCTGGGGAGTTCTGACATTTGTGCTTCACCATAAGAAAAAGAAATTGATGGATATAGTCCTTATTCTTATGTATAAAGCCAATCTTTCAGAGTTTGGAACATTAAATCATTTTTAAAAAAATTATCTCATTGTGAAATTAGTGAAAATTAAAATTTTAACTCTAATGCATGGGGCCTAGATATTAAAATCCTTTATATAATCATAAATTTTTGATGGCTAAAAACAATAACAATGGAAAATGTCAATATATTTTGGCTAATTGAACTTTTTCAAATTAAAGCCCTTGAATTTGTAGGTATAAGAATGTAAAATTGGTATATCTTTTATGTATTACTCACAATGCAATTCTACTTTAGCTCTTTTTAAAAGCATTTTTGTTGTAAGTACATTTTGACCTTTTATAATAAAAATAATAATTCAGGTTTCAAATCTTCTTTTCATCTTTAGACTTCCAACTGCCAATTATACTACTTTACTTGGCTAGATGGAGATTTTTTTTGCTTTTTAGTTTCTCTGAGAATTGTAAGCCAGTGAGTCTGTAAGTTTAGTCCATCAAAAATCTACATCAAAATAATCAGAGGCCCCATTTCAAAATACAAAATCAGAATCTCTAGAAATGTATTTCATTGAAATTTTTTAAAAATTAATTACTTATGTAATTATTTTGAACAATTACACCTGCTCTGTATTTGACTCCCAAGTAATTTGTCCAACACAATCTAAAGTAGTAAGAAGTAATCTTTCCTTTAAAAACAAAATTGGCGTCACCTATATATTTTACAAATATGTATTAGGTGCTTTCTTTGTACCAGGAAATGCCCAAGGTAGCGGAGATTTAGGCACTAGTCAGATCAATTGGCTGCCCTCAGGAAGCTCTAGATCCAGTGAGATAATTCAATCACAATACAATCAGAAAAATGCCATGAAACATGTCAGTATCCCAACCCTAAGAACTTCAGAAAAGACTGAACATAGAGATGTTCGGAAAGGTTTTCTGGAAGAATAAAAATCACAGCAAGTTTTGAAGGCAGATTGTAAGGAATGAAGAGTTTTGCATAAAGTTTAAAGATATCATGATCTTTTCAATTACTACTATCTGTTCTGTATTACTGGAACAGAAAACATAAGTAGAAAACTAATAAGAGATAAAGAAGTCTCCTGGAGTCATTTGTGAATTTCTTTTCTTATTCTGTTTTCTAAAACATTTTTGAAATTTATTTGGCCAATAGACCCAGTATATGAGGGTATCTGATATCATTCAACTAGTTTGCACAGACTATTACTAGAGAATATGATTAGTATTATTGTCAAATATTTTGCTGAAGTAAAAATCTCATTCTATAGGAACATAGAATATCTTGTTTCTAAGATGAATCTTTTGGTACATAAAAGCAGCTTCCTGCCAAAAAATCTAGTCCTCAACTTGTTCCCATTTTAGAAAACAATCATTCACAACTCTGATCTTCATCTTATAACTCACACCCATTCTATCAACAAATTCGTTGGCTCTGCCATCAGAAAGTATACAGAATTTGACTACATTTCACCATTTGTATTACAACCACCTCGGCCTAAGCACCCATGTTATTCTCTGTATTTGAATAGTAAACCATTCCAGCTTTCATCCTTGTCTGCCTGTAATTTGTTCTCTACACATAATCTAGGATGAAACTAAAGTGAGTTTTCTATGATATAATGGGGTCAAAGAGAAAATTGGCTTTCAGCGGATCCATTTGAGGGCCTTGTGTCATTCCCTTCCCCAGTTTTGTTGGTAAATGTGCAAATGTAGCAGGCATGGCCTGAGGAGAACATCGTGACAAGGGCTCAGATCATTGTCAGTGAAGCTCTGCATCACCCCCCACTAGGTAAGTCCCCCAGATCAATAGAGGGACAGCACAAGCTAAATCTAGAAATGGCACTAAAGGAGGAAATACTGAATATCAGTTGTGGCCTTATGACCAGCTCCATCTTTGGAGTTACAGTTTTTTGCACAAACCTTCCTCTCATATTGTTTTCCCTCAAAAATCATTCAAGAGGCCTGGAGAAACTATTGCTAGAAATTATACAAATAGATCTAGGCAACATGAAGGGTGAGCTGTAGCGGGCAATGTGCTGTGTCATCTAGATCTGCTTGCAGACTGAAAAATTATTCTCCTTGGAAATTGTTGTTGGCTAAAGCCCTCAGCCATCAACATTCTGGGGTTTTATCTTGTCTGAAGACTACCATCTTTCCCAAGGTCATGCTTCCTTTCCATTAATTGTGTGTAACCAATGAATGAAGGATGCAATGATGACAAAACCTGGCTCTCCTGTCCCAATTTCAATGACTCTGGAGTAACACTCTGGCTTCAGAGTGCCCCATAAAACCAGCTGAAGCTATAACTTTTTTGCAGCCCACTTTGTTCTCTTCTCAACTGGTTTCTTTCTCCTTATCACATGTGTTCATTCTAAAAGCACTCACAATAAATACTTTGTATGTGAATCTATCTCATATTCTTATCTCCAATGAATCCCATCTGTAACAATACACTACATAACTGCACAATAAAGATCTATTTAGGCATAAATTGAAATGGCCCCCTCAGCCTGAAATTACATTTCTTGTTTCATCCTCATAGACAACTTCAATAATAGTAATATTTATTATTATCATTACTATAATGGTAATGTTTACTAATGACTGCTGACTTTGTTAAATACTTTATGTACACTTATTATCCCCCTGCCCCCCACCTACCAGTTGAAAATAAGTTTTTTGGTGGCAGGGACATATTCTAAATGGTCACCACTGAATCTTCAGCACCTATTAGAGTAAATAGCACAACATAGTTTCTCAATAAACTTACCCTGAGTGAATTATTTTAAAATAAATTAACTTTTGTAACTAATATGTGAGAATTTTTTTATCAGCAGAATTTCATTATATCAAACATATTTAGCATAAGCTACCCTCAAATGTATGCATTTATACAAGGCAGATTGTTTCTTCTCCTCTTTTAATACATAATTTTCTCAATACATATTTAAAAGCCTTAGTGAGTTTCATAAAACAATATCTGGTCTATTTTTTCTCATAGTTTTAGATTATTTCTAGAATGTTCACCATAAAGTATACTGAATAAGGCAACTGGTTTACATTTTGAATCTCAACTGAATCTCACCAAATACTAATGATCTCAACATTTTTAATTTGCTTACTGCCAATCAGAAGGGAATATGGAATTAAAAGAGTTTTTAATACAAGCTTAGGTTGTTTTCCTTTGAGAACCCTTAGAAAATGCTTTTGGAGTAGCTTGACAGGTGCTTAGGTCTTAGACATATTAAATTTCTTCCTCTCAGATGAGAGAATCTAGTCTCTGAAAAGAGTAAACAGAATTATCCAGCAGGAAGGAGGAGACACTCACACATTTTTCTACTACTGCTCTTGTCCTTGAAAATATAAATGTATCAGGCAAGCCACTGTTCCCTTCTCTCTATTAATGTGATAATCTTTCCTAAGTCACATGCTTTAAATAAAACATATTTTGTCATGACCTGTACTTCCAAGATGTACTTTTGTTTCTGGCCTGACAAAAAATGGCAATATGCCTCATTTCATTTTCTTGTTTTTTAAGACCACTTCCTTCTGGTTTCAAAAATACAGATAGTTAAAACTCAAAACTGAAGAAAGAATGTTTAAGGCAATAGTCAATCTCATTAACCTCATCAAACCTCATCAAAATACTTCCTATGCAAGAAGATTAATGCCCACCTTTTCTAAAAGCTCCAACTTTCCCATGACATTTTGACTCCACACATATGGACAAACATATGGTTTTTTATTTGATTTTTCCTGAATGTTGTAACACTCTCCTAAGCCGAGGTGAATTTGAAATTATGAGCATAAACATTAAAGATTTTTTGATTCAGAAACAATGAAGAACTTCATTCTTCACTGCTTTATTTATTTATTGTTTTGATAATTCTTTGGCCACTATTTAATAGTCATTGGACAAATATTAATAGTAAAAATAATATACTTTGAGACTTAGGGGCACCAAATACAGCTATATTTTGATTTACTGGTTTATATGCTTGCATGTTACCTATCTTTTTATATTCTAAATTTGGAATATAAACTCAGAACATTTAGAAAAATTCAAGACATTCAGGTTTACACAGTAAAAATAAGTCACAATATAAAAGTATAAAAGTCCTCAGCTTGCACATTCAGAAGATCAACAAGCGTTTATGTGATTTTGATTAACTCACTCTTTGGATCTCATTTCTGTCGTGTATGAAAATATGTCACCTAAAAGAAATTCCAATTTAGGGATTTGGATCTTATGATTATTAAAGTTTTTTATACTAACTCAGTAAACATATCTGAAGCATCCCCAGGCAAAATCTGTTCAAAATCTGTTCAAGGGACTTGAAAAGCAAATAAGTTTAGATTAAAGTGAACATTATGGTACATTCTATTATTTCTTTAGAATTTATAAGTCACATATCACAGTAAAAATATATTTACCTATTTATTCTCTGATGGAATATTAATAACTATGTCAGATTGTTGTTTGTGCTGGTCATGCTTGTTGATTTTGTTGGATTGTTAGAGAGAAAAATATGGATTGCTGTCACAGGCTTCCAAAAAAGATGTATTATGGGATAGACAGATAATTATTTATTCTGCAATGTGCCCTTCTTCTATAATAATAGAATTTAAGACACCTAGAATAATGAACAAATTTGTCAGCCTTCTTTGCAGCAAGACTAAGAGCTTGTCAATAGCACATAAATGGGAATTTTTTATGTCATCCTCTCAAATCATCTTTAAGGTCCTCTTGTTGCTTGTTCTTTGCTGCTGCTTCTTTTTATTCTTCTTTTCCTCTATCTTTGTTTAGCAGAGTAAGGCCCAGATTACACAATCTAGGATAAGATCAATACCTAAGGTATTGTGAAGTGGTCAGCTGGAAACTATGTCTCTGAGAACTTCACCGTCAGCTCTTACATGCAATAGGGAATTGCTTACTTTCACTTATGTAGGCAATAAATATACTCCTTTTCTGTTTTGGCCATAACAACTCTGGGTGTCTCTTACACCCCACTGAATGGAATCTTAACTAATACATCTATTTTAGAAGTTTAGCAAAGGAGCAAAGTTAATTTGCACTTAATGTTTTCGATATAATATTTTTATGCAACATTAATGAAAAACAGAATGAAAACAATAAAACCCAAAAGAAATAAATAAATATCCTGTCCTCTCACCCACATCCAATTTCCTTGTGACTAAACTTTACTTTTTTAAAAATATGGAATTCATTGATAGATTGTGCCCTATTTAAAAATTAATTAACTGAGTTCAAATAAGCCCTTTGGCCCAACTCCTATTAAGAATATTTATGATGATTTATACTCTCCATTGAACAGATAAATTCATGTGAGTGTTAAGACAGTATTGGCTGAATTAAATCTAAAATCACTAAGTGAATGACTTTATGTGGGGACTGCAGAAAGACTTAATGTTTTTTTTTCTTTTTTTTTCTTGGTACAATGTTATTTTCTACAACTCAGAAAAAGTCTCAAACAGCAATCTTAATCTTTAATTTCTTCCCCAAATATGTGCAAATATAACTTGGATATTTTGAAAAGAAAAATGGGGAAAGGGTGGTATATATATTTTTCTTAGTCTTGGTAACATTAGTAACTGACTTTCTAAATCAAAAGTAATGTTCCAAATAAGAACAAATAAGAAAGATCTTGCATGAAGCCAAACCTCTGTCTTAACTCTCAGGAGTTCTTGACGAATGTCCAAAGACTGGCTACACCCAAGGTATTTCCTGCTTCTTTGGTCGGGACTTTCAATAAACAAGTATCTTTCTTCTCACATTAATATTATTTATTAGGGAGCTTGTCAGTGAAAGGAGGCAGCCAAATGCCTTCAGGAAATAAAAGACCAGTATCATCGTGTCTAAACATTCAATGTCTTTGAGTCCGGCCTTTCCCACACCTGCAACCCCAATTGTATGTTTTATCAAGGTGAATTTTAACAAAAGTTCATTTACATTCCAAGTTTTCTCAATTCTTAAATTTTTAGTGTGGCTCATCATGCATATGAATGGAGTTTAGGTGAGGTGGGAAATTAATTCTACCTTACTTCCTATTCTTCTCCCCTACAATATTTTTCCTTTGACCGAGTTCCCGTATTTATGACTCAGCTATTTGAGCAATGATGTGGGTTATCTTTCATAAGTATCACCATCCAGAGTTTCACATCTTCCATCTTTCTTGGGCTAATGCTCTGCCCTATTACTCTGTTCAAAGCCCTTTGTGTCTACATGTGTTCACACAAGGGTTTGCGCACTCAAGTCGAATGATCTGTTTATTCTGGAACCAGTCAGAGTACCATATTTGCCAATGTGAGATCATTGGAATAACTTTTGCTGATGTCTTCCACATGTTGGCTAACTATTTGAATTCTAGTTTAACCAATGTGTGCAGTGTCTCATTTCCCACATATGCTGAGCAAGGCTCTTATTCAGAAGGTGGAGGAATTGCCAAGTGTCTGATAAAAGAATTCTGTGAAAATGTTGCCTTATCTAAAAGAAAATGTGTCCTTAAACAATCTGAGATCTCCTATTGTTAAGCTAGTCATACGTGAAAGCAACTTGGAACAGTAATATCTTTTCCAGATTTCTTGGATTAATAATAATGAAAATGGAATAGGCAAAAAATTGAATAAATCCTATGATGTAAATGATTGTATCATCCTTCCTTAGAGAGAAAACTTAATGAGACTCATAAGGCATTGATGGGAATAATTTATACGCAGTATCTTGTTTCAAATTCGATTCTATCTTGTCTCTATTTCTTGAGGAACATGGTTGTTTTGTGCTGGTAAATGACAAAGAGGTGATAATTCTGATTTTTCATGCATTCTTGCTGTTGAATTTACCTAGGTCTTGTATGAAATGTAATTGGTCATGCCATTAAAATGGTCTCTTTTTTGCCCATTGTCATGTTATTTGCTAATCTACTTCAGGTCTTTGTCATAGCTATAAGGTGACGTATTTCAGAGTAAAATGGTAACAGTATGTACATATTTTTAATAATGTTCAGTTGGAATGTTTTGCACTTTTTTGGTTAAGAATAACACTATAGGAATGTAGACATATCGTGACTATTTAACTTTCTCTTCAGATTTTCACTGAACTTTACTGATTTTTTTACTCATATTCAATTTATTTCTGCCTTATAATATCTCCTCATAACTCAGCTCATTAAACTTTTTAACCTTTGATCATATCACTGATAAATATATTCTCGTCATATATTCTTGACCTTTATCTGTTAAGGTTACGCCAAGTTCCATTTGAATAAATTAATTGGTAGAAAGTCACTATTTGAAGCAATATAATCTTAATATTTGAGAACTGGTATCATTTGTTTGTTGTGACACAACAAACAATAACAATTCCACTAAAAAGACACACAAATTTTGGACCTTCTGGGAAATATCAAGAATAAAAAGGTTGATATAGTTAGGGCTACTGTGATCTTGGGCTGTGAATTTGCCAATTTACTGCCTGTCACTTGAAATAACAATATAGAAATTTTCCGTATATGAGGAAGTAAAGTGAAATTTATACTTTATGTTGAATACAGAAGTTGACTTTGCAGGAACCTTCTGAGAACAGAAATGTCTAAACCTGGAAATCATTGAAAATAAATCCATGATGTACAGTTATTTGTGAGCTTAAAAGAGTCACACATTTTCCCTAAGTCACTAAAATTAGACTAAAGTATCTTCAGGCCCACAACAGAGAGTCAATATTTATGTCTATTAATATGCCCCTAATTATAAAGATGTCTTTTTACCTTTCTTGTGGTTTCAATAATACTGGTGATAGAATGATGTGATTAAAGGGTATGCAACTTTGGCTGCATAGGTAACAAATAAATCCTGTGCTTTTCCGAGTAATCTTGTGGATAGGTAGCTATTTGATCTGGTATGCACCTCTTGTTTATCTATTAACCCTATTAACATCAAAAAAGGAATCACTATAATACAAAGATAGCAGAATCCATGTCAATGGGCATCCAGTATTGGAAATGGAAGAGTATTATGGTATGTAACTAGGAATACTATTGAATTCTTAGTCTAACTCCATAGCATTGTTGATAAAGAAAACAACCAGTTTCTACTAGCTCTGGCTGCAGTGCGTACCGAAGCAATATATGCCACTACGGCAGCCCATTTGGGAGCATGAGGGAACAGATATATCTATGTCAGCATATCTGAGTTGACATCAATTTCTGCCAGTAAGAGGTCAATCTACTACAAAGACAATATACTGAAGATCATCATATGAAAGGTACAATAAAACCAGGGATCTGGATGCCTAGATGCTTAAGTCTTACTATTGTTATTTGAAGATGAAAGTAACCTGACCCATAAGTCTATTTTCAGCTTCATGTTTTATATAGTAATAGCAGATTTAAATGCAAATAGTCTAGATGTCCACTGTAAAATTTTGATTCCCCAGCACACTCCTACTAATCCAAGTAAATATTAAGTATATAGTACAGAACATATAGGAGCCTTAAGGGAAATATGATAATGTAAAGCTTTCATGGGCTTTTACAAATTATGATACAGACTTGGTGTGATAGTTAATTTCATGTGTCAAATTGACTAGGTCATGGAAATCAGATAGCTGATTAAACATCATTTCTGGGTGCACTTGAAGGTGTTTCTGGAAGATACTAGCATTTGAATTGGTGGACTCAATAGATTGCCTTCCCCAATTTGGGTGGTCATCATCCAGTCCATTTAGATCCTGATTAGAATAAAAATGTACAGGAAAAGATGATTGGCTGGTTATCTGACTGACTGCTGGATCTGGAATATCAATCTTCTTTTGCCCTTGGAGCTCCTATTCTCAGGTCTTCATACTTACACTGAAACCTACATCATCAGCTCTCTGGCTCTCAGGCCTTAGAACTCTATCACTGACTTTCCTTCTTCTCCAGCTTGCTGACAACAGATCATGAGACTTAGACTGCATTATCTATTTATTTTTATTTTTATTTTTTATTTTTTATTTTTTGAGATGGGGGTCTCGTTCTGTCACCAGGCTGGGTGCAGTGGTGATCTTGGCTCACTGCAACCTCCGACTCCCAGGTTCAAGCGATTCTTCTGCCTCAGCCTCCCAAGTAGCTGGGATTACAGGCATGTGCCACCACCCCCGGCTAATTTCTGTATTTTTTTAGTACAGACGGGGTTTCACCGTGTTGGCCAGGATGGTCTTGATCTCCTGACCTCGTGATCTGCCCACCTGGGCCTCCCAAAGTGCTGAGATTACAGGCGTGAGCCACTGCGCCCGGCCTAGACCGCATTATCATGTGAGTCAATACATTAAAATAACTCTTTTTGCATATATATATATGTGTATGTGTGTGTGTATGTGTGTGTATAATGTGTCTATATATAAAACATGTATGTGTCTATAAATAAAAAATACATATGGCCGGGTGTGGTGGATAACGCCTGTAATCCCAGCACTTTGGGAAGCTGAGGTGGGCAGATCATGAGTTCAGGAGTTTGAGACCAGCTTGGCCAATATAGTGAAACCCCATCTCTACTAAAAAATACAAAAATTAGCCAGGTGTGCTGGTGCACGCCTGTATTCCCAGCTACTCAGGAGGCTGAGGCAGGAGAAATCGCTGGAACCTGGGAGGCAGAGATTGCAGTGAGCCGAGATCACACCACTGCACTCCAGCTTGGGCAACAGAGTGAGACTCCATCTCAAAAAAGAAAAGAAAAGAAAAGAAAAAAAAATATGTATATATATAACGTATATATTATATATGTATCTATTTATCTGTGTGTGTGTGTATATATATATCCTATTGGTTCTGTTTCTCCGGAGAACCCTAGTACACTTGAGAATGTGGAAAGAGGTATGGTATAGGATGAAAAAGCTGAGATGCTGTGGTAAATCTTATTTCTTCCAGGTAATACCCTCTCTCTGTCACTATGGTGAAACAGGGTTAGTGAAATTTGTTTTCCCCTTAATGTCTGTATGCTTACCCTGTACTTTATACAAGAAAACACATAAAATCCAGGTCATGCAACCTCCAGTAAAACGTAATGAATTTTGGTGGTTTAGGGAAGTAGTGTGTGGTGGGCTTGGCCTCTGTTTTTTGTTATTTGCTTATTTTAATACCAACTGCTTTAATTACAGATTTTACAGATAGGGAGGGATAATAAAGAGTTTCAGAACAGACACTCAAGTTTACTGCCAGTCCCTGATAAACTAAATTATAAATGGAGAAAAAGGTTTCAATATTATCAATTAACTCATTTTTATCACACTTTTCGGTTGTCTAATACTGTCATATTTACTGTTATCTATTTACAAGGAGAATGGAAAAGATGGTGCTGTCTTAGGTTTGTTCCATTATATGGGATTTATCCATAAATATGATTTAAAATTTACATGGCTTAGGTTGAGGTTTCTTTATTTTCCGATAATTAGCTGTTGAAAAGAATGTTATCTCTGTATGATTCTAAAAATGTTATCATTAAAAAGCTAGTAAGTGATTCTTGCTCATGAGTTCCCAACAGAACAAAATGATTTAACTTATAACTTTATTTCTCAGGGTATGCTTAAGTTTGTCTGGCATCCTGTCTGAATTTTAGCAACAAGACAATCCAGGGAAGGACAAGTCATCAAGCTACATGAATGACTGGTTAGAGTGTTTATTGAACCTGTAAGAGAGAGGGTTAGAGCCTTTGCTTAGATTCCATCTGTATTCTAAGTAGACACTGGGAAAGTCAAATAAAATTTCTGAAGAGTGAGCTATAGGCAAGAAAGAAAATGCATTCCATGTTAGCATTGACAAGCAGGGGTAGAGGCAGTGCTAATGGGGGCTGGTTCAATGAGTGGGCTTGTTTCTTCATATGCAGAATAATCAATGACTGTGGATACCAATGACCTTCCTTTGAATGCAGTTATTATCCTGGCAATAACATTTATAATTTTTTCTTTTAACAAATTTTTTTCAGACTGGGGTAAATGTTAGTAATGTATACAGACACATACATACAAACACTGGCGTGCACATATACACTCATACCCATGCCTTTCTAGCACATATATGTTAATCACCTTTCCCTCTAATTCTTTTAAACAGAAAAGGAAAGAAAGTTGGAAAAAGAATGAGTAATGGTGCTAAAGTTCTTCCTCACAGGCTTGACATTAGGTTCCCTGGAATTTCTCCACTCTCCTCGCACCTGTACACACTTCTGGTATAGCACTTATGACACTGCATTCTATTTACTTATTTATGTATCTATCTCTCTTTTGAAATTATGAGATTTTTGAAAGTCAGGACTGTATGCTGTATAATGGGTTGGTAAATTCCATAAAATGAATATATTGAAGGTACATGAATGGCTCCACCTACAATAATCCTTCATTCAGAAATGAGGATCGTTTCACTACTGAATGACTTACTCCCATACAGTATGGAAAAACACGGTTGGCTTCATTTTTTTTTTCATTTGCCTTATTCATTAAAAAAAAAGCTTTTGCTGAGTTTTCCAAATTATCAGATAAGCAAAAAGAAGACTGATAAAAATTGATTTCACTACTCTAAGTGACTTTGAATATAAGGAATTCTAAGACTATTTTGTTTGATTTTTTAGAGGACAGGGCAAATGAAAAAAGCAGATATTTAAAATGAAACCGGAGGTTTGACATGACATCTGGTGGTATAGGTGAAGCTGCTTATCTAATTCAAGTCTTGGGAACTGAGACAAATATTTGACTTTATGCTTTATGGAAACTTCACTGGAAAAGCACTACATACCATTCATTATGGAGGACAATCAATCTCTTTCAGCATGATTTAGTTACTAACATACCAAAAACTGTCATTATTAAAGATGGAATCCCTTCAAGTGATTGTAGCTGTCTACCAAACCTGAGGATAATTTTCTGATAAGTGCTAGTATGTTTGGGAAAAAAATACTTAATTTACAGTTACAGAATAATGATTAATGAACACAGGGTGAGCAAGGAGATGTGACAGCGTATATATCTATGTCAGCATATCTGAGTTGACATCAATTTCTGCCAGTAAGAGCGTAATCTTAGACAAGATGTTTAACCATTCACTTCCTCTGTTTCTTTATACCTAAACAAAGAGGTTGGGTTAGATTAGATTTTGTAAATTGTTTTCTGAAAAACATGAGTATGATAGGAGGCTAAAGATTTAATACAACATAGTTTCTCTGGCTAAGAAAGTTAAACACTTGCATTTTCTGCAGGATCATCCACAGCCTTTATATGTTAATGTGCACTGTGGCTCTTTAAGACAGAGAATACAGTAGGTAGCTGCAAAGTTATATGATTCTACCTGGTAGTAAGCCAGGCTTGGTTACTTCTCAACCCTAAAGAGATGAATTGTTTTGAATTGTAGAAGTCTTCTGCATAAAGAAGTACTAGGCTTTTAAAGTACCAGGCCTTGGAGGCCTCAAAATATTGCATGAATGAAAATCACATTTTACATTCACTTTTAAAACTACTAATGATAAGGCTATATCTCCATCCATTAATGGTAATCTAAAAGACAAAATACTTTCTCATTAGCTAATGCCCAGCCCATTATTAATTGATATTAATATGTTAGTGGTAACATTAGGGTGAGGTTATTTCTTGAAAGTACCAAAAATTAGAGTATTGTTTTTATGTGATACAATTGGATGAGTTTTTTTTCTTTTTGATAGTTCTGCAAGACACTCTAATAGATATCAATCATTTTATTATAATATGCAACCAAATGCCCTTGCTCTCTAATCACATTATGAACTATAGGAAATGAAAAAGGCCACAGTCAGTAATTCAAGCTATGAGAAACATCTAAGAAGAGGCAAACACATTGAGAGGTTAGTTTGTGATTTAAGAAGATACAATTTTGCCTAGTCTAATACTCAAAAAGTGTCCTTCTTCATGCACATATAGCAATAAATAATTGTTGAAAAATGAGATTTAAATTCTGGGTGCACAGATAAAAGATTCAGAAAAAGCCTCCTAAATTTTATTAATAAAAATATAAATAATACTAAATAATACTTTACCTTTTATGCCATGACTTTAGCGCAGGGGAATATTTTGTAGCCAATAGATTCCAATGATGTTTTACTGGCATTGATTTCATGGAAGATGGAGTGACGATGGACTAAAAATAGAGACTATTAGTAAATATTTAAAACCCAGAGAAAACAGTGGCCGTGATATGACTTTGTACATGAGAAGCAACAGTCTAAGGAGGCCATTCGTCATTCTCAGTTTTTAATGTTCCATTTACAACAAATATAGAATAGGTTAAAATTTGTTGTGAAAAAAAATTTTAGACTGAAAACTGAAAGGATTATAGGGCAGGACAATATTTCACTGAAGATACAGAACCATTAATACTAATAAATATTTATTGAATGTTCACAAAATCCATGGCCATCTGACCAAAGTCATAGGGAGAAAAAACTAACTCTGGTCCACTTTACATTTAAGAGAAATATTTAGTTCACAATCCGTGAATGAATAACAATCCTCTGGAGCTTGAAGAACGATCTAGATGAATTACACTTCTTCCCAGTTATGACTCTACAATCCTTTTTCTGTTCAATGATTGGTGGTGTTAGCCTCTGCTGTACTGCTTTTTTTCCAAGTGGATAAGTCCTTTCTAATAAAAACTCCCCCAGCTCATAGAGCATTTCTTCTGTCCGCATTCTCTGATTCTGCTGAGGGGTGTTAAGGATGTTGTTCAGCAGAAGACATTTCTCCCCTAGTGCTGACTAATATGACCTCCAGTGTTATGTAGTTTTAGGATTGCATTAGAAACATTAGTTACAGTAAACCGCAAGGACAGTTTTGTAGGATGATCCTTTAATAAGAGCATCTCCTCTTGCTCCTGCTTTCCTGTCAGCAAGGATGGTCTTAGTCCTTGCCACTCACTTTTCCATCTTTGGTACCATTAAATCCATCCCATCTATCTGTCTCTCATTGCATTGCAAAACATTGCAGACTTAAAGATTTGCCTGAAGTGCGGAATTAACTAGATTCTTAAAATATAATAGTTCCAAATTGTAACAAGAAAATTTAATATTAAATTAAATAATTCCTCATATCCTCAAATTATACGTAGTAACCCAGTGTCCTGAAAACAAAATAGAAATCCAGAGTTTCGGTGAAGAAAATTTCCTAAACTTCCAGCATATTGACAAGTCATTACACTTAGTAATGTTATGGTTTTTTAATGATATATTTTTATGTTTTAATTTTTAAAACATTTAAAAAATAACCATAGCACTATATAGATCCGTTGTAAAATATATATCATCAAAAGAAAATGGCAATAACCCAAAACAAAACCACCATCAAATATGGACATTTTAGATCATTTCCTTTTCTCTATTTATGGTGCACGTTTTTTATAATTGAGATCAATAATGTATATAAACTGCATAGCCTCCTTCCTCACTTATAATTATATCATAATATTTTTGTCTATTTGTTTAAAAAATTATAAGCATTAGTTTAAAAGCTTCATAGTATTTTATAGTATGCATAGGCCCACTTTATTTAAATATTTCCTGTAAAAATGAACATTTATATTGTGTGTAGTTTTGGTTTATCTAAGTATAAATCTTTGAAAAGAATAATCAGACCTCTAAGATTTTATTCTTAGAAATTGAATTATTGAAATAAAGAATATAAACATTGTGTTCTTTATTCAGTTCTCTTTATTCACAGAGAATGTTTATTACTGAAAGAGTGTTAATGGTTTATCTAATTCGTGGAAGTTTACCAACTGAATTATTAAGATGTCCTGCTCTTTCACCAGTTAGTTATTTTGTAAATAACTATTTCTCAAGAATTGCATATGCAAGATGTTTTCTAAGTTATTTTATTACTGTTGATGTCTTTAAACTTTTATGAGTAAAATATTTTTAATATGGTTAGATAATAGCAAATGAGTTCATACTTTTTTCCGTTGTTGTGGTTTAATGTCATGCAACAAATGTTATCATGAACCCGAAACATTTAACGTATCTTAAAAGAATGATCTCTTTATTTACTTATTAAACTCAGTTATATAGGTAGATAGTAACACTTTTTTCCTTGGCATACGGAGAGACTAACATCCAAATAGCTAACTTTATTGAATAGATTACACTACTTTAAAAATCTAGTAGATTTTTGGAGACATGCTGTAGGCAAAATATTACCTGAAGCTCATATCAATCAATACCTATCTTTCTCTTTAGTAATATATTTGAAGAAGGCTTTAATGTCAGTGAATATACAAGTACTCTTCCTATTTGCTTTTCATGCTATAACTGTTTTTTTAATTATCAAAAATTTCCAAATTGTAGGAAAGTAAATTCCTCAATTTTGAGATGTTTTCATTTTGAGATAATTTCATATTTTGGTGTTTCATTTTAGTCTAGATGTACAGAACTGTAAAGGAATTTAATGGAGTCTTCTATTATTTACAGAAGAATCAATACTTAAAACTTTTCAATTTAATGGGATGGATATTTGAGTAACAGACATCCTTCATACTTTTAAGGATAAATTATCTGTAAATCTCTTAAATTGCCAAGTTCCATTGTGAGGTTTATATTTAAATATTAACAAACTAAACATTAAAACCCAGTCTAATTACAGCTCATATATTCTAAGACTTTTAATTAATTTCTACCACTTTAATGCTTTCTACATCTCTATGTAACTTTCAACTGCTTTCTAAACTTTTCAAGTACTGGGTATTCTTTGATCTGAATGATAGATAAAAACACATTACACCAAAACTTTAGTTTCCACTACTGTTAAAATACACTGCAGGGACCTATGAAAGTGCTGTCTACTATATAAATATATGTTGATGTTTCATGTATAATTGCTTCCACAGGGACACTAAATATATTCCATAGATTGTAAGGCAATCATAAGTCAGAAGAGACATTGAGTGTGTAAATAATGTAAATGCTTGTCTTGAGTCATGGGGGAAAACCCCTGAACCATTTTTCTTACCATATTTCAACAGCTGCTGGCTTTGTCTGAGAGGCAAATAATTGGAGGTACTTATGTATGTCATGGTTATTTCAGAATCCCTGTGTTCCTCTCCAGGCAGAATCCCTATGAATTTTGGCTCTTACTTATGTGTTCTCATGATACCGAAATTCCAGAGAGCGAGGGTGCAATGATAGCCCCAGAGAAACATTTCCGTCCTTAGAAGTTAGTGCACTTTGGATTATCAGCTTGATCGTATCCTTACTTCAAATTCAATGGTATGGATCTTATAAATCCTGGATCTCCATATATAAATGGCTCCATCTGACTCAGTATCTTCCTTCTCAGGCTAGTTTCAGTTTCTGGGCATATTTAAAACAAATGTATTTTATAATATAGCCAAATAATCCTGAATAAACTCTTATCCACAATTCTTGAAGTAACATTTAGAAAGAGAAATATATTTAAGCAGAGAAAAGCAGAGAAAGTATTTAGAAGCTTAAAATTAGAAAATTCTTTATAGAAATAAAGTACCTATTTGTGTTGATAAAAAGCAATAAAATAAAATCAACATTTTTCAGTACACGATTTTTGTAGACATTTGCATAAGGGTCAGTAATTATGTATGATATAGTACAAGGAAAATGATGGAGCAAACTAGTTTATTTTGTAACAACTTGCCCAATAAACTGAAATATAAAATAATAGCACATCACCAAAAAACTTCTCTTCCGAAGTATCTCATCGAAATATTTACAAGTCATATATTTTCTTTGTAGTTTGGTTATATCATCTGTAAAGTGTGGGAGAAAAACTAGATAATATTCTAATTTTGTTTTTCACTTTAACTTTGATTTTAAGATCTCATATTGATAATTTGTTAATATTTTATATCATCCTTGAAAGATTTGACGTGCTTCATGAAAGTAAACATAGCAAAATCACGTTTTCTAAGTGAGAGTTGAAAAAGGTAAGGGTAAGTTGAAAATAAGACAAAATAAGAGAGTTAATGCACATACCTACATTTTCTCCTAATACTGTATCTGTTTACCTGCAAGAGTAATTTGCAACCTCAAAATAATTACAATTGACACTAACTACATGATAGGGTAACTAATCATTTTAACTACAGAGTGATTGAAAGACTTAACCTAAATTATAGAAAGTATTATGGGAAACCATTTTCCTGCTATTTTTGTTCAATATGGCTGCTGATAGGTTTGATTTTTTCCTATGGTAGGTTACATAAAAGGCCACAACCCTTCACCACTTCCTATAAAGCTGACCTTTGCAATGTAACTTTGTATTACCTGCCACTAAAGAGGTATAGTGGTATTGCTTTATCACTTGAGTCTAGACTTAACCATATAATTTGTTCTATGTAATACAATGTTAGCAGGCATAATATTACTAGGAAAAAAATACTCTTATGGAAAGTACTTGTACAGTCAAACTCACTCTTGTGCTTCTGCCATGGCCAAGAGATAGGCATGCCTAGGCTAGCCTACTGGGCCCAGGAGAAGAATAAGGGACATATGACTTAGAGCTGCCTAGTTGTACACAGGCTAGATAAGACAGCCTTGTGGTGAGATGTGTGACAAATCAATTTTGCTATATATCACTGGGATTTGTGGACTATGCAGCATTAGTATTCCAATAATTCCGAGTCTGGCATTATTATCTCCAAGGGGTCATGGTACTCTATGGCTTAGACACACAGATGAGAAGTATGTCTTCCTAAAACAACAGCACATGGGAACACTACAGGGTCAAGAATGGCCTGGGTCTCCTACCCAGGACTCATGTTCTGTATTGGAACTGAGTATCTTAGAGATTGAAGGCATGAAGGACGTGCCGTTCTAAAATATGCCTAATTAGTATATTGATTCTTTCAAGTTGAAAACAGTACAGAAATTGCAGTTTTAGAAAGGGCTATCTAGCTTGTTTCTTGCTGTGTGCACAAGCCGTAAAGATTTCTCTGGGAGGGATACTTTTCCTGTGCCAGAAGAAGAAAGTAGCCTTTATCATCAGAGACTGGGAATTGGAGGCTTCAGAGGACCTGAATAATTATGCTTACCAAAGTAACGCTTATCTTCAACTAGTTTTACAGCCCCCTCCCTTGCATATATCTGCTAGTGACTTTCCTAGAAATTTACTTCTAGGCAGATCACCTTTGTTATGTCATTTCTTCTTGAATTTATCATTCTTTGTCTAAAAAGTATAAAAACATCCGACTTCATGCTCTTGTAAACATCCCCGTGTACATGTAAAACTAATACAACCTGTATGCTTTTCTCTTGTTAGCTTGCCTGCTGTCAATTTGGTTTCTAGATCCAGCTGAAGAGCCCACATGAGAGTTAAAGGGAGGTTGGAGGTGATCTCTGGCTTCCCTATGGGATCTAGACAGCCAAGCTAACACACAAGCCATTCTGTGAATAAGCTGACTTGTGATAGAACTTAGGCTTGAGAGAACACCACTGTCTAACATCTGCTTGTTTTTATTTCCATGATTCTTGCTAGGATTTCTTACATTCTATTAATAACATTTTTGCTTTTGTAATTCAGTATATTGCTCTTTTCCTCTCTTTTTAAATAACGTGTTTCTTCTTGTAGTATTAATTCATTTTCATCGTCTTCCTTTTCTGCAAAGTTTATTTTTTATTAGATTCTTCATAAGCTTGATTTTTAGCCAGGAAGAAAACATGTTCATTGGCATATTTCATCATTCTCCAACACCTTGAGTTAGTATTAATGAAAATGTCTGTTTTTTAAAAAATATTTAGTTTGGTAAGCAATTCATTTTGGTTCCATAGCATCCATATTTGGAATGTGTACCTCACACTAATCAGAAAGAATGATGCCATTATCTGTTATAGTGGCAACAAGATAATTAATATCTAGTGATAGACACACTCAAAATTTCATTAATTATATTATTTAAGCTTTTAATTACACTCCAATATACTTCCCCATTTACAAAACAAACTGAAAGGATTCCCCAGCTCACTGTCTCTTGCTGCTATTTATTTCCCAGGAAGATTTATCAAACGCTATGAAAGCTATGAATTGAAATTACCTTGAGCTTTGTTTTCTTAACTGCTTTTCCTTTCTCTGTTCCACCAATAAAATCTAAATAACAAAATAATTGGATGCATTATTTCCAGCTACCTTTTTTCATTTTCTGGTCTTGTACTGAGACCAGGATGCAACCCAAGGAATTAAAAGCACACAGCTAGCTATCACCTTCTTCCTGATCTCTTAAAAAAATAAAGGCAACCTCATTCACAAGAGTTTTCATTTGATATTATAATAATGAGGATCAAATTATTGAGGCACTCCTTCTGTCACTTGGGAAAGAAAACAGAAACACTCTTTGCTAGTTAGATTTACGTGACTTCCTTTGGAAGCAAGATAATAATTTATATTTAAATGAAATGATGATTAGCATAAGGGTTTATCATGGCAGCCAGCCCACAGCAAGCTTTATTTGTACTTACCTGATGCAACAGAGATAAGAAATGTAAGTGCAGTCCTAGCTCCTTCCCCACAATTAAAGCATTTTGAGGCTTTACTCCCCAAATGACAGGTTAACCAAAATGATTTTAAAAGAAATGTTAATCTACAATTTTTGTAATGTTCTTATAGAAAATAATGATGTCATTAAAAACAACACTAGCTCAGAGACTTATGGCAGCTGTTAACCCAAGTTTGTATCAATTCTGGAAAGACAATGTATGTTTCCGGCTTCCAAGTCCTCTTTTTATAAAATGGAAATTTCAGAATGTTTTCCTAGGTTTCTTCCAGATCTAAAATTCTGGATTTCTGTAACCACAAAGAGGTGAGTTTTTATCATACCTATTTAACTCACTGTGAAGAATTTGTATTCTTTCAAGAGATGGTACAATTTCATTTTACAGAAAAGTCTCACTTTTTATTATCTTTCTCAGCTTTTCCTATTGACTTGTAATAGGACAAGTTGTGTAAGATAGGTGATAGGCTGGGGTGATTAAAAAGCCAGATTCTATGGCCATATAGCCTGATTTTAAATCTCGGATTTGTCACACATTGCTGTGGACTTCGGATAATATATTTAGGTTGTCTATTTCTTAGCTTTTGTTAAAAAAAAAAAAAGAAGATAATCATGGGGCCTGTCTAACAGGGTCTCTTGGTATTTTTGCCTGTATTAATACATCTATGAGAAGGGTGAATCTTAGCACTGAGCACTTAGCCTCAGTAGAAATACTGTAGCAATATGGAGTTCTTTTTTGAGAAAGAGCCTTTCTTAACTACCCAAATATAACTTTGGGAAACTATCCTTGGGTATCCTTCTCAAATTACTAAAACTGAGTCATCCATCACAATAAAAACAGAATAAAATTTATCTTTTTTTCCATCTATGAGAACTTTACCCAAGTAAAGTTTGAAATATGCAAAATTCCGGTTGCATTCTTTTATATATAACTTACTTTCCTACCTTCACAGATGCTACAGGGTAATTCTAAATCCTAAAGTTTATTACTATTAGTTATTATACATTAATCATTGCTTTGGTATCACTCTATTTTTACAAATGTTTTCTTTAAAATATCTATTAAAACTCTGCTTTTCTAGGCATATCATAAAATGTTCAATATGATTTATCCTCAGAAAATTGCAAATTAAAGCAAAAATGAGCTATTGATATATAAGTATTAGAATGGCTTTAAAAAAACTGAATAGGCGATGGGACAGTAGAAACCTTCTTTCATCGCTAATGAGAATTCAAAATGGTACCATCGTTCTGGAAGATATTTTGGCAGTTTTTTTACAAACTTAAATATAGTTTTAATATACAATCCAGCAGTTGTGTCCCTGGCTATTTATCCATTTCAGTTACAATTTTATGCCCACACAAAATCCTGCATATGAATATTTATAGCACTTTCATTCATAATCACAAAAAACTGGAAGCAACCAGGATATCTTCCAATATGAATGGATACACAAACTGGGATTCAGTCATGCTATGGAATATTATATAGTGGTAAAAATGAAATGAGCTATCAAGCCACAAAAAAGACATAGAGGAATCTTAAATACATATTGCTAAGTTTAAGAAAAGGCTATATACTATATATTCCCAATTATACAATGTCTCAAAAAAGGCAAAACTATTGAGACATTAAAATGATTATTGATTCCCAGGTATTAAGGAAAGGGAAGGCATGAATAGGTGAAGCACAGTATTGTTTTAGGGCATTGAAACTATTTTGCCTGATACTATAAAGGTGGATACATGACATTATGCATTTGTCAAAACCCATGTAACTTTTTTTTAATTTTTTTAAATTTTTTTTTATACTTTAAGTTTTAGGGTACATGTGCACATTGTGCGGGTTAGTTACATATGTATACATGTGCCATGCTGGTGCACTGCACCCACTAACTCGTCATCTAGCATTAGGTATATCTCCCAATGCTATCCCTCCCCCCTCCCCCCACCCCACCACAGTCCCCAGAGTGTGATATTCCCCTTTCTGTGTCCATGTGATCTCATTGTTAAGAAAAAAACAAACAACCCCATCAAAAAGTGGGCGAAGGACATGAACAGACACTTCTCAAAAGAAGACATTTATGCAGCCAAAAAACACATGAAAAAATGCTCATCATCACTGGCCATCAGAGAAATGCAAATCAAAACCACAATGAGATACCGTCTCACGCCAGTTAGAATGGCAATCATTAAAAAGTCAGGAAACAACAGGTGCTGGAGAGGATGTGGAGACATAGGAACACTTTTACACTGTTGGTGGGACTGTAAACTAGTTCAACCATTGTGGAAGTCAGTGTGGAGATTCCTCAGGGATCTAGAACTAGAAATACCATTTGACCCAAAACCCATGTAACTTTAAAGCATAAGGGGGTAAACTTTAAAATTAAAAGGTAAGAAAAAAGAAACATTTAGAAGGTCCAGGGATTCCAAAATAACACATGCGCAACAGGAACATTTCATTGTATGGCAAATAATGGTGAAATTACACCTGTGTCTCTAGTAGATTATTGAAACAATCTCACCGAAGATGGTGAGGAGAGGAAGATGCTGAGCTGAGTAACTTTGTAAATGAGTAAAGTCTGTAAGAGTAAGGGCAAAAGAAACTGCCTGTAAGCACTGTACTCTATTTGGTAAAGTAGCCTCCTGGCAAGCACTAGTTACCAACTTTGAAACTACTGCATATATGCCCTGGAATTGAACAATTAAATAAAGGAACAGTGGATGGTGAGAGCCAAACTTCTCACTGTTGGAATAGGAATTTACAGATAAAGCAAGGGAAGGAGATAAGCATTATCCAAGCAATCATAGATTGGCTTTGGAGAAATCAGTATAAACTCAAATTTAGCTTAATCTAGAGGCAAGTGGTTATATACAGAAGTTCTCTGTGAATCTAAAACTGCTCTAAAAATAAAGCCTAATATTGAAAACAAAATTTATTTCTATATTACCTTCATATTCCTTCTCAAATTATTTTACTTCTTCTCCTCCTTATTTTGTTTCTCCTACTTCTTCTTCTTATACCTGTAGGGAAATATTTTAATTCAGCTTTTCTAAGCATATTAAAAGTTGCTCAGTAAAAATAAAATCAATATTATACACACTATATATTTCACCTATTGGGTTAATTTCTATAATTTCCAATAGAAAAGAACATTATTTGTTTGTTTTGTTCACTGCTAATTCCCCAGGACCTTGAATATTGTCAGACAAACAATGTTTCATTTTTTAGCATAAATATTTATCAAATATTGCATGGAAAATATTTCATGGGACATACTTATACTAAAAACAATATTTTTGTCTATCTGAAATTCAAATTTAACTTAATGTTCTGAATTTTTGTTTATTATGTGTTTGTTGGTTTTAACTAAATCTGTCAACCCTACCTGAAACTTACACAATTTCGGACACCTACTTTATTAAAAATGGAAAATTACAAATTAAAATTATATTGCCCAGAATGAGGTCCATGTAAATGAAGATTCCCAAAATTTAAGCTTCATTAGCTTCATGGAAAAATCCATCTATAGGAAAACAGCTGTAATTTTTTACCCAGATGGGGTTTGCAGAATCATGTCAATAGAGTAGCAGTTTTGCCACACCCACGTGCTGCTGCCATTAGCATTGACAAAAATTCTAAAGATCCTCAGAAAGTCAATGTTTGAGTTACTCTTTAGAAGACTCTTTTGCCATGTTATAAATTGAGTTCAGCAGCCCTTACCATGGAGTCTATTATCTCGTTGATGATCACTTAACTCCATGAACATTAATGTCAAATAATATGCCACGTCCTCCAAGGGACAAACCTTTTTAGAGGTCTGTGAAACATGAAATGAGTGCTTTTTACAGAGCAGAGCCAAATTGTGATCTCATTGGTACCTAACAAGATTTCAAACACTGAGAAACAGCAATACAAACTTTGTGATGGGGAACTTCAAAAGAAACACTCTAAGTAAAGGGATAAAGAGGCAAACCATTAACTTTGCAAAAGGATTAACATCAAGGATGAAACCTCAGTCTTCCTGGGAACAAACAGCAACCCACACATCCTTCAGGAAGAGACAATGGCAGCTCAGAATGGAAAGCAAGACTCAGGAACAGACTAACATGGAGGTGAACCCTCGGGGATAAAGATAATGCTTCCCTGGCCCAGTGTCTAAAGAACCTGCCGTCTTCAGAGTAGGAGAACTACGTCTTCCTTTTAGTGTTAAGCCCTCTTCTTGGAGCAACTTTTATTATAATATTAAATCTTGCTTCCATGGCTAACACACATTTTACAGTCCAGAGATTTGCCTAGTAACCCATATAATTCTAACTCCAGTGTGAGTAAAGATTACCTGAAGAAAATAGAAGACTGCCTCACTGTGTGTGTGTGTGTGTTCATGTATGTATTTTTGAATTGCTTAATATGGGAGACTATTTAAACTCTAAGTACGGACAGAAGTAAGTTTAAAGACATCCTTAGGTGTAGAGACATCCTCATGGTCCCCTACAATGGGCTCACTACAAATGACTACTTGTCTGAAATTCAGAGTTTATGTTCTAGTATAAATATTCCTGCTTTTTACTAAAGCACTTTTCTCCTTTTTCTCTTCTCCCTCTGTTTACCTCTTCCACCTCTTTCTTTCTTAAATTAACTTTGAGGAGTTGACCTGAAGTCTTAGCATTAAAACTATAAATCAATCAGTTAAAAATGCTTTATCTTTATATGGAATGCTGGATTGGTTAATAAAAACAAAAGAATGAGTAGTGGTTTAGAAGTCCACTCTATTTAGTTCTTCAAGATGCTTAAATCATCATATAGTAAATCATGAAGTTTCACATTTCTTTCACTTGTTCACTCTGCTTTTTGTACTGTCTCTTCCTTCCTCATCCTCCTCCAGCCTCTTTTTTCCACTATTGCTTTGGACTGTTCCTCACCTCCAAGGAGCTATTTACAGTTCCCTTTCTTTATTTCTATTTTAACCAATTAGACTGATAGTGGAAAAGTTAAAAGTTTATGGTCATGAAAAATGTTTCCATTTGCTGAAGCCTCCTGATTTGGGGCTTATTGGCTGGTTCATCCTCCAGAACTGGTACCCAAAATTTGTGTTTCGGTGACATTTAGAGACATCCATTTCTCAAATTTTAAGAAAATTAAGAAACAGGACTATAAAGTTCAAATCAGATAAGGAAAAGAATGAGGACAAAGCAAAATACCCAAAAGGAAATGGGTTTTTTTAAAGTTTGCATCCCTAATATTTGTGAATATATGATTATTTTGTCTCTAACTTGGTGTGGTCCTGTGAGGTCCTATCCATTCAAAGGCAGAGGCTGCACCCAAGGCTCCGTATGGTTGAACTGACTTTTATTGATCAGTGAGGCTGGTGAGTTTTGCAAACTCTCCAGCATGCAAAATTATACTTTGCTTTTCCATGTTTTAGTCTCATCTTTGTCAACTGCACAAGTTTGATTACCTGTGCACATCACAGCAATCTTAGTCCAGGCATCCTCACCTAGATTATCCTCAAGACAACCACGCTAATGACTGAGTACTTTAAGCAGCTGCGATGAAATTAACTGCAGCCAAATATTTACCAACATCACATAAACAGATTCTTATTCATTTCTCCCTCTCTCTCTCTTTTTTTTTTCTTTTTTGAGACAGAGTCTTGCTCTGTCACCCAGGCTGCAGTTCAGTGGTGCAATCTCAGCTCATTGCAACCTCCACCTCCTGGGTTCAAGCGATTCTCCTGCCTCAGCCTCCGGAGCAGCTGGGACTACGGATGTGGGCCCCCACACTGGGCTAATTTTTTGTATTTTTAGTTTTTAGTAGAGATGGGGTTTCACCGTGTTAGCCAGGATGGTCTCGATCTCCTAACCTCATGATCTGCCCAGCTCGGCCTCCCAAAGTGCTGGGATTACAGGCGTGAGCCACCACGCCCGGCCTGTCTCTTTTACGTGTATTTTTTCCTTCCTCCCACAAATAAAAAATATCACAGTGTATTTAAACAAAACAAAAACCTATGCATGTACTTTGAAGCAGGTAGCTCTGTGAGCAGTAGCAAATTCATATGGGTCTGTAGCAACCTCAATTCTTGCCTCCTCAGAAGAAAGAATTCCACCGAGGGGCATAAGGCAGAGTGAGACAGCAAGGCAAGTTTTAGAGCAGGAGTGAAAGTTTATTAAAAACCTTTAGAGCAGGAATAGAAAGAAGTAAAGTACACTTGGAAGAGGGTCAAGTGGGTGACTTGAGAGATGAAGTGCCCTGTTTGACCTTTAACTAGGGTTATTACATGTTGGCATACTTCCGAGGGGAGAGGGTTGCATCCCTTCTCCCCTGATTCTTCCCTAGGGGTGGGCTGTTTGCATACACAGGGGCTTGCCAGCACTTGGCAGAGGAGCATGTGCAGTGTCTGTACTGAAATTGTACACATGCTCACTCGAGGTGCTCAAGAATGATCTTATACCTGTTAAACGCCACCATTCCGCCTCTTAGTGAGCATGCTTGAGCCCACTCGTCCAACTCCTGAAATCTTATCAAGAAGCAGTTGATCACTAGTTTCAGGTGTTTCTATCCTTTGGGAGACTGCCTTTTCCTGGTGCTGGCTGCAACCAATTGTTATTTTAGAGAGATACTGTAACAATCACCTGAGATATCTTGGTAAGTGAGTAGGGAGTGTTCAGCCCTCCCCTACCCTGCTCATGTCTGACTAGCTACCTACTGTAACAGCTCTGGATTTAACTACTGTTTTTTACAATTAGGTAAGTGGATTTCTGGTAAATCATTTATATTGATAAGCCCCTACTTAGCACTTGCTAAGTGTTTTAAAGTTAAAAGTGCCTAGAACTGAGTTGATGCTTAAAAATAACAGCTATGATTAATTCTCTTCTAATAACTGCTCCTATGTTATTCTTCTTCCAACCTGCTTTATATTTTATTCCTAGCATTCTTATTCCTCAATGGGAGGGGATTAACTTTCTCAAACATTGGATAAATCAGTAAAAATAAAACAGCCATGCTGCAAAACTGTCTGCAATATTGTGACATAATATGAAATATGTATTTTATCTTTTTCCCCAGTTCCTAGCACAAGCACAAGAGCTTTCTAAAGCCTTAGGAATTTCCCGAGTGATAGGGGTAAGAGAAGCATCTTTAGTCATTCGTAATAAGCCTCTTTCAACCATACCTGAGTTTATGCCAAGGAAATCACTCTGGTGGCAGCCTGGATAGCTTAAATATACACCTGGTTGCCAGAGAAACAAACCAGATGATTAGAGGCTTGGAACGATCCCTTATTCCCTACTTCAGGGGAGACAGGGGACAGGGGATAGAGATTGAGTTAAATGCCAATGTCCAGTGATTTAATCAATCATACCTAAGTAATGGAATCTCCTTAAAACCCTGAACGACAGGGCTCAGAGAGCTCCTGGGTTGGTGCACACATAGTAGTGTTGGGTGAGCAGCATACCTGGAGAGGATGTAGAAGCTCTGCCCTCCTGCCCTATACCTTGCCTTATGCATTGCTTTCATTTGGCTGTTCCTGAGTTGTATTCTTTATAATAAAGTGATAAATGTAAGGAAAGTGTTTTCTTGACTTCTGTGATCTTTTATAGCAAACTGTTAAACCTGAGGAGTGGGTTGTGGGACACTTCCAACTTTACAGGCAGTAGGTCAAAAGTAGGAGGGGCCCAGAATTGCCAAGTGAGGGCAGTTTTGTGGGACTGAGCCCTTACTTGACATGTAGAGTCTGACACTGACTCTGGGTAGATAGGGTCAGAATTGAATTAAATTGTAGACACTTGGTTACAGTCTGGAGAATTGGTTGGTGTAAGAAAAACCATACATTTGGTGTCAGAAGTGTAGTAAGTGAAAACATAAAATAGACTTTTGAAGAAGGGCATTAGCACAGTGATCAGACTCCCAGGCTCTGTCGCTAATCAGCTGTTTTGTTAGCTTTATAACTGTTTATTCACTACACCATTTTCTAAAGCTTCTCACACATAGTCACCCCTCTGGGGAGCTTGATCTGACAGGGTTGAAACTGAGATGATAAAAGTTTAATTATTATCAGTGATGATGGTATTTAATAATTGTGCTCTCACTGGGAACAATTTCCAGGAGAAATCATCTTGCTTCATTACAATATGTGAATGATAAGTCTAATAAAATCTCACATGAGAAATTTTAAACTCTAAGATAAAACTTTTCCTAATAAATGTTTATTACATTTACATAAGTCCCAAGAGCCTTTTGTTCAGGTCAAAAGAAGATGGCAGAATTTTTGATTTTCTTTGTTTCTAAAGGTCACAAAATATAATACTGATTTCCAATGAGGGGTGTGTGTGTGTGTGTGTGTGTGTGTGTGTGTGTGTGTGTGTGTGTAGGGAAGGAAGATAAGGAAGACGAGGGATAGGGAAAATGGAATTCACTTCACCAGGACATGAAGCTTAGACAGGATGGGCTTGGAGACAAACTAGTCTCGACTTTGGAAAACAAATTGTCTTCAGTCTTTGAATTTTTTACAAATTAAATAGTATTGATCTTTTTTTCTGTCCTCATTTGAATGAACTTTAGCAATACATGGTAAGAAGTTGGCTGCTCCAATTTAACATGAAGGTGAAAAGGGTGCCAACCAAGGAGAATGTCAGTGAACCAGGATTTTGAAGTTTACCTTATTTCTCAGTAACAGCATTAATGCTCAAGTCTCCTTTAGGAAGATCCAATTCTATTATCCCAGCTCATTCTAGGTTCCTTGTAACCCAGAAAACTCTAGTATGGACTAAGGATGATTCTAAGTGAATGTTACTATGGAATGTGTGTGTGTGTGTGTGTGTGTGTGTGTGTGTGTGTGAATGTGGTATTAAAGACCATTTGTAAAAAGCAGCATTTCAAATTTTGGTTGAGCTCTTTTTATTGTGTTATGTATCATCCTTGGTACATTTGGAAACTGTATTATGTTGTGGGACTGAGAAGCAGGAGAGCCTGATGCCAGAGTTTTAGTTAAGATTCACTATGTGATGAAAACATTATCTGAGACCATTACACTTAGGCAGATGATAAAAAAGGATCATACTTTTAGGTATCATCGCATGATTCTTGTTTATTTCTTCTTTTCTCTTCAAACTAAGACAAGTAATAAAACAATGTTGACAGAATGACAAGGAAACAATAAATATTTTCTGATCTTGGGAAATCAAGCTCTGCCCTGCAGTGTCATGCTTGAGAAGTGAAGTGCTTCTTAAATAGAAAAAAAAAAAAAAGAACAAACAACCAAACAACAACCCACACAACAGAAACCTGGAAATCAAAATCAAGTCACATCTCTAGAAAGATGATGACCTTCACTTCCAGGAAGGTCTTTGTGTGGTTGTGAATTCGATGTTCTTTAAATGACACCCTGTAACTGCTTAGTGAGAGCCAAGCCATTTTCACTCTCTTTTTGTGCCCAATTGCTGCAGCTGGTTTGACAGAAGTAGCTGGTGCAGATTTTTCTCATGATTGCTTTAGCAGTGTTTCAACCAAAGGTCTCACTTTTTAAGGCATGCAGTTCTTCACTTTAGATTGGCATGCTTCATTGTTAAACTGTTTTATTTGAGGAGAAAGTTTGAAAGGAATAGTACTACAATTAGAAATGAATATTTAATAAATGACAAAAAAATGAAGTAATTGCATGGCCAGTATTCTCTGTTTACAATGGAGCAAAATTAGAAATTATTAACAGAGCTGGAAACAAAAATCAAAAAGAAAATATCTAAGATGTTATCAACTGGTATTTTAATACTTTCATTACAAAAAATCAATCACCAGAATCACTGGATTCAAATAAAAATAAAAACCAATAGTGCCCAATATGGATAAAATGACAATAATAAAAGACATTATAAATCAGAATATATGGAAAGAATAAACATGGCCAAAAAGAAAATTTAGTCTTAAATTCACGTACCAATAAGCTTAAAAGAATGTAAATAAGTTAAGCAGCATACTCCAAGCATTACCAAAAATAACCAACTAAAGAATAAAAAATAGAGAAATGAATACAAATAAAAGCAGAATAAAATGCAAAAAAAAAAAAATTTAGAACTAAAATATCCAAAATTTGGTCCATTGAGGGAAAAGTAACAGATGACTCAATAGTTTAATAATAAAGGGACAAAAGGGAAGGAAGCATAAATATGTAAAATAAGAAATTGCAATGCGGAATTTACCAAAGACAGGAGAGAAAATAAAAGACCATAAGAAACAATTCTCTCAGTTTTATGTGATTTAATTTTAGAACCTAGATGAAATATATGATTTTTTAGAATATGAATTACCAAAATTTACCCCATGAAAGTTGGAAATTTTAAACAGACAAATCATTACCAAAGAAGAAAGAGAAAAAAAACAAATAAGATGCTCATTGGCTTAATCATTCTCCAACCTTTTGAGGAACAAATGACTTAAAATGTTAGATTATTTCAAAGAGTAAAAAAAGTAGGAAAATATCCAGCATAACATTGATACTCAAAACCAGCAAAGATAACACAAACCACCCCCCTCCAAATATTAGAAACCAATTTTACCTGTGAATCTGACATAGAAATCCTTTATAAACACTAAAACAAGGTCTAGAGGCACATTAAAAGAATGATACACTCTATCTAAGTATGGCATGTTTCAGTAATTAAAGATATCTACTGACAAAATATTCATATTCACAGATTTGAAATCTTTGATTATCTTTATAGATACAGAAAAGTTACTGATAAAATTCAGTATCTTTTCATTTAAACAATATTTTAAATTTTTAAATATATGTATATTTTCTTAATATGTACATATATTACATATTTACTCATGTAGTTTTTATGGCTATATGATTATATGCACACTAAAGATAAGTAAATATATGTATTTATTTATAAAACTATGCATTATTTAAAAGATTAGCATTATCTGTATATATATACACAAATATATGTATATATAACTAAAATATGTTCCTATATCAACCATATTAAGTATAACGTGCAATGGGAGAAAATAGTAGAGGCACTCCAGTGAGAGTTAAAACCAGAAGTGAATTTTTATTCTTCTATTATCCTGGAGATACCTGTTGACACATTTAGAAACAGCAATGGAAGGTAAAAACTTGAAGGAAGATAAACTGTATATTCTTACAAATTATATTGTAGGAAAATCCTGGTTCTTGTCATATGGCCAGAAAAGATTAGACTCGCGGACACGTAGAAGGGTAGGAAAAACGGAACTTCTTGGGTGAAAAGGGAGAAAGAGAAAAACTTACAGCAGAGCGAGAAGGAAGCCTGTTTACTGGCTCCGGCCCCATCACACAGGAACGCAAGAGGCTGGGCTCCTCCCCTCTGCAAATGGCGCGAACTTCCGTGGCTCCACCCCATTCTCCCAGTGCGCAGGCCCGTCCGAGGTTCACCGGGAAGCCCTTTTCACCTGGCGGTCTCAATATGGTTGGAAAAGCAAAGAAAAACAACTGAAAATCTGTAAATATAATACATAATTTTGAGAAATGGCTGGGTAAACAATAGTATACAGAAAGAAATTGCTTTCATATAGTCAAATGTTAGGCAGCCAGAAGAAATAATTGAAATTAAAAATCACATTTTCAATAGCAACTTTAAAAGAAATAGCAGGAGAAATTTGAAGAACTATACAAAATCCCTAGAAAGAAAACTAACATGACACTGAAGGACAAAAGAAAATTTGGACAAATAAAAAGCAGATCATGTTTTGATATCAAAATTAAACAGTCTAACTATGCCAATTATCCTGTATAAATGCATCAATTTAGCAAGGTCCTTCCCAAAATTACCAAAGGAGGATTTCAAACTCTCTAAATGATCTTAAAGGTGATGTCACAAAATAAACATCCGAGAAGGGTCAAGAAAACATTTAAAAGAAGGTTAATGGGAATGAGATGGAGACAAGATAAAATAAATACTAATCCAAATTCTAAATTTTCAACAACTAAAATAATTAAATAATGTCTAAATGGAAAAAAAGGTAAAATTTAGAGATATACCCAAATGAATACAAAAATGAAGTATAAAAGTTAATTTTAAAATAGAGAGTTTTTTTTAATTGTGGAGACAAATGAGTAGATATCGGGAAAAATATAAATTAAATTACTACTTCTCATCTTGAAGTAATATCTTTGTGTTACAATCTAGGTAGTATTCACATTGATATTCACATAAAATCATTTCAGCTTTTCTTCATATTTGAAAATGTTAAAATACATGGAACCATTTTTTCAGCTTTCATTTGGCAAAACGATAAAATAATCTGACAACAGTAAGAGAGGGTATTAGGGAATAGGCATATTCATATATCTTTATGGAGAACAACTTGACAATATCAATATTTAAGTCACGTTCTCTACTGTGTTTAATTTTTAGTATTTATCCTATAGTCCAGCTATTTATCCTATTAGTTGATAAACTATGCATGTGTAATAATACCCACTGGGTCACTGCATAAAATAACCAAAGCTTCTAGACATTTACGTTATGGTCAGTTGATGAATGCTTAAAAACAAAATCTATGGTAAAACCATACATGAGATATTGTGTAATTATTAAGTAGTATGCTGCATATGTGTTTTTATGGGCCAAAATCCAAATTGCACAACACTATTCAGGGTATGGCAATGTTTACTTAAAAAATAAGAATAAGAAAGAACACATGCATATAAACCTATAAGACAGAAAAACACATGTATATAAAGTTGTATAAGACAAAATATTTCTACAGTAGCTTTGGAAAATAAAAATTTTTTAAATGGACAAAAGTAGTTTTTCTCTAAGGAACACTTGTGAAGAAATCCCAGGAATTTTACCACAAAATATGGCATCCTGGTATGCTCATTATTTCAAATTTTAGGTACTTGAATGTCAGCAGATTCTGGAAGAGGCTCTCTTTCCCTTATCTATCTTAAGACTAGACCCACCGTAGAAGACAATTCCTTTTCATCCCTCTCTGCAATCTCATTATTTACCACAGAAAAGAAGACCAAGAAATGCAACCACACCTGGATAGAGTTTTTCATGAGATACTGTCTGCCTCTCTGGCTCATTCAAATTCTAAAATGAAACACTTACAACTTAATTTCTGTCTCCTGGGTTCATTCATTCTCCCTAATAATCATTTACTATCCCTCAAAACAACTGCCTACTTTTCCCCATCTCCCCTCTCCCCTATGAAGAAGGATATATAAGTATCTCTATCTTCTGGGTTATTTGGTAATCGCTCTCTTGTGACTCCCCCTTGCTTATGCGTATTAATAAAAATGTATGCCTTTTTTTCCTGTTAATCTGTCTGTCATTAATTCAATTCAGGGAAAGGTTGAAATTCCTTCATTTAGATGAGAGAGCTGCTGTGCGCAACTGCATTAGATAAGTTTATTGTGTGGATTTTAAAGAGACGTTACAGAAAGAGAAAAAAATTAGAAATTGAGAGTTTGAGAGTTTATTCCTGTAAATTTTATATCATATATAAAATGTTTGCTTCCCCAAATTATAGTATTAGCCCATATTATTACTTATCAAGATGTTAAATCAAAACAAGTTATTTTAGTGTAAATTTCAAACCACTATAATTTAGCTTAACAAGTTAATCCTCATAAATCCTCACATGTAATTTATTATGAGTTTTTTTGAAGGCTTGAAAAGACCGTTTGGGAATGTTTCATCATAATTTGACTGGGTAAGAAGACAAAAGATGCATAACACTCATGTGTAGTTCTAGGTTTTGTACAGACAAGACCACACAGTACACAAGATTATATAATCTGATGTCTGTCACTACTTCCTTTCCACTCATGATGACTTTTATTTCTTTCTCTTGCCTACTTGTCTTGGTAGGATCTTTAGTACAATGTTAAATAGAAGAGGTGAGAGTGGAAATCCTTGTCTCCTTCCTTATCTTAAGGGGAAAGAATTGAGTCTTTCACTATTGAGTATGATGTTAGCTGGATTTTTCACAGATGACTTTTATTGGTTTGTAGGTGTTCTTTTCTATCATTTGCTGGGCATTTTTATTATAAAAGAGTATTTAACCATATTATGTCATATTATGTTTTACTACATGTTTCCTCATATTTTGTCCCTTACTTGGCTTAAAATATTGTTATTAGTATTTGATACTTAATGTAATTTTATTTCACAAAGTTGTTATTGTCTTTGCCACTAGAATGTAAGTACTTTGAGAATAGGGACTCTATTTTGTTCTCTATTGCAGGCTTTTAGAATAGTGGCTGGCACACAATAGGTACTCATATATTTCTGAATAATTAAGTAAGAGTAGGTAAATATGATTTTTATCCTTTTATGAGTGACACTGAGAAATGTTAAGTTTGGAGAAGTTAAATAACTTTTACGAGGGAGACCTATGATTAAATCTGAGGAGTTTGATTCTAAACCCAAATTTGTAAACACTATATTTAATGATTATAATTATAGACACAGATATGCCTTCTTTATATGCTACTCCTTCATTTTACATATAAACTTCTCAGGGGTAAAAAGAAATTTTTAAATTAAAGAAAGAAAAAGTTATTTCTTTTATTTATAAAAGAAATGATTAAAATAAAGGATTGACCAAAGTGTCATTTTTTTTTTACTTTCTCTGTGTATGTATAGGTCCCTTTAAAAACAAATATAGCAATTCTTACTTCCAAACAACAGAAATATGTTTTGGGGTCTGGAGAGTATCCCAAGATTTCTTAAATCCAAGAATGAAGAAGCATTATGGAGACTATAGTGTAAATAAAAATGCCATCTCATATTTGGACACAGTTGACATTTTGGTACCTACCTCAACTTTAGTCTTACTGACATTCTAATAACCCTCTGAAGTCTCCAATGGTTTGGGATACTCACTAATTGAAAAAAATGTTGGATTTGATTTTCATGTCTTTTCTAATGAAAAAATAGATCATTTAGAAACCTCCTTCTAGTGCTCATAAACCTTTTAGTTGAAGGTATACAAAAAGTTATCGTAGAATTTGCTGTGAGATACTGATAGAATTAGCAAGTACAGAGTCACCTGCTTTGCAGACAGCTACCATAACTTTTCCAAATATTCTGTTCATGAACATGAAATTTACAAAGATGGCATATTGACATTTTCTTTCAAATTCATTGTAAATACTGTGTAGACCTTTGATTTAACCTGACAAAAAGCACTTTTCTATAGAGTGGAACTTTCTCGTTTTCCTGATCATAGGGCTCATTTGCTTGTTTTTGAATATAATATTTAGAAGCACTGACGAGCTAGTTTGCTCTAAGGAAATCAGTAAATAATCACACGTTATGTTAAGGAACAGAAATTTTACTACATCTAATTTAAATAAGATGATGACATTAAACTCACAAAAATGCTTTGGAATGCAGTTGCTGAATAAATGGAGAATTCCTCCTTTTTTATTTGTGAAAATTTAGAATTGATATTGAATAATGGCAAATGCTATCATAGAGTCAACAGGCGATAGTAATTTAAAATAATGCATTTTCAGTTGAAAATTTCTTGCAGAACCTTGCACCAAATTTACCACCATTTGACACTTTACTAAACTTTTTGGCAGCTCGACTTAATAGCTCCTATTCCTTATCTGTATTGTTGCTTTTCATTTTTTTTTCTTTTTTGAGATGGAATCTCACTCCATCACCCAAGCTGTAGTGCAGTGGCACGATCTCGGCTCACTGCAACCTCCACCTCCTGGGTTCAAGCCATTTTCCTGCCTCAGCCTCCCAAGTAGCTGGAATTACAGGTGTATGCCTGTATTTTTGTATTTTTAGTGGAGACGAGATTTCACCATGTCAGCCAGGCTGGTCTCGAACTCCAGACCTCAGATGATCCACCCACCTCAGCCTCCTAAAGTGCTGGGATTATAGGCAGGAGCCACAGCACCCAACCTATTGTTGCTTTTCAATGCAGGTCACGCAAATCATTGATTTCCTCAACACATGTTCTTCAGTTGTTCTTCGGCCTGCTGTCTTTTTATCTTAAGTGAAATTCTTTAACTGTGTGTTCATCATTGTGGTACCTATGGGCATTTCAAAAAATAGCAAGGGAAGAACACATTTATTTGTGAGAACACATAACAATAAACATTTATGCTACTTTTAGAATTAAAGACTATAAAGGGAAGAAAATGAAAGATGAATCAGAGTAGATGAGGGGTATCTTACTGTATTCAGATTGATTTAACAAAATACTATACTAGGTAGGTTATAAACCACAGAAATTTATTCTCAGAATTCTGGAGGGTGAGAAATCCCAGATCAAGGCAAATTGTGTGTCTAATGAGGGGCCCACTTTCTGACCCATAGGTGGTGGATTCTCATTGCATACTCACATGGTGGAAGCAATGAGAAGTCTTCTTGGGCCTTTTCCACAAGGGCTCTGCTCTCATGATCTAATTACCACTTAAAAGCCCTACCTCTTACTACAGTTACCTTGGGAGTTAGAATTTCAACATGAATTTTGTGGGGACACAAATATGCAGGCCATAGCAAGTGGTATATTAAATTTAGAATCTGATTTCAGAACAAATTGATCAATAAAGAGTTTATCTTTACCTACCTTTAATCTGGCACATTTCTTCATTAATGTGAACCATAGAAAGAAGCAGTGCTCCTGATTTATGAGGAAAAGATCAACATTTTTGTTTAGAACAAAATAATTTTCCCCATTTTCAGTACATAATACAGTTATAAAGAACAAGTTTAAGCATGAATTACTGGTGGTCAAGTAAACAGCAAGGAAAAATGTCCCTTTGGTTGTCATGCATACCTTTTGCTTTCAGCCTCAAAATATGATTCTACATATATCTCTATATTTGTATCTATCTCTATATATACATCTACCTACATATCATTCCTCTTTACTTTTCCATCCTTCTTACTCCTAAATTTCCCAACTTCATGTCAAGAAGGTTACAGCTCCAGAGTCATGGTGCCTGGCTGAGAACCCTAGCTACACAATATGTAGTACTATGGAAGTCAGGTCTGCAAAAGTAGCCCCCACACACCTTGCCTCCCCAAATTCATTCTCTTGCATATTCCCCTCACAAACTGAATTGAGTCTGGCCCCATAATGCATTTTAGCTGATAAAATGCAGTAGGCATGAAGCTTTTTCAGTTCTATGCCTAAGCCTTAAGAAAGTCTGACAGCTTCTGCTTCTATGCTTTCAAGAGCCCTAAGTTGCCATGAAAAAGATCTAGTTACCCTGCTCAAGAGGCCAGAAGGAAATATCCACCATATGGAGAGTCCACCTAAAGATGAATAAGCCCTGAGGCTACATGGAGAGTAAGGCTCAGTCTTTCTGCCATCTCCACAAAGGCACCAGGTGTGTCAGTGAGCCATTTTGAATATCCCAACCCATTCATGCCCAAAGAGCTTCCCAGGTGAACCAAGTAATCCCACAGAATTATGAAAAACAATGCTTTTTTGTCACTGAGTTTTAGTTTGGTTTGTTTTATAGCAATAGATTAATAAAACACATACTAACTCTGAAATCTTGGCAGCGACTTGACCTTATCACGAGTTTGTTTTCTCATATGTAAAATCAGAATTTCAATAATAATACTTAATTCATTATGTTGGTATAAGTATTAAATGAACAAGACATGGAAAGCTTTTAAATCCATATCTAGCCTATATTAAGCCTCAATAAAATTGTTTTGTTATGGTTATTTCACTGGCTTCTTATAATTCTCTAAATTTCCCAGGCCATTTTATATGAATACTGAGCTTGGCCTTGTTTTCACTCTTTTCTCTTATTCTGTATGGTGGTTAGAAGACAAAGAAAATGTATAAAAGCCTGAGTTTACATTCTGACTCAGACATCTATTAATTGTTTAACTTTGCAGAAGTCTCTTTCATCACTAGCTACAGAATGGCCTTAGCAACATCTGTCTCTCATTGCTGGTTGGAGGCTTGAAAATTTTAACAAATGTAAAGAATTTACATATATCCATAAGCTAAGAACAATAGCAATTATTAAATAGGCACATTCTTTGAACAAATAGCAATCTTCCCAGATTACAATATGCAGAATGCTTTGCACCTGTATCTGTCCTCCCAAAGTAATCTATTTATCTGTGAAACATCTTATGATATATATTAAAACACTATGTTTTAATTTGTTGATGTTCTGTCCAAATTAACTGTCCAAAAGAATTTCTCAAGGACAGAAACAATGGCAACAATCCAGTCATTTCTGTATAATGTGCCTATGTTGTAGACTATTTCCAATACAGTTGGCCCTTCTTATCTATGGGTTCATCATCCATGGATTAAACCAACTGCAGATCAAAAATATGTGAAAAGAAAAATATGTGAAAAGAAAAAATATACATGATTGTGTCTGTACTGAATATGTACAGACTTTCTTGTCATTATTCTTTAAACAATAAAGTATAAAAATATTTACATAACATCCATGTTGTGGGAGGTATTATGAGTGATCTAGATATGATTTAAAGTATACAGAAGAATGTGTGTAGGGTATATACAAATACTATACCATTTTATGTAAGGGACTTGAGCATCCAAAGATTTTGGGGTCTGTGGGAGTCAGGATACCGATCCCTCATGGTTACAGAGGGATGACTGTTGTAATTTGGATGTCCTTTTTTTTCAGGGAGGTCAGGGATGCTCAGGAGGATATTATACTTTTATGAATCTGGAGAGTCAGCCATGGTAACGATCTTGGTGGAAGGCAGAACCTCACTTGCAGCTTTAAAAACTACAAATGCCCACTATTTAATCTCCTTGGCCCTTGGCAACTAGATAATGGGCATAGTTTGGCCAGTTAAATACTTACAGTCATGATTTTGACTGTAGAGTAAGTGACCCAAGGAGAAATGGAGAAATCATGTCACTACTGGCAACAGTGGTAACCACAGCTGACCAGACACAGAGTTGGTGATGGCAGTGGCATCTAGTGAATTTTGTGTCCAAGCAGAAGTGACAACAATGTCCCAACTTGACTCTTCATGTAGGATTTTTGTCACTTCCACATCCTGATTCTCCACACTTCCCTTAGTGTATGTGAGATTTTTGTTATTCTTTCCTAAATTCTTTTTCTTCTTAAGAGCCCTGGCTTTTGCTGTTTACAGTGAAGAACCTGGACCAGTATAACATCTTTGACAAGAAAATCTGTGGGACACAGGCTGTAATGAGATCCCTAAAGGAGACAGCTAGTGACATTTTGGCTGATAAGAAAAATTGAGAAAGAAAAAGAATAAAAAAGATAGTTATAATAGGAAAAAGAGCCAAGGGCTGTTGCCTGTTACAAATCTTAAAAAAAAATAAAGGTTTTTATACTAATACATGAGTTTTCTGGAAAACAAGTAATTCAGCTATTTTTTAATGTAGTCTTCAAATTCTTTGCATGTGAGTAATGGAACAAATAACAGTATAGATACTAGAAAGGTAATCCTAGCAAAGAAGGAAAAGTCTCATGAGTAAAGAACTTTTCTCATATTCAAATATCATAAAGAAGACCAGGATGATGTCATTAGAAGAACTAGAGAAACAATCTGGCCAGATTCTCATAGATAGATAGATAGATAGATAGATAGATAGATAGATAGATAGATAGAGATATAGAGTGTGAATGCACACTTTTGGGGGAACCAGCCCCCAATATTTCAATGTAGGTTCTTTTCTATTTTCCCTAAGTGTTGGCCAGTCTGAGAAATAAAGGGAAAGAGTACAAAAGAGAGAAATGTTAAAGCTGGGTGTCCGGGGGAGACATCACATGTCGGCAGATTCCGTGATGCCCCCTCAGCCATAAAACCAGCAAATTTTTATTAGCAGTTTTCAAAGGTGAGGGAGTGTACTAACAGGGTGTGGGTCACAGAGATCACATGCTTCAAGGGCAACAAAAGATCACAAGGCAGAAGGTCAGGGCAAGATCACAAGGTCAGGGTGAAACTAGAGTTACTAATGAAGTTCCATGTCCCACTGTGCACGCACTGTCATTGATAAACATCTTAACAGGGTTCAAGAGCAGAGAACCAGAATTTCCTAATCCTAGCAACCCTGGGGGCGCTGCAGAGGGCCAGGGCATGTTTCATCCCTTATCTGCAACTGCATAAGGCAGACACCACCAGAGCGGCCATTTTAGAGGCTCCCCTGGGAATGCATTCTTTTCCCAGGGCTGTTAATTATTAATATTCCTTACTGGGGAAAGAATTCAGCGATATTTCTCTTACCTGTTTTTGGCAATAAGAGAAGTATGGCTCTGTTCTGCCTGGCTCCCAGGCAGTCAGACCTAATGGTTATCTCCCTTGTACCTGGAACATCACTGTTATCCTGTTCTTTTTTCAAGGTGCCCAGATTTCATATTGTTCAAACACACATGCTTTATGAACAATTTGTGCAGTTAATGCAAACATCACAGGGTCCTGAGGCGACATACATCCTCAGTTTACGAAGATGACAGGATTAAGAGATTAAAGTAAAGACAAGCATAGGAAATTATAAGAGTATTGATTGGGGAAGTGATAAATGTCCATGAAATCTTCACAATTTATTTTCTTCTGTCACGGCTTCAGCAGGTACCTCCATTGGGGTCACTGACTTCCCGCAACACACACTCTATCAGTAAGTGCTTTCATTGCTTCTCTACTAATGGTCTGGAATAAACAATAGAGAAATGAAGATAATTAGTTGTTGGGGAGATCTTGGTTTGTCTAGCTTTGAAGCACAGCTTATAGGAACTGTCACATTTTTAGCTGTATTTTAAGAGAATCATGTGAATAAGATTTAATAAAAGTCATGGGAGTGAATAATAACAACTCATGATTTTTCAAAGTGGAGTGTTCAGATCCACTGAGAGGGAAAAAATGATGTATAAGAACTGTGCTCACAAATATTCCACTTTTTTTTCCTCCAAGACTCGGTGTTCCCAGGGGAGTGGGTGAGAGGGCAATGAGGACCAATGATACTGAGCAACATACATCTGGTTCTCGTAACATCAGGGAGGACCTTCTCTACTCTGATAAGATTATCTGGCATAATATCCTTCTCTTCTAACTTCCTAGAGCCCGTGTTACTCTTATTAATACAGAAGACAACATTTGCTATTATGGCTGTTTGTTTGTGTTTTATATCTCCAATTAATTTTAAGGGGAAGGACTTGAGTTAAAATGATTTTATCACTCAATAACAGAGGTAAGGACAAAAATTACATGATAAAGGTGCTATTTTATTAATTGATCAATTTCCCAAATCAGAAACATTGTTTTTAAACTCAAGTTATATACTCACATCTCAGAGTTTGAAAGTTCTTGAAAAATAATAGGCAATTTGGAGAGAAATAATAAAATCAAAGGAAAATTGTTGCTTTTACTTGAAATATTTAGAAATGCCTCTACCATGTTTAAATTTTATTTCAAGAACTCCAATTAACAGCAGGAATTATCTGTCCACACGGTCTTTCTTTAGTTTAATAAAATATCATTTGGCCACATTTGTTTCTCCTGGCCTTTAAAGCAGTTGTCTGTATTACTTGTGATGTACTGCTTAACACTGACATTACAGAGTACAAAAAAATTGAAACAATCTTGAGCTGAGATCTTTTAGCTTTGGTATTCCAGGGCCAAGTACATCAATTTGAACACAGTAGGGACTCAATAAATACTTGTTAGTTTGATTTATAGCAATTATTACTTTAGACACAGGCTATATACACTGTTTCTAAAAATAAAGAGAAAGTATAAACATAAAGACAGAAAAAGCAATGAATTACCTCACTCTTTTTAAGTGACGCCCTTTTTTTCCCAAATAACATTATAGTCCAATATTATTAATGAGCAATTTTTGCATTTAATTGAATTTTAGTAAATGAGAACGTTCTCCTGGCAACAGGATGTCTCCAACTTATTCTTAATTTGATCCCTGTCTGTTTCATCCTGATGTAAAAGACAAATGGAGATTGTGCAGAACCCTGGGTTCTCTACTGCTTTTTTCTGTAAAAATGCTTCTCATGCCCAAAGTTTGAAAAGCGATGGTGCATAACCACTCTTTCATTCTTTTTAGAGGTCAAACTTAGTCCTTTTTAGTATGGCTCAGATTAAACAGAGTAACTTCTTTTTCCATTATTTCTTCAAGTTAAATGATCCAGGCACCATCTCACTTCAAGGACTTATTATTTCTCAGAAACATAAATGAGAATTGTGTTACCTTAACTCTGCTAAGAAACAGTTTGGTGTTAGCGACCAGTAATTCCCTTAAGTGTCATCTCACTGTCCATGCTAAACCCTTTGTGTACCAGGCTGAAATAAGTGGAGACTTTGCTGATCTTCTTACCAAGGACAGAGGGCTATGGAGGCTGATACAGCAGGCACCTCATGGAAACAGGTATAAATTCTTTTTCAACTGTACTTTGAGAGATAGCCTTTTTACTGCTGTGAGAGATTAGAGCGTGTACAGAAAAAAGTCATCATGGCCATTTTGGACAAGGAGTTTCCAAGACTAGCAGAAATAGAAAACATAGGCCTGTCCTGGTCTGCAGTGACAGTATCTGTCACAAGACTGGATGAAGGTTTGTGCTTTCCCACGTTTTCCTTCTACCAAAGGGCAATCTTAGCACTTTTACTGCAGTCATGAAGAACATTTGCTCTTCCCTTTATGATATGTTATGCATTGAATTGTGTTCACAAAAAAAAATGTTAAAGTCCTAACTCTCAGTACCCCAGAATGTGACTTTTCTTGAAAATAGGGTCTTTATGGAAGCAATCAAGTTAATCTGAGGTCATTAAGGTGGGCCCTAATCCAGTATGACTGATGTTATTATGAAAAGGGGAAATTTGGACACAGAGACAGACATGCACACTGAGAAGAGAACATGAAGATGGAAGCACAAACTGAACTGGCTCAGATGAAGGCCAAGGAATGGTCAAGGATTGCTGGCTACCACAAGAAGCTAGGAAAAGGCAAGGAAGGATCTTACCAAGAGTGTTACAGAAAGTATGGTCCTGCAGACACCTTGATTTTTGACTTCTAGCCTCCAGAACTCTAAGATAATAAAATGCTGTTATTTTAAGCCAACCAGTTTACAGTAATTAGTTATGGAAGCCCTAGAAAATGAATATTGTCTTAGATAATCTAGGCTGCTATTACAAAATATCATAAGCAGGGTAGTTTACAAATAACAAAAATATATCCCTCATAGTTCTGGAGACTGGGAAGTCCAAGATCAAGGTACTGGCAGAATCAGTGTCTGGTGAGAACCTGTTTTCTTGTGGATGGCACCTTCCCACTGTGTTCTCACACAGAAGAAAAGTAGGTGAGCTCCCTCGACCGATTTTATAGAGGAACTAATTCCATTCATGAGAGTTGCACTCTCAACAAGTAATTGCCTCTTAAAATGCTCCATCTTCTAACGCCATTGCCTTGGGGGTTAGGTTTTCAACAGGAGTTTTGGGAAGACACAAACATTTAGACCATAGCAAATATAGAATGCTCAGCTCTAACTTAGTGTTCTCTTTATGCCAGGACAGGAGATCAGAGAAAAGAGGTTATTATGTGGATACTTGAGAGTGAAGTAATAATTCTAGTAAATAACTGCATATGTCATATTTTATCAGCATGACGCTTTCCAGTTTGTTTTTAAGTCATTACTATTACTCGATTCATGGAGCAAAGACTTTTCCCCCTTTGTTGTGGTTTATCAATTCTTTGTGGAAACACGTCATGTAGTTGTATTTAGTTTCTGATATGAGGATACTATTCTTGACTTAAAGTGTCTGTTTGAATATATAATGTTGAGTTCATGTTACTGTGGATATTAAGCTATTCACATATAATGTTATGCTGTTCTGGGCATTGTTATTAAAAATGTCCTATTCTGCCATCTTTGAAGAAAGTAAAAAACAAAATGTCAAGTAAGTTCTAAATATGTGTTAATAGGGAAGAGTGAGTATAGAATACTAAATTTCATATTCCAAGAACAATTATAGCATGGAATAAACCCATAATAGAGAGAGACTTTTAAAGTTGGTGAGGTAATGGTGGGGACCCTTTAGTTGTTTTTGTGAAACCATGGAGAAATGAGTTGAATGTAAATTTATGTTGCCATGTTTTAGATTAAAAAATAAAAGATTTCTCTATTGACATTTTACCAGCTTCTCATAATTACTTTTTTATTTGCTCCATTCCTTTATCATTCTGAAGCATCAAATTAGTTTAAAGCTTGCGTTTATTGTTCTTCCCAGACATAAAATGGTGTGCTTAAGATATCTCAATATTCAACCTTTAAGAATAAAAAACTGAGATTTATATTCATCAGGTGCAGATAAAGCCATGCAGCAGTTACCAGACTGGGCTTTGAGGAAGAGAAAGCAGGACTAGATGATCTTACTTTCTAGCTGTGTCCACTTTGGTAACTCAATTATCTTTCTGATGCCTCAATTTCTTCATCTGTCACTAAGAAATTAAAATTTAAGTTACAGAAATTTTAATACAGATTTTAATAAAAAGTAAATCATTCAATAGTCATGTAACAATCATCATTATTTAATGGCTAAAAGCTCTTGTTCCCACTTTTAAAACTTCTTCTCCAACACCCCTGGCAGGCATTTGTAGTTCTGCAAAAGAAAACAACATATTTAACGAGTTTTGGTGTGAAGCTCATCCATAGAATACTACAAATTCCTAAAGTCACCAATTTGAGTTAAAGAAAAACTTTTTTAAAACTATACTTTTGGGTGCACCTAATAGAACTTGATTTATCTTCTACAGCTGTTGTCTGGGTGGTGTTTATGGATAAGAGCTAATAAGGATGGGATAACAATACATGTTTAATGATATATAACAGTGTGGACCCCTGAAAACTTTCCCATTATATAATCCATATTTTCTTTTCTCATAAAAGCTTCTATTACATCATGCTGTTTCATTCTTTGGAAAGTTCTAGGTCAAACATGCTGAGTTTACAAGTCAAATGATTTCCCCACCTGCCACAGGCATAAACACTGACCTTCATTTTAAAAAGGAATCAGGTTATCATTATTTTGTCTTTGAAACTCAATGATTTTTGTAGTAGGAATTAATTTTTTCTTTCTATCAGTACTAAAGATTCTTGTTGTCAGAGCTCCTCTGACATGGTTTTGATGTTGCACAAAGTGGAAGGGAACCAGTTCACACCCCTGTGGCTATTTGACTCTGCTTTGATATCTGGGGGTAAATATGGCTCTGTCAGTGCAACAATCAGAGAGCTCTCGCAGGGAACACCAGCAAAAACAGTCTGAAGCTCTTTTGTCATCGTTACTAGGGCAAATAATAGTCTCTTCTTGCACCTCAGCACCTCAAATCTTTCAGAAAAAGATTTGTCAGCGATTCCATATTTTGCAACAGAAATTTGTAGCATCCCTCAGTGTAGTGGGGAGGATTGCATACTGGCCATCGGAGAAACTCTGGGGACTTCAGGCAGCTATCCCGCAGGCTGTAATATTGCAGGAAGAAAGAAGAGGCAAATGTCAGCCTGTCAACTTCTTGGAGAAGATGGATGGAACTATCAATAAACCAATAAAGCAAAGACAGACTGATGCAATGCAGTGATGCCTGTGACAAGGAGCTAGCTGCAGGAGTGACAAGGCAGAAGTCAATAAGGCAGCTTATTACACCCGAAGCTGATAAGTGATATCATCATCAATAAGTAGAGACTCAGCCACCTGGGAGAATACATGTCCCTTCAATCAAGAAAGTCAGAGTGGGTGGGAGAGGCAGTTCTGTACCTCCATTCTAGGGAGAGCATAAACTCAGTCTCCACTCACTGCAGACCACCTTGGTCCAAGGACAGGAGGGTGAAATACACACACCTGGACCAATGACTCACTGCCCCAATGCTGCAAGGCAGGTCTTAAAGGGAGAACTGTTGAGTACAATTTTAACTTCATCTCATGTTACTCATATTAGCTTATTACAAAGAAATGATGTTTTATTTTTGAAGATTAATTATTTTTCCAGAAATTTTTACCTGTGTCCAAACTAGGTTAAGACACAGTTATTCTGCATATCTTGTATCACCTACGTGTACTTGTCAAAAAATCATTAGCCTATCAGTGAATATTGGATGATTCTTCATCACCAGGATGTACAAAATTATTTCACACAAGACTGTATGTGCGTGTTTTCCGTGCCCTAAAGAATGAAAATAATATCAGCAGTGAGTGGAGAAAAGCTTGTAGGGACTATGAAAATTTAAGACTACTATGATCTAGATATGATATTTATCTAGAGATTCTCATTGGTTCTAATCCAGGGGGAACCTCAGAAGATTTCGATCATTTTAAACTACCTAATTTCTCCAACAGTGTATATTTTTTGTAGATACAGTCTTTCTACTGTATCATACCAGTGAGGACCGAGATGAGATAGACTATGTCAATCTCATGTCAATATGGTATTTCATCATTATTAAGAATATTTTAATAAAGCAGAAGTGGTTAAGTCAGGCTCACTGATATGTATGATAAAAACTTATTCTATAATCAGAGGACTCTGATAAATTTGCGAGTTTCCTAAGAGAAGTTCATGTTCTGCAATTGCACTGAATCTTCTAGTCTACTTGCTGTAGCTAGCATCAACAGACTCTCTTTCATCAGAACTGAAAAAGTCTCAAGAGATTCAGCGTGACCCAGACCACCCCAGATTATTAACCTAAAAAGCATGGATTAATAGGGAAGTAGGAGTTGGTTTGGATTATATTTACCACACATAATATAAGATTCATAGTTAATTTTGAATTTCAGATCAATAACAAATACTTCCTTAATGTAAGTGTGTGTCATGCAATATTTGGGACATATTTAGACTGAAACATTATTCATTGTTTATCTGAAATTCACATACAGGGTGTCCTGTATTTTTATTTGCTAAATCTGACAATCCCAAAGACAGCTCACTGAAATTTTCATGCTAAGGTGAGGCAGAAACTTTATTTTCCTGATTTGGGCTTCCTGTACTTGTCTTTCACAGACCACTTTAGAATTCTTTAATTCCCAGCCCTCCTGACCCACTGCAGATAGACATCTGTGCAGCTCCAATTGCCTCCGTCAATCTTGACTCTGTTCAGGTTTAATTTAAGCCTGAGGCTACATTGCGGCATTTGTTCAATTGTTCTTCCATATATATGTCATTCTTTGGCACATTGCTTGGTGGAATTCCAGGTAAAGTTATACATGAATATAACCCAGGATTAGGCCAGTTATTCTCAGAGCTAGTTATTTCCTTATTTTCTTCTTGCTCAGAATCTACTGCAATGTGAATACAATACTAAAATCCCCAGCATCATGTGAGACCGGACCAGCAATAAAAAGGAAACCATCCATCTAATAAACTGTCCCATTACAATAATGGGATGAGATCATCCAAACTGTAACTTTTAATGGGATGTTTCAACACTCAGCAGCTAACACCCTCATTGCACTATGTCTGCAAGAATCTAATGTTATTTTCCACCTGTGGTTCAACTGATTTCACCCTCCTCCCTTTTGTCTTATTTCCCTGACCTGCCAAAGCTTAGTCCAGCACCCAAAGCTTCTGCCCGTGGCAATAACTGAAAATCTAAATTGCTCCAGGAAACAAAAGGCAATACTGAAGCTCATCCCATGAATACTAAAGCTGCTTTATCCCCTCTAAGTTTAAAAGAGATTCATTGTTTATTGTCTAACACTCTGCAAATATAGTTTGGAGAGGTTCAATCCTGTGCTTGCGACTCAGGCCAGTCAGAAGGCAGGTGAAAGAATGTTTTAGTACAATTGGTTAATATTTAGGGAGAAGGTGAGTTCAATCACTTTCATAGAGCTAAGTTAGAAAATTGTCTGTGGTCATGATTTAATTGTTTGCATTTTTTTCTCCCATGAAATGCTCATGCAATTTGTTGCTGGACTATTTCATTGATGGCTTAAGATTTGTAAAAGGAGAGTTGGAGATGAGGTTTGAAAAACATATTTTCTAATGAATGTGATTTTAATATATTACAATATCCTGGTCTTTAGTCAACTGGATTGATTCCTCTTCCCAAGAAAAATAACGCCCCCCACCCCCGCACTATTAATTTCCCTTCTTAGGAAATCACATTGTATCACTTTCAGAAATAAAGAGTACTATTTTAGTTCTGTCTTTCCCAAATTTATGAACCACCGAAGTAAGCAAGATGCTGCAAAGTACTAATAAGAATTTGAGTGATGTTTTTAACACCGCAAAAAGATTTATCAAAAAATCATACATTCAGCCCAACACATGACTGTCTAGAGTAGACCAAATTCTTAACTTTTGACTAGAATATTATCAACTCAAAACAGCTGTAAGTTAATTACAAGCTTCAGAAGCTTCCTAACAAATATTTATATGTATCTTTTGACTACTAAATGGCTATACTTTTAAATGGCTATAGCTAATCAGAAAAAAACTTTTCAAATTTTTGTTTTTTATTATACTTTAAGTTCTAGAGTACATGTGCACAACGTGCAGGTTTATTACATATGCATACATGTGCCGTGTTGGTGTGCTGCACCCATTAACTCAATCATTCTCAAAATGCTTGAATTAAAAAGAAATAAAAATTAAATCTTTACCTCACATATTACATCAAATAAAATTTGGGTGCCAAAAGAACTAGAAAAATCTATATGTAAATTCTATGTAAATAAGAGGCAGTAAAGAGCTTTCTAAGTGCAACATCAAGGTAGAAATCTAATATAAGAAATTTTCAATAGAGTGACTATATTAAAAGTAAAAAATTTTACTAGACCACAAAAAGGCATTTGAATAAAATAAAAAGGCAAACAATAGCAGTTGAATTAAAAGTGGCAAACTGTTAAGATCTATAATATAATGTTAAACATAGTTGTAAATCAGGCCAGGTGGAGTGTAAACCCAGCATTCTGGGAGGTGAGACAGAGGAGTTTTTGAGCCCAGAAGTTTGAGACCAGCCTGGGAAACATAGTGATATCTTGTCCACACACACACACACACACACACACACACACACATACACACACACACATTAGCTAGGTATGGTGGTGTACACCTGTAGGCAGGAGGACTGTTCGAGCCCAGGAGTTTGAGGCTGCAGTGAGCTATGATTATGCCTGTGAATAGCCATTGCACTCCAGCCTGGGAAACAGAGCGAGACTCCCTCTCAAAAAAAAAAAAAAAAATTAAAAATTAACTGGGCAAGATGGGGCATGCCTCTGGTCCCAGCTACTTGGGAAGCTGAGGAGGGAGAATCTCTTGAGCCTGGGAGTTTGGGGCTGTAGTAAACTATCACTGTGCTGCCTCACTCCATTCTGGGCAACAATGTAAGACTCTCTATTTTTTTTCTTTTTTTTTTTTAGATGGTGTTTCACTCTTGTTGCCGAGGTTGGAGTGCAATGGCGTGATCTCAGTTCATTGCAACCTCCGCCTCCTGGGTTCAAGTGATTCTGCTGCCTCAGCCTCCCAAGTAGCTGGGATTACAGGCGACTGCCACCACATCCAGCTAATTTTTTTTTTTATTTTTAGTAGAGACGTAGTTTCACCATGTTGATCAGGCTGCTCTCGAACTCCTGACTTTGTAATCCGCTTGTCTCGACCTCCCAAAGTGCTGGGATTACAGGCATGAGCCACCAAGAAGAAAATTAAAATGAATTTTTAAGAATTAGTGTAAATTAAATAGAATTTAATCCTGTAGGTCATGGTATAAATTAAATAGAATCCATAAGGCAGAAAAGTCAAAAGTTATTAGCTATAGTTTAAAAATATAACCCACTAGTACCAGAAACTACAAATTAAAAAAAATAACAAAACTTTTTTTCTACTTATCAGTATAGATATTATTTTAAAAAGTGATTGTGCCCAGTGCTGTTCAGAGTAGGAAATGGAGGCACTTTCTGTATCAGTGGTTGGGTTTTGTTTTAGAGAGAAATATGCCAAGATTTACCATATTTCTAAAATCTCATTATAACCTGGCCCTAGTAGCTTCACTTTGAAATTTCTCTTAATAATTAGAAAGGTGAACAAATATGGAGGCTGGCTATTAGAGATGTGTATATAAAATGCCCATCACTGTAATAGAAAAATTTATATAAATCTGAATGTCTAACAACAAAGCAATATACAAGTGATACAAAACTCATTTGCAAATTTTCTAGTGCCAGCCAAGATGGAGTAGATCCTGTTGGGGCTCAGAAAACAATGCCCCAAAATGAAGGCCTCGGAAACAAAAGTGCTTCTCTCTGACCTTCTCCTGCCCTCCTTCTCTCAGTCCCATTCTCTCTTGAGGCTAGCCATAAAAACTACCATCCCTCTTACCCAAGGCAGGTCATAGAAACCAGAATGAATTTTCCACCAAAGCCAGCCATAATACCCAAAAATCTTACTCTAACTTTCCCTCCTCTTTTATATGTAAAGAAGAATGTCCACAAAGAAATTATCTCACTTACCTTGTTTGGCTGTAGATCATAAGACTGATCCCAGAGAGGGTCCTGCCTCACACCTAGAAGGAAGAAATCCTGCACAGAGGGGCCATAAAGAATCTAGGCAGACAGGCCTTGCTGGGTTTCCCCACTCTGTCTATTAGCATTGGATCAGACCCTTATGTCCAATGATATTTTACCTTGTTGTCTATACTTTGTTGAATGTAAGCATAAAAAAGGACAATTTCTCATATATACAAGTTAAATAAATTTGTATGTCTTTTCTGCTATTAAACTGGCCTTTGCAAGTTGATTTTTCAGCAAACTTTCCAAGGCCCAAACAGTACATTACAACCTCAATCTGTCATGTATTAATCTCAAATCTCTGAATGAAATACAAAAAGCAACTTCTTTAAGATTCTGAAAAGTTAATAGTAGGTAGAATGGAGATAGGAGCCAAGCTTGAAGAATGTCCTTTAAGCGTGAGTTTTTCTTCTTCTTCTGTTCTTCAAGCATGGGTCCTCCTCCTCCATTCTCCTCCTCCTCCTCTTTCTTATGTGAGGGGGACAGGAAAGTGCTGGGAAGGGAAGGGCATAGTCCCTGACTCTGGCTTCACTACCGGGCCTGTGTCCACGGACCTAGGTGAGGACAGGCATTTCTGTTTTTATGGCAAAATGTTGCATTTTCCAAGACCACCCTGGCCCACCATGCCCCCATCCTGTGCCTATAAAGACCCTTACTGGGCAGAGACACAGCAGCTGGACAACCAGAGGAACACAGCGGCAGAAGAACACACAAGTGGCTGGACATCGAGAGGACGTCGAAAGGAGCACACGGCAGAAGAACACATAGGCAGACACCAGCAGACTGCAGCAGGCCGACCAGGGGAACAATGCAGTTTGGTCAGGGAAGCCGAAGAGCCCGGTGAAAAGCCGCGAGGCCCGACTCCAGGGGAAAAACCACCTTCCCACTCCATCCCCCTTTCAGCCTCCCCATCCACCTCGCTGAGAGTTACCACTCAATAAAAAACCTTGCACTCCTTCTCCAAGCCCACGTGTGATCCGATTTTTCCGGTTCACTAGGGTAAGAGCCCCAGGATGCAGAAAGCCTTCTCTCCTTGTGATAAGGCAGAGGGTCTAATTGAGCTGATAAACACAAGCAGACCATGGATGGCTAAACTGTAAGAGCACACTGTAACACACCCCCGCTGGAGCTTCAGCTGTAAACATTCAGCCCTAGACACTGCCCTGAGGTCGGAGCCCCACAAGCTGCCTGTCTGCATGCTCCCCCTAGAGGTTTGAGCAGATGGGCGCCTAAGAAGCGAACCACACCCCCATCATATGCCCCGCAGCGAGGGGGTAAGGGGGGCAAGGGAACGTTTCATTATTATTTCATTATTCCCATTTCATTATTATTGTTATTATTATTATTTCATTATTATTTCCCATTTCATTATTATTATTATTATTATTATTATTATTATTATTATTATTTTGTCATCCAGATTTGTCATAAATGCAGCCCTCTGCAGTGCTATACAGTGAATTGAGGTACGACAGTATCAATCTATTTCTGGTTAGGACACCAGGAAAAGGAACCTCTGGAATAAAGGTGTTTCCTTTTCTTTCTTTTTTTTTTTTTGAGACGGAGTCTGGCTCTGTCGCCCAGGCTGGAGTGCAGTAGCACGATCTCGGCTCACTGCAAGCTCCACCTCCCGGGTTCACCCGTTCTCCTGCCTCAGCCTCCTGAGCAGCCGGGACTACAGGCACCCGCCACAACGCCAGGCTAATTTTTTGTATTCTTAGTAGAGACGGGGTTTCACTGTGCTAGCCAGGATGGTCTCGATCTCCTGACCTCGTGATCCGCCTGCCTCGGCCTCCCAAAGTGCTGAGATTACAGGCATAAGCCACAGCGCCCGGCCTTTTTTCTTTCTTTTACTGCTGAAGGTGACCTCAGTTGCAGAACTTCATTTGCAGGAACAAGAGCCGTGGTGCACGCATGTAAATCCTTGAGGCAGACAGCAATATTTCTGTACAGAGAAAGCGAAAAAAAAATCTGTCATGGGTCAAAGAGCATAAGCGAATCTCTGTTATTTCTTTTCTGCCTCTCTTTCCTTGAACCGTAATGTCCAGATGCCCGTCCCAGTCACAAGGACTATGAGATAGTGCTGAGGGATAAAATTCTGAGAAAAACCCTGGCATTATAGGCCGAGTACCAGAAAAAGATAACTCTGGAAGCCAGATATTGTGGAAAGGGGGTCCCTTGGTATTGTATGAAGCAACCTACCTAAGCCTTAGGCTGTTATGTCTGACCTACAGATGTATGGGTAAGGCCATGTGCACCTAGAAATGCCCTAAAAATTAAACTGACATTGGAATGACCACGCACAAAATGCAAGGTACGAATTACAGCCTAAACCCAACCAGGTTGATGCCTTTCTAAAAGAAAAATAAAATCAACACTCTACAAAGGATTATAAAGAGACCTAGATTCTTTACATTGTAAAGAAAATAATACATATCTAGGATGGAATCCAAAATTGCTCAAAATACAAAGAAAAAGGAATCCATGGCAAATTCTCAAGGAAAAAGATAATTACCAGAGACTAAGCCAACTCTGAAATGACCCATATATTGACATTATTAGTCAAAGACTTTATCATAGTTATAACAACTGTGCTCCATGAAGTAATAATGAACATTCTTGAAATAAATCAAAAGGTCACATTTCTTGGCAGATCAATACAAACTATTAAAAAAGAACAGATGGAAATATTAGAAAGAAGAATTATAATATCTGAAATAAAACAACATCAACAAAACAAAACAGAATGATCTCAATTACAGAATACAGAAGACAGAGAGAAGAGAACAAAATTATTTAAAAAAAGAATAGAGATTTATACACAAAATCTGTATATATATGAACACAAATTTCAAAAGCTTATATGGCTATGTTAATATCTGACAAAATAGACTTTAGAACCAAAAAAATCACCCAGAAAAAAAGAGGGCTGTTAAAAAATGATAAAAATGTTGATTCACCAAGAAGAATAACAATATAAAATGTGCATCAATATTTTAACTTCACAGCTTCAAAATAATTAAAGCAAAAACTTACTAAATTTGAAGGAGAAAAAGGCAAATTCATAATTACTTATGGATCCTTGAACATTTATTTCTGGGTAATTTTTAGAGTAGGGAAACATCAAGATTACAGAAACTCTAAGCTACACTATCCAGCAACATTATTTAATTAATATTTATTGAACACTCCATACAACTGCAGAATTATTTTCAGGTGAACATAAATTATTACCAAGACATACTATAATCTGGACCATAAAAGAAACCTTAACAAATTTAACAGAATATAAATTGTACAAAGTATTTTTGTTTACTATAACATAATTACATAAGAAGCTAATAACAGACATATAACAGAAAATATTTTAATCACTTAGAATTAAATAATGCACTTGTAAACAACACAACAATACAAAAAGAACTCTCTGAAAAATTAGAAAATATTTTAAACTGAATAAACATAAAATAGTAACATATCGAAAGTAGCTTCAGTAACATTCACAGCATTAGAAATTTAACTTGGAATGGAAGAAAGGTTGTAAGTCAATTTTAAGCTTTTACCAGAAGAAAGGTGAAAATCATGAACAAGTTAAATGAAAGCAACTAAAAATGAAGATAAGTTCGTTTAATAACATAAAACAGAAATAAAAATAGAATCAGAAATGCTCTAGAAAAAATACCTGAAACTAAAAGCTGTTTTTCTTTGGAAAGCTCACTACATTGATTAACCTTTAGTCAAATGCAACTTACCACTCTCAGAATTGAAAAAGGGTAATCATTAAAGAGTCTACAATTATTAAGAAGATAAGAAGAAAGACTGATAGCCACCCTTTGCCCATTATAAAATTTAGATGAAATGGCCCAGGTTATTGAAAGATATACCCTATCAAAATTTACTGAAGAAGAAAAATAAGTTGTCCTCTGGTTGTTAAATATATTGAATTCATAGTTCAAAGAAAACCTCAGGCTCATATTGTTTCACTGGTCAATTCTATAGATCACTTAAAAATGAAATAATACCAAGTATACAAAATCTCTTCCAGAAAATAGAACAGCATGTGACTCTTCTCAACTTATTTTATTGGGCCAGTACTGCTGTGATACCAAAACTAAATAAAGACATAATTAATAGAAAAAGCACAGACCATTATACTTCATGAACATAGAAGCAAGTATATTTGATAAATCCACTGTTTTATAAAAAAGATATTACATCATGACCAAATCACGTCCACACTGTGAATACTAGGGTAATTCACCACTCAAAATCAACCAATATATTTCATAAGAAACTAAAGAGAAAATATATGGTCAACTCAACAGAGAACAAATTGTTTGCTTAATTTAATACTTTGTCGAGATAAAAACTCCCAGCAACAAAAGGATACATATTTAATCTTGTAAAGAACATTTGTAACACACTCTAAATAATCTCAGACACAATGATGAAAATTAAATGCTTTTCTTCCCAGATTGGTAATAAGGCAAAGATATCCATAATCACCACCCTTGTTCACCATCATGCTGTTAATTCTAGCCAGGTCAATAAGGAAATATAAAAAAGTAAAAGCACATAGATTTGAAGGGAATAAATAAAGTTGTCTCAACTTGCAGATAGTATGATTGACTATACAGAAAATCCCAAGGAAAATAAGAAAAGAGTGTTGAAACTTCTAAGTGAGTTTAGCAAGGGTACTAGATACAAGATCACTATGTGAAAATCAACTTTCATTCCTACATACTAGCAATGAACAACTGGAATTTGAATTTAAATAAACAACACCATTAATAGTAGCACCAACAAATAAAACTGTTAAATATAAACTTTAAAAATGTATCTCACTTTTCTGCTGAAAACCACTTAAATAAATCAATTAAGACCAAAATAAATTTAGAGATATATCATGTTCGAATAGGAAAGGCTCAATTTTCCCTAAATTAATTTATAGACTCATCACAATCGCAATCAAAATTTCATTAAGAATATGTAAATATTGACAAACTAATTCTAAAATGTCTTTGAGAAAAATAATTGCAACAGCTAAAATAAAAATTGAAAAATGCAGAATGCAGCTGGGAGATGTACTCCCTATTTTTAAGTTTACTGTAAAACTATAGTAATAAAGACAATGTAGTATCCACAAAAAATAGATATGCAGATAGATAAGTAGATATCTATCTGCATAGTAGATATCTATAGATATCTATCTACTTATGCAGATAGATAATACTTATCTAGATAGATAGATAGATAGATAGATAGATAGATAGATAGATAGATAGATAGATAGAAAGAACAGAAAATAGAATGCAAAAGTAGACCTACGGAAATTTTGTCGGTCTAGATAGATAGATAGATAGATAGATAGATAGATAGAACAGAAAATAGAATGCAAAAGTAGACCTACAAAAATTTTGTCAATGTGATACATTTTGACAACGCAATGAAGAAACAACAGCCTTTTGAGGAAACTGTGCTGAAATTTTTGGTTATCAATGTATAAGAAAATAAATCTTGGTGGCTACCTCATACTTTATTAAGAAAAAAAATAGATCATAGAATATAAAATTGAAAATTGTAAACTTTAATAAATAGAAAAATATATATGACTTAGAGTTAGGCATAGAGTTCTTAGATACAATACCAAAAGCATGATCCATAGAAGAAAAAACTTGAAAACTATATCTCACCTAAATTAAAAATATTTTCACATGAAAGTCACTGTTAAGATCATGCAAAAGCAAGTCTTAAAATGGGAGAGTATGTTTGTAAATCATTTATCTGTCAAAGGACTTATATCCAAAATATATAAAGAACTCTCAAAATACAACAAAAATAAATAAAAATATCAATTTACAAGTAGAGGAGTTAAACAGATATTTTACCAAATCAGATATACAGATAGTAAATAAACACGCAAAAAGATGGTCAGCATCTGAAATCAAGAAAATGTAAATTAAAACTACAATGTGATCTCAATATGCACATTACCACTACTATGATTAGAATGACTAAAAACCAACCAACCAATCAACAAACTGATAATAACATGTGCTGATGAGGGTGCAGAGAAACTAGAATTTTCACATATTGCTGATGGGTGTGCACATTTAAAAATCCTTATTGATTTTTGCGTTTGTCTTTTTCTAATAAAGGTAATACAGAATTACCATATGATCCAGTAATCCACTTCTAGGCACTTACCTAAAAAATGAAAATTTGTGTATGTAAATGTTTATCTCAGCTGTATTCATAATTGCCAAAAAATGAAAATAGCTGCAATGTCACTACCTATTGAATGGATAAGCAAACATATCAATGCAATGGAATACTACTCAACAATATAAAAGAATTGACTTCTGATATATTCAATAACATGGATCGATCTTAAATGCATTGTGCTAAGTGCAAGAAACCAAATTCAAAAGGCTCCATATGGTACATAAAATTCTGAAAAGGGCAAAATCAAAAGGAAAAAATCATAGAGTTGAGAAAAATTCAGTGGTTGTTTATGTGTGGGCATGAGGAAAGCGGTTGACTGCTAAAGGGCAGCATGAAAGAATTGTTCTTTACATAACTCGATGGTAGAGGTGTTTATGCTTCCTTATGCTATTTTGAAAATTCACAGGATTGTGCAACAGATAGGATGGTTTTACTATATAAGAAATTTCTAGTGGGCTAAATTTTCTTCTTCCTTACACTTTGGATCACTTTTATATAGTGATTATATATTACTTATCACATGATATTATGGATATTTATAATAAAACATTCAGATAATGAAAACATAGTTCACTTTTGTTAATACAATATTTGAAAACAACCAATTTAGTACATTGAAGCAGTAACTCAGTTCATCAACAAGGTTAGACTTGATCTTAGGATAAAGGAGATACTATTTCTAAATTTGCTTCACACATTTTAATTGTTTTGGTTACACTCTAAGACTTTGGGAATATTAATGGGACAGTAGCACTTCAGACAAATGAAATCGTTGCTGAAGATTTTAACTTGTATTAAAAATGCACTGCTGTGTTCCATGAGCAAATAAGTTGCTAGGGAAAGGAGACACAGGATAAAGACGTTAAAAACTACCATCACAAAAAACAGAGGAGGTACTTCCTCCTTCAGTGAAATTATACTGTATCGACACAATTTTATGTAGGTTAAATATTGCCATTACTTTTTAACATTTTTAATATGAATATTTTTAGATGAGTAATATATTTCTGGTATTGAGTTTTGGATAAGAGGTTAGAATACACTGTGAAAGTGAGTCTTAAAAATTAAATTAATGAGAAGAGTATCTTAGTAATGGGCACTGAACCAAAATATCCATTGCCTCACTGCCTTAGGGCTCCTGTGTATCTCTCATATATCTTCATGCAAAGCTTAAGTCAAAAGGGGAATTTCTTTCTCTGGCATCTCTCTCTTTTTGTCTCTCTCAGTCTCATGCACACACACACACACACACATGCACACCACCCCTCCCCGCCCCCACACACAGTATTCAAGATCTGCTTCAACATAATAGGTTAATTTGAGAAAAAAATCTAGGAACTGATCATTTGTTATATCACTGATAGGGTTTAAAACAAGTAAGAACTGGAGCTTTGGAGAGTAGAAAATACATATTTTCCTGTAATATAAAACATATTATATGAAATCAATTTTATATGCATACTTCCACAATGCTTATCATTTGTATAGAATACAAATTAAATAGGTGAATAAAGTAGAGAATTTAAATTTGGTAATTATAAATTATTAGAAGTCAGACAAAATATTATTATGTCAGGAGGCTGAGGGAAAATAATACATTTATAGGAAATGAAACAACCTTGAAGTAACATCGTTACACTTTTGAGAAACAGAAATTTAGATAAGGTGTCAAATCAAGGAAATACATATTCTTCAGGAAAAGAAAAAAATGAGAAAAATATGAACTAATGATTAAACTAACAATATTTCCTAGTGAAGATTTTTTAAATAGGAGAAAATAGTATGGATACTTAAATTGCAAACTTCTCTTTATATCACATAAGAAGGCAGTTAACAAAGCAATTTGTATCACAGATAAGTAAAGATTTGATATGTTTATATGAGATAATAAAGATTTCATTCAAATAGAATAGTAATACAAAACTACTTAAAACAAAGAATTTTGCTGACTGAATCCTCTACTATCTCATAAATAGGAAAAATGTTCTTACAAATAAATATAAATACATGTATAAAGCACATCTCATGGCACCTTGCAGACAGTATAGGATCAAATGAAAAGTTTGTAGATTTAAGCAAGGTAAAATAAACAATCTGACTAACTCCAGAGCCTAACATTTAAAAATTGTGGGATGAAAAAATTTTAAGGCTTGATTTTATAAGTGAAACTAGATGGATGGGTGACAAACTATATGAATCTATTTTTTCTGAGAAGAGACATTACTGGTGAATTTTAATTTATACCTTATTGTATTCTTTATGTAGAGCAAAGAGGAGAAACAAACCTTAATGAAATGAATTTACATTTGTTGTCTCATAATATTATGAAGATGCTATGGTTTGAATGTGTCCCCTCCAAAATTCAGCTGTTGAAACTTAACGTTCAAAGGGATGGTATGGGCCCTTTAAGAGGTGATTAGGTGATGAGGTCTTCTCTCCCATGAATGAGATTAGGTGCTCTTATAAAAGGGCTTGATGGAGGGAGTTTATCCCTTTTTGCCCTAACCCTCTGCCTTATGAGGACACGCATTTCTCTCCTCCAAAACATGCAGCCCTTACCAGTCAACTGAACCTACTGGCAACTTGATTTTGAACTCCCCAGCCTCTACAACTGTGAGAAAATAAACTTCCATTACGTATACATTACTCAATCTTTTATGCTGCTATTTTTTTGCAGCAGTGCAAAATGGACTAAAAATAAGAATATGAGATCCCTATTATGCCAAAACCTTATTGTGTAGGGAATATTTTAGGAAAAATAATGTGTCAAATTCATGATGATATTAAGTCTACTCAATAAGTTTTACTGATTGTCAAGTCTAATGCATGTAACACCCTGGGGAATTGTATCCTAGGAAATTATGATTTACAGAAGAACAAGGCATAAATTTGTCCCTACGAGTCTGAAATGCTTGTGTGGTAGGTAGAGAGATGCAAACACAAATTTGTCAGTTTGCATACAGATGCTTCTTGATTTATGATGGGGTTACATCCTGAAAAACCTATTGTAAGTTGAAATATTGTAAGTTGAAAAAGCATTTACTACACCTAACTTACCAAAAATCATAGCTTAGCCAAGCCTACCTCAAATGTGCTCAGAACACTTACATTAGCCTACCGTTGTACAAAATCATCTAACACAAAGCCTATTTTACAGTAAAATATTTAATATCTCATGCAATTTAGTGACTACTGTAATGAAAGTGAAAAACAGAATGGTTGTTTGAGTACTCAAAGTACAGTTTCTACTGAGTGCATATTGCATGTATGCCATCAAAGTAAAAAAAATTGTTAAGTCAAACCATTGTAAGTTAGGTATTACCTGTACTTTTTAAAAATTGAAACATCAGCTGCTGATTTATAGGTTTAGATAAATAAATTCTAAGTTGTGGGAAATCCGTTGTCAGTATGCATTGAGCCAGTTGTGCTTACCATCTACATATTTTTTTGTATTTATTAAGACAGATTTATTTATTTATTTTAAATGTCTGTTTTCTTGCATCTATTATGTTTACTTAGTATGTCTTCATTATTATCTGGGGATGGATAAAGTACTTTTAAATTGAAAAGAATTTTTTTCTTTCTTCTTCTTTCTGTTAATACTTAAAATTCCGAATCCAATACAAAAAAAAAAAAAAAACCTCTTATTCTTAATTCTTACAAATCACATTCCATTAAAGTGCTAGAACAGTTAGAACCAATCAAAATCTTGGTATAATAAGGAAAGTTTTCTAAAGCCTCAGCAAATGGCTTTCTTCTTTGATTAAATGCATTCAATACAGTGAAATTTCAGAACAAGAAAGAAACTTACACTTAATGTCTATGAAACATCCATGTAACTCGAAATTCTCTCAGAAAAGCCCAATAGACTTTCATTAAGTTGTAATTTAATTGAATACTATTTGATAGCGATAGCTATGAAATATATTCAGTTTTGTACATTTCTCAAGGCTGCATACAATGATGAGCGTTTAGTACTTGTGTAAATACCGTAATGGCTTTATTTCATAATGTTTCACAATGTAGCCTGAAATAACTGCAGATTCTTGCCATTTGTGCCAAGACTATCTGGATGTGAACATAAACGTCCATAAGGTCTGGTAGTATGTTATTTTGCTAATGTTCCTGGAATGACCTGCTTGACAATGGGAGGCTATTAGCTCCATTGTCAAGGAGCTAAGCAACACCTCTAGGTGACTCTCCTGCTGCAGCTCAGGAACATTTGAAAGGCAATATACTCTTCTTTCAATCTGCAGAGAATGGATTCACTCAAGATCACCCAGGTGAGCAGGCTTTTTCATCAGACTACACAATTAATTAAACATTGGGACCCTCCTAGTGGCCAAGGTTCCTGGAAACTGTGAACATCTCCGTGTTGTTCAGGACACAAGTGTCACTTCACAAACATGTTGATTCTAGTGACATATCAACTGCTCTCAAGCTATGTAAGCAAAAACTAGACTTGCGTTGTAATTACTTTTGATAATGTTCCTCTTAAATGTGTCATTACATTCTGTTTGGTTTTAACAAGAGGTTACGCTATCATTTGTTTTTTTACCACAAACCTAAGAATCAAGTGGTACTATTATCTAATTGCTATTTTAGAAACAAGATAACTGAGACTTGCTTAGAGAGTTTGAAAATAATTCCCATAGCCACCCAGCTAGTAATTAATAAAGCTGAGATTTAAACCCAAATCTGTCAAACACAAAATCCTACGCTCTGTTTCCACTCCCGACTGAACACTATGTAGACAAACTTGTAGTATAAGGATGTACATAGGGGCCATGTTGCTCAATAGATGACTCTCAATAGAGATATGGCTGAGTAGAATGAAGGGCTAGCTAAATATGTTCATCTTTATGAAATTCTATATTTTTAGAAATTGAAGAACACAGAATATTTAAATATCAGAAATCTCCTGGAGCCTCTTTCTTCCCAAATTTCTTTGGAAACACTTTCTTAATCTGTTTTGTTAAAATTCGGATGTCTGCATGCTGGCTACAAAAACTGTTTTACAGTATTTTAAATGTAATTACATGAGGCTTGGCCTTCCTATGAGTGTATACTCATAGCATGTATTAACATGATGTGTAACATGCAGAATTTGTTATATATTAGTTTGAAATAGTGAGCCCTTTCACATGCTCTGACCAACTTGCTCATCTAGCCAAGAGTAAAATCAACATTTTGTGTACACGTCTAGGAGTGTACATCAAATTTTTTGTGTGTACAGACCTAAACTTTCTTCCATTCCAAATATTTTCTCCTTGTGTCTTCCCTTTTAGTAAAGAGCATGATTATCCACCAGGTAATCTAGACCGGGATCAGACATTGCCTTCAGCTATTCTGTCTTCCTCATCCTTTATATATGCTCATCAGTCTAATTGATTCTACCTCTTAAAAACCTTGAAGTCTCCTCTTTCACAAGTGTTAAGATCTAAGTTTAGTACAAAAAGTAGAAATTACATATAAAAAATTATTTATTTAGACAAGTAGAGACTGATACTGACTTAATGAACAAAAGATTTATATCTCCCATTGCACTCTCTCTTTGGAACATACATATTTACTTTACTTATTGTTTGAAATGGCAGTTGAAGTTGCCCAATGTTTAAATTGTTATTTCTGTAGCGTTCATGCTCTCACTTGCTCTCTCTCCCTCTCCTACTTATTCTTTTACTTTTGGCTAAGTATATGTATTTGAATGTGTGTAGGTTAAATATGTCTATACATATGTCTGTTTCTCTTTATCTTCCTGGCCCCTTAATCTATGCCACCATCATTTCTGAACGCATCAAATTGGTTGCCTAAATGGACTCCTTCCCTTCCAGATTTTACTCCTCATATTTATTCTCTATACTGTTACCAGAGTGAATTTTCTAAAGTACAAATAGATTCATGTTGCTTCCTGCGCTCAACACCCTTCAAAGTCTCTGTCTTATTCCTTGGATAAAATATACTTTTGCATGATTAAAAAGTTTGAAAATAATCTGGCAACAGCTTGATTTTCTAACCTCCATTCCAACTATCTCCCAAAGCATCAAACAATCGCATGTACCATCCCATTCTCAAGCATATTCTATGCTTAGGTTTACTGGGTCTCTTTTATGTCCTTCAATTTTCAGCATTCATACATTCTGCTTTTGCTGCCTGAAACGACTCGTCTATGTCCTGTGCTACTTGCTGCCTTCATCGTTCTCACTGCTGAGTGCCAGCAGAGCACGCCCTATGGAGATTACTTGGACACATCTGGCACCCTCTGGCACGCAGCTGGCTTGGTAAATGGGGAGCAATGACAGGCAACTGGAGGAAGAATATTGATGACCCAGCCCTTATTCATCTGGCACTCTTCATAAAATCCTCCCTTTGGTTTTACACACCTTGGAACACCACAGAGCCCTGCTGTTCCCAGTCCCTGGATCCTACACTCTTCTTGAGGTTTCCCTATACCACGCTGACACTTTATAAATATGCTTTTATTAAAGTAGCTCTAAATTATCCTATTTTGTGGATATCATCCATTTCAGTTTTGGCCCTAACCAACGCAATCATTATTCCTCCTCGCCAACAACTAGTTCGTCGGCCAACCCTGCTCATCCTTTGGTTCTTGGTATAAATGCCCCTTCCTCTTAGTAGTTTCCTTTAACTCCTAAGCCTGGGTTAGGAGTCCCTCTTTTTTTTCTCATAATAATATGTACTTTTCTCTGTCATATCACTTACAATTTTCTAACTTTTTCTATTTTCCCCTTTCCTAAATACAGCCTTGTAAGGGTTGTTACCCTAAATGGTTCAAGCTTTGATATCCAAGTGTAACAGTGGGCCTGGCACACAGAGAGGCATAATAGCACCTGAGTACCAACCACTCAGATTCAAATCCCATCTCTGTGACATCCTTACTGTGGGAATGTTGAGTAAACTGTTTAGCATGCCTGAGCCTTCACTTCATCATCTTTAGTATAAAGATTATCTACTTATGATGAAATTGGCAGATACCACAAGCCAATGCTTAGAAAATTGTTAGTACTCTGCCTGACAATTAAATACTTAATATATATTTGGTAATATTATTCTTATTTTTTTCTTTTATGTTTTTGTAGAGACTGGATCTCACTACTTGCCTAGCTCTTGAACTCCTGGCCTCAAGCAATCCTCCTGCCTCAACCTCCCAAAGTGCTGGGATTACAGGAGTGAGCCACTATGCCCCACATGGTATTATTATTATTGTTATTAATACTACATTGTGCTTCATAAATAATTGCTAAATATACAAGAATATGTTTGTTTCATTTCATGTTATCTGAAAAGTAAGATTCCCTCAAAAAATCATGAAGGCAACAAATTATTTGACTTGCTATGATCTCCACTCAATTAGTTGAGATAGCACATATATTTTTGAAGTCAAGTATTGTATTTATTTCACGAGACCAATCTTGTGATACCTTAAATAATACAATTATAAAATATAAATTAATTTATTTTATCCATCATTTCCCATGAATTCAAAAGGATATGAAAAAGACTTCACATTCTTTCTGACAGTAAATGATATTTAAATGAATAAATATGTAATTTAAGCACAATTTGTTTTCCATAAATTTCAGTAAGTTGAGTAAAGGTGTGTGGCTTGAAATACTACACTCTTTAAAAGGGACACCTTTTTCAAAGAGGAAATCAAAGCTTCAAAGACTGAGAAGTTCAATTAGCTGGCAACTGCTATCAGAAAACTTTAACCCAGTACAGTGCACTAGAACATCCAAGAACCCATAATAGGATAAATATCCAACAGAAATAACCTGGGAGTCCAGGAACCAATTTATAAGCAATAGCTCATAGAGAAGAAATATTGGATAGAATTTCTACGGGGAAAACTTAGTGAAGTTCAATGCAATTGTCCTCTTTTAAATTTTCCCAGTATGTTGACCCCAGGGTAAAAATCTCCTACACACTTTCCACCTACTCTCTCAATCCAGGTGACTAGTTTATCTCAGTCCATTTGAGCTGATTTTTCAAGTCCATTTCAAGAGAAAAGAATCACATAACTTCCCTTACAGCTCAGATGGCAACTACAGGAGAAAAGAAGAAAAATATTTGAAATGAAAAATGAAAGAAAAAATAGCAAAAGTAATATCCATATGGCATTACTGATAAAAAAAATCTTAAGCCAAAGAACTTGTCAGGATCCTGAGTTTCATTTATTACAATAGCTGTTTCAAGAGAAATAAAAATGGATGCAGAATTATTTTGCTCTGTCTTCAGTTTGCACAGCAGAAAACAGTACTCAGTGGAAAATGATCTCCAGCATCAATCACTGTAACTGACAGCTGTAACCTAAATCTTACTCCAATTAATTAGTCTTAAAATATTAAATATGACCAAACTTTTCTGGAATTATTTTACGTGGAAATACAAGCCTCCAGATGGATCCTCATTGAGTGGAGACAGAGTCACTGGAATCTTTGTTATTTTGGAAGAAATTGTCAAATGAGAATAATCTCAAACAATGTTGCAGCTATTTCTCATTCTGTAGGGTCACAGTTACAGGCAAACTACGAAAAGTTTAAAATCATCTTTAAGTTTTTCTTTCAACAGCTGAAAGGCAAGTAATGAGATAAGTCTTAGTGACAAAATAAAAACCACAGCCTTCTCCAACACTTGCTTCTGTCCTTTTTAACCTGAGATATTAAATGTAAGATTGCTCCTAACTTAAGAAATGCAACGTAACAGCCCTTCATTAGATCCTGGAAATACAGCTGGAGTTTCTGTCAAGGTGGGTCAGCTGGATCATAATAGACACTGACGGATGTGTCAGTTAAGTGAAATTGCAAAGATGAATTCTAATTCTTTTTTCTACCCAGAGAGAACTCTTTTGGGGTATTAAGGTCACTGGGCAGTTTTATCTTTGGATGAGAACTGCCAGATTCATTATATTTCCTCACATCCAGCTCCCTAAGAAAAGACTTGGCTTTAAAATATTTGATATTGTCTGTCTTTCTGAAGTTTGCATTCCATTGAAATTGGACTTGAAGCCCACTTGATTTACAATAACTCTGATTCTGATGACAAAAAATGAATACATTTAAGATATCAGCAAAAGGCTGGTTTGTTCATTTTAAACTGATTTAAAGAATTGTTAGGGAAAATTCACGCAGACACTGATACACAGAGGCAAACACACATGCACGCGCAAACAGCACTTGTGCTTATCAACAACTCTACAATCAGTCCATCCTTCCATAAAAGGAGAGGCTAATTTTCTCTTCAGTCTTTTCTGTCACAGACTGTTGTTGGCAGAATGAAATATATTGCACCTGGGTATGATTAATTGTTTTCTGAAGCACAGTTGTACTTTGAAAAGTAACTTGAATAGCTTAATTCTCTCTCAACATATTTTATTAGCTTGGTGTTTAAGCTTCTACCTGGACAGTTTAATGACATGAAGCATTTGTGTTGTTCTCTTGGGAGAGATAGTGATTTCATCTCTGGGCCTCAGTTCATGCTTTTTGCAGTGATTTCTGATGGTAGGTGTTTTGTTTTTTGATAAGTTTGTGTTTAATTTTGAATAGTCAACTAGAGTCATTTTCTTATTTTTGTAATTCTGACCTTTCTCATATTTTCATTGCATTGAACCCATCTCATTAGTTGCTAACCAAGCACGGAACAGTGAAATTTATGTATACAGAAAAGCATAATTATTATTTTTCATTAATTTGTCTACTACTACACTGCATAGTTAGCAACTTAGATGTACTGGAGAGATAGCTTCTGCTTTGCTGAATGTGTCCATATGAAAATCAACATAGCACAACAGAAATACTTTAAGTTACAAATGGACTGGATCAGGCATGAAGGAAACTAAGACATGAAAGAAATGTTCACCCAATAGTAACACTATTGAACTCTGGGTAATAATATCTCTCATAGGAACCAGTGTAAATACCAGTGTAAATATATATATATATATATATATATATATATATATATATATATATATATACACACACACACACACACACACACACACATATGGATATATATATATGATATATATGGATATATATATGATATATATGGATATATATATATATATCATATATATATACTTTTTTCTCAATGTCCATAGAATATCTCAGAATACCTCAATTTCATGGAATTTAGATAACTTCTAGCCTATGCTATTTTAAATCTTGTATTTAAGAGATACTTATAAGACAAATGACTTGTCATTGAGGAAACAAGCAAGATATATTTCTTGTTTAAGAATTTACATTTGGCCAGGCATGGTGGCTCATGCCTGTAATCCCAGCACTTTGGGAGGCCGAGGTGGGCGGATCATGAGGTCAGGAGATCGAGACCATCCTGGCTAACACGGTGAAACCCCGTCTCCACTAAAAAATACAAAAAAATTAGCCAGGCGTGGTGGCGGGGGCCTGTAGTCCCAGCTACTCGGGAGGCTGAGGCAGGAGAATGGCGTGAACCTCGGAGGCGGAGCTTGCGGTGAGCCGAGATAGCGCCACTGCACTCCAGCCTGGGCGACAGAGCGAGACTCCGTCTCAAAAAAAAAAAAAAAAGAATTTACATTTAACTAGTAGCAGAGCTGTTACTAGAGTAAGTTTCTCATAGTAGAACTCTTTCACCACAAACCAGTATTACTGAATTGTGTTTTTGCGTACAATTATGCACTGCATAATAATGTTTCAGTGAGCAATGACCTGCATTATGACACTGGTATCATAAGATGATTATGGAGCTGAAAAATTTTTATCTCCTGGTGATAGCCATCATAATGTTAGAGTACAACTTATTATATGCTTGTTTGTGGTGATGCTGATATAAACAAATCTAGTGTGCAGCCAGTCGTATAAAAGTATAGCACGTACAATTACATAGAGTACATGATACTTGATTATGATAATAAAGACTATGGTACTGGTTATGTACTTACTATACTATACTTTAAATTGTCATTTTAGAATGTATTTCTTCTACTTGTAAAAAAAAAAAACTTAGCTGTAAAACAGTTTCAGGTAGGTCCTTCAGCAGATATTCCAGAAAAAGTCATTGTTATAATGGTTGACAGCTCCATGCGTATTATTGCCCCTAAAGACTTTCCAATGGGATAAGATGTGGAGGTGTAGACAGTGATATGGAGGATCCTAGCCCTGTGTAGGCTTAATGTGTGTGTTTGTGTGTTAGTTTTTAATAAAAAGTTTAAAAGTAAAAATAAAATAAAATTTAAAATAGAAGAAAGCTTTTAAAATATAGGTATAAAAAGAAAAAAAGGCCAGGTTCAGTGGCTCATGCCTATAATCCCAGCACTTTGGGAGGCCAAAGCTGGTGGATCACCTAAGCCCAGAAGTTCAAGACCAGCCTGAGCAACATGGCAAAACCCCACCTCTACAGAAAATAAAAAAATTAGCTGGGTGTGGTGGCACACAACTCTAGTCTCAGCTACTCAGGAGGCTGAGGTTGGAGGATCGCTTGAGCCTAGGAAGTGAAGGCTGCAGTGAGCTGTGATTGCACCACTGCATTTCAATCACTCCAGCCTGGGCAACAGAGCAAGACCCTGTCTCAAAAAAATAAATAAAAGGGAAAAAATATATTTGTACAGCTGTATTAGTCCATTCTCACACTGCTAATAAAGACATACCCAAGATGGGGTAATTTATAAAGGAAAGAGGTTTAATTGGCTCACAGTTCAGCGTGGCTGGGGAGGCCTCAGGAAGTTGATAACCATGATGGAAGGGAAAGCAAACATGTCCTTCTTCACACGGTGGCAGGAAGGACAAGTGCCAAGCAAAAGAGGGAAAAGCCCCTTATAAAACCATCAGATCTTGTGAGACCTCATTCACTGTCACGAGAGCAGCATGAGGGTAACTGCCCCCATGATTAAATTACCTCCCACTGGGTCCATCTCACAACATGTGGGGATCATGTGAACTACAATTCAAAATGAGATTTGGGTAGGGACACAGCCAAACCATATCCACAGCTATACAATGTATTTGCATTTTAGGCTGTGTTATTATACAAGAGTCAACTTTTTTTAAAAAAAGAAAAAGCCTATAAAGTTAAAAGCTTATGGTAAACTAGGTTATTTTTTTATCAAAATAAACATTTGTTATAAATTTAGTGTAGCCTAAGTGTATAGTGTTTATAAAGTACAGTAATGTACAATAGTAATGCCCTAGGCCATCCCATTAACTCACTACTCACTGACTCACCCACAGCAACTTCCAGTCCTGCAAGCTCCATTCATGGTAAGTGCCCTACACAAGTGTACCATTTTTTATCTCTTATACTATATTTTTTACTGTATGTTTTCTATGTTTAGATATGATTAGATACACAAATACTTATTATTCTGTTATAATTGCTTACAGTATTAAGTACAGCAACATTCTGAATAAATTTATAGCCTAGGAGCAAAAGACTATACCATATAGCCTAGACATGTAGGCTGTACAACCTAGGTTTGTGTAAGTCCACTGTATGAGATTTATATAAGGACAAAATTGCCTAAGGACACATTTCTCTGAATTTATCCCTGTTGTTAAGTAACACATGATTATACTAATTTGTATTATTTTCCCTATGTAAGCAAGGATAAAATGGAAATAATGTCTTCATAGTCTCTAAATCCCCTGTAAATCCAGTTCTGCGTTTTTTGTTTCATATATTAGGTGTTTTTAATCACTTACTAAATATGAATGACTGACTTAGTGGATTAAAGCTGGGCATTCTACCAATGAATTGAAGTAATTCTGTTATTCTGTTTACATATTTTAAACAGCTGCTAAATAAGGATATTTTTCTGTCTACCAAAGTAAATCTAAAAAACACTATGGATACTTACCAGGTTAGTAGTACTATTTGGGTAAGCTCGTAGACAGAACAGTATCGGAAACTAAATGGAAATCTTTTTTCAAATTTTTTCTGTGCTGAAATAATCAAAATTTAAAAACTTAAAATAAAATTAACTGAAATATTACATTTAAGATCATTTGAAAAGCTGCATATTAAGAGTTTATGTGATTAGATATATTTAGGCTGTGTATCAAATTATGATTTTAATTGCATCGAGTGGTCTATAAACTGCTTTTTTGCAAAGTGCTTACAGGTTATAGATGAAAGATGAAGAATTAAGAAAGGTAGCTCACTTGAACTGAAACCTAATCTAATTTATGATGTACCTTACCACTGCTTGCAGTACAAACAGGGATCCAATTAAATTCAGAAATTCTGATCACAATTTGGGAATCATGAAAACTATAGTGAGTGGATGACAGTAAATAACCACACAGCTTTTAGAGAAAGAAAAATTGGCAAAGATACCCTAAATTGCACATATTAGCTATGTTTTCACTAAAGGGAAATGGTCTTAGAGGTGGATAATTGGGGCACATGGCTTCATGAGTGGGCCTTGGTGCAAGCTGCTACCCTCTGACACAAAGTATCTAACATACAGTCAAGATTACGCAGCTTTGTGTGTGTGGAAATTGGCTTGAGATCAACTTCTGTGGATCTTTCAAGTTTCCTTTATGGTATTCCTCTTAGTGGGGGATTAGTTTTGCACTGTATTTTCATTCTCATTTGCATTTCTGGAGTTATGTTCAAGGCAAGTGGTGGAGTTAAAATTGTTAGCGCTCATAGTTGTCACAGAAAGACAAACAGTGTAATGACTTGAAGATATACTTGGATTATTTTATTTTTTATAAAATAAGAAAAATCAGAAGAAAGGTGTTTAACATTGATTAAGTCCTATAATAGAAAACCTTAATCCTAGGAAGTATGAATGGAGTACGAAAGCTTTCCCATATGCATTACAGGGAATTAAAATACACAATACACTTAACCTAGAGAGATCACGATTGCAAATGAGATACTGTTATTCTTATTGGTGTGCTCCATTTTTATTACTTCACCTCGGAAAATGATTTTTATTATCTTCCTACTTTGTTTAGAATAGTGAGGAAGTTTACAAGTTGTGTCTACTAATAGAGCAAATAATCGTTTTGTCCTTAAAAAAAAAAGAAGCCCATTCTTCAAGGTTTCTTCAACTATTGGCCTCTGTGGGGACACAGAAGGGAATATTAATGTCAAAAATGTGATACAGATGCATGGATATTTTGGGATCTGACAAAACCAGTCTATTTGTCAAGCCATAATCACCAAACAGTAACTGACTTTTAAATATGTGTAGCTTTGATGTTAACTACTGAGAGAGGATAAGGGCTTGACATTGATTGACGTCAATGTCAATTTCATTTTCTCAGAAGTCTTTATATGTTGAACATTAACAATTTTAAAAATACCACTGTGACTTCATAGTGTCTCTATCAGCAATCTGCCATTGCTGTAGGTCTTCATTTTATATGAAAGAAAATTCTGCTAGTAAATTAATAATGAAATGCCATACCAAAAAGATGGACAGCTTTCCAGTGACCTTCCAGTGTAAATTATTTCACATACTGGCCTGGCCATGATTGTTTATCATTTCTACTATCATCATCATGAAATGACTTAACACATTACAGTGAGTAAATGATCTTTCCTCAAAAGTATCTGGTGAATTTTGCGTTCTGCATTTTTCAGTCAGGTGGACAGAAAGCATAATCTGTGTTACAGTTAGCACAGGAAAAAAACAATTTAGTGGCTGCAATTTGACATAACCTGAAAGGTGCAAATACATTGCTTGAAAATGAACATCACTGTAGTAAGATTCTTTGACTGAAAAGATTACAGGTTAAGGATGAAATGGAAGGAGAACTAGCCAAAAATTTTAGATGACTAAAGAGAAAAGAAAAGCAGAGGCATGACCAATTGAATGGCAAATTGTAAGATCATAGGTTCCGTCACATATTTTCATCCCATAATCTGAATGAGATAATTTTGGTATCATAGTTGAATGTTTCAGTTGGCTATTGCCATAGGAAGCACTCAGTACTTTTGTCATGGTCATATTTTGAAAAGTAAGAGAATATACATGAAAAGTAGAAAAGAAAAAAATAGTTTTTAGCTTAAACAAATTATAGAATCTCAATTTGATAAAAATCAGATATCAAAGAGAGAATCAGAAGCAAATGACTGACCATTGGGTACATTGGTTTAGAAAAGAATTGAAAAGTTTGCTTTTATTAAAAACATACTAACAATTTCTTGCATATCTCTCATAAAATAAAATGTGGAAGCATATTGCCATTGAACTAACAGTACTCAATAACTATTTTTCCTAGTACTTAAAGATACTGGTAACCCTATTATATCAATATCCATTGAGGCCAACAAACCACTGTAAAACTTGTGGCTTAAAACAATTTGCACTTGTCGCCGGGAGCAGTGGCTCAGGCCTGTAATCCCAGCAATTTGGGAGGAGGTCAGGAGATTGAGACCATACTGGCTAACATGGTGAAACCCTGTCTTTACTAAAAAAAAAAAAAAGAAAAAAAAGAAAATACAAAACATATAGGCACGCGCCTATAGTCCCAGGTACTCTAGAGGCTGAGGCAGGAGAATTGCTTGAACCCAAGAGGCAGAGGTTGCAGTGAGTCGAGATTGTGCCACTGCACTCCAGCGTGGGTGACAGAATGAGACTCTGTCTCAAAACAAATAAAGAAATAAACAAACTACAACAACAACAACAAAAAAAAACAATGAACACTCTCATTGCTCTCATATCTCTAAGTAAGCTGGTCAAGTCTGCTGATCTGAGCCAGCCTTGGTTGATCTTGGTTGGACTTGTTCATATATGGGTCAGCTGGGCCAAAGGTTGTTAGACTAGAATGGCCTAACTTATCTGGGAATTGTTGTCTCTCAATGGGAAAGACGAGGTAAATAGGCAATATGTCTTTCATTGTACAATAGACTTGTCCTGATTTATTTAGGCTGGGTTCCAAGAGATAAAAAAAGTCGAGGCATAGGCTTGGAATTGCCAAAACATCATTTCTGCTTCATTCTTTTAGCTAAAGGTGAAGAATTAGGGTTGAATTTTTATATAGGAACAAAAATGTATGACTTGGTGTTTGATGAGTATGAGGAAATGTTTATATTTTTATTAGGAAGTAAGCTTATCTGTTTATTCTCAGGGGGGAGTTCCATAAACATAATTATTTTTTCTGTAGGAATTTGGCCAGAATACTAGAACCAGATGTGGTGTGGGGAGATTAGCAGATAAAGTAATTTTAACCAGAATTACTGAAATTATTGCTTCTCAACAAAAGCTGCACAGAAATTCTGACCAAATATGAAATGGTTCTCTGACATTTTCATAAAACCAGCTAACATTATTTGAAATACTCTCACAATTTCTGATTAGAAATTTTTTGATCTTTTGACAAATGTATCCCAACTGCTACATTTGGATGCTGAGCCTAGACCTTCTTGTGTATATCCTTGCTCAGTTAAAAATTTGTTATACACAATTAGGCTATGGGGATCTCAAGCATTGAGATTTTTCTTTAAAGTAATTAACTATGAAGAAAAGTTCCATATATATATATATATATATATATATATATATATACATATATATATACATATATATGTATATATATATACACATATATATACATATATATGTATATATATATATACACATATATATATACATATATATGTATATATATATGTACACACACACACACACGTATCAAATTGCTATTCCAAATGTAACTTCATCTGCATACCATCTATGAGAATTGTGGTGGGTTGCATAGTGCCCTCTCTGTCTCCTCAAATTTATGTGCACCTGGAACATCAGAACGTGACTTTATTTGGATATTAGGTCCTTATAGACATAATTAGTTATTGGATTAGGCCCTAAATCCTATGACTGGTTTCCTCATAGGGAGAGGAGAGGACACACAGAGACACAGAGAGTAAAGTCATGTGAAGATGGAGGCAAGGATTAGAGTTATGCTGCCACAAGCAAAAAATAAAATTAAATTACAAAAATAATAAATAAATAACAACAACAAAAACCAGCTGGGGACATTAGAAGCTGAAGGAAGAGAAGATTTATGGATGCCAGATGCATGGGAAGATTGTTCCTTAGAGCCTTCAAAGGCAGCATGGCCTGGCTAACATCAACCTTGATTTCAGATTTCTAGCCTCCAGAATGGTGACAATAAATATCCATTATTTTAAGTCATCAAGTTTGTGACTTGATGTCTTGATGTCTTGATGTGACTTGATGTCTTGATGTCTTGATGACTTTAAGTCATCAAGTTTTTTATTACAAAAACCCAGGTGAGCAAGTATAAGGAAGGATACACTAACTGATAAATATATTAATTCTTCTTTTCCATTAGTCATAAGCATCAGATTTTCTACGAATCTGTGCATGTTTTGGTGAGATATAATTTACATAAAGTAAATTACAGTTCCATGAGTTACACACATAGAGCCACATAACCGACACATATTCAAGATACAGGACAATTTCGTTATCCAAACTTATTCTCTTATCCTATTTGTAGCAATCCTTTCTCAAACACTGGAAATCATTGATTTATTTTCTGCCCTTAATATCTCGCCTATTGCATAATTTCAAACAAATGGAATCATACAGTATGTAAAACTCTGGCTTCTTTCACTTAGTGTATTGCCTTTAAGATTCATCCATGTTATTGCATGTATCAGAAATGCATTCATTTTTATTGCTATGCAGCTGCATTGTATGGTTGTACAACAGTTTGTTTATCTGTTCACAAGCTGAAGAACATTTGCTTTGTTTCCTGTTTGAGGAGATTATAAATAAAGCTACTATAAGCATTTGTATACATGTTTCTACATGAACATAAGTTTTAATTTCACTTGAGTTAATACATACAGCTGGGATTGCTGGACCGTATGTTAAACAGTTGCTTAACTTTCTAAGAAAGCGTCAAGCTGTTTGACATATAGTCTATACTACTTTGCAATTCTCCTTTCAGTATAAAAGAGTTCCAGTTCCTCCACTTCCTCAGCAGAACTATTTAGTACTGTCAAATTCTCCCTGCTTTTTTTTCTTTTTCTTTCTTTTCTCAAGGATAAGTGATAAGAGTATCTAACTTAGGTCTTAATTTGGATGTATCTAATGACTACTGATTTTGGACGTTGTATAGTGTATTTATTTGGCATCCATGTGTCTTTGTAAAAGTATCTGTTGAAATATTTAGCTTATTTCTTAATGTTTTGAAAATTAAAAAAATTATTCTGAATGCAAACCTTTTATCAAACATGTAATTTACAAATATTTTCTTCTAATTTATGGCCTGTCTTCTCATTCTCCTAGTAGTGTCCTTTTTAAAACAGATGTGCTGATATATAACAGTCATGCAATTAGCTACACCTATTAAAATATATAATTTGATATGTTTTGACATATGCACACACCTGTGAAATCATAATGACTATCAAGATGATGAACTATCCCTCATCCTGAAATGTATCCTCATGCTCATTTATTATTTGTCCCTACTGGCCCTTCCCATTATAATCCCTCTGTCCTTAGGCAACCACTGATACCCTTTGAGTGTAGATTCAAATGTCCCAGCTATATAGCCATATGATTAAAAATATTTACTACTAGTAAGCCCTGCACCTAGTATTTCTTAATTCTAAGGAATGTTCATATCTCAGTTTTAGAAAACTTGCCTACATATGACACGTTGAGTCAGATTAAGACACATTTCTGGCCTACACTCCAGTAAAAGTCATTTAGACATAGTATTTATAGTACAGGTGTGGAATCAGACAGAATCGAGCTTGTGTGAGCAAGACATTTAACATTCCTAAACCTTTTTTTAGAATCTCTTGAATGGGGATAGTACCTACTTACTGAAGGTGTGATAAAAATTAAATCATCTGCTTTATGTACATCTCTGAATTATGAAAGGCAAAGTTGACCTTTAACAAGCATTTGCTGTGGTGCTGCTTTATGGAAGGTACCAACCCTTAAAGGCACAGTAGTTCTGAAATGATTGGAATGAAATCTTTCCCTTCAAAAATCCAACACTTGGATGAGGGATATTGGAACTACAAATATATCTTGAGCTTCCCTAATTGTTTTAAAACTTATATGATGATGGACACAAGCATTCCAAAGGCTGAATCAGAAAATATGTGCAGTAGGCAGTAATGGTTAGGGGTGTTCATTCTATTTATTTAGGATAAATCGAGTCTCCATTTTCTGTGATCCAGTGAATGTAAAATTTAATGAATTTCCAAGCCTTAAATTTGTATAGAATTTTACTTCAGATTCTGAGCACTATAAACCTATTTGTCTACTTTTAATGATAAACTCATTTACTTCTTTCCTCTCTCTCTTTCTTCCTCCCAGTAGCAAATAGCATCTGTTGCAAGCCTACAGACTAATATCATTATCTGAACTTATCCTGTTACCCAAAACCATGTGTAGTACAAAGAAGAAGCTGAAGATGACTCTAGTTTAGAAAAGACTAGATTTTTTATCTGAAGCCATCCATGGTGAACAATTATGGAATTTCAGATTATTTGGTCAAATAGGATTGGCAAATAGGCTCCCAGGAATGTTCAAAGATTTATAAAGTGTTTTTGAAAGAAGTATCTTTGTATATCAAACTATATTTATTTTATTTCTCGACTTCACCCTGCTGAGTATATATTTGACACATTTCTTGGCAAAATCTCCTAGTAGGAGTCTACTGTGCCAATTAGTGAATAAATATTTTGGGAAAAGAAGAGAATCAGAATCTATGGAGTCATTGATTTTTCTCATTAAATTGTAAATATGTTTTTCTTGTTTATTGCTAAGTGTAGAGCATATGCTTAAAATTTTCCTTTCTTTTTTGTCATTTGTTAATCTCTTGGGATATGTTATTTAAAAGCAAGATGTAAATAAAGACATCAAAGAAATAGAATTAAGTGAGGACCATTGTTTGGCCCATAAGGTGCATTGAAATTAAACAGTGCTAGACTTTGAGACAACTATATTAGATAATTTGTGAAACGTACTTCTTGAGGTAGATTACAGGACAGAAAACTTTCTTATTTCTTATAAGCTAGATTAACATAAATACCTATTGATAAATATATTTCAGATGGCAGGCCAAAGAAACAAAATGAACAATTAAACATGGATAAAGATGACCTTTAACCAATATAACACATTGAAAGGCACACTAACCTGCTTCTTAGGCTCAATTTCTGCCTCTAAAATGGAGTTACTAATAGTTATTACATGACAATTAAATCATATAAACATAAGGCATCTATACATAACATGAAATAAATGTGAGTCTTTTTTTGTTTTATATAATTTTGGATGATTAGGAAAGAATACATATTTCAGAAAAACATAAGAAAATGTTTAAAATATTGAATGGTGCAATGTTATGAAGGTTTTATTTTATCCTGAGGAGCTGTGAAGTATTAACAGCATATATCATGGTTTTACACTATAATGCAGCTGAATTTAAATCCATAAATACTAGTAACTTTGAATCTCTCTCTAGAAATTAATTACCCCTTCCAGAAATTAATTACCCCTTCCAAGTTTATCCTGTCAACAATCTTTGTGGAGTCATTTTATAAATTTGGGATTTAAAGACGGCCATAGGAGTGAGGTCATACTTTAAATATAGATAGATAGATAGATAGATAGATAGATAGATAGATAGATAGATAGATAGATAATAGATATTCATTTATTTATGATAGATAAAGAGGATAAAAACAAAATTGCAGTAATAATCATAGTTCAAGGCATAGGTTGGCATACTTTAAAGTATGCCTTTACAGGCAAAAATCACCTTTAGTAATAAAAATAGAGTGAACACATGCCATATACAGTCAAAAAATGTGGTAAAATTTAAAAAGTAATTTGAAATTGGTTTTAGATTCTCAGTTTTTAAAAGGCGTTACTTTTCAAAATGTCTGAGCATCTCTCATGGAATATAATGGATATATCATAAAAGAGATTTTCAAAACCTTTCCATAGTTTTCATCGGTCATCTGTAGAATAATTGGTGTTTTGACCACCAAGACTTTTCAAGGTGATACCCACTCTAAATAATTGTCATGAATTTTCTCTACCCTAATGAAAACTTCTTCAGAGAAATCAATCTTACTTTAAGGTTTATGAAACACTTCTACTTCTTGATTTTTTTTTTGTATCCAGGAAGCTCTTTTTCTATATATGACATGTCTTAAGAATGAACTAAATTTCTGCTAAAAAGATATGAATATCTTGGGAAACTTTCTGTTACAGAATTTGCTTAGAAACCATTTCTCCGGATGTGCTCCCTCTTTCCTTGTCATGCAGTGGTATTCCATTTCCTCCATTTTTTACCAGGTATTTTTGCTTCATCATTTCTACCTTAGCTTTATAGTAATTGTATACATGTGTGTGTTTGGTTATTTTTGATTGCTATTTTTAACAGCTGTATCTCCATATGCCAAGTAAATAATGCAGAGACCATTTTTCACTGTTTTCTGGATTGTTTTACAAAACACTCTTTAAACAGTCTTCAGAAGATAAAAGCTGTTTAATAGACAGCTGAGTATATTGAAACAATCTGTTCTTAGTAAGCCACTTTATGCTAAACAGAAAGATAGCTACTGCAATTTCTGTTTACATAAGAGCTTTCTACAAGACATTTGTCCATGTCTGGAACACCATGATAAGTTGTCTGCCTAGATTCTTACATTCATTTAAGCCAGACCTTGAATGCCATGTAAATAACATGATAGTATTAATAATCACACTATAAAATCCTTTGGAAGCCTGAGTGCTCATTAGACATGAGTGGCAACTTACACTTTGCCAGGAACCCCATACATATGGGTATATCTTACTTATGTATTTTGGCTTAACCTGTGTAGAAAGCATCATATCATCAATTTTAAGAGGTGCCACATGCAATATTGTTATTTTTTTCTCCAAATAGGTGTGCTTTTAGAAATTTCTCCCTTTCCTCATAGCGAATCTCTGACTTTATGTCAGAAAGTAATAAATGAATTGTAATTATGCATATCTTCAAAATTCTTTAATAGAAGATATGTTTTAATATGTAGAGCTCCATAAAAATAATAATTAAAATGATGATAGCAACAATAAACTATCTAGTTTCAACTATTTTCAAATCACTGTACTTGGTATCTTGCATATGCTGTCTCTAACCCAACAAATGACTAAACAGTCTCTAAACAGTCTTCAGAAGATAAAAGGTGTTTAATAGACAGCTGGCTATATTGAAACAATCTCTTCTTTGTAAGCCACATTATGCTGAACAGAAAGATAGGCACTGTAATTTCTTTTTACATAAGAGCTTCCTACAACAGTAATAGAGTAAGGAACACAAGCCTATGTTATAACTAAAAGATAAATTGCATCCAAAACTCATTTGTATGCATATATATCATTAGAGGTAATTGGCAATTTTGATGAATTATTATATATAATTAAATAATTTCACCACTCCTACTGCCATTTAACTTACAGAGAGTGAGCAGAGCTAGTAGAGCTGAATATTGTTCACATTTTCCAAATCTTTTTACTTAGGATTCCAAATTTCTATATGGAAGGGGAAAAAACATCTAGGAATATTTTGCTTTATTTCAATGTCTGCTGAAGTATGAGAATTTACTTTAGAGTTGATATAATTAAGAAAATTAAAAAATAATGACAGTACTAGCTAAAATAAACAGTATGGGCACCACCGATCTTTTAAATTAAGAGAAGCGATCTCTGAGTAATGTACCACCCACACACATTTTAGTGCTGTGTGCTTCTTATTGGAGAGTACCACAGAGGGAAATGAATATATCTTATAACTTTTCTATTGTCTTTAGTTTTCACTACCAACCTTTTGTCTTTTCAATTTCAACCAAGTTAAACCCTGCATTTTAAAAGTTTTGGAGGGAAGATCTCCTTTGTTTCTGGGAGTGAGAGGGGGAGCAATCTTTGGGAATCCCTGGTTAAAGACATAAGAAAGATCTGTTATCTTCATTGGAATTGCCCCGTCCAGATATTTCACATCAACAAGCCCTAAGTGTGCACTGATTCCGGACTGGCTTTAGTGCCCCACTGTTACGTGTGAGCAGACCTCTGAGGATTCACAAAACTGCGCTATATGAAAAGCAGAAACAAAGGCAAGCAAACAGAAAAGAAAAAGTAGAGGAAACAGAGAGAGAAGAAAAGAGAGACAGAATTTCCGGACAAAAGGTGGAATTCTCTATGCAAGAAAGCCATCAGTTAATTGTGAAGATGGTCAAAGGACATGATCACACTTGTACAAGTGCCCTTCATCAAGAATCTACCTGAGAATGGGCTCACCTAAAAAAAAAAAAAAAAAAAGAAAGAAAGAAAGAAAGAAAGAAAAAGAAAATTACACAGTGATAGGTACCCGTCCCTCTCACAGCAGGTCAATGGATCTCAGAAAGAGGTCTACAAGAAGATAGAGCTGATCAAGAACTTGAGAGGATCTTACCAATCTACTGGGAGAATCTTAAGAAAATTAAGGAATAGCATAGTAATACTGGTTAAAAAAACTAAGCAAAATACAATTTTAAGAGAAAAATAAGTAATTAAAATGTGATACATGGCTCATTTATGTACCTCACTTATTTAGCCACGGTAATATGGCAATATAAATACTGAATATTGATCTAAACTAAAGTTATTATATATATATATATATATATATATATATATATATATATATATATACACACATATGGAATTCAGGAATATTTGTGTTATGGTAGAAGTATAAGAAAAACTCAATCCTCATCTGACGTAGTAGTTATTTGATAATATCTTAAATTTAAAAAAGCTTAAGAAGCACCACCACAAACACTTTATTTAGATAGTACAATGTTAAATTTGATAGGATGGGGGCAGTAATGAAAGAGACTGATGCTTTGTTTAATATGTCTTACAGTACTCATTGATGCTTTGATATGTCTGCATCAGAAATAATGGTTGAATGCTTAAAATGTGTACATTATCCCATCTGAGGTTAAATTTTTCCTCACTCTAATAATATTAAACTTCATTGAAGGGCAGGATTTTGCAATGCTCTTTGGGGCTTTGTGAAACATTTAACCTACTTTAAGAGTTGCTTAAAGAGGTCTGGACTTACAAAAATCTTCTGACCCTCGACTGAACTATGAATCCTCTCTCTTTTTTTCCAGTATTCTCCCATTTGAGAAAACAATGAACAAATCAGTGAGAAGAAGCAAGCAGCTTATATTCTTTGATATTCTCTGCTATTCTGGTTTTTGGGGAAAATATTTCATAATCAGTCCTCCAAAATTGAAGTGATGTGAAAGAATTGGCAGATATTTAAATAAAGGACCCATAAGTATAAAATAAATGGAAACTGTAGTAATGAGGCTATGAAATATATAAGATGGTTTATTCATAGGTAATACAGACCTTCCAGAGAAAAGTTTATACGCCTCACAGAAAGGACAGGGACTTTGAAATTAACAATGAACTTCTTTAGAAATTCTGACTTTAATAGTTAACATTTGTAAGACTTGAAACAAGATATCTTGTTTAATAAACTCCACAAACCTCAATTTTTTTACAAGATGGGGAAAATAATGGCTACCTTAGATGAGTATTGTGGGGATTAAAGTAAATAGATATAAAATATCTAAAAGAATGCCTGGGGCATTGTTAGTGTTGTAATAACTTAGTTTCATAAAGCTCCAGTAAATAGTCATGTACATATTATTTTTTAGAAGTATGAAGTTCAGAAATATTTGTGATCCCTTTTCTTATTTGCAGTCTTCTCAGTACTAAATGGAATGACTAAGGGTATCTTTAATTATTAAACAACTCCTAACCTGAAAACAAATGGATTACATTGGTGGCCGACTCACAGAGAAAGTTTATGCAGATAGAATCTACATGGCCAATTCAAAAAAAGGACACATTTTTAGAAACGATATCCAGGATGTCACAATACCTTGTCTACACTCATCAATTTTATTGTCACCTTGCCACTATTGAGCTTAGTGTTGACACTTCCCAGAGCCCAGAAGTTGCCCCTAAAAATTATGAATTCCACACTGGGAAAGCAAGGTAAAGTAATTCTTTTGTTGGGTTATTGATGCTTTGGAAGGGACATAGAGATATGGATGCATACATAGCTCAAAATAAAAGAGAATTTATTCTGGAACATGGCCAAGATAAGAATGTCACCTAAGTTCACCAGGCCATCATTTGAGAGTAGCTTCAGCAGATTAATACATCAAAAAAGCCAATAAAACAAAACATTGAAATGTAATTATTTATTAAATACTTGAAGGAATTACAGTAGTTGAGTTGAATCATATTTTTTTAAAAAGATGAAGAAGAAAAACACAGCCTTTAAAATTTCTCTTTCGATCCCCTTTTTCTCTTTTCCTGAAATTCTAAACCTCAAGGAAGTTGACTTATAAGATGTTCCTTTTTTAAAATCAACCCACTCTCAAAATTCCTCTATCAGAGCAATCTAACTTTAATACTATCTTCATAAACTATGTGTTTATTTTTTTATTTGCATACATTTAGGGGTACAAATGTAGTTGTGTTACACAGGTACATTGTGCAGTGGTGAAGTCTGGGCTTTTAGTGTAACTATCACCCTAATAGTGCACATTGTACCTGTAAAATATGATTTATCCCTCACATCCCCTCAACCTCCCACCCTTCCAAGCCTCCAATGTCTGTTAGTTCACATTTTATTTCCATGTGTACACACGATTTAGCTCCCACTTATAATGAAGTATTTGACTTTCTGTTTCTGAGTTATTTCACTTAAGATAATGATCTCTACTTCCATCCATGTTTTTGCAAAAGACATGATTTCCTTATTTTTTATGGCTGATTAGTATTCCAGGGTATGTGTGTATATCACATTTTTTAATCCAATCATCCATTCATGGACAAATAGGTTGATTCCTAAATAGTCACTCTGACTTCTAATCTTTTACTCAAGATGATACATTTGTGGAGGACAGGAATAGTATCCTGTGTTTCAAAATCACCAGTTTTTAATTATCTCATATATTAGGCAATAAATTATCTGTTTACCTTAGTTCATTCTGTGCTGATATAATAGAGTATCACAGGTTGAGTAATTTATAAAGAACAGAAACCTATTTCTCATAGTTCTGGAAGCTGGCAAGTCCAAGATTAAGGTGCCGGCAGGTTCAGTTATCTGGTGAGGGCTGTGTCCTTCAGAGGAAAGAAAATCTGGGCTATTACTGGCAGAAGGTGGAAAGGCAACAGAGTCAAATGTGTGTTAAGTTTCTTTTAAAACGGCCCTAATCCCAATCATGAAGGAGGAGCCCTCATGACCTAATCACCTCTTAAAGGCTCTTCTTGATACTATCACATTGGCAACATCTGGATTTTGGAGGGAGCATATTCAAACCATAGCATTCAGCCCCTGTCCCCGCCCCCCAAATTTATGTCCCTCTCAGACACAAAATACATTTATTTCATCCCAATAGCCCCCCTCAAAGTCTTAACTTATTCCAGCATCAACTGAGTCTCATCTAAACATCACATGGATGAGACACAAGAGTGTGTTTCATCCAGAAGCAAATTGTTTTCTAGTTGTAAACCTGTGAAATTGAGCAAGTTATGTGCTTTCAAACCTGTGAAATCAAGCAAGTTATGTGCAATGGTGGGACAGGCAAAGGACAGACATTTCTGTTCCAAAAGAGAGAAATATAAATGAAGAAAGGAATAACACATCTTAAGTAAATCCAAAACCCAACAGGACAAAGAACATTAAAATTTAAGGCTGGAGATACCTTCTTTGACCCTGTGTCCACCTTCCAGACACACTGGGGTGAGGGTTGGTTCACCAAAGCTCCCACCCACATGGTTTTGCTAGGCACAGCCCATACCACAGCTCTCATGCATTGGAATCAGGTGCCTGCAGCTCTCCAGTTTGGCACTGCACACTGGTGGCTCTACAGGACTGGGGTTTGGGGGAGTAGCCCTGCTTCCATGCCTCCACTAAGCATTGCCCTAGTAGGGGCTCACTACAGTGGACTTGACCCCATGGCTCCACTGGGCATTGCCTTAGTGGAGACTCTGTTGTGTCTCTATCCTTGAGGCAGGTCTCTGTCTGAGCCATGAAGCTCTCTGAGGCATCACTTAAAATCTAGGTGGAGGAAGTTATGACTCCATAGCTCTTGTGTGCATGTGAAATTAGCACTATGTGAATGCTTCCAAGGCTCACTGAGAGTGCCCCCCGGATCAGCAACCCCAGCCGTACCCAGGCCCACCTGAGCAATAGCTGGTGCAGATGAGGAGTGCTTTGTCAAAATGTGGGGAGCAGAGACTTGAGGTAGCCTGGCCAGTGAGGCCCAACATCCACATATGCCCTGGGCCCCTCTCTTTAAACCATTCTGCCCTCAAGGTCCTGGCTCCCAGGGCCTCTGGCAGTCTCAAATATCTATAAAAGTCCTTGGGGTTATTTTTTAATTTTTTTTTTAATAAATGGCACCTGGCATCAATCTATTCATAGTAATGCCCTTATCAAATGATTGCTTAGCCACATCCTTGGCTTTCTCTCCTAAAAGTCTTTTTTTATATATATTTTTTACATAGGCAGGCTAAGAATTTTCCAAATATTCATGTTTTGCTTCCCTTTTAATTATACATTCCATCTTTAATATTTTCTCTTCTTGCGTTTTACTATAAGCAGTTAAGAGAAATCATGTAGCACCCTGAACATATTGCTGCTTAGCGATTCCTCCTGCCAAATATTTTAATTCTAAACTCTTAAGTTCTTCCACAAAGCTCTGGATCATGAACATAATTCAGCTAAGTTCTTTGCCACTTTGTAACACAGATGACCTTTCTTTCAGTTTCCAATACCTTGCTTCTCGTTTCTGTCTGAGACCTCATCCGAAGAGTCTTCACTGTCCAAACTATCTTAATAATCTCTAAAAAGTATGAGGCTTTTCCAACTCTGCTATTTTTCTGAGCTCCTACAAGAATCACCCTTTTCAATCCATTTATGGCGATATAGACTTTGTCCAGCATTTGCTTAAAAGCTGTTCTGGCCTCTACCTGTTACTCAGTTCCAGAGCTGCTTCCAGATTTCTAGGTATGTGTTATATAGAAACTCTACCCCCAGTACCAATTTTGATCTTAGTTAATTTTGTGCTGTTATAACAGAAAACCACAGACTGGGTCATTTATTTCCAGTTTACTATTATTCTCATTTATTTATTGAGAACAGAAATGTATTTCTCACAATTATGGAGGCTGGACAGTCTAATTTCCAGGCACTTGCAGGTTTAGTTTTCTTATGGAAGCTGCATGCATTCTCCAGAGAAGAAGAATGCTGTGCCCTCATATGGTAGAAGGAAGAAGAGCAAGAGAGCCAAATGCTGCATGAAGTCTCTTTGAGACGGATCCTAATCCTCTTCACAAGAGAGTAGCCCTTATGGTCTAACCTCTTAGAAGTCCCATCTCTTAAAACTATAACATTGACAGCACCTGAATTTTGGAAGGCACACATTCAAACCATAGCACTGTTAAGTGAATGATAACCTAAACTTGTGAATGGCGTGGGACTTATATTTCAAGAATAGAGAAAACTTGGAAATGTGAGGAGTTTGTATTTGCTTAACGTGAATTTTTTCTGATAGCTTGATGAAAATATAAATGTTAATGAATTAGATTTTATAATTATTTGAATGTTCTAGATGGAAAATATTTAGATTGGTGGCCCACTTTTATTTGGGAAATGTGTCCTCTTCAACAAAACGTAATGCATTATGAGAAACAGATGTAAAGCTGTGATGAAGAAAGAAGCTTTCTCCTTGGCCAGCTCTGTCAAAGGCACACTAGCAATCAGGGACGTGCCATGATGCCATGAGATCCTCTCAGAACTGCAGAACATTTTAAGAAATTGTCTTATCAGAGCAGATAAAATAAACAAATATTGCTATTTGGATGATTTTACAACTGACTACATGGTTTTATTCAAAGTATATGGAATACATATAAAATTAGAAATAATTCTGTTTAAAACTGCTCTCTTGAACAATTCTAAATTAAGGATTTACATAAGGGTACTGCTAAAACACTTACCAAATTCTAGGATCATATAAACCTGAAAGAAGGACTCAATTAGAATCCAACAGGATATCAACAGAGTAAAACGATGGATTGAATTAAGAAGATAAAATGTATTAAATATAGTATTTGCATTTAATCAGTTCTGAATCTATCCTTTATTGCCATCCACTAATGCTGACCTTAACATCTCACAAACTTCTCAATTTAAAATGATAGAAATATGGCTTAAAAACAATATGTGAAACAAATTTAGATGTTTTAATAATATTTACATAAGTAAACAATTTTCATATGCTCATCTGTACATTTTTGTTTTTGCTAAAGTATTAATGCAAAATTAGCTCACTTCGAAGACTGTCTAGTGTCAATACAGAAGGCATGTTTCTCATGAACAGCTTAAAACTACATCTGCAATATTTATCTTTGCCACAAAGTACAGTGTATAGAGAAGATGGTGTCAATTGACAAGTGAATCAAAACCTAATGTATAGGAAATTGATTAGAGAACTGGAGTATAAGCCAGGAAGGCAAGTCACAAGGGAGATTGAAGAATGGCCCTAAATATTGGTACAGTTATCATTGCAAGAAAGTTTTAACCTGTGCTGTTTGGTCCTGAAGGTACAATTAAGGACCACAGTAACCATTTCCTGAAGCAAAATTTTACTTCAACGTTGAGATAATTATACTTTTTGAGAGCACTCTGGAAATTTTCAACCCTTGGCTGAGACTGTAGACAACATTCAAGCGATGAATTGGTCGTTAAGTTTAGATGACCTCTAGGGTTTCATTCTATCATGAGACTCTATTGTTCTACATTTATATTTTCTACTTCCAAAGCCCTGAAATAGAGAGATATTTTCTGAGCATGTGATTAATGAATTACTGTTTGGGATAGTTTCAGGTTTATGTGCTTATGATTTAAAACTTCTTACTCTTGGGAGATGGCTAGAATAGAGAACATCTTGAATTAATATTCTAGACCAAAACTGATTGCAAGTAAAATTAACCTCCAACTTATGTAAAGAGCATTGGTTAACTTATTCTTAGAATTATATAGTGGAAGAAGGAATATATGTGATTATATTTCATCCATATTTCTGCACATATATACATATATATAATGATTTATAAACCATCCATAAACTGAGCTACAAGAAATATATCAAGGGAAATACGCAAGTCTACATTTTATGATAGGTTTCAGAAAGCTGTAAAACCTCAAGTGGCTCCAGAGATCAACATTTGACTGCATTTTGTTTATAATACAATATTATTGAAAAGTCAGCCACTAGCAAGAGGCTTAGGGTGAGATCAAGCAAACATTACCACTTGTACTTAACAATTGACATTCTTTTCTGGCTGTCCAAATACATATGATCTTATAAACAATTTTACTTGTCATTGTATAAGTCAAACAGGTACAAGGTGCAGCTTGAAATATCTCTTCTTTCAATATCGCACAAATTCAGTATTTGTCTCTAAAAAGAGAAAATCATTCTGATGGTAACTGAATAAATTATAAGCATAAAATGTTACTGCTTCTTCTCAGCATTAAATAAAAAATAAAACTTTTAGGCCATTTGAAAGAAATGTAGAACATAGAATGTGTTCGAGAGAGGGGGCAGGTTTGTCAGCGTAACTACCATGCTGAAAGAAATATTGCTCTAAGAAACATCAATAGCTTACTACAGTTAAATGGAAAGAATAGTGTGGTTCTTTTACTTGTGAATAAGAGTGGCACTTGAATTCTAGAATTAAAGCCTTGTGAAGAGGGTTGAAAACATTTCCTCACGGTAGGAAGACTTTGGCTTACAGTTACCTGTTGACCTCACTGTAGAGGCTGACATTGTCCCAGTGTAATTGTGCTTAGTCTGCCTAAGCCAAAAACTAACTTATTATAGACTAAGATCTCTATGACCCTAAAACTGAAGAGCACACGTAAGCAAGGGAGTTTGGTGCCATATTCCGGGTGCCTCAGCAGAGTCATGGTCATTCTGTCAACAGCCCACATGGAGAGAGAACATCTCCTTTTCCACTTCTTTAGTTCCTGTCACTTACGGAACTTCAATAAGACTTGAGTCCTAATATGTTGGCCAAAAATAATAACAACCCGTTAAAAAATCTCAACAGCAATAAATCAGATTCGTCAGAAGTAACAGAAAATACACTGTCTTAACAGGCACTTTAAGGAAGAATAGAAATTAAATTGAATTAAAAATAATAAGAATATTTAATATTCATTTTTTACACTGATGATAAGAATAAAAATTAATGCAACCAAAATAGAAAAGTGGTGCTATCTTCTAGTGGTGAAAATACCTATCCAAAATGGTCTAGCAATTTTACTCCAGAATTCCGACAGTAATGAGAAACATGTTTTCCACAAAACATGTGCAAAATGTTCATAGTGCATAATAACCAAAAACTTGAAGCAACCTAACTCTCCATCAACAATAGAATATATGGATGTTTTATTAATGTTTGTATGTATGTTGTCTTTTTACAGTGTAGTAAAACACTGCAATGGTAAATTACTGCTATGTAGAACAATGTGGATGAATACTGTAAACATAATTCTATAAGCCAGATACAGTCTACTGTAAGATTCCACTTATAGGAAATCAAAAAGAGGCAAAACTATTCAATGATGGCTGATGTCAGAATGGTAGTTTTGGAGGGAAGCACCATGTAAGGAATAAAAGAAGCTTCTGGGATGATTATTCTATATGCTCTTCTGTGTGTTGATTACAATTTGTGTATATATATGTTATATATATATACATATATGTAAAATAAATTTAGTTGCTCACTTACAAGTGTGCATTTTATATATGTTATACTCTTTATATACAAAGTTAAAAAGGAAAACTCATAAGAGATTTAGAGATTTTAAATTATAGATTCAAATATAGCCCTCTCTTGTCCTGAAGTATACCTCTTCGAGCTAAAAACATGATTTTTCATTAAAGCAATTAAGCACATAAATAGAAGAATATGGTTAACTTAAATATCAAGAGATAAAAATCATAAAGAAAGAGATTACACTTGGGTATATCTAGAAATGTAATATCCCTAATAGACGTTATGAAAGTAGAAAAGAAGGATAAGGAAGAAATAATTTTTAAAAAGATACATTCCCTGAACTGAAGAAAGCCCTGTGTATGTAGATTAAAAGAGTATATGGAATTTTAGAGACCTAGCAGTGTTTGAACTCTAAAGAGAAGCATGTCCAACCAGAAAAAGTAATTTGCCTACAACAGAGAAATGAATTAGTTCATGACACTGAAAACTTGAAGACAAGATTTATATCTAAAACTTATTTGAGCAAAAAAGAATCTATCTCTAGGCTTTCTGACCAACATATCATCCATCTGTTAGGACAAAAGGAAAATGTTGAAGTCATTCTGGCTATATAACTGAATAATGTAGTCAGATGCTTGCAACTGCTTTTCAAGCATAATGTACTGGGAAGAACTGGATACTCATACATACTGAAAATCTATCATCTTCGAAGAATTGACTAGAATTTTCACATGCACTGTCTAGTCATTACAACAAGGCTTACTGAGGCATAGTTATTTCTTACATATACATGGAGATCAAGTTACGAAGCAGAAATGAAGTCCAGATACGTATAATAATCAGTTTTTTTCCTATACTCTGACCTTAAGGGAATTTCAGCTCATGTCCTTCCCCACCAAAATGTTATGCTTTGCTGCTGATATTTTATTTCCCTGATTATTTTAATGCAGGCTTTATCTCTTGGTGAAATGCTGAAATGCAACTATCTTTTAAAAAGATCATACTTTAAACAACCAGACATTTTTACCTAAGGAATAAAAAAAGAAGGAGGGCTAATAAAATAATAGATTTTGATAGAAGGGTATGGAAAAAGAGTATTCAGTGGTCAATAAGTCTAGTAAAACTCCACACTGTGTTTCAGTTGAGTAAGATTTCCATAGATGGGAAAACAAAATAGGTTGATTTTGTCTAAAGGCTCTAAGTTTAGACAAATTATTGGTGTGATTTCTGGGTAATTTCGTGTCTCAAAATGCAGACATTGTTATTACACTGGATCTAATGTTGAAAACATACACAAATTGGTTGCTGTACTAAGAATAAAAGAAAAGCTAGGAGAGGTTGAATTCTTCTTACTGAATGGAATGTTCCTAGTGAATTTATGTAGGCTGCGCCCATGTAAAAATATATTTGAGATGAGGCACTGGAAGTTTTCAATTATGCATCCACAGTTGGATTATTCTCTAATAATATTAAATTAGGTAACAAATACATAATTTTCTGTGCAAGAAAAGTTATGAATGTTTAGAAAAGCGTTGAGATAAAGAAACTTTCTATTGACTAGTTCAACTCATGTAAGAACACAGCTATAATCGTATTGTCATCATCACTACCACCCCCATCAGCATCATTTTCCTTTTCCTCATCCTCTTCATCATTTTTTGCCTGAAAACTCATGGGAGAAAAACCTCCAAAGGGAAGACAATGTGAAAAACTATTCTAGTAATAATTTCACAGGATTTCTCTAGTTTCCAATATTCTATCTAAATTGTGCTGCGTTATCTTTGATTATAGTTAGAGACATTTGCCTGTAAAAATATTATCACCAAGTATGGTTAGTTTCAAGATCATCTGGCAGGGCAACAATTTAGTTTTATGCCCCAAAATGAAATCTTTCATGTAAATTCAACACTTTCAACATGTAATATGTGACGCTTTCATATTGCATGGGTAGAGGATTCAATCTTACCCTCAGTTTTGCTTAGCGATAATACCATGCGGTTTACATACAAGCTTTTCTTCAGACTTCATTTCCAAATTAAATAACCCACTCCTCTAGCACCTCAGAGAACCATCGTCTTCTCCGAGCTCTTTCTGAAACTTGTGCATCATCAAATTCAACCCACATTTTACATGACTCCGATATCCTGCCTTCCACAGGCCAATGTTAATCATTAAATTCCAGGAGCAAATCCAAAAGAATTTTAGTAAAAGACAAATCTCTTTTTCTGGTTGCTTCTGTAGAATGTGCCCTGTTTTCTGTCAGATTTGGTGCAAAACAGTACTTGAAAATACCCGAACTTTATAGTTGCCTTCTCAAAGGGAATTTGTTCCAAGCATATTATCCTATGAATTTAAAAACTCAATCTGTATTTCAAGGGAAATTTTACCTCTATGTCTGTGATTAATTCATATTAAAGTCATCAAAAGACAGTCAAGTAAGAGTCATTTGATGTCCAAGTGCCCTTTTATGAGACATTTCAATCCTTTACTTTTTAACCAAGATTTTTTTTTGTAAATCCAGCCATAAATAGAATTCAACCTCTAAAAATGCCTTGGGTTTGCATTGAAATGTAAAGCCTTTTGGAATCAGGGAGATTTCAAGTATGTTCTTTTCTATCAATAATTCTGATTATTTTCTGAAATATAATTCGGTGCTCTTAAGATTATAAAATTGGTTCATTTATCTTGAGGGTAAGAGAATTAATGAGGTGCTACCTGGCCAAGCAATTTCGATTCAGAGGCAGACTCTAACAGTGTGATTCATATTTGTCATTATTGCTGGTTGTATTTACTTTTATAGGTATGATGAATCTGGTTTTAATTTATTATAGTTGCATTGACTGTATTGCCATACTGAATCATTGGGACAGATATTTCCATATGATCCACATATCTCTGAAATTCTGCCTTTTTATTGACTAAAGCATGGTAAATCTCTAGATTTTTTTAACGTGCATGTGGGATTACTCCATAATTAATTTTTATTAGTTACAATTATTGAGAGCTATGTGCCAGCCACTGTATTAAGTGCTTAAAAAACACATTTTCTTTTACATTTAAAACAACCCTGTAAGCTAGGTATTACGCCCAGTAGGCCATTAGTTAGTGACAGCACTTGAATTTAAATCTGGAACCATTTTGACTTCCTCTCTACTAGTTGTCATGACTTGCTCCAGGCAGGTCTAAAGAGAGTAAAAGTATCCCTCCTTTCATTCTGACAGCTATATACTAGCTGTTCCTTAATTTCTTTAATTTCTATCTTAATTCTATAGTCTTAGTGACCTGTTTTACCCGCTCTCCCTACCTAATATGATATTTTTGATAATAATATTTGAAAATTGGAAAGTTTCACATAAATATAAAATACTTTTCTATCTACTTTTTTATTTGAATATTTCAAGAAGCCTTTTTAGAAGTCCAGAAAGGATATTACTAATTCTATTTTTTCTGGAGAAGAAGTTGAGGCTAACAGAAGGCAAATCACTTGCCTAAATCATAAAATTAACAAATAATAAAGCTGAACTGGAAATCAAGACTTCAGATAAATGGGTAGTGCTCTTGCTACTATATTTCACAGTTTGGAGAAATGAACTTTTTATTCATTATATTTAATAATATAATAGATCTCTCTAATAAACATGCTATAGAATAGCATATACTATACTATCTAACATACACATACATGTGTTATATATATGTACACACACACATATATACAGTATACTACATTGATTCACTATTTTTCTATATTTGAGTTAATTATACTATCCAATAATAATGTCATTGACTACAAAAATAAATATGATAGTTATTTAGTTATATTTAGTTTTTCATTGTCTACCTGGCTCTTTGCTACATGCTTATATAATTCTAATATTAAATATCAGTAGATACTATTAAATACATAAGGACGCTAAAGGACCAGAGAAGTTATCTGTCCAAGGTGACCAGGAGAGTAAGACACATTTTAACATAGATATTTATTTCCTAATTCAAGAAATATTTAATATTTTATGAAAGTCGATTTTATGTAATTTCTATCTTTTTGTAGAAATTGTGTGAAAATATTCCATTTTAAATTGAAGCTTTGCTAGATATAGTAAAGGTGAATTAATTTATTTAATAGATTTCTCTTACTTAAATTTGCAGAGGTCATCGGTCTGTTTACCAACAATGGGAAAGGTAGCATTCATTTTTATTTCTCTGGTTTCCCAAGGGACACATGCTTCCATTATCATTTATTTGTTAAACTTTACTATGTTCCACAGCAACTAGACTCAAGGAAGATGAAGCCAAAGTCTTCTGTCTGGTATTAAATACCTTGAAAATACCACAAATAAAAGCCTGCATGTGATGCCTGTGTTTGTTCTGCTCTGGGCCCATTCCAGTCCACCCCTGGCCCTCACCACCACACACATTTACACAGACACTGCACTTCATGCTTCTCTCAAATGAAGAAAGAATGATCATTTTCATATTGATTCTGGCCAGGGCTGTTCTGAGGAGTGAATTGGCCATTAGGTAACCTTGATTTTCAGCCTTTGTAAACTAATGATATCTATTAATCATGCCATCTCCAGAATTTGTCTCTTCCAGTAAAAATATTCCCAGAGAGCAACTTATATATTTTTTGTAATTCCATTTACAACCTCCCATTAATTTTTGTCCATCCAAAGTTTTATTTATCCAGTCTATCCTGAATAAATATTTCAAAAACAATTATTTACAAAAGCATCAGAATGAAAACAATTACATTTAGTTTAATTGGGTGCTTGAGAAAGTTTTTAACAACAAAAAAAGTGAGATAAAAACACAAAGTTGCAAAAAAAAGAAGTTATTCAAATTGGAAATGCAGATTTGTGGTGAAACAGAAGTAAACAGAGCTAATACATCTTTAGGATGTTTTGCCTTTAATCCAAAGCATTAAAATCTGCATAAAAATAATATCACTGTCTCAAGGTGTCCCTTGCCTATTATTTAAGTCAAGTTTGTCCAATCTGCAGCCAAGAGGCCACAAGCAGCCCAGAATGGCTTTGAATGTGGCCCAACACAAATTTGCAAACTTTTTAATAACATTATGAGATTTTTTGACTACATATATATATTTTTAGCTCATCAGCTATTGTTGGTGTCAGTGTATTTTATGTATGGCCCAAGACAATTCTTCCAATGTGCCTCAGGGAAGCCAAAAGATCAGAGACCACTGATTTAAGTCAGTTGCCAATAGTGATACTTGTAATTATGTCTATTACTTTATTGAGGACTTATTAAAGATAGATATGTTTAATTCCTGTCATCTGATATGTGGGAAACCTGTGATTGAGAGACACCCAAAGAGCCCTCAGAACCTTTAATATCAAACTCAACCATAAAGATTCCTAGACTAGTCATCAAGAACCATCAAGGACATGATTATGTTCCTTCTCCACACACATATCATTTAGATTCAATTGACTAAAATTACAAATGAGAAAGTACATATGAGAAATTTTCTCATCTTCAACTCAACCACGTAAAAAAAATTTACATGCTCTTTAAATAACCTGAGCTGCATGGTCCGTTATAAGAGCAACTGGACACACGTGAATGTTGAGCCCATAAACTCTAGCTAGTGTAAATAAGAAACTAAATTTTAATTTTATTTCATTTAATTCATTTAAATGTAACTTTAAAAATTAAAAATGGAAACATTGTGAGTTTATGTTAAGCACATCTTTTTTGTTTTGGTAGGTCTAAATTTCACTTTAACCATTGCATCATGAAAGGTATCATTGTGGTATCAGTGTGTACAAGTTAGGCACTTGCCTTATATCTAGTATTGCACATAAATATATCACTGATATAGTCAGTGTTAATGGGTTGATTTAATCAGATAAGTTTTGCTATGCACTGAAATAACATTGCAAAACATTTATTTGAATAATTTATGCAGAGAGCCAGAGTTACAATTATATCTATGTAATTGTAGTTAGCATTTAAATTCAATTACTGATTTTTAGCAATAATTATTTTCCTAGTTTAAAAAGTAAATATAGACAACTTTTAAATTTTAAGGAAAAAACTGTTACCGATGCAGAATTAAGTGAAGATGCAGAACCAAGTAATATGACCTGAAAGTTCCTGACAACGTATCTCAAGTATAAAAGTGATTAGAACAAAGTACGTCATAAATTTCACTATGAAGGCATACTGCAATTTGCTGATAAAAAGCAAAACAAATGAAAAGTTCTTGTTGCTCAAAAAAGGAAAAAACAAACTAGATAGTAGACAATGCTAAGAAATATTTTCAGCAAGTACCTAATGATTTTATAAGAGGTTTCCTCTCAATAGTAAAAAAAATGAAATCAATTATTGCAATTATAATTAAATATTCAACAAAATTATTTAAATACTCTTTAACCATTTAAGCTTATACCTTGGGCCAGCTAGAAGTTATTTGGATTCTTGCACAAAAAGGTAAATATGAAAAAAAGAATAAAATCTCAGACGGAGAGACAGTAAATGAAATTATTATTTCACTTATATAAGTTTTGTTAGAAGATCATGTAGGGAAGACTTAAAATAACTTTATTTTGCAAGATGCGAATGACCTTTAGTTAAGCCACCAAATAATTTCCTGTGGACTACAAGATCTTATTAATAATATCAAGCATCAATTACTTCAAAATTTGAACAACTGTAAGTACTTCTTTTTAGATTTGCATTCATTATGTAATATAAAGACACTGCCTGATTAGTACTTTGGGTACACATTAACTAAAAAGACTTCGAAATCTATAAAGATAATTTTTAAATTTTCAACTCTCCAAAAATTTTCAACTCTCCAAAAATGCATTTGTGGTTTTCAAGGAAGAATTTCAGGTAAAGAAAAAAAATTAATTCTATCCCAATAAACTGTCTTATAGCTTTGTTTCACTGTGTGATGCACATTAAAAATATTCTTAGTTTTCTGGAAAAGATTGTAAGAAAAGTGTCATAGATATAGCTGTTAAACTGTCAACTACTTAGAAGAAAATGCTAAGAATGCTATAAATGCTATGGAACTACTGAAAAATATTAAAATCTTGGGCTCTTTAACAATGTTCAGTGAGTCCTGAGAGAATTTTACAGATTTACTGAAGTTAACTAAAATTCAAGTCTTTCTTGAAACAAAATGAATATTTTCTCAATATTCACTAATAGTGGCAAAGAATTGTGTGAGATATTAGACTACATATAAATGATTTAAATTTGAATCTCCAAGAAAGGAAAATTTGTTTTATGATCTAAACAGGTAAAATGATTTGGGTTGAAATTGAAGCTTTTCAAGATATAAACAAACAATAATTCTACACATTTTTCTAATAATCAAAATACAGAACATTTTAATTAACATTGCTATGTAAAATGGCTGAAAACTATAAGAAAAATTGTATTGATATTGATAATTTTTAAGTTGCTTTTTAATTTGGGCATTAATCTTTTAAAATCAATGTTAATGTTAGAGTTGACACAAGAGTTTGTACATTTCTTTATCTTGGACAGATGGAATTTGAAACTAATTTGCTGTTTATTAAAAATTAAGTGAATTATTTATTTTTCAGAATAGTTGTAAATTTATACATTTATGTTTCACTTAAATATCTTTTAGCTCTTTAGAAGCCCACTTATATGAAGAGATGTTACTATAGCACTTATACTGCCAGGAGTACAAGTTGGAAGTCAAGGAAATTTTTATAAAAGCGTTGGCACATATCTCTTCTACTTCTCCTTAGGAAGCAAAAATCAGTTTCCTGCTCTTCCAACTCATATAATAATAACAATATGTTAATATCACAGTGGGTAACATGTCTCAAAAGAATAAGAAATGGATCCAAGAACACAGGGAAAATCTCTCTACAGAAAATCAGTTAAATTTTTGTACAGTAAGTTTTTAAGATAACACTTAAATGTAAAAAAAGTTTTTTGTTTTTTTTATTATTATTATACTTTAAGTTTTAGGGTACATGTGCACAACATGCAGGTTTGTTACATATGTATACATGTGTCATGTTGGTGTGCTGCACCCATTAACTCGTCATTTAGCATTAGGTATATCTCCTAATGCTATCCCTCCCCCATCCCCCCAAGTTGTATAAGTTCAAGAGCTACATTCTACATGAAAATGAAAAACAACAACAGAAAAATAGGAGTGCTCTGTTACTTTTTTTTTGACTTTTATTTTAGGTCCAGGTGTACATGTGCAAGTTTTTTACACAGGTAAATTGTGTGTCACAAGGGTTTGGTGTATAGATTATTTCATCACCCAGGTAATAAGCACAGTACCCCAGAGTTAGTTTTTCCATCCTCTCCCTCCTCTTACCTTTACCCTCAAGTAGGCCCCAGGGTCTGTTATTTTCTTTGTGTCCATGTGCACTCAAAGTTTAGCTCCCGCTTGTAAGTGAGAATATGCAGTATTTGGTTTTCTGTTCCTGCAATGGGTTGTTTAGGATAATGGGCTCCAGCTCCAACCATGTCCCTGCAAAGAACATAATCTTGTTCTTTTTTATGGCTATGTAGTAATCCATGGAGTATACATACCACATTTTTTAATCCATTCTACCATTGGATTTAGGTTGATCCAATGTCTTTGCTATTGTGAATAGTGCTGCGATGAACATATGTCTTTACAAAAGAATAATTTATATTCCTTTGGGTATACACTCAATAATGGGATTGCTGGGTCAAATATTCCTTCTGTTTTAAGTTGAGAAATCACTACACTGCTTTTCAAAGTGGCTAAACTAATTTACATTCCCACCGGCAGTGCATAAGCTTTCTCTCTTCACCACAACCTCACCAGCATCTGTTACTTTTTACTTCCTAATAATAAGCATTCTGACTGGTGTGAAATGGTGTCTCATTTTGGTTTTGATTTGCATTTCTGTAATGATTAGTGATGTTGAGCATTTTTTTCCATACGTTTGTTGGCTGCATGTATGTCTTCTTTTGAAAAAGTCTGTTAAGTCTCCATTGCCCACTTTTTAAAGGAGTTGTTAGTTTTCTGCTTGTAAATTTGTTCCTTATAGATTCTGGATATTAGAGCTTTGTCAGATGCATAGTTTGCAAACATTTTCTCCTTTCCTGTAGGTTGTCTGTTTACTCTGTTGATAATTACTTTTGTTGTGCAGAAGAAGCTCTTTATTTTAGTAAGGTCTCATTTGTCAGTTTTTGTTTATGTTGCAATTGCTTTAGACGTCTTCGTCATTAAAACTTTGCCAGATCCTATGTCCAGAAGGTATTTCTTAGGTAACTGTACAGTTTATAGAAATAGTTTTAGCTTTTACATTTATGTCCATCTTAATCCGTCATAAGTTGATTTTTGTGTATACTGTAAGAAAGAGGTCCAGTTTCAGTCTTCTGCACATGGCTAGCCAATTATCCCAATACCATTTATTGAATAGGGAATACATTCCTTATTGCTTATTTTTGTTGACTTTGTCAGAGATCAGATGGTTTTGGTGTATGGCTTTATTTCTGAGCTCTCTATTCTGTTCCATTGGTCTATGTGTCTGTTTTTGTACCAGTACCATGCTGTTTTGGTTACTGTAGTCTTGTAGTATAGTTTGAAATTGGGTAACGTGATGCCTCCAAAGTTGTTCTTTTTGCTTAGGAATATCTTGCTTATTTAAGCATTTTTTGGATTCCATATGAATTTTTAAATAGTTTTTTCTAATTCTGTGAATAATGTCATTTGTAGTTTGATGGAAATAACATTGAATTTGTAAATTGCTTTGGACACTATGGCCATATGAAAACAAATATTGAAGTAAATTTTTAAGGGAGCATAATTCAGTTCTTGCAATACTTTTAGAAGTGCTTTGAACAACTTGAGTTTGTGCATATAATTTTGCAAAACTAAAATTTTAAGAAATCTAAATACAGATGAAATATTTCCAATAAACAAAATTAGCTTCTGATTTAAGAAGTGCTTTAATTGTAAATTATAAATCAGATTTCAAAGATTTAATATAAAAATATAAAATATGTTAATACCTTTATATTGAGTGCATGTTGAAATAATATATTGGAGAACTGTTTTATATAAAATATGTTATTAAAATTAATTTTACCTTTTTCTTTTTGTTTTCTCAGTGTGGCTATTAGAAAATGTTTTATTACACATGTGACTGACATTAAATTTGTATTGGACAGCACTACTTTGAGAGTTAATTCTTTTTTTGTCCATTTATCAATTGATTTGGCATCCACATAGTTTATTTCATACATTCTTAAAGTTAAAAGTTTCTGAAAAATCCACAATATATTTATTTGTATGTCATTAGTGAAACCTCAATCTGTTAAAGTATTTTGCTCCAAGGACTTATGATCCTAGTTGTATCATTTCATCATAATCAGCCAAACTATCCAAACATTTTGTCTACTGCAAGCGCAGACTATGGTTTGATTCATATTTTGTCTGAATAATCCCTGTGTTCTATATAACCAGTTAGAAACACTAGTTGGAATCCCGTAAATGAGAATGATACTATGAATAAAAAGTTAAAAAAGATTCTATTTCCTTGTGTCAAAGTCTTTCTGAAAATGCCAGAGACAGTCGAATATTCTTTTTTCTGAAGGAAGTCACAACATTAAAATAATCATATAAGGGAGTCATCATGGCTTTATCCAAGGTGATGCATTTCAGTCATAAAGTAATTCTTTGTTCTTCTATATCATGTTAAAGAAAAATAAAAAAGGAAGAAAATAAAGAAAGGGAAAGCCTAAGATTTATTAATTAATATCTATTTGTGGAATAAATTAGGGTTCCAGACAAATACTTGAAGTGTAATTGTCCTGAAAATGTCTTAAACCTTTACTGTTTTATGAATTGAGTTTAATACATACTACTAGCAAATTTTTTCAGAAGTAAAAATACTCTAAAATCCAATATTAAGTCAGTGATAGCCAAAAACTTATACAAACCAAAGATTAAGGGGTGGGTGTGGTGGCTCATGTCTGTTACCAGAGCACTTTAGGAGGCCAAGATGGGCAGACCACTTGAGCTCAGGATTTCAAGACCAACCTGGGCAACGTGGTGAAACTCCACCTCTATGAAAAAATACACAAGTTGGCCAGGTGGGGTGGTGCATGCCAGTAGTGCCAGCAACTCTGGAGGCTCAGATGGGAGTATTGTTTGAGCTGAGGAGGTTGAGGATTCAGTGAGCAGTGTTTGTACCACTGCACTCCAGCCTCAATGACAGACCTGGTCTCAAAAAGACAAAAAAAAAATTATCTCTTACATCCATGTTTATTGCTGTTTGTTAGGTAGTTTTTTTGTTTGATGTGTAGTAAACTGTGCCTTAGAGACATTATGTTTTATCTCCTCGTTTGCCTGTAAATAAAATTCATCCTAATAAAAGCAACAATAAATAATTATTACAATGATAGTATATCATTTATATTGATCATTTCCCACTTCCCATGAACTCGCTCAGTGTTTTAACATGTATTAATTTGTTCTATAACATATTTAATATCATAACAACCACAGGAGCTAGCATAGTTATTTCCCCAGTTTCTAAATGAAAAAAAAAAAACTCTTATTATATAACAGAGAAGTTAAACCATGAAAAGGGATATTTATATCAATAATGTTCACATTTTGTACCATTTCTGTAAGTGTAGAGCCATAAAACTCAGAAAAAAGTTCCCTGCTTTATTCCACTAATATTTTGGATTGTTTTCTTTTATTTTGTCAAATAAAAGCATTTACAAAATCTTCTTAATTCTTGAAATTTTCTGTCCATAGGCTTTTTCTCATATTAAACTTTTGTCTTATTCATTCATTTATTGATATGAATTTATTGATATCATTCATATTATTTATTGATATGAATTTACTGGTTTATGAAATGATTTATTGATATTTACTAAATGTCTTACTTAGGCATATTTAGTAAATGCCTTCTATGTGACAGGCATTGTTCTAGGCCTTAGAGATTGCACTAAACAAAATTTTTTAAAAAGTATCCTTTCCAGTGGAGTTTACATTTTAAGGAGGTTTGAGGCAGACAGAAAATGACTACGTAAAATATAAATCTAATCTGAGTGTGAAATGTTTAATGGAGAAAGACATAAGCAGAGAAGGGGGAAGCAGAATTTCATACTGAGGTCTGTGAATGTTCTGTTATAAATATTGTCGGATGAGTGACAGAGCAAAGACCTAAAATGTGACAATTAGGGAAGATCTAATATTGGTGAGAGAGCAAGTCAAAGTCAAGTGAATTCTTGACGAAAGGGACTTCCAATCAAAATAAATAATCAAATATAAAAACCCTTAAATGGGAGTGCAGTGCAAGTGGCAAATTTAAAGAAGAGCAGGGAGGCAAAGAGGATTTGCCAAAGGATTAAAAGCCAGGTGAAAGAGAAAGGTAGCAGCCATGGATAATACAACTTTATTTTAATGTGTGTGTATGTGTGTGTGTTTTTTTTTCGCATAACTAACTGGAGAGTAGAATTACCATTTACTGAAATGTGAAGGATTTCAAGTAGAGCTGGTTTTAGGAGGCAGTTCAAGAGTTCATGTGGATATATTAAATGGGAGATTTCTAATAGACGCCAAGAAAATATGCTGAGAAGGCCTGATGATTCTGTCCAGAGAAGTCTGGACAAAAGCATAGGTGTCTTCACTGTATAAATACTATTTATATATCTGAGACTGGATAAAATCACTAGGAACTGTGTATTTCTAAAGAAAATAAGAGGTCTCAAGACTGAGCATACAACATCTCAATATTTAGAGTTTAAAGATAACTAGCCAAAGGAATCCCCAAAAAAAGCCAGTTATGTACTAGAACAAGTAGAAGATTGTGGTCCCCAGAAATCAAATGAAGGGAACAGTGTGAACCATTGAACCAAATACTCCCTATGGGTCAAGAGGAGGAGCACTGGTGATCACCACCTGTAGCTTTGTGGGGGCCATGGGTGCCATTGACAAGATCAGTTTTAATGAACTTTAGGGTACGAAAACCATACATGGAATTGGTTTAAGTGTGAATGAGAGGAGAAGAAATGAAGACAACCAATAAATAGATAACATTTTAGATTGCTTTTCTCTTCACCTATGAGAGAAAAATAGTGTCTGAAAGCGCAGATTCTTGGAAACTAACTGGTCTCAAATCCTTGCTCTGGCACTCAGTAAAGCTTAGTCTTGGGTGAGTTATTTACCATGATGATACCTAATTTTCTCTACTGTAAAATGAGGAACATTATAGGATGTACTTTATATGGTGGTTGTTCTAAGGATTACATTGACAAATCAATAAAATATAAACAGAATAGTGCCTGGCACAGAGTAAGCATTTAGATGTTATGGGGCATCATCAAGTAAATTTAACTCATCCTTCAAGGCCTGGTATGAGTTTTACTTCCTTTATAAAATCATCCCAGGTTTTCTTATCCACAGAAATTGACCTATAGTGAGTGCCTTGAAGCTTCTATTGTTATACCTTATTAAACAAATATTGCTGTGTTTACCCTGTTTTCCCTCTTTGATTTTAAGTTCCTCTAAAGCAGGTTTATATCTTATATTCCAGAGGGTGGTAAGATCAGATCTATGATCTACAATTAAGACCTATTTTCTTGTTTGAGCCTGTTTTCTTTTTGTATAACATGGGGACAATAATGTATCAATTTTTGTGAGGAATTCAGTATGAACATCAATGAAGAATCTGGAAGAGTACATATGGTAGATACTCAGTAAGTGTTTATTGATGTCCACAAACAAATCTTCACGTGGGCATTCTCAAGTATACTCTTATATGGATGTGATGCACTTCCATAGATTTCCTGAAAGACCCACATGTATACTATGTTCCTTAATATGCACATCAAGAATCTACCAAAATACTGTATTCATGAATCTTTAACTCATACTTGACTGCATTCTTGCTGTCCTTGCTTTATCCTTGTTTCAGAAAGTTGTTTGATTATTTTCTTTAACTGCCAGTTGTCCAGATAGAATGGGATAGTATTCACTCACTCACTGGAGTATATGAAAAGAATTCTGAAGAAATCTTGGCCTCAAATGAAAGGAATTGCCAAGCTAATTAAAGTTTGGCAGTTATGGCACAGCAGCAGAGAAGGCAATAAACTACTTTTGTGGGTAATTAAGTGGTAACAAAAAAAAGTTGAGACATTTGATTAGGACAAAAGTCATTTACCTTGAGAAATTTCAATACCACACACAATTTTCTGATTGTAGTAGAAGAAACTAAAAAGTAAAGAAGGCACCATTTTTAAAATGAAAAAAAAAAAGGAAGGAACTACTTCCTACTTTTTAAAAACTGAAAATTACTACGGCAATTTGTAGATACCATTAGGAGGTAGTAATGTGATTCAACAATATTATCCATTTTAAGGAAGACGTGGTATTTGCATAAAGTGCATTCATGTTGTCAAAATGTATTTGCTAGCACAATTATTTTTTTTTCAGTCTACCTTTAACACTACTGTGAATACAGAAGAAATATAACTGGGGCTCTTTATAACTCTGATGTGAACATTAAAGATGTCTGCCTTGTAAGATGAGTACGGTAATAAATGGTATGTTTTGCATATAATATTTCTTTGTGTGTGTTGGGGTTAGAATATGGGCATAATGGCTAGAATGAAAAGAATTCTAGTATACTTAAATATTAAGTATAATTTGATGGATCAATGAATTTGTGCATGCTACACATGTATATTGAATGACTACTACATCAAACACTATTCTACAGCTAGGAATTCGGAGGAATAAAACAGAACAGGAATCTTCCCTTCTCTAAGGGAGATGCATAATAAATAAGAAAACAAATAGACACATGTTATAATTTCAAATTTCAATATGTGTATGTATTAGTCCATTCTCACATTGCTATTAAGAACTACCTGAAGGGCCGAATGTGGTGGCTCATGCCTGTAATCATAGCACTTTGGGAGACTGAAGCAGGTGGATCACCTGAGGTCAGGAGTTCAAGACCAGCCTGGCAAACATGGTGAAACCCCATCTCTACTAAAAATATAAAAATTAGGCATGGTGGCAGACACCCATAATCCCAGCTACTCAGGAGACTGAGACAGGAGAATTGCTTGCACCTAGGAGGCAGAGGTTGCAGTGAGCAGAGATCATACCACTGCACTCCAGGCTGGTGACACAGCAAGACTCCGTCTAAAAAAAAAGAAAGGTTTAATTGGCTCACAGTTCCACAGGCTGTACAGAAACATCGCTAGAGAGGTCTCAGGAAACCTACCATTTATGGTGGAAGGCAAAAGGGAAGCCTTCCCGTCCTACATGGCTGGAGCAGGAGGAAGAGAGAGCTAAGCGGGAAGTATTACACATTTTTAAACAACCAGCTCTCCCGAGAGAACCCACTCATGAACCAGCACTAGGGGGATGGTGCTGAACCATTAGAAACCACCCCCATGATCTAATCACCTCCGACCCAGACCCACCTCCAACACTCGGGATCATGATTCAACATGAGATTTTGGTGGGGACACAGAGCCAAACCATATCAGTATATAAAACGCATATGACATAGTAAAGTATTAGAGAATACTTTGAGGAAGTGATGGAGTAGGATTTTAAGGAGGATGGAGTAGATATTTGGGGAAAGGTATGCAAGAAGTGAGGGCATGAGCCTTGAAGATAGGAGGAGAAGTCCTAAGTTGAAAATGAGCATGGCTTATTTGAAGACCAGGATGGTTGAAGAAGAGTAAACGCAGAAGAGAGTCGAGGGTGAGATCTAAGAGGTAAGCAGGGCAAGTCCAGTGAGAAGAGTTTAATACCATCCTAAGAGTGATGGGAAAATATGATATATACAGGGTCATATTTTTGAAAAAGAAATTCTATTACAAAATATATTTACTGTTTTTAAGCTATTGCAAAGTGCATCATTCCAGACACATTCCTGTGTATCATCCCCTATGATTGATCCTCAAACCACCCAGTTAGGTAATTATTATCTCTATTTCATAGTTGAAAAAATGAAGCTTCTCAAGGGTTAATCAACTTTCGAAAGTCAGTGGTGGAGCTGCCACAGCAAGCTGAGTGTGTGTGACTCCAATCTCTATTTTATCCTCTTTTATCTACAGCATACTGCCCTCCAAAGTTCCATTGTGTTCTCTGCATCTACCAGCATTTATAAAGATACAAAATCAAATCAAAATAAAGAAGCACTTTTGTAAGGGAGCTAAATTAGGATGCATATTATGATGCCAGGTTTTCCATATTCATTATTAATTTAATTATCATTACAATTTTGTAAGATGAAGACATAATTATTTCTGTCTCATGGATATGGGAAAGCAAGGATCATGGAATATATCTGATATAACCAAGGTCACATAACCATTAGGGTAGACTCAGAAGAGGATTATCATTCTGTCTAACTTCCAGGCCAACTGTCTTCAAAAGGAGTATATACTGTATACAGTATATACCCCTGTATATACCCGTGTATACTGTATACAGTATATACCCCTGTATATACCCCTGTGTATACTGTATACAGTATATACCCCTGTGTATACTGTATACAGTATATACCCCTGTATATACTCCTGTGTATACTGTATATACTCCTGTATATATGGTATACACTCCTGTATATACTGTATATACTCCTGTATATACTGTATACAGTATGTACTCCTGTATATACTATACAGGAATGATGATATTCTACTATATTCTACTTATTCATTATACCTCTGATTGTATTTGTGCTGTAAGTACCTTGCTAAGGTAGAAAGTTGTGATGTCTGTGTTAAACTCTAAGCTTCACTGCCACAAAAGCACCCTGTAGCCTCTCGGTTACCTAAACCTTCAGAATTCTCTCAAAGGCCACAAAGGGTCTCACTTCTTATCAATGAAGTTATAATGAATTGAAGGCAGACAATGAAAATGGGCAGGACACGTAGAAGCTCTTTTGAGAAACTTGGCATTGTAAATATTTGCCCAACTTACTAGTTTGACCCTCTAGAAATTGGAAATTTTTGATTGATAACCAGGAGAGAGTGGTCTGATTCTGTCCTGGGTAAAACAGAGAAAATTAATTATTTGTACGAGATCATCTCTGATTCTGTGTGAAATGTCTCGTCACATCTAAATAAGCATAAAATTGGAATGATTTCTAATATTCTATATATTTTAGTAAGGAGTTCCCATTTTACATGTAAGTGTGACTGGGATTTTATTGCCACTATTAGCAGGATCAAGATTACTTTCCTGCTTTAGATTTTGTTCTTGTTTATCATATGCTTCATTCTGTCTGATATTTATCACTGGTATTTCCAAGAAAGAACAAAGAAACACTATTATCTAGCATCTTAACACTAAAAGCCCTATTTTTCTCTTTTATTTGAAATTCTGCTGAAGCATTCTTCAGTTCTCATGTTTTCCTTCCAAAAATGTTACAGCTAAAGTGAAACATGAGACTTCATTGCAGCAATCATTAAAGCAGTTTCTACAGCGAATCAAAGAATCACAAAGACATAAATCCTGTTATTTTGGAACCAGGAAAAAGGTTAAGGTCACTGAGAAGACTGAATAGTCTGCCTAAGCCATTTGGTATTAGGCTCAACAGACTGAAGCTAGAATTCTAAGAGATTTTTTTTTAAGGATACAATTGCAAGTGTTAATTTTGGAGCTACCAATCCCCCAAGCACTAAGAAAAAGTAAAGGAAAAAGAACATTTTGGAAGATAGCAATGCATACAATGTATGTAAGGAACATTCACCTGTTAAGTCAAGCTAATCAACCTAAAAGAACTTAAGGCACAGTCATAGACAAGCACTTCAGTAAGGGGTCAAAAGTTAAGTGATGAGAATATACAAATAAAATTCCAAAATAAAAAAAATTTCCAAACAAGGGTTGAATTTTTAGTGGCATATATCAATGATTTGTAATACTTCAGAATATACTTAAAAAGTAGAAGGAGAACCTCAAAATCCATCTAATTTTTAAACTAAGGAAAAATATATCACTCTTTGTATTGTTAGATTTCTTACTTGTTCAAGATTAGGTATCCAGTTAAAGATAAATGAAGACGGTGTAAAAGAAGAACAATTGAATAATATAATTTGGTAATATGGACACAAGAGTCAGGAAGTGTTATTCAATGTTTAAAAGAAGTAGGAAGAAAGAAAAACAAGAAGTAGGCAAAAAGGCCACAAGATCCTATGTTTAAACAATTTCACTTTTAAGTAAATATATATGGAAGAGAAATTAATAAATATATCCTACAAAAATACATACTAGAATGTTTATTCATTATAGCCTCAGACAAGGAACACCCCAATTATCCATCAACAAGAGGATGGAAAAAAACTGTGGCATTTGTATACATTGGGATACTGGGATACTACACAGGAATGAAAAGGAACAAAGTACTGACACACAAAGCGTCTTGGACACAATTTTGATGTTTTGAGGCAAGAGTAAAGTTATATATAAAAACTACATATTATGTCTATATTAATATGTAGTCTTTACTAATACACATATAATTTTACTGATATAATATTAATATCCATATAATTATATTTCTATGAAGTTAGAAAGAGTCCAAGTTGATTAATGTGGAAGAAATCTGAATAGTCAGGTCAGCTCTGGAGTGTGGCCGGGTATTTACTGGGAAAGAGAAGCACCAATAAATATTTTTGGGTTCTTAAAATGTTTATCTTAATCTGGATGACATTTACATGAATGTAGACAAACGTTAAAAACACAAATTTAAGTGCATTTTTTGCACCTTTTGCATGTATTTATACTCAATTTTTTTTAAGTAGAAGAAATATCAAGGGCTTTAAAAAAAAACAAAAAAACAAAAAAGAATGCCACAGAGGTCTGTAATACCCAAGACAGTGTGTCAACAAACAAACCAAAGGAAAGTGTGTGAGGCGGAAGGGCATAGCTTTTAGTCTCTTCTTCCTCCCCTTCCAATGATTCTTAGTATCACTAGCCCTTGAAGGATAATAAAAGCATTTGATTATCCTGCAGCCAACATATTTCCTGCTCCAACCCTGCCTAAAACAGATTGGGTCCTTTTTCACAGACAACAGATCTAGAAGGACGTCATTATATTGTGTCCAGTGGATACGCTTATACTATGACCCAATGTACAACAGAACATCTTTGAATCCATTCACTCACTATTGTTTAGCATTCTCTGTAAGTTATGAGATACAGGTACACTTAGGGAGATGTCATTAGAGGGTGAAGCAGAGGTTTAAGCACGTAGAGCCTTATGTAAGCTGAAAGCAGCAGGGTGCTGTTGAAGAGTGTCAAGCAAGTGAGTGAGCTGATAGATTTGCAATTTAGGAAGACTAAACTGCAATGGTGTGGAGAATATCTTAAATGTGGCAGGTGGAGCACTTAGGATAAAATCACAGAAATCCAAAGACTTAGTGACAAGGGCCTGGATTATATAACTGGCAGAGGAAATTGAGAAGAGGAAATAGTTATGAATGCCACAAAGGAGCAAAAAGATATATCAGGATCTAGTAGTTTATCATACAGAGATGTGTGAAATACAAAATGAATTAGGCAGTCTCTCGTCTCTGGTTCTTACATGTTTTACGTGGATTACAAATTGTACATGGATTACCACTTTTAATCTGCAAGCAATCCTATGAGGAAAGTAGTTTTAGCATTCGCAGATTGTGAATGAGCATATTGAGGCACAAAAAGCTGAAGGAACTTATCCAAGGTTTCCCAGCCAGAAGTAGTAGAACGAGATTTTTACCTAGACTAGGCACTCCTGTTGCATACTCGTAATCAGTAAAAGAAAAAAATAGTTGTCCAGGCAGAGGGAGGAATTGAATTAGAAAGGACAAGATAGCCAAAGTAATTGCCTGTGAGAGACAATCAAAGAATAGAATATCAAAGAAAAGACATCAGAGAACTAAAGGGCAATTTGTTGTTCCAAGAAAACATGGCAGAAATATGAAGGATTATGAAAAATAGAGTCAGTGGTGAAGGCATGGACTAGACTATGGAAAGCCTTAAGTGCCATACTAAAAATGGTGGGTCAAGTACGGTGGTTCCCACCTGTAATCCTAGCACTTCGGGAGGCCGAGGCAGATAGATCACTTGAGTCCTAAAGTTCAAGACCAGCCTAGGCAACATGGCGAAATCTCTATAAGAAATTTTAAAATTAGCTGAGTGTGTGGTGGTGTGCACCTGTAGTCCGTGCTACTTGGGAGGTTGAGGCAAGAGGATTGCTTGACCACGGGGAGGTTCAGGCTGCAGTGAGCCGCGAATGTGCCACTGCACTCCAGCCTAGGAGACAGAGTGAGGCCTTGTCTCAAATAAAATATAAATAAATAAATAAATAGAAAAACGGTGGGCTTGTTCATGAAGACTGAAATAGTTGAACTATGGCAATTATGAAGACTTCAGTTTCTAAAAGACTTTAGCTTTTAAGCTTTTATGTTTCCAAATATGATATTGGTGAGTTATGTAGTATCTTTGACTTTCACTAACTCTGTTTTTAAGTGGGGACATTTGGCAAGGATTAAATATAAAGTTCTTTGTAAATTTAACAATTATCTGAACTTTATTTACATAGTTTTATTCTAGAAAGAATCTGTGGTCTGAGGTTGTTTATAAAATACATGTAGTATAAGAAAAAGCTAAGTGAAAAAAGGCAAAGAATTGCTATTATTGCTTATGTTGTTGAGAAAAAGCACAAGCGTTCCTTGATACGAGGCACAAGTTGCGGTTCTGTCTTACTGCACATTTTACCTGTTCTTTAATTCCAACTTGGCATTTGTTTCTGGATATAATGTAGGAATGATTCACAGAGGTAAGTTTGTTTTCTTTACACAAGAAGCAGGGATTCATGACCAGTTAGAAATGTAATAAAAGCAGATGCAGAAAGTATAAAGACAAGAGGCTTGCAGAACAAAGGGTGGGAAGTGAGCACACTGAACAAACAAACAAAAAAAAAAAAAGTGCATTTGACATTGAATTTCCTCCAGGAGGCTGAAAATAACTGAACCGTTGAAATCTTGCAAAGCCGATCTGATCCCACTGGAAAAATATGTTGAGCTTGTTCGCTTGTTCTCTCTCTACCTCCTTAACCAGAATGTACTGAAGTTATGATTTTAAGCAGCCTTATGGTGATGCTTCTGTAGAACAGCCCCAGTGGAGCAGGCATGAAGGAAGGTTAAGGGGAAGAAAGGAAATGCCCATGCAACACTTTCATAATATTGTCGAGTAACTTGCATCACTTCATAAATACATTTACCAGGTGAGCATTAGGATAATATAAATTTAGAACAGGCAACATCATAAAGTTACATTAGCAACTGATTTGTCAAATAAAAACTATGGGACTATTTTCCTTGTTTGTTTTATTTTAATGAATTGAAACTTTCTACAGTTCTTTCAGTTTTAACTAGGCCCTGCTTATCACAGTAGGTGAGCAAATGTACTGGGCCCCTGTACAGCCAATCTGTCTGTTTTCTGATCAATACTGACTGCTGTAGCTGAATTGATTATGCAGCAATTCTTTAGGCAACCAAAGTTAACAGACTACAAAGTATATATTTTTTCAAATATAAGCATAACTGCCACTTAAACTGCTAAACTGATCAATAGACCATGCCTACACCTTTGATTAGTACATCACTTAAAACCCTTCTTCTGTGATTTTCTTCCTCCCTGCCTCCCTCCCACTCTTCTTCCTCCCGCTGTCTCCCTCTTCCTTTCTTTTCCCTTCCTTCCTTTCTTCCTTCTTCATGGAAGAGAAGATGTAGTCTGTGCTGTTTATTTGAAAATATCCAAGTAATTGCTGGTATATTTTGGTTTGTTTAATTTCATCATGATAGTTTGCCCATCACAGGTTTAGGCAATCTTACAGTATTTCTTATATATAGATCAATAATGTTTATTGATTTCTTAAGGAGAAGCCTGGTGGCAAAAACTTTTAAGAAAATTAAGTGTTTATAGTAATATATATAAATTGCATATTTCAATGACTATAAGGAGGAATTCCCCCCTTCATATATGTGAGACAAAAAAAGAGATTAATGATTAATTTTAAACATCTCTCTCTTCATATTCACTCTGATCTAGGATTCAGCTGCCATTTTGTCAGCACAGGGCTATATGGGAAGAACCCTCTCTCCACTGAAGGATTGAATATTGGATGAATCCTGTGTCTTATCTCTCCAGCTGGAGTCCTAGATATTGGCAGGAGGGGACGTGGGATAAATTTTGTTCACTGCAGCTAATCTTACAGTTCATTAGCGCCTTAGTGACCAGTAATCTCACTTCATTAAATGTGTTTATTTGGTAGTGTCAGCTTTCCTTTTGAAATGTCCTTAAATAATAACTGTGGTCCCTTTAAGGCTGATGCTTCACACAAGTGAAGAATGGAGTTTTGCTGCAACAGGCAATGGGACCATTAGAGCTTTAATCTAAAATGAGCAGCCCAGGGTCATTTGGATAGTTCAGATTGAGAGATTAAAGCTCTTATCTCATGCTGTGAAATGTAATGTAAAACTTGCAGCCTAGTCTTTGAGAGCACATTTCAGAAGAATTTTTATGAGTTTCCAAATCTAGAAAAAGGCCCTGTGTTGTTTTTTTCTAATAAATGCAGTAATAAGCCAGTGATGTCACTGATGATAGTAAGGTGAGAATAAACACATTAAAATAAAAGCAATGATTGGAGATCTCTTCCAGGCATTTGCAAAGAATTATATTAAAAAATAGACATTACACACACACAAACAAGCACTTACCTTGCAACAGCTCAGAATACGTAAAATGATCAAATTCTAACACTAAAGTATTAGTGTCAGGTTTATTGTAACATAAGTACTGTGCCCACTAAGTAACTGTCTGTATGACAGTTATTATAATTAATTCTTTAGCTACATTCTCAGTCAAATAAAATGTCACATAACCAACTCAAAAATGCTGTGCTTACCGTAGAAGCTCGAAATGAAGTTTAAATTCTTTAGATTTGTGTCAGGGTCTGAAAGTAAACATTGCACAAGAAGATCTTTTTTGCTCATTTGGCGAGTAATATTTCTTGTGGGTTCCTACTCTTGATTTCACTGACCTCCAAGGAAATCAATTTAACTGATAGTTTTCAAATAAACGTATTCCAGGAAGCAATTCTCTCTCTGTTTTCTGTTGAGGTCATTTATGCAGGCAAAATACATCAAGATACTTTAATAGAAACAAGAAACAACTGAACTATTTATATATTATGATACATTATTTTGAGAGAGTATATTCACTGGTATTCTGATTTTATCTTCTCACATTTACACAAACATCATCACTGACATTTCTGCCTATATATATGTAACTATTTCATGAAAAACCTTTCTTTTAATTCAATATCTAAGTCAAATATTTGAGGAAGTAGAAGTCTCATTTTTAATGTATATTACACAGAACATTTTCAGTAAGTGTGTCTATGATTATTGCAGGCGTCCCCTCTTCTTGTATTCTCTCTTTTTCAATATCTTCAACAAGGTAAGATAGGATAGTGACAGAAGACCTTCTTAGTACTACAGAAAAAATTCAAGATTTTCAAGAAACTAAACCTATAATGACCAACAAATTGTTAGGACACAATAATGGCAAACTATAGTTTTTGAGCATTAAACTGACACATTCGAAATAAGGCAACTAATATTTTGATGGACGGCTTTTAGTTGGAAATATATTGGTCATTCATTCACTTAGCAGATACTCAGTGAGAATCTACTATGTGTGAGACACTTTTTAAGATCTGGGAATTAAAGAAAGCATTAAACAAGACAAAGTATCTGATATCATTGTAAAAAATATTGGAGGGAATGTCTGTGGATGATGTGTAATGACTAATAACAGAACAATACTCTTGTTAAGCACAACCACACACACACACCAAAAAAATCTACAGAGAATAATAAAGAAAAATCTGTTTGAGGACAGCAGAAAGGTAGATATGCAATGAGAACTAGATGGGCTAGCATTCCAGATAGAGTAGAACCTCTAAAAGGCTGTAATCATATGAAGACAGTTTTGCCATGATGGTATTTTCTGATCATGGATATGGGCACAAAGCAGAGAATTTATCCACTGAGGGCTGCTACTCGTGTTCAAATTTTGGGCAGAGACTTTGAAGGGTGGGCTCAAGAATATAAATGGTTGCCATATGGGTGCACTGGCCATATTCTGGGGCAATATAGGTTGGAAGGGTAAAATCCTAGGAAAAATGATGGTGAAAAGAAAAGTGAGGCTGTCAAGTCTCCAGAGACAAGCAGAGTTCCATATCCATCAGGGGCTGGAGGCCCTAAAGAAAACTCCAGGCTCTGTTGAAAACCCGGACAAGCAGGTAAAAACAAAAGGAAAACTGAGCCTTACCAAGAGAACAACCTAACCACGACGAAGCACAGATTAATGCAAGCAGTCCACAATCTACAAATTTAATAAATCGGAAGACAAATACTTCTCTGGAAGATGATTGTCTTGGCATAAAATTATTTAAGCAGAATTTCAGATGTAATAAAAAATTACCTCACATGTTATAACACAGGCAGCATGCCTAAAATCTCAGGGAGGTAACAGACAAGACATGCGAATTCATAAATGTTTCAGAAATTGGATTTAATTACAAAGGACAATATAATAAAATTTTCAAGAATACAGAATAAACATGAAGACAAAGATGAAATATGGATAATTTAACCAGATAATTGTTATCTTCAAAATAATCAAATGGGAATTTTAGAATGCAAGTATATTTCAGTATTTTAAAATCAATGTAAATCAGCACATCAATAGACTAAAAAGAACAAAGGTGATCTCAAAAGATAAAGAATAAACATATCACATTATTCAATATATATTCATGATAAAAATGTTCAGCAAACTAAGAATAAACCTGTTCGAGGAAGTCTGCAAAAACCTATAGCTAACATAATGTACAATGGTAAGAAGGCAATGATATTCTCTCCCAACCTTCCTATAAAACATTATACTGGAAGTCTTATGCAGCGCAATAAGCCATTGAAAATAAATAAAATGTAGACAGATTGGAGGGAAAGAAAAAAACATTTTCTTCATTCTTATGATGCCATCCCTATGTAGAAATTGTAAAATACATATATATATATATATATATATATACAAAAAAATACTAGAACTAGTAAGTTATTTTCCTGATCACAAGAAACAAGTTAATTATTCAAAAAAATTAATTGTACATCTCTATGTTAGCAATGAATGGTTGAAAGTCCATTTCTTTTCAAAAAGTAGCACTTATAATATCTCTACAAAAATATGAAATATTTACATGAAATCTAACAAAATGTATGCAGGATTTTGATGACGAAAACTATTCAGCATTGATGAAAGTAATCAAAATAAATACTAAGTAAATGGAGAGATATACTGTGTTCCTGAATTGGATACCTCCATATTGTTAGGTTGAGAATTCTTCCCAAACTAACCTATAGATTTAATGCAGTCCCAATCAAACCTCAGCCAAAATTTTCATATTAGTATACTAGCTAATTTTAAGTTTTGTATGGAAAGGCAATAAACTGAAATAGTAAGAATGATTATGAAAAAGAAGACCAGAACTCATTATATCTAATTTTAAGACTTAGTATCCTGTAACAGTGTATAAGACAGCATGATATAGTCCTATATACAAAATTAACCCAAAATGGATGATAAATCCAAATATGAGAACAAAAACCATAAACATTTTAAAAGATAACCTAGGAAAAAAATCCTTACAATATTAGATGAGGTGTATATTTCTTAGGTAGAATACTAAGATTATGATTTACATACACCAAAAAATGATGAATTTCAATTCATCAAAATATAAAACCTCTGCTCTTTGAAAGATATCATTTAAAAAATGGAAAAGAAGATAATTAAGAGAACCCACAAATTGTAAGAAAATATTTTCAAGTCATATATCTGTTTAAAAATTGTATCCAGAATATGTAAAGGAATTCCAAAACTAAAGAATGCAAAAACAACCAACCCATTAAAATAATGGCCATACAATTTGGAAAAACACATCACCAAAAATATATATAGATGGCAAACACAATTTTCTCAATATTATTAACCATTTGGGAAATGGAATTCAAACCCACAATGTAATACTAATAAACACTCATTAGAATGGTTGAAAATGAACAGTAAAAGCAACAAATACTGACATACCAACTCATGCCTGTAATCCCAACTCTTTGGGAGGCCGAGGCGGGTGGATCATGAGGTCAGGAGTTCGAGACCAGCCTGGCCAAGTTGGTGAAATCCCGTCCCTACTAAAAATACAAAAATTAGCTGGGCGTGGTGGCACGCACCTGTAATCCTAGCTACTTAGGAGGCTGAGGCAGGAGAATCGCTTGAACCTGGGAGGTGGAGGTTGCAGTGAGGTGAGATCGCACTACAGCACTCCAGCCTGGGCAACAAGAGTGAAACTCCATGTAAAAAAAGAAAAAGATGCAAAATAAACAGAACTCTGATATATTTTTGGTTTAAATACTGCAAAGTGGCTAAAACGACTTTAAGAAACCATTTGATAATATTTCATAACATTAGAGCTATTCCACTCACTGGTATTTATACAAGTAAAATAAAAAATGTACGGTCACATCAAAAGCATGTATGTAAATGCTTATAGAGGCATTATTCATTATTAACAGAAATTAATAACAAGCCACATGTTCTTTAGTATTGCTTGTGATATATTTGCACAATGAATTACTACTCAGCAGCAAGTACTGGTACTGCAACATCATGAATGAACATCACAGGCATCACGCTAAGTGAAAGAAGACAGACTTTGAGTCTACCTACAGACTGCATACTGTATCATATCCTTTACACTGGAAAAGACAAAATTATTCAGACGGTAAAAATATTGGTGTTGGCCAGAGGATGAGGAGAGAGATTGACTCTGAAGAGGCATGGGAGAATTTTTAAATACTATACAACTATTGTATACCTTGATTGTGGTTGTGTCTACATGAATATATGATTCATCAAAAGTTGCAGAATTGTGAATGAAGAAGGATAGATTCTATTGCATATATCTTAATTTATAAAATTAAAACAAACACATCTGCTTATTTTCTATGTTTATAGAAAAACTGATGATCTTAATAGGTGAAATAAAAGCATTTGATAAAGTTCAACATATATAAATAATTAAAAACATCTCATAGCATACTGTAATTAGAAAAGAACTTCCTTAATCCAATAAGGAGTATCTAAATAAAACCTTTAACAAACAACAGACATAATGGTGAACTAGAGTAATCAGTAAAAGAAAGAAAGAAAAAGTTTCACTTCTGGAAATGTAGAAATAACCTTATAACAATTTGCATTTAACATGATATGTACATAGAAAATCAAGAAAAACTTTGAGCTTTAATAAGCAATCTAGCAAGGTTTCAAGTTAAATTGTAGATATACAACAATTTTATTTTTATACACCACTCATGAATAGTAATGAAATTTTTGAGAATTATATACAGCTTAAAATGTCATCAAAAAGCTTCAAGTATCTACCAATAAATATAATAAAAAATTATAAAACCTCTATACTAAATAACACAAATCAACATCAGGAAGTTTTAAATATCACAATAATTGGAGAAATATAGCCTGTTCAGTTAATGGAGTATGCAACATTGCTAAGAAGTCAAATATTTGTTCATTCTTCTATAGAATCTCACTCAAGGATTAAAGCTGTTGATTTGTTTTTGTTTTTGTTTTACATGTGAAAATTAGTGAATTGTAAATTTTACATGGAAATCTGCAAAGCCCAGATATCCAAGACAATCTTGAAGAAGAGGAATAAACCTTGGAGACTTACATAGAAGGCATGATATTCATTTAAACTGATGTTAAGCAAAGCCGCAGAAATACAGCATAGTCTATTAAGAATAGACTGTACAGGCACCATGCCACACATATATGATTAACTGACATGCAGTGAAGAATGAATGGCCTTCTTATTAAATGGTGCTGGGAAAATTGAATTTCCACTTCTACTGCACATCTTATATAAAAGTCTACTTCAGGTGAATTATAAATATAAATGTTCAAGGTAAAACAATATCGATTTTAGACTAAAACATAAGAAAATATTTTTATGACCCCAAGCTGTCAAAGGCTTCTTACAAGGAACATGAAATAATAACAAAGGAAAAAAGTAAAAGATCAATGGGGCCTTATTAAAACTAAGAACACGTCATGAAAAGAGAACATTAAAAAATTAGAACATCACAGATTGAGAGAATGTATTTGTACAACATACAGCTGACAACTTGTGTTTAGCATATTAAAAGAAATCTTAGGAATCAATATGAAAATGACAGACTAGTTGATAAATGAGAAGAAATTTAATAATTGCTTCATAAAACAGGATATACAAAAAGCCAATGGGCACATTAAAAAGAGGTCCTCAATGTAATAAATCATCATGAAAATGGAAATTTAAACCAATAGGAGGTGCTTCCAATTTCAACCAGGATGAGAATAGTTGGGACAGCCTTGCTGTCCCTCTGAAACTAACTAAGAATCTGGGAAAGGATGCGGAACAACTATTCTCTACTATTGGACAACACACAGCTCAAGGATGTGTTCCCTGGGAGATGGGGAAGACTCAAAGCGAGCACTAGAATCTCCTCAGCTTTCTGTTGGAAGGCAATTTCCAGACCACAGCACAGGAATAATCAAGCAGGGTACAACATAAAGAAACCAAAACGAGGATAAGACATCTGGGATTTGTAGGCAGGGTACCAGAAAGGGGGAAGCTATGCAGAGAAACTGCTCCCGAAATCAAAATGACCCCTTGATTCTGAAGCTGAATGGTGAGTTTTGCATGTTGAGGGTGAAACTGCACAGGGCTTGGCAGAAAGCTGAACTATTCCCAGACCTAATTCCAGCTTGGGAGACATACAAACCAGCAAAACTAAAGACCTCATGATATACCTAGGGTATTCAGTATAAACCATGGGAATGACATAGCTTCGTAATAGGGCCAAACCTGGCCTTGGAGCAGTGTTACTCAGCCTTGTCACTGTTGACATACTGGCCCAGAAAATATTTTGTTGTGGGGCTTGTTCAGTGTACTATAAGATGTTTAGCATCATCTCCATCTTCTTCCACGAGGCACCTGTAACTTTCCTCAGTTGTTTCCAACAATATTTCCAGACATTGTCAAATGTACTTTGTAGGGCAAAATCAGCCGTAATCAAGAACCACTTCCCTAGAGTAAAAGTTATCCTAGACCTACCCTAAAAAATGAAACTTTCAACCTTGGCTTGAAAAGATCAACTTCTCCTAGTTGATCTTTCTGACTCTAAATAAAACAAATTTAAAATTAAAAAGAAATAACAAACAGCATCAAGCAACAATGCAACATTCATGGGGGCTAGTATTCTTTCAAAATTTACTAAATACGTGAGGAGCAGGAAATTGTGACTGGTAACCAGAGAAAAAAGGAGTTAACGGAAGTAGAGCAAGAAATAACAGGTAATTAAATTAGCAGATAGAATTTCAAGTAGCTCTTATAAATGTGTTCAAGTATTTAAATGATAACAAAAATATAATGAAAAGTTGCAAGTAGATAAAAAAACAAAATTTTGTGATTAAAAATAAAATATCTAAAATGTGAAAAGATACTGATGGGCTTAATAGCAGATTAGACAATAAAGGGAAGATCAGACTACCTAAGGTCACAGCAATAAAATTTATATCATAAAAGCACACAGACAAAAAAATACCAGAAAATAATTAACAGAGCCTCAGTGACCTGGGGGACAATTCCAAGTAGTTACATGGATTAGGAGTTTCTAAAAGAGGTAGAGACAGAAAAAAGAAGAAAGATCTGAAAATATAGTGGCCATTCGTTTTCCAAATAGAAAACATACACACCCTATAAATCCAAGAAGCACAGAAAGTTCCAAGCAGATTTAAACATAAAGAAAACCACACCAAAGCATATCATGAGCAAATTGCTGAAAACTGGTATTAAAGAGAATATCTCAAATACATCTAGAGAAAATATGATACATTAAATATAGAAGAACACAAATAAGAATGAGTAAGATTTCTTATCTGAAACAGTGAAAAAAATTAGAAGAAGATGAAGTAGCATTTTCCATAAATGGTACTGAAATAGTTGGACATCTGTACGAAAAAAAAAAGGAAACTTGTTTCTTACCTCACATGAATGCATGTAAAATTGTGAATCCATCACAGATCTAAAAGCAAGAGCTAAAACTATAAAATTAACAGAAGAAACATCCTTATAATTCAGGTATAGGTAAAGATTTCTTAAATAAACACAAAATGCATATTTCTTCAAAGGAAAAAATTAACAAACTAAAATTCACCAAAATCAAAAACTGAAAGAAAATATTTTCAATTCATTTATCTAACCAAGGTCTTGTATCCAGAATCTGCAAAGAATGCTTAGAATTCAATCGTTAGAGAATAGCTTCATAGAAAATAGGCAAAACATTTTAAAAGATATTTCATAAATTATATAAATGTCAGTATGTAAAAATGCTTAATTTTTAAGTCATTTATGACTATAATAATATTTAAAGATTAACACCAACTGAAAAAAATTATTTGTAACTAAAATATATTTGATAAATTAAAAATACTTATATCAAGTATTAGAAAGTATGAGATGCAACTCTAATTCTGACATATTGATGTTGGTCATATGAAATAGTCCAACTACTTTGGAAAAGAGTTTGGCATTGTGTTATAATGCTGCGTAAATGTCTACATACAACCCAAATATTTCGCTCCCAGCTATTTGTCTATTGAAAAGTTAAAATAGGTAGCACAAATATTAGTAAAAGAATGTTGAAAGAAATATCACTAGTAATGGTCTAAAACTGTAAATAATCCAAATGCCCATCAAAATTGAAAAAAATAGCACACACTGTAGTATATGCTTACGATGGAATACACAGCCACAAAGATGAATGAACTATAGATATTCAGAACAAGAGGAATGGATAGCAGAAATGTGCTGGGTGAAAGAGGGGGAATAAGGATGTATATACTGCAAGATTGCATTTTATGTAGAACTTTAGTAAACACAAAGCTCATCTGTAGTGACAGAAAATGGGAGGAGGACCTGTGGCTCAAGATAGGTGGGATGACTACAATGGGCATGGAAAATTTGGGAGGATTATAAAAATGTTCTATGTTTTTGTTGTGATGGTGGTCATGAGGATAAATATACTCATGAAACTCTATACTAAAAATTAATAAAACTGGTTTGCATTATTAATAAAATGTTACATCATTAATTACTTCAAGTTAATTCAAAAATAGGTTATTATTACCAACCCATCATAAAGGCTACACTGATGACAATCAGCACTCTCAAGCAATGTTGGTAGAAGTACAAATAGATACTTTAAAAATATTTCACAGTACTGTCCCAAACTGAACATATGCATACTCCATGACCCAATACTTTTAATTCTAGGTAAATACTCAACAAAAACATGGATGTATGTTCACCAAAAGTCATTTGTAAAAATGCCGATACCAGCAAGCCTTGAAAAAATGCAAACATCTGTCAAGAGTAGAATGAATAATAAATTGTGATGTATTCATTAAACCAAATCTGTTCAGCAGTTAAAACAAATAAACTGCAGCTCTACCTATTGTATAAAAATAGGGATGAATCTCACGAGCATACTATGTCCACTTTCACTCTCTGGACATTTATAATAAAGTGAAAAAAACACAGAAGAAATGCAAAATATCCTACAGTTTCACAAAGTTAAGAAGTTGATTACTCACTTTGGGAGGCCGAGGCGGGCGGATCACGAGGTCAGGAGATTGAGACCATCCCGGCTAAAACGGTGAAACCCCGTCTCTACTAAAAATACAAAAAATTAGCCGGGCGTAGTGGCGGGCGCCTGTAGTCCCAGCTACTTGGGAGGCTGAGGCAGGAGAATGGCGTGAACCCGGGAGGCGGAGCTTGCAGTGAGCCGAGATCCCGCCACTGCACTCCAGCCTGGGCGACAGAGCGAGACTCCGTCTCAAAAAAAAAAAAAAAAAAAAAGAAGTTGATTACTTTGGGACACTAATATATTAATTTGCACAGTAAAGTCTCTGAGTTGCTGTGTAGTAGTTTTCTAGGCCTGCCATGACAAAGCACCACAGACTGGGTGGCTTGCACAACTGAAATCTACTTTCTCAGAATATGGAAGATAGAAGTCTGAGATTAAGATGTCAACACGATTGTTTCTTCTGAGGCCTCTCTCCTTGGTTTGCATGTGATTGTCTTCGCCCTGTCTTCACATGATCTTCCTCCTGTATGTATCTGTGTCCTAATTTCTTAGAAGGACAGAAGACATGTTGTAGTAGGGCCCACCTCAATAGCCTCCTTTTTAACTTCATTACCTTTTTAGAGATCCTACAGTACAGTTGCTTTCTGAAGTACCTGGGTTTAAGTCTTCAACATACAAATTTTAGAGGAAACATAATTCAGCCCATAACCAAGATGTAGATATCAGTTTTTGGAGAAGCGGGGATGTACGTTATTTAGCCTACCACAGCATCCATTGTATGTATTGAAATAACCACTCTCCCATGCAGCTAGAATGGTACTAGTTATGTGTCAGAAGATTCTTAATTCTTCATCCTCAGGAGAATTAGAAAAATAGTCATTTGAATCATTTTCTGTCTTCTGTGGTTGAAATGAGGAACTTTGGTCTAATCTCAAGACTGGAGGATGCTATAAGAAGTGTTACAGATGTTATCATGGCAAAAAAAGTCCTACTTGCAAGAATGAATGCAAAGTCACTTATGGAATGCAAAGTCTGTGCCAGGCATTCCTATGTGCTTTCTATGCATTAACATATTTGAATTTCACGAGAACCCTAACATCATTTCAGATTTTCACATGATGAACTAAGAAGTTCAATTATATACTTATGGAAACAGAATTACTAAGTGGGAGACCCAAGGTTTGAACCCAGGAAGTCTGGCTCCAAAAACAATACTCTTAACCACCATACCATTAACACCTGCATCTACTCAAAGTCCCGAAGTATTGGTTTGCCTTATGTAATTGTCTGAAGTTGCATTTGATCAAGGTTATATTTCCCAAACAATTCCTGTTTAATGCTAAGCTAACAGTTCCGTATTGATCACATTTAAAAAAATAAAGCTGCTGCCTCTTCTTGGCATCCTAAGAATACAATGCCATTTCCACATGCTCCAAGCATCTACTGGTTTGATTGGACTCGTGCTTTTTCTGTTAAATATGACTTAACGTAGGCTGGCATTTTCTTTGGTTTCAAATTATTTTATTTTATACAAAGATTTCATCTTTCTAGTGTTACTGTACGGGGAAGGCATTTTACCGTAATCATAGTTAGTTATTATATTTATTTAAATTTTAAATTATTTTAAATAACTGACAATTTAATTTTCACTCTAAATAATATGATTGGTGAATTCCATTACTTTATGCTGAAACCAGAATGACGGCATGGCCAACACCTGTGGTTTGGATAGGAATTAAACACTAAGTATATTTGTACAAAGGAATCTAATGATTAAAGTGAAAGGATCATTTTCTAAGATTCTAAGAATTAAAAAGAAGGCTCATAGAGATTGATTTAGAACAGTTATGCTTTGCCGAAATCAGACACAGAAGTAAAATTACTACTGTTGTTCTGTGGAAATTCTAGACCAGACCACAATTTTTGGTGGTGAGAATAATATTGCAATGCATGTCTTGGTTTGAGGGTTATTTAAATACCTAACCTTGTTATTCTTATGGTTCATCCTTAAGACCTATTTTAACAACATCAAATGTATAACAACCAAATAATTTCAGGATTTTGCTATTGTCACTTTAATTCAGTTTTAGTTTAAGTATGGTTATTTATTCCAATTTAATGCATAATTCTTATAATTAGGGCTTGAATAGGATTAATTTTATTCTCTGCAGCTCTTTATTGTTTTGTTATGTCTAGACATACCACACATCTGCAATCAACATGAGTTTGACTTCTTAATGCTATTGAGATGTTTACATCATTTACATCTTAGTAATCCATCCATCATAACAATGTCAAGCAAAATTTACAGTCCTGGTGCCACTTCGAGTGACAACATCACAAAAAGAAGATTGACCGCAAGAAACCCATAGGTGGCAAAGGAAGTAAGGCTGTTTTCTGTCCAGAAACCAGTCTGGCACATTTTTTATTGTGTCAGAGCCTTTTCTGCAACTGGTGCTGGATAGAAATTTCTTATCTTGAAGCCATTCAAATAACAGAGAAAGGGGACATCTTGATCTTTATTTTTCCAATACGTTTGCTTGTTTAAAATAATAAATAACATAAAATGCAGCTTTTAATTAATGGTTGATCAAAAATAAGTCCCAAAGCTTTAGGGCAATTGTGAACTAAATATTGTCATTTGATATTTAAAAAGCTATGATAAACTATGGTATTAATTTTTAAATCGTTCATAACAAAAGATCTTAAATTACTTGGCAAATTTTAAAGATGGTTTGAAGCCTTTGCTTTTAATCTAGTGATATTTCTGTAACACTATAATCTGCTATGAAAAGATATAGTCTGTACTTGTCCATGCCAGGACTGAATTGCATCTAAAGAGATAACTGAAAATCCACCTATTGTGTTTATGTATAAATGGGACTATTTTCATCTACCCTATTGACCTTGTTTAAAAAAATATATATCACAGATTGCTATTGAGGCATTTTCCAAAGACTAGATTTTCATTTTCCTGTAAATCTCACAATTCTATTTATACAAGAAATTCCATTATTGTACATATCAATATTTGCGTTTTAAAGGGATTATGCATTGGCTAGGCAATAGGAGAGAGTGACAGCAGGAAGTGGATTGGAAAGACAATAGGAGAGGGGATATGATATGGAGTAGAAGGCCTCTGGGATGCTCAAATATGAAATACAGTTTCCAGTTTCATAAGTTCCTGATTAAAAGGAAAACATAACAGCAAGACTGGAAGGGCCCAGATTGATTTTTTTGAAATAGTGCCCACTCATAAAAGAGGGAACGTTTTTGAAATAAAATGATACTAAGAAATTCTTTTTATTTGAGCCAGTTTGCTACCTGATCAATTTAATCCGCACTCAGATATTTGGAAAACATTGTTTGAGCAGAAAAACATGAGGTTATGAACTGTGTGGTATCAGGTAGAATTTGTAAGGCAAACGAGAGCAGATATTGAAGTAATGCTACAAAAAAAAACCCCTTAAAATTGCATTCATATTAGCATATCATTCAAACAACAGGTAATATACGTGTTTAATTCTTGGTATTCTTGCATTGGTTTTTCATGAGAAACCTCCCTGGAAGTTAAAAAAAAATTGACTATATTGACGTGGAATATACAAGCTGTTTAAATGAGTAACCTGTTTATTAAAAGGCCTGAATTGACATCTGGGTACTGCACATAGTCATCAACAAATATGCATTAATCTTACTCTATTCGAGACCTTGCAACAGACACGGTGGGAGACTCAAAGATAAATGTGACTTGGCCTCTCCTATTGCTGAACTTGCACTCTACTTTGGGCCATGAGTCATTCTAAGTGGCACAAGTGAGGTATCACATTTCCGATGGCATTTTAGAAAAAAAGATTGATTTCTGTGACCTCGGCTGGTGAGGAAAGGCTTCGTGGAAGAAATCAGACTTGACCTAGATGGTGAAAAAAATGGGCAATAAATAATAACAATAATAACTCATAAGCTATATAATGTTTTATTGGTATGAAAGCACTTAAATTTGGCATTACCTCATTCATCGCTCACAATGGAGAAACAGCAAGCAAACGAGTCTGTCACAGGCAGGATGCAATTGTGGTTCAAGAACCACAGAGGGCTACTAGTAGAAGGGAAAGCTAGGGTCAGATAGAAAAGAACCTTGAATCCAGAAGCTATACATTTGGACTGTTAGGCTATTCAAGTTTTTTGGTGGTGGTGTGTGTCTGTGTGTGTGTATATATATATATATTGAAAATCGGGTTGTGTTTTCTCCTTAGGTGGATTAAATTGTATAGATTTTTCCTTAAAGTTCAGAAAAATACAGATCATGCAGAAAATATCTTGGCACGATTATCTTATTTGGAAAGGCATCTAAGACTCTTTTCATAATTGGCAATTTCAAACTGGAAGCAGCATTTATTCACATAATCTTGTAGTTACCACACATTTTCTGCCATATAGGAATCATGTGTCTATAAAGTGTTTAGCTGTGGAAAATGAATTATTTTAAAAAAATCCTCTTGGGCAAACCAAGGGTGCACCATAAACAAATGCCCAGAAGGAAAATCTTAGAAGATTGAGATTATTCCATCAAATGAGAATAATGCAGTCTTAATTCGTATATTCCTTTTCAGAACTGGTTTTGCTCCAAAAATATGCAGGGAAAAATCTGCCAGTAGAACCAGCAGAGTCAGTGAGAAACTAATCAAAAGACCTCCACTTAGAATAAAATGAAGACAAATAAATGGCACTTGTTAAGAACCCGAGATAATTACCTGAACTTTTCAACACTTGACAAGTATATATGATCCAGATTAACAATGTCTAGTGATGTAAGGGAAAGCCTTTGCCTTCCTGAGGCACAATGAGTCTGTGCCTTTCTTACTCTATAATTCATATATATATTTTTTTCTATGGGAATCACTTTACATTGAATAGATGACAAATAATATTTTGGGCCTATATGACACAATAGTTTTCAGAGCCACCAAAAATGTGAACTCTAATCTCTAGCCTTTTTATAAATGCTAATTCATCTTCCAGATAATATCCATGTGATGTCAATATAACTTATCAGACATTAAATATAGAAAAGATTAATTAATGTATATGAAACTTAGTTACAGAAAAATTTGGCTATGAAAACCGATGATTTATTTTTTAAAAAAACTGATTTCTCATAAATGAAAACTTCTAGATAAATTTTAAGTAAAGTCATCAGTAGGAGATGAATCTTAAGTGAACATACCCATACCATTTTGGTAGGGGAAAGGGAATCCAAAATTTTTAAGTACGTACTATGTTGCAGGTTATAGTAAATATTTTAGTTTTAGGTAAGCACTTCACAAACCTTATCTTATTTAGTGATCTCACCTTTTTTGAAATATATGTTCATATGTCTTTTTTAAAAATGGAGAAACTAAAATTCAGAGAGATTCAATAACTTGTTTAACTTTACACATCCAGTCTATGATACCAAATCAGGGTTCTTTTTGGAGATCATGTTGCTTTCTTTCTTATTTTATGGTTCTCCTTTATCCTATCTCCCTGCCATCCCTCATATAAAGCATCATGTATGTAATCAGACATGCAGGACACTCATGCTAGTCCCATGATCCCGTTTTCAAAATTTATGTAGAAAAAGGTCCATTAGCTTCATTTTAGTAAGTTGCAAACAACTGTCAATTCCTACATAGATGTTCATTTATGGGAAAACACAGAGGCTCTAACCATTGATCCAAGAAAATAATTGGGTACTGGAAACATAAATACCTACTAGTAGTTGTGAGATATTGGTAAAACGCCTTTAAAATTATGGTGATTTCTGGAAAAGTATTGCTGATGACTCCTCGAATCATATTGAGTAAACAGCTTCAATTATTGAAGGATATCCAGTGTGTTTTTGCCTACTATATGTGACTACAGAAACTGGGGGGGTCATTTTTAGAAAGTATAATTTAAAAAGATAACGCCTTATGCAGTGTTCTATAATTTACTGTGTTCCCTCATGTACCTTTTCAGATTTGAAAGTGAGAAGAAGCAGGCAAGTATTCCTATTTTCTCTATTTAGAGAAAACAGTCAAGCAAATAAACCACCAAACCTAGATGGGGAAGAGACTGGCCCAGGTGCTCCAGTGGTGAGTGATAAAGGATGCCTTACTGTTCCATTTGTGAATCTTTCTGACCAGAGACTTCTTAACCCTTCCAATCTTTTCCCACAACTGAAATTAAATATACAGAAAATACTGCCCTTGCTCTGCCTTTGAAATCACCAGAACAATCCACAGACTTCCATAGTTATAAGAAATTGTTTTGCTTTGATTTCTACCTAAGACAGGAAGGAGACCACTTTAAAAGGTATTCAAGATGATTACATCTGGGTTTTATAGAGCAGTTATTATTGTCTTTGTCTTCTATTAAATGGGCCAATGAGAGAAGAATTGAGTTCAATGAAATAATTTAGATTAGCCGTATATGTAAAATTCCATACTGAAAATCTTGGGAGATTCAAGAGACAAATTTTAAGCAAAACTGTAATATCATTTCCTGATTTCAGAATAGAATTTTATAGAAAATAAATTACCTTCCAGGGTCATCTCTCCATCTTAGATAATAGGATCAATGATCATTTATTATGTGAAATTTAGGATATTTTAAAATCTTCCTTTCTGTGCCCAGTACTTGAGTCAATATTTCATTATCAATAGCAATATGTTTCATTTTTAAAGGCAATTATTGCCAAACATAGATAGTCTCATCTCTTATTCAAATGGCTAGAAGTGGAACCTCTTGTTTTGCAAGGGACAGTGAGGCTATTCCGGTCCACATGAAATTATGACAAGCCGAAAGCTTCTGTCTTTACCTATTTTAACTTATTTTAATCACTTTGATGACTGTAAAGTCATTTAAAGCAGTTAACTTCATTGCCCATGGTAAAGTTTTTGCAATTCAATAGAGTGATGTATAGGTTGGATTTGTGAAGTAAGGTATTAGAGATTGAAATCAATGGAGATTAACTTTTGTATTAGGGGAAACAAAAGCTCACTGACCCTGAGAAGGAAAAAAAGAAACTAGGCAAGATGAACTCCCATTTATGGATTTGTTTCCAAGATTCAGGCTTTTCCAGAATCTTTTTCTTTTTTTTTGAGATTGAGTCTTGCTCTGTCACGCAGGCTGGAGTGCAGTGCCGTGGCTCGATCTCAGCTCACTGCAACCTCCACCTCCTGCGTTCAAGCAATTCTCCTGCCTCAGCCTCCAGAGTACCTGGGATTACAGGCACAGGCCACCAAACCCCGCTAATTTTTGTATTTTTAGTAGAGATGAGGTTTCACCATGTTGGCTAGGTCGGTCTCGAACTCCTGACCTCCAGCGATCTGCCCGCCTTGGCCTCCCAAAGTGCTGGATTACAGGCGTGAGCCACCGCCCTCAACCTCAGAATCTTTTTCTATAGAAAATTAGTGGAGACAAGACCATGTTCTCATCCCTTTAGAAAAGTAATGTGTTGAATATTAAGTTCAATAAAGAAAACTAGCATAGTCAGACATATATAGCTATAATGCTAGTGTATTCTTAGTTTGAGCTTCAATTAGTTCTACATCATTCCATTAATAATTTTGGCATTTCTCAGATTGTGAAAACAATATGTAATAATTCAAAAAATTACAAAAAAATTGCAAAACAAAACTAACCCAGTATCCCACCATGAATACATAACAATTTGATGTATTTAGAAATTATATAGCCATTCGTGGATTATGTGGCCTATGAAGATTTCATGATACTTCATTACAGAACATTTTATCATTAAATATTTGCATAAAACATGTTTGAAGATTGGAAACTTGTATTTTTTTACTTTATCATAAATTAATCACTACTTACATTTACTTTATACATTGTTACCAGAAAGGGGGCTGGATCCAGATCCCAAAAGAGGGTTGGTGGATCTCATGCAAGGAAGAATTTGGGGAGTCCATAAAGTGAAAGCAAGTTTATTAGAGAAATAAAGATACAAAAGAATGGCCACTGCATAGGCAGAGCAGCCTGAGGGCTATGGGTTGGCTATTTTTATGGTTATTTCTTGATCATATGTGAAACAAGGGGTGTATTATTCATGAGTTTTCCAGGAAAAGGGCTGGCAATTCTGGAACTGAGAGATCCATTTCCATTGAGAGCATATAGGGTTACTTCTGGATGTTGCCATGGCATTTGTAAACCATTGTGTTCCGTCTCGCTCTGTTGCCCAGGCTGGAGTGCAGTGGCACCACCTCGGCTGACTGCAACTTCTGCCTCCCGGGTTCAAGCGATCCTCCTGCCTCAGCCTCCCTGAGTGGCTGGTACTACAGGTGCGTACCACCAGGCCAGGCTTTTTTGTATTTTTAGTAGAGACGAGGTTTTGCCATTTTGGCCAGGCTGGTCTCGAACTCCTGACCTCAGGTGATCTGCCCGCCTCGGCCTCCCAAAGTGCTGGGATTACAGACATGAGCCTCTGCGCCTGGCCTTGGCAAGTTTTGATGGGCTTCTTTACAGCATCCTGTATTATCAGCGAAATCTTTGTGACCTGTATCTTGTGCTGACCTTCTATCTCAGACTGTGTCTAAGAATGCCTAAACTCCAGAGAATGCAGCCTAGCAGGTCTCATTCTCATTTTACCCAGCCCCTATTTAAGATGGAGTTGCTCTTGTTCAAACACCTCTGACACTATTTTAAACATAATAAAGCAATATGTAGTCACTGTAGAAATCATTCAAATATAGAAGAAAATAAAACACATATATTTTTCAAAACAGTAAAACTGTGAGCTGTGTGTGTGTGTTGTAGGATATCTAAATGGAAGTTTTATCTAAAGTACCAATCCCTAGGTCAACATTCCAAAGTGAAGTGAGAGACCATGATGCTGCGTTTACAAGAAAGGTGTTCAAAGACCATTATGAGTCTTTTAACCCCTCACCAACGTCAAAGGAAATAAAGGTCAGAGTAGATTGAAGGTTAGAGTAGGGTTATTATACTGTTGGAATTATTAAGGTTAATTAAAAAAAATACTGCAGGTGTGCTATGAGTCCTATATTCCCAAATAGAAAAGATAGTTGTTTTTCTTTCCCTTCTTTCTCTTTTGACCTCAAGTCCAAAAGAGAAGTACAGTAGCTTTTCTGGTGTCTGACTCCTGCTTAGGAATTCTAATTCAGAAAGACTGCTTGGTTAAGTGTTGATGGTGAAGCAAATAGAGAGATATCTGTTTCAGGACTATCCTTTCAGCTTCTTAGGGCAAAGATTATGTTAACGTATATTGGACTGAGTATTACCAAATCTGGCCAAGAAAAATATAGGTGCCCAGTAAAATTTGAATTTCAGATAAACAATGAATGTATTTGTGATAAATATTATGTGTAATAGTTGAGATATACTTATACTAATAATTATTTCTTGCTTATTTAAATTTCAAATTTAAGTATTTGTCCTGAATGTATCTGTCAGCTCTACTTAGACTACATGAGGGCCATTTGTGATAGAGATCCACAGAGAGGTGGTGTTGGAGCCTGTCCAAGGAGGTTCTGAGAGGGGTAAACAGACACAGTAGAAACAAGCTGAAAGCACTACTATATGCCCAAGGGCTGACCCAGGAATAAACAACTCATGAGACTTGACTTGCCATTATTATTAACAAAAGAAAGGTTCTACAAAGCCAGGGACATCCAATACTATGGAGAGCAATGGTTGGCTCTCTAGAAAGCCCATGAAGATGCTCAGATCGGTACTCTGTTGTAATTCTGTGAGGAAAAAAAATGTAGTATGCCATTTTGTTCATAAAACTGATATGATAATAGTACACAAAACAAGGATCATGCAGTTTTTCACATTTTAAAATATTGAAAGTTTCATTTCCAGCCCAATTTGTATACAAACATTAAACAAATATATGTATGTATGCATACATACATAGCAGTCCTCAAAGACACAAAAGAAAGGCTGCAGCAGTCTGTAAATGAAGATTATAATCATACTAATGATAGCTTAATCAACTGTCCTCAGGAAATCCAGGGAAATAAGAGTCTCTTTTTAAATAGGTAAACAGAGACACAACACATCAGGTTAATTGGAAATCATAGTTATTTATTCTTCAAACCCTTCTTCAGTTAAAATGCCTTAGATAACTCCCTCAATAATTTCTCAATTTAGGGCAAACTCAACCACTCAGATTATATACTTGCCTGCTGATATTGTCTATACCATTAGAGTAACACTTATTAGGCTGTGTTCACATTAATTTCATACGGAGTTTTTAATAGGAGTTAGAAATGGTTATAAAGTTCTGGTGATGTATGATTTTCGTTTTAAAGGAAGACTAGGAATTATTCAGGTCAAAATGAAGGAAGGGTATTTTAAGTCAAGAGAACAGAAATTGCAGAGACACAGAGTATTAAAGGAAAACATTAATCAGAAAAAGTTAAGATGGTCATCGCAGTTGAACCACAGGCTGTCTTGCCAGGTAGTTAAGGGGTATGAGATAATGTAAGATCACATTGTGGAGAGCTTTTGTGCAGGACAATTACCTGTATATTTAATCTCAAATATGGTGCAGTGCCCAGTGACAGTTTCAGAAGAGTTAAATAACCAAATTTGTTTTAACAATATTACACTAATTATTGCATAGAGAAAAATGCCAGAAATTGATAACTAGTGGCCCTTATTCTTTATTAGGCCATGTTCTGTTTGATCATTGCTGCATTTTAAAAGATAATGTGAATGCGAAAAAGTTGAAAGCATTCTCTCTGAGAACTGGAACAAGACAAGGATCCCCACTCTCACCACTCCTCTTCAACATATACTGGAAGTGCTAGCCACAGCAACCAGACAAGAGAAAGAAATAAAGGGCATCCAAATTGGTAAAGAGGAAGTAAAACTGTTGCTGTTTGCTGATGATATGATTGTTTATCTACAAAACCCTGAAGAGTCTTCCAGAAAGCTCCTACAACTGATAAAAGAATTCAGCAAAATTTCCAGATACAAAATTAATGTACACAAATCAGTAGCTCTTCTATATACCAACATGAGCAAGCTGAGAATCAAATCAAAACTCAACTCAAATAAAATACTTAGAAATATACATAACCAAGGAGTTGAAAGACCTCTACAAGGAAAGCTACAAAACACTGCTGAAAGAGATCATAGATGACACAAACAAATGGAAACACATCCCATGCTCACGGATGGATAGTCAATGTTGTGAAAATGACAATACTGCAAATTGCAATCTACAAATTCAACTCAATTCCCATAAAAATACCACCATCATTCTTCACAGAATTAGAAAAAAAAAATCCTAAAATTTATGTGGAACCAAAAAAGAGCCCAAAAAAGAGTCAAAGCAAGACTAAGCAAAACAAACAAACAAACAAAAAAACAAAAACAAGAAAACAAACAAACAAAAAACAAATCTGAAAGCATCACATTACCTGATCTCAAACTATACTATAAGGCCATAGTCAGCAAAACAGCATGATACTGGTATAAAAATTAGGCACATAGGCCAATGGAACCGAATAGAGAACTGAGAAATAAACCCAAATACTTACAGCCAACTCATCTTTCACAAAGCAAACAAAAACATAAAGTGGGGAAAGGACACACTTTTCAACAAATGGTGCTGGGATAATTGGCAACCCACACGTAGGAGAATGAAACTGGATTTTCATCTCTTGCTTTATACAAAAATCTACTCAAGATAGATCAAGGACTTAAATCTAAGACCTGGAACTATAAAAATTCTAGAAGATAACATTGGAAAAACCCTTCCAGACCAAGAACCCAAAAGCAAATGCAATAAAAACAAAGATAAATAGCTGGGACTTAATTAAACTAAAGAGCTTTCTCATGGCAAAAGGAGCAGTCAGCAGAGTAAACAGACAACCCACAGAGTGGGAGAAAATCTTCACAATTTATACATCTGACAAAAAACTTTTATCTAGAATCTATAATGAGCTCAACATCACTAATGATCAGGAAAATGCAAATCAGAACCACAATGCAATACCACCTTACTCCTACAAGAATGGCCATAATCAAAAAATAAAAAAAAAATAGATGGTGTGGATGCAGCGAACAGGGAAGACTTCTACACTGCCAGTGGGAATGTAAACTAGTGCAAATGCTATGGAAAAATAGTGTGGAGATTCCTTAAAGAACCAAAAGTAGAACTGCTGTTTGATCCAGCATTCCCACTACTGGGTATCTACCCAGAGGAAAAGAAGTCACTATACGAAAAAGATACTTGCCCACACGTTTATAGCAGCACAATTCGCAATTGCAAAATCGTGGAACCAGCCCAAATGCCCACCAATCAACAAGTGGATAAAGAAACTGTGGTATATATATATACAATGGAATATTACTCAGTCATAAAAAGGAATGAATTAATGACATTTGCGGCAACTTGGACGAGACTGGAAATTATTATTCTAAGTGAAGTAACTCTGGAATGGAAAACCAAACATCATATGTTCTCACTCATAAGTGGGAGCTAAGTTATGAGCATGCAAAGGCATAAGAATGACACAATGGACTTTGGGGACTAAGGAGGAAAAAAGGTGGGAAGGGGGTGAGGGATAAAAGACTACAAATTGGGTGCAGTGTACACTGCTCGGGTGATGGGAGCACCAAAATCTCACAAAACACCACTAAAGAACTTACTCATGTAACCAAACACCACTTGTTCCCCAATAACCTATAGAAATAAAAAAAAATTTTTTTAAAAGAAGATAATGTGACTAGACAGTGACTATGTTTGAGCACAACACAAGCCCTTTAGGAACTGCTTGCATCGTTAGGCACTTCTGTTACCTGCTGGCCCCTAAGGACTTCTAAGATTGTGACTCTTAGTGCAGATGAACTGGAGTGATGAAGAGACTGGTTCCGAGCTCAGCTCCATCACTCAATGGGTTGTGTTACCTTCACAGTTTCTTCATTTGTAAATGGAGGTAAAAATATTGCCTATCTCATGGGATTGCTTTGAGGACTAAATGATTTACTGCATCTAAATCACTTAGCACAGAGCTTGGCATATAATAAGTGCTTAATAAATATTAACTATTGTACTTAACATGATGATATCAGTTAGGGAGCTTGAAAAAAAAATCCATGTCAAAGATAACTGAATTCTTGGACTAAAACAGAGAGGAGGTGAAACAGATTAGTTGTAGAGATACTTCTAAAATTATCATCAATAGAATTCTAATTAGATAGAAAGTTATGCAAAAGCAAAATAACCCACTGAAGTTTAAATTGCATTCATGATCTAATGACAATAATGGTGGATTGATAATCAGACAAGCTGATAATTTCTAGAAAAGGATCTTCCTGTGCACCATCAAATTATAGCAGATAGGCATCTGTACCTCTCTGTTTTTACACAGGCTCTGTGTGTGTGATATAATGAGCCACCCCTCTGGCTATGCAGGTCACAGATGTATTTATGCTGAAATCTTTTAGGTTCATATGTTCATCTTGGAAATACGATGTTGTAGAACCTCACATTATAGATCCAAACCATGGACACCTTGGCCACATTTCATAACTGTGTTCAGGAATGCTCAGCTGCCTTTTCATTTACTTTTTATAAAATGTCATTGAAATCAGAAGAAGATGACACAGGGTTCTATAGTTAGAAGTAGGAAAAAGTTAGCATTTTCTGCTACTCATGTCTTCAATTAAACTTGTTGTTTTGGGACAAACTCAAACTAAACAAAAGCAACATCTCTGGTATAGACCTTATCTCCCAAATGCTATTATGGTGCTAATGATGTTGACCATTGGAGAGTAAGAAGTGGTGAGACATGAACCTTCCAGGCCTGCAGAGGCTATTGCTTGCCTATAGGTTCCATCAGTTGCCTTTTGAGAACTATAGCATAATTAATCTCCATTTTCTATTTTCTATATGAAACATGAGGGTGATAAAAAGAATTTCAGGACCTAGATACCTGTTAAATTAGCACAGAACTCCCACTCTTATCCTATGAATAGGGAAAAACAAATAGTGTTGAATTTGGTCTTATTCTGAGATGTAGAAAAGTAAAGTAACTGCTGTCATTTTGATGTTCCTGTACAATTCCTAACTGCACAGAGTAGAAGTGGAGAAAAAAGCTGCACACAATGATGGATTAATAATAATGTTTTGGGCTGGGTGCCCTGGCTTATGCCTGTAATCCCAGCACTGTGGGAGGCTGAGGCAGGCAAATCGCCTGAGGTTAGAAGTTCAAGACCAGCACAGCCATCATGTTGAAACCCCGTCTCTTCTAAAAATACAAAAATTAGCTGGGCATGGTGGTGCATGCCTGTAATCCCAGCTACTTGGGAGGCTGAGGCAGGTGAATAGCTTGAACCTGGAAGGCAGAGTTTGCAGTGAGCCAAGATCGCGCCACTATACTCCAGCCTGGGAGACAAAGCAAGACTCCATCTCAATAATAATAATAATAATAATAATAATAATAATAATGGTTTGATTCCCCATGCAACACCTTTTGTATGTACATTCCCAGACATTGTTATATTAATCAATTATTTTAAGATAAAGATGAATAATCTGATTAAGAGATTACAAGATTTAGAGGGTTACCCAGTTAGGAAAAATATTGGCTTTAAGATGGGAAGATATTTTGGAAATTATAATTTACTCAAATGTCTGAATAGATCTTAGGATAAAATATAATGGGAAATCTTTATGTTGTTTATACTTGTATAAGAAAGAACAAGTATCCATTGCCTCAGATCAATCTGTATAATAATTGAAGAACATAAAGCTAAGAAATGAGAATTATTCCCTCAATTTCATGTTTTTGTTTCTTAAAATCTTTACCATAATTGATTCATATTTTCAATTCACGTTGTGCGTAGTAGTTGTAGTTATTTCAGGGTTGTCATAGTTGTAGTTAATTCATGGGGATACGGTCATTTTCCGTGACCATTGCAGGTATTATTAGTCAATCACTGTATTCTCACACTGATAGATTTTGCTTTAGGAATCCTCTCACCGGAGGAAGATCAGTTTCCATACCAATGAGGCCTACAGTTGAAAACTAGCTGCTATTCCATATATTTTATCAAATCTAGGCAAATACAACAAAAGTTCACATTATTTTCCATGGACAAAATCTCTACAAAAGTCTTTTGCCCCATTAATTTGGCAAAACCTTGTCGTTAAGCTGTTTCTAGAAATCTAATCTCAGACACTACCTGGCAATTAAATTATTATGTGAGCTTTAAAATCTGCAATTGCAATGCCTTCTGATGTGGTTTGGATATTTGTGCACCTGGCTTTAAACTATTTGAGGTCCAAGATGTATTTCCCATAGCATTTAGCATCCTGTATAACCTCAGTATTAAAATTCACAGAATAACTTTTGTTTGAGAGAGTATTGATCCTATGCCTTTTTTTCTCAGAGGTATTACAGGCTGATACGATTTACACTCTCATTTGTTTACACATGTTAGAACATTGAATGGTTATTTCACATATGGGAAACAGCTAACGCAACTTGTATGCCTGAACCACAAAGCAATTATTCAAGCCTCAAGTAATCCTTTGAATGAATCACAATGCACTGAGAAAGTAAAATAAGCTATCCAATTATCAATATTTACTAAAGAGAAAAGCATTACAGGAATGTCCAGCGAAAAGAATAAACAGAATAAAAATACTGTGGGGAATCTGCAACCAGAAAGAGTAGGTGATGCTTCAGATCAATGCTGAAGTACTTATTAAGAAAGATACTTAGACATCTTTGTGTAATTTCGGAAGTATGTCTTTACAAAGATGGTCTATGACAGTAAAACTGGGAAAAAATAGACCTACAATCTCTGTCTAGTCTAATATTTTCTCTGTCCAGTGTAAATTTTTTTAATTCCGTCTTTTTATCTCCCCATTGAATCTTATTATCACCTGGAAGGGAGGCTACTTTTGATGTGTATACTATTGTCATCAAGTAAGTAAGATGAGTATTTGTTTCCATTGCTGCCTAACAAATCACCAGAAGTTTAACAGCCTAGAACAGCTAGATTTGTTATCTCAAGGTTTCTGTACATTAAAAGTCCATATATGAGTTGACCAGATTGTCTGTACATTTGAAGTCTGTATATGAGTTGACTCGGAGCCTTACAAGGTTGTAATCAAGATATAAACCAGCTATAACGTGAGACTTGGAGCCCTCTGCCAAGCTCACTGGTTGGTAGAATTCATCTCCTTGCGTCTGTATGACTGAGGTCCCTGTTTTCTTGTTAGTTGTCAGAGACCACTCTCAGTTCCCAGAGACCACCCGTAATTTCTTACTACATGGGATCCATAGACCGTTCACAACATGCATATTTATTTATTTTCTTCTAGGCCAGCAGAAGTATGTTTATCTGATTTCTTCCTCTACAACCAACCAGAGAAAACTCTCTACTTTTAAAGAGCTCAACTGATTCGGTCAGGCTGCGGCAGGATAATCTTTCTTTTGCCAAAAATCATAGCATGAAGACTGTGTACATCAAGGGCCAGGAATCATGAAAGACATCTAAAAATTCTGCCTACTACAGTGACCGGGGTCATTTAAGGGATCATTAAAAGATGATATAATAATATTTACTCTCAAGTGAAAGTGGCTTGGAGCTCTAGAGTTAGTTTATATTTATAGAAACTGTCAATTCGATAAGTAACTTTCAGTTTCTGGAAAAAGTGAGTATTGGTATGCAGCAGGTCAAGCTATCATGCTTGATTGCCTCTGTGAACTTAGATTGCTTGACCTGCCTTAATCTTAATTCCCACATTTATTAACTTGGAATTTAATAATGCTTATCTCGTAGAGTCATTCCAAGCATAAGTTATAAGATTTCCTTTAAAGAATTTTGCAAACCATAAGGAATGAAACAAATGTGAGTCATTGCTATTTTCATCATGTATTATTACTTTTCTTTGAAGCCCTAAACAGCTGTAATATTTGGGTTTGTTTTATTTAACCTATTTATGGAAAAGCATAGCTTTAATTTTCAATTTAAGAATGTTATGATGTCTGATTTCGTGTAGGCTTTTTCATTTTCTTTTCTTCTTCTGATTCTTTTTTTAATGTAGGAGTTACAAAGGTGCTCCTGTGCTTCTGATGGCAGATTTAGCACACGAATTTCTGGGAGCAGCATTTGTACATCAAAGGATGTTCTTCTTAAATAATCTGCTAATTAAATTAAAGCTGCTTCAGAGCATCTTTTGCAGTATGGAACTTTTTGATACTGTGTTAATGTTTTATAATCAAGTCTCCAAACGGATTTCTCCAAAACACATGGTGAATGGGTGAAATATGGAGTTAGAGTTTGTGTGTGTATTAATTTTTATGACAGGAAAATAAATAAGGGAAAAAGACTAGGCATAGGAATAAACACCTCTTTTACTTACCATAAAAAAGTAGCTTCTTTATTGTTAAAAATCACTGAACATGAACATGAAAAGCAAAAGAAAAACACAGTCGAAGAGCCTCTTTAACTACCATTCTTGTGGTAGAGGTAGGACTGATATGCATGAATAGTTTTCCAAAGGATCAGAGGAAAGAAGGAAGAATATGTCCAGAACACGGCAAACTAAATAATCATCAGTAAAATGGAGTTTCATTGAATTAGTATTCCCTGAAGGCAAAATATAATAGTAGGAAGTCCTGTCAGTCTAATTCAAGGAGGTTTATTCATTGGAATACCAAAAGTACAGAATTACTAAATTTTACTAAGTGGTGGTGGTCTTCAGTAGATTTTCTGACATCTCAGCTTTTAAGTATTGATTTTTATTAAATTTCAGTAGCAACATTTGAGTTTAGATAGAATGCACCGTTAACTTAACAACACCTTGTAGTTAAGCTCTTTCTAGAAAACTAATCTCAGACACTACCTGGCAATTAAATTATTATGTAAGCTTCAAAATCTGCAATTGCAATGCCTTCTGATGTGGTTTGGATATCTGTCCAGCCTAAATCTCATTTTGAATTGTAATTCCCAATGTTGGAGGCAGGACCTAGTGGGAGGTGTTTAGATTATGGGGATGGATTTCTCATAGCTTGGTACTGTCCTAAAGATAGTGAGTAACTTCCCGTGAGATCTGGTTGTTTAAAAGTATGTGGCACATCCCCCACACTCCCTTGTTCCTGCTCTCGCCATGTGACCTGCCTTCCACCATGAGAACAATCTCCCTGAAGCCTCCCCAGAAGCTGACCAGATGTTGGTGCCATGCTCATACTGTCTATGGAACCATGAGACAATTAAACCTCTTTTCCTTATAATGTACTCAGTTTCAGGTATTTCTTTATAGCAATGCAAGAACGACCTAACACAACTTCTCACACACAAAAAAAATGCATCTAAAAATGTAGGTATTCATTGTTTTATACGCCCCATCTGTTCAACTGCATTGTTGCCCTTGAATGATAGGTGATAAGGAAAGTTAGATGAATTTTTTTGGCTTTTCAGATGAATTCATTTCTTTCAAGTATGTAAATAATTTTAAGCAAAAGACAATTTTTTTTTTTTAGAAGGAGTCTCGCATTGTTGCCAGGGCTGGAGTGCAGTGGCACGATCTTGGCTCACTGCAACCTCAGCCTGCCAGGTTCAAGCGATTCTCCAGACTCAGCCTCCTGAGTAGCTGGGATTACAGGAGGCTGCCACCATGCCCAGCTGATTTGTGTATTTTTAGTAGAGGCGGGGTTTCACCATGGTGGTCAGGCTGATATCTCCAACTCCTGACCTCATGATTTGCCGGCCTCAGCCTCCCAAAGAGAACAATATATTTTTATCTAGAGGAAGTATAAAACTTAAAGCACTTAAATTCTTTAGTCCCCACTGAATGATAACTTTGCTACTAAAATAATTTAATACTAACCAAATTAAAACAAAGGGCTGAGTAATGCCAAAGGAGGAATTTCCCATTAATTTGTGCTGTTGACTGGCCCTAAATATTAATAAACAGAGAAAATGAGGAGAGAGAGAACCTAAGTGGACATGGAATGACAGTAAACTCTGACTAAAAATACACATTGAATTTAAGTGGTCTTAATTTTAAAAGTCAAGCACTTATGTAGTAATTTGTAAATAAGAAGGATATGATAGAAGATAAGATCCAGAATTTGAAGAAAGAGACAGCAGGAAAAAGTATAATCAAGATGGGCAAGGCCTCTTGATAAAATATGATGTAAATACATAAGAAGAATAACCTTCTTAATATAGTACTTCCAGGAAAATCTTAGGTTCTCTTTTCTTCTTGGAGGTCATGATCAATGCAATATTTTCATGATCGTATTATAATTACCAGCAGGAAAATCTGTCAATTATCATCAAATATACCTCAACAGTCTTTGAATACTAGTCAATGTATCCAGTAGGTGAATTAGGAATTGTAGATACTAATAGTAATCGTTGTGATTTTTCACTCTAAAAACTCCAGCAGCTAGTCAACAGCTGCTTGCCCAAGAATCCACATTTTAAGGAATTCTGCAGAGTAGGTTACAAGATGCTCATTTATTTTATTTTGAGACATAGTCTTGCTCTGTCTCCCAGGCTTTAATGCAGTGGCATGATTTCGGCTCACTGAAGCCTCTGCCTCCTCGATTCAGGTGATTCTCCTGCCTCAGCCTCCCGAGTAGCTGGGATTACAGGTCCACACCAGCATGCCCGGCCAATTTTTTGTATTTTTAGTAGAGACAGGGTTTCACCATGTTAGCCAGGCTGGTCTTGAACTTCTAACCTCAGGTGATCCACCCGCCTGGGCCTCCCAAAGTGCTGGGATTATAGACATGTGCCACCACGCGCAGCCACAAGGTGCTCTTTTATGAGAAATTTGTGTATCCTGTTCAATGGATTGAAAATATCGAGTATTTAACGATCTGTAGATAGAGGACAATGCACATAGGCAATCTGCTTGTCTATTAAAGCAGTCACTGCATGTCAATAAATGTGTGTGGTATTTGAAGACATTAACATGTCCATATTTGACTTTGCATTCATTATGCAATTCATACATCTGTATTGTCCATTCATACCTTTTATTTTCCCTAGAGAAAAAAGGAATCAGGACAAATGCCAAGGGAGGTAAAGTCTCCTGACTACAGTAACTAATCTGTGTCAATAAAGTCTTTTACACAAACAAAACTGTGGACAATGGCAAATCTTACATTATAAATTATCTTTTCCTTACTTTTCCTGTCCATGAAATCTCCACACAGGTCCAGGGGTAAGAATTTAGTGATACCAACCAGTGGTGGAGGCTTTTATTCAATAGGATTTTTAAATTAAACACCTGCTGGGCTTTTCTCCAGTTCAGACTTTCTTTTCATTCCCATGGCCCTATGCTAGAAATAGTAAGAAGATGTAAAGTAAGAATAAGTAGTTTTAGAGCACTTTTTAAGAAAAATTTAGTACTTTGTGCTCAAATCATGTTGGCGCTGATTTGATGAGGTAAGAGGTCAGGGCTGGGGAAATAGGTAAATGAGCAATCTTTCTTAGCATATGAAAACAGCCAATCTATACAGTGGCTGAGGACATAGACACTAGCTCATATTGAAGAAATCAATATTAGTCAGGCAGGCTACAGCATTGAGTTGGAAGACAGAAAATTATTTGGATTATTTTCTTCCCTGTTGTCTACAGGGAACAAGAAATGGGAACAAGAAAGCACTATCAGCAACCAATGGAGAAAAGGGGCACAACCTCCTGAAATACACTTAAAGATGATGACCAGGAAACTAGCAATGCATACAGATCCATTAAAAAGAGATTCCATGGAAGTCATACATAAGAGTTAAAACTCTGGCAATTTTCACTAATGCCCTTTGTCAACAAAATAAATGAAAGCCAAATAGTTAAACCCTAAATTAGAGGAATAATCCATCATTTTACCAATCCTCCCAGGAAAAATATGTAGTACTTTCCAGGAAGATAGAAAAAAAAAATTTTTAACTTAGTAAGACTATTGTTTCAACTGTTTTTTTTTCCTGTTCATTTCTCCATTTTTTTTCTGGCCATACAATAGTGGCTGCAACACAAAAATAACAGACTACGATTTTTAAAAAATTTTCTGACATATTTTGATTGATAGATTATGACTTTATTTGCACTGGTTGGAGGTCAGTTTGTTTTTCTTTTCTGTAATACAGATTGAGGCCTGATATGTTGTAAAGAATGAAGGAAAGCAGGAAGGAGAGAAGGAAGGAAGAAAGAAAAGAAGGAAGGAGGAAGAAAGGAAAGAAGGAATAAAGGAAGGGAGGAGGAGGGTATATAAAGAAGAAGGAAAGAAAAAGGCAAAAAGAATAGTTTTAGAAGAAACATACCTCAAGAAACAGAAGGTAAATCCTCTTAATCATTTCATGCTTTACAACTAGTTCATAAGAATATGAATTTGAAAAAATAAGAACTCAAACTATACAATAAAAAACAATATTAAATCAAAAGGGAAATCGAGAACAAAATAAAGGAATTGAAGGCAAATAGTATGATTATAATACTAGTATATAAATTAGAAATGTTTGGAAACAAATGAGTCTAAAACCTAAAATACTAAAAGTTAACTCTTAAATTTAGTAAACACAGATTAAAGTTATATGTAAATTAAAGAATGTGAACGTAACCTATTAGGAATTGAAAATATACACAATGATCTAGTATAGAAACAATTGGTGTCATGAAATAGAGAGCTGAACAAAACTGAAATTGAAGTTGGATATATAATAAATTTATTTGAATGGACGGAATGTTTTAATTATCGTATCAAGAGAGCATATTATGTATCAGAAAATGATGATGCAAATTCTTCACCAATACCAAGTTTATGCTAGTTAAGTTATTGAGCTTCAGCAACAAAATACATGTGTGCATCTTAGCCACAAAATAGAAGAAGGAAATAAGAACTACAATGGTGAGAAATTCAGGCTGGCTTTAGATTTCTTCTTTGCAATATTTAAAGTTAGAAGAAGTCAGAACAAGGTCTATGGAGATTATAGAGAAAAAGTTTAATTTCCAAGAATACTGCATTCTGCTAGGAGAATGTTAAAGAACCAGCAACAGGTAGATATTATCAGCCATGACAAACTTAGAGTACTTGTTAGAAAACCTTAAAAGAAACCATTAAAGGGTCATGACACTCAATGGCAGGACCATGCTGTGAAATATAAAGTAGGATGTATGAGGGAATTAACAACCACAACAAACTCACTGGAGAGAATTAGTTATGAACATGCCCTCCCCTCAAAACTCATTATCTCAAAGTTTAGAAACGGCAATATTCCAGTAGAGGGAATCAGCGTCCATAACGCTTTACATATTTATAAGGTCGAAGGTAAAGGGAACATCTATGCAATTAGGAAAAATGGAAGCACCCTTGTCATAAAGGCGGCTTTGTGTCAGTTAGCTGCGTCTTATTTCTGCCAAACACAGACATGTTTGATGATTCTGCTTTTAAGTAAAGTACCACAAGGAGGGAACAGACAAGCCTCAGGAGCATCAGATTTGTCTGTTATCAAAACTTTCATTTGGACTTCAAAACTTCCTTCAATTTCTATTGTCTCTTATAGTAAAATTAAACTAATTATTGTTATTAAAATTGTATTTATAATATAGACTCATTTGAAGGTATTTATATAAAATGTTTATTCTACTTACTATCTTTTCTAACTATTTGTCCTTCTACCTGTATATAAATGTAGAGATATGTCTAAAAAATGTTAACACAATCTAACAATAGTAATTTCTAGAATTAAATGCATAATTTTTACATTTATTATTATTACGCATTTAATGTCTTTACAAAAAGTGTGTATTATATTTTACTAATTAATAGAGTGATTATTTCTCAAGAAATCTTGAAGCAAAATGCAAAGATGATAGATGAAAATAGTAGTTAATTTTGGATGGCGATTATATGCCTTGCCATAAGACAAGCATTAGAAAAAACAGGGAATAAAGAGAAAAAGCCCTGAGATATAGAGGTAAAAGCTATGCAATAAAAAGACAACCAGTATGTCTAGAAGATGGAAAACGCCAGAGCCAGGGCATGTAAAGCTCTATGTCTAAGATAAGAATTTTGAATTTTATTCTATGTAGAATAGAAAGTCATTGAAAATAGGGGAGTTACATGATCAAATTTTCCTTTAGAAATATTGATCTGGCTTCTGTTAGATAATGAACTCTGGTAGTAGAGAATGCCAGGTGCAAAAGTGGGGATAAGAAAAACACTTAGAAGATTATTGTAGGGAGAAATATGCCTATCATTTAGAACATGATTAGATTTAAAATATTTTTGGAGGTAGGACCAACTAGATACAGCACAGGTAAAAATAAAGACGAATATGGAATGCATTATATATTTTTGATCTGAGCAACTGATTGTGTCATTTATTTTGACAGAGAAACTTGGCAGTAAGTGAATTCGATGGGAAGAATGTTTGTAACATGTTTTGGAAGTATTAAATTTGACATAACTTTAGACCGTAAGTGGAGATATCAAGAAGATACTTGGGTATGTGCCTGGAGTATAAGAGAGAGATAAGTGTTAGAGATTTAAATTGAAGATTCATCCACCTGGAGATGGTCTTTGTAATCATAGAACTGGACAAAATTTTCTATACAGAGTGTATAAAATTAAAAGAGAATTAAGAACAGAGACCAGCAGCACTATAATATTTAGAGATATGGTGAAGAAACAGGAGCCTTAAAAAAAAGGCTTGAAGGATTCTTCAGCAAGGAAAGAGAAAAGCATGAATATGAAGAGGCATGAAAGGCTACCGATAAGATGTCTCACTAAGTGGAGGTGGGGTGGTAATCAATAGCATAAAATTTTGCTGAGAGATTAATCAGATGAAAGCATATTTAGCTTTCACAAGCTTTTATTTATAGTTACATTGATTAGGTATCATGACCTTGTAATTTCAGTGTATTATGTGAAACAGCAAACAATTATGTAAAACAAATACATAAAAATATGATCATATATCTCAAATTATACATATTTAATCCCATATTTTCTAGAAGTTTCATAGTAACAACCTCTGGCATTGCTTATAGAAATATTACACTATAATTAAATATACATTTTTCTGATACGTGTTTAATTTGAGAAACATCATTAGTTTCTTTCTTTTTTTTTTTCTTTCTTTTTTCGAGAAGGAGTTTTACTCTTGTTGCCCAGGCTGTAGTGGAATGGTGTGATCTCGGTTAACCACAACCTCCGCCTCCCAGGTTCAAGCGATTCTGCTGCCTCAGCCTCCCGAATAGCTGGGATTACAGGCCTGCGCCACCATGCCTGGCTAATTTTGTATTTTTGGTAGAGGCGGGATTTCTCCATGTTGGCCAGAATAATCTCGAACTCCCCACCTCAGATGATCTGCCCACCTTGGCCTCCCAAAGTGCTAGGATTACAGGTGTGAACCACTATGCCCAGCCTATTAGTTTCATTTTTTAAAAGACATTAACAAAAAGAAAAATGGGATTGCTTAAACGGCACTGTCCCTAAAATTAATTTTTTTTAAATTACAAAAGTTGTTTCTAAATATATCTTATGGTTAAATTTGAATGTATTCATTGGGCATGTTATTCTATTTATATAATTAACTTTTTAATTTAAAAACATGTATTAAAATTGCCTTACGCATAGCTACCAACCCAGATTGTTAGCTGTTTGTCTAACAAACTGTGGCTTCCTTAGACATATTGAAATAGTCATCAAAACACAAATCTTGTGATGCTAAATTTGTAATATTGACACCAAGGCTACATTTGCTACCTTCAGGTTGAGGGGGAGATGGCAGGGAATTGACATATAAGCAACTATTCAGTATGCCAGAAATTTTGCATATACAAATTTATTTAATATTCATAGTAGTCCTGGAAAGGGAAGACATCAGCATCTACATTTAACAGGTGAAAAATAGGAATGTTGGAGTCAAGTTTTAACAACCTCCAAACATCACCAGCACCACACTTTCAATACACTGTGGTAGCTCAAAACTCTCCAGAACTCTTTGGCAGTAGATAATCCATGCACACTGGCCCTGACAAAGGCCCAGATCTCTTCAATTTTCTCTGTATGGTTTCTATTTCTGGTGATGTATACTCATTTTGTTTTGTAAATTTCCGAAATGTCATATGCTGTATCTTCTCTTTCCTATAAAATTTTTGACACCTTACCATAGAAGGACCAACATATGCTGCTGATAGTCAGATAATAAGATGGCTATTAACATAAATATTCTTTCATTTTTCACATATGGATCAAACCTTCTGCAGCCTTATTTTCACATTCCATCTGAATCCACATGTCACTGGAAATAACCTACTGACATAATGTGGAATGTCTGTTCCTTTGTGTGGACAGATGGAGGGCCCCATTCAGACAACTGTGCAAACATTGAGCAGTAACATAAAATAAACTCCTAACATTTTATATGAACACTGAAATCAGTATATTTTGCAAAGTGGTGAGTGAAAGGGAAGTTCAAGAATGAGACTATTTAGACATTTATGCAGAGAAATAAATACGTGTATAAATGTGAGATATTTATCTGTGTTTTAATTAATCATTGACTAGTTAGTTGAAGGATGACATGGGATTCTAAAGCTGTTGGAAAGAAGGAGAGTGGATTGTGTGGTGACCTGGTAATGGTCTGGGAGAAGGCTAACAAAAGAGGAAAGAGAATGATGATTTAACACTAAGGGCAACAATAAATGTGCATATAATAGAGTGGGAGTTGGAGAAAGAGAGAGCAAAGGTGCTTTAGTACATCCTAGGGTCTATAACACAGAATGCAGAATGTGTAAGGTTCAGAACTTACTTAAATGGAAAACAAAGCAAAATTAGAAATGCTGACAAAGAAATGCTACCCCTGTCTCTGCCACAAGGACCATTGATTCATCAGTTCAACAAAACCAGTTAGCACTAAAAACCAGTTAGCAACTGAAACCAGTTAGAAAGATGAATGGAAACACAGAATTATCAAGCATAGAAACATAAAATTGTAACTTTATCTACTATCCACATTGTGTTGGCCCCCATGGAAGGTCTTCTCAACTAGCGTAGTACTTAAAGTTCCAGGATTGCATCCATGAAGGATATAAGTCAAATGTTCTGGAATCTGGACACTCACTGACATGTATAATCATGCTGGACACATGTATGGAGATGCCATAATTAAATATGGGTAAAAATGTAGACATCTTTCCCTATTTGTAAGTGTCCCATTTCATTTTGAATAAAATTTATGCTTTTATCCTATGGCTTCCAAGATGCAGCATTATCTAGTCTCTGTTTATCTCTACAAACTCATATCCTGCCATACATTTTTTTATATTATATTGTAATCACACTTCTCTCTTTCAGTCTCTAAAATCAATCAGATTATTTAATAAAAGAGGAAGTTTCTGTATAACATTGAGAAAAAAGGAACTGGAGAAAATACTATGTCTGTGGTCCATCCTCCTTATTCCTCAGTGCAGAGTAGCTTGACATATGACCATTGGCATTTCAATTCTCAAGCAGATAGTGTCAATAGTTGGTTGAAAGACAATCTCACAAAAGAACATTAATGTCTAAATCCCTGGCACCTGTGAACGTGACTTTGTTTGGAAAAAAGATCTTTGCAGATGTAATTAAGCTATGAATCTCAAAATGAGACAATTCTGAATTACCTGAGTGGCCCCTAAATCCAAGATTGAGTATCCTTATAAGAGATCGAAGAGGAGCATACAGAAAGAGAAAAGAAAGAATGTGAAGAGAGAGGCAGAGATGGGGGTGATGTGGCCACAAGCCATGGGAGATGAGGAATACTGACAACCATCAAAAGCTGGAAGAGGCAAGGGATAATTTTAGAACCTCTGGCAGTAGCTTGGCACTGCTAACACCTTGATTTCATACTTTCATCCTCCAGAGAAGTGAGAGAATACGTTTCTGTTGTTTTAAGCCACCTAATATGTGGTAATTTTTTACAGTAGTCCCAGAAAAATAATGGTAGAGATGGATGTATCTGGCTTTTGGAATTTAGCCATCAAGATTATTTAACTAACTCTCTGTTCAGTAAACAATTATTTCATTGTTTATTAACTAATTAGTATTAGTTAATAGTTTTCTCAGAGGAAAGTATGCTGGTCAATCAGTAAAATATTATGTTGCTTTTGACATATACGGCAGAATTTGACAAATTTGACAATACTATGAAACTCTAGTTTATTTCATAATCTCTTGTGGATTTGGTTAGCTTGACTCAACCCAAAGATACTGATTACTGAAAATATCCTAATTCATTAAAGTCCTGGTGCTGTGGAATCAACTAATTGCCTTAAATCCCAACTATGTCTCCTTGTAACTACATCATAGTGAGTGGCTTCCTTTTTCTCATAAGCATTTTTTTTTATCTGTGAAAAGGAAATATTAATGAAATTATTTCAAGGCTCAATTTGACAGCATGTGTACACCAATTATCACAGAATCAGGGAGAAAATGTCTTAATGAATGGTGGGCTTTACTATCATCTTTATAATTATCATCATCCCATTCTTCCCTACAAGATTCACACTTAATCACTCTAAAAATATATAAGGTTAACTATCTTTAACGAAAGAAACTTACTATGCAAGATATGTACTTTCTGAGTATAGTATGTGAGATTCACAGGTTTCCGGAGAGGTGTTTCCTTTTTCCAGCTTTCCATCGAAAAGATCAGTTGCACAGAATTTTATTACCCTATACAAACTCATGCCAAATTCTTAGCGTCTATATCAATTTATATGCTGCTTTAAACTTAGAGCTCTGATCCTTGCTAACTTGCTCACTTTAATCTTCTATGATTCCATTTCCTTGGATTCTGAATATAATACATTTTTTTCTTTTACAAGTGAATACATTTGTCTGTTAACAGAGAGGTCAATTAGCTTAAAATGTACTGTAATAAAAATATTTACTACTTCATTCTTGATGAATTGGGAATGTGTGTTTTTCATGTTAGTTTTGTACGTGAGGATGAATAGCTTTATCCAGCAATCACTAGTTTTGATTACTACTATACTTTACATCCAGGGTAAAAATGCTGTCAAGAGCAACATAAACTTGTACAACTCTGTGCAGGATCTCTTCCATTTGCCATCCTCTCCTCTCATTATTCTCCATCCTTCTCCTTTTGTTTTCTGCCCAGAAAGTTGATCTATATGCACTACATCAGTGTGTTTGCATGCCTTAAGCTACAGCAGGAAGTCTTAGGGAGGAAGGAGTGTGAAATAAGATTCACCTGCCTCCTTCACTTTGAGGATGCCTCAACCTGGCTGTGCTCTTAACCAAAGGTCACTAGTCTCTCAACATAGTCTGCTTTATTTAACATTCTTTTATTTGTTTTTTTCTGATTTCTGTTAACCAAACCCTTTGGGCCTAGAAGTTGACATTAATGCAACTTTTAGTCTGGAATCCTCCAATAGCTCTGTTTTGCCTACATATTGGTCATACCTTTGCAATTTTTTTTTTTTTTTTTTTGCCAAATAAGAAAAGGAAACACATTCCTTGAATTATTTTTTTTTAATTTTTTCATTTCCATAGGTTTTTGGGGAACAGGTGGTATTTGGTTACATGAGTAAGTTATTTAGTGGTGATTTGTGACATTTTGGAGCACCCATCACCTGAGTAGTATACACTGAACCCAATTTGTAGTCTTTTATTCCTCACCACCCTCCCACCCTTTCCCCTGAGTTCACAAAGTCCATTGTGTCATTCCTATACCTTTGCATCCTCATAGCTTAGCTCCCATTTATGAGTGAGAAGATGTAATGTGTGGTTTTCCATTCCTGAGCTACTTCAGAATATTAGTCTCTAATATTACTATTAGAATAATAGTCTCCACTTCCATCCAGGTCTGCGAATGCCATTAGCTCATTCCTTTTTATAGCTGCTTAGTATTCCATCGTATATACATACCGCAGTTTATCCACTTGTTGATTGATGGGCATTTGGGTTGGTTCCACATTTTTGCAATTGTGAATTGTGTTGCTACAAACATGCATGTGCAAGTATGTTTTTTGTTTAATGACTTATCTTCCTCTGGGTAGATACCCAGTAGTGAGATTGCTAGATCAAATGGTAGTTCTACTTTTAGTTCATTAAGGATTCCCCACACTGTTTTTCCATAGCGGTTGTACTAGTTTACATTCCCACCAGCAGTATAGAACTGTTCCCTGTTCACCGCATCCACACCAACATCTATTATTTTTTGATTTTTTGATTACGGCCAGTCTTGCAGGAGTAATGTATTATTGCATTGTGGTTTTGATTTGTATTTCCCTGATCATTATTGATTTTGAGCATTTTTCATATGTTTCTTGGCCATTGCTCTACATATATAAAATCATCTAATTAAAACAGCAACACTATGAAACTGATATTGGTTTTTATACCTATTTATTATATGTGGAAATTGAGGCAGTGAGAAGCTAAGGAATTTGCTCAAGTTCACATGTCAATAGTTGTGAGGTGGTGATTAAAGCTCAGGTAATCTGACTCCACAGCCCAGGTTCACAAAAGTGCTATAGTTCTTCATTTGACAGCATCCATTTTTATAGAATAATTTGTACCCATGAAATAAATGCTTCAAGACATTTGTTTTGATAATATGAGAAAATGTATGTGATATTGGTAAGTGAAATAGAATTTTGCTTTGCAAGATATATAAACATATAAAATCAAGATTGGAATGTCATAAACAAAAGATGTTTCCAGAAATGGAAGAATAGATTATTCAAATTGTTGTTATATTTTGTGTTTGCCAACATTTCTAAAATAAACTTACATTAATAAAAACATAATTGTGGAAGTAAATTTTCAATATTTTGTAACACAAAACATTATATGGTATCTTTATCATCTGATAATGCTGATGTGTTGAACAGCATATAAACAGCACTAGCGGTTGCTGGAAAAATGCCTATAAAGTATATATTTATTTGTTTTTATTGATGACTTTTTTCTTTATCCAAAATTACTCTCAATCTTAATCATGATCTCAATCTTAATAACAGGCTAGCTAGAGCTAAAATGAAGAAGATGGAGTGAGGGCATACACAAAAGGAAAAGGAAGTTATACATTCTTTCTAAAAGAAAAAATAAATATAAAATATCTGGCAAAATTTACTTGTAACAAAGAAAATTTGTCCAGGGCTTTTAGACAAAAATTAGCCTATTTAAGGAAATAACATATCTCAATTTTGCTACTTCAATACACGTCATCAGATTGTACAGGTTTAAGATTTGTTTGTTAAAGTCGAGCCATTGATCTCTTTGCTGTTTCTTTTGTACCTTCCTCTCCTCTCCTCTCCTCTCCCCTCCTCTCCAGGCTCCTCTGCTTTCCTTTCCTTTCCTTTCTTTTCTCTGTTTCTCTTTTTTTTTTTTTTTTTTGTCTGAGATGGAGTCTCACTCTGTTGCCTAGGCTGGAGTGCAGTGGCTTGATCTCGGCTCACTGAAGCTTCCACCTCCTGGGTTTAAGTGATTCTCCTGCCTCAGCCTCCCAAGTAGCTGGGATTATAGGTGCCCACCAGCACGCCTGGCTATTTTTTGTGTTTTTACTAGAGACAGGGTTTCACCATGTTGGCCAGGCTGGTCTCAAACTCCTGACCTCAAGTGATCTGCCCATTTCAGCCTCCCAAAATGCCGGGATTACAGGCATGAGCCACTGCACCCGGTCCTTTGTTTATCGCAATGGAAGATTAAATTAGAGGGAAAGGAATAAAATCATTTGCTAGAGAGCTACAACAATCTAACTTTTTTCTTGCCACCCCCAGAGTAAAATGGTTTGGTTGAACAAACACGAGGACCTAATTATTGATTGAGCCTTTTAAAAACTAATGCAAAATTATCAAATTAATAAGTAGCAGTGAAAATGAGCCCTTTTATAATAAACCAACAGAGAAATAAAACTCACATTTGAGCTTCATGGTTTAGTAAATGTTTAGGATTGAGAATATGTCTGTAAGACATGAATAGATTTCAAAATGCACATTTTTAGAAGAAACATGTTAATGAGTACTTGGGGGTGAGTGGGGGAAAAATAGGAGCATATTCTCTCTCTCTCTAGAGATAAAATGCACTTATTGGGCCATATTCCCATAATTATCTTACACTCTAACTCTCAGCTTACAAAGTGTTCATTGCCTGGGCTACTGCTCAAAAATGCAAAGTGAATCATATCACTGTCTGCTTAAAATCTGAGATATTCCCTATTTTTTTGTTTGTTGTTTGTTTGTTTTTTTCTAATGAGGTTTAAGTCCGTGGTCATGGCATCTAAAACCATTTATAATCCAGTCTCAACTGCACTAATTACCACTTTTTGTGACTCCCTCTCAAGTACCAGTAGCCCTTGCTAGAAAAATATCTCAACGTTTGATGAAGTCAAACTCTTTAAAACTTCCTTATTTTTTTTTCAGATATTATTCTGCCTAATCCATTCTCCTCCCTTGATAATGACATTTCCCTGTTTGATTGTTTTCTATTTACAATTTTGGTTCTAATTTTTATACATTAACATCTGTGAGTTTCCCAAGGAAATAGACCACAACTTTTTCATGGTCTTATTCTTTGCATCCAATACCGTGTCAGACCCAAATAATTAATAGATATTGGTAGAATTAAAAATTAACAATATAGGCATCTGTTGAAAGAAAATATTTAAATGAAATAGGTGAAGTTGTGTAAAATATATATTTCATTTCTAAATCGCTCTGAAGTAAGCACATTATTTTTCCTAAAGTTTTGGAAAATAAGGTAAAAAAATTCTTCTTAAAATCTATTTCTGTATATATCTACAGGCTATTATGAACAATGTGGCTATGAGTGAGTTATTAGCCTGACCAAGATTATTCACAGACTAATAGGATGTCAGAGGGAACATGCAAACTGCCTAGAACCTCCGGCTCATCCACCCATAGGTTATCAGTTTGGATAGTGGATGAAGTTAATCAGATAAGGTGATCTGTGGCTCTTCTTTCTTAGTTTTGTGTTTGTGTTTCATTTTGTTTCCATAAAAATAATCCTTCATACTGAATATATTCAGTTTTATAAGTATGCTAATAACTCTCTAGCTTTCTGTTTTCTAGGCTGGGATATTTCCTACTCATGTTGTCAGCCTTCAGTTTCTGGTAATGATATTGCTGGCACCCACACTGTGACCATATTGCCCTCTCATTAGGGCTTTTGATTGTTTTCTATTTGCTAGGAAAAGGCAGACTAAATTATTTTAATTCATATGCATTTATTCATTTCTTTCCTCAAGAGCATAACTCTGAGTTTCTACAGCTTTTTAGTTAATACTATCATTGCTGATTTACATTAGGTCCCTCTAATTCCATTTATTAATTTGCTCATTTCCTTTAAACTCATCCTTACTCTTCCCCTCTCCAATATGCAACCATTCCAGTGTGTTCAGTGCGTTCATTTTATTTCCTGTGATCTAATAAAATGCACATAGATTATATAATGGTGTTTTTTCAATAAATTTATTGCTTATTTTTTCACTCAGCAGTGTCATTTTAACATGTAGCTGTGTGCACATTTAGTACATTCCCTCTACTGTTATGCAGTGTTCCACAGTGATTACCCATTAAATTTGACTTAATCATTTCCTCAGTGCTGTTTTAATTGCCTCCAATGCTTGGCTATGCAAACAACACTGTGATGATCATCCTCATCTTTCTTAGGTTCTTAGGTTAGCATTTCTCCAGGATGTATTCCAAGAAGGAAAGATGGTGGGTCTAGGATGTCTAGAGATGCACATACTGATTTTAACAAAGAACTGCCAGATTGCACTTCAGAATGGCTGCACCAGTCTATACTCCCATGAGTAGTACATGAAGGTTTCCACAAGCCCAACATGCCCAGTGCTTGGCAGTATATACTTTCTAATCTTTGCCAATTTGCTGGATGAGAGTGATACTTTATTGTTGCAATTTTGCTTTTTTCCCCCAGTGAATGTGGGGAATTATTGACATATTTCTTTGCCTATCTTAGTTTGTTTGGGCTTCTACAAAAAATACCTTAGACTGGGCAATTTATAAATAATAGATTGGAATATCTATTTATAAATAATAGATTGTGCAGTTCTGGAGGGTGGGGATTCCAAGTTGAAGGTGCCAGCAGATCGAGTGTCTGATGAGGGTTTGCTATCTCTCATTCAAGGATGGCATCTTGCTGTGTCTTTAAATGGTGAAAGGACAAGTCAGCTCCTTTCATCCTTTTCTGGAAGGGCACTAATCCCGTTAATGAAAACCTTGCCCATGTAACTTAATGACCTCCTAAAAACCTCACCTCTTAATAATGTCATGTTGGTGACTAATTTTCAAAATAAACATTTCAGGGGACACATTCAGACCATAGCACTGGCCCTTTGACTTTTCCCATCTATAAATTCCTTCTTGGTGTTTGTGGCTTATTTTTCTATTTGGATTCTTGCCATTCTTTTTGTGATAATCTGGTAAATTTCAAATTTCATCAATTACTGACTATATAAATTAGAAAATGCTAGTATCTTCTCTTAATCTCACATTTATTAAACTTGCTCATTTTCCACGAAGAAAAGATGATTAATTTTGCAAATTTATGTTTTTATGTATTTATTTTCTTTATATTTGTACCTTTGCAATTTTATTTATTTATTTTTGAGATGGAGTCTCACTCTGTCCCCCACGCTGGAGTGCAGTGGTGTGATCTCGGCTTACTGCAAGCTCTGCCTCCCGGGTTCACGTCATTCTCCTGCCTCAGCCTCCCAAGTAGCTGGGACTACACACGCGCGCCACCACGCCTGGCTAATTTTTTGTATTTTCAGTAGAGACGGGATTTCACTGTGTTAGACAGTATGGTCTCAATCTCCTGACTTTGTGATCTACCCGGCTTGGCCTCCCAAAGTGCTGGGATTACAGGCATGAGCCACCGCGCCTAGCCATTGCAGTTTTATTTTAAAAGATATTTCCCTTGTTGTTTTCTGTTAGATCTATAGATTTATCTTGACAATTCTATGCTCATAGGTAAGGATTTAGTTTTATTTGCTCCTTAATGAAAATGTTTTCTTAATGAAATCTCCTGAACAGTTTGTCCTTTACCAGTTATTTTTTTGGTGCCGTTTAAATCATGGAGGATTAATTTCCCAAACATAGAACTTTTTCTGAAACGCCTGCTGAATTTCATATGTTTATTTAAGTTCTACTGTGTTATTAACAATAGTTTTATTAATATGACCTTGAGTATGTATTTATCACAAGTCCTTGCTTTCTGATCATTTTCAAAATTAATTGATTTTTCTATGGTCTTTAAATATTTAATATAACATTTTGAATACATTTGTTAGAATCTCCCATAGTTATTTTCACTGTGACTGATTAAAGAAATAAACAATGTTAGGGCCATATATAAAAACAGAACTCTGATCTTCCCACAATCTGCAGCAACCAACTTAAGAAACCAACCCATTATCTGCAATAATCAGCCCAGAATCCAACCTGCTATAATGAGACTTGTGGGAAGTCAGACCACTATCTCTAGCAAACAATCTAAGAGGGCAAACAGTAACCCCTGTGACAATAGGCCCTAAACAGCGAGAACTTCATTAATAACTGGCAGTTCTCCTATTGTTGTTCCTACTTCCAGCATAGAACCAACCAGAAAAAGCTAAATATGCGCACCCTAACAATCACATAAGAAGCCCTCCTTTTAGTTAGCTGCATACAGCTTCCTCATACCAATAGCTTTCAATCAGGGTGCAACTGAAGCCTTCCGTTTCTTCCACTATAAAGTTTTCCCACTCCTCTGCTGTCGTTTAGTCTCTACCAAAACAAAAGTGATGGTGGCTGACTCCCTAAGTGGGGCAAGCTCTGAGTCAATGGTCTTTTCTTGTTTTTATTTTGTTGGTCCGTATTTATTTCCACAGTTGTACTCAACTTACAGATTAATCTGGGAAACATTGAAAGATTTATAATGAGTTGCTCCACCTAAGAACATGGAATACGTTTTCATTTATTCAGAATAGATTTCATTTGCATTGTTTTAAAGTTGTTTTCACAGGTGTAAACTTTTTATCAGGTTAATTTTTTTACTTCTATTATTCACATTTTCTTTTACTCTGTTTTTCTGCTTAATTACTTCTTTAGAGGAAAGTTCTGGAACATCCACACACTATTATTTAGTATTTATTTCTTTTCTGGCTGCTGTCTATTTGATGGTATATATTGGGTTTACATATGGTCTGGAGGGTTACATCTTCTTGCTATATTTTTTATTTAGCAGTATACTGCCGTTCCTATTTGTCTCTCAGGATATTTTTTCCATGCATTTTATCTTGCTTGATATTAAAATGGTACTAAATTTTTTTCTTCCTCTCTTCCTTCCTTTTCTTCCTTTCATCCCTTCTTTCATCCCTCCCTTCATCCCTCTCTTCCTTCCTTCCTTTCTTCATCCTTCCTCTTTCTTCCCTTTCCCTAACTGCATGGTATAAATTCTCATTTATTTTTTTGAGTGTGCTTCTTGTAAATAATTTTTTAGATTTTATTTTAACTTAAATTGAGATTCTCTGATGTTTATGGCTAACGTGAAATTTATGTTAGTTCCTGAACATATTAGAAATTCTTTGTCATCTTATTTCATAAATTTGATCTCTTCCGCTTTCTTTTTAATGTTCTTTTCCCCTTTACTTCATTTACTTACATTACTTTTTCTGCTAATTAAAATTTACATTTTCTGTGTTTATTTTTATGTTAATTATGTTTATTTAAGATCCATACTACCATTTATTACTCTACCTTCTTAGATTTATCAGTACTATGTTCTCCCCTAATTCAGCTAGTACCTTATATTTCTTTATTCCTGCTCTCCTATGCCAACCTAAGGGTTCATACTACCTAAAGACTTAGTTCTAAATGTTTTCATGGTTATATTGTTTTTCTTTCATTTTACCCTTGATTTTTCAAACAACAATAAACTTTCTTAAGTTATGTCATGATTTTTTCTTTCGTATATCTTGGTATAGGCCTCCTGAATTCATTTTTGTTAATTTAAATCTTCTTCCAGAGATGTTTTCAAAATGGGTTTGTTTGCAAAATTTCTGTGAAATGTTATTATGCCCTTATATTTAAGTGAAAATTTGGCTCATCTTTTTTCCTATTCAATGATCTAAATTAAGTAGCTGCCTATCATTTACTTGTAGTTAGTTTCTCTTGATCAAGATAATCAGCACTGCAAGTTATTTTGGATTTGGGGGTAGGAAATGATCATTCCCAAGGCAATGTGAAAGAGAGGCAAGAACACAACTTTAGAGTTCTCTCTCAAACTATGTCCCATTCTTCACTCTAAGCAGTAGCTACCATCAGTCCTTTTCTACATACGAGTGGATAAGTCTTTAGTCTATCAAATGACATATTTTTAATTTTTTTTAATTTGTGCGCTCTCTCTCACGTTTCACCAAAGTTGTTATTATCAAACTTATTAGCAAGATACATTGGTTATAAGAGAGCCGTTGGGTCCAATAAATAGAATAATGGAATAAATAGAAATATAAGGAATAAATAGAAATATAAGGAAAACAGGCATCCAGATAGCCAAGTACATGGGGGAAAAATCACTTTTCTTTCCTCCTTTACTTCGTCTTCTCACTCTGCTTCTTGAATGTGATAACTTAGAACTTTTGTGCATAAGCAAACATTTTATCTGTGGCTGGGTAATGCTAAGTATTCTTTCTATATAGTATATGTTTGTGCTGTTAACTGAACTGGCAGTGAAGGGCCAACAAAAATTAATTTGCTTTCGATGAACATGTCATAGATGGCCAACCTCACGCTTATAACAAGGCATGATCATGTAAAAAACAAAAAGTGAGGATTATATGCAAGGAGTAACACCAGCTACTAGCAAGGATTCCAACCAAATCTCAGTTACAGCATCTGGCTAATAAAAGACACCTAGCTTCCATTTATGGCCTTAATAGTATTAGTTTTTCACTGGGTAAACCACTGATATTTACAAACGTTCTAGTTGTTCAGAAAATATGCATTTATATTGATCACATTGTATTTAAAACTCCTATTAAAACTTACAAAAGTAGTCTCTGAAATTTAAAAAGCAACAAAAGGAGTTTGTAATAAAACTTGAAAAAACAAATACAGGATGCATTCAAGTAGTGCTAATTAACTGGCCTTCAATAACTAACAGTAAGACTAAAACAATTGTTTTCTTTTCAGGTTCTATGACCTGATTCTATAAAAAGAAATAATGTTATATTAAATAATGAAATAAAAACTGATGTATGCATGAATAACACCACATATTTATTGGTAGAATATTTTCTATTACATAGAATAATATGTATATTTTTGTATCCATAATAATTTGTAAAATAGGCACTGTACATCTCACAAAGATGATTCTAATTGCATTTCTTCTTTAGTTTTCACAAGGCTGTGATGTGCATGTTTTCATTATCTTTATTTGATGGAGAAATAACTGATTCAAACAGATTAATCGATGTCCTGAAGCTAATAAGAAGAGTTGTGACTCTATCATCTCCTCTGGTTCCAACATCTATACTCAGTTATACCGAGGAAATTTAGTATAATAATGACTGATATATATATAATAAACCTGAGAATTGATTTTCTTCTGGATTGCCTCCTATCATAAATATATTATCAATCTTGTTTTATGGATGAGTGCTTTTACTAAATCCTAAACATTTGAGTACTCAAAATCCACGAGGAGTGTCTATTGATAACTTAAGCAAGATGTTAGATTAGCCTAATCACATTATTCTTCGTTTCCATGCCATTTTCTCAATATGGATTTTGATGACACACTTCCGATTTTCTATCCATGTCCTCATCTGTAAAATTGGGTTATTCATAGTACATATACTAGGGATATTAATTGTATCTCTATAGAACAGGATCAAGCACATAGTAAGACCTTAAGAATAGATTTATTGATGATCGTATTAGTAAGAGGAATTTCCTTATTATTATAATCACCAACTGAATATTGCTTTCTCTGGTCAATTAATAAAGAGAGTTAAATATGGGCTTTCATGATTCAGCTAGCATCATTTATCAAATATTTTTAAGGCCTGTGAGTTCATTTTCATGACTACATAAAATAACAAATTCATTAGAATCATCTTATTGAATAATATTGTTACCCATAGAGGGTCTTGGCTGCAAGTTGTCCAAGCTCTTGGCATTTTCAACAAAGAATTGGACAAAACACACAGAAAAGCAGGGAAAAAATGAAGCAACAAAAACAGACTTCTTGAAAATGGAAGTACACTTCACAGGATGGGAGGGGGACTGTGCAGCAGCTCAAAGGCCCTGGTCACAGAATCTTCCGGGTTCCAAATATGCCCTGGAGGTTTCCCATTGGCCACTTGGTGTACACCCCATGCAGTTGAAGTAGTGGCCAGCAATCAGAGGCTAAAGTGAAGTTACAAAGTTGCACTCCACATCCAGAGACTAAAGTGAAGTTACAAAGTTACACTTTGCAATCAGAGGCTAAAGTGAAGTTACAAAGTTACACTCCTATGCAAACGAAGACTTTGGCCTGCAATCAGTCTGATTGGTTGTGGAAAGCAACCAATCAGAGGATGAGGTGAAGTTACAAGTTACACTCCTATGAAAACATCTGATTGGTTTGCAAAGGGAGTAGCTTCTGGTCCTTTTGTTACTTAGGTGTGAAAAGTTGGGGTTTTCCTTTCGATTTAGTTCTAAGAGTCAGCACGAATCAGCCTTAGGTTCCCTGCCTCCAGACCCTATTCTTCTGCCTCGATGTCACATTTTCTTTCTGAACATATCAATTTTGAATATACTATTCAAAACACATATTTTCTAGTGTCTTCATTGTTTTCACATTCACTTGTTCATGGTAAAAAGCTAAAATGTATGCCCAATTTAAACTTAATTTTTATGCTTTTTACATGTAAATTCTTACTTTATTTTTAGAATTTAAAGGTGAGTCATCTATTTGTACTCACCATGGGTACCCACATGATGAGCAATGTTCTTTAGGAGCAAGATACCTATAGTACCTAGAATATAGGATAGCAAGAGGCGTTAGAATTTGAGATTGAGAGTCACTTATTTAAAAGCCACATCACAGTTTGTCAGAAATCATAACACCTTTTGCCTGTAGCATTTTCAGATGGATATAATATCTCACTTGTTTTCAGATTTTTCTCTCCTAAAAGCATCCTGTGGCATCAATTCACATTATGAACTAATGGCAACAATTTTGTTCTAAATCCCTAAGGGAAGAAGATGTTGTCAGAATGTTGGCCAGGATTCACTTTCCTTTTTTTTTTTTTTTTTTTTTTTTTTTTGTCAGTCTTCTACACAGGAGCCTTTTGAAAAATGGTGCTTCTAATGACAGAGGTGTGGGCCTTGTAATGTGAAGTTAAATTTGCTGTCCTTCCAAACAGAAAGCATTTTTTGCACCCTGAAAATTCGAAAGCATTTGCAAATCTCTTGATTGACTTGGCCATTTATTTGACTCTGCACCAAAAAAATAACCAATCAAAAACAAACAGGCATGGTGAGTTGCCAATCTTCACCTCGGAAGTGAAATCTCAGTCAATAAAAGGTTCGTGTTGGAAACCCTGAGTGGCATTTAACTAAGGGGTGTGCAAAGCATATCAATGTATTTTTGACACCATTCCTTCCACGCAACTGTCAGCAAGTTTAAATTAACACTGGAGGTCTATAGGTTTCAATGACGGATGAAGATGTTTAAGTCACATCCCAGAACAAAAGAAGTAATGGCTTTCACGTTTATTCAGATGCCTATATATTTGTGCTATTTCTTTTATTTTGCTTATATATCTTCTTATGTCACTATAGACACTATAAGATTTGTATACGTTTCTCATACACAATATGCTACACATTCCCCCAAGAAAGGATTTCAAGTTGTTGCTGTCATTTAACATTCTTTATGCTAAATCTGCAATTTTTATAAACCAAAAGCAAAGTATACTCACCTGAAATATATTGAATTTTTATACTATTGGATAATATGATGCATGCATTTTTTCCGATAAATGATTTTATAAAACGTTAGGTCATTTCATGTCCTCTCCCTCCTCACTTTTCCTAGGAAACTTAGGGGTTGAAAATGTGAGAAACTAATTGTCAGGTTAATGCTGTTAAGACTCAGCAAGGATTTTTTATGAAAAGTGCACACTTGTTGTTAATCATGTCATTTGGTGGATACAGTGCCATGCAAACTACACTAGTCTTAAAGAAAATATTTTCACGTGCTATACTGAATTCTTTTTTCTCACTGAGAAATGCTCACATATCCATTTTGCTTTAGATCTGAAGTCAGCAAACTTTCTTTGGTGTAGGGTCAGATAAATACTTTAGACTTTGTGGACCAAAGGGTCTTTGTTACAAATACTCAACTTTGCCACTGTTGTGCAAAAGCAGCCATAGACAATATGTAAATGAAGAAGTGTAGCTATATTTTGATAAAGCCTTACTTAGGAACACAGAAACATGAATTTCATATATTTCTTATGCACCATGAAATATTTTTATTTTGATTTTTTTTAAATAATAAAAATGTGAAAACTACTCTTAATTCATGGGACATACAAAAACAGGCAGATAGCTGGATTTGGTTGACAGACCACAGTTTGCTGATCCTTATTTTAGACATTTATGCAAACTGTGCAGTTATCACTTCTGTTCATTCAACAATCAGTCAAGCTGTGCATTACTGGTTGGTTGTTACAAAAAAACATAAAGAGAGTAAGCTATAACTTTATTATTATTAATACTTATAGACTGTTAAATTCATATGACAGGTGAAATCTTTAGTTTTATGACTTATTCTCTGTATATATAATAGTGGAAAATAATGTTTAGAAATTGTGTGTGATTTGGGGAAGTCTTAAAAATGAAAAGGCAAAATTGACTTTCAGTTTTAGTCCTTTCAAAAGTCGCCTTTCAGCTGTAATAATGCTTTCTGTCTGCTCTGAAAGAGGTTATATTACATAAATGATGAATGTTCTATTATGAAATAATTTTTGTTCATAAGGAAACATTTTCTGCTCCTCTAAGATGAAATAAACCAGGTAAAATTTGCACATATATTTGACAGTGTGATAACTGATCTTCAACTAATATATAACTGTGATTGTTGTAACTTGCTCATTGTATTTTTACTGTTTGAAGCATATTTTCAGAGGTCAGAGACAAAGATTTGAACACCGTCTTTTCATATTTAACTGTCCTTGAAATGTACTGGAAAATAAGTATTTCTACTGACAACTGAAGAATGACAAGGTTCATAAATTTGGAAAGGAGAACTTTATTTCCCATAGGTAGTTGCAGCCTGCAGGGTGGCCACTTTGACAGGCTAGGAAGCATAGCCTCCAGCAAGAGCCAGAAGCAGACACTTTCAGGGAAGGGTAAAAGGAACAGGAATTTATACTGAGCAAAGTGGCCAAATATACATATTGAATAAGCTATAAGAAAAGTCATGAATATTTATGGAAGGAGAAACATGTACATGTGCAATTGAGCTTCATGCCTCTCCACGGGTCCCATGTTAAAATATATATATATATATTTGGCATATATATGCCATGTATGTATGCATGCATGTATGCATGTACGTATGCATGTATGCATGTATGTATGCATGCATGCATATATGTATACCATATATGTATATATATATGCGCCATATATATGTGCTATATATATATATATATGGCAGCCTTGGCATATATGAGCATGGAGGTTTTTGGCCTTCTGATGTCAGAAGGTGAAGCAAAGGATATGAAAACCCTCACTGCATATTCTCTGTAGACAAGCCAGAACCACTCTGTGTGTGGTCAGTGGCAAAAATAAAAAAGAAGAGGCAACATCAGGAAGTTGGCTGATATCAGTGGTGGAGTCTTTTGAAAGGGCTGGTTTCTGTTTAGCCCTTAGAGAAGAAAGGCAGATGGTGGTTTGCACAGGATGGTGTATAAGGAGGTGTGTCTGACCTCCCATCGGTCATGACCAAGATATTCAGTTTTCAAGGTTTCTCTAAGGTCCCCTTGGCCAGGAGAAGCTCTGTTCAACCAACTGGTGGTGGGGGAGCTTAGGAATTAATTGTTATTTCTCACTACCTACAGACTACTGCAAGCTAATGTAAAGCAACTTTAACCAAAAATTCATTTAAGATTAGAAAGTTACAAAGAGAATTATAAATTTGCTTTCTGAGGGATTAGGAAATTAAACACAATGGGGAGTTTTTTGCCTATGGTTGTTTCATTACCATCTTGTCACGGAAAGTATGCTGTAAGAGGAAACTTATTTTGCTCTCTAATTCTGGAGTAAACCAAGGAGATCTTTGACCAAACCATACTTTTTTCTTCCAGCTCAGCAGTTCTTTTATTTGTCAAGACTCTGAGAGACAGTCCTGTGGAGAAAGAGACATGCAGAGATCTCCCTCAGTGTTTTATAATGCAGTAGCAGAAGTCCCTTTGAGAACTTATGAATATCTTATCTTCTCAAGGGATGTGACATGTATGCTGTACATAAAGAGATGAATGGGTATTTTCCAGGGAAAAAAGAGGGAAAAAGGGCAATTAAGACATAAAAAAGGGCGTTTCAAGGCACAGAGGCATGAAATAACAAGTCACATGTAGAATCAAAGCAGTTTAGTGTTTGTATGGAAGCCCACAGGTATGACTTTATTATTTATTTTATTAAGTTAGAACAAAGACCACAGGCAACAGTTACAGCTTTATCCTTCAGGCGGTCATTACAGTTTTAAAATGGGAAGTTATATGATAATAATTGTACTTCAGAAATATCCCTCTAGCTATATAGATAGATATATAGATGATATAGATATAGATATAGATACAGATATAGACACAGATATAGATACAGATATAGACACAGATATAGATACAGATATAGATATAGATATAGATATATAGATATAGATATTGCAAAGACGAATGGAAGTGATGCAGGCAAACCCCAAAATCGGGGTTCAGCTCAGGAAGATTCTTGGTTTTGCTTAGGAAAGAATTCAAAAGCCAGACACAGTGAAATAAAGCAAGTTTATGAGAGCACAGAGTACGGCAAAATGGCTGCTCTGTAGAGCAGGTGTATCCCATAGGCAGAACAGCACTGTCGCTTGCTGGCTAGCTTTATGTATAGCTACTCCTTAATTATCTGCTAAATAAGGGGCAGGTTATTCACAATATTCTAGAAAAGTGGTAGGGAGTTCCTGGAACCAAGGGTTCCTCCTCCTTTAAACCATATAAGGTAACTTCCAGGACCTTATATTGCTGTGGCATTTGTAAATTGTCACAGCACTAGCGGGAGTGTCTTTTAGCATGCTAAAGACTTGTAATTAGCATATAATAAGCATTGAGGCAACTAGTGGTTGCTTTCCTTGTTATCTTGGTTTCAGCTGGTTTGAGCTATTTTCTTTACCGTATCTGGTTTTGACTAGATCCTGTTTTCATCGGTGGTATCTTAAGCGGTGGTCAGAAAAAAGTCCTGCTGATTACCCACCTCAAAAGGAATCTTTTGCAATAGCAAAGATGATCAAAATTAAGGTGAACAACATTAGTGATAAGGTGAAAGGGATCAAATTCTAGCTCGTGTTATCAAGGAGTTACAGTACCATTAATTAAGATAGAGCATAGAAAAAAAAATTTTATAGAAGGGAGGTGACATGGAACACAGTTTTGAATGTGCTAACTATAAGGAAGCTATGAGGCATTTGAGTAACAGTTCCAGAGTATAGTTGAAATGCATATTTAGAACTCAAGAGAAGATTCTGAGCTAGAGATATGTAATGGGAATCTTAAATTCTCTATTTAACATGTATATGTGGATTTATTAAATAATATTGAACGTGTATTATGTGGCAGCCAATGCTCCAGATAATAAGGATATCTCAATAAATGAGACAGACCAGGTTCATGCTCTCTGAAATTTTAAAGTAACTGTATTATATATTTTACAATAATCTTTGCATATATTGTACAAATACAAATATATTAAATGTGCATAATGAAAAAATATGTCCCTTTCTCATCCCGTATCCTCAATCTCCTCTCCTGTAGGAAAATATTTGCAGATAAAACTCTTCTTTGCAATTCACAACAATACTTACACATATCCTTATATAATTGTTTATCTAGTTAGAAATGTATTTTCCAGTTTTCTATACTTGCTTTTATTTTTCATTTAACAATTTCTTTTCATGAAAACACCTGTAATATCTTTCTTATAGTTTTTAGAACATAAATTAATTTATTAAATGTATAAACATAACCTGTTATTGACTAATGCCTCATTAATGCAGGTTATTTTTGCCATTTTCCCATAACAAATAATGCTGTAGCAAATAGTCATGCAGACACAAATTTATCAGTAATATACATTCCTTGAGATTAAATCACTGTCAAAAGGTATGTTTATTTTTAATTTAATACCTATTTCCAAATTATTCTCCAGAGAGTTCGTACTAATTTACACTTACACCAGCCATGAACCTGAACTGTTGAAAATTCATCAACACAGTGTATATTATAAATTCTTCTATTTCCTTTTTAGGTTTTCTTTTTGAAAAGTGGAAAGATGTATCATATTGTCATTTTTATTTTTACTTTTAAATTGTGAGTGATGTTGAACATTTTTTCCAAATGTTTATATATTGCTTGTGCTTTGTTTTCTTGGAACTACCTCTGTGTCTCCTTTTTCCATTTTTTAAATTGGTTTTTGTTCTTAGTGTTTCATAAAATGCTTTAATATATTTCAAATATTAGCCTTATTTGAAATATTGTAAATATCTTCTTGTTTTATAAATTAAAGTTCTCTTCAAAGTTAAAAAATTACATTTGTACTTTTCTTTTCTGATTCCTAGGTTATCTGCTTTTGGTAAAAGGTCATTTCCCACTTCAGCATAGTTATTTTAAAAATTTACCAAGTATTATCTTAACTGAAACTTACAACAAGCCTGTGAGGTTTGTATTAACATTCCAATTGTGCAGTCATTAAACAGAAACTGGGAGAGATTGAGAAACTTGCTTTTGGTCACACAACCGTTAAATTATTGAGCCTGAGTTTGTAACCAAACTCTGATGCAGCTCTGGTGAAGTTAACCTGATCCTGAAGAAGACCTGCAGTTACCTCTTTGCATGATTGTTTTCTTTCTCTTCTGAGAAGACTGCTGAGCCCCTCCATTGCCATGGGGTTTGTGTTAGTCTGTTTTCACACTGCTAATAAGACATACCCAAGACTGGATAATTTATAAAGAAAAAGAGGTTTAACTGACTCACATTTCCACAAGGCTGGGGAGGCCTTATAATCATGGTGAAAGGTGAAAGGCATGTCTTACATGGTGGCAGGCAAGAGAGAAAGCATGTGCGGGGGAATTCCTCTTCATAAAACCATCAGATCTCATGAGACTTATTCACTATCAGGAGAACAGCACGGGAGAGACCCGCCCTTATGATTCAATTACCTCCCACCCGGTTCTTCCCATGACACATGGGAATTATGGGAGCTACAATTTGAGATTTGGTGGGGGAGACACAGCCAAACCATATCAGGGTTGTTCTTCTTATCGGAATAAGCAGTGCACTACAGAAAGGAGGCTACAAAAGTTTCAACCAAGTAACCACAGGAGAATAATAATCTGCATATTTTTTAAAAGGCAAATTATTTTTATTGATTCAGAAAGAACTTAAGAATAACTAATGCATTCATTATGTCAACCAATAAGTTTTGAACATGTGTAAGTGTCAGGCTATTTTAAATGCTTTTCCTTAGTGAATCAGACAGGCAAAGTCTTTTATCTCTAGAAGCTTTTATTTCAGCTTCCTGTTAATGTGCTCTGCTGCTTTTTCTTAACTTCTTTTTTCCAAATAACACAACATGTCTCTTTCTTATAGGCTTTTTGTGTTTCCTGCATAAAATCAAAAGAAGGATTCTGTAGATATTATCTTTTCTCAATAATATACATTTTTCTGTCATGGACACTGTGAGGTGCTATCCAGATCCTCTGCACACACTGAGCTGTGTATTTCCTTAGCTCATGTTAGTGTGGGCTGATTGCTTTTAGCTGAATCCCCCTTCAGGTCTTATCCTCAGCCAAACTCAACATTATGCCCCTTCCCAGGGACAGTACTAATCTAATGACTGGTTGATGCAGCAGTTCAAGGGCCCGGCCTCTTAGTTTTAAATAACAACTTTTGAAGGATTATGGCAGGTCTAAAATTCCTCATGGAGGCTAAGTCCTCTATTTCAACAGTATCACCTTTCAACTTTCCGCCATTCAATCTTGTTTGCTTCACTCCTCATTGTCTCCTGAGAATTGATGTCTGCACACAACTGTTTCTCTGGACCCAACCTACACTTTCATTGCATATTCTACCAAGAGGCACTTTTATTTCAGCCATATGTTCTTTTTGTTTGTTTGTTTGTTTGTTTTAAAAAAAACTTATTTTAATCTTTGGGTGAAGAGCCCTATATCTGGCATTTTTTTTTATGTTTTTGAAAAAGTCATATGTATTGACTTTTAGAAGTTTTATTGGAAGGAGGAAAGTTACTTTAAAATATATTTTATTTTCTTTCTTTCACTGATGCTTTTCTATGAAAACCTTATTCAAACTGTCCACAACCCAAGTCTCACAAACCAAGCAACAAACTTTATAATACGAGGCCTTCTTGTAAAATTCCAGTTGTAAATTTTCAGATTTTGTCCAGAGCTTAAATTGGCAATTAAAACTGAGGAAAGAAAAACAGGAACAATAGTCTAAAAATTGAGCCACCCAAAACTAATTAAACAAAGAGACATTGAATTTTTTACTTGAAAGTAACTTGCTTCAAGGTCAACAATTAAAATTCAGGTCAAACTTAACCAGCTAAACTTACTACCTCCTTAATTCCTCGATGTTCTCAAAATCTATCTTTATAATTTTAGCAATGTTGTTTTAAAGGTAAACAAATCATATAGGCTTGGAGTGTAGAGAGTGCTATTCAATTCGTTTATGGGGTAAGTTTAACCAGTGGAAAGTTGGTTGTTTTTAAGACCAAATTTTTCAAAGTATGGAGTCTAAATAACTAATATTTTTATTAATTTGATCAGCAATTACTGAGACCTTCAATGTCAGATAATATTTTAACCATTGGTGAAACAGTGATAAATTAAACTGGCATCATCCCATCACATAAATGTGTGTTCTGGATGAGATGGTCTAAGTTCTCTAGATAAGGGGAGGTATTGCAATAAATCTTGTTGTTTCATATCAATATTTTAAAGTCATATTTTTTAAAGGCCAGAACAGTTGAGTAACTGGTATTACCAAGTGGCAATTGTAAAGTGCTCTACAACTCTTACATTTAGAGACGGTGAAGTCCATTACACATTTACTGAGTCCCAACTATGAGTCAGGGCCAATTTTCTCTCTAACTCCTGACCTCAGGTGATCCACTTGCCTTGGCCTCCCAAAGTGCTGGGATTACAGGTGTGAGCCCAATTTTCAGCTTTCCTTTTATAATTCAGTACTGTTCAGGCTCTTGTGTCTGTTATTATCGTCATTCAGCTTCCTTTTTTCAAAACAGAAGAGTATGTCTGTATACACTATGCTTACCTTTTATATATTATTTTCCATGTTATTTTCATGGTAAATAACCACTAAAAAAGTTGTTTCTACAGAGAGGGTCCATTGTTTTGCCACAATCTTTTTAAAAGAAAGGTCCTGCAAAATACATATGATCACTAATTCAATAAATACTTATTGAGCACCTATAATGTGCCAAATACTATTCTAGATACAAAAATGAAAGTTGTCACTGGGCACAGTGGCTCACGCCTGTAATCCCAGCACTTTGGGAAGCCAATGCAAGTGGATCACCTGAGGTCAGGAGTTTGAGACCAGCCTGACCAACATGGTGAAACCCCGTCTCTACTAAAAATACAAAATTAGCCGGGCATGGTGGTGCATGCCTGTAATCCCAGCTACTCGGGAGGCTGAAGCAGGAGAATTGCTTGAACCTAGGAGGCGGAGGTTGCAGTGAGCCAAGATGGTGCCATTGCACTCCAGACTGGGCAACAAGAGCGAAACTCCATCTAAAAATAAAAACAAAGTAGTCAGAGTCTCTGTTTTCATGGAGCTTTATTCTAATCTGAAAGAAAGACAGTAAATTAAAACATTTCACAGTGATATTACTATGAAGAGATATCTCACGGAGATGTATAGAGAGGACTATGGGTTTGTCCAGAGGGTGGCATGAGGTTTGGGTAAGGGTTAACCCTATACTGGGGGTCAGGAAAAGCTTCCTAAAGGCCTGAACAGTGTGAAGTATGGGGAGGGGGGACAACTCCTTAGCTGTACCCTGTTAATAATCACTAATATCAAACATTTACACATTGACACACTTATGCATGTTTTATAACAAACTCAGCATTTTTCACATGATTCTAATGAGACCTTGGTGTTCTCCTATTGGTTTGATTTGTACCTGTGTATGTGCAACATTTAATTCCCCATATCAAATATAAGCATTTGTAATCCACCTCCTTTTCAATTTCTTGAGCAACACTGGGTACAAGTTTGTGATAGTGAAAGCAGCCTCAAAAGAACAAAATGAGCCCCAGAAGAAAACAATTAAATATCGTGGAATTTTTTAGACCTACCAGGTCTTAGGAGAGTCTGAGCTTCAGTGAAACAAATCTCCTGTATGCCAAAGCACCATTTACCCATCTCAAGCATGAAGTTTTGCGACATTTCCATACTTCCAGTCATAGTGACCTCTAATTATTTAACTAAGTGGATGTAGATTTAATGCATAAAATTGGGCAATATTTCCAGCCCTTTTTGTTAACGGCCTGAAGCCCAACTTTTTTTCCACTCCTTCCATTTGTCTGCCTTGGGAGTTAAAAGCAAACTTGGAGAAAGCCAGAATTGCTCTGCCCAGTTGTAACCATTATTGGATTCCTGGACCTTTTTGCCTTTCTTGTTCTGCCCTCCCTTTCACCTCCCACCAAAACACAATCTCTGCCTAGAAAACAATACTTACATTTTAAGACCTTGTTAACTATTGATATTTCACAAGAAAATGCCTCTTACTGCTTTAGTCCATGTTGAACATTCCCTTTTCAAAACCTCTTCTTGTACAGAGAGTCACTATCTTACCATATTGCGCATCACGGTTTATTCATGCATTCTCGTAGCTAACACATATTTTTGTAGAGGAAGAGATCTTTATTCTAAACTAGCCTACTTCCCATACACAAATCAATAAGTACCTGTTACTTAGGGAATTGTTTGATCAGCAGAACTAGTCTAAGCTAAATTGTAAAACAGGTGATACAATACTTCAGTGTTCCTATTCTCGTACTCTCCCCACTCTTCTTGCTATCACAGAATAATAGGTTGGCCAAAGCTAGCCCCTACATCTGGTACTCTCAAATTTCATCAAGATGTCAAAGTGTGCAAATATCAGTAAGATAGTAAAGAGGCAATGATGCAAATGCAGGAGTTCCAGGAGGTGAAAGGAAATGATTTTGAGGAGATAAAGATTTTCTTTCCCCTCAGTTCAACACAGAAGTCATTGCTCTCAGTACCAACCCAGAGTAACAATTGCAGCTATTCTTTATCATTTCATATTTTGATGAAACCTTTAGAATGCTCCTGGCAAATCTGTTAGCTGTGTGTCATCAAAATATTAAGGTAACCTAAAAACAAAAGAAGAAACCAACAGCATAAAAGTTGAATCAAAGAAATGAGTGTTCTCTACCCACTATCTGGTATAAGGCGCTACCTTGTTGAGTAGGTTAGTCTTTGAAGGGAGTCTGTTTATGTTTTTCAGCCATCATCCTCCTCAGAGGAGCTTTTGATATCTTCCTTGTTTGATGTTCTGATGCCTGCTACAATGTGTACAATGTGGACTGTTTTATTTATTTTTTTCCTTTGTGAGCTTGGCTCTGCAGTAAATGAACATTCCACTGACAAAATGCTGTGAGTAATTAATCAATAGAAAGGTGATTAATTAGGTAAATCTGTGAGAGACTGAGGATAAGCAGAAAAGGGTCCTTTGAAAGATTCAAAGGGTCTGCTTCCGGTGGATTTCTAATTTTCCCTTCTGCATCATGAATCCCTTATGCTTCCTGAATAATAGGAGGTTAGAAGAATAAAAATATCCTCACAAATAACAGTGTAAAGTGGAAACAATAGGAAATGTCATCATCCTCCGTGGCAATATTCTGGGTGGGAAATTTCATCACCTAATGAAAAAAGCACTTTGATGGATTAATGTAGTGGGGTTTAAGAGAAATATTCTGATCATTGCAAAATCAGTGAAGATGAAAAATGTGAGCAGGTAATTGAATAGGAAACATTTATATGGCATTGAAGGTATGCTGGCAAAAAAATTATTATTAAAGTAACCTTTTATTTAATATATCATCACCTATAAGATGTGCTTTGTAAAATTTCAGCTTAGAAGGACTTCCTTTTTAATCGTGAAAAGTTTTGGCAGCTCTTTTTATTAAAGGATTTTGTAACTGAAACTGAATATAGTTTAGGGTATATAAATTAAAATGAACCTCAGAGACCACATAGGCAAGCATTTTGTAGCATAAAGACTTTTCAATTAATCATAGAGATGGTTGGTACATAACCTTCCTTACGAGCAGGACTCACCTTAATAATTTTTATATTTTGTGTTTTATGCAGTATCACAGCAAAAGAAAGAAATGCTGAAAAGCTAACTGAGAAAACTCTACACAAAATTATATAATACATAGTCATAAACCAGGAGCCTTTTAGGTATTAAATGGAACAATTCTTTTAATATCTATGTTTTTTCATTTATATTCATACCAGGAAATAGTAATGTCATCTTGTCACTATGGTTCTTGGGGAGCACAGTTGGGGTAAGGAGCTAAGCTCTTTTGTACCCCTTTATTCTGTTCCAGACTCTTCTGCTCCCATCCCTGCATCATCAGTTTGGGAAGCTGATTGCATTAAATCATGCTCCTTTCCTCACTGAGTTGTCAGTGGTTATTATGTTTAATATGTATTGCTTATTTTTAAAATTATGTTAGAAATTAGAGGTTAGAGAAATTCTGCACTGTGGTTTAAATGTATCACTTTGATCCTGTTTTCTTTTGGTCATTCTGATTGCAGAAAGGAGAGAACTTCAGTTTATTGTTGCTATGTTCAGTACTTCATGTTAATTCCCATATTCGTCAAACAAACGTCCTGAGATATGCAACAGTATCTGAAGAGACTTTGATCACGTGATTTTTGTCTTCATGGAGTTTAAATTGTAGTTGCTTTTTTTGCAAGGTAAGGGTTTTTTTTCATATACCTTAGATATTGAGTTTTATTTTCAAAGAAATTAGAGTGCAAAATTAAGTAAAAAAAAATACTAATTAATTTAAAAATAGTGTACTATGTAAACAGCAATACAAGTGGAACTTGAATAGCGAAAATCATGACAAAGATACAAAAATAAATGAAGTTTGAGAAACATTGCCTTGCTTAAGACCACTTAAAATGAAGGACCTAGGCCCATAGAAAATAATAGAAAAATTAACTCAATGTGATAGGACACAGAAACAGAGAGATCAGAAAGAATATGGTAGCAGGCAGGGTTACACTGGTAACATAAGTGAAGAGACGCTTAACCCAAGGGAGTTGGGCATCTGTCAATAATCCCTCCAACCTGAGAACAAGATTAGAGAGTGGAGCTTTGAGGCTTCTAGGGAGGTCAAGTGAGGAGGGAACTGCAGAGGCTGGGGATGAAGCCCAAAGGATTGCATGTCCTGTAATTAAATAATGAACTCAGAGGGAAGAAAGTCCAAAGGTTAAAATGAAGTACATGGCAGGAAGTAGAATCAGCTACCAAACAAAACAAAACAAGCCAGATCACAGAGGAAAACGTGATTGTATTCTGCTTTCATTCCTTTTAAAAATCAAAGCAATGACTATTTTTTTAATTTGTTGCAATCCTTTCTCTCTTATTTTGTAATTCTCATGTAGTGGAGCCTCATCTTAATGTAGGGAAGTATTAATTTTGAGAACTGTTTTGAAATACCAACTTAGAACTAGTATGTGTCAAAATTGTCTAAATTTAACATTATAAATGATGTAATTATGTGAAGTGTTTCTGGAGGAATCCTGTATTTATATTAATACCAGTCTAAATAGAATGCATTTCATTTCATCAGTCATTCAAATAAATTATTTAGATTTCTCTGCAGCACATCTTAAAATAGTAGTTTCAAACCTCTGAAGAGATGATATAAATAACTTTATTTTGTCAAATGTTTAGTACTCTTTGTTAATGATGCTATAATATCTAGTGAGTGGTCCTCAGTTACTAACATGTCTCCAAACACTGTTGATAATTACCTTAATGCATGGATAATTATTTACTTTTACTAATACTGTAGAAATTATCAAAATATTTAAGTCTCTTATTTAGGAATCCTAGTTACTTGTATAGCCTATGATATTAAACATGTGACTAGCAAACTCAAGATAAAATGCATGCAGTTTGGAATACATTTCCACCTATCTTGTCACATTCTCTCTGGAATTCAGTTGGAAAATATAACAATTTCTTCGTGAAGGTGTCCATGAATAAAAGCATTTCTAAAATTGACCTTCTGCATGACTCAGAATATTCTCCTTGGCATGGATTTCTGCCACAGATTTGTAAAACAGAAACACAAAAGCTCTATCTAAGAAGGAAACCCCATGTACACACTTCTTTTTACCACCCGCAGTCTTCAACTACACAATAGCAATGTGTGTCTCCATATCACTTGTCTTTTGATTTGTCTTGTCTTTTGATTTGTTCAATCATTGCATGCCTCTATAATATAAATATTATATTACCATGCCTTCTAAGGTCATTGATGAAAGGTATTTTATTCATCCTTGCATCTTCTATTCAGGTTTTGGCACATAGTAGGCACTATAAATAAATGTACAATCAATGAAGCAATGCTGTGCATTTTAAACTAAAGATAGCTAACTAAAGTCAAAGAACCCAAGTAATTCATTTGAGTACACACTGTTCAGCTGGAACCCAAACAGAAATCCAAGTCTTTATTCTTCAAATACCACCAGTGCTTTAGAGTTTGGCACTTGGCCTCTCCTAATCTTGTACTTAAATCCTGACATGTTTATTTTGCATTTTAAAAGCCAACCGCTTTATAAAATGCTTTGACCTACTTTTTTGTTTTTTATAAGCCTCCATTTTATACCCTATGAAATGATGATAAAAGCAGTGCCAAACTTACTGAATTATTATGAGAATTAAATAAGATAATACATGTCAGGCATTTATTCCAGTGCCAGTACAAGCTAAGTATTTTTTTTTAAAAAACAACTTATGTACTAGCTATTATGATAACACCATATCAGACTTACTCTTTATATAATGCAATAAAAAATAAATTGCATTTGAACTGCAAAAAAGAGAAGAAAACAAGAAAAGTTCAGATCAAATTATAAAAAACAGATATCAAAAAATAATATTTAAAGTGACAGGGATATTAGCACTCAAGCAAGTCTCATATCTTTCAGTGGAGGTTTTTTGGAGGAAACAAAATGGAAATGCAGAGAACAATATTAGTCAATGACACTGTGTATATGAATAATAAATATATTCAGGCAACACAAAAGAGAGGAGCCTAGGAATAAAGGTGAGATTCCTAGTGACACTGAACACATTTTGATCCTTCTGAGGCCAATATTTTTAGTTCCCACATGAATCAGGAGTAATATTGCCTTAAAATTTCAGTTGTTCAGATCTGGAGTCAGACTGTCTTGATTCGAGCTTAGCCCTAGCAATGTCTAGCCATGTAATTTTGGACAAGTTACTTAACCTCTCTGTGTCTCAGTTTCCCATCTGTAAAACTGAGATTATAACATGCGTTTTAAATATTTGCTATGAAGATATAATACCTGTATTAGTCTGTTCTCATGCTGCTAATAAAGCCATACCCAAGACTGGGTAATTTATAAAGAAAAGAGCTTTTCTTTAATTGACACAGTTTAGCGTGTCTAGGGAGGCCTCAGGAAACTTATAATTACGGCAGAAGGTTAATGGGAACCAAACACATCCTTCTTCACATGGCAGCAGCAAGGAGAAGTGCCAAGCAAAAGGGGGAAAATTCCCTTATAAAACCATCAGGTCTCAGGAGAACTCACTCACCATCATGAGAAAAAGATGGGGAAAACTGCCCCCGTGACTCAATTATCTCCACCTGGTCCCTCCCATGACACGTGGGGATTATGGAAGCTACAACTCAAGATGACATTTGAGTGGGAACACAGCCAACCCATATCAATACATTTATTTTTATAAAATGGGGAATTGTAAACACTACTTAGTGACAAAGTGTAAGGAATAATGAACATTTATGAAAAAATAAAAGCATTAATTTTTATAACAAGCCTGTTAAAACTGCCTCACAATTATAACACAAATTTATAATTTATAGCTTTAGTGAAATTTAGTGTATCACATTTAACTGGAAGAAGTTTTAGAATCGAATGTAAACTTCTTGAAGAAAGGCATTAACTGTAATGTGTATTAGTTTTATCTTAGTTCTTTGCTTATTTGGCTGGCACATAATATTTGCTCAAAAATTATATATTGGATAAATGATTAAAGCAAAAGGGATACAGTTAATTATGTGCCAAATTCCTTGTTAAACATTTGCCCTCATCGTATAAACAGTCTCAAAACCTTTCTGCCCTTTTAATGAAATTTGTTCTGAGCTCATTCTTCTATCAGAAGCTACATAATAAAGGAATTCACCTAAAGAAAAAGAAAAGATAAATTCTTCAAAGAAATTTACCTTAAAGACATGCAAAACTGATATCAGCTGAAATTTCATATCCCTAATTGCGTCTACCTGCTAATTCTCTCTATCCAAAGAAATTGTTTTGCATAAACAACTTCTCAGTGAGAAAGACATATTTATCAGTAGCATTTTTCCAAATCCTCCTAAGGTAGCCATACATACATTAACGTAAAAAGACCAGCCATGTTGTAATAAGCACGGATAAATTTATATTATACTTAGCTTATATTAGATACTATGCTATGAGTGGTTTCTTTCTTATCTCATCCCACTCTGTGAATATCTTATCCATAAGACATGACTAACTCAGGAGATGTAAGTCATTTTGCCCAAAGCCTGAGAGCTAATAGGTGGCAATACAGAGATTCCAAACCCCAGATGTCTGGCTCCAAGTTGCAAGAAACTTGTGATGGGACAGCATCAAGTGCTTGCCTAATAAAACATAATGTTAGGGGGTCATTCTTCCTATTAAGATGGAGTGTTAAGATATTTGAATAATGAATCAACCCAAACTTTAACAATGATGTAATTTAAATGCTAGCATACCTAAACTTCCGAAATACTCAAATAATTTCACACCAAATATATGATACAATCATCTTTTATTATTTTTGAATTAAGTATTTTAGTTATGATAGTTATGTAGTTATGTGTATTTAAATATAACATGGTAATATGTGTGGTGTCCTGTTAGGGTACCTCTCTGAATGAGATTGGTCATTACAACAACCTAAACATAGTTTTCTGGATCATTGAAGCTGGTCTCATAGATACCTGGTTCAGCTGTTTTGCCTTAGGCCATTATACTCAGACAGTCTTTTGATACCTCCAGGGAAGGTATCAAATGCCAATAGCTATTACTGCTACTGTGAACTGTTTAAATTTTTTAAAAGCAAAGCTATGAAGGTTTTCAGTCTTGGTCATAATAGTGACCTTTGGTAATTCTCTTAAGACCTGGAGATACAGAATCGCTGTGAGTTTGCCTCGCTTCTAGGGCAGCTATATAAAGTGGTATTGCATTAAAATTAAAGACCTTGAATATTCAGAAAGTAGGACTTATGCAATTGAAGTTTCTTAATTAAAAATCATGATTCACTTCTCTGAGGATATTTGCCCAAGAAAAAAGTTTCACAGTTACCAACACTATGCGTTCTGTGTCACACATCAGATTTCCATAAATATAAAGCATATAACTATACATAATATTGTAAAGGACAATCATTTTCTTGGCAAGGTTACAACCTAAAAGAGGTGGGCTTTGTTCAGAAAGTGCAAAAATTTTTAGTTCACTTTTACAAGTATCTATCTCTGTATCTTCTGGAGCATGTATTTTTATATACCAATAATCATTTATGATACACTTTCTGCAGAGAATGAAAATTGAACTGAAATTAGCACTACTATTTGTTTTCTGGCATTAAAATATGTTATGGATGCTACTAGTCAGTGTAGAGGCAGCTGGAATGATTGATGGTGAAGATACCCTCTTCAACACCAAATCCTGATTTTGCAGAATGATGACAGAAAAACCATACTTCCATCCAGAGGACAGGGTGGGTGACATAGTAGTCAGATTGTCTTGATTTGACCTTGGACTTAGCAGTGACTAGCTGTGTGGTCTTGGACAAGTTCCTTGACCTCTGTGCTTCAGTTTTCCATTGGTAAAATGGAAATAATAGCATTTATGTTGTATGTTTGCTATGAAGAAACGTATGGGTAAGTGACATGATTGAAAAGGGTTTGTAAGAAGCCTTCCAATAAACTCATCAAGGATCTTTTCTTGCATCCTACCTGCCAGGCATCTGCTCTTTTAGGTGAATGCTTCGTAGGCCTGAGATAGGTATCTTTAAACATTACCTTCCCACACACTGAAGTAGGCAGTTCTGTCCTATATGCCAATGAAATGGTCAAAATAAAGGAGTGAAAAGTGTTGTGCTGTGGGTTTCAGTGGTCAGATTTTTCTCCCAATTTTTGATGTCTATAATTCTCTGTTAAACCATGAAGATTAATAGCCCTAATGACAAGTGAATCATTGAAAACTGTTAAGCATCAGCGATAAGCTAACCATCTGATGATTGGAATGAGCTAGTAAGGGAAAAAAGCATTCTCTGTCACAGACCAATGATCCAATAGGTATGTGGATCATTTGACTTCTGGAGTGTTAGTTTCTTCACATGTTCAGTAGAGCTCCCTCGGCGTAGAAAAAAAAAAGGCAGCCATAAGACTACATGTTAAAAGTATTTACACCTATTTAGAGATAGGAAGACAAGTAAAATAGCTTGAATAATTATTGTTGTATGGAGAAAATGCTGACTTTTATAAAGTTACTTTAAAACTTACTCAAAGAAATGAACTGGAGAAGGTATTTTTTGTTTTAATTTATTGCCCCCCCCCCACCTTTTTTTTTGTCATTCCAGAAGAATTGAGCTCTGCCGCCTCAAGAATAGTGGTTCTCAAAGTGTAACGTCAAGAGCAGCACTATCAGCATTGTCTGGGAGCATACTGATGCATGTTATCGTGGGGGCAGGCAGTATATGGAAAATTTGTACCTTCTCCTGAATTTTGCTATAAACCTTAAACTACTCTACAATGTGTACTTATTTTTAAAAATGCATGCATTTGACCCTACCCCACATCTACCGAACCACAAACTCTGGGGCTGGACTCAACAATCTGATTCAGCAAGCCCTCCAGGTAATTCTGATTCACATCAAAATTTAAGAATCACATTTCAAGAGTATTCCTGAATCCAACAAAGCAGGTGGTCAGACTGACTTTTACGCGATAGATTTCCAAGTGGAAATCAACCTCCAGTCTATTATTCATTCATTTGTAAACTCTGATTTGAAAGCACACGGGAAAAGTGGTTCTTAAAAACATAGTTTTCTGCTTTAGACAAGAACACTTGTGGATCACGATCACAACAGATGGTTCAGTCTCTAGCGCAGGCTGAAAACATATTCATTGATGGAGTGTGTGGCTGTACGAGTTACTAGCAAAAACCCTAGCTATTGTTACAGGAAAACCAAAAGTAATGTTGGTTCAGGAACAAGGAATTCTCTTTCATGTAATCATCAGAGGTGAATGCTCCATTTCAAGATTTAGGGACCCAGGTTACTTATATCTTGTGAATATGAGGTTTGTCCTGAAAGAAGTATGTGAGACCTTCAGTTAAATTTGTTGGTAGGAACCTAGTCACCTGGGCACATCTAGCTGGAAGGACAGGCTAGAAATCATAGTCACTGACTTACCAATCAATTACAACTCCATTATGTAGAAGTAAAGGGCAGGGGGCGGTGTATAGGGAGGCTTTGTGCAGCTGTGTCAATAGATTTAGGCAAGTAAACAGTAGACTCCATCTAAAATATTTTAAAACCAAATTATTAATACTTGAAGCAAACTTTTAGAATCCATCTAAATAATTAAAAATAGGGCCTAACTGGATAATATCTGATATGTCCATATGAGATTATTATGTGCAGATATTGAACATGGTGTTTATAGAAACTTTTTAACGGCCGGGCACAGTGGCTCACTCTGTAATCCCAGCACTTTGGGAGGTCGAGGCAGGAGCGGATCACGAGGTCAAGAGATGGAGACCATCCTGGCCAACTTGATGAAACCCCGTCTCTACTAAAAATACAAAAATTAGCTAGGTGTGGTGGCACGCGCCTGTAGTCCCAGCTACTCAGGAGGCTGAGGCAGGAGAATCGCTTGAACCCGGGAGGCAGAGGTTGCAGTGAGCCAAGATTGCGCCACTGCACTCCAGCCTGACAACAGAGTGAAACTCCGTCTCAACAAACACAAAACAAACAAACAAACAAAAAACTTTTTATCATGTATGAAATAGTTAAGCAAAATATATTGAGTAGGCATTATTTCATTAATACAGAACAATCTCAACTATCTAAAAACTGTGCAGAAGGAAACAAGGAAAGGAATTCTATTTTTAAAATTCAAAATCTATTTTTGAGTTTCTACTGTGTACCTGGAACTGTGCTAGTGTTTGGAGACATAACAGTCAACAAGATAAAACTGTGGACACACAAGAAATAATATACTTCAGCTTATGATAGTAGGAAATAAAACTGTTTAAAACTCATGCCCAGGTGGAGAGGTTAAATTGATTCATTTTTATGCTCTTTTATATTTTTCATGTTTTCTATTATAGGTATGTCTTACTTTTATAGTCAACATTATAACAAATGCTTTTTTTCCTTATAAAGAAAAATGCAAATAGATCTCCATAAAATTAAACTACTACATTAAAGAGTAAGAGAAAGAAAAAGAAGATTATATGAGGGAATCTTTTAAATAAACGCTTCCAATTACTTCCAAGATGTGGCCTTCAGCCAATATAGATTTACTGAAGGTTTTTTTCACCTTATATGTCTGCAGTCTTGAATAATCACAATTGAGCATGTTGCCAGTTCTCTAGAAATTTATTCTGAAAATAAAATAAGGATATGTTTATGTTCTAAACATTGCATTTATTCATGAAGAAATAAATAAATGGCTTTTTTCAAAAAAAAAAAAGATCTTTTGAAAAAATTGAATTTATTATAGCAAGACCCTCACTTCAAATTCAAATTACCTGGAGTGTATTTTTGTTTCCCAGTTAGTTGATTTTCTCCAATATTGCTGTCAACAAATTTGTGTAAACTTTAACCATACTTTGCACACCTCTTTTTCCTGGCCTCAGAACTAGACTTCACTTTCCAGATTGCCTTTCAAAAGATGGTGGGCATGAACTGAGCTCTATCTAATTGCAAGTGAGCAGAAAAACATGTATCATTTTCAAACAAAACATCTGAGAAACAGCGGAGTCCTCTTTATGCCCCCTTATTTTCTTTCTTCCAGCTGGGTGCAGACAATCATTAATCCCCTGTTAATGCCAAAGACAGGTGATGGAGAGAGTTTTTGCCCCTGGATCGCCAGTTGAGAAGAGTCATCTCATGTCCTGACCAGAACATCCTCTTTGGCCCGTTATATCAATGAGGGTAAACATCAGTCAAACCATTGTGTGCTTGGCATTTAATTTTCTGACAGCCTAATCTACTCTAAAGTCTCATATAGGTTGTTGAGGGCACATTTGGTATTTGTGATCATAACTCTGAAGTGAGTCTAACACTGGGTATGGGGTGGTTTGATCCTCATAAGAGTTTGAAGGCAGGAGATCATTGAATATTTGTTATAGAAATAATGAATTCAATGTGGTTGGAAAATTGTTAGACTGAGAGTGCTGGAGTGAGTGACTAGGATAAGTAAGGGAGCTGTATTAGTCCATTCTCATGCTGCTAATAAAGACATACCAGAGACTGGGTAATTAATAAAGGAAAGAGGTTTAATTGACTCACAGTTCTGCATGGTTAAGGAGGCCTCAGGAAATGTACAATCATGGCAGATGGAGAAGTAAACACGTCGTTCTTCACATGGTGGAAGCAAGAAGTGCCAAGCAAAAGGAGGAAAGCCCCTTATAAAACCATCAGATCTCATGAGAATGAATCACTATCACAAGAACAGCATGAGGGTAACTGCACCTATGATTAAATTACCTCCCACCAGCTCCCTCCCACAACACATGAGGATGATGGGAACTACAATTCATGATGAGATTTGGGTGGGGACATAGCCAAACCATATCAGGACACATAAGAATAGGAGTTGATAGTCAGGGAATGAGACTTTAGTGATTCAAGGTCTAGAGTAGAATCTTAGGAGTAGGTACCTAGGTAGGAAGGAGGAACAGATTGTAGAGGTCTAGAAGGTGATGAATCTGAAAGATCTTCACTTCAATTACAAAAAGAGCAAATGGATATATTGCAGAGATGGGTGGAGGCGCTCTTACTTTTTTGTGCCCAGTTGGAATTAAGGTGTGATCAGACATAAACATTTATCTTCATTCTGCTTGGTGGTCCACTACCTTACAGCCATGTAACATCCTAAGACATTTTCAGGTGATTCAGAGGGAAGTGTTATTGAATCACACTTCAAAATTCATATTGTGCTCCCATTGTTCTTAATGATTTAGCTGAAAGATCTAAACTGTCAAATCATAACAGAAATGCACAACAGTGTAATCAGAGAATAGTGTTTTTCTTTGCTTGGAAAATAAAAACCTTATTTCACATTTGCATTTTCCCCAAGTCTGTTTGCTGTAAAAATCTGAAGCTAAACACAAACCCAGCCTGTTGCTTCTTCCAGCGAACATTAATTGTCTCCAATCATTGTTAGAGCATCTGTTTCACATTTTGACAAGTGCACTCATCTTCTTTTTTTCCCTTCATATTCCTCTGGTAAAAATAATGAATAAATTACAGGGGGATGACAAATGTGTTGATAATCAAGATGAAACATAAATGAAGTGGAAGAGGCTGTATTTCTTTGCAGAGTTGTAAATTGCTTTCTTTTCTTGTGCATCAGCATGCCTGACTTAGAAACTAAAAATACCAACACAGGGAAAATTAACAGAATTGATCCAACAGAAATTATTTTTCATAGGTGAAATAAATACACAGAATTTTTTTCTGACATTGTGTATCATAGTTGCCTCACAATCTGGGTAATTTAGGAAAGAGCAATTCTAAGAGGATTAAATGGTAGTGAATCTAGTACATGTTAGTTGCATTTGAAAATAACTGTTAAAGATTTAATGGAATTTGGGAGTGTCCAGTTGAAGAGAGAAATCTTTACTGTATTCCCAGTGTATCAACTTCTGAGAGAAAGAGCTCCACCCTAGTTGTCAGGAGACTTCAGCTCCATCTCTAGCTCCTTCCCATCAGCTTCACTGTGAAAATACAAAGTGTTAGTATGGCAAGCTGGCTAATCACTGCACTCCGGGTTCACATCAGTGAAAAATAAAAGGTTGGATAGATGAGCGGGGGTCCTCAGTGGTGGCCCACTGACTAAGACTTGCAGAATTGCTCCTTTTTTTAAAAAATCTTTCTTTTGATTGCCTTTAGAAGGGACTGGCTCTGTCTAGTATGACCATTACTTATTTTCCAACACCTGGGCAGTAACCTATCTGAAGTCTAGAGGTATTTGATTTGCAGAGATCTAGACTAGATAATCCTTTCACACTCATAGTGCTCACATATTCCATATCTTCTATTTCTGTCTGTCTGTATTCAGATTATTGATATCCTGATCCCTTTTCTTTCATTAACATTATACTTCTAAATTTGAAACCAGAAAAAAGAGTTCAGAACATACAGAGTCTACATGATCCATCTGAGCAAGCACAAGCTCACTGGCAAGTTTTTCCCTAGTTATAAAATAAATATATGTTATATAAGTTATCAAAGAAATATGTGTGTGTGTGTATGTGTATATATGTGTGTGTATATATATGTGTACATATATATCTATATATATATACACACACACACATATACAGCCGGGCATGGTGGCTCACGCCTATAATCCCAGCACTTTGCGGGGGCCGAGGCTGGTGGATTGCTTGAAGCCAGGAGTTTGAGACCAACTTGCCAACATGGTGAAATCTTGTCTCTACAAAAAAATACAAAAATTATCTGGGTGTGGTGGCACATGCACGTAATCCCAGCTACTCGAGAGGCTGAGACAGGAGAATTGCTTGAACCCGGGAGGCAGATGTTGCAGTGAGCCGAGATCACGCCACTGCACTCCAGCCTGGCAACAGAGCAAAAACCCTGTCAAGAAAGAAAGAAAGAAAGAGAGAGTAAGAGAGAGAGAGAGAAAAAAGAAAGAAAGAAAGAAAGAAAGAGAGAGAGAAAGAAAGAAAGAAAGAGAAAGAAAGAAAGAAAGAAAGAAAGAAAGAAAGAAAGAAAGAAAGAAAGAAAGAAAGAAAGAAAAGAACGAACGAACATACATAAATACAACAAATCCTAAGAGGGACAATTCTATTTACACATTGAAGCATAGTAAAGCCTTGGCATATGCTTTATTTTGAATGGATATTTTTAAAATACAGTAACCTTTGCTGGGGAAAAAGACTGTCCCTGCACCTGCAATTTCTGTACATACACTTGAAAAATTTTCTTTATGAATGGATTTCCATGAGACTGCTAGGCTAAATGTAGAAAGCACTGTGCAAACATGAGTTCCACTTTACATATGCAAATATATGTTGAAACTTAGAGTTGCTGTCTTGCATGGATAAACTATGTCCCAGTAGATTTGAATTAAGAAGGAAATGTCTGAAGTAGCGATAAGGAACAACCACAGTAATTAAGAAACTTCTCTGTTCTTAGAAAATTGACACATCCTGTATGTGGAAAATTGCCACTTTATAAATATATTATGCAGTTACTACCATATGGGCTGTTTTGCTACAGCTATTAAGATGCAATTTAGTAAAGATTTGAACTGAAGAAATAAATATATTTGCCCCACAATATAAACTGAATGCTATTTTTGAATTTATGTAAAAATTGGCTCACTTTTTCTATTGTTTAATATCATGTTATCTTTCTTTGTATATAAAATATTAAAATATTTGAGTCAGAAGTGAAATACATAAGCTCTATATATTTCATAGTAGATATCTTTAAACTCACAAATTTAATTCTTTCAAAAATGATTTTGTCTTGGCATAAAGTTTTCACTTTACATGAATTTCTCTATATATTCACCAAATAGAAACGATATTAAAATAAAACTATTAAAACATTCTTTATTCTGATTTGGTTTAGAAAAAAATGTTTAATCTGGTTTATTTATATAAGGCACTAATTATTTCCTAAGGAAATAATTTCAGTGTCTGGACAAAATGATAATTTTATCATTGATGCCATTTAATGCATGCTGTGCTTTGGTTTCACCAGAAAACAGACTCTGAGAGAGTTTATTGCTCAGGAAGATTATTAGGAAGTGACCTTAAGATCATCAGTAAGGGAGATGAGGAAGCAAAATTGGGTAGAGAGAGAAGTGTAGCCTTGATAGAGACTCAAGGGCCTCATTTGACACCACAGGAAGCTGGGGAACTGGAATGTCTCTTTGGAGGTTTAATGCTTATTATCAAGCAGTGTAGAAATATTTCAATGTTTTAACCACCAGCACCCTAAATACATACCAGTGAATAGTAGCCCTACCTGTGAAATTTCCTAAGATCTATTTTCTTTCTTCCTTTTCAATTAATCTCCACCCACTCTATGCCTTGTTTGACAAATTCATCCACAGTGGCATTTTTTCCCTGTCTTTTGAACATATGAAACTTCTTCTCATATTAGACATTTTCATTTGCTCTTTCTCCTGTTTCAAAAACTTCTTCTCTCTATCTTCCTATGACTGCTTCCTTCTCATCTTTCAGCTTCAAATTAAATGTTGCCTCTTGGGAGAGCACTTCTCAGGCACATTAGCCTCTCTGCCTCTTCACCCACTCTTACCCTCTTCATAGCATGTATCAGTATCTAATTTCCTTGCTTATTTACGTACTGGCAAGAAGTTAACAATTTATCTTCCCCTATCAAATAACAATCTTTGATAACTGTCTTGCTCAACACTCTATTTCTACTGCGTAAATGTCCTTCACTAAGAAAATTTCCAAATCCAGAATATCTGGTGGTGCATATTAATCAAGAATAAATGTCTGAATTAATAGATGCTAACCTCAACACACCTCCTTTTCTTCCAACACTGCCTCTTACGTTTCACTCTCAGCCTCATCTCCTCATTTTTCTTTGTCTTGTCCCCCAGTTGAACATATTTCTGAAAATTTATATTGAAAATTTACCACAGATATTCCATGACTAATTAAAAGAGATGAGACAACGTACCACATTCCACCCTCAACTTAAAATTTCAACTGTCTTAAATCACTCATTTATTTAGAAAACATTTATTGAGCTCCCTTTGGAGCCAGCACTCTGCTACTTGCTGGGGATACAGTGCTGAATAAGAAATGGGCTTTACCCTTAAGGAATTCACAATGCTGTGGAATGACTTATCTCTAAGCACAGCAATTCAAATAAGCATAGTCAGTGCATGGCCCAAGTATGCATAAGGTGCTGGGCAAGCCATCAGGGGAAGCAGGTGGCGTACAGAGTCAATAAAATTTCATTGATTCTCAGAAGTCATGAGTCACCCCAAGGATATGGAAGGCCAAAAGCACAAGATAAACATGCCTCTACAAATGGCTCCTTCAATTGGACTGGATTGTGGGTGGAAACTTTAAATCGGTAAATATTTTCTTATAGGCTATCAAAGATTCTACCTTTAAATTAAAAAGAAAATAGCAAAAAAACTACACAAACTGAAACTTTGTGCGGTTCTGAGGGTGTCTGATTTAAGCTTCTCTAATGGTATTCCTTTTATATCCAGCTTTGCGAGAAAAGGAGTTTATTGCCGTGATTTGGGATTTTCACCTTCATATATTTCTATCTCTTCCTTCTATCATTAATAAATTTACTGACCTCTTGTTGCCACCATCAAAACCAAGAGTATTATTTGAAAGACATATGTCCTTTAAAATTATTGCCAAGACAGGGCATAAGAATAGACTCAATCCTACTGACTACAATTTTCTCTTCAAGATCAGAGTTCTGTTGTAAGACAATGAGAGCTCTGTGCTAGAGGGGAAACAGGTATCCATAAAATTGAGCCCCCTAGAACCATCCACTCAGATAATTTATCATTCTACTCTCACAGAATTGTGATGTTCCTTCGCCCCGTCACTGCCACCTTGTTACTTTTGTTTTATACATCCTTTCAGATTTTCACATGATCACAACCTTACAGCAACCTTCAAATATGCTAGTTAGCAAAAATATCCAAATATGAACAGAAATGCCTGTTACGAATTAAGCTGAGGGACAAAAATACCTGCTTGGCATGATGTTATTTTGTTTCTATTTAAATTCAGAGTTATTACATTTTATATAGCTTGCTTCTTATTGGTCCATTTTTGTTCTCCTTTCAAGTCAATGTAATGCATTTCAACGGTGCCAAATTATCAGCAAAGACTTGAATTTTTATTTAGGTCACAGAACAGATATGGCATCAGCAGCAATAAGTAATCATATCAATGTTACTTGAATAAACATTTATTGACTACTATGAACAGAACAAGATCCTTGACAAATATTCCAGTGGCTCTATCTACAATCCATGCCAAACAAAATAGTAGATCTATGAATAAGCTAAATTTAAAAGAGAAAAGATAAATGAGAGAGAGAAAGAGAGAGACGACACAGTAATATTTTGGGACTATGTATACTATTAAAGAAAATTTTATTTCTTCATCTTCATAAAGCCAACTGGCAGCACCTAACACTACCTCTTTCCTAAAGGTCATTCTGTTAGGCCTCAAAGTATTGACAAAACTTCTCATTAAAGGGAAAGGTGTAATAAGTTTCTTAATTTAGATTAGGTAAAGAAAGTTATCCCACTGTTAAATTATCTTTGGACAGACCATCAATTAACGGCAATCAAGTTATCTCCTTCTTTTCTGATAACTCTTTTAAGAGCTCTAAATAAAGGCAATGACTAAATCTGCATTGTCAATTAAAGCCTATAAGAAAGAATGTCATCCCTTGTCACCACTGTGAAATCAGTAAGGTAGCATGGTGGGTGCCAACCCAAGTGTGGGTAAGTCTATGTTCTGGACTTTTTTGCTGAGAATAAGAAATACACCCATGCTGGGTTTGTGAATAGGAACATTTCAGTTTGCCCTTCATGCCTTGATGGATGTGATTTTATTTATTTATTTATTTATTTATTTTTAGTAAACTAACCATTTAAAAATAAAACTTAATCAGATTTGCAATATATGATGGAATTTCCCTCCCTGGTCACAGTTGAAATGACTAAGAGAAAGGGAACAAAAATAATGACAATTATGTCAGTGATGAAAATCAAAGAAAAGCGCCAACCATAGGCCATAAACTGAACGTTTTCAGTAATTATTTCAGCATGATGCACAAGGGGCTCTTGTAGTAGCAGCTTTTCTACCTCAGTCTGGATCCTAGAAGTTTAATAAGGTACAATCACCCTTGAGTTTGGAACTTTCATGCCTGGAAATGAGAATGAGCAGAGGACCAGTATGCTAAGAGTAGGAATAGTGGGTATTAATATGCATGCTCTCTGTCAGAATGGTCAGTCCTAAACTACCATTGTAAGGAAAATGGGATGGGACGCTACTGAGTGATACTTCTGAGTTCTGTAAGTTGGAAATTAATTAATGTGTGTCCCTTGGTAACTTTAGGATACAGAATAAATATAGAAAACCCACCTCTCAGCTCAGAAATGTAGCTTCTACGGTGTTATTGCAATTATTGAACACATAGTTTCTGCTTACCTGAACTGCTAATATGAAGAAAAATTAAAGCTCTAAATAATATAAATTGTCTCCTTTATCTTTGTTCTAGAATAAAATAATTGATAAAGGAGCAGTACAGTCTCTGAGAGAAAAAAAAATGCCCACTCCAAATATTGAACAAGTGTGTAGACCTGCTTCTTAAGGATACATATAGTGTGCATTTGGAGAGCTTGCCTGCCTTGTATTCATTCATCTTTATCCTAATGAAGGTACTGTGCTTTAGCTTTGGTGAAACCATGCTACTCCACCCTTTTTCCCTTTGTCTGGGTAAGATGGATCATAGTAATTACTCTTGGGATTGGCATATAACTCAAGTCTAAGCTAACTGATATATCCATCTCTCTGAACAAATTGATGGCCCTGATCATCTTTGGGCCCATAAATACCAGGCCTTGACTTTTAAGAAATTGTTGCAAAGAGAAAAGTTCCCTTTATAAAAAGCAGTTAAACTCTGGCAATGACAGTGCAGCACGCTTGGCAGCCATATTTCTATTACTTAGACATAACTGGCCTGAAAATGGAGTCAATGAGAGACAATCTAAGAAATCACAATAAATATTCCTAAATGAGAAAAACCTAATATGAAAGTGCTTTTAAAATGTAATTTGTATTCTAGAAATAATCATTAAAGACCTTATATGTATTAATAAAAAAATTTGAGGTTCCAGAAAGGTGACTTCCAAAAGAAATATGTGAAAAAAATATATTTGAGATTGAAAAATACTTTTGGATGGCCAATTAGATATTGCAAAACCTGCATCAGTAATTAGAAGGAAACCTTGAGAAATTCTCATATAATACAAAAGAATTCTTAAAGAAATAGCCATAACAATCCAATTGAGAAATACAAAAAAGGTTCACACAGGCCCTTCACAAAAGAGGTTATCCAAATGGCCCATAGCATATGAAAAAGTGTTCAACATCATCACTTATGAAGAAAACATTCCAATTATACAACCATTTGAGTGGCTAAAATATTAATAAAACAAACAAAAACTAAATGATAAATTTTAGCAAAACTAAAATTATCAAATATTTGTCAAAATGTGTATCAACTGGAAGTCTCATACACTTCCTGATGGAGTATAAACTGGGCAGCCCTTTGAATATGTACTTAGTGGCTTCTATTACAGCCAAATATATATTTACTCTACGCTTGCCTCTTCTAGATTTATACCCAAGAAAATTAAGTGCATACGTCCATCAAAAGACATGTGCAAAAATGTGGATAAACTTCTATTCATTAAAAAGCTTGAAACAACTCAAATATCCCATCAACAAAAAAGACACATATTTACATCTTAATAGTAATAATAATTTTAAAAATTGAGCTACTGCACTTAATAACATAGATAAATTGCATAAACATACTGTTTTAAGCAAAAGAAACCTAACACAAATGAGGACTATATTTTATAAACAAGATAATATTTTATGTGTAGGATATAGCTTGTAAATTAGTAAGAGGGAATCTTCTAGCATAATGGTAATATTATGTATCTAATTTGGATTGTCATAAACAAGCATATGCATATATAGAAGTTGATCAATTTATACATTTAGTGTATACTTTGATAAATGTTAATTACATCTCAATTAAAAATAACTAATAAATGATGTATACAACAGAGGACACATCTAGAAATGTACATGTAATTTCACTTGGGGAGAATGAAGCAGGGAAGATATGAACTACAATCAAATAAATAATATCCATTTTATATTTATACTATAACTAGAAATTAATGTCAACTCTAAAGAATAATCAAATTATTGCAATTAAAAATAAATCCATTTTCAGTCATTCAAAAAGAAATCTAACACTGTAATCATATAGCGTTTTTTAAAAAAAGGATAACAAGAAATATAGACTGTGGCCAGAGTGAATCAAAGACAAAAGTTATTGTTTCTAAACTTTAAGAAAGACTGAAAATTAAGAAGTACTCAGATAAAACCTTAGAAAAGTGCAATTAAATAAATTAAAATAAAATCACAGTTAAAAGGCAGACATCAATTTATTAAAAACAGAAACGGAGTTGAAATTAAAAATAAATATTTATTTATTTGAAAATTAGCCAGTAAGGTAGACACCGCTATGCAATGTCAAAGTGAGGAAAACAACAATTCTCATCAGATTCAGAAATAGTTAAAAATTACAAGATAATAAAGGGATTTGTCATTATATAAGACAATTTTGATGAAAATGCTTATATCCTAGACATGCAAGTTTTCAAAATGCACATAAGTATAAATTAAGCTACTTCTAGTCAGATCCTCAACATCCTCATCATCTTCAGCAAATTGTTCTGTTCGTCTTTCACCAGTAAGTAAATTTTGGTAATTCTACCCTGTCATTATAATTTGAGTCTAAGTCAATCAACCCATTTCTACTACCACTGTCCTAGTTCAGGCCACAGATTTCTCTCCCTTAACCAGCAACAGGCATTGTTCTTTCTTCTGATTTGTTCCACATCTCCACTCTCTGTAAATCTTTTAAAAATTACTGACCATTGCTTTTTCTAAAATATCAATCTGGTTATCTTGTTATCCTGAATAAAATTATTTTGTGCTCCCATATACATTTGCATTCTGGATGATGTTTAAAACCACTGTCTGTTGTTTCAAGGTACTCTAGGTGTTTTTTTTTTTTTTATACTTTAAGTTTTAGGGTACATGTGCACAACGTGCAGGTTTGTTACATATGTATACATGTGCCATGTTGGTGTGCTGCACCCATTAACTCGTCATTTACCATTAGGTATATCTCCTGATGTTATCCCTCCTCCGCTCCCCCCACCCCACAACAGGCCCCCGTGTGTGATGTTCCCCTTCCTGTGACCATGTGTTCTCATTGTTCAATTCCCACCTATGAGTGAGAACATGCGGTATTTGGTTTTTTGTCCTTGCGATAGTTTGCTGAGAATGATGGTTTCCAGCTTCATCCATGTCCCTACAAAGGACATGAACTCATCATTTTTTATGGCTGCATAGTATTCCATGGTGTATATGTGCCATATTTTCTTAATCCAGTCTATCATTGTTGGACATTTGGGTTGGTTCCAAGTCTTTGCTATTGTGAATAGTGCCACAATAAACATACATGTGCATATGTCTTTATAGCAGCATGATTTATAATCCTTTGGGTATATACTCAGTAATAGGATGGCTGGGTCAAATGGTATTTCTAGTTCTAGATCCCTGAGGAATTGCCACACTGACTTCCACAATGGCTGAACTAGTTTACAGTCCCACCAACAGCGTAAAAGTTTTCCTATTTCTCCACAAAAGAAACTACCATTAGAGTGAACAGGCAACCTACTGAATGGGAGAAAATTTTTGCAATCTACTCATCTGACAAAGAGCTAATATCCAGAATCTACAATGAACTCAAACGAATTTACAAGAAAAAAACAAACAACCCCATCAACAAGTGGGCGAAGGATATGGACAGACACTTCTCAAAAGAAGACATTTATGCAGCCAAAAGACACACATGAAAAAATGCTCATCATCACTGGCCATCAGAGAAATGCAAATCAAAACCACAGTGAGATACCATCTCACACCAGTTAGAATGGCAATCACTAAAAAGTCAGGAAACAACAGGTGCTGGAGAGGATGTGGTACTCTAGGTTTTATGCAACACGCTCACTTGTTCAAGTCCATCTAAGCCAACTCGATCATTCGTACCTACTATTTGAGGGGCGCAGACAGCAGGTTTTGATAGATTCCAATATTTAGAAATGAGCAATATCTACATAGGTTTCTTCCCCCAGTAATCTCACTGTCAAACTCTGTGTTATAATGAAAGCAAGTCTCAGAAATAATTCTGTCACATCAGCAAAACTTTATTAATGAAAAAAGGAACAAAAAATGTTATTAAGCTCGTTCTGAAAGCTTAGATGAATTATCTGTTCCCTAAGAACCTTGCATGAAAGATTTATTTGAGGCAGACACAACAAGTAGCAAGCTTCAGATAACATTTTATTAGGCTCAGCAGAGATAATCTGCCTTCATCCACGTAAACAGACTTAAAAGAGTCTCCTGGTCACTCTGAAGGTTCTGCAGGCTATTGGTCTTGATGGAAACTTACACTGAATTCAAGCAAAGAAAGGTTGTATCTGTACAATATCTTGAACACCATGAATTCACCAATGAAAAGTTATTTCTATCATTTGTTATGCTAATTAACAAGCTTGTTAATACTGATCAAAAATGAAACTCAAACACATGTAATAACTGCCTTTGAAATGTGGCTTCTGATTAAAAATTTTCAAATGTGTTCTTGATTAGGGTACTTCAAATGCTAACTACCCTCCCGCCACTAACTCAATGATTAGAAATCAAACACACATGTATACACTGCTTATACATAAATATTTAAAACAGACAAGATGATCCTCTTTCCACTGGCACTTCAGCCAGTCTGAATAATTTTAATTCCTGTGAACACATTATAATTTCTAGGTCTTTGTATGTTCTCTGCCTCAGTAACACTTGCATTCCTCCATGTTTTCACATAGAGAACTTATATCCATTCTTCAGATTTGCTCTTTTAGGAAGTTTACTTTAATCTGCCGTATTTGGACTAGAAATTCTAACTGCTTTTATTAGCAAATTGTGCATGATCATTATAGCACCCTTTGCCAGTATTATATTGTACGTATTTGCTTAATTATATGTGATGTTTCTCTACACTTTTAGGATGAACAAATAATGTATCCTGGTTCATGCCCAGGTTCCTTGAGTATACACCTGTGGGTAATAGCAGGCAATCTACAAGTCTAGTCTATTTCTTTTCATTTATTCTAAATTTATTGTAGTATATTTCAAATTCATTCCCTTTCCACTTAGTGGACAAGTCATGGATCTTAGGATACTTTAACTTCATTTATCCCTAATCCTAATACCCATTTTTCTATTATTGCATTATATGAGATATATATATAGAGAGAGAGAGAGAAAGAGAGCAATAGATAGATAGATGGATAGATAGATAGATAGATAGACAGACAGACAGACAGATAGATAGATAGATATGTATGTGTGTGTTTGTGTTAAAACCCTATATTAGGCTCAGCAGAGAGAATCTGGCTTCATCCAAGTAAACAGACATAAAAGAGTCTCCTGGTCACTCTGAAGGTTCCACAGGCTATTCATCTTGATGGATTCTTACACTGAATTCAAGCAAAGAAAGGTCGTATCTGTACAATACCTTGAAAATCACAAATTGGTACTTTGTACAAATATTTATTATAATTTTAGCACCAATATTCATATATTAACTCTTTCCAGTGTCCTTCATTTCCATTTTTCTATGTAGTATGATTTTTCCTCTGTCTGAAAACTGTCCATAAAACATTTTTGGGGAAATTTGCCAGTGAAGATCTCTCATCACTTTTGTTTGTTTGGAAATGTCCTTGTTTTGCTTGCATTTTTGAAGAATATTTTTATTGAGTATAAAATTCTGGAACAGCTGATTTTTAGTATTTTTAAAATGTTATTTTATTGTTTCCTGTCATTCATTTTTGCTGAGAAGTTAGCTATCAGTTTTATTGATTTCCTGGATGCTTTTAAGATTTTTCTCTTGTTTGATTTTCAACAATGATACATCAATGTATCCAGACGTGATGTTCTATATGTTTATCCTGATTGGTTTGCAGAGTGTTTAAAATCTGTGGCTTGATATCTGTCTTAGTCTGTTTGCTGTTGCTGTAAAGAAATACCTGAGACTGGTTAAATTATTAAAAAAGAGTTTATTTAACTCACAATTCTGTTGGCTAAAAAATTGGGCTCCTGGTGAGGGCCTAACGCTGCTTCCACTCATGGAAGCAGGCAAAGGGAAGCCTTAGTGTGCAGGGATACATGATAAGAGAGAAAGCAAGAAGGGGAGGGATGAGGCTTTAAATTAGTGCAAACTGTAGTCATCTTTCTCTGCTATCAAACATTAGAACTTATTTATCTGACTGTACGTTTTGTTCCATGCTCTTTTTAATAATCAGCTCCTGTGGGAAGTAATAAGAGTTAGAACTCATTCACCCTCCACCTTCCACCAACGGACTGTATTAATCTATTCACGAAGAATTTGCCCCCATGACCCAAACACCTCCCATTAGGCTCCACCTCCAACATTGGGGGTCAGATTTCACCATGAGGTTGGGAGGGAACAAATACCCAAACCATAAATGTTTTTCTTCAGTTGTGAAAAAGTCTTATGTATGATTCTTTCAAATATTGCTTAAAGTCCTTTTCTCTATCTCCTTTACCTCTTGGGAGTCGCTCTTTTCTATATTTATCTTATGATTTTTTTTCTAAAATGTTCCATCCATTTTTTCTTCATACATTATTCTGGATCTTTTCTACTGACTTGTCATCATTTTTATTCTGTAAGTGTAAGGTGTACAATATGATATTCTGACATACACAGTGAAATAATTACTATAGGTAAGAATTTAACACCTTCACCATCTCATAGAATTATGTTTTTCTTTTTGTGACAGCACCACCTAAAATCTACTCAGAAAATTTCTACTGTACTATACATAGATAATCATTAACTATAGTACTCATGCTGTATTTTTATTTCTTGATTTATTCATCCAACATAACTGCAACTTTCTACCCCTTGATCTACATCTCCCCATTTGCCATCGCCACCCCTCACCTGTGGTAATCATCATTTTATTATCTGTTTCTATTTATTCAGCTCATTTTGTTGTTTGTTTGTTTAGGTTCCATATATAAGAGAGATCATGCAGTATTCTTTCTGTATCTTGCTTATTTCATTTAACACAATGTCCTCCAGTGTCGTTCATGTTGTCAATAACGTAGGCTGCCCTTCTTAAAAGATGAATAATGTTCTATTCTAATATATATATTTAAAATATATACTTAATGTATACATGCCTCAATTTTTATCACTTATAGTTTTAATTAATTCTCTTTTTCTCTCTCAAAATTCCTCTTAATGTATTTATTAAGCTCATAATTAAAATAATTTCATCTTTAAAATAAATAGTTAATTTTAAAAAACTTTGAGATTTACATAAATGTTGCAAAGATAGGACTACAGGCTCTTGTATGCCCTACATTCAGTTCCCCTATTGTTAATATCTTACCATAGTATAGTACTTTTATCAGAACTCATGAACCAATATTAATGTGTTAACCATTCTATTTTTAAGTTTTTATCACTCCATTATATTTTCTCTTACGTTTTCTGGAACTCTGGTAAAATGCACCTTGTAATCTATTTTCCTCAAATACTAATCATAGTTATGTTAATATCTTTGTCCAATAACTTCAACAATGGGATTATCTGTAAGTTGATTTCTCTAGCTGTTTTCCTTTTGTTCTTTTTTTGTATAGCTGGTGTTTAATTTTTTAATGTCAGTCATCATTTATAAAAAGTTTTGGAAGTTCTGGAATATGTGTTTTTTTATCTGGAGAAGGTTCATTTGACCCTCTGATATAGAGAAAACTATATTAAACCCAACAATAATCGGACTAATTTCAAGGCAAGGTTCTGCCTACTTCTGGAACATTTGCGCTACTAAGAAGAAGCTGTCCAGTGAGTACTGCTTGAAAGTCTTGAGCAATGACTAGGGCTTCTATTATTTGGTGGCTTGTATACACATTGCATTTTTGCAGTTCTGTGAGATTGCAGATACTCTTGGTCTGCTTTTTGATGGCTTTCTGCTTGTCTCTTTAGTTCCCTTCCTTGAAACGCTTAATCTTCAAATACCTTTAAGAGAGAACTGTGCGTTGTTTAGGATTGATCCTCCCTGATCTTGGCCTTCTAACTCCTAGCTGCTTTTGCTGCACTGAATTTCACATTAGCTTTCCTTAGAGTTAAGCCATTTCTCAAAGCTCTTCTGGCTTCTTTACCTGTTAGCCATAGCCTTCTACCTGGATTTCTCCACCACTTGTGCTTCGTGAATTTGCAATCAGTACGAAGAGAAAAATGGTTCACAGAATGCACAGGTCTTGGCTCTTCAAGTCCTAATTGCCTTGGAAGCTCATTGATATCCCGAAACACATTGTTTTCTCTAATATTACATGATCTATCTAATTTTCTCAGTGGGGTCATTTATCTACCATAAGCTACTCTATTTTGGATAAAATGAAAGTCTTTCTTCATCATTCTTTTACTGTTGTAATTTGTTTTACTCATTTAAGGTAAAACAGATGCAGTAAAATGTGCAAACTGTAAGTATAGAGGAAAAGGCCTATATAAAAAAGTATTTTTATGCAAGCAATAATCAATATTTTAATATTTTGACCTGAGAGGTACATGTATTTAATGGGAGGGGAGGTACAAATATTTGATCTGGAAGTATTTGTACCTCTCAGATCAAAGTATTAAAATATTGATTATTGCTTACATCACAAAAGGCCCCTAGAGATCATTCACCATTGTGCAGGGAACTGCTATTCTAACCACAATCTCTAGCTCCTTTGATCAATGTTACCTGTTTCTGAATTTCTTATAAATGGGATCATACAATATGTCTTTTGTGTCAGCTTTTGTCACATGACATTTAGTTTGAGATTTGTCATTGTAGTTGCATGTATCAATATTTTGCTGTTATTTTTCCTGATGAGTGGTTTTTTCACTATATGAACATATCACAGTTTACTTATCCATTCTATCCATGATAGATATTTTGGTTATTTCCGGTTTGAGAGTTATGCGTATATCTGCTATCTACAGTCTCACACAAGTCCATTTGTAATAATCAGGCACTCATTTTTGAGGAGTATGTGCCTAACAATGAACATTTTTAAATATGAAGCAGAACACTCATTCTCATTGCAATAAGGAAAAGCCAAAAAGCTATTTATAAGCACCACTGTTTTCTATTTCTCTGGAACTGCCAGTCAATATAACTAGGAAATGAACTAAATTAAATACAGAAATATGGCAATAGTGAAGACAAAATGATTACCATTAGTAAGAATAAGATTCCCTAACTGAAACCACAACAACAAAAACCAAAAACATCCAAATAATGAATGAACCAAATAAACCAAAGTTTATTCATGAAATGAATAAACAGCCTGAAATAAGCCATCCTGCTTAGAAAACATAAAAACTATCCTAGACACCCAAATTGCATTTGACTATAAAAAAGCAGGAAAAGTCACCAAAGACCAACCAAAATGAGTGAATAAAACAAACAAAATGGTTCAAATATGTGACAGTCTTCAAACTTAATCTTTTTAAAAGGTCAATAGATTAAAGAGCCAGTCACCGTGGCTCATACCTGTAATCCCAGCACTTTGGGAGGCTGAGGAGTCCAAGACCAGACTGGACAACATGGCGAAACCCTGTTTCTACAAAAAAATAGAAAAATTAGATGTGGTGATGCGCATCTGTAGTTCCAGCTACTCAGGAGGCTGAGTTGGGAGAATTACCAGAACCTGGGGAGGTCGAGGCTACAGTGAGCCGTGATAGAGCCACTGCACTGCAGCCTCCAGCCTGGGCAGCAGAGTGAGACCCTGTCTAAAAATACCTTAATTTAATTTATAACATAGAATCTAGACATTCAGATAAATAACTATGCTAAAAGTTGTCATTAAATAATTGGCATAATGTAATTTGAATTCTGCCCTTCTTTTTGATGCCTACAGATAACTGTTTTTACAAAAAAACAACTTTTCCAAGGATAGCATATGATATATACCTTATGAACAAGAAGAAAACAATTTAGATATTTTCCTGTTTCTATGGAGAATTAATGCAACTAATAGGGGGTGTATGGGATTTCTGTTCAATAGAAGTAACATTATTTTAAATCAAATCACCTCTTCCATATGAACAACTAACTAAAGAAAGACAGAAAAGTCAGAATAGATTGTTATTTCTATATTTCTCTTTTTTAGCCATAGTATATCCCACCATTAGTGACCATCCAGGGAGACTAGCAACTGCGTTTATTAATTAACACAGTCTAAATTTTAATATTGTCTACCTAGGTATGACTCATTGTGAAAACATAATAAAGGTTCACAAGAAAAAGAAGAAATACTGCTAAGATCCTAAAACTTACACAAACATATACAGGATATTCAATTAATTTTATTTCAGTATATTTGAAAATAAGGTTAAACTGTGCCTTCATTAACTAAAAAAAATCAATCAAATATATATTATGTCCAAAAAAGCACTCAATACACATTTGTCGATGGAAGATTGCAGATTTAATTTCTTATTATAATACTCTCATTAAACCTTGATTAAATCAGTAATATAGTGCTAGGTACACAGTACACAATTCATAATCGTTGAACATGAATTTGAATCAGTATTTAGGTTAGTGGTCTGTAACTCTATTGTACTCTCTGGCCTGGCAACAAGAAGGGGTTTTTATTCCATGCCCATGACCCCTAAAGTTTTCTGGATGGTTGGAGATGAGAAGGAGAAAACATAAACATTTTCTTTGGGCAAGGCTTTCTCAATTTTCCTGTTTTGGGATAATAAAGTATGAGTTTTAATTAAGTTTGTAGGCTTACCATCTGTGAGCATCTGGAGTTTCATTCTGTTGCAGTGTTGAAGCAAGTGCACCAATTCCAATTCTGAAAATGTAGAATATGTAGAACAAATAGCCATGTAATGGACAGCAGTTATTTTATTTTCCTTAAGGTCACTTTTCATTCTGTCTTTGAGTCTACAAAAGAATTTATATCACCTTTCAAAGTCATTTATATCCCATTATCACATGCACAAAAGCTCATAATAAAACTATTTATCCTTTTTCTCTTTTAATGACTTCCTAAATTTGAGATTTTGTGTTCTTAGCTAACCACTTTTAAACTACAGTTTCTTGAGACCACTGTTTTTCTTTCTTTCTTTCTTTTTTTTTTTTTTTTTTTGAGACAGAGTTCACTCTTGTTGCCCAGGCTGGAGTGCAATGGCACGATCTCGGCTCACCGCAACCTCCGCCTCCCAGGTTCAAGCACTTCTCCTGCCTCAGCCTCCCGAGTAGCTGGGATTACAGGCATGCGCCACCATGCCCAGCTAATTTTGTATTTTTAGTAGAGACAGGGTTTCTCCATGTTGGTCATGCTGGTCTTGAACTCGCGACCTCAGGTGATCCGCCTGCCTTGGCCTCCCATAGTGCTGGGATTACAGGCGTGAGCCACCACGCCTGGCCGAGACCACTGTTTTTCTAATGGATAAGACAAAAGCATTCATTTTGTTTACAAAGATAGTAGGGTTTTTTTTCTTTTTAAGGTATTGCTATAAAAAGTAATTCTGAAGTTTGCTATTTTTTTTCCTAAATGAAAGTTTGGAAAACAGAAAGGTCTGGTTTTAAGATTTTCAAAAGGATAGGATCATTTTTTATCTATAAGGTTAAATAAGATGATGCCTAGACCATTTTAAGGTCATAAAGCAGGAAAACAACATCAACTGATGCTAAATCATCCAGAGTATGGTCTTAAAATTATGACGTAAAAATACCATTATTAATATGTAATAGAGTGATCAGTTCTGGATGGCATATGTTGTTGGAAATGCATTTAATTTAGTCTTTTGTTATAATTATTGTCAAAAGCATTGATCAAGTAAGATATATTTATGCAATTGGAGACGATGTGATATTGTGGAAAAGCATAATCACTAGACCTAAGCCTTAGCTCTAAAGAAATATCAATAATTTACATGTACTTTCAGATAGAGGAATTTTAACAGCCTATAAATTAGCAGCCTTCCGTCAGTTAAATGGAAATTTACATTTAAAATATAAATTGGTGTCTTGAGATTTAAAAAAGCATTTTTATTTTCTCCCATTTTGTAGGTTGCCTGTTCACTCTGATGGTAGTTTCTTTTGCTGTGCAGAAGCTCTTTAGTTTAATTAGATCCCATTTGTCAATTTTGGCTTTTCTTGTCATTGCTTTTGGTGTTTTAGACATGAAGTCCTTGCCCATGCCTATGTCCTGAATGGTAATGCCTAGGTTTTCTTCTAGGGTTTTTATGGTTTTAGGTCTAACATTTAAGTCTTTAATCCATCTTCAATTGATTTTTGTATAAGGTGTAAGGAAGGGATCCAGTTTCAGCTTTCTACATATGGCTAGCCAGTTTTCCCAGCACCATTTATTAAATAGGGAATCCTTTCCCCATTGCTTGTTTTTCTCAGGTTTGTCAAAGATCAGATAGTTGTAGATATGCGGCGTTATTTCTGAGGGCTCTGTTCTGTTCCATTGATCTATATCTCTGTTTTGGTACCAGTACCATGCTGTTTTGCTTACTGTAGCCTTGTAGTATAGTTTGAAGTCAGGTAGTGTGATGCCTCCAGCTTTGTTCTTTTGGCTTAGGATTGACTTGGGGATGCAGGCTCTTTTTTGGTTCCATATGAACTTTAAAGTAGTTTTTTCCAATTCTGTGAAGAAAGTCATTGGTAGCTTGATGGGGATGGCATTGAATCTGTAAATTACCTTGGGCAGTATGGCCATTTTCACGATATTGATTCTTCCTACCCATGAGCATGGAATGTTCTTCCATTTGTTTGTATCCTCTTTTATTTCCTTGAGCAGTGGTTTGTAGTTCTCCTTGAAGAGGTCCTTCACATCCCTTGTAAGTTGGATCCCTAGGTATTTTATTCTCTTTGAAGCAATTGTGAATGGGAGTTCACTCATGATTTGGCTCTCTGTTTGTCTGTTGTTGGTGTATAAGAATGCTAAATTTTCGCAACCTACTCATCTGACAAAGGGCTAATATCCAGAATCTATAATGAACTCAAACAAATTTACAAGAAAAAAACAAACAACCCCATCAAAAAGTGGGCAAAGGATATGAACAGACACTTCTCAAAAGAACACATTTATGCAGCCAAAAGACACATGAAAAAATGCTCACCATCACTGGCCATCAGAGAAATGCAAATCAAAACTACAATGAGATACCATCTCACACCAGTTAGAATGGCAATCATTAAAAAGTCAGGAAACAACAGGTGCTGGAGAGGATGTGGAGAAATAGGAACACTTTGACACTGTTGGTGGGACTGTAAACTAGTTCAACCATTGTGGAAGTCAGTGTGGCGATTCCTCAGGGATCTAGATCTAGAAATACCATTTGACCCAGCCATCCCATTACTGGGTATATACCCAAAGGACTATAAATCATGCTGCTATAAAGACACATGCACACGTATGTTTATTGTGGCACTATTCAAAATAGCAGACTTGGAACCAACCCAAATGTCCAACAATGATAGACTGGATTAAGAAAATGTGGCACATATACACCATGGAATACTATGCAGCCGTAAAAAATGATGAGTTCATGTCCCTTGTAGGAACATGGATGAAATTGGAAATCATCATTCTCAGTAAACTATCACAAGAACAAAAAAACAAACACCACATATTCTCACTCATAGGTGGGAACTGAACAATGAGAACACATGGACACAGGAAGGGGAACATCACACTCTGGGGCCTGTTGTGGGGTGGGGGGAGGGGGGAGGGATAGCATTGGGAGATATACCTAATGCTAGATGACGAGTTAGTGGGTGCAGCGCACCAGCATGGCACATGTATACATATGTAACTAACCTGCACAATGTGCACATGTACCCTAAAACTTAAAGTATAATAATAAAAAAATAAATAAATAAATAAATGTGAAAAAAAGCATTTTTAATGAAAAGTATAGTATAGGTTTTAGTTATCTATTGCTGTGCATAAAACTACCCCAAAACTTCTTAAACCACAGCTATTTTATCATATACTATAATTTCTGAGAGATAGAATTTTGCAAAGGAGTCAGCTGAATGTTTTTTTGTTTGCTTGTTTGTTTGTTTTTTACGTGACCTTAACTGAGTCAGTTGGTGATAATCAGCTGACAGATGGCCTGGTCTGAAAAAATCTTAAACTGCTTTATTTACATGTCTTTTGTCTTACTAGTGATGACTAGAAAATAGTCAACCAAAGTGTCTACCCAGGCTTCTTCTACTGGCTTGGGATTCCTCACAGTGGGGCAGTCTCAAGATAATCAGATGTATGGAGTGGCTCAGGGCTCCAGTGAATTGTTTTTCAACAGATCTGGGCAAAGGCTGCAAAACTTTTCATGACTTAGCCTTAAAAGTCTCAGAATGTCACATACTCTTAATTTTATTGATTTCCACTAACGCTAACCCAAATTCAAGCGGGGTGGAAACAGACATTGCCCCTCAGTGAGAGAAGTAACAAAGCATTTATGTCCACCTTTAATCTAACACAAAATACACACCAAATAGTATATATTTCATGACTGTACAAATTGACATATTTTCACACATTGGATATGCTGAATAACCAGCACTCAGATTAAAAAAACAGAACATTACCAGCACTCTAGAAGCTCTACTTTATTCTCTCCCTTTTCAGTTGTTAGCCACTCCCTGAACAACAATCAGTATCCTAATTTCTGAAAGCTTAGATTAGTTATTGTGCTTTATAGTAATGGAGTCAGATATCTATCTTCTTTTGAGTCTAGCTTCTTTTGTCCAACATTATATCTGTGAGAATTCATCTATATTGTCGAGTATAGTTTCAGTGTTTATTTTCATTGCTATGAAGTATTCCACTGTGAGAATTACAAGGGAGGCAAAACTTTATCTCTACCCTCTTAGGGTTCTAGCTGGTCTTGAGAATTAAATTTAAAAAAAGATAGAACAGCAGGAAAAAAAATTACAACTTAAGTTTTACATTACCCCAGAGCCATCTTAAGGAATTGGAGACTCAAAGAAGTGGCAAACCCCTAATGCTCTTAAATTAGGTTGACAGAAGAGAGGCCATTGTGGAAAAGTAACAAAATCATGTACAAAGCTATAGAAATGTAAGAATTATTTTTAAAAGGTGTCTTCATATAGAATTCTCTTGGCTATGACCGCTCACTGCAGAATGTTTCTTTTCTCCTGGTACAGGGAGTATATCTTTCACATGGGAGATTTATCTCCAATTTTAGGAAGCAAAGGGGAGTTTAAAATGTCTTTCTTGCATCTGTTGTTTCTTGAGTTTGCTTAGATCAAAATAATCCTTATACCAAAGTAGCAAACTTTGGGGAACATATTCTTCCACCCTTCAGAATAGAACAAAATTTGTTTGTCCATTCTATTTCAGGGCACATAGATATGTAAATAGTTTCTAGTTTTGGCTACGTCTTAAAAGTACAGAAGTCTTCTCATTCGTAGGCTTTTTTTTTTCTAGATATAAGGAATGATTTTTCCACAATATCACATGGAACAGTAGAAGGGTTTTTTATACAGAAAAAAGTGGGACAGGGACTACTGATAATTTTCTGATAACATATTCTATACATATTTGTTGGAGATGATGTTGAGAATTCATAACAGCCCAAATAAATAATTTTTAAGGAGAAAGACACCCTAGTCCCCAGAAAAAGTTACTTTGAGGTATCACTATTTCTTTTCCTTAATAAACATTTTATTGTGAGTATTTAAGATATACAATACTATGTTATGGGATACATACAGAGCGTAAAAGATTACTATACTGAAATAAAATATTCGTGGTCTCTCATAGTTACCATTGTTTTGTTTCTGTAGCAAGAGCAGCTAAAATCTACTCATTCAGCATAAATCCAAAATACTGTATAATTTTATTACCTATAGTCCTCATGATATTATATCTCTAGACTTGTTACATTCTAGTATCCTATATCTTGTTCATCCTATATAGCTGCTACTTTGTATCCTCTGATCCTTTTTCCTCCTCACCTCCTCCTCATACCCTTGCTAACCACTGTTTTGTTCTGTGTATCTGTATACTGGAATTTTTTTTTAGCTTCCACATATAAGCAAGATCATGCTACCCAAAGAATTGTAAATTATTCTACTATAAAGACATATGTTTATTGCAGCACGATTTACAATAGCAAAGACTTGGAACCAACCCAAATGTCCATCAATGATAGACTGGATAAAGAAAATGTGGCACATATGCACCATCGAATACTATGCAACCATAAAAAATGATGAGTTCATGTCCTTTGCAGGGTCATGTATGAAGCTGGAAGCCATCATTCTCAGCAAACTAACACAGGAACAGAAAACCAAACACCGCATGTTCTCACTCATAACTGGGAGTTGAACAATGAGAACACATGGATACAGGGAGGGAAATATCACACACCAGGGCCTATTGGGGGTTGGGGGTCAAGGAGAGGGAGAGCGTTAGGACAAATACCTAATGCATGCGGGGCTTAAAACCTAGATGACAGGTTGATAGATGCAGGAAACTACTATGGCACATGTATACCTATGTAAAAAAACCACATTCTGCACATGTATCTCAGCACTTAAAATAAAAAGAGTATGCAATATTGCAATATTTTTCCTTCCATGTCTGGCTTATTTCACTTATTTTTTTTTCATCTTTTATGTTCAAACATACATGTGCAGGAGGTGCAGGTTTGTTACATAGGTAAACAGGTGCCATGGTGGTTTGCTGCGTAGATCATCCCACCACCTAGGTACTAAGCCTAGCATCCATTAGCTATTTTCCTGATGTTTTCTCTCCTGCTCTGACAGGCCCCAGTGTGTGTTGCTCCCCTGCCATTTGTCCACATGATCTCATCATTCAACTTTCACTTACAAGTGAGAACATGTGGTGTTTAGTTTTCTGTTCCTGCATTGCTTGCTGAGGATAACAACTTCCAACTCCACCCATGTCCTCCCTGCAAAAGACATGATCTCATTCCAGTTTATGGCTGCATAGTATTCCATGGTGTATATGTACCACATTTTCTTTATCAGTTCTATCATTGACGGGCATTTAGGTTGATTCCATGTCTTTATTATTGTAAGTAGTGCTGCAATGAACATACATGTGCCATAGGTCTTTATAATATAATAATTTATATTCTTTGGGTATATACCCAGTAATGGGATTGCTGAGTCAAATGGTATTTCTGCTTCTAGGTCTTTGAGGAATCATCATACTGTCTTCTACAATGGTTGGACTAATTTACACTCCCACCAACCATGTAAAAATGTTCATTTTTCTTTACAACCTCGCTAGCATCTGTTTTTTTTTTTTTTTTGACTTTTTAATAATCACCATTCTGACTAGTGTGAGATGTTATCTCATTGTGGTGTTGATTTGCATTTCTCTAATGATCAGTGATGTTGAACTTTTTTTTCATGTTTGTTGGCTGCATGTATGTCATCTTTTGAGAATGTCTGTTCATGTCCTTTGCCCACTTTTTTATGGTTTTTTTTTCTTGCAAATTTGTTTAAGTTCCTTGTAGACTCTGGATATTAGACCTCTGTCAGATTGGATAGACTGCAAAACTTTTCTCCCATTCTGTAGATTGTCTATTCACTCTGATGACAGTTTCTTTTGCTGTGCAGAAGAAGCTCTTTAGTTTAGTTATATCCCAATTGTCAATTTTTGCTTTTGTCACAATTGCTTTTGGCATTTTTGTCATAACATCTTTGCCTGTACATGTGTCCTGAATGGTATTGCCTAGATCTCATTCTATGGTTATTATAGTTTTTAGTTTTACATTTAAGTCTTTAATCTGTCTTGAGTTAATTTTTGTATAAGGTGTAAGGAAGGGGCCCAGTTTCAATTTTCTGCATGTGGCTAGCCAGCACTCAGAGTACCATTTATTAAATAGGGAGTCCTTTCCCCACTGTTTGTTTTTGTCTGGTTTGTCAAAGATCAGATGGTTGTAGGTGTACAGTCATATTTCTGAGTTCTCTATTCTGTTCCATTGGTCTAGTGTCTGTTCTTGTATCAGTACCATACTGTTTTGGTTACTATAGCTTTGTAGTATATTGATTGAAGTCAGTAGCACAATGCCTCCAGCTTTATTTTTGTTTAAGATTGCCTTGGGCTTTTTGGGTTCCATATGAATTTTTAAATAGTTTTTTTCTAATTCTGTGAAGAATCTCAATGGTAGTTTAATGGGAATAACATTGAATTTTTAAGTTACTGTGGCTAATATGGCCATTTTTTATGTATTGATTTTTCCTATCCATGAGCATGGAATGTTTTTCCATTTGTTTGTGTCCTCTCTGATTTCTTTGAGCAGTTGTTTGTAGCTCTCCTTGAAGAGGTTCTTCACTTCCCTTGTTAGCTGTATTCCTAGGTATTTTATTATTTTTGTAGCAATTGTGAATGGGGTTCATTCATGATTTGGCTCTCTGCTTGCCTCTTGTTTGTCTATAGGAATGCTAGCAATTTTTGCACATTGATTTTGTATCCCAAGTCTTTGTGAAGTTGCTTATCAGCTTAAGAAGCTTTTGGGCTGAGACAACAGGGTTTTCTAGATACAGGATCATGTCATCTGCAAACAAAGATAATTCGACTTCCTCATTTTTTATTTAAATACACTTCATTTCTTTCTCTTGCCTGATTGCCCTGGTCATAACTTCCAATACTATATTGAAAAGGGATGGTGAGAGAGGGCATCCTTGTCTTATACTGTTTTTCAAGGGAAATACTTTCAGCTGTTGCCCATTCAGTATGATATTGTCTGTGGGTTTGCCATATGTGGCTCTTATTATTTTGAGGTATATTCCTTCGATACCTAGTTTATTGAGAGGTTTTTAACATGAAGAGATTTTGAATTTTATTGAAGGCCTTTTCTGCATCTATTGAGATAATCATGTGGTTTTGTCTTTAGTTCTGTTTATGTGATGAGTTACATTTATTGATTTGCATATGTTGAACCAACCCTGCATTTGGGGATGAAGCCATCTTGATTGTGGTGGATAAGCTTTTTTATGTGCTGCTGGATTCAGTTTGCCACTATTTTGTTGAAGATTCTTGCATCAATGTTCAACAAGGAAAATTGGCCTGCAGTTGTTGTGTGTGTGTGTGTGTGTGTGTTATATCTCTGCCAGGTTTTGGTATCAGGATAATGCTTGCCCATAGAATGAGTTAAGGAGGAGTCCCTTCTTTTCGATTATTTTTAATAGTTTCAGCAGAAATGATACTAGGTCTTCTTTGTACCTCTGGCATAATTCAGCTGTGAATCTATCTTGTCCTGAGCTCTTTTTGGTTGGTATGCTATTTATTACTGCCTCAATTTCAGAAATAATTTTTGGCCTATTCAGGGATTCAATTTCTTCCTTGTTCACTCTTAGGAGGGTGTATGTTTCCAGGAATTTATCCATTTCTTCACATTGTCTAGTTTATGAGAATAGAGGTGTTTACAGTATTCTTGGATGGTTGTTTGTATTTCTGTGGGGTCAGTGGTGATATCCCCCTTATTATTGCTGATTGTGTTTATTTTATTCTTCTCTCTTTTCTTTTTTATTTGTCTAGCTAGTAGTCTATTTTATTAATGTTTTTTTAAAAATAGCTCCTGGATTTGTTGATCTTTTGAAGGGTGTTTTATATATCTATTTCCTTCAGTTCAGCTCTGATCTTGGTTATTTTTTGTCTTTTGCTGTCTTTGGGGTTTGTTTGCTCTTGGTTCTCTAGTTCTTGCTGTTGAGATGTTAGGTTTTTAACTTGAGTTATTTCTAGCTTTTTGATGTGGGCACTTAGTTCTATAAGTTTATCTCTTAACACTGCTTTAGCTGTGATATGGTTTGGCTGTGTCCCCACCCAAATCTCACCGTGACTTGTAGTTCCCATAATCCCCATGTGTCATGGGAGGGACCCAGTGGGAGGTAACTGAAATATGGGGGCAGTTAGCCTCATGCTCTTCTCATGATAGTGAGTGAGTTCTCATGACATCTGATGGTTTTATAAGGGGTTTTTCCCCCTTTGCTTGGCACTTCTTCCTGGTGCCATGTGAAGAAGGATGTGTTTGTTTCACCTTCACCTTCCACCATCATTGTAAGTTTCCTGAGGCTTCTCCAGCCATGCTAAACTATGAGTCAGTTAAACCACTTTCCTTTACAAATTATCCAGTCTCAGGTATATACTTATTAGCAGTGTGAGAATGAACTAACACAAGCTGCATCCCAGAGATTCTGGTGCATTGTCTCTTTGTTCTCATTAGTTTTAAAGAACCTCTTGATTTCTACCTTAATTTCCTTATTTACCCAAGAATCATTCAGGAGCAGGTTGTTCATTTTTCATGTAGTTGTGTGGTTTTGAGTGAATTTCTTAATCTTGAGTCCTAATTTGATTGCTCTGTGGTCTGAGAGATTGTTATAATTTCAATTCTTTTGCATTTATTGAGAACTGTTTTACTTCTGATTATGTGATCAATTTTAGAGTAAATGCTGTGTGACAATGAGAAGAATGTATATTCTGTTGTTTTTGGGGTGGAGAGTTCTGTAGACACTTATCTGGTCCATTTGATCCAGAACTGAGTTCAGGTCCTGAATATCTTTGTTAATTTTCTGTCCCAATAATCTAATATTGTCAATGGGGTCTTAGAGTCTCTCACTACTATTGTGTGGGAGTATAAGTTTCTTTGTAGGTCTCTAAGAACTTGCTTTATGAAACTGGGTGCTCCAGGATTGGGTGCACAATATTTAGGATGGTGAGCTCTTCTTGTTGAACTGGGCCCTTTACCAATATGTAAAGGCCCCTTTCTGTCTTTTTTTTTTTTATCTTTGTTGCCTTAAAGTCTATTTTGTCAGAAACTATTTGCAACCCTTGCTTTTTGGTTTTCCATTTGTTTGGGTAAATTTTCCTCCATCTCTTTATTTTGAGCCTGTGTGTGTCTGCATTTAAGATAGGTTTCTTGAAGACAGCATACCAATGGGTCTTGGCTCATTATCCAGCTTGCCATTCTGTGTCTTTTAATTGGGGCATTTAGCCCATTTACATTTAAGGTTATTATTATGTGTGAATTTGGTCCTATCATCATGATGTTAGCTGGTCATGTTGCAGATTTGTTTATATGGTTACTTGACAGTGTCACTGTTCTGTGTACTTCTGTTTGTTTTTGTAGTGGCTGGTAACATGTTTTCCTTTCCATATTTAGTACTTCCTTCAGGAGTTCTAGCAAGGCAGGCCTGGTGGTAATGAATTCCCTCAGCATTTGCTTTTCTAAAAAGTATCTTATTTCTCTTTCATTTATGAAGTTTAGTTTGGCTGGATATGAAATTATGGCTTGCAAATTCTCTTCTCTAAGAATATTAAATATTGGCCTCCAATCTCTTCTTGCTTGTAGGGCTTCCATTGAGAGGTCTGCTGTTAGACTGATGGGTTTTCCGTTATAAGTGACCTGGCCTTTCTGGTCTGCCCTTAACTTTTTTTTTTCATTTTAACCCTGGAGAATCTGAAGAGTATGTGTTTTGGGGTTGATCTTCTCCTGGAGCATCTTACTGGGGTTCTCTGCAGTTTCTGAATTTGAATTTTGGCCTGTCTTGGTAGATTGGGGAAGTTCTCCGGAATGATATCCTGAAGTATGTTTTCCAACTTGGTTTCATTCTATCTTTTTTGGGTACCCCAATCAGTCATAGGTTCAGTCTCTTTACATAATCTTCTATTTCTCAGAGGTTTTATTCATTCTTTTCATTTCCTGTACTCTATTCACATCTACCTGTTTTATGTCAGAAAGATAGTCTCCAAGCTCTGAGATCGTTTTCTCCACTTGGTTTATTCAGCTATTAAGACTTGCAATTGCATTGTGAAGTTCTTGTGTTGTGTTTGTTAGCTCCATCAGGTTGGTTATGTTCCTCTCTAAGCCAGTTATTCTGGTTATCAGCTTCTGTATTGTTTTATCATGTTTCTTAGCTTCTTTGCATTGGGTTATAACATGCTCCTTTAGCTCTGGGAAGTTCATTATTAACCACCTTCTGAAGCTTACTTCTGTCAATTCGGACATCTCAGCCTCAGTCCAGTTTGTGTCCTTGCTGGAGAGGTGCTGCAACCATTTGGAGAAGAGACACTCTGTTTTTTTGAGTTTTCAGTGTTTTTGCATTTATTTTTTTTCATCTTTGGGGCTTATCTACCTCTGATCTTTGAGGTTGCTGATGTTTGGATGGGGTTTTTGTGGATTCTTTTTTGCTGAGTTGTTTTCTGTTGGTTTATTTTTCTTTTAACAATTAGGCCACTCTGTCATAGGGTTGCTGCAGTTTGCTGGGGATCTGCTACAGACCCTAGTTGCCTTGGTTTTTCCCATTCCTGGAGGTATCACCAATGAAGGCTGCAACCAGCAAAAATGGCAGCCAACTCCATCCTCTGGAATCTCCATCTCAGGGGGTTACAGACCTGTTGCCAGCTTGAACACACCTGTAGGGGGTAGCTAGAGACCCTTGTTGGGGAGTCTCAACCGATCAAGAGGAACGAGATCAGGAACCCACTTAAAGAAGCAGTCTGGCTGTGTTTTGGAAGAGCATGTATGCTGCATTGAGGGGAACACTTCCTTTTCCTGACCATTTTGGATTGGCCAAAGCCAGCAGGCTGGAATGGCTGAGTTGACCAAACTGCAGAGATGGCTGCTGCCCCTCCCTGCGAGGAGTTCATCCCAGGCAGAGATTAGAGAACTATCTATTGAACCCTGGCTGGAGTGGCTGAAGCCCCCACAGGGAGTTCCTGCCCAGTGTGGAGGAATGGATTGGGGCTCTGCTTGCAGAAGCAGTCTGGCCATTATCTGGGAAGGAAGCTGTGCATTGTGGGAGACTCTTCCTTGTCCAGACCACCTGTGTTCTTCAAAGCTGGCAGGGTGAAATAACTGAATCTACTGAAACACAGAGAGGGCAGCCACCCCTCCCCCCAGGAACTCAGTCCTGTCTCAGGCAGACTCCAGCCTTTTGTCTTTGGCTGGCTGGAATTCCAAGCCTGTGGGTCTTAACTTGTGAGGTGCTGTGGAAGTGGGGCCCACAGAGTGATGCTGCTTGGCTTCCTGGATTCAGCCCCTTCCTAGGAATATGTACAGATAGATTTCCTGCCTTGCTGGGGATCCCAGGATAGGAGTATGTAAAACTCCTGGGTCTCTATGTGTGCCTGCATGGCTGTTCTACTGAGACTCCACACAGCTCTGTGTGTTGGACCCAGGGTCCTGGTGATGTGGGCTCATGAGGTGATCTCCTGATCCATGGGTTGCAGAGATGCATGGGAGAAGCACAGTTTCTTGGGACGGGTCGCACAATCACTCACCACTTCCTTTAACTGGGAGTGGGAGTTCTTTGGCTCTGTGCTGCTTCCAGCTGGGCCATTATCCCTTCCTGCTTTTCTTCTTTCTCTGCGGGCTGGGCTGTTTGCCTAGTCAATCCCAATACAAGAACCTGGATATTTCAACTGAAGGTGCTGAATTCACTTGCCCATTTTCATTTCTCTCCATAAGTGTCATGAACCAAAGTAGCTTCTAATCAGCCATTTTCTATCTCATTCTTTTTTAGGGATGACTAATATTCCTCTGTGTGTGTGTGTGTGTGTGTGTGTGTGTGTGTGTGTGTGTGTGTGTGTATCAATGTCTTTGTCTAGTCATCTGTCAGCAGACATTTAGATGGTTTGCATTTTGGCTATTGTAAATAATGCTGCAATGAGCACAGACATCCAGATATCTTTGTTAGGTATTGATTTTATTTTCTTTGGGTATATGCCCAGAAGGGGGATTGCTGGATCATACTGTAGTTCTGTTTTTAATTTCTTTAGAGATCTCCATACCATTTTTCTTAATGGCTGGATCTACTTTTCCTCCAACAGTGTAAAAGAGTTCCCTTTTCTCTACATCCTCATCAAGATTTGTTATCTTTTAGAGTTCCATTTTCTCCATACATTCACCAACATTTGTTATATTTTGATTTTTTGATAATAGCTATCTTAATGGGTGTGAAATGGTATCTCATAGTGGTTCTAATTTGCAATTTTCTAAAGATTAACGACGTTGAGCACTTTTTCATATGTGGAGCACCAACATATACCTGTTTGTGACATTTATGTCTTCTTTAGAGAAATATCTACGTAGGTCCTTGGCCCATTTTTCAACCAAGTTATTTATTTTTCTACTCTTGAGTTATGTGAGTTCTTTAACCCCTTTGGATATTAACTCCTTATCACATATATGATTTTTCAGTATTTTTTCTCAGTTTAAAGCCTGTCATTTCATGGTGATAATTTTTTTCCTTTCTTGTGCAGAAGTTTTAGTTTAATGTAATTCTACTTATTTATTATTGTTTTTTTGTGGCCTAGGCTTTAGTTGTGATACATAAAAAATCATTGCCAAAGCCAATGTCCAGGAGCTTTTCTCCTATGTTTTCTTCTAAGAGTTTTAGAGTTTCTGTCTCAACATTTAGGTTTCTTATTCTTTTTTTTTCTCCCCACATCAAATAGGTAATGTGCCAACATCTTAAGGTTTAAGGGAGGCACATCTCACACATGAGTGTGAAATCCCAATCCCTATTCTTATGAACCACAAAAGGATCTTTTATCCATTTTGAGTTGATTTTTGTGTACGGTGTAAGATAAGCATCTAATTTCATCATTTTGCTTGTGAAAATCCAGTTTTTCCAGCACCATTTATTGAGGAGACTATCCTTTCCCTGTTGTGCCCTCTTGACACTTGTCTCAAAAATTATTTGACTGCATATATTTGAATTTATTTCTGGGCTATTGTTTCACTGGTCCATGTGTCTGTTTTTATGCCAGTACCATACTGTTTGATGTATTACTATACCTTTCTAACATAATTTTAAATCAGGAAGTGTGTGAGGTACCACCATTTCTAATCACTAAACAAATGCCCTGTATATTTTTCAGAAAGCTGAAAACAAGGATTCCTTTGCATTTATTTTTAGGTCATGGTCTCTGAGATTAAGCATTATTTTTGGTAAGGTGATCACTGCTATGTTTTTCCTAATCTTATAAATATTTTTGTTTGTTAAATTTAAATCATGGTCCCTACAGCTAAGATTATAGAATAATGACATTTTCCCTTGAAGGGTCTTAGAATAATGTATTGCTAGTCCAGGGTATAATATGTAGAACCTTAAAACTTTTGGAAAAAATATAACCCTTGAGAAATAAATCCAAGAAAAAGATTCTCATCAATTGCAGAGAAAAATAAACTTCCTCATTCACAAAACAGAGCATCCATCATTTTTTTCCAACTGAAATAAATATAACCTGAAAGCAAACGACAGTGGATTCTCTTTGCCTTTCCATGGGATTACTTCCTCACGAATGTGAACGATTTGGAAAACAAATAAATAAGACAAAATATAACCTTGTTTTAAATTTGAAATTTCAGATTGAGCATGAAAGAGAAATGATAGTTTGTTTCACCATTAGCTATCAATCAATAAAGTATGCTAAATGGTAGATGATGTTCTCTAAATATATTTTACAGAAATATATAATGTACACTTTTAATTAATAATTGCTTTGACACTTGGTAGTTGTCTCTTAGGATACTGCATTTCACATTTTACTATTTATACACTATCTTTAGAGAAAGTTGATAACAATTTTGTTCTTTTTCATCAAACAACTTTGTACTTATGATAATTTCTATGATGTCTAAAGTTAGTCTTTTTATTCACATCATATCCTGACTGACATTTTTCTGACCACATGCCAAGAGCAAAAAGAAGAAAGAATTGGTTTTAAGACTCTTACAGGATAAGTTCCTATGACTTTAAAATGTCTAGATGAAAAAAGAAAATCTGCAGAAGAAATAAATTTGTCAAAAGCTTTTATATAATGACATATTGACAAATATGTGCAAGTTAAATTTTTTAAAGGCGTTCAGATATTGTTTGTTATATATTTGTTTGTTGCTTAATAATATTTTCATTCTTGATTTTTTTTTTTTTTTTTGAGACAGGTTCTTGCTCTGTCTCCCAAGTTGGAGTGCAGTGGCACAATCCTGGCTTACTGTAGCATTGACCACCCAGGCTCAAACAATCCTCCAGACTCAGCTTCCCAAGTAGATGGAACTACAGGCACACACCACCACACCCAGATAATTTTTGTATGTTTTGTAGAGACAAGGTATTGTCATCTTGCCCAGGTTGGTCTCGAACTCCTGAGCTGAAATGATCCTCCCACCTGAGCCTCCCAAATTGCGGGGATTACAGGTGTGAGCCAGCATTCCCAGCCCATTCTTGATTGTAAAACCTATAAAAGCTATCTTTATCACAACAACTGTGACTGACTTTATCACTATTCATAGATCGAATATCTGAAATTTGGGGAGTCCCTTGTTCACTATTCTTGACGGGAAATTGAACCAGCAGCCCTTGTGGATGTGACTGCCTATGCAAAGATAAATGTAAAGGTTTGTCATATTTATTCAATTCTCTTCTACAGTCAGGACGCCCCTGCACATAGTTTGTGTTGACTCCACTTTTTTGGCACATCTATTAGTTGAATCTAAAGGGTATATTACAAGGATCACAAATGATGCAGAAAAAGACAAACTGGGGGAGAGAGGTTTCATTGAGCAAAATGACTGGATTTCAGCCAAGCCAATCCCTCATGGACATCAATGTACATGAGAATGACTGAAGTCAAGTATGAAAATTGCTACCTATGGCTTATTACCCTCATGTGGTCATGTCACCCTTTTAGGTCAAGTTCTATAGCAAGGCCAGGATTTCCAAAATGTCGAAGGCAAAGTTGTTGCCATAAACCTCATTAAAATAGAAAACTTCATTATTAAAGAGATGTTTTATGTAATAAATGCCAACTTATAAACCCTGAAACAACCAGCAATAGCAAATTTGTAGCACAGCTTAGTGATTCTCAGACCGAAGTTTGAATTTTAGTCCTGAGCCCGACTTTTGTTTAATGGATTATGCTACATTTCTGAGAGCAGGACCGCAGGGTGGCTAAAAATGTGGAGTGAGTGTGTGTGTGTGTGTGTGTGTGTGTGTGTGTGTTCAAACACATTTTGGGGGTTCAGACAAGTCAGATAATTTTGCTAAGTGTTTACCATCTTATGTTTTACCTTTATTAAAAACAATAATTATTGGGCAGACCAAGATTTTCTTTTTCTTTTGACATAATAATTTGGACCTACTTTCCTATTTTGTCACAGTTTTCTGTTTAGTTTATCAGTCTATTTCTGTGGCTTTACAAAGTTAGAGGTTTATTCCTTTAACTGTATTGCCAATATTCACTTTTACTTTTTTGATGAACATAAAAATATCCCTGTTGTTACAGGGTTGCTCCCACAGTACTCAACTTAAACTTCTTAAAATATCCCGGTTGTTACAGGGTTCCTCCCACAGTACTCAACTTAAACTTCTTAACTAATATTTGATAGAATGGTGAGGGAATGAATGCCTGAGGTTACAGTGCAAGTGGCAAAACAGAAGCAGAGAGACTGTGTAACTACAAAGAAGTACAAGGCAGGGACAGCTTATCCGTTGTTCCCTAGGCTACCAGTCAAATGTGACTACATTTACATGATTTCAGGAAAAAAAAATGGTAATATCTAAAAATACATTTTATTTATGCTGTCAAGGTTGAGTGTATGTGTGTGTGTGTGTGTGTGTACATAAAATGATACAATAATTCAGTTAGCTTAATTCAATAACTTACATTCTAAGGAAATAAATAAGAGATAAAACTCATTAACAAGATTTTCCAGTGGGATTATTTTAATGACTTCTTTTTAATAGTTTTACTTTGGTCTGTGGTCAATCAAATGCTGTAGACAACTTAGTTTTCTCTAACTGATTTCCTTGGAAGAAATCATGGCACCACAGAGTTATACAAAAAGATAAGGATTGTGGCAGTGACTGCTAGATGTTAACAGGAGCCTTCCTTCTAAAGGCACGGGGGGATAACAATATTGAACTTCTGTGCAATTAGATGTAGCCATGTGACTAAATTAGAGCTAATGGAATACAGGTTGAAGTGATAGGCCACACTTCCCGGCTAGGCCCATGGTAAACTTCCTGTGTGATCCTTGCTCTCTTTTGCTTCTGCCTCCAGCTGATGGGCAGGGCCCTGTGACATCACTTGCAGATAAGCTGCCCAGGGGAACCTTTCAGATAAGAAGGCCTGTTCCATGGAATGTTCCATGATTGAGATATGAAATTTTATTTTGCTCAGCAATTGGAATGTCGGGGTTTTGAGTTATGGCACTTAGCCTACACTAACTAGTAAAATGATATTCTGGTTAATGAATGTTTTTTAACTGACTAACTTTTAAATACTTTACAGAATACATTGTTGTTATGGAATAATTTCTATAATAATAATTCTTGTTTATTAAGAATACTTTAAACATACACTAAAAGATTTGTGCGATGAATCTACATACATCACCTACTTTAAACAATTATTTACTTTCTGTCATATTGACTTTATCATTCTTACTATGTATGTGCATTGCTTTTTAATTTTTTTCTTAATTTGAAAGTAAGGTACAGCTGGGCACGGTGGCTCACACCTGTAATTCCAGCATTTTGGGAGGCTGAGGTGGGCAGATCACTTGAGATCAGGAGTTTGAGACCAGCCTCACCAACACGGTAAAACTCTACCTCTACTAAAAATACAAAAATTAGGTGGGCATGCTGGTGGGGAGCTGTATCCCAGCTACTCGGGAGGCTGAGGCAGGAGAATCGCTTAAACCTGGGAGGCAGAGGTTGCAGTGAGCTGAGATGCTGCTGCTGCATGCCAGCCAGGGCAATAAAGTGAGACTCTGTCTCAAAAAAAAAAAAAAAAAGTAAGGTACAGAAGTCTACTTCAGAATGCATTTTTAAAGATAGAAAATAATAATAATGGTTTTCTAGTGTCATCTAATATCTAGTCCACACTCATATTCTCAATGATTTCAGCAACTGGATTTTATAACTGCTTTTAATAATTTGGAGCCCGAGTCAGAATTCAGGCTCCACTTTTAGTTGCTATATCTCTTTAATCTCTGAGACCAGAAGAGTGCTGCTTCTTCCTACTTGTTCATCATTATTATCTTCTCCTTTTCTGTGTGCTTTCATTTCTTATAGCCACTGTAACAAATTACCACAAATGCAGTGGCTTAAAACAATACAAATATATTCTCTTATAGTTCTAAAATTTAGACGTCCAAAAGTAGTCTCAAGGGGCTAAACTCAAAGTGTCATCACAGCTGGGTCCTTCAGTGAGTCCATGAACGTCTGCTCCTTTCCTGTTCACTTCTAGGGGATTCCAGCATTCCTTGGCCTCTGGGCACATTCCTCTAAGCTCTGCTTCTGTAGGCACATCACCTTTTATCCTGCTATAGCCAAGTTTCCCTCTGTATCCCTCTTATAAGGACACTTGGGATTACATTGATGGCTTACTATGTAAACACCAGGATAATCTTTTCTTAAGAACCCTAAGCTGGGCACGGTGGCTCACGCCTGTAATCCCAGCACTTTGGGAAGCCGAGGCAGGCAGATCACCTGAGGTCAGGAGTTTGAGACCAGCCTGGCCAACATGGTGAAACCCCGTCTCTACCCAAAATACAAAAATTAGCCGGGTGTGGTGGCATGCATCTGTAATCCCAGCTACTGTTGAGGCTGAGGCAGGAGAATCACTTGAACCTGGGAGGTGGAGGTTGCAGTAAGCTGAGATCGTGCCAATGCACTTCAGCCTGTGTGACAAAGCAAGACTCTGTCTCAAAAACAAAACAAAACAAAAAAACCCTAAACACATATTTAAAGTCTTTTTTTGCCATAAAATGTGACATTCACTGATTCCAAGGATTAGGATATGGACATCGTGGTGGGCCATTCTGCAGCCCACCATAGTATGCATATTATTGTTTATTTGGGAAAACCAGGCCAGTTGCCTTACCGTGTGCCTACATTCTGGATTTGCCTATTACTTACCTGTGTTATTTAACTTGTTTCTCTATGTTTTATATTTCTTAAATGATAGAGATTCAGCCTCAGGCTTGAAGAAATCTGGACTACACATACTTGGCAAAAATAATTTACAGGAGATGCTGTGACCTTCAAGTCACATAATGTTGGAGAATGTGACCTGTCAGGTTGTTTAATTATCAGTGAAACTAATTTTGGTGACATTGTTAAAGTGGTCACTGCCAGGTATTGCATTACAAAAAAGACTTTTTTTTTTTTTTTTTTTGCAATTTCAAGTAATCTACCAAGTTCATTTTAACATGATGTGACCATCCTATTCCATAATATTTTACCTAGCTTTTAGCCACCGTTGATGATCGTCCTATCTCATGTTACCTATTTTTATTTCTGCCTCTTTTGCAAAATCTCTGAAAACCTTGCTAATCCCTTCTTTCTTCCTTTACAAACACAGTTCTGTGAAGGTAATTTAATCTTTCTTTGATACTAAAAAATCTTATAAACTCTGGGGTCATCACTTGAACATTAATTTTCTTTGAACAGTTATAGAATAACAAGGAAGAAAATTCTGATGATTTAAGAGCTCCCGCTACAAGGATCCTGTTTTAAAACGTTTTGAAACAAAAACAATTCCTATAGCTTACAGTAATTTAAAAAAAAAATGAACAATTTATTGGAGCAGACCTAGAACAGTAATGATATCATAGGCATATCAAAAGTGAAGCTGAAATATTGTGTTCTGTTCTCTGCATTATAGTAAGAGGTTACCACCTTTTGGAAGTTGGTGTTTTTTGATGTCATAGTTTATGTTGGCTCACATGAAATTTGCCTTGATGTGGAAAGCCCTCTCAGTAGGGGTTATCAGACCTGTTTTTCTGAAAGGGAGCTGCTTATGTCCAGATGGAGCTCACTGTGAGAATGTGGTCATGATCACCTTTCCATGTGAATTTCATTCTCAAAAGATTATAATCATCTTGCCAGCAGCAAACTGATCAAAATTCCCCTGGAAATTTTATTTGATTGAAATTTGGTGTCATTTTCTATAGTATCCATTTCTAAAACCTTCTACAGAGTTAGTAATGAAACAACTCTGTTGCCAAAAGTAAGTCAGAATGCCAAAGCCAATGGCATATAAGATGCTGACCAGCTGTTTCCTTTCTCCGGTAAGTACCGACTCTGAGGATAAACAGGAAAACTGTTAGGATCAGGACTTTTGGTTGGATGGGATTAACTTCCTGACTGAGATATGTGAAGATGGCAAGACCTATAATTTTATTTCCTGAATATATTCATGAGGAATGACAGCCAGATCTTCAAATACACCAAAATAAGATAGAGAAAAATATTTTTATAAGTTCAAACATTTGAATTCTTTTTGTTTTTCCTACTAGAAAGTTTTCCCACATCACAGAGTGAGTTAATATTTAATTTTGCTTTGGATTTTTTTTTTTTTATTTTTCTATAGGAGGACCAACTACTTAACAATATAGTATTGACAGAGACAAAATACTATCTTGAAATCCCTAAAAGCTGCTGAAGAGGAGCTTTTCAGACAGAAAGTGGTAAATTACAAGATATTTCGGTTTATGGACTTAAAAAACAGAAGCTGTGCTATGTTAGAAAGGAGAGGATTGGCCAGGCATAGTGACTCATGCCTGTAATCCCAGCACTTTGGGAGGCCAAGGCAGGTGGATCACCTGAGGTCAGGAGTTCAAGATCAGCCTCACCAATATGGTGAAACCCCATATGTCTCTACTAAAAATACAAAAATTAGCTGGGGGTGGTGGCAGGCACCTATAATCCCAGCTACTCAGGAGGCTGAGACAGGACAGTTGCTTGAACTCAGGAGGCAGAGGTGAGTGAGATGGTGCCACTGCACTGCAGCCTGTGTGACAGAGCAAGATTCTGTCTCAAAAAAATAAATAAATAAATAAAAAGGAAAAGAAAAAAAAGAAAGGAGAGGATCATTGTGGAGTCAGGGTAGGTGGTGCTTCTCAATTCTCAATGTTTCTGATGCTGGAATAAATCCTGATCTAAGGTTCCTGGCACCAGCTGGAGCCCTGGCAAGGTTGTGCCTCAATACCAGAAAATCTCATCATCTGAAGTTCTTCCTCTCTGAGATCAGTCTTAGAAGGCCTTGGGTAGCTGATGATTCTAAATGTAATGCTAGGAAATGGTTTCTATTCAAGGATATACTTAAAAATGATCCTCTTATTGCATGGCAGAAGCAGGAGCAGTACCCAGCCTCCATTACTGGGCTCTGATTCCAAGATCCAGTGAAGGCAGGGATATGACATCACTTCCTTTTCCTCTAGTTCAGTGATCCTCAAACTTTAGCGCCCCTCAGAATCCCATGGGTGGCTTGCTCAAACACGCATTTCTGGACTCCACCCCCAGGGTCATGAGAATTTGCATTTGTGACAAATTCTCAGGTGATGCTTCTGCTGCCCACCTTGGGGACCACACTTTCCCATTTTTTGATGGGAATAATGTCAGAGACTCAAACCTAGCTCTTTCACTTAATCTGCTCCTTCTCTCCAACGTGGACTGATGAGAACATTGCCTCCTTGATCAAAGCAGTGCTTGACAACCCAACTATGCTGACTTTCTCCAGCCAGGGCCTTCGTACCTCCCTCCCTGTGGCCAGACAAAAGGGAGTATCTCATCACCCAAAGAACACTGGCAGGTGTGGCTGAGAACATTTCTGTCTGGCATAATACTGGGTTGGGGCACAATATATTCCTGAATAATTAGTCATTTTGCAAGACTGCATGCCCCTAGCACCATAGAAACTCCATGGGTCAGGGAACGTGCTGTCTTGCCTCAGACTTGACTCCCCAAAACTAACATTTATAAAGCAGATATTCTGCTTCTACTCAGTGGCTAGCTGGACTTCACTGTAGTTAAGTCCACTAAAATATGCTAAGCCAGACTTATTTCTCCCATTGAGGCACTCCACACATCAGTGAGGCCTTAGAGTGGCTAATACAGACGGGGTTAGAGCCACAGGAGAGGGGTAACCTACCCACTTGTGTGTTCTGCTAGTTCCTTGCTCCTTAAGTATTTCTATGGCACAGAATTGTCTGTGGTCAAAATTGTGTGGAGTGATATCCAACTTCATAAGAATATGCCATTCCTTCCTATAGCATTTTTTAATTCTTTCATTAAAACAACATGCTCTCGCAGTTCAAAATGTTAAGAGATAGGAAATGGTACCAAGAAGAAAGAAATGGTCTCTTGCTGTCACAGTCTATGCAATTACTTGCGGGAGGCAAATATTAAATAATAACAACAGAAATAATGACTAATCACACTGTTATGAATGATCTGAAGGAGAAACATAGCAGACAATAAAAGCTTGTTACATAGGACCTGCTCCGGTCTGATATCTAAGAAGGTGTCATTTGAGCAGTATTCATTACATTTGTTCAACACTTATTCCACAGATCTACTAAACCTCCACTCTGTGAAAAGCACAATTAAACCAGCTCCCAGTCTTTCTAGAGCAGAATTGTCCAAAAAAAAAAAAAAAAAAAAAAAACTTTCTGCAGTGATATAGACATTGTCTATAATTTCTGCACTGTCCACTAAGCAGCTTCTAGTCACGTGAGCCCATTGAGCATTTGAAATACTATTAGTGTGACTAAGAAATTCTTTGCATTTGCAGGTAAAAGTTTTTACAAGTCACATGTGGCTAATAACCACAAAACTAGACAGTCCTTGCAAACTCTATGGTAACTAAAAAAAAAAGATACATATTTTTGTAAGAAAAAGATGTCAAGGCGTAAAGATTATTAGAATGTGCAAACTTTGGGAAATAGATGAAGACCTGATATGGCAGAAAGCCAAATATTTAGTTCATACCCAACACATTTCCAGCCTTGCTTATTGTAACCTTCTGTTTTCTAGCTACTTATTCACATTTGTTTGAATCAACCTAACATATTTCTGCCAAGATCACTGCTCTCCCTTGCCATTTTGTCTGCCTCTTCAATCTCTTGCCCCAGAATCTTATTTATCTTTCTTCCCCTCAATTGTAAATCTCTTTCTCTCTCTCTCTCCCTGTCTCTCTCTGTCTCTTTCTCTCTGTCTCTGTCTTTCTTTGCCATTGAAAATATTCACAGTCCTATGTTGGCCTCCTTTGGGCTTTGATATAGCCACAGAATTTTATTTACTTCCTATATTTTCTTCTCATGTTCCTGTACAAGAAAATTTCCTCATGCCAACAACTTTGATTCAATATTGACCATACTAACCATATGTTGTACAAGTATAAATGTTTAATTTTTATCTGTTAAATAAACAACCCAGTGAAGTTCGGAGAGTTCATTAGCCAACATTACACAGTCTGTATTTATTTATTTGTTCAAGTATTTATGGTGTGTATCCTTCATAAAAGTCTAAGTTCATTTAGGAAAAAAAAATCTGTGTTTATTCACTAATATCTTTTCATTGTCTAGTACAGTGTCTGGCTTAGACTAAAGGCTCAATAAATAAATATTTATTATATAAATAAATCACAAAATATATGTCCTCTTGCTTTTTAGTAAAGAGCACAATCAATTGTACTTTCTAAGTCTCTTTGTGAAAATAATGCGCATGCTTAACTTTTTGCTCCTTATCACCAATTTTATGTAAATAATTTACTAAGAATCCCAATGTTAAATTCAATAAACAGGAAGTCATTGGCCTGAGGCTGTCTCCTTACTTTGTGTTCCTACCTAAGGAATTGCAATGTAAATTAATATGTAAACAAATTGAAAATCTAACCTAGAAGTGTAACAAACAGTGTAGCAGACAGCTCAGCCAATGACAAGTAGCCAAGTTTCAGCCAATCACTTGCTGCCAACTGATCAGACCATGTTTCAAGAAAGGAAATGCTGAGCTGTAACCAATCAAGCTAGAGTGGCCACCCCCATTAGCCTCAAAGGATACAATCTAAGATTCCCAGTAGATGCCTGAAACTTTGCATACTACTGAACCCTCATTTGGAACATGTTTCTGTTCATGTCTTGTGCTCAAAAATGTAATGCCTTTTCCATCTCACCTAAGCACTTTTAACATACCATGGTTGTAATTTTTATACTTTGAGGTGTGACAGCAAAACTAACACAGATTTCTTTTTCCTTCTTCACAATTTCATGGATGGAAAATCCATTCTTATCGTCGATCTTCGTAACCTCAGCATATAATTTTTTTCCTTCCTTATTAAGTCAAGAACTTTCATCTTTTCATTTAAAGTAGGCACTTCACCACTTCTTTGGCATATCTGAATTGCCCCATTATTGCACTTTGGGCCAATATAAAGTAAAATAAGGATGACTTGAACCCAAGCATTGCAATATCTGACACTGAAAAGGCTAATAGTGACTAGCCGGCAAGTAGTGTAGACAGCGTGGATATACTGGGCAGAGGGATGATTCACGTTCAGGTGAGATGGAGCAGTATAGCACAGGAGTTTGTCACACTACTCAGAATAATGGGAAATTTAAAAAATATGAGTTATTTATTTTTGTAGTAGTCTATTTAATATTTTCAAAAGTTGATTGACTGTGGATACATGAAACACTGGAAAGCAAAACTGCAGACAAGGGGACACTACTGTATTTTTGCAGTTGACTTCCATTTTCTGTCTATAAATACTTCCTGCCTGCATTGTGGCAGGGAGCTCACTGATACTCTCCTGTTTCTGAGTGCTGCCTAATTTGTGAATCATTCTTTGCTCAAATAAACTCTGCTAAATTTAAATAGTCAGATTTTTTCTTTTAACACCGGCATAAATCTCCTTTTCCAGTAGGAGAACAATAGTGATTTTTTAGCCACATAATTGATTATTTATTTACATTTATGTGATGCATTTCAGAACTTCTTATTGCTGGTCACATTGGAGCAATAATGTGGTGGGAGGGAATGGAATATAGAATGAAAGATTATGATACCAGCTGATGTGAATGCTATATACATTATGTCTTGATAAATTGAGTTTGAATCAAAAGGCAATTAAATATTTTTGGTACCTTTAGAAATTTTTGAAAAGGGGATTCTGCAATAAATTGGCTGCATTTACTCCAAACAAAAAGTATGACTACAACAACAAGAAAAATAGCAAAAATGAGAGATAACTTCCTCTTTAGCTTGCAGAACTGGAGCATGAGCAGTTTTAGTGATATTAGTGTTAGGCAAGCCTAGGTACGCTGGTATGTTTCTCTCCATGAATTAAATCCAGAAAATAAAATCAGTCCCTTTTCTCTATGTTAAAATTTGGTTTTACTTTACAATAGTGATTCATTCAAGCATTTGTGAGTTGGATCATCCAAAAATGATCACGCATCTCAGAAAAGCAAAGCAAAGGGGAGGGTGGGAGGTTTCCCTGTGCCAGAGCCCCTGCTATCCATCACTACCAGGGACAGAGAGGAGATGGCCCTTTAATAGAAACTGGCTAATTTCTTGAGAAATATCTCATTAAGCCCGCCCTTCCTGAGTGGCTTCTCCATTAAAATTTGATAAATGAATTCTGCCATTGCCAATTCCAGCCTGTCCTTCTTTCCCTTAATGAAATGAAGACGCGTCATGCTGGCAAGCACTCCAGACACAGATAATTATTCATGGAATGCTAGAAGTGCTGTAGTCACCCAGCCCATCACTGCTCCACAGACACTGGAGATGGGACCTTCAGAAGCCTGAATGATTTTTGAATAGAGATTTATTTATATTTTACTCAGGGGGAAACAAATCACATGGGTTTACATACTCTTCCTTTTAGCTTTTCGCCCATATTGTTTTTCCACCTCAGATCACAGTGTATGTGTGGGAGTGAGTATGCATATGATATATGTTTGGCACTTTTACTTACTGATTTAAAATATAACTCAGTTTGATTAAAATTAATATTATTTTCAAGTTGGAATTGTTTTTAATAATATGCCTTTAGGAGAGGCTATATTTCATGATGCTATTTTCTTTTCAAACATTAGTTTTAAGACCTATGTAGGCAAACTATGTAGTACCAAACTATATAATTTATTTCTTCAAAGCCTCTGTTACTGCTGGCTAGCCTTAACTATCTTTTAACTAGTGTTTTTCCATTGATTTGAACTTATGTTTTCTGTTACTGGGCATATCCTTGCTATTAGCCAAAGTTAAAAGGTTTGCTCTCATGTTTTAAAGTCTGTAGTCTTTTATGTCTTCTCTTTTCTCAAATTATGCATAACTGAACCTGCTATCATAAAAGGATCTGAAATTCACTCATACTAATATATAAATGGATATCATCTCAAAATACTACCTCTATAAAAGGTATTTGCTACTTGCCAAAAAGCCAGCCTTTATTTTAATTTCTTAGGGTAAAATTATACACACACACACAAACACACACATATATACACACACACAAACACACACACACACTTAAAGAAGGAACACCTATCTTGTTTGTTTATTTTAGTCTCTTTGCAGGGCTGCAGGCAGCCATCTTCTCTTTTTAAAACATACCTCTCACCAGTCTCACATGGTGCTTTTAGCCCATGTGTAACAGCATTAAAGTTTATAGATTCCAGAATAGCACTGGGAGAAATCAAACCTCCAATTTTTAAAAAAACTTATCACCAAGAGAAAGAAAATATTTACAAAACAATATTTGATTGCCTGTTATATGCAGTTATATGCTAATGGGATTACCATATTTGTAGATATTTTATGTGTTTTTATTCCTGAGAGTAAGATAAATCATTATTTATTTTTGATAAGAGAACTAACTAATTTTGAACTATGAAAATTTCAGATCCATTGTCATTTTGCATCTTTATACCAAATCTCAGGGGTACGCAGGGATTGTTATTTCTAAAATAAATATTCAGAAACTCAGGAACTGAGTGGCCAATTTCTCACACTGCTGAAAAGTGGCAGAGCGAGATGAGACTCCAAACCATGCTCTCAACTTCTTCAGAATTAGCAAGAAGCATATTGCCAGAATGCAGGGCTTAATATCTCTGTACTTTATTTAAAAATCTAAAATAACTTAATAGTGCTGAAGACAAACCAAGTTTGGATGGGAGATTAAGAGGCCAGATGAGGGTTGATAGCACTAGTAAGTAAACAAACCTTTTTACGAATGATATCTGGTACTTTATTTAGAAAATTAAATACATACTCAAAAATTTTTCCATATAGATTATTCATACACTGCGTGATGATCTCAAGCCAGCATTTTTCTTGTCACTTGGTACTTTAATAGCAGTAGTCATAAATAATATTTAGGACAATGTCAGAAAACTAAAATTTTTGAGCAATTATTATTGATCTGTCACTATACTAACAATTTTATGTGATGCATTTCAGAACTCTTATTGCTGGTCACATTGGAGAAATAATGCAGTGGGAGGGAATGGAATATAGCATGAAAGATTATGTTACCAGCTGATACAAATGCTATACACATTATGTCTTGATAAATTGAGTTTGACTCAAAAGGCAATTAAATATTTTTGGCATTATCTGCTTTCATTCTTGTAACACTATGAAGTAACTTGCCCAAATTTACACACAGCTCAACTCTGGAAAAGCCAGGTTCCTGGATCAGATCTCTCTGCCTTCTGCAACTGAGCTCTGAACCAGTTGACTGTATGTGCACCTGGAGTTTTTCTTCTGACTGATCATGCAGTGTTTCATTTATATTTCATCTGTTAACCTCCTGCCTGAGGATCCTGTGTTTCTCCAGTGACCCTCTAATAAACTAAGAAGATTGACTCTAAATATTTCTCAGCAATAGAGTGCCATATGAGTCAAAATATATCTGAGAATTTGAAAGACTCTTCTGGTAGCACTTTGCTCTTTAAAACCTCGAGTGTCAATGAGTGCATTTGCCATCCTCCCCAGCTGGCTTAGCTGGGAACTGATGATAACTCAAGCTACAGGACACCTCTGCTCAGTTTTGTGCAAGAGGGGAGCATCTGCTGGCTGATGAGCATGTCTGCACAAAAGAAAAAAAAAGAAAAAGAAAAATGCCTTTTAAAAAAAGATCAGTAACCTAGACAAAAGACAAATGAAAAGGCCCAAGAACAGAGGGCAGCTATCAAGATTAGAATGTGTACGGCCGACTGAAAAATTCCCATATATTGTGTGAAAAGTGCTTTGCATGGAAATAGTTATAATCCAGGCTCTTTGGAAAATGAGCACCATTGATTGCAGGCTAAGTGTTTGAGATTTAGTAGCAGCAAAGGAGCAGTGAATCAGGTCCACATGACTGTGTGTCCCTGTGATGCCCATATCTTTCGCATAATATAGAAAAGACATTTTTGTCTATGCCTAAAATGTTGGGGCCTACAGATTTCTGGCATTCTCCAATGAATCTGGTCCAATTAAAGGCAAAAGGGAACCTTCCGATCTGAAATCTTTTCTCTTTCCCTCTTGCCTCAGGTATCTTTGTGACAGGCCTGGGCCTTTCTGACCTTTAACCTAGCAAAGGTCTTTATTCTATTATTATTATTATTATTATTATTATTATTATCATCCCTGGCTAACTCTTTCTTTCAGTTGCTGTGTATATGTTGACTTGTTTGAGGTCTGTCTTCCCCACAAGAATGTACAGCTGTGACATTTTCAGTATTTTATTTTCCCGAGTGTTTCCAGCCCTGAGCATATTGCCTGGCACATGCCAAGCTCAGTAAATACCTGTAGAATCAGGCTTTAAATTATGTCTTCATTGACAATAAGTCAAAGACTCTATCCTTTCTGACCTGCACCTTCTTTATTGTAAAATGAGAATATTAGATCATAGGTTTTTGTGAGGAATAAGTATATGTTGGAAATTTTGCTTATCCCACAGCATAAAATAAACACTTGGTAAATAGTAGTTGTAAGAGCATTATTTTGGAAATAATTCTTAAACTTCCCTATACTGATCCTTGCCATTCTAGACTCTGGCTACTGGAAGGAACATTCTCAATATGGCACACAAAAGGAGGAAAAACTAGTATTAGATAACGATTAGATAACGATCAACATTTACAATCATTATATTATTTATTCTTTACAACTATGCTGTAAGGTAAATAGCTTCATATATGTTTAAAGACTTGAGATGAGGAAAACTGAAGTTCAGGGAAGTTATCTGACTTGTGGTAGATCACACAAATAAAAAACAGCAGATCTGGGTCTTAACTCGAGTTTAGACTCTGAGCCTCTGAAGTACCCATCCTCTCTGCTGCACTTTATTGCCTGTACTGGATCAGAGAAACAGATTTCTTTATTTATAAGCTATCAGAGATATTTTGGGGTGATACTCTGTCAGCTTGCAGGGGAGTGTTTCCTCCTACACTCGGGGCTAATTTATGCGCTGGCATTTGTGACCATATTGTTCTTGAGTAGGAATGGAAATTGGCTCAATCCATCAGCCAGAAGCAGGTCTCCCTTTAACAGCTGATTCCATGACTTGTCACATTTTCAAATTCCTCTGGGTGTCATGAAGGGGGTGGATGAGCATTTTATTTAAAAATATGAAGAAGAGGGCTGTTATTCCTGCAGCCTTACAAGATTATAGTTTACTGGAGGGTAATATTTACTTCTCCTAATTTTGTGCCAAACAGAATTGACTAAATTTATACATTTAGAGGAATGAAATATCTAAGACTGACACTTAAAAGGAATAATTTGGCATGTGAGTAGGAATGGCAGTGAATCATTTTGGACACACATTGCAGCTATTAGCCTCATGAGAAATGACTGTCACCACAATCACAAACACATTTACGCCATTAGTATGAGGGGGGAAATGGGACATTTTTCTTCACTAATGCTTTTAACTCTGATTCATAATGCCCATCCTTTTTCTTCTTCCAGATCACTCTCCAAAGAATGGCTGACTACACTGAATTTCCACTTCTAGCAAGTAACTTCGTTGTTGAAATTTATTTTTTTAGGGTTTGATTTATCTAAGAAAGTAAAATAAATGGCACTGAATTGTGTTAATATTTATCAGTGAAAAATAATATTGAACTTCTCCAAAGACAAAATAAAATTAAATAATAAAACACAACTTAGTTTCAGGTATTGAGTGGGAAGATAAAAATGGGAACCATGAAATAAACTCTTTGTTCTCTCAAATATCATGTACCTTAAAATATAAAAGTTACACAATAGTTTAGGATTAGTAATACATCCAGAAGTGAAGATTCTGTTTCTTCTTGAAGCCAGAAGACAATCTTAAATAACTTTAAGTTCTAAGACCAACTAATAATTCAGAAGACACAGCTCATTTGTTCCACTATAAGAATTTATAGAAATGATGTGGGAATTTCGTGTTATTTCTTATTTTTAAAAGAGCAGACTTTCTACCTCAGTGGTTTCAAGGTGACATGAATTAGCACACTGAACACTTGAATTCAAATCTTACTTCAATCTCTAAAACTTATGACTTTGGACAAATCATGTAATGTCTTGAAGAAGCAAAATGATCAAAGTCCCCTTCTATCCATCAAATGGTAAATTATTTTAAAGTCATTAATATAAATTTACTTTGTAGTCATTGAAGAGATGGAGAATTCATTTTAACAAATACATTGAATACTTTGCCAAGGTGTTTAATGTGTCTATCTTTTGGGAAAAGTGCAGAGATACAACAAGAAATATTTTTATATCATTAGCAATTTCCCATCCTGGTTCCCAAGCTAAGACCTTTCATTGTGGTATCTTAAACCCAAGATGTGGGAATATATAGGAAAAGTTTCTTTCATCATAATATTAATATTAGCTATTAAAGCTACCATGAAACCTATAGCTGAACACATTGATACTTTATTTTTTACTCTAAATTTTACTATATGTTCAGTTTTACTCATTTTATGTTATGAATTTATTGACGGTGGGAAGGGTTTTATATAAATACACTCAGGTTTTAGAAGACTTCTATAAATGAGAGAAAAGACTATTTCCTGGGATTCAGGATAACAAGCAAGTTGCAATGATACTGTTCCTACAAAAGGAATTGGGTATCTGTCATTATTCACCTAAACTGAATTTCCTTGAAAAATTCAAATACTTTTAAAAGGGAGAAAACATACTAACTGCCAATCTTCTGGATTTGCATTCATCAAATCAAATTACCTCATTTGAGATAACATCATAATAAAATATTATCAAAAGATTCATTTCTCTTGCTTGGAAAACAAATGGTTCCCTTGTGAGGTAGCAACAGGAAACATTCCCTGATGAAGCTCCAGTCCACTGACATTATATCTGGGGGTGAACTTGCTGGAGATTAATATGGGTCTTCATCATGTTAAGTTTTCTCTGGGATTGCTATAGGGAGTTTAGGTGTGTAATCTGCAATGTGCAGTGCCGAATCCCAAAGCACATGCAAATGACTTGCCCAAAACATTATACATATAGGATGAAGTATACATGGTCATAAAAATCCCATCCAAACCACAAACTCAGTCTATTGATAATAAAGGGAAGAATGAGATGTGTTGAGCTGTCTGCCAGGCCTTGGATACAATTCTTATGGAGGCAGTTGTATCTCTCCTACAAGAAATCAGATTTAACCCTATCACACAATACTTTTAGTTTTACTGAGAACTTCTATTGAATATTTCCTTTCCACTTGTCCCTAGGCTGAGACACAGCAACATGAGAAAATGTACGTTCTTCCCAGGTTTGAAAAATGCAGTTCATGTTTCAGCTCCTGTGCTTCCTAGGTTAGTGACATTTGACAGAGTCCCTTTACCAACCTTGAGATTGAGTTTCTTTATCTGTAAAATGGGGATAATCAGATAATCATGCCTTATCTACTTTACTTGTTTGTTAAAGAATAAACTAGTTATGAATGTGAAAGCTCTTTGTAAGTTGTAAAGCAATATTTAGACATTCATTGGTAAAAGGAAACAATCTCATTAAAAAGAATAAGCTTGGTGTAGTGGTGCACCTATAGTCTGAGCTATGTGAGAGCAGAGAATTCCTTGAGCCTGGAAGTTCAAATCCAGCCTGGGCAACATAGCGAGATCTCCATCTCAAAGAAGAAGAAGAAGAAGAAGGAGAAGGAGAAGGGGAAGGGGAAGGGGAAGGGGAAGGGGGAGAAGGAGAAGGAGAAGATGGAGAAGGGGAAGGGCAAGGTTTAAAAAGGTCAAGCAGAATACCTACTATGTAATCAATGCTTTCTCAATTAATAAATTTGTAGATGGCATCCAAAGATCAGAACTTGGGTATGGGAGTTGGAAATAGAAATATTTGAGTATCTGGATGATGCTAAATAGCCAGGTCAAAAAATACTAAAATTATGTTTCAATGTTTTCTATGTATCTAGATCATTGAACTTTGGGTGAATAGGCTCAATTGGAAAACTTGGGTTAAGGTGTTCCAAGATAGGAATGGAAGTTGAAGATTCTGTAGAGTTTGAGGGGCTTTATAAAATAGAGGATGACTATAAAGTAAGTGGAGATTTGAGAGATATAGGAGGCAGTGCTAGTACCTTCAAGTCTCTAGGTTGGAAATAAAAAATAAACAAATAAAAGAGTTATCTTGTTGGCTCTAGGTTGAGGAGAGTCAAGAACTCCAGATTCTATACCCAAAATAGTGGTAAAGCACAACTAAGCAGATGTGATGGAGCCTCTAATCTTTCACCAATCTCATATGTGGATCAATACTGAAGCAATTTTGCAAGGGGATTCTACAAAACCCACAGCATGGATGTGGATATCAATTTGCAAAAGACCTCACCCCCAACTCTGCTATGTGCATCTGGCTCTTATGAAAAACAGCCCACCTGAGATTCAACCTTAGCAGCAATGACAGTGACCAGAGTGAGGGAAACTCAGGACGGTGTTGGAGCTGGGCACAGCCTGAGACACTTTGGGTTAAGCGATATGATGGTAGCACAGGCTTCATTGTCTGAGGAAAGTTGAAATGTGTATTGGCATGCAGACATGGTAAGAATGAGAACATTTTGGAAAGTCTGAGTTTCCTATAATCAAGGTGATTGTAACTTGGTTATATGGCTATCTTTGAAGAACAGAGGCAGTTGCATAGTAGATATCTAAACATCTATGTGTACCATCTTCACACATTCTTCACTCTGATGAAAAAAAAGTGCTAGATTCCTAAAGCTTGCATCTAACTCAGTATATGCAGAACATAACTCATCATTTTCTTTTCTTCAAGTGCAATCAGGACCATTTTGCTTCACTCTTTCAGCCCCTCTGTCATATAGTAATCCAAGCTCCTTAGAAGGTGTTCTGTCTATCGCTATCCTTTATCAACATCAAGTTGTTTCTAATCTCTAATATACAACCCATTGGCCAATTTTCTCAGCATTGTTTCCACTACTGCAAATGCCCTCATTAGCCCTAACCTTCATTTAGTTACCCTATTCATCTCCATTTTACCACTTACTGATTTTATGACCATCAGAAAGTTACTTAACCTTCATAAGCCTCAGTTTTCCCATATTTAAATTGAAGATTCACTCTTGTATTTTTAATGAATATAAAATATTTATTGTGCTTATACAGCAGTGAGCAAAACAGATGAATAGCCCTGCCCTCATGAAGTTTTCATTTTAGTGGAAGATATGAACAATTAGCAACACAAAAAAATACAAAAAAAATAGGTCACATAGTGATAAGCACTTCAAAATAAAATTATTCAATACAGATGGCTAGGAGTATCAGGACGGAGAATCAAAGATCTTCACTTATACATTTGAATAAAGATCTGAAAGAGATGAGGGGTTGAGTGACATATCTAATATCTTGGAGTGAACATTTCTGGCTTGAACATGAACAGGTCTGCGAGCTCTGAAGGAGAAAATGAGTGTTTTAGGAGCAGAATGAGTAAGGCAGGAAAGGAATAGAAGGTCAAGGGAGTCAGTTTATGTAGAGCCTTATAGATCACAATGAGGACTTGAATTTTACTTTGAGTGAGGTGAGATTGTATTGAAAGGCTTTGATCCAACTTACATCTCAAAGGATCTTGACGACTGCTAAACTGAAGGAGCTTAAGGGGGGAAGGAGGATGACCACTTATGAGGACCATGCAACGATCAGGAGTGTGGTGATGGTGACTTAGACCAGGAACGTAGTAATTAAGGTGAAAGAAAATGGTCATTCAAATTGTGGCTACATATGGAAAGCCAAAATGGCCAGACTTATTAAAGGAGTAGATTTGGATATGAGAGAAAAGAAGAGTTGAGGACAACAACTTTGGTTCCGAGAAATGACAATAATGAAAGACAATTAAATGAGATAAAGAATATTGCAAGAACAGCACTTTTAGAAGGAGATATTTGGATTCCTATTAGGCGTCTAATTAATACATCAAGCAGTAGTTCCAATACATGAGTCTAAAGTTCATAGGAGAGGTCAGGGCTGCAGATATAATTTGGAGGATCATCAGTATTTTTAAAGCCATGAGATTGCAAGTGACCATTAAGAGAACAAGTATAGATCAAAAACTGAAAAGATGCAATGATTTATCTAAGGCCCCTCCAACATTTAGAAACAAGAAATTGTAACTTAGGTAAAAATCAAATATATGACAACAATAGAAAAAAGGGCAAAACCAGGGTTAAATGACATTACACTATGGTAAGACTTCTTTTTATTGGGCAAATTTCATTGAATTGATTCGAAGTAGGCCATGGTGAGCTAAGAATGCATATTATATTTTTAGAGCAAGCACAAACATAAAAATAATACAAAGATACATAGCTAAAAAAGCAATAGATTAGATAAAATTAAATACTAAACAGTACTCAATTCATTCAAACATATACAGAAAAGGAGAAAAAAAGAAACAAACAGATGGGATACTTAAACACACAGTGAAACGGTCACCTTAAAATGCCAACTAAATCACAAATAACCCTAAGTGTAAGTTGACTAAGTCTTCCAATTAAAAGACAATACCAGACTAGATAAAAATAAAGGGATAAAAATAAAATGCTGTTTATAGGAAACAAATTCTAAATGTGAGGACATAGAGAGCTTGATAGTAAAATAAAATAAAAGAAAGTTTGTATGACTATATTAATATCAGATAGAACAGACTTCATAACAAGGAACAATACCTTTCAAATTTGCTTGTTGGAGTTAACGTGGTACAACCATTTTGAAAAACTGGCAACTTTTTATGAAGTTAAACATACAACTATCCAATAGCCCAGAAAATCTACCCCTAGATATTTTATCTAAGAGAAATGAAAACAAATGTCCATATAAAAACTTCCACAAGAATACTTAGAGCTGCTGCAGTCATCGGAGTCAAAAGCAGAAAACAACTCAAAAGCCAGTGTATAAAGAACATATAACGTTCAATGAAATATTAAACAGTAAGAAAAAAATGACTCCTGTTACATGCACCAATGTAGATAGATCATAAATACATTATGTTGAGCAAAAGAAATCAGACATAAAAAATATACATCATATTTATATGAAGGTGAAAAACAGGCAAAACTATGTATAGTTACAGAAATCAGTATAGTTGTTATTTCAGTAGCATATGGGAAATAACCAGGGTGAAGGAAATAATATGTCTCTATTGGGTGAAGATTAAATAGAATATACATTTGTTGAAATTTATTCAGTTACATAATTATTTTTGTGTATAAAAGTTATATATTAATAAAGTAGAGTTATAGTTTAAAAAGTTACAAAAAAAGAAGAATTAGAAAAAAGACCTAGAGGAAGTAGTCAATGAGGTAGGATTAAAATCATATCCTGATGGCCTCTGAGCCAAGTGAATGAGGAAAGTGTTTCAAGTTAGTCAGTATTCAGTAGATGACACCATCTTCAGAATTGACCTACTATGACAAATGTTAGTGACTTTAAGCTAACCATTGAATGTCGTACAGTAGAAATTATTGATGACTGATAAGAACAATTTAGGTAGAGTGGGATGCCCCCAATCTTTAGCAGAAGTTCAAAAGAAGAATTGGCAAACAAGATAGATTCAGTAGTTGTTATAGAGCAAAACAGAGCCTTGAGTCAGTTACTAGAGAATAACGTTTGCCCAAAAAGAGATTTCTCTTCCAAGATGGGAAGAATAATAGCACGTAGCTCTGCTGATGGAAGTAATCTAATCAATAGGTAGAGAAAAACTGATAATAGAACATAGACTAAAGAGGCTTGCCATGTCTTTGAGTAAGTAAGTGGGGGTTAAATCTAGTACAACAATCAAAGGCTAATAATATTTAACTCTAAAGAATGTCTCTCTGTGTGTATGCATGTGAATGCCTGTATTAGTCCATTTCACACTGCTATAAAGAAATACCCAAGACCGGGTAATTTATAAAGGAAAGAGGTTTAATTGACTCACAGTTCCATGTTGTTTGGGAGGCCTCAGGAAACTTACAATTACAGCAGAAGGTGAAGGGGAAGAAAGGACCTTCTTCACATGGGCGGCAGAGAAGCACAAAGGAGGAACTTCCAAACACTTATAAGACCATCAGATCTTGTGAGAACTCACTACCATGAGAACGGCATTGGAGAACTGCCTTCATGATATCTTTAACTCCCTCTCTAGACACAGGGGGATTACACGTCCTCCCTTAACACTTTGGAATTACAATTTGAGATGAGATTTGGGTGGGGACACAGAGCCAAACTATATCAGGGTTAAATTAAATAAGACAATGAATTGTGCTTAGTATAGCATCTAAACACATATTTCTCTAAGCATTAGCTACTTTACTGACAGTTAATAATCAACTCATGGGCCATTCCTCCCTTGATATTTTGGGTAACTCCAACTTTGTCTTTGTAGACCATGATGTGCTCACTTCTAGCTATAAATATTTTATTTATATATTATATATGTAAATCATAATATAATTTCACATTATATTTTGTTGTTTGTGTTCCTTTTTCTCTGATTGGGATAATGACTTGTTATTTTATAACTATGATGTCCGACATAGAGCTTGGTCACATAAAGTCCCTAGCAAATGTTTGGAAAATGAATAAGCCACTGCCATTTCCCCAGGGATGTTTGTATTTACAACCTTACCTCTCATCATGCCCTGGAAGGCTCTAAATCCCACTAGAGTCATGCTAGTAGTCATCATGAAATATCTGGAGCAGTTTCAATACCCAAGTAGTTCTCAAAGTGTGGTTCCCAGAACAGCAACAGCAGCATCTCTTGGGAAATTGTTAGAACTATAAATTCCTGGCCTTGCCCCAAGCCCACTGAATCAGAAATTATAGTTGTGCAGCCCAGCAAGCTGTAACTTAACAATCCTTCCATGTCATGATGATGTACACTAAGGTTCAAGATCTACTTACGTAACATATTCTTGGTTTTTCATTCTTAGGACTGGAAAGATGTGAGGAAACATCTGATTATACTTTGATTACTAACCAGATATTTCAATAACCCTGATCGTACAGTTTTTCCATTAACACATTTTTTTCTATTATTAGAAACATAACATCATAATTTCTTTCTCTTGTGTTCTTTAAATGTGTTTTTCATTCAAAGACAAATGTGCATTAAAATGTTAGAAGTCTTTTGTTACTCTTGGGAGGTGGGAAGCAGGAAGTGATTTCTCTGCTTCCAAAGGCATAGAAGCATCTATTCTAAATAATCCCGAACTGCTTGACTTTGGGAAGACAAAACGAGTGATGCGGACACTAATGGCTTTATAAAAGCAACCCTTAGATGTACTCAATTCTAGGAAATCACCATTGCCTGGGAATTCAGAATGTGACACACTGACTCTAGAGTATCTGAGATACTTGGGAAAGACCAGTAATATGAAAGCATAATTTGAAAGAAACTCTCACCCTTAAAATTTGTTCTACTCCTATTGTTACAGTATAACATTGTGCAGGTTACTTAGCCTTCCTGGATTGGTTTTCATATCTGGAAAATAAAGAGCTTTGATTGTTTAGTGTTTATCCAAAGAGGACATGAATTATAAAATGTTATTTAAAATGCAAACATATCCTCTCACCTAATTCTTCCTAAGGTATAGATGTTCCATTTTAAGGGTTGTTCTCCTTTTCACCTAGACTGAGAAACCCTGAATCCTGCATCTTTAAGGTCCCTCCATCTCTAGGATCATATAGCTATTGCATAGCTGAGGAAACCTAGTAACAAAGGATGTAATGATGATTATGCTGATTGTATTAGCCTGCTATCACGATGCTAATAAAGACATACCTGAGACCGGGTAATTTGGAAAGGAAAGACATTTAATTGACTCACAGTTCCGCATGGCTGGGGAGGCCTCAGGAAACTTACAATCACGGCAGAAAGGGAAGCAAACAAGTCTTTCTTCACATGGTGGCAACAAAAAGAAATGACAAGCAAAAGGGGGAAAAGCCTCTTATAAAACCATCGGAACTCATAAGAACTCATTCACTATCATGAGAACAGCAACATGGGGGTAACTGCCTCCATGATTCAATTACCTCCCACTGGGTCCCTCCCACCCACAATACATGGGGATTCTGGGAACTATAGTTCAAGATGAGATTTGGGTTGTGAAAACAGCCAACCATATCACTGATATTTAATAATAATTTCAATATCAGCACGTTTTTCAATGCCCACCATGTCTATTAGTACAAACAAATACAGACATGGTCTTTGCAGAAAATAATTGTTTTATTTAAAAAAAAAAAACAGTTTTCTGGATAAGTGAAAAAAGAAAAGTTATTTGTAATCAAAACTAAATAGAACACAATTAAATTGCAAAACTTCATCAACAAGAAAATTATAGAATATGTAAGATCTTTCAACAGCTAAAGACCTGGTTCTGTGCATTGCAATATGAAGTGGCAAACATTTCTATGTGTGAAAGGGAAATTAGATTGCTATGTGTATTAATATAATAAATTGTCACAAATTTGGCAGCATAAAACAACATTCCATTTGTTGTCTCACAGTTCTGTAGGTCATGAGTCCAGGTGGGCTCAAGGGAATTCCCCGCTTAGGGCTTCACAGCCTGAAACCAAAGGGTTGACTAGACTCAAATCGTATCTGAAGGATTTTGGGAAGAATCTTCTTACAAGTTCAAGTTATTGGCAGAATTAAGTTTCTTGTAGTTACAGGAATGAGGACCCCATTTTCTTGCTGGTAGTCACTCCTGAGCCACTGTCTGCTTCAAGAGGACACCAGCATTTTTTTGGCATGTGACCCTCTCCATCTTGAAATCCAGCAAGGGTATATTAGATTCTTCTTCTACTTTGAATCTCTTCCTTCACCTTTTATCACAAGCTGGGGAAAACTCTCTGCTTCTAATGGGCTCCTGTGATTAGATTCATCTCACCCAGATAATTACCCTTTTATCATATAAGGTGATATAATCACGGGAATGGTATATCATCCTATTTGCAGGTTTCACCTACATTCAAATAGAAGCATCACTGGGGGTCATTCTTAGAATGCTGCCCATCACACCACCATTTTTGAGTGAAGAACAAGCCCAACTTTGAAGCCCTACTCCAAAACCCTACTCACTGTAAAAGACAGTTTGAGGAGAGGTGATGCGATGATCAAAGAACAAAGGGAAGAAGAAAAGTGAGAGAGAGATGAGCATGAACAGGGGTAGCTCTTAGAAGAAGTGTATACTAGCAGTTTTGTCTTTAGTGCAACAGCTTTCCCCTTTTATTCTATCAGACAGCCGGGGTCCTAATGTGCTTTCACTCTGATCCTATCGCAGATTACAGGGACAGATATATTACAATTACGTACGTTCAAGCATGAATGTAAGCTAAGGCACTACTTGTCTAGGGTTATTTACAACCTAATCATTAATCATGAAGAATTTTTCCATGTTGAATTTCTGGGATTTGGGAATAAACCAGAGGAGTTTTGGGGGGACAGGATGCTTTCAAGTGACACTGAAAGTCACCAGTCTGCTTAGATATAAGGCTGGTTCTAAATATGAGCAAGTATCAAAAGTCTTTCCAAACCAAGCAAACTACCTGGGCTTTCTGTTTCTGGTGAAATATATTAAGTTGGAACATTTGGATAAGTATTCACGTATATTCTTAATTGCTGCTAGGAGCTTTCAACCAATCAGACACGAATGTCAGGTTGTACTTGGAAAGGCACAGAGCTAAAGCCACAGGGCTGAAGTTTAGAAAAAATGGACTTCTTGCAGCTCCCAGACTCACTATTCTGGGCTATGAGCTCATTCCATTATTAGTGAGTCCTAGAATTCACCACCCTCCAAATGCTAAAATAAAATCGGGGAAATGTCATCAAGTTGTTAACCATTATTATCATCTATTAAAGTAGCCCTACCAAAGATGGGGAAATCACCTAATAAAGCCAATCTTTCTTTTTTATATCACCTAGAACTGTCAGGACTACAATAAATTATAATGGACCCAACTTAAAGCCAGCGACCTGCATATTAGACACTGAAAATCTCTCTTATCTCAGCAAGTAACCAACACCAGACTTGTCAATTAAGATTGGAGAATGTCAAGGTTAAATGTTTCTCAAAGCTTCTGATGTATACCTTTCAAGTTTGAACCACTTGAGGTGTTTGTTTATTGACTCTTGGCAAATGTGCTTTCCTGTTTCTTAAAAAAGATGAATTTTACAAAGAGTTCTTACAAAGAGCACAGCTATGCAATGATTTTAGGCTAAATGATTTATAAAGAAAAGCATTTTGGGGAAAAATAAATAACACCTTTAGAGAATCTCCAAAGTGGCCCCATTATAAACAGTGAAATCTCTGGCAAGCTTTCTCTCCAAGTCCCATTTTCTACACCTAAAAATATAGATAATAACAACTCTTACAAATGACTACATTAAAAATCAAATTAAAATGAGATGGTATATTTAAAGTACCTGAACATGATAAATGGTGAATAAATCAATATTACTGTGTGTATTACTTTACCAAATGTTCCTTTATTTATTCAACAAATATTTAATAAGCATCTATTTTATATAGGCATTTTATAATGCCTATATAAAATAAGGTAGACAACAGGTATTTCATAATAAATAGGACGAACATAATATCTACTTGCACGAAATTTGCTGTCCAGTGGTGGATAGAGACAGTTAAGCAATTGTAATACAGACTTATTTGATAGGAGAAATATGAAGTTTTATGGACGCATAAAGCAGAGACACCTGATATTTAATGGTCTGGACGGTCTGGAAATTCAGGAAAAGTTACCCAAAGAAAATAACATCAAAATTCCATCCTCAATAGTAAGAAGACATATTAGGCTAAGTAGTAGTGGAAAATACTCAAGGCAGAAGGCAGCAGGTATGCAAAATCTTGGAGAAGAGAAAGCACGGTGCATGCCGATGTGTGAGAACAATTTGTAGTGTATAGAACAAAGATTCAGTGACAATAGCCTTTCCTGCTCCTATCTCAATATATTCCTGGAAAGAATTGGTATGGCACAGTGAGGAGAAGCAGATCAAAATTCCAGCTTCTTTCATGTTCACATTATCTCCAGAAGATGGTAAGTCAGGGACAGCAAACATTTGTGGAAGCAGTGTGATGATGTCTTTGGCGATTTGGAACACGCAGGGGAACTAGGACAGTCTAACAAGTGATTAAAGAGAAAAGAAGAGCTTGTACTAAATAAAGAGTTAAAATATGGGCGATGAATAGTAGACACAAAATTGTACTAAGAATTTCAAACAGAAGACCCATCTGTAGTCTTTGCTCGTGCTCAGATATCTGTCCCTGTCTTCCTTCTGGTAGACTCCCACTAATATTTGAACACCTGACTTAACTGACTCCTCCTCTACTGAGCTTTCTTCAGCTCCACCCGGAAGAATGAATCCCTCTTTCAGTACAATCCTTCGCATAACAAACTGTATTTATCTTCACTGAGGTACTTTCCTTCTATTATTTTATCATTGTGTAATGACATTCATTTCTTCCCTGCAAAATGAACTCTCTGAGGGATGAGCTAAAATCCTTGTTCACATATATATCTCTGTTATGGTTACAAAACTAGTTTGGGGTAATATTTAACTAAAGAATACGTCCTTTCAACTTCCAAACTGTTTAAGTTTAGTGTACATACATGACACAGGTATGTGTATCATCAACGTAAGGACTGCAGAATTCTTATAAGCAGTCTACAGTCAATAATGAGGCTAAATTCCAAAAGGTGTTAGATAAGTTATTGCTTGATATTTGAAGCATTTACCCATGGAAATAATTGTATAAGGGACATTAGCTTACCACAAAGAGTTTATATGAGCCTCTATAATCCTATGTAAACAAAAGCAATTTCATTATGATTTCTGTAGCAAAATATAGCCCAGGTTCCAACAGGGGATGTCAGGAACAACTCTCATAAACCCTTATCTCCTGTTGTTAGCACTAACAAGAAAAGCTAAAATCTTTCCACTACAGAATATGAATATATTTCTCTCCTCATCCATGTTGACAGGATTCTAGAAATGGAGTAAACAGAGTTTCTGAATAAAAAATTAGGATACATGGCATTCCCCATGGCAGGATAAATAGAATATTTGAAATTCTATGGTTTCTATTTACAATGGAGCTTTAGAGGAGTTATGAAGTGATGCATTATATTAAGAAAAATAATAGCACTGTATCAGTGAGGTCTGGAGCAGTAGGGACTACTTGTTATGAAATGAGAAGGATTGGTTAGTGAGGCCGAAGCTCCTAACAAGTCTTAGGAGAATTTGGTGATGGTTGGTACCTAGTATGGAAATGATGGTTGTGGCTCCTGGCAGAAGAAGCAACATAGTAAGTATTGGTACCCAGGCTCAAAGTCATTGGCTTCCTTGGGCAGGCAACTTCACTTTAGTAGCTCTCTATGTCCCTTGGGGTAATACCAAAGGCTCCACTGAAGGACAGCTGGGGCCTTCTGTGTGAGCCATAGAAAATGACAGCAGTGGTTTGCTTATACAAGTTGAAAGCTCACAGATCAGGCACTATTAAAAGAGTGTCTAGCATTTCTTTTTATATCTTCCTAATTATTTTCTCTCTTAAATTTGCCTATTCCATTTTTTCTCTAATTGCCTAGAAAGTGCTTAATTAAGAGAATATTTTGGTGGAAAATTCATGTTACGGGCTTTGTAACAGTAAACTTTTGTTAAAGTGTTAATCTGCATGTAAAAGAAAACCACCACTGGCCAGTTTATGCTGGGTCTACTTAAAGGGACAAAAATAGACTGAAAAGAAATGCAAATAATGAGCATTTAGACCGGGGATAAATTTCCCAACTTTTACATTTCAGCTTTGATGAAAACCCAAAAGCCTAACACAATGAACATTAAATAGCCTAACATTGCTCTCCTTAGCTTGCACTGCCAAAGATTCCTGCGATGCACACTTGGTTGGCTAAGTGATTGCTACAATTGAATGAAAGATGAATGCAAATGCTATGCAAGCTTCACACAAACTTTTCTTTGAAAACAGAATTTATAGCCAAATAAAGCAGCTGTTCTAATTATAAAGGCAACACCTAGGCAGCTACTCCTAAGCACAGCTTAATAGGAGCCACTGTGAATAAATCAATTAATCAATTATTTCTTCCATGTAGTAGGCTTTATCTTACTAGGTATAGAGGCAGAAAGGTGTGATATCTTTCTTCACCCATCATGAAGGCTACAGCCTACCCTCCTATTGATGTGGACAGGAGACAGGGAAATACTGGGTAGAAGAGGGCGGTTCCCTGGCGAAGGCCCCACCCTCAAGCCTGGAGACCCACGATCCTAAATGGGGACAGGAATTCCTGTTCTTGTGCCCAAAAAGTTCTCTTTTGACCTGTCACACTCCCTATTCCGTACCCTATAAACCCCAAACCTCAGGGTCCAGAAGCAGACAAAAAGAGGAGAGACAAAGAGGCAAGCAGAGAAATTGCAGAACAGTGCAGCAGAGAAAGGAAGAGGAGAAGAGGCAACTGAAGGCCAAGAGGAGTTCAGCTGGGGGTGGCTGGAGAGGAGTTCAGCCACTGCATGACCAAATTCCAGGGAAAAATCACCTTTCCATTCCATCCCCCTTCTGCCTTCCCATCCATCCTGCTGAGATACACCTCCACTACTCAATAAAACCCCCACATTCATCCTTCAAGTCTGTGTGTGACCCAATTCTTCTGGGACGCTGGGCAAGAGCTCAGGATACAGAAAGCTGTCACACTGGCCCTCTGTTCTTGCAGAAAGGCAGAGGGGACACTAACCTGGTTAACACTTAAGCCATCTGTGGACAGCAAGGCTAAAAGAGCATTGTAACACTGGCATCACAGGCACCCACCCCTAGACACTACTGCGGGGCTGGAGCCCATAGCACTTGCCCTGGCTCCTGCACCTGCCCATCTGTGTGTTCTCTCTCCTGCAAGGGGTTTGAGCTCACAGCAGTCTAACAGAGAGCCACACCCCTGTCACACACACTGTGAGGGGGGCCAGGAAACTCTCTTGTCTCACTATAACAAAAGACATATTGGTTAATGAGAGAAAAGTATAATAAACATATTTGTTTTACATGACAAGAGATACTTCAGGGATAAAGACCCAAAGACTCAGGGAAGAGTGTCCATTTTTATGCTAGTATTTGATAAAGAATGGACAGCAGTGTAAAAATGCAATTAGACAAAGGGTGTATAATCTAATAGTAATAGACAGAAGAGGGAAAGCTAATAAGGCAAGGCCTGTCTGTTCAGATTCTTCTTATTCAACCTGTAGCATTCCTTCCTCCTGGGTATGGGCCAAGACTCTGCTGGAATGAGGGCCTTGAAGGGAAAAAGTAGAGAGACCTTTCTAGGTTTTATGGCTTGTTTTGAGAGACGGGTTCTAGTTTCTATGACCCATCTAGGGGAAGTGGAATTCTGATTTCTATGAACTGTTTCAGAGGAGAAAGAGGGATAGGAGACAGGAGGATTGGAGAACATGAGAGAGACCTTGCTCCTGAGGCTTTCCCATCTCCTTTAGTTCAAAGTACTCAACATGCCTAAGTGCCATACTTTGGAGTATCATGTTCTGAGCCCCAACACAGGCAGATGATCTATAGACTGCTTTAACCACTGTACTTTTTAACTCACCTGTGTCATCTGCTGCTCTATTTTTCCCACATTCACTTACCTACTAACAGTGAGGCTCTATCACTCTAGATATTTTTCAGAAATTATTGTTTCTGAATTTTTAGAAAGACACAGAATTCAGGAAAGCTTCTCAAGCTTCAGCCTCTTCTGTGGTGTGAGTATAGTCTTCTAAAATAGGGTGGCTTTTCTAACTGAGATGTCCTAAATCTGTTCTCCACCCTTATTGTGGTCTAAGACTTCACCTTCCTTAGTCTCTGATGGAGACTATACTGTTGGATTTTGATTTCGCTCCTACAGCAGTTTCTCCTCTGTATGAGACCCTGGCCTAGAAAGGAGCTCTAGAAAGGCAACTCAAAGACATTAGAATATTCTAGACTCTTCAGTCCTTAACACATGCCCTTGCACTCACCCAGCAGTGGAGAAGACAAACCCTTTCTTTCAGAGCTGCTGGTCTAAAATTCCCCCCATCTCATTACTTCCCTCTACTCCCTTAGCCCACACCTACCACTAGCATACCTGTTAATTATCTCCACTTTCTTCTTTTAGTTTCTTATTTATTTGTGTTTTTAAAGAGTCAGTACCTCACCGTGTTGTCCAGGATGGAGTGCACTGGCTATTCACCGGTGCAGTCCCTGTACTAATCAGCATGGTGGTTCTGACCTGCTCTGTTTTCTATGTAGGCCAATTCCCCACTCTTCAGGCAACCTGGGGCATCCTCACTCCCAGGAAGTCACCATATTGATGGCAATCTTAGTGGAGACACTTGATCTGCAGAGTGCACTACAGCCCAGATCTGTAAAGCTCAAGCCATCCTTCTGCCTCAGTCTTCTGAGCAGCTGTGACTACAGGGAAGTGGGGAGGGAGGGGACAGGGGGCCCCTCACCCAATTCCACTTTCTTGAATTTGTGAATTATCAGGGATGCTAACAAAAATTCTTTGCTTGACCAAACTTTAATCAGGCTCCTTGGCCCATCTGTGAACTCCCTTGTTGAATCCAGTTTTGTAGAATCCAGTTTTAAAGAATCCCATTAGGTGTGTTTAGCTAGAATCCTCCTAGCGAGTACTCCCCACCCTGGATATCCGATCAGGTTCCTCATGTTCCACCATCCCCCAGCTGATGTCTGATCACACAGGCCTGTCTTGTAACAGAAAGAATTCTGTTAGGTAGGCTTAGCTAAAATCCTCCTTCCTCGTGATGTTTCGTCTTCGTAATTTTTTTATCTGCTGATTCCCACTCCATTAATTGACTATAAATTCTCACTTGTCCATGCTGTATTTGGAACTGAACCCAGTCTGTCTTCACTACTGCAAAATTCATTTGTGGTGGTCCTTATGTCTATCATAGGGGTCCTGAATTAAGTCTGCCTTGCCATGCTTTAGCAAATATCATTGAATATTTTTTTCTCATAAGTAACTCATCACCATATTTTGTTCTAAATATTGTTGTTTTGACATCTATAGCTGTTCTGTTGGTTTTTATGTGGCAGCTCTTAAGTGACTGAAGAAACAGTTCTGGGACTGTTGTCATTGTCAAGGCTAAGGGACAACTTCTCATTTGCTCACTGAAAGTTCACTGAAAATCACTGACAAAGAGGCAGATTAACAGGAGAAAGCATATGTAAATGTGTGATCATAGTTTTATGTGACATGGGAGCCTTCAGAATGAATACTCCAAAATATAGGGAAAATTGTCCATTTTTACACTTAGGCCTAACAAACTATTGACAACAATATAGAAATACAACTGAACAAAAAGGGTATGATCTAATGCCAATAGACTGAGTGGGGAAATCCAGCAAGGCCCATTTGTATAGATGCTTTTTTAGCATCTCTGAGCCTGCATTTGTTCCTTCTGGGTATGGGACAGGATCCTCTCTGGAATGGGGGCTTATGACTCCCATTCAAACAAGGTAGGTCAGATAACTTCTTTATGGCCAGTTGTTTACACAGAAAGGTGAGGGGAAAATTAGAGTAACATTTTTAGTTTTCATGGCTGGCTTTGGGGAAAAGGAACTCAGTTTCTATGGCTAGCCTTGGAGGAGAATTGAACTGAGAGACGAGTGCAGGAAAAGATCAGAGAAAAACTATTGCTTCTGAGGCTTTTATTTTGGGGTGTTGTTTTCTGAGTCCTAACATCATCTTCCCAGAATCTTTGCCTTCCTTTCATTCTTTGTCTCTTGTCATTCATTCTTCTCAGAACAGCCAGTGTGATGTCTTAACAAATAAATAAAATAAGGTTTATGTTATTTTCTTGCTTAGCTTTTCCAGTAGTTTCTTCGCACTTTAGACCAAAATAAATAAATGAGCATATTTTTCAAAAACCCAATCATCATTCCATAAGCTATAAAACCATCCTTGATCTAGCCCTTATCTACTTTTCAAACCTCACTTATTTTACTTCTTTCTGTTTAAACATGCTAAGTTTGCTCCTGGCTCGGAAACTATGCAGTTATTTCTTTGGGCAAATGTTTTCCTGCTTTGAGAGAGGAAAAAAAAATTCTCTACCATCTTAGGTTTTGAAATTGTAGTCATGGATTAAATCGACAGAAGACAAATTAAGAGAAAAGTCATACACATTTAATTGCTTTTATTTTACACACATGGGGACTACACAGAAAGAAAGACAAAACCCAAAGAAGCAGTTGGACTGGGAGCTTATATACCATTCTAACAAAGGGATATAAATTGTGAACAAGTGACTAGACAAAGAAGGATGGGAACTGGACATCCAGGGATGGTAAACTGTGGGCAGATGACCAGGAAATATATGATAGAAAAAAGTTGCTTAATAAAGCTTATTATGCAGACTCACTTTGGTGTCATATCCTGTGATAAGAGTCCTCTTCAGTGATTAAGAATATCCTTCTCACAGCACTGGAGAGGGGAATACCTTTGCAAATGGAAATTTGTCACCTTTACAAAGGTAAATGTACGCTCTTTTAGACAGAAAGTGAGAGGGCAGAGCATTTTGTGCCCACTCTTTCTCAATTGCCCTTCACACAAAATAATCCTTATGCCAAAGTAGCATATTTTGGGGTGGCATATTCTGCTCCCCTTCAACTACCCCAGCATTTGCAGGTCTGACTCCTTTTTATTCAAAACTCATTTTAAATGTTGTCTCCTGATCCTCTGAAGGAGCATCCCGTGCCCCCCTCTTCATCATAGTAGACTCTGTTACTCTTTTTACAGTAATTTTCACTATCAGTAATTGTCTTACTTGTATTAAGTTGGTGCAAAAGTAACTGTGGGTTTTGCCATTGTTTCAAAGGAAAAACCACAATTACTTTTGCACTAACCTAATATTTTGGTTTCATTCTTTATTGTCTAGCTGCTCTGTGCAAGCAAGGAAATTGTGTGCATGATTTATAACCTCAACTTCAACGCCTAGAAAAATATATGGCACATAATAGGGGCTCAAAAATATCATTTAATTAATAACAAATATTGCTATAACAACACTGATTGCTTAATTATCCTGATCTCTCATTGAAATGCTTAGGGCCAAACACTGCTCTTCTTGCATTATAATAAAAAGTAATTCCTATTCTCATCCCTAGTCCTCCTTTTAGTTTTTTAAATCAACTTTTCTTAGACTATCACAAGGCTATAACAAAGAACAAAAGGAAGGCCAAAAGACACAATCTATGATGACTTTAGCTCCATAGGGGTAAAAATAAAAATGGGCTGTCTTCAGAATTGCTGAACAGATGTCAAACCCATTTGCTACTTCACAAATCATTGTAAAGGATAATTAGATTCCATTGCTCCTCCAACAAGGTGACACAAAGAAAGATGATACTAGTTTCCAAAGAGGGGGCTTTTTCATAACCAAATAACTGAGAATTGCTACTTGAGAGGTCACTATCAGATTAAGGATCATAATATCAAGGCTGAGTCTAGAAGATAATTTGGGACATCTCCATGGCCTGGCCAGAACAAAAAGGAATAGTGGGAAAAAGAAAATATGTATATATATAAATAAAACTATCTGCATCTGCTGAGTATTTTTTATCATACATATAAAGAAAATAAAAGCAGCTCTCCACTTTCTTACAAAACATGTACCTGAAAATGTACCTGAAAGTGGAATATCTGAAAGGCTAAATAGAAACGTAATTTTATAAGAAAATAGATGATGGAAATGGAGGCTTTTTTGCGAGATTGCCTAGCAGTGTGACAAAATACTTATTTACTCCTTTTAATGGTCCTTTCTAGCTCCTTGTTTTCTAGCAACTCCCAGCATAGAGAGAAGAAACTTTGCAAAGGCCAGGGGCCACACCCAGGTAAACATCTACATGCTCCCAAAGAGATAGTCATTCTGACAGCTGAGAGCATCCATCCAACCACAAACAGCTGCTACTTCAATGAAGACTTAACTTATGCAATTGTGAAATATCTCATAATCATCATTACTCTGCTAATGTATATATATATACACACACATATGTTATTATGTGAAAGGAATTTTAATTGTGAAAACGAATAAAGGGAAAAACATAAACCATGCAAAAGTTGAACACTTACAGTAAAACAAGTTAGTAAATCAGTAAACTGTAATAATTGTTCGTGTAAATAAAAAACATGTTGCACATATATATCAAAGAAGAATACAATGTTATTTCTGGAAAAAATATGATATCACCAGTGGGTCCTGCAAACTAAGCATGAGCCCTACCATGTTTTTTCTGTTAACTTTGGGAAGCCAGTTTCCTAGAAGCATTAATCACATGCTTTATTATGTTCAAGAAGTCACCATTTATAGAATAAATGCAACTATACCTGTTTCCTCATCTGGAAGCAATGTCTACAGCCATTTTAGCTTTTAGTTGTGGGTAGGAGGGTTCTAGCATCTAGTGGGTATTGGCCAGGGATACTGCTACATTGTATAGGACAGTACCACAACAAAGAATTTTCTTTTCCAAAAGGCTGAGCCCAAGTTAACAAACTTTGCTCGACACTTAAGAGAGATAGATGATAACAGATTGATTGATAGATTATATTCTTCTGTTAAATAATGAAAACAAAAACTCTCTTTAAAGCCTCAAACAGAATGCCAAGTAATATATTATTAGAATATTAACACTGTCAATTTGAAAAAAAAAGACCCAGAAATGCACAACTTGGCATTATTTTACTCTGGGGAAGTTCTCCACATTCATATGCCAAAAGCAATTACCATATTCCTGATTGCTAATTAGACTGGCACAGGTTTCAACTTATCTACAGATGGCAACTTAAATAATAGCTAATTTTTAAGCTACGTTTTGAATTTTGTAGGTTTCAATTTAAATATTTAAAGCTATGAGATCATCTGTTAATGTATTCACTATAACAATGAGCACAATTCTGTCATATACCAGGCTTGGACATATGGAAGAACAAGACTGGTTTCCCAAGCCACATGAAAAAATCATTCACATTTCTGGAAAGCCTACCCTACACTGAGACTCACATTGAGTTGAGAGAAGTATGCATCTGAGAAATATTTCACTCACCCACCCCCCAGAGAACCCCTGCCACATACGTGTTCCAGTAATAAGAACAAGAACCCCAGACTAGAAGTCAGATATCTTTCATTTTGGCCTTCTACTTTTTATTAGTTGGGTGATAATGATCAGTCCCAGAGTCACTGATGCCTCAGTTTATCCATCTGTAGAATGAATGGTTTAAAACCGTTTTGTACCTTTATTCACCAGGGCCCCCTCTGAGAATGTTATCAAAGCTTGTACTCGCCTCCCCCAAAATGAACATATTCATTGCATACATTTTCAAGATATTTCTTAAAGCCTGTTTATGAACTCACTAGGAATCAACTGATCACTAGTTAACAGCCTCAGTATTAGACTAGGTTCTTATGCTGTTAGCAATTTTGAAAAAAGTTTTAGCTAGAAAATATAGAGAAGTAGAAAGAAAGAGCCTTCTTACCTGTGGGCATCCTGGCTATGGATCATTGTTCTACACAAAGCCACATGGGAGTGTCAGCAAAGGATACTGTAAAAAGAATGGAGATAGGCTATCTCTACTTCAAATTTCAAAGAGCAATTAACAAAAACAACCTTTACAATTCTACTGTTTAAAACCTTTCTCATTAGAATTGAAAGCTTGTCCCTAGTCTCAGAATAAAGCATTTGGGAACTTTAGGGATTTGTATGTGATTTTTTAAAATACTACATTGGAAAGAATACAAAATGAAATAGATATCATAGATGAATATCTTCTAATTGTTTTAACAGGGTACATATACCTTTATTAGAGTAACAAGGGAAAAGTTACACCGGGCAGTTTTGTGTTATAATTATGAAAGAGTTACTCTTGAGTAATATAAGAAAGAGATAACAAAAAGATCTGATTCAATAAGAATTATTCTGATGTTAAGAATACAAAGCAGACTTCTCATGTGGCCGCAGTTGCAACAGAAAGTCAACTCAACAGGCTTCAATTTCTATGATTTCATTTCTCTCTACAGTCTGAGCTAAAAAAAAAAAAAAAAAGAAAGAAAAAAGAAAAGAAAAGCCTATTTCACAGACAATGTAGAGACAGGTAGAAACTTCCTTGATGTATCAAATTTTTAAACTTAAGCACAGGTGCGATCGCCAGGTGCATGCTCCAGGTGCACATACATCTTTGTTAATATCCACAGAATGTCAAGCCTTTCTTTCAGTCTGATTGGGCAAATTTAGAACACATGTTTTCTCTTCACTATGAATGGTTTATGGGTTCAGACTAATCATCTATAGCATATAGATATTGGGAGATCATTCACAATGTGTACTGAAAAACTGTTAGCCACATATGTGCAGAGGCTATGATTTGGTTATTATTAAATTAAAAGCAACTTAACAAAATTCTGTGCCAGTTCTGCTCCAAATACACTGCTTGCTTTTTTCTTCAGAATAATAAACAACATATTAACAATTAAAGGAATGGTGTGACAGTCATTCCTAAAACCTGCTTTCAATAATCTTAATAATCACTATGTTCTCCATGCATCTCATTAGCAAAATAGACTTCAGTTAAGAATCCCAAAACTTGGTGCATTACAAAGGAAGAAGTGTTTAATCCATGGATTAGCAAAATTTTTTGTAAAGGACCAGAGAGTGAATGTTTCACTTCACAGGCCACATCGTCTCTGTTTTATATTCATTTTATTTAAAATCAACTCATTAATAATGTAAAAAAACTTCTTAGGTCATAGGCTGTACTAAAACAGGTCTAAGGCTAAATGTGATTGATGGGCTATTGTTTATCTATCTGGTAGGAAACACAAGATTAAGTTCAATTGAAAGACTGAATGCAGCAAAGTATGATGTAACATTCATTTCATATTCCTCAGCTGATGAATCTGAAGTAGGGTGATCAACCATCTAGGCTTGTCCAGGACTGGGGTTTTTCCAGAATGTTGGCTTCTAGTAATAAATCCAAGAAAGTCCCTGACCGATCTGGATGATTGGTCATTGATATGGTTTGGCTGTTTACCCACCAAAATCTCATCTTGAATTGTAATCTCCATAATCTCCACGTGTTGTGGGAGGGAGTTGGTGGGAGGTAATTGAATCATGGGGGCAGTTTCCCCCATGCTGTTCTTGTGATAGTGAGCGAGTCTCAGGGGATCTGATGGTTTCCTAAGCATCTGGCATTTCCCCTGCTGGAACTCATTCTCTCTACTGCTGCCCTGTGAAGAGGTGACTTCCTCCATGACTGTAAGTTTCCTGAGGCCTTCTCAGCCATGAAGAATGTGAGTCAATTAAGCCTCTTTTCTTTATAAATTACCCAGTCTAGGTATCTCTTCATAGCAATGTGGGAACAGACTAATACAGTCATCCTAATAAATTATGCAAATGAGGGAAGTGAAATTCTTAAACAAGGAGGCCAAAAGAAAGCAGTCACTTCATGGCTTGACCATCTAACTGAAAAGTAGGAAGAAGACTGAGATGGGTGGGGTTAGAAGGCTAGTGAATTGAATCCTTATAACCAAATAAAGGTGAAATTAAACTCAACCGCTTGTTAACAACTCCCTAGTTGTTAACTTTTAACAACTCCCTGGTTGTTAAAAATCATTCATTTTTCTATGTTTAGCAAAACCTGGGAAAATAAGGGGTACAGAAGTCATACAAAGTAGTGAGAGTCAAAAGAAACCAAACAGGCCATGTTAAGACTGGAAAACAACAACACAAACATTTACTCAGAAGAGCAGCTTGAAATTTCCATTTAAACTAGTCAACAAACAAGAAAGGTTGTGCAATCCCATCAACACTATCCCCAGGTGCTGCTTATTCCATTTTGCTCTACAGTCTCTTTTGTTATTTTTTTTCTTCCTATTGAATGTCACTGGCAAGAAGTCAAAGAGTCCATTCCAGGTTTCGGTTGCTGAAGCAGTGAAGCAGATGGTGTCAGAAACCAATACAGGAGGGAAATACAGATCACACACAGCTTAGTTTATTTGAGACTTACAAAAGATCTCATTAGGTCTAAAGTGGTTAGAGCAGGGTGATAGAGAAGGAGTTGTTAGAAACCCCATGTCTTATTCTGAGGAGACCATTTCAAGACTTAGTTATGATAATTTCTTTTTTTTTTTTTCTTTTTGAGATGGAGTTTTGCTCTTGTCACCCAGGCTGGAGTGCAATGGCCTGATCTCAGCTCACTGCAACCTCTGCCGCCTGGGTTCAAGCAATTCTTCCTCACCCTCCTGAGTAGCTGGAATTACTTACAGGCATGCATCACCACACTTGGCTAAGTTTTGTACTATTAGTAGAGACAGGGTTTCACCATGTTGGCTAGGCTGGTCTTGAACTCCTGACCTCAGGTGATCCGCTCACCCCAGTCTCCCAAAGTGCTTGGATTGTAGGCATGAGCCACCACGTCTGGCCAGTTATGATAATTTCAGTACAATACTGAAACAAGGTCAATAGATTTGAAAAGATCAATGTTCAAAGCAACACTAAGTGGCAGAACAGTAATCTCAACTTGCATGAGAGCAGCAAATGGCTTAACATAGGAGTGGTCAAGAGAGGCAGCAAGATGCATTGGAATATCCAAGTAGAGAAGAAACTACGAGGGAAAAAAGAACTTTGCATAAATCTCGAAATGGCATTTTTGTATTTCCATGTATGCAATATATTATTCATGAAGTATAAAACATCTCACATGGTCTTACTTATTTGCACAATTTCCTCAAGAGGCCTTTTGGAAAGAAATCTTGACACCCATTTCACAGACAGCAGGATTTAATTATTTCCCCAAAGTCACATCTTGAAAAAGTGCTGACATTGGGACATAATCTGTTTCCCTGAACTCCAAAACAATCCTGGGAAATATATTAATAGACCCGACGTTAAACATTGGAATTATTATAGCTAACAGAATGAGAAAGAAAAAGATGCCAGGTGTCACTTAAGATAGAACTCTAAGGGTAGGATTAAAATGTGAATGTAGCTAAGTAAAATTCCTTAAGGAATTATAGTAGAGAAGCCACCAATCCAATAGCACATTGTTTAAAAACCTCCATCCAACTAGGGCACGAGGTGCATGCTGTCCAATACACCTAATATACGAAAATGCGTGAAAACCGTTCTGAGTTGAGGAAACAGCATCAGCAGGATAGTTATGCACCTTGTAGGCTTCTGGCCTACATTTAGCATGTGTGCTGCCAACTCGGTTCCCCAGATGTCAGCAGGGAGTGCTGAGCATGAAGCAGCAGGCAGTGTCCTAGGAAATCAGCCAGAGACCAGTCCAAGAGGGTCAACCCCTCTGGAAAAACTTTAAAGGGCCTACCTTCTCTTGGGAACTCTTAAAGAAACTGGTGCCTCAGTGCAAAGCAGAAAGTGTCTTTCCTTTCCACAAATTTATTTATCTATCTAGGCTAAACTCATGGCATCAAGCAGCACAAAAAAAGCATTATTTAAGAAGTATTTAGGGAGCAACCAATCCCTAACTACTGCTAAATAGTGGTTACTCCCTAAACACTACCTTAATATGGGTTACTTAATTTAAGTTACTTAATATAACCTAAATAGTGGTCACTCTCTAAATACTCCCTAAATACTGCTTTTTTGTGTGCTGCTTGATGTCATGATAAGTATTACAAGTGCTAAAGGAAAGAAGGAGAGACCCTTCCTGATGCTTAGAGTCTAATGATATGCTGGTAAAAGCTTAACTGCCTACCTGGAGGACAAGCTGTGAATTGTACCATTTGTTGATTAGCCATCTGTAAATAATCCTACCATGACCAATTTCAACCTGTCAACGTGATGCAAAACACCTTTAAAAATTTGTGAAACTATAGTAATTATGCACTAGTAGGAGCAGTATTCAGTGCACTACTGCTTAAAATTTATGCCTAAAGAGGTAAAAATGTAGGAAAAGTAGTTCTGATTCTCATGTATGTGTAAATGCAGGCATATATGGGTACGAGAGCCTGAGTGTGTGTGGGTGGGTGGGGGTAGCATACAACTACAAACTGGATAATCAAATTGAGCAATCCCACTCTAGCCTGTGCATAGATAGTGGTGGAAAAGCGCCCTTTTTGCTCTACACTCAGGCAGATCTCCAGGCATTCAAAGCACTTGCTTATCTGGTCCAGCAGCCTGAACTGCCCCACTCTTCCTGAGCAGAGATTGTGATGCAACAGAGCCCTCTCTGCTCCATGCCCAGGCAGATCTCCAGGCATTTAAAGCACTATTCTCCTAGATTAGCAGCCTTTGCCACCCTACCCTTCCTATGCAGATTGTGGTACAGTGGGCCCTCTGTAGTTCATCCCTATGTAGATCTCCAGGCATCTGGAGCACCCACCCCACTGAATTAGGAGTTTAGGCCACCCACTTCCCCCATGCAGAGAATTTGCAGTCAAGGAAGTTTCGCAGTTCCATGCCTAGGCACACCTCTGGACAACTGATTTCCCACTGGATTCTCCCTTAGTGGCTAGGGCTTTTGCCTGCCATCAAGGGACCTATAGGTTAGTCTCCTCAGGCTGGTCCTGTATAACTTTCCCTCTGACCCTCCCACCTGTCAGGGATGAGCAGGGAGCTCAGACCACTGTGCACTCCATGGTTCAGCCCATTACCTGAGACAATAAAGAGCTTCTCCCAGTAAACAAGGATCAAAGGTATACCCGGCCACATTGGCCACAGTCAGACCTTACCCATAAGTGTTATCTACTGGCTTGTAGGTCAAACTGCATAACCCAGCAGGTAGGTCAAACCAGCTAAAACATATCCACAGGGCTACAGAAACAAAGCTGAAAGACTCTATGCAACATTCCCCACATTCACACCCCCTGGGAATGGGGAGAAAGGGGAAGGGAAAGGAAAAAAACACACACAATGGTATTACAGAGAAAAAGAAAAAAAATTCTACCCACATTAAAATAATTACAAAAGTTAGTGTTGGCACCTTCATGTAAGAAGGAACTAGCACAAGAATTCCGGCATCATGAAAAATCTGAATGTAGTGACACCGCCAAAGGACTATACTCAATCTCCAGCAATGGTCTCTAACCAAAATCAAAACTCAGAAATGACAGACAAAATAATTCAAGGCATGGAATACAAGGAAGCTCAATGAGATCCAAGATAAGGCTAAAAATCAACACAAAGAAGCTTCTCAATCAATCGAGGAAATAAAGGAAAACATAAACATTCTAGAAACATATCAATCAGAGATTCTGAAATTGAAAAACTCACATAAGAAATTTCAAAATACAGTTGAAAGTTTTATCAATAGAATGGACCAAACAGAAGAAAAACATTCAGTGCTTGAAGCCAGTCTTTCAAACTAATCCAGTCAGACAAAAATAAAGAAAAACAATTTTTCAAAATGAACAAGGTCCTTGAGAAATAAAGGATTATGTAAAGCAACCAAATTTATAAATTATTGATACTCATGAGAGGGAAGGAAAAAAAGTAAGCAACCTGGAAAACATATTCAAAGAAATAAATCAAGAAAACTTCCTTAATCTTGCTAGAGAGGTAGACATCCAGATACAGGAAACCTAGAGGACACCTATGAGATACAAAACGAACATCATCAAGGTATATAGTCACCAGATGGTTCAAGGTCAATGCCAAAGAAAAAAGTCTTAAAGGCAGCTAGAAGAAAATATCAGATTACATACAAAGGAAACCCCATCAGGCTAACAACAGATTTCTCATCAGATACTTTATAAGCCAGAAGAGATTGGGGGTCTATTTTGAGCATTTTTAAAGAAAAGACATTCCAACCAAGAAATTTCATAGCCCACCAAACTAAGATTCGTAAGTGAAAAAGAAATAAATATTTTCTAGTCAAGCAAGTGCTAAGGGAATTTGTTACCACTAGATCAGCCTTACAAGAGATTCTTAAAGGAATTCTAAACATGAAAATGAAAGAACATATCAATATTAACGTAATATAACAGGTCTAAATTCCTCATCTAAAAGACATAGAATTGCAAGATGGATTTAAAAACTCCATCTGCTGTATTCAAGAGACCAATCTCGCACATAAGCCACGTAGGCTCAAAGAAAGGGGCTGAAGAAATATCTACCACCCATATGGAAAACAAAAAAGAGTAGGGGTCACTAGTCTTATATCATTAAAAAACACTTAAATCAACAACAATGAAAAAGGACAAAGAAAAGCATTCCATAATGATGAAGAATTTGATTTAACAAGAAAACTTAAGTCACCTACAAATAAATGCACCCAACATTGGAGCCCCCAGATTTGCAACATAACTACATCTAGACCTACAAAAAGAATTAATGACACAGTAATAGCTGAGGGCTTCAATACCTCACTGATAGTGTTAGACAGGTCATTGAGGCAGACAAGTAACAGACAAATTCTGGACTTAAATGTCACATTTGACCAATTGGATCTAATAGATATTTACAGGATACTGCACGCAACAAGCACAGAATATACCTTCTTCTTATCTGCACATGGAACATACTGTAATAATAACCACATACGCAACCATAAAGCAACTCTCAATGATTTTTTTAAAGAGCAAAATTATACCAACCATACTTTTAGAATAAAATAGAATAAAAGCAGAAATCAACACCAAGAATCTCTCCCAAAACCACACAATTACATGGAAATTAAACAACATGCTTCTAACTGACTTTTGGGTAAACAATAAAATTAAGGCAGAAATCAAAAATATCTGTGAAATAAATGAAAACAAAGACACAACATACCACAATCTCTGGGATGCAGCAAAAGCAGCATTAAGAGAAAAGCTTATGCATGAAATGGAGATGTCAAAAAGTTAGAAAAATCTCAAATTAATGATCTATCATAATACCTAGAAGAACGAGAAAAAAAAAAAAAAGAATGAACTAACTCCAAAGCTAGCAGAAGAAAATAAATAACAAAACTTAGAGCAGAACTGAGTGAAATTGAGACCCCAAAATTCATACAAAGAATAATGAAACCTGAAGTCAGTTTTTGGAAAAAATAAACAAGATCAGTAGCTAGATACCCAGATTAACAAAGAAAGAAAGAGAGAAGATCCAAATAACCACAATTAGAAACAACAAAGGTAACAATACTATCAATCCCACAGAAATGCAAAAGATCCTAAGAGAGGATTATGAAAACCTCTATGCACACAAACTGGAAAATCTAGAGAAAATGGATTAATTCCTGGAAATACACGACATCCCAAGAATGAATCAGAAAGAAATCAAAACTTTAAACAAACCAGTACCAAGTTCCGAAAATTGAATCAGTAATAAAAATCCTACCAACCAAAAAAAGCCCCAGTGGAGATTGATTCACAGCCAAATTTTACCAGACAAAAAAGAACTGGTACCAATTCTACTAAAATTATTCCAAAAAATTGAGGAGAACGGTTTCCTCCCAAACCCATTCTATGAAAGCAGCATTATCTTGACACCAAAACCTGGCAAAGATACATCTAAACAACAACAAAAACAAAAACTACAGGCCAATAACCTGATGAAAATGATGAAAATATCCTCAAAAAAGTATTAGCAAACTGAATCCAGCAGCACATCAAAATGTAATTCACCATGATAAAGTAGTCTCCAATCCTGTGATGCAGGTTTGGTCCAACATATGCAAATCAATAATGTGATTCACCACATAAACAGAATTAAAACCAACAATTATGTAATTATATCAATAGATGTGAAAAAATCCTGTGATAAAATTAACTATCCGTTCATGATAAAAACCATTTAGAAGCTAGGCATCAAAGGAAAATATGTAAAAATAAGAGCAACTACGACAAACCAAAGCCAACACCATAATGAATGGGCAAAAGCTGGAAGTATTTCCTTTTGAGAACTGGAACAAGACAGGGATGCCCACTCTTACCACTCCTATTCAACACAGTACTGGAAGTTCTAGCCAGAGCAATCAGGTAAGAGAAATAAATTAAAGGTATCCAAAACAGGTATAGAAGAAATAAGACTATCTCTCTTCACTGATCATTTGACGCTACACCTAAGACACCCTAAAGACTGCCAAAAAGCTCCTAGAACTGATAAGTGACTTCAGTAAACTTCCAGAATACAAAATCAACATACAAAACTTCGTAGCATTTCTATACACCAATAATGTTCAACGTGAAAACCAAATCAAGAAAACAGTCCCATTTACAATAGCCACACCCCCAAAAAATACCTAGGAATACATCTAACAAAGGAGATGAAAGATATCTACCAGGAGAATACAAAACACTGCTAAAAGAAATCATAGATGAGACAAACAAGTGGAAAAATATCCCATGTTCATAGACTGGAAGAATCAGTATTGTTAAGCTTGCCACACTGCCCAAAGCTATCTACAGAGTCAACGCAATTTCTATCAAACAATCAATATCATTGTTCACAAATTAGAAAAAAATAGACTAAAATTCACACAGAACTGAAAAATAACAAAAAAGAGCTTGAATCGCCAAAGCAGTCCTAAGTGGAAAAATAAAAATAAAAAGCTGGAGGCATCACCATCACATTACCTGACTTTAAACTATATCATAAGTCTACAATAACCCAAAACAGCATGGTACTAATACAAAAACAGACACATAGACCAATGAAACAGAACAGAGAACCCAGAAATAATGCTGCACACCTACAGCCATCTGATCTTTGGCAAAGTCAACATAAATAAGCAATGGGGAAATGACTCCCTGTTCAATAAATTGTGCTGCGTTAGCTGGCTAGCCAAATGCAGAAGAATAAAACTTGACCCCTTCCTTACACCATATACAAAATCAACTCAAGAGGGATTAAAGATTTAAATGTAAAACCTAAAATTATAAAAACCTTGGTAGATAACCCAGGAAAACCATTGTGGACATAGGCCTTGGGAAAGAATGTATGACTAAGTACTCAAAAGCAATTGAAACGAAAGCTAAAACAGATAAATTTAACCTAAGCTTCTGGACAGCAAAGGAAACTAACAACAGAGTAAGCAGGCAACCTACAGGAAGAGAGAAAATATTTGTAAACTATGCATCTGATAGAGGTCTACTATCCAGAACCTGTGAAGCACTTAAACAATTTAACAAGCAAAAAACAACCCTGTTAAAAGTGGGCAAAAACATGAAAAGACAATTCTCAAAAGAAAACATACAAGCTACCAACAAACACATGAAAAAAAATGCTCAAAATTACTAATCATCAGAGAAATGCAAATTAAAACCACAATGAGATAACCATCTCACAGCTGTCAGAATGGCTATTACTAAAAAGTAAAAAAAAAAAAAAGGACAGATGCTAGTGAGGCTGCAGAGTAAAAGGAATGCTTATACACTCTTGGTTGGACTGTAAATTAGTTCAGCCACTATGAAAAGCACTTTTGAGATTTCTCAGAGAACTTAAAACAGCCACCATTTGACCCAATAATCTCAACCTTGGGTATACACCCAAAATAAAATAAATCTTCTACCAAAAAAAAATATACTTATATGTTCATCCCAGCACTATTCACGGTAGCAAAGACAGGAAATCAACCTAGATGCCTATCAACAGTGGGTTGGATAAAGAAAATGTGGTACGTATACACCATGGAACACTACATAGCCATGAAAAAATAATAAAATCAAGTCCTTTGCAGCAATATGGATGCAGCTGGAGGCCAAGATCCTAAGCAAATTAAAGCAGAAACAGAAAACCAAATACTACATGTTCTCCCTTGTAACTAGGAGCTAAACATCTGGACATATTGTTCGCAACAATAGACACTGGAGACTATTAGAGAAGAGAGGAAGGGAGGCAGAAAAAGGTTGAAAAACTTACTTGAATATTATACTCACTACCTGGGTGAGGGGATCATTTGTTTCCCAAAGCTCAGCATGACACAACATATCCATCTAACAAACCTACACGTGTCCCCTGAATCTAAACTAAAAATTGAAATTAAAAAAAACCCCAAAGCATTATATTAATTTTATAGTGTCCACATTCTCACATTCACTTCTCCTTTTCCAGTGGCCATAAGTTCATAAAGATTCATAGGCACCTCCAGGGCTATAAATTTTCCTGGTCTAGAAACCCCATAAAACTTCACTTCTAAAGCTCAGGTTCTATGTCTGGTACACAGTAGGAACTCTATGCACATTTGCTTACTGATTGATTAATGATTGACTGATTCTACTTTCCTTTCTCCTTTTCAACATCCTTCAAGGTTCCTGGCAAACATAGTTAGGGTTCGATTAACAAACATAGTTAGGGTTTGGATCCTGTTTATTTCTCTGCAAACTAAGGTAGGGATGGCTGATGTGAATTCTTTTTTTCTTTTCTTTTTTTTTTTTTTTTTTTTTTTGTGGGCAAGCTACTATGTGGCAGTGACTTCACTTCCATGGTCTAAACAAAGGTTCCCTGATGTTGGATACTGTGCTTATTTTAAACTCAAATAGCCATATGAGAATGTGGAGGAAACATATGATTTTAGGGAATGAAGAAACTTCAAAGATCTTTGAGTATGAGGCCACTTAGCCAAATGCCTTAATTTTGTACTGCTAAAACAGAATTTCAGATACTTGGTAATTTATAAAGAAAATAATATATTTTTCACAGTTGTGGAGGCTGGGAGGTCTGATATCAAGGTGCAAGCATCTGGCACAAGTTTTCTATGTCTGTCATCCCATTTCAGAAGGTGAGAGAGAGAATGAGGGGAAATAGAAGGGGATAGGACTTGCCCTATGTTGCACACCCACTCTGGGGATAACAGCATTAATCTATTCATTTTCTCTGCTCTCATAGCTGAATCGCTTCCCATTAGGCCTCACCTCCCAACACTGTTGCATTGGGGATTAATTTTCTAACACATGCTTGAAGACACATGATCAAACCATAGTACCAAGTAAATCAAGAAAGCAAGTGGTTTACTCTCTGCATAAATGTTACACACACACACACACACACACACACACACTCTCCCTCTCTCTCTCTCTCTCTCCATTTCTCTCTCTCTCACACACACACACACACACAATCTCTCTCTCTCTCACACACACACACACACACACACACTCACTCAAAAGATATCCTCAGCTCACCATCCTGTCTATCTTCATGGAAAGTAGCACTAGACAAAATCACCTAGATATTTATTTATTTATTTATTTATTTATGTTTCATACTACTGAAACATAAGATTCAGGCAAATAGTAACTTCTCTGTCTTATTTACTTTTTCATCCCCAGCCCTTATCCACATGCCTGGCAAAACTAGGTTCTTGATAAATATAAATTGAGTAAGTGAATAAGTACAATGGTATAGTCATTCATAATCTCTTAATATACTGGTGTTTATTGGACTGTCTCTGGTGTTATTATCCCTACCTCTACTTTCTTCCCAATTGGACTGAAAATCAAGTTAACAAAAATTGACAACGGAAACTAAGAAATACAAGAATACCAATTTTTAAAGCAACACATTTATATGTAGAAAGATATTTCTCCTCTGATACATTAGTTGCCCAATTCAGACAAAGAAAGTTTGTTTTATGAAAATCAGAGTGACCACAGACTACTCTTACTTCCTCTTTATTTCCATAAGTGCTGAGAGTTTGTCACCAAGAGGTCATTAACAACATATTTTCTCTAAAATAATATAGAAATATAAACTGGACTTAAAAGCACTTTAGGGTTTTCATCAAGCTAAATAAGTAAAGCAGATTATTTCTACCAAATAAAAACATCTAACTACTGAACTTATTTATTGTGAATCTTATTCAGGATATCTTGGAGAAGGAAAACTTAGGTTTCATTTTAACTATAACCAATCAAGGTTTTACCTCATTTTTTGGTAAAATAGTCTTTCCAAATAGTCCAAACATGCTTAGATAATTAGAGGCATTGCTTATTGAGGTTCAAAAATTTTGTGGAAGTGAATTTTCTGATTTTGTTTGGTAATGATGTACACATCCTATTCTAGGTTTTTTTTTTTTTTTTTCCTATCAAGTAACTTAGAGTATGTCCAGCAGCTTTTTCTAGATCATTTTAGCAGTTTACTGGCTTCATCATGTTTATGGGCAGAAATTTTCAAAAGGATCAAATAACTGAATTCCTCTTCTGGTGACAAGAATTGTAAATTGTTTGTATTTAAATGTAATTTTCCGTAAGATTAAGTTTTGTTAAATAATTTGGCCTTTTTAAAAATAGATGTTACAGTGGCATTATTTAGAATTAATATGAACTCAAGTATAGTTTGTATAGATGTAGTATCTATACAGAGAAGAGGGTAACATAATTTTGCTTCTTTTAGCTTCCTAGATAATTTCAAAATTCTATTTTTTTTTTTTTTTACTTATTAAAGGAGCTATCAGGGTCTTTGAGAATAAATTTTTGGTAGTTTTTGCTTATAGAAACAGGGGATGAGAAATCCCAGGAGTCATTTAGGAAAGAGTGAATAGGCGCTACTTTATTTTTATACACAGAGAGCCTGGGCAGCTAATAGGCTTCAGGTGTGAAACCCTGAAGTAAGAAGATCTTTGCTAATTAATAAGATCCTTAGCCTAGTTACAGAAAGGCATTAGAATAACACAGATCCTGAGCTAAGTTGTTTTTAGTTTTATGTTTGAGAATCACCAAAGCCAAGCCAGAGGTGGGGAAGAGCTTAATGTTATCCAAACCACACTGTAATTCCCAGCAGTCCAATACACTCCCTCAGAGATACATTCATTTGTAAATGAAAGAGAAGTCCAGCAGTCTCTGGAAACTGGAAAGGGGGTTTGGCAGAAGAAGCCAGGGATCCAGAGAGAAACACTTATGACTTTGACAAATTAAACAAATTTTCTGACTCTCACATATGCAAAAATGTGGTGACAAGACTTGCCTACAGAGTTATTGTAAGAATTAAATAAGATGCAGGAAAACTCTGACACATAGCTGAAAGCCCATAGAGGACAGTCTCATCCCCCTTTCCTTTGCACAAGGTCTAACTTGGGAGAAAGCAGCAGTTTAGGGATGCAAAGCTTGTACCTCTTCCTCTGGTGCAAAGTCCAGGGCCACCCTAGGAAGCGTCTAGTCACAAGGCCAGCCTTCAGGGCAACAGTGCTTGATTTAATGCTCTACTGTCCCTATATTGAAATCTTTCATACGTTTGAACAAGGAATCCCTCATTTTCATTTTTCACTGGACTCCGCAAATTATGTAGCTGGTCCTGCTTCTCCAGTGCTGGAAGATAAGTGGCTACTGCTTCCTCTCCTGGTTGGGCAGTCCCCAGGCCCCACACACTGCTTTGGAGAGGGACCTTGAGCTGAGAGCTCAAAAATCAACTAGAATTTACCAGTCTTTTCCTGGTAAAACAGACATTATTATCTGAAAATGTTCACTGGTGTGAAACTTTAAGGAAGTAAGTAATAAAGGCAGTAAATGAAGAGTTAGATCTTTCCAGAAACATGACTCTGAAATCTTCAGAAGATTGGTGAATACACTCCTCTACTTAATTTTTTAAATCTTGGTCTGAAGGGTTGAGATAAGTTAGAGACAAATAACTTTTAGTAGAACACCGGTTTTTCAGGGGCTGAAGAATAAATACCCTATAGCAATTACTGTACCATATGCTTAAAATTTACTAAGAAAGTAGATCTTATGTTAAGTGTTCTTACCTTCAAAAATAAGAATATAAATAAAGGGGCTGGGAGGAAACTTTGGAAGATGATGAATATGTTTACGGCTTTGATGGTGGTGATGGTTTCACAGGCATGTACTTATCAAATTGTATACATTAAATAGGTACAGCTTTTTATATGTTAGTCATCTCAACAAAGTGGTTTTAAAAATAAATACTAAAATCAAATGAACAAATTCTCATATTACAATATTTACAGTTTAATGTCATTTATTTATTGGAAACCTAGCAATCTTGCAACCTCACTTATTCAAAATACAATCAGTAGCATAAAAATGGAGTAAAAAGGCCCCTTAACAAATAAAGTCAGTGTGGGAAAACAAAAGCATTAGAGTTTATTGACTTTACTTAAAGGACTTAGCCTCAAGTCAATACTGCTAAAGGACTTTCTGGTTTCCAAACTTTCCGTTGATTAAATATAATAAATTACACCAGGAGAGGCTACTTAAATGGTGCTAGAATCCAGAAGAAGGATAGTTACTAACAGCAAGTGTGGAAATATATACACTAACATGTACATAAACACATATTTACATACACACAGACATGTACATACACACAGACATGTACACACTCACACACATGTCCACTAACATGCCAGTTAAAGTTGCAAAATACTGTTAACATTTACTGCAAGGAAGAACAGTTTCATGCCTCGGTAGTTTTCAAATGTAACATCATTTTCATAGCTGGCATTTGCTATCATCGACACTGGGCCTGCTGTGATTTTATGCCTTTCCCCTGTATGATTTCTAATCCCTGCGTCAGTTGCTTGTAGTAATATTATTGTCTCCATTTTACAGAAAAGAAAATTGAGATTCAAACAAAGGTTAAGTCGTTTGTCCAATATTCCAAGGTAACTAGATGTAAAAGTGCCCAGTGCTGGCTATCTCCCCAAAAGGTCTATTTCTAACCATATTAAAATAAGAGAAACACATTTATCTTCATAATGATAACCCAAGTCATTAAGAGGATGAAAGTATATGCCCCTTATACTCCTTTTTTATTTTAATTTTAATTTTTTAATTATTATTATACTTTAAGTTTTAGGGTACATGTGCACAACGTGCAGGTTTGTTACATATGTATACATGTGCCATGTTGGTGTGCTGCACCCATTAACTCGTCATTTAGCATTAAGTATATCTCCTAAGGCTATCCCTCCCCCCTCCCCCCACCCCTTTAAAGAAAAGATGTTCCTATGGTTTGAATGTGCCCCCTTCCAAATTCAGGTGTTGAAACTCGTAGGCACATCTATGCAAACCTGCCCCCAAAATCCAGGGGGAGCTGAGAGGTCAAAGAAAGAGGCTGGTATATCCAGTTTCTGAGAAATAAGCATTTAACAGGGACATACAAACAAAACATACATTTATGTCTTGAGTGGCAGAGAGACAAGATAGTGGATTCCCATGCCATTATACCTGGGAATCACGTACACCCTTTCCCTGTGGTATAGAAGCCCAGCCGACCTACGGCTTCTATACCACAGGGAAGGGGTATAAGTGATTCAGAAGGGATAAGTAGGACAATTGCTTAAGGGCAAGACTTAGGGTAACATCAAGATCATTTGACCTGAGGACAGGATTTCTCATAAGTAAGTGCACTTACACAAGGAACAATAGATACACTGGAAGTCTTAGAGGCATTCCCAGAACAAGCGTTAATCAGAAGTTAACATAGCAGATTAGCATCAAAGATGGAGTTGCTTTAGCCTTCACAAAACTTAATGACCAATGTGATAGAGATGGGGGTCTTTAAGAATTGATTTGGTCATGAGGGCTCCTCCCCCATGAATGGGATTAAGGTCGTTATAAAAGGCTTCACACAACACTGGGCCCACTTAATCTTCTGCTCTTCTGCCATGTGAGGATACAGCATTCCTGCCCTCCAGAGAATGCAGCAACAAGGTACCACCTTGGAAGCAGAGAGCAGCCCTCAGCAGGCATTGAGTTTGCTAGCACTTTGATCTTGGACTTCCCAGCCTTCAGAACTGTGAGACAGTAAATTTCTGGTCTTTAGAAATTATGCAGTGTCAGATATTTTGTTAAACAGCACAAAATAAACTAAGAGATGAATAACAAATTTTAGAAAGATGATATACCAAATAAATTATCATTTTTTCCTTAATGATACTTGGAATTTTAGCTATTTGAATTAAATTCATAGAATTCACATCTAAAGAGTTTCAGATAAATAACTAATCTGTCATCCTTCTTTGCAGTCCTGTGGCAGAGATAAACCAATAAAAATAAATATGGAGCTAGGTAATATTATGGCACTCAAAATCATCATAAAAATATCCTAATAGTTCTTTCATAGGGAAATTTCTATTTACTTTTTTCTTAATTGTTAATATGAAATATGGGCCGAGATTTATGCACAAAACATTTATTTCAGTGTGATTTAAAATGTAAAAAAAATTTTTTTGAGACGGAGTCTCAATCTGTCACCCAGGCTGGAGTACAGTGGCATGATCTCGGCTCACTGTAACCTCCACCTCCCAGGTTCAAGCAATTCTCCTGTCTCAGCCTCCCAAGTAGCTGGGATTACAGGTGCATACCATCACGCCTGGCTAATTTTTTGTATTTTTAGTAGAGACAGGGTTTCACCATGTTAGCTCAATCTCCTGACCTTGTGATCTGCCCACCTCAGCCTCCCAAAGTGCTGAGATTACAGGCGTGAGCCACTGTGCCCGGCCTGAAGTGAAAAAATTTTTTAGCAAACAAATGCTAGGGAAATAATTGTTATATATATATATATATATATCCATATGACATGTGATATTACATTACATATATTATATGATACTGTGTTGCCATTGGAAAGGTATTGGAAAATGTTTAATATCTTCAAAAACTTACAGAAAATTAAGTATTTATATCCCAAAGTGTACATGCAGTAGAGTAGCTCTTCATGCTGTTTTCCAGGTATTATCAGTTGGCCCACTTTCCACAAAAATTATAGGATCGGTATTATTGGTCTCCTCGTGGTTGAGTTGAGCCATGCTATAGTTCTGGCATTTAACTGCCAATTAAAACTCCTCTAGAACTCTCTTTTTCTCACATAGTACAGCAACTGCCAAATTTGTAATGGTGGTTGCACTGTCAGCTCAGGTCTAAGAATAATTTTTATTAGTAGAATCTACTAAACACATTGTCTTAGTCAGTTCGGGTTTCTATAATGAAACACCATAGACTGAATGGCTTATGAACAACAGAAATGTATTTCTCACAGTACTGGAATTAGGAAATCTGAGATCACAGTGCAGAAGTTCTGGTAAACCTTCTCTTCTAGGTTGCAGAGGGCCAACTTTTTGTGCCCTCACATATTGAACAGAGCAACAGAGCTCTCTGGAGTCTGTTTTATAGGGACAGTAATCCATTCATGAGGGCTGTACCCTCATGATGCAATTGTCTACCAAAAGCCCCACCCCCTACCATTACATTGTGGGTTAGGACTTCAGCATATGAATTTTAGGGGAACAAAAACACTCGATCCATAACACACCTTTGAAATCCTTAATAGAGTTTTGTCTATTCATTAAAAAAAATTAAACAATTGCAATGCACAAAGCATTAAACAAATAGCAGTATATGGCAGTAATTAAATAGATTCCCAGGAAGCTTACATTCTAGTGAAGGAAAACAAAAAATAAATAAATAAATGTATAATATGTCGGATGACTATTAAAGGGTGGAGATGATACTTTCTACTGAAACAGATTGGTTATAATGAATTTACAAGTTATTTATCCTTCTAAATAGATATTATATGCCTAAATACCTGGGTCAATGTTCAATGTTCAACCGAGCCCATAATTGTATGGGCACTACATATCAAATCAAAATGGTGTTTTCATTAATGGAAGGTATCACTCTTATTTTATAATCCAATCTCCATATAGTTCATATGGTGTCAGGACTCAATATCCACTTGTATTTGGGTGCACTCAATTTTATATGCACTTTGCAAGTGTTTACAGCTGACCTGATTAAAATATTGAGAATGTGTATAATCTGTAGGTGATTCCTTTTATACTTGTTGCTGAATTATGTTTCAAAATGTGTGAAAAATTAGTTCTTTAAATTTAGATAACGTTTATATTGGTAGCTAGACATTAATGCTAAACTCTCAAGATAAATATTTTTGTATTACAAGTCTCCATGCCACAATGTGACCCAGTAGGTTAGCCACAAGGGATGCATGCTCCAGCAGCATCCAGGACACTTAACCAACCTCAGAATCATGGCTGCTGCTTCACATCCACATTTTCAATATCACACAAGATTCTCTTGTGGCCAAGCCTAACCTGAAACCATATAGGAAATAAAATTTTAGAAAATGTAGTTCCAACTTAGCTTGTTGATACAGTACTAATATACCACAGACTATTTAAAGCAAAAACAATAACTATGTCATATGATGGTCATACTATGAATAGAGAAAAATATATGATAATAACATGTATCATAAGAGACAGGTAAATAGTAATTACATGTTGCACTGAGAGTAATATAGCACTAATTTGATGTAGAATTTAATACATTTAGGTTGCATATTATAGTGTTTAGAGCAACCAAAAAGGCATACTGAAAAAAAAACCCTATGGTATAACTAAAACAAAAGCAGTAAAATAGACTGTAAACATATTTGATAATTTAACAGAAGGCAGTAAAGGATAGATAAATAAGGACAAGATGAGGTAAACCAAGTCTATCTGTCACTGTATTAAACAGAAATAGACTAAATAGTCTAGCTAAAAGAAAATATTGTCAGATTGTTAAAAAGAAAAAAAACAAGCCCACTTCTATAATTTTAAAAAAGATTCATTGTAAACAGAAAGACGCAGGTAGAAAGTAAACAACAGAAACATGCTAATCAAAAGAAAACCACCGTGGCTTTCTTAATATCAGGCAAAGAAGACACAAAGGGAAGAAATCTGATTAAAGATAGAGATGTTTCATTTTAGAAAGGAATAAATTAAAAAGGAAGACTACAATGTTGAAAATATGTATTGACTAATAATATTTCTTTAAAATGTAAAAATCAACATTTTACAGAAATAAAGACAATAGAAAAAGCTACAAGTGTAGTTGGATATTTTAATTAACTTCTCTTAATAAATGATGGAAGAAGCAGATACAAATCATCAAAGATATAGAAGATTTGAATAGTTGCATTAGCCCACTCAATTTCATTGCTTTTGAGAACGTTATACTCAATAACTACCGAATACACATTCTTCTGAAGTGCACACAAAATGTTTAATAAAACAGGTCATATGTTGGGTTAATATCAAGAAATATAAAAGGCAAATATCAACAAATATCAAAGGATTTTCAATATAAATTGTTTTTTAGTAAGTGGCAATAAAACAGAACTGGAGATCAATAACAGAAAGGTAAAGAGAAGATCCCCACATATTTGCAATTTAAGCTATCAATTTTTAAAAATGTAAACAACCAATAAAAAATGAACAGAGCACTTGAAAATTACCTTTACAAAAGAGCATCTCCAAATAGTAATCACATGAACAAAGTGCTCAACGGCATTACTTATCAGAAAAATACACATTAAAACCCCCACATGCACTAGAATTACTAAAATTAAAGACTGACAATTCCAAGTGTTGTCAAGGTTATGGACCTCTGCTGCATTGCTGGTAGCAGTATAAGATAGTAAAATAGCTATGGAAAACTGGTAGTATTTATAAGAGTAATTTTACTCCTAAATAAGCACCCAAGAGAAGGTCATGTATTTGCTTATAAAAAGACATATACCAGAATGTACCTAGAAGCTTTACTTAAATAACCTAAATTTGAAGCAGTGCAAGTATTCACAAATAACAGAATGTATAAATAAATTTCAGTGTATATAAATGTTCTATTATGCAATTTTAAGAAGAAAATAAAATAAGGCAACATGCAGATAGATGTAATAACTGCATCTTAAAGGCACTATATTGAACAAAAGAAGCCAGATGCAAAAAATTCTATACAATATGCTTTTATATGTACACATTTCAAGAATGAGCATAATGAATGTATGGCAATAGAAGTTAAAATACTGGTTCCTTTAGGGAGGTATTGATATGGAAAGAAGTATAAGGGATCCCTCCTAGGTACTGAAAATATCATATATCTTCATCTTGGGTAGTAAAATGGGTATGTATATACTTAAGTATCTATCCCTTGAGTCAAAAGCTTAAAATTGCTGCACTCTTTCCTGATGTAAATTTTACTTATTACATAAGGAAGAAGTGAAGTAAATATATAAAATATCTGACCATTTGCAACTAGATTTTTTATACATTTCTAATGTCAACTATTTTACAGATGATTGGTTTGCTAACAGAACCCCTTCTGTCCCATCCTATGTGGTTAAGTATCTGTGACTCTCCAAGCACAATAGCATTAGAACAAATGTAACACTTGAGTTGTCTAGCAACCACTTCACCACTATCAACTAAGTGGAAAATGTCCCTGGCAACCAGCACAGTTGTTTTCTTAATGTTACCTTGCTGTGTCTTTAAGGGTAGATTATCATGAGGTAGCCACCTGTTTATATGTAGGAATTCTGTAGCAGAAAATTCACCTTTTGTACTCAGAGCAAGTTACCCATTTAATCAGTCTTCTACTACAGTGTAAGCATACATATATAACAATGTCTATGATAGGAAACCATTTATCAATTTCTGTATTTTATTTCTCATCTCAAATACTTTTGGAAAACCCAAGGTTTACTATCTTAAGGTAAGGGGAGAAGTTTGCCTTTAAAATATTTGTATGTGTTTTTGATAATTATTGAAATAATTGTCAAAAGTAAATCTATTCTAAATTGTTTGCATTGTGCTCTAGTGTGCATAAAAATTGAATAACGTGTATTAATCCTAACTTTTTATTTTTAATCTATTTGCATCCATTAATAGTCTCATTTTTTTAACCACGGGGAGTATAGAACATAATATAGGTACTCTAACCTGAGAGTAACAAATGAATTTTAAAAATTATTAAAACGATTAGTTATTTCAGCTATTTTCTTTCTAAATACGTTAAATCATTTATTTTCTGAGATTTTAAAAAATGTATCAGGCCCATTATACTCTTCTACATAATAACATATTTTTTATTATTTCTAAATCTACATACAAATTTTATACAATTGGATAAAAAAACAAGAAACAAAAAAAGGTTTGAAAAGGAAATATAGGCGTTTCATTTCGCTTAAAACATTTCAAATTAAATTTTCTAATTTTCCACTATATATTGTGGCATTTACAACTACAACATAAAATGACATGCTGATTAGTTTATCTGGGTTTCAGCAAGTGATTGATTTATTAAAATAAAATATAAAATAAAAAGTGAAAGAGGCTTTCTATCAATCCTAAAAAGAAGGTCATTTATTTGGAGGCAGAATTCAACAGGAATTTTGGGAATTATTAGGCCTATAACATGGCTGAGACAGAGTAATATAATCAGGGTTTCAAATCAGGAAAATTCTAGATTTCATTTTCTTCCACTTGGAAAACAGCGCTCAAATCATTGAGAAAGAGAGAGGCAGCAAATATATGAGCAGTCGTAAAGAAAGTTTTTCTGTTCCAACAATACCTAGGGTGGCTTGGCCACCAAGTTTATATAAGGTGTTATTTCCAGAAAAACAGAAGACATACCTGGACAAAGAGAGTAGAAAGCCCAACAGAAATCCAATTCATCTGACTGTTTTTGCTAAATATTCTGCACATTCATTTTCTCTAGTGCAGGTAGAACTAATGTATATCATCTGATGTACCTTTTCACAATTTCATATTTAAATTTATACTAAAAGCATAATATTCACTTGACTATAACAAAATAAAAATGTAACTGAAGTGAAACTAAAGTGATTGAAAATTTTATAATTCTTGGTAAATGATAGTCTTTCTAAAATATTCTTCTGAAACAGGGTCAGTGAAGGAACAGATAGTAATTATTTTTAGCTTTGCAGGCCCCTGACAGTCTCTGTTATAATTATTCAAGTGCTTTATGCATTGTAGTGCCACAGACACAAAGGAATCGGTGTAAATCTGTTTTAACAAAACTTTATTTATGGCCGGGCGTGGTGGCTCACGCCTGTAATCCCAGCACTTTGGCAGGCCGAGGCGGGCAGATCACGAGATCAGGAGATCAAGACCATCCTGGCTAGCACAGTGAAACCTCATCTCTACTAAAAATACAAGAAAAAAAATTAACCGGGCGTGGTAGCGGGCGCCTGTAGTCCTCGGGAGGCTGAGGCAGGAGAATGGCATGAACCCGGGAGGCAGAGCTTGCAGTGAGCCGAGATTGCACCACTGCACTCCAGCCTGGGCGACAGAGCGAGACTCCGTTTCAAAAAAAAAACTTTGTTTATTATAAAAACCTGGTGGTAGAACAGATTTGGTTCATAGGCTGTACTTTTCAACTAACTGCTCTAAAATGAAATATATATATAACACATTATGGGGATTATTGCTTTTGTTTGGTATGTGTTTGCATATGAGTTTTCATATATTTCAATATGAGTCAGTAGCTGTAGACCTCCTATGATAAAAATGGGAAAATTAGTACATTTACACTATTGCCTTTCACTGAAGTCTGATATTTGTCATTTATAATGTTCTACACATCAGCAACATTACAACCTAGACTTATCTTCTTTTTTACTGTCTTTCAGCTTTCCAACCATAAGTCAAGATGCCTTATTTTTGAATTGAAACGGTAAATATCCCCTAAAATACTATTAAAAAACAAATTTGTAAATAAATAAACAAATACAAAGATTGTACTAAACAACTAGCAAGAAAAGTACACACGGCGGGTTTGATTATTTTATAAAGTGATTGGAGGAAAAGAATTTTGGTTTGATTCTTTTTGGGGTTTTTTTGACCTATGAGTTTATATTATATTGGAATCAACTGCCTTATATAAAAACTCTATAATTACTGTCTTTTACTCTCTCCTCCACTGGGAGGAAGACTTTACTACTTCACTAGAAAAATAAAAACACAGATGTTATAAGTGAGATGTTCTTTAGAATTGGACAAATATTTATAATAAATTTGCAAAGAGATTATGAATAAATTGTATGCTATGACTTATCACATATGGGTTTGGCATGTTGAAGAGAGGAATGAATACTCTATGTGGCTGGTGTTTCCCACCCAATTTCCCCTGTTAGCATCAGTGTTCCTTGTCCAGTTTATAGCATCTATCACCTCATAGTGATATCTAATTGATCATTCTCTCTTACAAGTTGCTTTTCTTTCTCAGTCATTTTTTAAACTTTTATTTCAAGTTTAGGGGTACATGTGCAGGTTTGTTACATAGGTAAACTTCTATCATGGGAGTTTATTGTTCAGATATTTCATTACCGAGGTATTAAGCCCAGTACCTGTTAGTTATTTTTCCTGATCCTCTCCCTCCTCCTACCCTCCACCCTCCGATAGACCTCAGTATGTGTTGTTCCCCTCTGTGTGTCCATATGTTCTCATCATTTAATTCTCACTTACAATGGTCTCCACTTCCATCCATGTACCTGCAAAAGACACGATCTCATTCTTTTTGTGGCTGCATTGTACTCCATGGTGTATATGTACCATGTCTTCTTTATCCAGTCTATCATTGATGTGCATTTAGGCTGATTCTATGTCTTTACTATTGTGAATACTGCTGAAATAAAAATATGTGTGCATGTGTCTTTATAATAGAATGATTGATATTCCTCTGGGTATAACCCAGTAAGGGGATTGCTGGGTTAAATGGTATTTCTGTCTTTAGGACTTAGAGGAATTACCACACTGTCTCTCACAATGGTTGAACTAATTTCACTCTCACCAACAGTGTATAAGTGTTCCTTTTTTCTCTGCAACCTCACCGCATCTGTTATTTTTTGACTTTTTAATAACAGCAATTCTGATGAAGATGCCGAAAGCAATTGCAACAAAAGCAAAAATTGACAAATGGGATCTAATTAAACTAAAGAACTTCTGTACAGCAAGAGAAACTATAAACAGACAACCTACAGAAGGGGAGAAAATTTTTGCACACTGTGCATGATAAAAGTCTAATATACAGCATCTATAAGGAACTTAAATAAATGTATAAGAAAAAAACTCCATTTAAAAGTGGACAAAGGATGTGAACAGACATTTTCAAAAGAAAACATACATGTGACCAACGATTCTATGAAAAAAAGCTCAACATCACTGATCTTTCCCGTTCTTGTCTCACTTCCTTGCTCCCCACCAGGCTCGTTTACCTCCTATATCCTGAGGCCAACATTATGCTATTAATTAAAAATTAATTACTTTTAATTGCAAAGCCACAATTACTTTTCGCCAAGCTAATAGTAAGCCCATTTTGCGGGGCAGGAAAACGAAGGTTCGCCATTATAAGCAATAACTGCCTATGAACACAGATATTCCTCTCTGTGGAACCCTTGCTATTGGACATTTTATCTTTCAAAATCTTTTTGTGAAGTTTACTCTTAAGAAGCAACAAAACATGGAGGCCAGCAATATTAAAAATGAATTTTTATTGTGCTAATCCTATGCCAGGTAATTTTCAAGTGTCACCTCGTTTAGCCTTCCCAATAATTCTATGAAGTAAGTGCTATTATTAAACATGTTTAACTAAAAAACTAAGACCCAAAGAAGTTAAATAATTTGGAGTGGTGGTATCAGCACTTGAACCAGCTTGAATTGAAAAGGGCAAGCCTTTAAACCCTTCACTGTGCTACCTCCACTTCCCCAGAAGAGCAGTGCTTTAGAATTAGCTTTTCAAACAAAGTAACTGCTTATTATTTTTGCTGTGCCTCCAATTGAAAGCACCCAACAGAAGCATTGCTAAGAGTTGGTGGATATTTTCTGATGAGTTTTTGGTCTGATAATGATGATGTCAACAATAGTTAAACTAGATCTATGTGTTCCTGTAGTCATGACTTGGCTTCTATCACAACAAATCTTCTTATGATCTAGATAGTATATCTATTACAAAGCTAAGAAAACTGAGGCTTAGATAGTTTAACAGGTTCAAGGTCACACAAATAGTAAGTGGTAGCACACAGACTTAAATCTAGGTTTGCCTGAGTCTGGAGTCAGCAGAATTTTCATGATACTCCATTGCTTCAGCTGTTTACCTATTGCAAGATGTCAGAAAAGGTGTTTTCAAGGGTTGGCTTTAGGGAAGGTTCATTTTTTAGTGAGCTAGATTTCCTTTCCCGACATTCATCCCCATCCTCTTTTCTCCAGCTGTAAGGACCTCACTTAGCTCATCTTTTTTGTAAAATTTTTTGACTAATTTATTATCAACACTCCCTAAAAAGTGAGTGTCTTGTAGGCCTCCTAAGTAGGTGGGATAGTGATGCTGACATGGAAGGGTATACACACTGCCAACAGCCTCATTTTTCTATAAAATCTCCTTCTCTCCAAGACACCCCATGACTAAGTAGTATATTTGTGTGAGAATCTATATATATATATTCTGTGGTGTGTGTGTGTCTGTGTGTATCTATATAGATATATGGATCTATTTAATGTTACCTCATCTAAATTCCAGATGGTCTCTATTCAACCATTCTGCCTATGTAAAAATCATGGTGGCAACTCAGAGGAGGCCTTTTTTACTTTTCACCTTCTACTGTTGCAACTTGGCCACTCTCCTCTCTCTCTTCCCCCACTTCATCCCTTTATTTCTCCTTTCTTTTTTTCTTTTATACACACAGAAACACAACAGCATCTTCAATTCCTACATGCATTTTAAAAATGCTCTTAAAAGATAACATTTCATTCAGTTCACTTATGGGAAAGTATGAAAACCAACAGCTTCATCTCCATAGGGCTATTTGCATTTTGAGCCTCAGCTGCGGCTTGCCGAATGAAAAGTTTATCTCACTAAAAGGAATTTCATACACCAGTAACCAGCTATTACAGGGAATAGGGTATATTTCTTCAAATCCTGTATAAACACAGCCTGATCTGGGCTAATGGGCAAAGCAAGTTTGAGGGGCATCGCTAGGCATATCTTAATAGGCATTGGCCACAGTAATGATCACCTGATGGTTTGTGTTTTAAATATGCAGCACTTGAGACTCACTCTGTAATTCAGACGGGTAACACTAACATTGCAAAAAGCAGAAGCCACACAATAACCATATCCCTTTCACTTTCTAAACACACTTATCAAAACCTGGCAAGACATCGCCCCCAACTGAATAAACAAAACTAAGATCCGTGTCTTTTTCTCAGGGGTGTTCTGTCTGTACCAGCAGGAAAATGTTAAGCTGACACCATTTATTCACAACACTGATAACCCAGCAACTTTGCTCAGCATCTCTGCTGCTCAGGGGAAAGATTCTTTTACATGGAATCTTGCTTCCATCTCTCTCTCTCTCTGTCTCTTTCTCTTCCTCCAGCTTCATCAAGGAATAAACAGGCCTCTTGGGACAGTCTATCTCTGTTATCCCTCCCTTCTCCTCTTTACAGGTTTTTCTATCTGTAGGCTTGGCTGCTGCTGGTTTTATGATGGTGCGGCCAAGTTTCAAAACAACACGTTGATTCTTTTTTTCTGCAGGAAAATTTGCTTCTATAATTGCCTCAGGGAGGAGAAAAGTTCCAGGAGGAAAAGAGGTAGCACTTTCATTCACAATAATTCAACTGGGATGTTTAAACATAATTTCCTCACTGAGAATTTCATTAGATCTTACCTGGGTCATTCCCATGGAAACTTTAATCCTCAGCTGAGATGTCATCTCTCCTGGGAAGACTTCCTGACCCCAGAATTTTTGTAAGGTTATTCTTCTCCAGGGTTCTGAACTCTTTTTCATCGTTGCTGTTATCTTCCTGGATTTTAATTTTCTGATTGTCTGCCCTATTTGATTGTCAAGTCTTGAGAGCACGATCTATGCCTGTGTAATATATCCCTGTAGCCCTAGTATCTAACTCTGTTCAGCTGAGGCAGACATTTTATTCAATGGGAAAAAAAATCACATCTCTATAACTCAGTAGAATTCTGGTGAGAGTCAACTGTGGTTTGGCGAGATCAGTTCATCCTCATCTTTATCCTAAAGCCTTCAAAGTCATGTTGTGGATCAGCTTGGAAATCTCTATGATGCCACAGAAAATTTAATTGCAGTAAGTTTATTTAACTCGATGCTGATTGAGGATTTCTTATTCTACCCCAAAGCTCTAGTGACTGGCAAATAATACATTACTTCTTAGGGTAACCATGAATCAGAGATTCAGAAAAACAGAAATAATATTTAGCACCTATACTGTTTTTGTTTTTATTTGTGGTTTTAATTAGCATCCCAGTGTTATTTTAGAACTCAGATGTAGATTGAAGATAGGAAGAAATGTAGGTTGAAGAGAAAAGAGAAGAAATGCAACAATTCTGGAATTTTTTCTTTCTTGTGATTAGCATTAGGGAACATGAGCCGATCACTTCTACCATGCTGAGTCAGGTGCCAACAGAGGAAGATATAAATATTCACAAGTATGAAAACAAAAGCCACCCTTTCCCCTTGAAGTCCATGGGCACCGTTTTTAACTGCAACACCCAACTGTCTCCTGTGTGAAGTTATCAGAGCTCTGAAGCCTCTTGTGAAAGATATTTTGAGAAAAACTGTGCAGCTAGTGTTGGGTGAGAATGCCTTATGGGAGGAGACTCCAAATGAAATGTGATAATGAACCAAAAAACTTGGAACTGTCTGGGGATTAATAATCAACAAATGGGAGTGAGGGAAGCTTCAAACACAGCCAGAAATAGAGCCCTGGAGTACTAGGAGTTGACATGATTGACAAGACAAGATTTTGTTGATTTGGAAGTCAGGTAAAGAGTGGATCCTAGTATCCATGGTCACCTGACTCTGCCTTTGCCCTGCTGTGGCTGCCTGGGGTTGATTCTCTTGCTGAGCCTTGGAGAGGCAGACCTCCTACAACATGAAAAGCCCACTCTCATGAGCCTGGAGCCTCAAAACAGTCTACCGATACCACTTTTTTGGTATCCGGTCTCCACACTGGAAATAAAGTCTTTTAAATAAATGTACTGCATATTAAACTATGCATGTTTACTATACAAATTATACAAGCATACAAAATTGTCTAAGAAAGTGGAAAAATGTACGCCAGTGACAATAACTTATAAATCTTTTAAATGTTTACAGTTGAAGAACATCATTTCAGATGTGTTTCCATGTAAAAAAAAAAGGCAGATAGAAATATAAATTATTGAAAATATTACATAAAATTGTGGTTAAACATCTTAAGGCATTATATTAAAATTATCAAATTCAGTTTCACTTCTTTAAGAAAAAGCTATGGAGAAGCTGAAGAAAATGTTGGCCTCCTTATAAATATTTCTGGTGACAAGTAGATGTTAATTGGTGATCATTGAAATACAAAATTATAAAAAAATTAAAAACATGTTTGCTTAATACATTATATAAACTCACATTTTATATTTAGTATTTAGAGATTCCCTGATGTAAAAAATTAGGCAATGTAGTCTTTCTTCTACCTTCAATCTCTTTTAATCACCCAGTTTTTCTTATTATATTGTTATTATTACATATTCAATGTTTCTAATTACATAAAGTAATGCCAATCTAAGAGGCTGAACCAAGGCACAAACTTAAGATTCCAAATAGTGATTTCTAATACCTAGTTGATTTTTTTTACAGAATTTTTAGCATATTTTATTTAGGAACTGTATAGCATAGATTTTTTTTTAATTCTCTTTAAGAATCCTTGGTTTGTATGTCAATCAAATTGCCTAAGTTCAGAGATGAGTCCACCACTTCAAAGTTGTGCGAACTTGAGCACATTGCTCCATCTTAATAAGTAGTTTTCCCTTGTTTAAGATGGAGATAATAAAATACCTATTTCATTGGGTGGTTGTAAAGACTGAATGAAATGGCTGGACGCGGTGGCTCACACCTGTAATTCCAGCACTTTGGGAGACCGAGGTAGGCGGATCACCTGAGGTCAGGAGTTCAGGACCAGCCTGGCCAAGATGGAGAAACCCCATCTCACTAAAAATACAAAAATTAGCCAGGCATGGTGGCAGGCATCTATAATCCCAGCAGAGGCAGGAGAATCGCCTGAACCCAGAAGACGGAGGTTGCAGTGAGCTGAGAATACGCCACTACACTCCAGCCTCGGTGACAGAGCCAGACTCTGTCTCAAAAAAAAAAAAAAAACTGAATGAAATAATTTATGCATATATAGTATTAGTACATAGTATAGCGCATAAAAATAGTAAGTAATCAGTCATTGGCAGCTATGAGCTTGTTATTATTGTCATTGTTATTTTTGCTAGTAGCATTATATATGGTTCCCTATCTACTTTGATCTAATTTCATAGAAATCTCTTTCTCAAAATATGTTCCAGGGCTACTGAATTTTTTGGACCTCAGAATGTCCTCCCGGGCCTTCATACTTGGCATCTGCAGTCCTTTCTGGTTGAATGCATTTGCTCCACTTTACAAGAACTAACATTCTGTCCACCTGCCAAATTGCTAATCTCTTTAAGGATCTTCTTAATGTATTCCCAACTGAGAGGTATTTACTGATTCTTTTAGGTAACCACAGGTATTCTTCTCCCAGGCTTCCATTTTATTATTCAGTCTTGTTTCATAGTTTATCACATTGTGTCATGTTTTGTGATTTCCGTTTCAGTTTTACTCTCATTTATTTTTAAAAGGGAAAATTTTGTCTATATGTGCTCAGTCCCTGACATCAGCATCACTGTCACCATCATTTTCATCACTATTATGATCACAGAGGAGACAATATTTACTGTGTTTATCATGTAAGAGGTATTTGTTTTGTGAACCCTATATATATTACATACATAATGTAATTTCCCTGCTGTTTCTTGGGAGAATTAAATTATTTCTACTTTAGAGCATGTAAATGTCAGACAGAAATTTTTGGAAAGTTGACCAATGTTCTACAGCTAAGAATAACAGATCCATGCATGGTCTTCAGTTCCACAGCCCAACTCCTTAATGCCATGCTGTATACAATGAGCACTCAAATGTTTTGTGAATAGTGAATATGTAATTTCTAAGGTAACTTGTAACCCAAGCACAGTATATTTTCAAGGAGTTGTTAAGCAGTTCATAAGTCGTGCACTAGGCTAAGCCATGTGAAGGATGGAAAAGAATTATGTAAGTCAAAGGTCCTGCCTTCAATTATCTTACAAGTTGGTTGAGGGGAAAAGAAATTTCAGGCATATATAAAGAAACAAATAGAAGGTATTTGTATAGTCAAATGGATTGCACTAAAATTTAGACATATTAAAATTCAGTGAAGGCCAGTGAATCTGGAGAAAAATGTTATTATGAGCTGACTTTAAAGAGTCACCCATGCGGCTCTTGATAAACAATGGATTGAAACAGTTGTAAAATCACTATTATCTCATAGAATAGAATGTCAGGAGATATTTTGTGTATGTTTGAGCTTTAAGGATGTACAGGAAAAGTGAACATACTGCCACTATCTTTAAAATATTATCCTAAAAACAGAAATATAAAGTTTCAAATGACTTACAGTTGAAATGTGAACACTTGCCTTAATTTGTCATCTCTTTTGTGGTTTATCATACGTTCTTTCAATGTCATATGAAGAAACTATGTATTGTAATCATTAGCATTTCACTGCATAACTAAGCCATCTGTATCCTAGTTCTTTCCCTCATCAATCAATACAATGATTAACATAGAAAAGCAAGTTAGTGATCTAGATAAACTCTATCTAGAAACAGATTTCTTTCAGAAATGCCCATAGGCCTAAAATTAACTTGATGTCAATTAATTGATATATATTACAGGTATACTGTATACAAGTCACTGTGCTGCAGCACATTAAGATGATAAGAAATCTCATTGTTCAACTCCCACTTATGAACGAGAACACGTGGTGTTTGGTTTTCTGTTCCTGTGTTAGGTAGTTGAGTTGTCTTCTTAGGTAGCTGAATCCCTGCACCCTGGGCTCATCCCCTACTCAGTTTTCACAGTGAGCCCTCCATTAGGTGTTGTGGACACTATGGGAACCTCTCAGAGGAAGAGAGACAGGACTTCATTAAGGCAATTGGTAACAACACATGAATGTCATCAAACTCTCCATTAGGCATTTCAATTTGAACATATTACCTAGCATATCTTGTCCTGTGACATTATAGCTCCAGGTACTATACTTCTGCAATTAAATATGCTCACACGTGAAAAAATTTTAAAATAAATAAAAAATAAAAAATCTCTACCCCTGTATCAAGGAGATTCTACTTAAAACGTTCAATTGTAAATGATAGGCTAGAAATACTGAGAGAAGTTAGAAAAAAATATTTCTAAGAATTTGCATCACATTCTCTGATTAGAACTGGGGATGTAAATAGTGAATCACACATCCAAAAGAAAATCTGCTTTTGTTAAATTTAAATCAGAATCAAATCACTTTTTTTCCTACACTAAAAACTGAATAATTTAAAAGCTCACAACTATATCCTGGTGAAATAATTTATTTGTGATTTTATTATGTATTTTATAAAATTACTAATCCACCAAATTCTACATTCAACTTGAACTAACTTAATATTTTATTCAGGTTAAGATTTTAAATAATAAGATAGGCCTCTGATTTAATCTTACTACATTTAGAAAGCTCACTGTACTTTGTGTGTGTGTGTGTGTGTGTGTGTGTGTGTGTGTGTGTGTGTGTGTGTTTGAATTTCTTTATCATCTAGCTGATATCTTTACTTTTTCAATTCTAAGTAAAAATTCATAGTTATATTTGATTAGATATAAATAGCTTGAAATTCTTATTGATGAATTAAACACTTTCTTTAAGTCTATATAGGCGTCCCTCTGTATCTACAGGGAATTTATGTCATGATCTCTGTGGATAACAAAATCCATGAAATCCCCAAGTCTCTTATAGGAAATGGTGTAGTATTTTCAAATAACCTATGCACATCCTCCTGTATAAATCATATCTAGATTATTTATAATACCTCATACAATGTAAATACTATGTAAATAGTATTATACTGTGTTGTTTAGGAAATAATGATAAAAAAGAAAAGTCTATAGACATTTAGTATAGTTACAACCATCTATGTTGTTTTCAAATATTTTCAATCATTGGTTGGTTGGATTCATTGATGTGGAAACTACAGACAGATACAGAGGACTAAATGAATGTGAATACTTATCTTTTTGCATTATTCTTTCATGGATAAAAGTAGCAACAGATGTGTTTATGGGTCTTCCAAACTGAAGAAAGAATTCTCATTTTGAGACAATGACAGATTTCAGCTATTCCTCCTATAAGTTATAGGAATAAATCAATGGTGAATCAAGGATGGAACATGAAAATAGAAAAACGTCTATTTTTTGGCATTTCTTTTTTTTAGTATTTTCATAAATGCATTTTTTATTTAAGATTGAATTCATCATTGTTCTTTTTACAGAAATTGGTGAATAGAAAAATAATAAAGATTTTTTAAAGCACTGAAAAAGCAATAAAAACCATAATAAAAATATCAAAAATACAAGTAATCTGAGGAGAATGTGTGCAATTAGAAGAAACATGGCTTGTAGAGATAGATGAGATAATAGAGTCTGGAGACCAAATTCTATTATTGGTTCTGCAGCCAATAATAGATAAAACATGATCTTGAGTTAGTCACAAATCACTCTGGACCAGTTTCCTAAGCTTTCCAATATAATGGTAGACCAGATAGAATGACACTCCCAGACCTCAAAAATGATTATTATTTTATTCTAAGAGCATAGAATGTAAAAGAAAGAAAAATGTACAACAATAAAGCAAAGAAGAAGTAAAACAAGCAAATGAAATGACAATTTAGTAAAATAATTCAATCATAGGAAAGACTACTTATGATTAATGAATGAACTGGGAGATTATTTTTACCTGGCTATTCTAATATTTCCTTTCTTATGCTTATTGTTAGTCAGTTCAACATTATTGATCTTTGTTTACTGTATAATTATTATTTTTTAGTAAGATGGTAGCCACTCTAGGAAAATAGCAAAGTCAGAAACATGAAATAAACATAGGAAGTATATGTCAGTTGAAGAGTGACCAGGATGAAAATTGGTTCAAGTTTTCCCACCTTAAGTTATTAGCTCTTCAAATAAACCATTTAAGCATACTCTGAGAAAAAATTAGGGAATTTAAAAAAATAATAATGTGATCCATAGCAATTTTACTGTCATCACAAAAATTGTTCCTTTTCATCAGGTCTCTTGAAATCAATATACTGGTTCTTCATTTTTTTAATTGACCCAAAAACCTGGGGCTTTGTGCCCACATGTGCATCTCAGCCTTATCATTCAGAGTAAAGCTACTCCACTAAGTCATTTCTTTCCATTTAGAAAGTAATTTGAAAATGCTTCAAATGTTTTAAATTGACTAGTTGTATCACTTAGTTTAAATGTAGCATGACAGTGACTTTATCTTCATTCCCAAAGTGTTATTAAAATGATGGATCCATCCTTAATAAAGATAAAGGTTGCATAACTTAAGAGCAAACACTTATATACCAGGCATTTTTCTAAGCCTTTTTCCTATGCCCAGTCATTTAATCTTCCCAACCATATAAGCTGCATACTAAATTATCCTGATTTGTAGATGAGGAAACTGATGCACAGGGATTTTCACAACTTGCTTATTGACAAAGGAAGTATTAATGGAGGAGCCAAAATTAAAATCCATATGGTTTGGCTCCAAATGTCTTGTTGTTAAAATATTAACAATAGTGATATTAAATTATTAGTTAAATTCTAATTTAATTAGAATTAAATTAATTTAAATTAAATTCTAAATTAAATTAAATTAAAAATTCTAAAACTTTAAAAAAAAATGTGTTAGAAACAATGGAAGCTAAAAAGGAAGCGTGCCCAGCCTGGCCAAATGCAATATGCAAATGAATAGTCAAAATGAATTTAAGAGAAAAATAGAAGGACCAATACTATTAGATACAATTTTTATAGTCTTTTTATTAAATAACTTTAAACATTTTAAGATTAAATTATCTAAAAGGACTTTACAAGCACCAAGAGGTTAAATACAGAAGACTGCAGAAACAGATTAGTGAAGCCGCTAATGCAAATATGCTGTTTGGCCCTGGGACACAGATTCCTCATTTCATGTATTGATGTATTTCATCATGTAATCCTCATGAGAACCCAGAAAGTCTTATCTGCCCCATTACAATCTTATCCCCATGACTGTTTTACATATTAAAAATCAAAGCAGCTGGGCACGGTGGCTTACGCCTATAATCCCAGCACTTTGGGAGGCCGAGGCGTGCGGATCACGAGGTTAGGAGATCGAGACCATCCTGGCTAACATGGTGAAACCCCACCTCTACTAAAAACACAAAAAATTAGCCGGGCATGGTGGCATGCACCTGTAATCCCAGCTACTCGGGAGGCTGAGGCAGGAGAATCACCTGGACCCTGGAGGCGGAGGTTGCAGTGAGCCGAGATTGCCCCACTGCACTCCAGCCTGGGCAACAGAGCAAGACTCTGCCTCAAGAAGAAAAAAAATTCCAAGCAAAACAATAGCAAAAAGTGAATTACAAAAGATGGGGTAACTTGCCCAGAGTCACATGGTAATAGTAATAAGGTGATTAGGAAAGTAGGTAATTAATCCACGCCTTCAAGCTCCAGACTCAAGACACCTCACTATCCTGCTGAGCTCTCTCAGATTAAAGCATAGTCAGACCAGTTATCTGTAGTAATGCTGATCTGACATGCAGATGTTCCGATGACATAGGTACAACTGCTGACCCAAGGGAGGTTGGGGCAGAGACTGGTGTCGATGCCCATACATTATTGGCCCATCACGTTTGCACCCAGTCTGCCTCTAATGGTCAACAGTAACCTGGCACTGATTTATGAGAGACCCTTGGTTCTTTCAATCTGAGCATTACTTGGAACTTTTCTGTAAATATAAAACATCTTCTCAAGTAGAAAGAAAAGTGGGTGGGAACTTAAAAACATCAAGAAAAACATTTATGTAACATTAGCAAGCAACATCTTATCATTTAAATAAGCATTATTTTGAATTAATCCAATCACGATCACTGTAACACATTCAAACAGGGAGGCAGGAGAAGTAGAAATAATAAGAAGAAACCTCATCTTTCTAAGACACATATAGGCTTTCACTTCTCTATTTATTGATTAAATACTTAAAGAAGAATTTCTTTATTTCCCAAGTCACTCTGGAAGGAATCCCCTTTACTTAGTCATTTCTGATCCTATAAAACCAGGCCTTTGTTCTAGCATAGCATCCAGAACCCGATACTTAACACTATTTTAATCGGCAAAGGTTAATTTTTGCAACAATTATGGAAAAGAAAGTAGATGCCTGGCAGCAACTAGAGAAATATTCTTCTCTTTGAAAAGGGTTGAATTAAGTCCCCAGATTCCATTTGAAAGTTGGCTTTCAAATTTTGCAAAGGCTGCCTATTGTTTTTAGATCTTCAGAGAAGCCTTGAAATTCCCAGTGTCAAGGGCACAACCGAATCTGTGATCTGCAAACAACTCAGCTCATCAGCATTAATTATTGCTCTGCCAGGCTTGTAAACAAATTTAATCAGAAGTCTAATGCAGAGGCCCCAGTGAGGATGCCACCTATTTCTCTGCCGGCTCATTCCCAGTCCCCTTCTGGTTCTCCACTTCTCTCCCATTAACCGATGGCTTTCCAGGCTTTTGAGCAGTTCTAATTTCTCTTCTTATGTGTTTTGCTTTCTCCCTGGGTTGGCACATCTGCCTTCCTGGCTTCAGCTAAAACCTCTATTACGATGACTTCTGATGATACGTTTTCAGTATCAGCCTTTTTCAGAAGTTTCGCACCTGTCTTTCTTACTGCCTACTAAATACAACTCAAACCACCGTTTCCAAAACTGGCTCATGCTGTTCCTCTACCCTCATATTGATAAGTGTTTCTCCCCAAAGCTCTCACTTTGAGCCAGTGTCTCCACATTGCATAACCAATGTGCATAAAAAGAAAACCTCAGATTCATCCATGACTCATCTCTCTCCTTTATTCCTACATTACCCTGCCATATAAAGTCATTGGATTACCACAGTCCTACCACAGGACCCTCCAGAGTTGTTCCTATTTGATAACTATTGCCTGATGTCAGTTTCTCCTCATTTCCAGCTGACTGATTCCCAGTCTTCATCAGTCTGACTCTCACCACGCTTATATCTCTCCCATGCTCCCATACAACTGTGTGATCTTTGTAAATATCAAATATTTTACTCTTCTCTTTTTAAATTTTCAGCAAATTTTTTACGAAGAAAATTTGATGAAATAGATAAAAGTTTTAGCTTTTTATTTTGAATCTCATCAAGTTACTTTCTTAAGAGTTTGCTTCACGTTGTTCTCAAAATAAATCAAAGCTCTTTAGCCTGATATTCATGATCAATGGTCATCACTTATACTTTAGACATCCTGTCTTACCATATTCTCCATAACCATTGCAATATGGACACACTGAAATATGTGCATTGCTCACTACTGGTGCCGTAACAGTTCCTGAGGTAGTAAACACTGAATAAATGCTTGTTAAATAGATGAATGAACAAGTTGTTCACTGCAGCCAATCCTTGTAGAGCTTTTTATACACTCCCTGTTTGCCTTTGTACATTCTGTACTCTCTACTTGTCATTCTTGTACTGCTCTTCCAGGCCTGGCCAATAACTGCTACCCTTTCTTTAAAAATCTAGCTGGTGTTTGACCTTTTAATTCACTTTCCATTAACTAACTCAACAAATATGTATTGAGCACATGCCAAGAGCTTGGCACCTAGAATACAAGAACCACACAGTCTAATGCAAAAAGCAATTGCGTAGTTCCTCACATTCTGTCCTACATACTCACATAGCCTCTTCTCTCTATCCCGACAGAACTTGGTACATAAATAACATTTTTATATCACTCAGAATCATTGTATTAATTTATTTAAAAATCGCTCCCCAAATTAGAATCTGTTGTGCTTCAGGACTACATCCCACTACACTATACTTTCTTTTTCATCCTCCCAAAGTCAGCACACTTTCTGGCAAAGAGTGAGCTATCAATAAATGGTAGTTATTTATATAATTATTATGAGGGTACAATATACTAGAATAAGCCTATGCTGTCTGATCAGATTGCCAACTTGCAATACAGGCAATCTAACTTATTCAAGGAGGACCAGGTTGTGTTGATTTATCTCCCTGGTCTCACTAGCATCTTTATAAGTCAGATGGGACAGTACCTACCTCATGGAATTGTTGTAAGTATGAGGAGATGAAATATGATGAACTGTGAAATGGGGACATATTGAATGCTTGTCAGCTGTTTTCCTGATTTAGAAATTTAAAAATACATTATTGATAGTATAAGCTTGATAGATTTGATAAATGGAAGGATGTAGACAAGAATGAACTGTGGAGTACGTAGGTCGGTTCTTCCTACATTAAAAAACTCTTACAGGAAAGTAGCAGAAAATAACATACAGAATAGATGATGCTATGTTACAGTAAAACTGGAAAAAGACATTTAATAGACACTTATTTAAAAGGAGCAAGGAGGTGATATCAAAATATACTGCATATATTATTTTAATGCTAACTTTTCATGATAAATTATATGAAATTATTTCAGAATATGAATCTAGTTATTTTAAACACATTTATTTGTTGTTTTAATTCCTGATTTAAAAAACACTGAAAGGTATAGACATGCGGGCTGCAGGGAACACAAAATCAGAATTCTGGAGCTCTGAAAGGGCAAAACCAGGTGAAGAGATTCCACCTCTATCTCTCTACTCAGGGTCGGTTACAATATTGCTCATTTCTGTTTTTACACTCCCTCTTCTATGGGGCTTTTGTTTCCATTTGTATTTCTTTGACAGGTATTTAACTAATGAGTGATGAAGTATACAGGAAGAACCCTCACCAGGTCCAGACCCTAGGATATGGTGAAGCTGATTTGCCATAAACGTTACAATGGCATTTTTATGGACTACTCAGACCACTCAGTTCAAAGAACATCCCTCTCCTGGATTGTCTTTTGTGTTTCCTTTAATACAAGATGAAGTCTCCACATATGAACTCTGAGTAGGGCACTGAATGGCATTGAACTGTTAAATCCCCCCCAAAGCATATATTTTAATGACAGAGTATGTTTAGAAGTCACAGCTCAGCTTCAGTCGATTGCCTGTAATTCTCAAGAGTTTTTATTTGCAATGCCTATGTTTTCTTGTCATTCTTCTGAAGGAAGCTATCATTTTGATGTGAAGAAGCTAGGAATGATGAGCATATTTCCAAAAGCAAGCTGTGTACTGAAGCAAACAGCAATATTGTAAACTTCCCTACGTAATTTCAATGTAAAAATCACGATGAGAAACCAGAAGAAAAAAAATGTTAAGACCACTACCCAAAAGTAAGTAAATGAAATGGGAAGACAATTGGAAATTTTTGAATGTTTAGTGTATTAGTCCATTTTCATATTGCTGATAAAGACATACCTGAGACTGGGAAGAAAAAGAGGTTTAATTTGCCTTATACAGACATACCTGAGACTGAGAAGAAAAAGAGGTTTAATTTGACTTATGCATGGCTGGGGAAGTCTCACAATCATGGCAGAGTGTGAAAGGCAGTTCTTATATGGTGGCGGTGAGAGAAAATGAGAAAGAAGCAGAAGTGGAAACCCCGATAAACCCATCAGATCTCGTGAGACTTATTCACAAGAATACCAAGGGTAAGACTGGCCCCTATGATTCAATTACCTCCCACTGGATCTCTCTCACAACACGTGGGGATTATGGGAGATACAATTCAAGTTGAGATTTTGGTGGGGGCACAGGCAAACCACATAAGTTAGTAGATATAAGGTCTCATATTTGATACTGTATATTTGTGTCCTTATTTAATTCTTCTACACAGCACCTTGGGAAAATTATAAGAAAGTTTAGTAAGCTAAAATAATTTTTGTGACCAAATATGCTAAGATGCAGATACAATAGTTGAATCAATGTCTATCTAAATCCAAAATATATACTCTTGCCCCACTATCTTGCTACCTATAGGGTATACTACTGAACTCTAGGACTGCCTTGAATTTATGACAAAAAATAAGCTGAAGTTTTATTTTTAAAGAGAGTGTTAAAAGTATTTGAAGACTTTTTACTCTCTTTTAAAAATTAAATCATGCACTAGTGAGTCAATTTATAATCTTCCTTGGTTTATGATTTTGTAAATAAACATGGCATTGCTTTTGGCAGTGTGTCAATCTGACTTGTTTTCACAGTATAAACTGAATGAAGTCATGGAACAGCTTTTCTGGCCAGGTCATAACAATATAATTTACACCATATTACCCTTTTCATATCATATTGATTTTTTCATGCTGAATGTCTTCCAAAACCACAATAGAAGCTAATTCTGTGTTAAAGAACAACAGTATCAAATTCATTGTTAAGGTGTGTGCCAATTCAAATATTGAGTTGATAATACAAAATAAACATTCACTTCTTCTTAAAAGCATTGGATTCACCCATAACTGAAGTCATATGTGATGAAAGAATCTAAAAAAAAAAGTTGAAAACCAAAAGTAATTATATGCTAGGACCATGAGTAAGAGTTTTCACCAAATATTGAACATGAAGGCTATCAGTATTAGAAAAAAGAATCAATTGAAATAGTTCAACAAGAAATTTGTTATATGAAATATTATAAGAAAAATATACAAGCTAAGGTTCAGGAAATATTTACAAATCATTTGTTTTTTAGACTGTGCAGAACTTTCTTCACAGAATGTTTTCAATGCTGATTCCTATATAAGCATCCTTGTTCATCACTTTAAATACTGTTTGAGAAGTTCTCAATCTCTTATTAGATTAGATTTTGGAGTAGAAATCTCTTGGTATCCATCCCTAAATCCCTCGATCGAGACTCTTACTTTTTTAATCAAATAGTGCTTAGAGGCCAAAACAAACTAAAAAGCTTTTAATCTGCTTTGTTCCTTTGTTTTTGTTCCTTGAACCTGTTGAATTTTAGATTTGTAAGTTTGGGTCGAGACCAAGTAACTAACCTTTGAAACAATACATAATTTATAAAAACATTATTTTTAGACAATTTCAAACATAAAATATTGTTACAGCAGTAAAAAGAACTCCTGTGTGCTTTCAACCACATCCCACAGTTGTTAAAGTTTTACATTATTTGCTCCATTCACAGAAAATATTCCAGATTCCCTCAGAAAACAAACAAACAAACAAACAAACAAAAACATTACATTTTGCTTCCATCCAACCCCCAAATGAGGAACTCAACACTGTTTCAACGCTATAATCCAATCCACAGACCCTCTTCCAATTAGGCCAAATGTCTTAATGGTCTGGACAATAGCTCTTCTTTCCATTCTGGTCCAGTTTCCTTTAATTGGGAGTTATCTCTCAGTCTTGCCTTTACTTTCACATCCTTGACACCTTCAAAGAGTATAGATGACCCCCAGTCAATGTCTGTCCAATGTTTCCCCTCTTGAGCAGACTCAGGTTTGGCATTCCTAGCAGAAACATCCCAGGTATGATACTGTGCAGTGTAGCACATCAGAAAAGACACAAGTTCAATCCCCCACTATCATCACTGGTGTTGTAAACATGACAAGTGGGTGACATTTCCGCTAGCTTTCTCCATACACAATAATATGTTTCACCCTTTGTAATAAGTAAAATTTTATGAAAAGATTTTCTTAGATTGTGTCAATATCCTGTTTGCATTAGACTCCACTGACCAGTCTTTGGCATCCTTTGATGATTCTTACCTAAAGCACCCACCAATATGATTGCCAAATGGTGATTTTTCATTTCTGTCACTGTTTCTACATTTAACAGTTGGCATTTTATCACAAGGAATGACAATACACTCATTGATACATTTACTTATATCATTATTGGCACATGTAATTTTATTTTTTTCTATGTTTGTAATCTGTTATCATTATTTTGATACTCATATTGTTCTATATTTGTCCAATGGGTTCTCCTTCTAGTTGGCTGCTGTGTCCTTTTGATAAGTTTCTCTCATTTTTCTAATGTTTGTTTTGAGATATACTTTATATGCCATACAAATCACTCATTTAAAATATATAATTTGATAAGTATAGTATAATCACAGAGTAATCAAAAATCAACCCAATCTAAGTTTAGAAATATTTTTATCACTCCTCAGAAAGAGAATCCCCACTAAGCAATAGCAGTAATTGCTTTTACTAAGCCCTCAGTAATTACCTTCTGTCTCTATAGATTTCCCCACTCCAGATATTTCATATAAATAGAATCACAAAATCATACAATATGTGTTCTTTTGTGACTAGACTCCTTCATTTAGTGCAATGTTTTCATGGTGTGAACATGAAGTGGCATAAATCGTACTTCTATCTTTCTATTGCCAAATAATATTCCCTTATGTAGATTTTTTTTGTTTTTTTTTAACCCATCAATTAACAGATGTATTATTCAGGGTTCAATCAGAACAACTGAACTCAGTAGGAGATATCCATTAAAATATTTACTCCCATGAACTGGCTTATGTGATTATAAGGACTCGTGAGGCAAATCCAAAGTCTACAAGGAAGGCAATGAGAAAAGATGAACTACAATTTTTAGGCATGGCTGAAGCTGTTGTTCACCAAAGCAGAGTGTCTTCATCAGGGAAGCCTCAGCTCTGCTCTTAACGACTTTCAGCTAATTAAATAAGGCCAAACTCAGATTATCTGAATAATCCCTCTTAATTAAAGTTAACTGATTATTGACTTTAATTACATATACCAAATACCTTCACGACAACACCTATCATAGTGTTTGATTACATAATTGGGGACTGTAACCTAGCCAAGTTGACATATCAAGAAAAAAAATCAAAATAGATTATTTGGGGTTTTCTATTTTGTAATATAATACGAATAATGTTCCTATAAACATCCTTAAGTTTTTTTTGAGTATGTGTTTTCATTTCTCTTGGATATACAATTAGAAATGGAATTGCTGAGTCATATGGGAACTCTGTGTATACATTTTAAGGAACTGCCAAACTGTCTTTCAAAATGGCTGCAACATTTTTAATTGCTACCTCTATGTGAGGATGTTTGTGAAAGTTCCCATTGTTCTACTTCTGTGTCATCTCATATAATCTTTCATTTTGTTTACAGACATTAGGAGGATGTGAAGGTATATCTTATAGTAGTTTTACTTTGCATTTACCTAATGGATAATGGTATTAAGCATATTTTTCTATGCTCATTTGTATAACTTCTTTGGAGAAATATCTCCTCAAAGCTTTGTCCAGTTTTTAATTGGGCCATTTGAATGTTTTAATTATTTAGTTCTAAGAATTCTTTATATAATCTGGATATTAAACCCTTATCAAATATAAGGTTTGTAAAACTTTCTCATAAACTATGAGTTACTTTTTAACTGTCTTGATAGTATTATTTACAGTGCAATTTTTTATTTTGATTTAGTTTAATTTACTGCTTCATTTGCCTCTTTTGCTTTTAGTATTACATTTAAGAAACCATTGCTTAGTTGAAGGTCACAACAATTTATTACTATGTTTTCTTCTAAGAATTTTATATTTCTAGAACCTAGATTTAGGTTTTGATATATTGAGCTAATTTTTGTGTAAAAGGTATACTTTTACTTTGGCTATTAAATTTGTGTGAAAGTAATACATTATGAAGAGGTCCCACTTCATTCTTTTGCATGTGGATATCCAGTTGTCCCACTGTTACTTATTGAAAAGTCATTTTTCTCCATTGACTTGTAAGTTGAAATTAAATTGATAGTACATAGCAGGCTTTATTTCAGGACTCTCAATTCCATTCATGTGACATAAAAGAATAACCATATATCAGTACCACATTATCTTTACTATGGTAGTTGTACATAAAGTATGAAATAAGGAAGTGAGTCCTCCAAATTTGATTTTCTTTTTAAAGATTATTTTGAGACCAAGATAGACAAACCAGCATTGAAAAAGAAATATGTTTATTACTCTATACATTTTAAGTATTCTGTGTTTTATATTGGTTTACAATTTATATTTTTATTAAAGTATATCAATACATGTAATTATAACTGATAATACATTTATAAAATATTACATATTTTTATTAATATATGCTAATATAAATATATATTTATTTCATATTATATACATTTTAGAAGCAGTTTGCCAATTTTTTTTTCAAAAAAGCAAGCTGGAAATTTAAGACAGATCACCTTGAATTTATAAACCAATTTGAGGAATAGTGTCATCTTAATAATAGTCTTCCAATCCATGAACATGGGATGTCTTTTAATTTATTTAATGTTTTGTATTTTTCAGTGTATAAGTCCTGCACTTCTTATGTTTTAGTCCTAAATGTTTTGTTTGTTTCAATTCAATGTATATAGAATTATTTTTAAAAAATAGTTTTTGATTGTTAATTATTAATGTATACAAATACAATTGACTTTGGATGTTGATCTTGCATTTTGCAACCTTACTGAAATTGTTTATTAAGTCTAATAGTTTTGTTGTGTATGTGGATTCCTGTAAGATCACATCATTTTTAAATATAGATGAGTTTAATTATTTCTTTCCAATCTGGATGCCTTTTATTACTTTTTCTTGCCTATTTGACTAAGCTAGAATTTTGAGTACAATATTAAATAGAATTTGAGAGTGGGCATTCTTGTTTTATAATTTTAGGTGGAAATGTTACTGTCCTTTACCAATAAGTATAATGTTAGATTTTATTTTTGTGCAGGTGTTCTTTATCAGGTTGAGAAAGAAATATTGAATATGTAGATTTTATTTTATTTTGTTTTTTCTAGTGATGTCTTTGCCTGCTTTTGGTATTAGGAAAATAATAACCCCTATAGAATGGGTCAAGAAGTGTTTTTTCCTTTTTCTTTTTTTTGGCTGGGAAGCAGAAAGTTAATAGGGGTTGTTGGAAAAGCTTGTATAAAATTGAGGCTAATTCTTCTTTAAACACTTGGTAGAATTAACCAGTGAAGTGGTTTGGTCTGGGCCTTGAGTTTTCTTTGCAGTAAGTTTTTAAATCATTACTGCAATCTCTTTACATGTTATAGGTTCACTGAGGGGTTTTTTAATCGATTTTAATAGTTCATGTCTTGCTATGAATTTGTCCATTTCATCTAAGTTATTTAACTTAACATACAGTTTTCATAGTATTCCCTTATAATATTTTCATTTCCCTAGGGTTAGTAGCAATGCGTCATCTTTTATTCCTGATTTTAGTAATTTAGGACTTCTCCCATTTTATCTTGGTCAGTCTAGTTAAAAGTTTGTTGATTTTGTTGATCTTTCCAAGGAGCCACATTTTGGTTTTATGTATTTTATTTTTCTATTAGGTATTTTATTTATTCTTGCTCCAATATTTATTATTTATTTTCTTTAATTGGTTTGGATTTAATTGCTTTTCTGTTTTCATTGTTTTGAGATAAAACTTTTTATTTATATTTGATGTTCTTTTTTAATATCGGTGTGTACAGGCTATAAATAGCCTTTGTAGCACTACTTTACCAGCATCTCATAAGTTTTGGTATGTTGTGTTTTTATTTTCATTCATCATAAGGTATTTTTTAATTTCCTTGTGATTGCTTGATTAATCCCTTGTTATATATGATTGTGTTATTCCCACATATGTGAACTTTCCAATATTCCATCTATTTTTATTTTTAATTTAATTCCAATGTGATCAAAGAAACTACTTTGTATGACATCATGTCCTGTTAACTTATTCACACCTCATTTTATGACACAGCACAGAGTCTATCCTGAAGAATATTCCATGTGCACTTGAAATGAATACATATTCTGCTGCTGTTGAGAGGAGTGTTCTAAAGATTCTGTCAAATTTAATTGGCTTATAATGTTCAACTCTTGTTTCCTTGTTGAGCTTTTGCCTGGTTCTCCTATCCATTACTAAAAATGAGTATAACGGACCACATTGTTTTTCCCAAAAATATGTATGTTGACTCTCTAACTCTTAGTACCTCAGAACGTTATTATATTTGGTAATAAGATTTTTAAAGAGGTGGTTAAGCTAGAATTAAGCTGTTGGGATTGGCCCTAATTCAATATGACTAGTATCCTTATGAAAGGAGATAACATAATGCATGTGCACAGAGGAAAAACTTATTAAGCAAATTCAAATGTTACACTAGAAAATACAAAAACATAAGACATACAGAAAATAAAAATAAATCTTTCTCAATTATTTTCATTATAACCTATATTTTTAAATTGTGTCTCCTGAAGACAATATAGTGTTAGACATTTCTTCTTCATCAAATCTGAGGATGTCTGCCTTCTAATTGTTTTATTATTTTAAACTTAATGTTATTATTAATATTGTTGGATTTATATCTGTCATTTTTCTTTTTATTTTCTGTATGTTTCATGTCTGTGTCATGCACCTTTTCCTCCACAGCCTTTTTATATTTTCTAGTGTAACATCTCAATTTATTCAATAATTTTTTAAACTGTGGCCTGTAGTCCCAGCTACTCGGGAGGCTGAGGCAGGAGAATGGTGTGAACCCGGGAGGCAGAGTTTGCAGTGAGCCTAGATCGCGCCACTGCACTCCAGCCTGGGTGACAGAGCGAGACTCTGTCTCAAAAAAAAAAATAAATAAATAAATAAAATAATAATTTTTTAAACTGTGTATATTTTTAACTATCTTCTTAGTGATTATTCTAGAGCTTACTATGTACATGTAGACATAGATATGTATGTGTGTATATATGAACATACTTCAGATTTATACTTAAATTCTAGTGAAATATAGAAAATTTACTTATATAGTTTCACTCCCTTCTCCCAGTTGGACTATTGTGGTTACACATATTGCACCCGTGTACATGGCTATTATTATTACTTTACATAATCTTATGTCTTGAAGCTCAGAGAAGAAAATTAAGTATATATTTATTAATTTTTTAATGCTTTTATTCTTTCTGGTTCTATTCTTTCTTCCTGTTAGTTCAGGTTACCATTTGATATCTTTTTCTCTACTCTTGTTAAAGTTTTGTCCTATCCCCTCCTATGTGTGGTTACTATCAAATATATTACATTTTTATACATGATACAAGTTTTAAAAGTCTGTTTATATAATTTTACATAGATATTAAATAATAAAAAAATACATATTATTTATTACTAAGTTAAGAAAGAATATGCAAATATAGTTCCTTTTTTCAATTTTTATTTATTATGAGTACATAGTAGGTGTACATATTTATGATATTTATGGGATACATGAGGTACTTTGATACTAGAATGTAATCTATAATAATCACATCATGGTATATGGAGTATCTATCCCGTCAAGCATTTATTGTTTATATTATCAACAATTATACTCCTTTAGTTATTTTTAAATGTGCAATTAAATTATTATTGACTATAGTCACTCTGTTGTGCTATCAAATAGTAGGGCTTCTTTTTTTTTTTTTTTTTGCTTTAAGTTCCGGGATACATGTGCAGAACATGCAGGCTTGTTACATAGGTATATGTGTACAGTGGTGGTTTGCTGCACCATTGACCTGTCCTCTAAGTTCCCTCCCCTCACTCCTCACCCCCCAACAGGCCCTGGTGTGTGTTGTTCTCCTCCCTGTGTCCATGTGTTTTCATTGTTCAACTTGCACTTACGAGTGAGAACATACAGTGCTTGGTTTTCTGTTCCTGTGTTAGTTTGCTGAGGATGATGACTTCCAGCTTCATCCATGTTCCTGCAAAGGATATGATCTCATTCCTTTTTACAGCTGCATAGTATTTCATGGTGTATATGTACCACATTTTCCTTATCCAGTCTATTATTCATGGGCATTTGGATTGGTTTCACGACTTTGCTATTGTAAATAGTGCTGCAATAAACATACACGTGCATGTGTCTTTATAGTAGAATGATTTATATTCCTTTGGGTATATTTCCAGTAATGGGATTGCTGGGTCAAATGGTATTTCTGGTTCTAGATCCTTGAGGAATCACCATACTGTCTTCCACAATGGTTGAACTAATTTACGTTCCCATCAACTGTGTACAATTCTAGGTTTTGTTCATTCTTACTAACTACATTTTCATACCAGTTAACCATTCCACTATTCCCTTCAACTACCCTCTCCAGCCACTGGTAACTATCTTAACTATCTTTCTACTGTCTATCTCTGAGTTCAATTGTTTTAATGTTTAGCTCCTGCCAGTAAGTGAAAACAGATGACATTTGTCTTTCTGTGCCTGGCTTATTTTACTTAACATAATGACCTCCAGTTCCATTCATATTGTTGCAAATGATAGGATATTATTTTTCTTTATAGCTGAATAGTACTCCATTGTGTATACATACCACATTTTCTTTATCCATTTGTCTGCTGATGGACACTTAGATTGCTTCCAAATCTTAGCTAATGTGAACAATGCTGCAACAAACACGGAAATGCAGATACCCCTTTGATATATTGATTTCTTTCATTTGAGTATATATCCAGCAGTGGGATTGTTGAATTGTATGATTGTTCTATTTTCAGTATTTTAAGGAACCTCCAAACTGTTTTTCATAGTGATTGTACTAATTTACATGCCCACCAACAGTGTGAGTTCCCCTTTCTCCACATCCTTTCTAGCATTTGTAATTGCCTGTCTTTTGAAGTGAGATATCTCATTGTAGTTTTGATTTGCATTTCTCTGATTATCAATGATGTTGCACACTTTTCGTATACCTGTTTTTCATTTGTATGTCTGCTTTTAAAAATTGTCTATTCAGATCTTTTACCAATGTTTTAATCAGATTACTAGAATTTTTTCCTATGGAGTTGTGTGAACTCCTTATATATTCTGCTTACTAATCCTTTTTCAGATAGGTAGTTTGAAAATATTTTCTCCCATACTTTGGGTTGTCTCTTCACTTTGTTGGTTGTTTCCTTTGCTGTGCGGCTTTTTTAACTTCATGTGATACGATTTGTCGTCCATTTTTGCTTTGGTTGTCTGTGCTTGTAGTGTATTACTCAACAAATCTTTGCCGGCTGGGCACAGTGGCTCATGCCTGTAATCCTATCACTTTGGGAAGCCGAGGTGGGCGGATCACTTGAGGTCAAGAGTTCAAAATCAACCCGGCCATCATGGTGAAACCCCGTCTCTACTAAAAATACAAAAAAAAAAAAAAAAAATTAGCCAGGCATGGTGGCAGGTGCCTGTAATCCCAGCTACTCAGGAGACTGAGGCAGGAGAATCACTTGAATCCAGGAGGTAGAGGTTGCAGTAAGCTGCGGTCTCACCACTGAACTCCAGCCTAGGCGACAGAGCGAGACTTGTCTCAAAAAAAAAAAAAAAAATCTTTGCCCAGGCCAATTTCCTGGAGAGTTTCCTCAAAGTTTTTCGTTAGTAGTTTCACAGTTTGAGATCTTAGATTTAAATCTTTAATCAATTTTGATTTGATTTTTGTATATGTTGAGAGATATGAATCTAATTTCATTCTTCCACATATGAATATCCAGTTTTCCCAGAACCATTTATTAAAAGGACTGTCATTTCCTTGATGTAAGTTCTTGACACCTTTGTTGAAAACAAGCTCACAGTAGATGTATGGATTTGTTGCTGGGTTCTCTATTCTGTTTCATTGGTCTGTGCATCTGTTTATATGCCAGTACCATGCTATTTTGGTTACTATAGTTTTGTAGTATAATTTGAAGTCAGGTAATGTGACTTCTACAGTTATTTATTCATTTTTTTCCTTTTGCTTGGGATAGCTTTGGCTATTCTGGGTCTTTTGTGGTTCCATATGAATTTTATAATTGTTTTTTTCTATTTCTCTGAAGAATGTCATTAGTATTTTGATAGGAATTGTATTGAATCTGTAGATTGCTTTATGTAGTATGGACATTTTGACAATATTGATTCTTCTAATTCATGAACATGGAATATCTCCCCATTTTTTGTGTTCTTTTAAACTTTTTTCATAGGTGTTTTATATTTTGTTGTAAAATTCATTCACTTTGGTGAAGTTAATTCATAGGTATTTAATTTTATTTGTGACTGTCATAAATGGGATCAGTTTTTATTTTTTTCACATTTTTCACTATTGACATACAGAAATGCTACTGATTTTTATATGTTGATTTTGTATCCTACAACTTTATTGGATTTGTTTATCAGTTATTATAGTTTGTTTTTGTGGCAGCTTTAAGTTTTTCCAAATAAAAGATTATATCATCTGCAAACAAGGATAAATTGAATTATTCTTTTCTGATTTGGACATTCTTTATTTCTTTTTCTTGTCTGATTGCTCTATCTAGAACTTCTAGTACTACATTGAATAACAGTGGTGAATCTGGGGATTCTTGTCGTGTTTCAGATGTTAGAGGAAAGACTTTCAGTGATTCTCCATTCAATATAATGCTAGCTGTGGGTCTGTCATATATAGCTTTTATTATGTTATGTTTCTTCTGTACTCAGCTTTTTAGTGTTTGCATCATGCAGGGATGTGGAAATTTATCAAATGTTTTTTCAGCATCAATTTAAATGATCACATGGTTTTTGTCCTTCATTCTGTTGATATGACATGACATTGACTGGTTTGTACATATTGAACAATCCTTGCATCCCTGGGATAAATCCCATTTGGTCATGATGAGTGATCTTTTTAATGTATTGTTTTATTGGTTTGCTAATATTTTGTTGAGGATTTTTGCAACAATATTTTTCAGAGATATTGGCCTGTGGTTTTCTTCTTTTGATAGGTCTTTGATTTTGGTATCAGGGTAATACTGGCCTTATAGAAAGAGTTTGGAAGTGTTCCCTCCTTTTCTATTTTTCCAAATAGTTTGAGTAGGATTGGTATTAGTTCTTCTTTAAATGGTTGGTAGAATTCAGCAGTGAAGCCATCAGTCCTGGGCTTTTCTTTACTGGGAGACTTTGTATTACAGCTTTGATCTCATTACTTGTTATTTGTCTGTTCCAGTTTTTTATTTTTTTCTAGTTCATTCTTGGTAGGTTGTATGTGTCTAGGAGTTTATCTGTTTCCTGTAAATTTCCACTTTGTTGCCATACAGTTTCTCATAGTAGCCACTAATGATTTTTTTCAGTTTCTGCAGTATCAGTTGTAATTTTTCATTTTTCATCTCTGACTTTATGTGTTTGGACCTTCTCTTTTTTAGTTATTCTGGCTAAATGTTTGTCAATTTTATTTACCTTTTCAAAGTTCCAACCTACCTTTTCATTAATCTTTTGTATTTTCTCCATTTCAGTTTCATTATTTCTTTTCTTCTACTAGTTTTTGGTTTGGTTTGCTTTTGCCTTTCTAGCTCTGTAAGAGGCATTGGTAGGTTATTCATTTGAAGTTTTTTTTATTTCTTGAGGTGGGTACTTAGAGCTATAAATTTCCCCCTCAGTACTAATTTTGCTGTATCCCCTAGGCTTTGGTATGTTATGTTTCCATTATTATTCACTTAAAAAATTCTTCAGTTTCCTTCTAAATTCTTTCAATGACCCATTGGTCATTCAGGAGCATATAGTTTTATTTCTATGTGATTGCATAGTTGCCAAAATTTATTTTGTCATTGATTTCTACTTTCATTCCATTGTGGTAAGAGAAGATGCTTGATATTATTTTCATTTTTGAATGTCTTGAGACTGATTTTGTGACCTAACCTATGGTCTATCCTTGAGAATGAGTCATGTGCTGAGATAAAGAATGTGTACTCTGCAACTGTTGGATGAAATGCTCTGTAAATATCTATTAGGTCCATTTATTCTATAGTGCAGAAATTTGCAGAAGTGTGAAGCCTCTTTGTTGATTTTCTGTCTGGAAGATCTGAAATGCTGAAATTGGGGTGTTGAACTCTCCAGCTATTATTCTATTGAGATCTAGTTTCCTCTTTAGCTCTAATAATATTTGCTTTATATATTTCGGTACTCCAGAATTGAGGGCATATGCGTTTACAGTCTTTATGTCCCCTTGCTTACTTGACTGTTTTATGATTATATAATTACCTTCTCTGTCTCTTCTTGCAGTTTTGTCTTGAAATCTATCTTGTCTGATATAAACACAGTGATTGCTGCTCTTTTTTGTTTTCCATTGTTATGGAATATGTTTTTCCATCCCTTTTTTTCAGTCTAACTATATATATCTTTGTAAGTGACCTGTGTTTCCTTTTGGCAACAGATATTGGGTCTTCTATTTTTTCTGTATTCACTCAGTCACTCTGTGTTTTTTGATTGAAGAGTTTAGTCAATGTACATTCAATATTATTGTTGATAAATGAGAACTCACCTCTGCCATTTTGTTATTTGTTTTCTGCTTGCTTTGTGGTCTTATCTTCCTTCTTTCCTTTCTGTCTTCCCTTTAGTGAAAGTGATTTTCTCTGGTGGTATGATTTAATTTCTTGCCTTTTATTTTTTGTGTATCTGTTGTGTGTTTTTTTATTTGAGGTTATCATGAGGCTTGCAAATCTTATAACCCATTATTTTAAACTGGTGACAGCACTCACTGCATAAACAAACAAACAAGCAAAAAGACAGCTAATACAAACTCTACACTTTAACTTGTCCGCATGCTTTTTAACTTTTTGTTGTTACTCTTTGTTCTATTGTACTGCCTATGTTTTGAAAAGTTACAGTAGTTATGATTTTTAATTGTTTCATCATTTAGTCTTTCTATTTAAGAGTTTATACACAATTACAGTGTTACAATATTCTGAGTTTTTTGTGTGTGCTTACTATTACCAGTGAGTTGTGTACCCTCAGTTTATTTTGTATTGCTATTAACATCCTTTCTTTCAGATTGGAGAACTCCCTTTGGCATTTCTTGTACAAGTCTGATGTTGATAAAATCCCTCAGCTTTTCTTTTTCTTTTATTTTTTTTATTTCTTTTATTTTTTATATTATCAAGGAAAGTCTGTATTTCTCTTTCACGTTTAAAAAATACTTTTGCCAGATATACTCTTTTGGGTAAAAGTTCTTGGATTTTTTTTTCTTTCAGCACTTTAATATGTCATGCCCTTCTCTCCAGGCCTGTGAGGTGTCCACTGAAAAATCTGCTGCCAGACATATTGAAGCTTCACTGTATGTTATTTGCTTCTTTTTTCTTGGTGCTTTTATGATCCTGTATTTATCCTTAACTTTTGAGAGACTGATTACTAAATGCCTTGAGGTAGTCCTTTTTGGACCATGGTAAATCTGTTTGGTATTCTATAACCTCCTTGTACTTGAATGTTGATGTTTCCCTAGGTTTAGGAAGTTTTCTGATATTATCCCTTTGAATAAATTTTCTATTCCTGTCTTTTTCTCTACCTCCTCTTAAAGGCCAGCAAGAACTAGTAGACTTGGCCTTCTGAGGTTATTGTCTAGATCTCATAGGCATGCTTAATACTATTTTTACCCTTTTCTTTTGTCTCCTCTATGTATTTTCAAATAGCCTGTCTTTAAGCTCACTAATTTTCTTCTGCTTGATCAATTCTATTAAAACACTCTTATGCATTCATCAGTAGGTCAATTGCATTTTGTCAGCTCCAGAATTTCTGCTTGATTCTTTTTTATTATTTTATTCTTTGTTAAATTTATTTGATATAACTCCGAATTCCTTCTCTCTGCTGTTTTGAATTTCTTTTGAGTTTCCTCAAAACAGCTATTTTGAATTATCTATCTAAAAAGTCATGTAGCTGTGTTTCTCCAGGATTGGTCCCTGGTGCCTTATTTAGTTCATTTGGTGAGGTCATGTTTTCCTGAATGCTCTTGATGCTTGTGGATATTCATTGGTGTTTGGGCATTGAAGAGTTAGGTCTTTTATGTAGTTTTTGCAGTCTGTGATTGTTTCTGCCCATCTTTCTTCAGAAGGCCTTCCAGGTGTTTAAAGGGACTTTGGCCTCCAGCCCGAAAATGCTGTGGTTCTTGCACATTCTTAGAGGTACCGCCATGGTGGTCTTGGATAGGATCCAGAAGAATTCTCTAGATTACCAGGCAGAGACACTTGTTTTATTTCCTTACTTTCTCCCAAACAAACAGAATATCTCTATCTGTCTGAGTGCTGAGCTGCTTGGACCTAGGGGTAGGGTGATGAAAGCACCCCTGTGGCCACCATCACTGGGGACTGCACTTGGTCAGACCTGAAACCAGCACAGTACTGGGTCTCACCTAAGGCCTGCTGTAATCACTATCTGGCTACTGCCTATGTTCACTCAAGGCCCTAGGGCTATATGATCAGCAAGTGAGGAAGCCATCCAGGTTTGTGTCCTTCACTTCAGGGCAGTGAGTTCCTACAGGCCCCATGGGGAATCCAGAGATCCAGTCTGGGAGCCAGTGTTTGGAAGTAGAAATGTACCTGATGTTCTATTCTACTGCAGCTAAGCTGGCCCTCAAACCAGAAGACAAAATTCTTTCTGCTCTTCCCTCCCCTTTCCCCAGGAAGAGGAGCCTCTCCCAGTGGCTACCACCACCACCAGCCCATGGGGAGTATGTTAGTCAGGGTTCTCTAAAGGGACAGAACTAATAGGATAAATGTATATATAAAGGGGAGTGTATTAAGGAGTATTAACTCACATGATCACAAGGTCCCACAATAGGCTGTCTGCAAGCTGAGGAGAAACAAAGCCAGTCTGAGTTCCAAAGCTGAAGAATTTGAAATCTGATGTTCAAGGGCAGGAAACATCCAACACAAGAGAAAGATGTGGGCTTGGAGGCAAAGCCAGTCTAGCCTTTTCACATTCTTCTGCTTCTTTTATTCTGGCCACACTGGCAGCTGATTAGATTGTGCCCATCCAGATTGAGGGTGGGCCTCCCTTTCCCATTCCACTGACTCAAATGTTAATCTCCTTTGGCAACACCCACATAGCCACACCCAGGAATAATATTTTGCATCCTTCAATCCAATCAAGTTGACACTTGATTGTTAACCATCACAAGTTGTTCTGCCAGGCCACTGCCAATGTTCATTTAAAGCCCAGGGGCTCTTCAGTCAGCTTGTAGTAAATGCTGTCTAGCCTGGGACTTGCCCTTCAGGGAAGTGATATCTCCTCTGGCCCTAGGAGATCTAGAAATGCTGCCCAACAGCCCAGGACAGGAATTGGGACTCCAAGAACCCACTTAGTGCTCCACCCCACTGTGGCCAAGTTGATACCTAAGGTGTCAGTCAAAGTCCTCTTTACTTTTTCCCCTGCTTTTCTCAAGCAGGAGTGGCCACCACAGCTGGGAATGTGCTGGGTCCTATATGAAGTCAGCATGCCTCAGAGTCTCACCTAAGCCCCACAGCATACTATCTCAATATTGCTGTTGGTTATTCAGGGGTCAAGGGCCCTTTAGTCAGCAGATAAGAAATCCTGCCAGGACTAGGTCCATCCCTTCAAGGCAGCAGGTTCCTTTCTGGCCCAGAGTGTGTCTAAAAATGTCATCAGGGAGCAAGAGCCTAGAATGGAGACCTCACAACTCTGCCCAGTGCCCTATCCTATTGTGGCTGAGCTGGTATCCAAAATGCGAGACAAAGTCCTCTTCTTCTTTACTCTTTGCTCTCCTCTCCTTAAACAAAAGGAAGGAGTCACTTTCCTTGCTGTGAGCTGTGTTGCCTGGGGTTGGAGGAGGAGTGGTGCAAGCAATCCCTTAGCTGCCCTGTCAGGTGTCCCCTGGGTCACATGGCACCCTAGTTCACTAGCTGTAAGCCCAGCCCAGCACTAGGACTTGCCTAGGAACTGCAGTCCCTTTGTCCTAGAAAGCCTTTCAAGTTTACCTAGGACCCCAGAGCTCTTTAGACTACAGTGGTGAGGCCTGCCAAGAAACTCAAGTTCCAACTGCTTGGATGGGTAATTCCCTTCTGGCTAAGGCAAGTCCAAATGCTCCCTTCATGGGGGACACCAACTGAACCCAACATAGCTTTGCTCTCTGCTGTGACAGGGCTGCAATTGGAGTTTAATGCCAAGTCCCCATTTGCTGTGCTCCCTCCCACAAGTGCACAGATTCTCTCTCCTTGTCACGTGGCCACTGCCAGTGGAGGAAGGAGGGGTGGCATCGTCAATTCAAGACTATCTTTTCTACCTTCAGTGTGTCTTTCAGCGATGTGAAGTCAATACCAGGTACTGTGATTGACCACTTGATTTTTGGTTCTTATGTTGGTGCTTTCTTGTGTGTAGTTAGTTGTTGAAATTTGGTGGTTTTGCAGTGGTGATGATCAGTGGAGGCTTCTGTTTAGCTATCTTGCTCCATCTGTGTCAATATTCACACTTAATTTTGTAATTACCTATATAATTATCTTAACCAGTATTTTTTTTCCCCCATGGGGATTTCAGTTACTCTCCCCTGGTGTCACCTGCATTTGGCCTGAAAACTTTCTTTAGTATTTCTTGTAGGGCAGGACTGCTAGCAAAAAATTCAGCTTGTGTTTATCCAGGGATGTCTTTCTTTTGACTTTATTTTTGAAAGATAATTCTTGCTTGGTATAAGATTTTTTGTTAACAGTATTTGTTGGTTTTTATCTATTCAGTACTTTATTTGCTTTGACTGTGTTATTCCCTTTTTTTCTAGAATATATAATTTCTGATAAAAAAATAGCTACTAATCTTGCTGAGTAATCTTATGTATCATGATAAGTTATTTTTCCTTTGCTCTTTTCAGTTTCTTCTTCATCTTCTTTCAACAAAGACATTTACTATGCTGTCTGTATTCAAATCTCTCTGAGTTTATCTTTCTTGGAATTTCTTGAGGTCCTTGTAGGTATACAGGGATGTTTCCAATAAATTTTAAAATATTATACAATGTTCTCTTTTACTATTTTATCTTCACTTTTCTTTCTCTCTCATCACTGTCTGGCATTTTAATTATGCATATGTTGGTTCACTAAATGATAATCTACATTTCTTTGAGGCCCTGTTCATTTGCCTTTGTTTTTCTTTTCTCTCTGTGTTCTGATTGAATAACCTTTATTGATCTATTTTCAAGCTCTCTATTTCTTAGGCCAGCAAAAACCTATTGTTGAGCTAGCTTCTCTAGCGCATTTTTAATTTCATTTATTGTGCATGCTAAAATCATGTTTATTCCTTTTTAATACAACATATCTTAATTGATATTTTCTATTTGATGACATATTATCTTAGTTTCAAATAATTATTCATATGGGGTCTCCTGTACTATGAAAATATTTATACTGGCTACTTTAAAGTTTTTCTCCCAATCCAATGCCTAGGCCCTTCAAAAAATAAATTTTATTGCCTGCCTTCTCCCATGCCCCTAGTGTAGGGGGCGCATTTTCTTGCTTCTTGGCATGTTCCATCGTTTTTTAAACTGTATATTTTTGGATAATATATCTTAGCAACTCTGGATACCAATTTTATTTATCCCTGGGAGATGTGATGTTGTTTGCTTGATTGTTTATTTGGCTGGTGACTTGGCTGGACTGACTCTGAAGTCTATAACTCTTGCAATGTGCAGTCTTTGATATCTCTAAAAAGATTGTTTTTTAATTTTTTTATCTAGGATACCTATGGTATGTCGCTGTATTGAAATACACCTCTTATTGGTTAAAGATTGTGCTTAAGCCCTCTTATTTACCACTGAATGGGTGTGTGGCTTGGAGGCTGCTATCACCCTTCAACAAGCTTACATTTTTTCACTCACATTCAGAGCTTGAACCTACACTCTTTGTTCACTCCTGAAAGGCCCAACTATTGGGCATGCACAGGGTCTTCCACATTCTCGGAATATGTAACTTTATTTTTAAGGCGGTATTAAATAGAAATCGCCTCTGAGTCAGAATAAATTATTATTCAGCTAGTAGTTGGACAGAGATTATGTTTAAGTCCTCATGCCAGTAAGACTCACTCTTGATGGCTCTGTGTGTGACTTTGGAAATGTTTTCAGGTCTTTTCCATGTTCTACTCTGATAACTCCTGAATGATTGCATTCTAGCACATATGCACAGCCTTCCCAACTGCCAGAGTTGACTGTGATCCCAGAAAGACTCTTCTTGGCTATCTCTTTCCCTGGTTCTCTTTGTTAAACTTCTTATTGCTCTGCAATTTTACTTTTTGCTGTTTACATCATGGAGTTATATGTATACTCTCTTAGTTGCTTTCCACAAAAATCTCCATCGTTTTTTCACTTTATCCTTTGCAATGGAAGTTTATACCCTCTCTGCTAAATCAAGTCAGTTCCTTCAGGTGGAGATAAGGAGCTCTTTTCAAGGTTTGCTTCTCTCTCCTGTCTTTCCTTATGGGTAGGATCTCTGCACCACTGCATAGGAACTGGAAGGACTTCTCCCAGAGTGCCACTTCTGCTTTAAAAGACGGTGCTAGGTGACCCCTTAGTCTTTTTGACTTGCCTCTCCTATTGTGAAACTCTGCTCACAGAGCCAGCTTTGGTGGTTAATTAGGGCCTAGTATTCTCAGCCTGCCAGCCTAGAATAGGGATTTTGCCCTAGAAGTTGGTTTTGGGTAAAGGAAGGTAACCACAGACATCTCCACCGTGCCTGCCTGGCATAGTAGATCTGTATCTTGGGGCTGGAGGCAATGACAAACACTTGTGACCTGTCCCTTCTGAGGTGAAGTAGTTCTAAACTGGAAGGTAGGGGGAGACAGAATCCTTGTCTTATGACAGCACTCACTAAGGTTACAACTCCCAGAGTAGTTTCATTGAGACAGAGCTGGGGGTAGGAGAGCAATGACAGTTAGGCTACATTAACGTTCACTGTTCTCAATGAAGTTTAGTAGGTTTTCTGAATGAATATTCTTCCATTATCTATAATCCCTAAGGATAATTTACAGATTTTTTTCACATATATAATGTTCTTCATTTACATGGTTGTTTGCTGGGGAAATGGTCTGCTGCACTCTTCACATCTCTATTCCAAGATTCAATCTTCTACAACGTGTTTTTAATACAGTGTCTTCTCTCAGGCCCTAGTTATAAAGTTTATATGCTGATATTTCAAGTAGATAACTTTTTGTATTTCCATGGCAACATGTTAAATAGTGATCCCACAGAATGTTTAGAATATAATATACTGTAAAGTTGTTTTTAATATCACTCTGTGAAGTATTTTTTAATATCACTCTGTAAAGTAAAAATTAATGCTTTGGGATTTGATGAACTCTAGGAAAGTATTTTCTGCATCCTGCTGGTTGTGGAAGCATTTTCCCTGCAAAAAGTTGTTGAGATATTTGAAGAAGTGGTAGTCAGTTGGTGAGAGGTGAGGCGAGTATGGCAGATCAAACAAAACTTCATAACCCAATTCATTCAACTTTTAAGTGTTGGTTGTGCAATGTGCAGTGGGGTGTTGTCATGGAGAAGAACTGGACCCTTTCTGTTGACCAATGGTGGTGGCAGATGATGCAGTTTTTGGTACATCTCCTTGATTTGCTGAACATACTTCTCAGATGTAATGGTTTCACCAGGATTTAGAAAGTTATAGTGGATCAGACCAGCAGCAGACCACCAAACACTGACCACTACCTTTTTTTGGTGCAAGTCTGGCCTTCGGAGCTTCTTCTCTGTCCAACCACTGAGAAGGTCATCTCCAGTTGCTGTATAAAATCCACTTTTCATTGCACATCACAATCCAATCAAGAAATGGTTCATTGTCGTTGTGTAGAATAAGAGAAGTCAACACTTCAAAATGGCGATTTTTTAAAAATTTTCAGTCAGTTCATGAAGCACCCATTTTTTGAGCTTTCTCACCATTCCAATTTGCTTCAAATGCCAAACAACAATAGAATGGTTGACGCTGACTTCTTTGGCAACTTCAGTTGTAAGAGGATCAGCTGTCAACTGGTCGTTGTCAACTTCTGATGGCCAGTCACTACGCTCATCTTCAAGGCTCTTGTCTCCTTTGCAAAACTTCCTGAAACACCACTGCACAGTACATTCATTAGCAATTCCTTGGCCAAATGAGCTGTTGATGTTGTGAGTTGTCTCCATTGCTTTATGACCCATTTTGAACTCGAGTAAGAAAATTGCTTAAATTTGCTTTTTGCCTAATATCATTTCCATAGTCTAAAATAAGTAGCAAGTAATAAGTCCTTAGCAAAACATAAACATAAAGCAAGAAATGTGCATTAAAATGATGTATAATATGACCACATTTATTTAAGAATGTATTCCAGTATCAAATAGCAAATTTCAACAAAAACTGCAATTACTTTTGCACCAGCCTAATATATGATTACATGTATAATTTAGAACTAAAAATAAGCAAGTCTATTTAATACTAAGTATAGTTAACACCTACTATATGCCTGTAACTATTAAGTGCTAATTGTTACTAAGATGACTGTAATATAGATCTTGACTTCAAGGGGACCAACAATACATAATTTAAAACAAAGACATCCACAAACTCATATATAACCTAATTAGCTTTTCAATTTCGTATTGCTAATTTACCTGAACCATTTATTCAATACTCACTTATTATGTATATTGGAATTTAATCACACTCTTTCTCTTTCTTTTCAAGTTTTAAATCAACTGAGAGCAAAACATAAAGTCAGACAGATGGAGAGAAAATGGCAGTTTTATTACTGATGAAGCTGGGCTAGCTGGTAGAAATTAATATTTGGCCACAAGCAGACTTTCTGATGCTTTCACTGATTTAAAATTGGCTGTTTAGAATTATTGGCTGCCCCATACCCACTTTTCACTAGAGTGAAGGCTGACTTACAAGCTTACTACATGAAGGAACAAAAAGGACAGAAATGCTTTTGGGCTTACCAGGCATGTTGCCCCAAAAGAGGAAGCGTAGAAGGAAATAAGACATATGGTCATTTTTTTCCCCAAATCTTAACCAAAAAAAAAAAAAAAAAAAGTGGGCAGGCAGGGTTTTTTATGTTTAAATCTACATGTGTATGCCTGTATGTGTGCCAGGGGTATTGGCGGTTGGTAGTGAACAATGTGAACACAAAGTAGCCTCAAGGAGCACCCAGTATCACGATCCTTCATTCCACAGCTCTATCTACTGCACAGACACTGAAATTTTGTGACTGATGCCCATATTCTTCTACTTTATTTGGCTTTTTTGAATAATTATACCATTAGCATGCAGCTGTTCCTCAATATTCATGGGCTCCACTTATGGGCATTCAACATATCATAGATCAAAAATATTTTTTAAAATTAATAATACAACAATAAAAAACAAGACAAATAAAAACAAAACCATATAACAAAACTGTGCATAATATTTCCATTGTTTTTGGTATTATAAGGAATCTAGAGATGATTTAAAGTAAACTGGAGCATGTGCATAGGTTCTATGCAGATATTACATCATTTTATATAAAATGGACTTGAGCATCTGTTGATTTTGGTATTCATGGGGTAAGGGTGTGGTGAATATCAAGGGATAGTTATTTAAGTAAAAGATAAGTTAACTGATAAAATTCAGATAAATTCTGATTTTAAAAATCTGCATTATAATTTCTTTTCTACTCCCTTCTGGAGTAGAAAAATGAGGTTGCCCCACTGAATAACAATAAAAAAGTCTCCTTTGAATATGACTTTGTATAGTTGTCCTTTTCAGAATGTTGTATTGTATGGCATGCCATGTTGACCGTTGTATATTATATTTTTCCCTGAATTTTTGGCCACTTCCCATGTTATTTCAAAATAAACCCACCCACAGCTGTCATAGTAGCCAGACATGGTCTTGCTGATCTACCCAGCAGCTCATTAGATGTTTAGAGTGTAACCATCTGATTTATGGTACCATGACTGAGGTTATAAGTCAATCAACCAACTCTCTATTTGTATTTTATAGGTATCTAGTATTCTGTCTACATCTAAATTGAATCACCAACTCTTCAGGGCAAACACCTTGTCTTTGCTGCTTTATGCTTTGCTAAGCTCCACAGACTCTTACCATACTCTATAAATATTCTCACAGAATATGTATGACAAGTCTAACATGGCAAGCAATTTCACCAGGGTCACTGTACCCTCGTGGATTTAAAGCTACATAAATTACTGTTGCTCCCTACTTCATAATATTTTATCTAGAAAAATCTATGTTCCAAAGCAACTTTTGGATTCCACTCAATTTTTCTAGTTTTCTTTAAAAAGAAAAAAAAGATCTCAGCAATGGCTTAATGACATTTACAAGTCTCTGGATGTTAAAGAGTGCCACCCTAAATTAACAGCAAAATTACTCTGAATAAGAATCCAGATCGAAGACATGTATCTGAGTTCAAATCTCAGCTTTACCACTTTCTGTTTGGACTTCTCTAAACCTTAGTTTCCTTACTTGTAAAATGATACTATAATAATTATTATACCTACCCCCTAGTTGTGTTTTGGAGATTAAATGAGAGCTGATATTGGTTTATGCTCGGTATGTCTTCGCCGTTAGAAATTGTGGTAATAAGAATCGCAATAGAAGTAGTGGTACCATTAGCAGCAGTAGAAGTAAAATTCACACAGATGGATATGGTTAAACCATAGAAGCCGTTGTAAACGATAGTGGGGGAGAAGTAAAGAAGGTTTGGGAATGCCAAAGTCCACCTGGTCTCATAAAAATACAGACTCAGGAACCTAGATGGGAATATGATTGCAATTACATCAAAATATAAACCTCTTATGTTCTCAGGTTAAAGAAAGATTGTTAACAAAATGCATATAGTTTCTCTAAAGTCTAGACAGGTGAAAATCTACAAGTGATACGTTATTGATGTGCCTTTTACATGGATTAGAAGAGGGTATCTGACCTTTTGGCAGCAATATTTGTATTAACTTGGCATGTATACTCTTACCCAGGAGAAGGATACATCAGGTTGTCAAACTGAGCAGCTTCTCATATAATCCAGCTGTCTCCTCTTGCTGCAATGCCATGCTCCTCAGTACATTTCTGATGAAATTTTGGCAGCCAATGACCATTTCCTTTTAGGGAGAGAATATTTGGCTCCCTTTCACAGTTTTAGTTCTAACTTACAAGTTGGCAATTTGTACATCAGACTTTTGTGAGTTGAGTAATCAGTTCCAGAGCTATTAATAAACTTGAAGTGCTCTGATACAGCAGGGTTCCAGAGACTGAGAAGCTTAGAACCAGACCTTGGAATATCATAATGATACAAGATATACCCAAATCTATGGACCTCTGTCTGTTCAATAGATAGCACTTCTCTTAATTCTCACTATAACACAATGTAAAAATATAAAGACAGAAAATCCAATTCAAACCCAGCCTCCTCTAAGAGAAAAATGTAGATTGTAGAACATGATTTTGGACTCTAGTTAAAAACAGGCATAATTATAATCTGTTTCTTATTCTTACAGCAAGAATACATCTCACCTGTACACTACATTCTTTAGATGTGGAAAACAAAAGGGAAAAAATAAAGTAAAAGAAAAGAGAAAAATCAAAATAAGAAAATTAAATACATGAGCAGAAAATGGAAATGTTTAAGATTAAAATAGACTGGATGCTTTTTCTTTTTATTCCAGATATTAATTTAAAAAAGAAATAAAAAGAGATAACTGTGGGGTTAAAATTAATAAGCTAAATAAAGACTTAGGTATAGTTTGTAATTTAACTTTTTCTGTGAAATGATCTGTTCTACCTTATGCCTGCATTCAGCTTTCTCTTTGCCAAGTACTTGAAAGAGTGTTTCTAACATATTCAAAGTATTTGGTACTTTCCGTCCAACAAGAGAATCCTCATTATGGGTAAACACTGTGTTGTCCTGCACACCATACTAGGGAGTTGACACTGGGACATCCATTAATTTACATAGTGGTGGGTTCCTTTAGGATCATGATTTTATTTACAAGCTACATGAATAATCTGAATTTCCTATTTAGAAAAACACTTTATGTAGATTATCTGAAAACTCAATTTCCTGTAATATACAAGCTTTATAACTTGTGATCACGACATGCTACAGAACTAAAGGTGGCATTTCTGGGATATTAAATCAAAATATTTTCACAGTTTAACATTTCAGGAAATGTATTCTTTTATGTTCAGTTAACACTGAACAAAGAATCTTAATTTAATGTTTAAAAAGTTTGCATAGGTCCAAGCGCAATGCCTCACGCCTGTAATCCCAGCACTTTGGGAGGCCGAGGCGGGCGGATCACGAGGTCAGGAGATTGAGACCATGCTGGCTAACACGGTGAAACCCCGTCTCTACTAAAAATACAAAAAATTAGCCGGGAGTGGTGGCGGGTGCCTGTAGTCCCAGCTACTTGGGAGGCTAAGGCAGGAGAACCCTTGAACCCGGGAGGCGGAGCTTGCGGTGAGCCAAGATCGTGCCACTGCACTCCAGCCTGGGCGATGGAGCAAGACTCCATCTCAAAAATAAATAAATAAATAAAAGTTTGCATAGATTTAAAAGTAGATATTCAGCAACTTTTTTTTTCTTTTCCTACTTTTTCTGAGAAGGGTAGTAGCAAGCACAGAATTTTCAAAGAGCATATAGTCACAACATAGTTGTTGTCTCTCTGGAGTTCTCATAAGACACTACTGAGGCCAATAGATCTTCTTTTGATTGTGAACAAGACTGAATCAAAATTATTTTAGGTGGAATGGAGTGAAACACAAGGGTTAAGGGGGCTTATAGTTTCATACTTCTTTTGGTCCCATGATACCTCGATGCCTTGGAATCAGAAACCAAGCTTACAATCTTCTTAGTGGATTTCTGCTCAGACTTATTGCTAGTTCTCGAGTATCACTAAGTGTGTGACTGTGTTTATTTGTGTGCATTTGTGCTTATATCCCATATGGTAAAGCAATGTTTTTGAAACTGATGGTAATTACGGATATTGGGGAAGTAACAAAAGAAAAATAAACCATTTCATAATTGGTTTGGTTGTATAAATGCAATATTATGTTCTTGTGTGTACTACTTTTATTTATGAATAATTTCAATGCAGTAAAATAATTAGACATACAGTTATATATGTGCCACTTCAGTTTATATGTTTCCTTTGATTATATAATCAAAACTGTGTTCATATGGTCATGCATACACCATTTTTTATAAGTTATTGCTGTTGTAGCAAAGCCATCTGCTCTCAAATTTTAAAAGTTGGTAGCAAAAATAAGTTAGGAAAAAGTATTCTATAAAGAAAGAGAAATGCAGAAATAGTAACATTATTAGAACACAAATGAAAAGCCTCAGTAATTTCATGTTACAAAGTATATTCTGATTAAGAAAAAATGTTTTAATTCTTATTTTTAACAAGCATGATTCCATCTCATCTGTGATGAATTATACAGTGGCTATAAGTATCAATAAATATTTTAGTGGCTGTAAAAAAAATTAAGCTTGATGCTCCCACTTTTCTCAAGATAGTTGATATTTTTGGTAGGAAAACTATTGAACACATAAATAATAGCTAAATTTATTTTAATTAATCATAATTCTAAGATCTATCCACAGCAATAAGTGCACTCTACTAATAATAAAATTATATGATACAGGGAAGAATGTGTTCATTTATTTTACTTATTCAACTTTTTTTTTTCTTTTTGTCTAATTATTACCAGGAACTGTTCCGGATTCTGGGGATATAATGAAGAATCACACATAAAAGATTCCTTTTTCCCAAGGATTTTCTATTCTACTAGAAGGACTACAGAATTTATAAATGTCCTATGGAAGATGCAAAGAAGAAAGTGCTTCAGGAATTCAAAAAGTGTGGGATTATAGGTGCTTGCTATATGAATGGACAAGAGAGCTTCACATTCCCAGGAATGCCATAATACCCATTTCACACAATACACCCTGATGGTTTTTAAAATCCATTCCTGCTGTATTCTTTCTTCTTTTATTTGTTAAATACTGGTTTAACATAGTAAATTAATTGGATAAGCCTCTGACTGTAAGCCAAATTTAAAAAATATCATATGTAATGGCCCTCAAGGAACTGAGAAGCCAGGAAATGAAAGAATCGCCTAAGTGGATGTTAAACCCAATGAGAATACTGACAGAATTTTCTAGGGACAGAGTGCTAAGATATTCCCAGAATCGTGTTTTTTATGTCAACACTTTGTTTTTCATCTATATCTTTGACTATTCTTTTCAGGCTACATTCATGGATTCACTTCTTCAGTTCCCACACTAAATTTGGTAGCACTTAGGGCTTTAAGAGACCTTCTCACTGCATATTCTTATTCTGAGCAGTCTTAAGCAACCCCATGATTCCAGCTACCATATGGATGATGACGTGAGGTTTTTTTTTTAAGACCTTCAACTCTTATTTTGGTACTCTTCTGAGCTGCAGTCTCATACATTTAATCCGCCTCTCTCATTTTCTATTTCTACATACCAAACTTGAATAAATCCAATAAAACTGATTCTCCTTTCTGTAACACTCACTCTGAATAGTACCTAAAAAAGAAAACTCCCATTTCCTTATACATCTCTGTTAATAACTCAGAAAGTCTTCCTGGGTTTTCCTTCTGAATATCATCTAAGTGTGCCCTCCTTTCCCTCTCAGATGCTACAGACTCACAACTTTATCATCACACCTGGTTTATCGGTAGTAGCTGCCTCTGGTATCTCCTCCCTCTTCCACTCTTTCATAAATCATTCACAGTGGTGACAGACTAATCTTGTCCAAGTATAAATCTGATTGTGTTTCTTCATGCATAAACCCTCTCAATAGGACTTTACTACTTAAAAATGAATTCACAGATATTTAGCATACCGTGTAAAATTCATTACAAACTGGGTGTTGCATACCTGTTCAGTCTCACCTCCCATCATTCCCTCTGCCCATTCCCCACACTCATGTGTGCTGTATATTCAACCAACGATTCAAGTTATTCATTGCTTTGCAAAAACATATTATTTCATGCCTCAAAATCCTCTGTCAGATACAGAGGCTTCTGTCTGAAATGCCTTCCCCCTTGTATTCCAGCTTCTATTATTTTCTCTGTGAAGGTTTTTCTATACTCCACATATAACTGCTCATTCCTTCTTTTCTGTTTCATCTGTTCCTGAAATTACTGAGCTTATCACATTACATTTTATTTGCAAGTATATATAGTTCCCTATGTAGACTGACTTACTTAGGGGCAGGCACAACAATTTTGTTTTCATCTTTCTATTTCTAGTACCTAATACATGTGATAACTCAGTACATACTTGTTAAAAGTTAAAGCTAATGCAAGGTATAGAGCTCATAGGGTTATAGAAACAAGAACTAATCTGAAATCAGTGATTTGTAATTGTTTCTGTACATATTCATGAAGAAGACTTCTTTCTGGAAGGAGAGCACATTTAAACTCCACCTTCAGTGATAGGTGAGATTTCAAAAGGTGAGGACTGATTGTAAGGTTATTCTAAATATAGGCAATGATATGATAAAAATTAGGATGTAAGAGACAAAATAAAAAGACAGAGACTTATATAGAAGATTGAGATCACAAGCCTCCCACTGATTGCATAAGAATCTTGAAATTTACCATATTCAAAAGATGAAGTTTTAAAATTAACTGATAGTGTGTACAAGCATATATGTAAACTACAAAGATAGTACTTTTGTGCACACAGTATAATCTACTCTGCTATGCTATTCATTCATGGGGGAATACTTCGTTCTACATATGAATTGTTCATTGAATATATTGAAAACATTTTGTGGGTAAAAACTATATCTTATTGGGATCTATGACTTGTACTTTTTCCTCATCCCTCAGGATTCCAAGAAGATTGCTAAATCTCTTATCTCAAAATATTTACTTGATAAACATAAACACCCAGGTATTACAAAGAAATTCTCGTATCTTTATAAAGTCAATCTACCTTCATCTACAGAAGGCATTATTTCTAAAGAGAGAAGCTTTAGAAGCATCCCGTTCAAGGTGGTTTAAAAAAAAAGGGGGGGGGGGTACTTTCTGTTCTTGTTATTGCTCACCATAGTGTTTAGAGTTATGCCCGAGTGACATAAGGAGAGGAAACAAAAAGAGGCGTAAATATTTGTCCTTTCAAATATAAGAATACCATGAGACAAAACACTAAACCTAATAAAAGAATTTAGCATGACTAGAGGATAATATATCAATAAACTTAATAAGCTTCTACACCACAGTAATTGCCAATTTAAATGCAATACAATAAAGTAAATACTATTTACAATGTCTCTATTTATTGTCTCTATCTCTACCATCCTATGTATCTAGAGATTTTAGTAATTAATCACATAAAGATTGTTTGAGACCTGTGTAGAGAAAAATTTCAGACTAATAAAGAGCATAGATCTCAGTAAATGGTCAGCCGTATACATAGCGGGATTGTAAAGATATCAATTATCTTCAAATTACTTAATAAAATAAAATTAAATTCCAATTAAAATTATATTTATGAGCTGGGGGAAAAATAAAATGATCCTAAGCTTTCTATGGAAGAACAAAGTTTAATAGAGTGGAAATATAATTTTTCAAAGAGCAAAATGGGAACACTTTTGCATCACATTCAGTCATGTTACAAATCTATGGAATTGAAACAGCACAGTTCTAAAATAATATTAGATAAACAGAACAAATAAACATAATAGAGTGTATAGAAACCAAAGCACTTATATATCAATTTAGTGTATATCAATTTCTAGAGGATGAACTACAAATAGTTTTCAACTTTCAGTGGTCTAAGTTTACTGCTTTTCAACTTTTCAATGGTGCAAAAGTGGTATGCATTCAATAAAAATTGTACCTCAAATACCCATACAACCATTCTATTTTTCACTTTCAGTACAATAAATTACATAAGCTATTCACCACTCTATTATAACAAAGGATTTGTGTCAAATGACTTTGCTCAACTGTAAGGTAAAGTACTTGTTCTGAGCACATTTAAGGTGATCTAGACTAACCTATGATATCTCATAGGTTAGATGCACTAAATGAAATTTTGACATCATATTTTCAACTTACATTGAGTTTATCAGAGTATAACCCCCACACAAGTCAAGGAGCAACTGTATTTAGTAATGCATTCAGTAAAAATTGTACTTTGAATACCCAAACAACCATTCTATTTTTCACTTTCAGTACAATAAATTACATAAGCTATTCACCACTTTATTATAACACAGGCTTTGTGTCAAATGACTTTGCTCAACTTTATGGTAATGTACTCGTTCTGAGCACATTTAAGGTGATCTAGGCTAAGCTATGACACATCATAGGTTAGGTGCACTAATTGAATTTTTGACATCATGTTTTCAACTTAACATTGAGTTTATCAGGGTGTAACCCCTTCACAGGTCAAGGAGCAACTGTATTTAGTAAATAGTATTGAGAAAATTAGCTCAATATATAGAAGAATAAGAAATTAGATTTCTACCACATATCATATTTAAAAATTAGGACTAAATAGGCCAGAAATGTAAAAATGAAAAAAAAATTTAAATCTACCAGAAGAAAATATAGGAGACTATAGGTGTGTCTTTAGGACTAAAAGGATTTCTTAAAACAGACCCATAAATCAAAAGGCATTAAAGAAACAACTTATAGATTAAGCTTCATGAAAATGTAAGATATTGGTCCAATTTAAAAAGAAAATACAAAGTTATCAAACAGATATTAGGTTGGAGAAGATATTTGCAGCATTCAAAAGTAACTAAGCTTCAATGTCTGGAATTTATAGAAAATGAGAAAAAGCAAATGGATTAGTGAGAATATGATATGAACCATAATTCATAGAAACCCTAACAATCAATAAATATGCACAGAGGGAGATAAACTCACCAGCAATTAGGAATATGCAAATTTTAAAAATATCAAACTGAGGTTTCCTTCTGAATCTACCTGATGGAGAAATTACAAGGTCAGATAATATCAAGCATTGGGTAGAATGAGAGAAAATGAGAATCTTCTTGTAACTGAAAATTTAATTTTGTTCAGCCATTTTTGAGAGCAATCTGGATTTATTTAGGGCAAACTGGATATAAGGACAATATTCGTTGGAGTAATGTTAGACACTGAAGTAAAAAAAAATACATGTCAAAATTTCAGTTATTTAAATAGAATAAAACTCTCATATAGCAGTCCACTGCCAGTCTTCCTGTCTGTTGGCTTTTTCTGTGACCTGTGTTTCAGGAACCCAGGTTCCTTCCAGTGTGTTGCTCTTTCCTCTTCATTACATGGCTCTTAAGGGCTTCCCTGAGCTCATAACCATTTCAGCCAGGAAAGATTAGGAAGAAAGGCACATAGAAGGGCTTTATAGACCAGGCCTGGAAGTGGCTCATGTTACTCTCATCCATCTCTCATTGGCTTGTACTAAGTCACATGGCCATTCCCAACTGCAAAGGGGGTTGGGAAGTACAGTCAAGTTGAGAGCCTAGGAAGAAGAGACAGTTTGCGGAACACTAACATAGATAAAAGCATATCTATGACCCATCAATTCCATTCTGACTTATACACCCCAGAAAAAGCACCACATGATGTGGAAGGATACATATATAAAAATGTCTAGCAGTGTGTCATTTTTGATAACAAAAATTTAGAGGTAAACTTAAGTGTTCATCAGTGGAGGATAGATAAGTAAAATGGGCCACATAGACATTTTAAAATACTGTGTAGTATGATCAGAAAGATGACTTAGTTTTACACATAGCTAAAGTTTATTTATTTTACTATTTTTTAATTTTCTGGAGTGCAGTGGCATGATTCAGCTCACTGCAACCTCTTTCTCCTGGGTTCAAGTGATTCTCTGGCTTCAGCCTCCAAAGTAGCTGAGATTACAGGCACCCACCATCACGCCGGGCTAATTTTTGTATTTTAGTAGAGACAGAGTTTCACCATGTTGGCCAGGCAGGTCTCAAACTCCAGATATCAAGTGATCCACCCGCCTTGACTTCCCAAAGTGCTAGGACTACAGGCAAGAGTCACTGCACCCAGCCACACATAGCTAAATGTATGGATGTGAAAGAATAATAAATGATTAAACAGACATTGTACAAGATTTCCAGCTAAATTTCATTTGTGTCAATCTTTCAAACTACATAAAATGGTACCATATATTTATCAGATATACATGAGTATATAAATAAACTATGGATTGTGGAGAGAAAAAACATACATCAAAACATAGGTGTGGATAACTATTGGAGGATGAGCTTGAGGATGGTAAATAAAAGTAAAATATAGTAAAATTAAAAAGAGGGGATGTTTATAGACTGCTGATGACTGTGTGCCATGAATTTTGAAATGTCAACAGTTCAGTTCTGTTTATGCAAGCTCTTCCTCAAAACAAAATAGCCCAAGGCAAAGCAATCTGACCCACAAACAACTGTACACAGGAAGCATCATAAAAAAACTAATTGTCTGTTTGGGGATTGAGCACTAAAGGACCTCTGGGTCATTGCAAGTTCAGCAGCTAACATTCAAGAAAATATTCATTGAGTTACTACCCTGTGTATGACATTTCACAGCCCTCATGGAATTTTATATATTAAGGGGTAAGGTGGAGGGGCAGACATTAAACAAAGAAGCAAATTTTGATGAGAACTTTAAGGAAGGGAAATATTATAAAAGACAAAGACATTATAACAAATTTCCCCCTGATTAATTGGGGGACATAAAGTCATTGGAATACAACTCACATTTCCAAGGATTGAGCATGTAAATGAAACTTGATGGTAAAATCAGAGTTACCAGAAAAAAAGTTGGAAAAGAGCATTCCAGGGGATGAGGATGACATATAAAAAAAATATGGAATATTGGAGGAATTAAATGTGGATGACACAGGCAGAGGAAGGTTGTCTCATGATCAGAAGCGAGGCAGGCACTAGAACGTTGGGCTTTGTCATACCTGTGAAGTACCTGGGATTTTATTCTCAAATGCAACAGCCTTTTTGTGTGATGATACAATTTTTTATGTTTATTCTAAATTTAAAAAAATAAAAAATGCTTCCCTTGTTCCCAGAGATCTATGTAAAAATATGATCATGGCAGTGCTTGTGAAAGAGAGAAAAATAGAAAATAAAATCTAAATATCTATCAATAGAGTCAAATAAAGAAGGGCACATCTGTATTACAGAACACTTCTTTTTTTTATTATACTTTAAGTTTTAGGGTACATGTGCACATTGTGCAGGTTAGTTACATATGTATACATGTGCCATGCTGGTGCGCTGCACCCACTAACTCGTCATCTAGCATTAGGTATATCTCCCAATGCTATCCTTCCCCCTTCCCCCCACCCCACCACAGTCCCCAGAGTGTGATATTCCCCTTCCTGTGTCCATGTGATCTCATTGTTCAATTCCCACCTATGAGTGAGAATATGCGGTGTTTGGTTTTTTGTTCTTGTGATAGTTTACTGAGAATGATGATTTCCAATTTCATCCATGTCCCTACAAAGGACATGAACTCATCATTTTTTATGGCTGCATAGTATTCCATGGTGTATATGTGCCACATTTTCTTAATCCAGTCTATCATTGTTGGACATTTGGGTTGGTTCCAAGTCTTTGCTATTGTGAATAGTGCTGCAATAAACATACGTGTGCATGTCTCTTTATAGCAGCATGATTTATAGTCCTTTGGGTATATACCCAGTAATGGGATGGCTGGGTCAAATGGTATTTCTAGTTCTAGATCCCTGAGGAATCGCCACACTGACTTCCACAATGGTTGAACTAGTTTACAGTCCCACCAACAGTGTAAAAGTCTTCCTATTTCTCCACATCCTCTCCAGCACCTGTTGTTTCCTGACTTTTTAATGATTGCCATTCTAACTGGTGTGAGATGGTATCTCATAGTGGTTTTGATTTGCATTTCTCTGATGGCCAGTGATGATGAGCATTTTTTCATGTGTTTTTTGGGCTGCATAAATGTCTTCTTTTGAGAAGTGTCTGTTCATGTCCTTCGCCCACTTTTTGATGGGGTTGTTTGTTTTTTTCTTGTAAATTTGTTTGAGTTCATTGTAGATTCTGGATATTAGCCCTTTGTCAGATGAGTAGGTTGCGAAAATTTTCTCCCATTTTGTAGGTTGCCTGTTCACTCTGATGGTAGTTTCTTTTGCTGTGCAGAAGCTCTTTAGTTTAATTAGATCCCATTTGTCAATTTTGTCTTTTGTTGCCATTGCTTTTGGTGTTTTGGACATGAAGTCCTTGCCCATGCCTATGTCCTGAATGGTAATGCCTAGGTTTTCTTCTAGGGTTTTTATGGTTTTAGGTCTAACGTTTAAGTCTTTAATCCATCTTGAATTGATTTTTGTATAAGGTGTAAGGAAGGGATCCAGTTTCAGCTTTCTACATATGGCTAGCCAGTTTTCCCAGCACCATTTATTAAATAGGGAATCCTTTCCCCATTGCTTGTTTTTCTCAGGTTTGTCAAAGATCAGATAGTTGTAGGTACGTGGCATTATTTCTGAGGGCTCTGTTCTGTTCCATTGATCTATAGCTCTGTTTTGGTACCAGTACCATGCTGTTTTGGTTACTGTAGCCTTGTAGTATAGTTTGAAGTCAGGTAGTGTGATGCTTCCAGCTTTGTTCTTTTGGCTTAGGATTGACTTGGCGATGCGGGCTCTTTTTTGGTTCCATATGAACTTTAAAGTAGTTTTTTCCAATTCTGTGAAGAAAGTCATTGGTAGCTTGATGGGGATGGCATTGAATCTGTAAATTACCTTGGGCAGTATGGCCATTTTCACTATATTGATTCTTCCTACCCATGAGCATGGAATGTTCTTCCATTTGTTTGTATCCTCTTTTATTTCCTTGAGTAGTGGTTTGTAGTTCTCCTTGAAGAGGTCCTTCACATCCCTTGTAAGTTGGATTCCTAGGTATTTTATTCTCTTTGAAGCAATTGTGAATGGGAGTTCACCCATGATTTGGCTCTCTGTTTGTCTGTTGTTGGTGTATAAGAATGCTTGTGATTTTTGCACATTGATTTTGTATCCTGAGACTTTGCTGAAGTTGCTTATCCCCTTAAGGAGATTTTGGGCTGAGACAATGGGGTTTTCTAGATATACAATCATGTCGTCTGCAAACAGGGACAATTTGACTTCCTCTTTTCCTAATTGAATACCCTTTATTTCCTTCTCCTGCCTAATTGCCCTGGCCGGAACTTCCAACACTATGTTGAATAGGAGTGGTGAGAGAGGGCATCCCTGTCTTGTGCCACTTTTCAAAGGGAATGCTTCCAGTTTTTGCCCATTCAGTATGATATTGGCTGTGGGTTTGTCATAGATAGCTCTTATTATTTTGAAATACGTCCCATCAATACCTGATTTATTGAGAGTTTTTAGCATGAAGGGTTGTTGAATTTTGTCAAAGGCTTTTTCTGCATCTATTGAGATAATCATGTGGTTTTTGTCTTTGGCTCTGTTTATATGCTGGATTACATTTATTGATTTGCGTATATTGAACCAGCCTTGCATCCCAGGGATGAAGCCCACTTGATCATGGTGGATAAGCTTTTTGATGTGCTGCTGGATTCGTTTTGCCAGTATTTTATTGAGGATTTTTGCATCAATGTTCATCAAGGATATTGGTCTAAAATTCTCTTTTTTGGTTGTGTCTCTGCCCGGCTTTGGTATCAGAATGATGCTGGCCTCATAAAATGAGTTAGGGAGGATTCCCTCTTTTTCTATTGATTGGAATAGTTTCAGAAGGAATGGTACCAGTTCCTCCTTGTACCTCTGGTAGAATTCGGCTGTGAATCCATCTGGTCCTGGACTCTTTTTGGTTGGTAAACTATTGATTATTGCCACAATTTCAGAGCCTGTTATTGGTCTATTCAGAGATTCAACTTCTTCCTGGTTTAGTCTTGGGAGAGTGTATGTGTCGAGGAATTTATCCGTTTCTTCTAGATTTTCTAGTTTATTGGCGTAGAGGTGTTTGTAGTATTCTCTGATGGTAGTTTGTATTTCTGTGGGATCGGTGGTGATATCCCCTTTATCATTTTTTATTGTGTCTATTTGATTCTTCTCTCTTTTTTTCTTTATTAGTCTTGCTAGCGGTCTATCAATTTTGTTGATCCTTTCAAAAAACCAGCTCCTGGATTCATTGATTTTTTGAAGGGTTTTTTGTGTCTCTATTTCCTTCAGTTCTGCTCTGATTTTAGTTATTTCTTGCCTTCTGTTAGCTTTTGAATGTGTTTGCTCTTGCTTTTCTAGTTCTTTTAATTGTGATGTTAGGGTGTCAATTTTGGATCTTTCCTGCTTTCTCTTGTGGGCATTTAGTGCTATAAATTTCCCTCTACACACTGCTTTGAATGCGTCCCAGAGATTCTGGTATGTTGTGTCTTTGTTCTCGTTGGTTTCAAAGAACATCTTTATTTCTGCCTTCATTTTGTTATGTACCCAGTAGTCATTCAGGAGCAGGTTGTTCAGTTTCCATGTAGTTGAGCGGCTTTGAGTGAGATTCTTAATCCTGAGTTCTAGTTTGATTGCACTGTGGTCTGAGAGATAGTTTGTTATAATTTCTGTTCTTTTACATTTGCTGAGGAGAGCTTTACTTCCAAGTATGTGGTCAATTTTGGAATAGGTGTGGTGTGGTGCTGAAAAAAATGTATATTCTGTTGATTTGGGATGGAGAGTTCTGAAGATGTCTATTAGGTCCGCTTGGTGCAGAGCTGAGTTCAATTCCTGGGTATCCTTGTTGACTTTCTGTCTCGTTGATCTGTCTAATGTTGACAGTGGGGTGTTAAAGTCTCCCATTATTAATGTGTGGGAGTCTAAGTCTCTTTGTAGGTCACTCAGGACTTGCTTTATGAATCTTGGTGCTCCTGTATTGGGTGCATATATATTTAGGATAGTTAGCTCTTCTTGTTGAATTGATCCCTTTACCATTATGTAATGGCCTTCTTTGTCTCTTTTGATCTTTGTTGGTTTAAAGTCTGTTTTATCAGAGACTAGGATTGCAACCCCTGCCTTTTTTTGTTTTCCATTTGCTTGGTAGATCTTCCTCCATCCTTTTATTTTGAGCCTATGTGTGTCTCTGCATGTGAGATGGGTTTCCTGAATACAGCACACTGATGGGTCTTGACTCTTTATCCAATTTGCCAGTCTGTGTCTTTTAATTGGAGCATTTAGTCCATTTACATTTAAAATTAATATTGTTATGTGTGAATTTGATCCTGTCATTATGATGTTAGCTGGTGATTTTGCTCGTTAGTTGATGCAGTTTCTTCCTAGTCTCGATGGTCTTTACATTTTGGCATGATTTTGCAGCGGCTGGTACTGGTTGTTCCTTTCCATGTTTAGCGCTTCCTTCAGGAGCTCTTTTAGGGCAGGCCTGGTGGTGACAAAATCTCTCAGCATTTGCTTGTCTGTGAAGTATTTTATTTCTCCTTCACTTATGAAGCTTAGTTTGGCTGGATATGAAATTCTGGGTTGAAAATTCTTTTCTTTAAGAATGTTAAATATTGGCCCCCACTCTCTTCTGGCTTGTAGGGTTTCTGCCGAGAGATCCGCTGTTAGTCTGATGGGCTTCCCTTTGAGGGTAACCCGACCTTTCTCTCTGGCTGCCCTTCACATTTTTTCCTTCATTTCAACTTTGGTGAATCTGACAATTATGTGTCTGGAGTTGCTCTTCTCGAGGAGTATCTTTGTGGTGTTCTCTGTATTTCCTGAATCTGAACGTTGGCCTGCCTTGCTAGATTGGGGAAGTTCTCCTGGATAATATCCTGCAGAGTGTTTTCCAACTTGGTTCCATTCTCCACATCACTTTCAGGTACACCAATCAGACGTAGATTTGGTCTTTTCACATAGTCCCATATTTCTTGGAGGCTTTGCTCATTTCTTTTTATTCTTTTTTCTCTAAACTTCCCTTCTCGCTTCATTTCATTCATTTCATCTTCCATTGCTGATACCCTTTCTTCCAGTTGATCGCATCGGCTCCTGAGGCTTCTGCATTCTTCACGTAGTTCTCGAGCCTTGGTTTTCAGCTCCATCAGCTTCTTTAAGCACTTCTCTGTATTGGTTATTCTAGTTATACATTCTTCTAAATTTTTTTCAAAGTTTTCAACTTCTTTGCCTTTGGTTTGAATGTCCTCCCGTAGCTCCGAGTAATTTGATCGTCTGAAGCCTTCTTCTCTCAGCTCGTCAAAGTCATTCTCCATCCAGCTTTGTTCCGTTGCTGGTGAGGAACTGCGTTCCGTTGGAGGAGGAGAGGTCTGTGTTTTAGAGTTTCCAGTTTTTCTGTGCTGTTTTTTCCCCATCTTTGTGGTTTTATCTACTTTTGGTCTTTGATGATGGTGATGTACAGATGGGTTTTCGGTGTGGATGTCCTTTCTGTTTGTTAGTTTTCCTTCTAACAGACAGGACCCTCAGCTGCAGGTCTGTTGGAATACCCTGCCGTGTGAGGTGTCAGTGTGCCCCTGCTGGGGGGTGCCTCCCAGTTAGGCTGCTCGGGGGTCAGGGGTCAGGGACTCACTTGAGGAGGCAGTCTGCCGGTTCTCAGATCTCCAGCTGCGTGCTGGGAGAACCACTGCTCCCTTCAAAGCTGTCAGACAGGGACATTTAAGTCTGCAGAGGTTACTGCTGTCTTTTTGTTTGTCTGTGCCCTGCCCCCAGAGGTGGAGCCTACAGTGGCAGGCTGGCCTCCTTGAGCTGTGGTGGGCTCCACCCAGTTCGATCTGCTTTGTTTACCTAAGCAAGCCTGGGCAATGGCGGGCGCCCCTCCCCCAGCCTCGCTGCCGCCTTGCAGTTTGATCTCAGACTGCTGTGCTAGCAATCAGCGAGACTCCATGGGCATAGGACCCTCCGAGCCAGGTGTGGGATATAGTCTCGTGGTGCGCCGTTTTTTAAGCCGGTCTGAAAAGTGCAATATTCGGGTGGGAGTGACCCGATTTTCCAGGTGCGTCCGTCACCCCTTTCTTTGACTCAGAAAAGGAACTCCCTGACCCCTTGTGCTTCCCAGGTGAGGCAATACCTCGCCCTGCTTCAGCTCACGCACCGTGCGCGCACCCACTGGCCTGCGCCCACTGTCTGGCACTCCCTAGTGAGATGAACCCGGTACCTCAGATGGAAATGCAGAAATCACCCGTCTTCTGCGTAGTTCATGCTGGGAGCCGTAGACGGGAGCTGTTCCTATTCGGCCATCTTGGCTCCTCCCCCATCCAGAACACTATTTTAAATTTTAAAAAGACTAAGTAGATAAAACCAGATAAAAACAATGGATTTATTAGCATACTTAAAGAAGATGTAAGCCCCCATATGTGTGTGTGTATGTGTATATACATATACATATATACGTATATACACATACACACAACACACACATACATATAAACATATATTTTCATCTGAAAATGAATATAAAAGAAATATACTATATTTTTATCAGAAGTATCCTTCGGGCTAGGCATGTTGGCTCACGCCTGTAATCCCAACACTTTAGAAGGCCAAGATGGGTGGATTGCTTTCAGCTCAGGAGGCCAAGACTAGCCTGGGCAACGTGGCAAGACCCCGTTTCTACAAAAAATTAGCCAGGTATTGGTGGCTTGTGCCTGTAGTCCCAGCTACAGTGAGTATCCAGCTTCTCTGAGCCCGGAGAATCACCTGAGCTTGGGAATTGGAGGCTGCAGTGAGCCAAGATCTTGCTACTGCACTCCAGCCTGGCTGACAAAGTGAGACCCTGTCTCGAAAAAAAAAAAGTCTCCTTGGGAGAAAAGGGACAGTAAGTAGTGGGGAGTAAGAAAAGAACTTCCACTTTTCATAACATATACTTGCTTAAAACATTTATGATAAAAAGTATACTCTGTGTTATCAGGTTAATAACAAAAAGCAGAATAGAAAAATTTTAAGAGAAAATAGATTGACAAAATATTGCTGGAATATTTAAATGGTTTATGTAGTAATCATGGAGAAAGATGTTTGTTGTTCAGCATTGATGCTGGAGGAGACAAAGAGAAATGAATGAATTTTAAAGTATATTTTATACATAGAATCAACCATTAGAACTTGGTAATGGATTAGTTGCGCCAGACAGAAGAATGACATCTATTATCCAGAAATGAAAACCAGGAGGTTAGAGATACCATGAAATAAGATGATGGGGACATTAGCAGGATAAATTTGGAATGAAAATATCAAGTATTCTCTCGCACATCAGTTAAGTTTGAGATGTCTGCTTACCCCAGTGGAGATGTCAAGTAGGCAGCCACAATGGTCAGCAGGGAGGTCAGTTCAGGTATTAAGAATAGAAGAAAGAATAAATTTTGAAAGCTACTGACAGTATACCAAGCATGACATTTTGCTGTAGTTGTTCCTATGTGATCCAGGAATTTTATCAATACCATTATTTCATCATTTATATCACTAGTACCAATGCAAATAGCATTTCCTCTTCTATACTGACATGTATGTGTTTGTGCTTGTGTGTGTGTATGTGTGTGTGTGTGTGTGTGGATGTGTTTAATCATCTAGAAATTCTCTTAGCTTAATGTTAGAAAACACGGTGCTCAAGAAATGTAGTAATGTTTATACAAAGAATGCTAACAAGAATAGCCAAACACTTTAAGAAAACAAAACTAATATAAAAGTAAAAGCTCACAATTGTCTACATGCCTATTATTTACATATGGAAAGCACAGCCCTATAAAATTTTTTTCTTTGTGTGTGACTATCTAGGGTAGTGGTTCCCAAAGTATGGTCCCCAGACCAGTATTATTAGCACCACATGGGAATTTATTTGAAATTCAAATTATTGAGCCTTATCCCAGACCCACCGTATCAGAAATCTAGGATGGAGTCCAGTAATCAGTGTTTCAACAAGCCCACCATCCCAATCTGATGTACCTTCAAGTTTGAGAATCACTGATTTAGAAAAACTGTTACTACTTCTACAACCCTGTTTGCATAGAGCACCTGAGACTATTTAGGAGGAGTTTGATGATAAAGTTACAGAGGACTTGGTTATTCAGTGAGGAAATAAAAAGAAGCTATTTCATTTAAGTTTAGGCAGAAGTTAACTTCCATTCTGTACATGAATTTTGATTGGCACTGATGCTGACCTTTTGGAAGTCTGAGGCTCCTGGCACAAATGCTTTTAATCTAGTACAGATTTTTGACCTCATCATTGACAGAAAGTTGGCATTTCTGATACACAAAGACAAGACTATCTGACCTTTTTGCATTGCAATGATTGTCATGATTGGCAGGCCTTGGCCTCTCTTTTGAAGAGATGTGGCACTTGGCACTCTCAAATCATATAAAGAACCTTCATCCTGTCCTCTACAGCTTGAGCATGACAGATTGCCCCATCTGGTGATATTCTGAGATCCTGTTGTTTCAATGAGTTTGTGGATGACTATCAGCTTCCTGATGACAGACAGTGTGTAGGCTGGCAGCTGCCATGCTGATGTCCTTAGCTAGCAGTGATACTGTTTGACAGCCAGGACCTTTACTTGAGCATAGTGAGAGTTGATATCAACTCAGCAAAGAGGTAACACTGAAATCTAGCCCACAGATCACATTACCTATGGCATTCTGCTAAGAAAATAAGGCATGTAGGAGGCAAAGCAGGATATACTTACTACTTTTATCACTTGTGAAGTCAATATAGACTGAAATACATGCTTTTGTTTAACTTGTACCTCCTTGCTACATCTAAAGAAAAAAATCATCATTATCATCATCATCATCATCATCAACATCATCATCATCATCATCCTTAGCCAAGAAAGATGCAAGAGGAAATAAAACAAGTAAGTTTTTCCCTTAGGGTGCTTATAATCAATTTGGCAAAAAGATGGACATATGTTCACACGTAAAGAGGCAGCTATTCAGCTCTGGCTTATTGGTATCTTAGGGGCATGAACAAACTCTTCCATTTTACAAAAATTTGGAAATGAATATTTCATGTAAAGCAGCATTCCACCCCAATTTGTAATGTTTTAACTAATTCAAATCTAAAACGATCTGCAGACCTATGTTATGTGGGGAAAACAGAACATGTTTGTGTGTTGGAGGCAGCCCTTTGGTTCCGCTTTTGACCTCTGAAACAGGTTTTGGTCCTCATATTTCACCATCTCATGGTGTCCTCTTATAAAACTCCTCCTCCTGCAACCAAAATAATCCAAACACTTTTTTATAAAGTAGCCAATTATCAAGACAGAGAGAAAAATAAGTTTCAATTTTAACTTCAATTATAGAAGTATTTGTGTTTAAGAATCTCTTGTAATAAAGTCCTGGGTCCCTAAAGCACATTAAACCACCACCAGTTGAAAATATCTCAGATGGGTCCATATATCCATACAGTTATTCAGGTGCATACATCCTTACTAAGGGAAACTCCACAATTGCATAAATCTTTCACAACAAATAAGGGAAAATGAATGATCACTGCTCTTGGCATTCAACTCTCCTGATTGCTGAGAGGAAATTGAAGAATAGGAGAAAGGGGAGGATTCAGGATGCCACCCCATTTGACACCTCACAGAAACATAAATATAGAATGTTAGGGAGTTGTATACATGTGGTAGGGAAAAGCAAATAAAGAGGAATGCAAAGAAAGTTGCTTCATTATTGATGGTTCTTAAATTTGCTACATGCGAGAATCACTTGGGAAGCTTTTAAAGCTCTGCTGCCCAGGCCATACCCACATCTATAAAATCATTGTCTCTAGCACCAGAACACAGGCATCCATGACTCCATATACAGCCAACTTTGAGAATACTACACAGTAGTAAGTGTGGTGAAATTCAGGATACAGTTGAGCTATAAACCCATTATTTAAAGCAGAAAAGTGAGAGGAGAGGGAACGAAGGGATGTGTAATTTTCTAATGCCTACAAATCTCACTTCTTTTGTGGGCTGACCCCTCCACCCATTTTATTCAGGCATTCTCCTTTTTAAATTTTCAGCAAAATTGTGATTCCCATTTCAACCATAAACTCAAAACATTTTATTACCTGACCATTAAATGTTTTCACCAACTAACCTCTCTGTCTGCCATTTTTCTTTTCATGAGTCCTTTCTATATAGATGTTGCTGCCAAGTTAATCTTGCCATGACCCCACCATTATAATCTTTCATATCTGCTCAAAATTTTAAATGACTTGTTTATCTCCTCGGCTACCTGAGTTCTCCAGAATTACGTTATTCTTTTTTAATAAACATAAATATAATACTATGTGGTTGGTATTATTCTTAGAACTTTGTAACATTTATTTATTGAATCATGCTGGCAACTCTATGAGGGAGGTATTTTTATTATCTTTATTTTAAAAATGAGTATACAGAGGCAGAGTGAGCTCAAGTACTTTGCCCAGAGTTACAAACATGGTCAGGGGTAGTTACTGACATTCAGCAAATGAAGTTTGGCTCCAAAGACTACATTCCCATTCTATTAGCCTTCCCTTCTTATCTTTTCTGTTGCAGCCAAATTCTTCAATTACTTTCACCTCAATCTATAATCACAATATCAGTTCTGATTTGGGCACTGTAACTTGTTCTCCCTTCTCTGTTTCCCCTCTTTTCCTTTTTTCATATTTTCTTCCGTGGCTATGTCTGAACACTTACATCTTGTGTCAAACACTAGAAAGAGTTTCTGCCACCAAGGGGACACGGACAATAAAGAACTGTCATGCAACAATTTATTTTCCAAGGACCAACTGAAATCCCACTCTCTGCAATAACTTGCTTGGTAACTCAGGTCAGAAGAGATGGCTTGGTTCCCTCAAATTTATACCTCACATAGTTGATATGATTTATTTTTTGGCAACTAATCCTACAATTTATGTTTTTAGGTAATAATCCATCTCTCCAATAGATAAATTACTTTGGGAGAGGATCACTCTTTTTTATTGTTTTAATATTTTAGCAAATATTAAAATAATAATTAAATATATAAAATAATAAAACATAAATAAAATAAAAATAAATTAAAAGTATTTTAAATATTTTAGCAAATATTTTTGAGTCATGTCTCTGTATCAGGTCCTTTTGTATTTGCCAAGAAAAGTGTTGAGTAAAACAAAATACCTGTTCTCATCCACATGGAGCCTACATGACCAGCAGCTTGTCTTTCTCTAGTAGCTTGTATTTCTCCTTACAGATTTGAAAATAATAACAGTGAAGCTTAGGAAAGATTGAGTAAAATAATGAGAGGAATAAAAACAGAGGAGACCAATAATACTGTCATCTACGTTAATATTGAGGGATGATTACTTGTGCCAAAAGAGCGTTTATTGGAAGTAATATTTTTTAATTGTCTACCATCTTTTGTAACCAAAGGTGTTAGGCCATTCTTACGTTGCTATAAAGAAATACCTGAGCCTGGGTAATTTACGAAGAAGAGAAGTTTGATTGGCTCACAGTCCTGCAGGCTATACGGGAAGCATGATGCAGACATCTGCTAGTTTCTGGGGAGGCCTCAGGAAGCTTCTACTCATAGCAGAAGGTGAAGCTGGAGCAAGCACATCACATGGGGAAAGCAGAAGCAAGAGAGGGGAGGGAGGTACCACACACTTTTAAACTACCAAACCTCATGAGAACTTACCCACTATCACAAGGACAGCACTAAGCCAGTCATGAGGGATCCACCCCCATGGCCCAATAACCTCCCACCAGGCCCCACCTCCAACACGGGGATTATATTTTAACAGCAGATTTGGGCAGAGATATATATTCAAACCATATCACCAGACCACCAGGATCAGGGAAGTTGTATATACAAAATGTGAATAATATTCACTATTTGGAGACTTTTAGAAAATAAATAAGTATGTCCTATATCTAGGGATGTGGTCCCCAATTATATCACGATTTAGAAAAAAATTAATATTTTAAAATTCTGAATGTTTTGTTCAAGATGGAACCTACTTAATTACAAGGCTGTAAAAAGAATGTATGACTTTTGCTTGGAATTAAGCTCCTGGTCTAAACACTGGAGCACTTTTTGATTATAAAGTAAAGTTATAGTCATTTCTAATCCTAAATAATTTGGGCCAAATAGATTTTGCATGTGATATTTATGACTCATATACTGTGTTCTGTAAAACTTCCCCCAAAGACTCATTAAATCTGTTTTATGAGTATTTTTCCCAGCCTTGAACTTTCATTAACTGGAAGGAAGAGAATAAAGCCCATTTACAATGCCACCAGATCCATGCCAAGGCCCTTGCTTGACGGATGTCTTCCTAATGAATTATACGTATTGTAAACAGTAGTATATGCCAGCCAAAAGTTTTCATTAATTTTTCATTAATGAAATGCACCACTTAGCTTGTTTGACATTTAACCAAGCTACATAAATTTAAGCTAGATAGAGGTCACCATAGAAAAGCATTTGCAAGTGTCACTGAAGAAACAAGCTAGCAGCTGCTCCACCTCTTAACACAAATCCTGCCCCAAACCATGTTCCAGTTTACCACCAACAGATTAATAAAACATGGAACAAATCAATGATACCGTAATCAGCTGCTAGTGGCTGATTTTAAATTTAGTTCTCTATGCTACTATTTAAGAACATTGTGTGTTTTTAATAGTTTCTCCTTCATTTTTGGTTCCCAAATGGACAGCATAGCCATCAGTTACCTGGAGGCATTTTGGTTCTAAATGCTGCAAGTGCTGTGTATTTCAGACCCTCCCTGCTTTCTAATATCTAGCTTCCACCATGTGTTTCAGGTTTCAAAAAAAAAAAAAAAAACCCATGTGAATAAGGTAAAAATACTCTTAAACTGTAGTTAAATACACTGTGACGACAGGAAATCCACACACCTACATAACCTGCAAAACCCAAAGCTTTCATGCCAAAGAATTCCCAGAAAAGTGAAAAATAGCTAGTCTTTAAAATATAAGGTTTTGGAAAAGAATTCTCTTTCCCTTCATTCTTGATACTCTTAGGAGTTCAGCTCACTTAAAGCATAACAATTCTATAGCAACTCAGGTAACTCTAAGTTCTTCTAATTGATACATGTGTAATTGCTAATGTCTACCTGATAGAGATGGGCTTAGGATCCAGGCAGAGCTGAGCTTACAGAGGACATTATATCTTGAGTTCTTTCAACCTGAAGAAAGCAAAAGCCAACAGAAAATGATATTTTTGTTCGCCGCAGGTTATATACAGTCCGTGTTCAATAGGAGCAAAAAACTATGCTTTTGCTTCTATTGAACACGGACTGTATATATCCTGCGGCGAACAAAAATATCAACAACATCACAATGATATTACAATATCATCACAAATGATATGGTTGTGCTCCCTCTCCATGTTGGTCAGGAGGGCAGGTACATTTTCAATTTCACAAAGGTTTATTATGCTCAGATTCTGTGCATAATACTATGCCAGGCACAGAGAATACAAAGAAATATTCTCTTTGTTCCTACTCTCCAAGAGTTTATTTCAGTAGTGGAAACAGACATAATCGGACCATGTTAATATCTTCAGGTAGTGCGGTAATTATCCTTAGCGAACTAATAAAGGAACAGAAAGCCAAATACCACATATTCTTACTTACAAGTGTGAGCTAAATGATGAGAACACATTGAAACATAGAGGGGAGCAACACACAATGGGGCCTATTGGAGGGTGGAGTGGTAGGAGGAGGGAGAGGATCAGGAAAATTATCTAATGGTTACTAGGCTTAATAGGTGGGTGAAGAAATAATCTGTACAACAAACCCTTATGATACAAGTGTACCTATGTAACAAATCTGCACATGTACCTCTGACCTTAAAATAAAAGCTAAAAAAAGAAAAAGAATATAACATTCTTACACCGTTTTCTCAAACCATAAGATTCAACTAAATCCATCCCTGGTTGCAAGGTAGATTCTACTTGTTACTCTCTTCTTTGAGAGATTCTCAGTTTCATTTCATTTTATCAAACACAAGACATTCCAAAAGTTCCTTTCAGATGTACTAGCACATTTCCACATAAAATATGTTATATAATAAATGAATAAAGAAAATAAGAATATGTAATATTTATCTAATAAGAGCAATGCCTTTCTTGAAATTCTGTTGCTGAGAACCAGGGTTGAACCACAGAGTCTTTCTTTTAGTTATACTCTGGCCATCAATCTTACATCCCCAAGCATGTTTCTCTCCTCTGGAGATTCTCCTGGGATTCATTTTTATTTCCTTCCTTCTTTCAATCTATCATCATTCACTTTTTAACCTAGAGTTTATTACCCCACTTTAGCCCACTCCCCAGCAATACTGCTTCAGAGAGATCAGCATTTCCCCAGCCTCTAATTTTCTTGCTATTCCTCAGTAGAATACAAAAGATTTCTGTTTTTAGAGTACCTCTGCCAATCGTTTAGTAAGGCAGCCTCAATTTCATTAACAATAAATTTCCTTAGAGCAATGTCAAGGAGAGAAGAAAACAGTACAAACTAAATCTGTACTGGTGATTCTTATGAAAAAAAGGGGTGGAGAGCAGGGGTGATTTAAATACAGAGTTAAGAGAAACACTTACTAAACCCTTCACATATTCCTGAACCATCTTTGCATCACCCACTAGTTTTCTCACTCCATGCAGTTATTCTTTTGCCTCTCAAGTGAGGGGAAAGAACAACTCAAGTACTAGACTATCAGGTTTTTCTTTCAAATCACCTGACCACTTAAGTAATTTATTATACAGCTATACATTATCTTTAAGTCATATCCTTTGATCTTGCTCAAGTCCTTATTACAGGTCTATTTTAATATTATTCAAATACCAGAGATGTATCCTGCTTTCTCTTCCTTCTTCCTGTCATAAAGGTACCTTTCTCCTAGAAAGCCTGTCCTACCCCACCTTAAAAAAGACGTGTAAGCCATGAGGGCATGGGAAAGAAGTAGAAAGTAGAAGTAATTTAAAGCTATCCTATTCCTATATTATCATATCTACCTGGAGAACTACAGGACAAATGCCATCCATCTCTATTTCTTCATAACTCTTGTCACTCTCTGACTATAGAACTAGTTCATATAATTATTAAATAATAGGTATAACAAAACTGCTTGTTTTATGTATTTAAATTATCAGGTTTTGATAACAGAAGCCTGAGAAATTTTTTTGCAAACCAATTAAATTTAGAAATCAGATTTTTCAACACACACACACACACACATGCACACACACACTTAAAAAGTAACCTTCTGTTTTTCTCTCTTCTCTTATATATCCATCTGGTTCCTCATCTTGGATGACTCACTGAGACTTCTGTCCTCATTCCCAGTGAAAGATGACATCTCTATCTAGTTCCTCATCAAATAAAATGGAGAGTGGTGATTTTTCTATCTCCCCCTTCCTATTACCCAAATAATAAAAACATTTTAATTACTTCCTAAATATGTATTGAATCCATTCTCCCTATCCTTGCCATTATTGCCTTCCTGTAGGCCGTCATTATCTTTTCACTGCTTTGTCTAATCGCCTCTTCAAAATTTTGGTTCCCAAAATACTCATGGTAATCCTCCTGGCTACCAATATAGGATTCTTTTAAAATACAAATATGACCATCTCATTTCCCTGCTCAAAAGTGTTCAATGACTCCCAGACAAATATAAGATAAATAGAAAGCTACTTACCATTATCTTTCATGATTTTGCTTCCTGTCCATATTAGCCAGTTTTTTAAAATTTTTGCACTAGTTACAGCATATACTTGTACTTCGCATTCCAGATAAGCTAAACAGCTTGGAATTGTCCTAAGTTCCACAGTTTATATATCCTGAATACAATACCCGTTCCCTAAAGCTGTTCTTCATTCTCATTTATCTTGCAAACTTATCTTCCCCAAAAACTATGCAGATAGTTTCTCCTATAAATCTTGCACTAACACTCCATGAAAGCTTCAATCACTTTTTCTACTGTACTATTTCTATATCGTATATAAACATACACCACTGTTGATTCCAAATGCATTATACATATTTATGTATCTCTTTGTTTTGCTAGGCCAGCATTTTTGAAACCAAGGTTGCAAAATATTGGTGAATCATGAATTAGAAGAAGAATGCAAAGGACAGGATAGGGTTGGATAGAATGTGGTATATTACATACAGCAAGGATATAATTGCTTCATTAAATTCTTATTTCAATATGAAGAGAAGGTGAAGAGTAGAGAGGAGAGAGAGACACAGAGAGAGAGAGGTGTCATATACTGGCAAGTGATACATAAAGAATTTTTGTGGGTCATAGCGAAAAAAATGAATGTGACTATATTGGTGTGTAAGTATATTGCTATAGGATTAATTTTGTAATAATTTAAATAATAACAATGTCATTCATGTATAAGTACCTACTTAAAACCAGGTGCTGGCCTTCGTGCCAAATAAATAATTATTTATATTGTAACCATCATCCTGCAAAATAGAGACCATCATTCCCATTTTACAAATGAAGACAGGTTTTGGATCTTTTATTTGTCAAATTCAATTCCACTGATTTGGATGCATATTATTTCTCTCTCTCTTGTTTTTATTTTGAGACATGGTCTCACTCTGTCATCCAGGCTGGAGTGCAGTGGGATGAGGATGGCTCACTGTAGCCTTCACCTCCCAGGCTCAGGCAATCCTCCCACCTCAGCCTCCTGAGTAGCTGGGACCACAAGCATGTGCCATCATACCTGGCTAATTTATTTTTATTTTTATTTTTTGTAGAGAGAGGGTCTCCCTATGTTGTCCGGACTGGTCTCAAACTACTGGTCTCAAGTGATCCTCCCGCCTTGGTTTCCAAACTGTTGGGATTACAGGCATGACTCACCATGCCTGGTCCATGTCTAGTTCTAACCCACTTCTTTGATAAGTGCATTTTCACCAGTCATATACGAACAACTTGACACATTAAAGATTAGAGAACCACCCATGAAAGATAAGTACTTTTTCCTTAGGCAAACAGCAATGTTGAAATTTACACCACGTCTATATGGTCCCCAAATGTATACCCTTTCCACCACTTCATACTGCCTTAATTTTCTAATCCTATTAGACTCTAACCCTATTAGATTCCTATTAGACACCTGCTATGTAAGAGCTGATAAAACTTCCATGATATTCATGGAGTTTTAATATAACGTGATTGAGCCCTATTTGAATGTGTAGAAGTTATTAAAACATATCCGGGCGAGCTCTATTTGAATGTGTAGAAGTTATTAAAACCCGGAGCCGGGTACGGTGGTTCACGCCGGTAATCCCAGCACTTTGGGAGGCTAAGGCAGGCGGATCACGAGGTCAGGAGATTGAGATCATCCTGGCTAACACGGTGAAACCCCGTCTCTACTAAAAATACAAAAAATTAGCCGGGCGTGGTGGCGGGCGCCTCTAGTCCCAGCTACTTGGGAGGCTGAGGCAGGAGAATGGCGTGAACCTGGGAGGCGGAGCTTGCAGTGAGCCAAGATGGCGCCACTGTACTCCAGCCCCCGCGACAGAGGGAGACTCCGTCTCAAAAAAAAAAAGTTATTAAAACACCTTCTTTGCTCTCCAAAAGCAAGGAATAAAAATGACATCAATAAAAAGGACAAAATATTAATAATACAAGTACATGTGCAAAAATGTGCATTATGACCCAAGTATAGGAATTGGCCTATTTGTAGACAGGCACAAAGAGAAACATATATGGGGCATTCAAAACCATTAATAATGCTGGCTTTGGCTACTAATAAGCCTTATAAACAAACCCAGGTCAAACTAGAAATCAACCCAGAGTCACTATTGTTTAAACTTTTTTCAGAAGTATCATTAAGGTTTTTTTTTTGAAAAGTAATTTTTTGATAGTTAAAATTTTATTAAAATTTTTATTTGTGTAGATTTATGGGGCACATGTGCAGATTTGCTACATGCATGTATTGTATAGTGTTTCAGTGGTGAAGTCTGGGCTTTGAGTGTAACCATCACTCAAACAGTGTGCATTGTGTCCATTAGGTAATTTATCATTCTTCACCCCCCTCACTTTCTCACCTTCCCAAGTCTCCAGTATCTATTCCATTCTCTATGCCATGTGTACACATTACTTCAATCCCACCTATAAGTTAGAACATTCAATATTTGACTTTCTGTTTCTGAGTCATTTCATTTGAGATTATGGCCTCCAGTTCCATCATGTTGCTACAAAAGCCATAATTTTATTCCCCTAGAGTCTTGTTTTTTTAAAGAAAATAAAACCTTTGAACTTATTAATACCAAGTGCAAGGAGGTTTCCAAATACATTTCCTTGCTTAACATTCTTATCTCAAGTATATGAAGTTTCAATATTGTGTTGGCTATTCTGGGTCACTGGCCTATCCATATAAATTTTACATTCAGCTTGTCAATATTCATAAAATAACTTGTTGGGATTTGTATTGAGAGTGCATTGAATCTATAAATCAAGTTGAGAAAAACTAACATTTTGACAATACTCAGTCTTTCTGTCCATGAACATGGAGTATCTCTCCACTTACGTAGTTGTCCTTTGATTTCTTTCATCAGAGTTCTAGTTTTTCTTGTACAGATCTTGTAACTATTTTGTTAGACTTATTGATATGGTTTGGCTCTGTGTTCCCACCCAAATCTCATCTCAAATTGTAATCCCCATATCACTTGGTGTTGAGGGAAGGACCACGTAGGAGGTGACTGGATCATGGGGGCAGTTTCCCCCATGCTGTTCTCATGATAGTGAGTTCTCATGAAATCTAACAGTTTTACAAGGAGTTTTCCCTGCTCTTGCCCACTCTCTCTCTTGCCTGCCACCATGTAAGATGTTCCTGCTTCCTCTTCTGCCATGACTGTAAGTTTCCTGAGGCCCACCCCCAGCCATGTGGAACTGTGAATCAATTAAACCTCTTTTCTTTATAAATTACCCAGTCTCGGGCAGTTCTTTATAGCAGTACAGACTAATACACTTATACTTTAGCATTTTATTTTTGGATGTGCTACTGTAAATAATATTGTGTTCTGAATTTCAATTTCCATTTGTTCATTGCTGGTATGTAAAAAAGCAATAGATTTTTGTATATTTACCTTGTATTCTGCAACCTTGCTGTAACTGATTGTTAGTTCCAGGAGGTTTTTTTTTTTTTTTTTTTTTTGTCTATCCTTCTGGATTTTCTAGATAGACAATCATGTAATCCGTGAATGAAGATAACTTTATTTCTTCTTTCTGAATCATATACATTTTCTGTCCTTATCTTATTGCATTAAGTAGGACTTCCAGTACAACCCTGAAAATCTGCGGTGAGAGGAGATAGTCTTACCTTGTTTCTGATCTAGATTCTCACCATTATGTAGAATGTTAGCTGTAAAATGTTTGTAGATACTATTTATTAAGTCAAGGTAGTGTCCATCGATTCCTAGCTAGCTAAGGGTTTTTGTCATGAGTGAATGTTGGATTTTATCAAGTGCTTTCTATACCTATTGATATGATTATGTGATTTTACTTTTTTATTCTGTTCATGTGATGGATTAATTAATTGATTTTCAAATTGAACCAGCCTTACATCCTCAGGATAATTGCAACTGGTCATGGTATACAATTCTTTTATACATTATTGGGTTTGATTTGCTCATTTTTTATTGTGAAAGGAAACTATTAATTTTAACTTAAATATTTTAAGTGGGTGAAAAATCTGATTAGATATTTTATAACAGAAGATGAACAGATGGCAAATAAGCACATAAAATATGCTCACCATTATTTTTTGCTAAAAAAATTATAGGTTAACTCCACAATGAGATACCATGAAATACCAATTAGAATGATCAAAAATTAAAGCCAAAATCCAACCACAACAGAAACTAATCAAGTGCTGGCAAAGATGCAAAGCAACAAGAACCATTTTACCTTCCAATAGGAAGTAAAATGGTATCATCACTTGGATTATAGTTTGGCTGTTTTTTGTAATGTCAAATATCACACAGCCCAGCAACCCTCTGTGGGCACTTACCTAGAGCAGTTATAATTAATGGTCACACAAAGTGTTTAAACAAGCTTTAAACACAACCACTCAAAACTTGAAGCTCTTAATATCTTTAAACTGGTAAATAGATGAACTGCTAGATATTTATACTACAGAATGCTATTAAGGGAAAAAACAAACCAAAAAAAACCCCAAATTATTGGTTCACAATAAAAATGTGGGTGAATATCAAATGCATTCTGCTAATTGAAAAACCACATATTATATTATTTCACTTATATGACATTCCAGAAAAAGCAAAATTATAGGGTTAGAGAATAGATCAGTGAATTCCAGGAGCTAGGCATGTGGAGTGAAGGTGATTACAATGAGGCAGCAGAGGAACTTTTTTAGAAGCCAGAAGTGTTCTCTATCTTGACCATGGCAGTGGATACACAATTGTATGAAGTTCTCAAAACTCACAGAGTTGTACATCACAAAAAGCAGATTTTATTAAATGTAAATTTCTAAAAATTGCATAAACCTATGACTGGGAAGGCCTTGAACTCTTTCACTCCTCTTAGAAACAACTATAAAACATAATCTTTTTACTAAATAACCTATTTAAAACAAATCATGAATTATCATTTGGCTATAATGTCCAATTATATATGATAAAGAACAAGAATGCTCAGAATAAAGAACTCAATTCAGATAAGAAAAAAATGTGGTGTCAGGATCCCTGTTAGACTTATACCTTAGCATTTAAGCAAAAACTCAAAATAAGCTTATATGACTGGGTCTGCAATCAATTCCTTTTTAGTGAATGGTTCTGACTTTACACTCTGGTCATAAACAAGTTTTGTGTTAGTGTATCAGAGCTACAAACAATGAGTAAATTCAGAGAATAAATACAAGTTAATTTTCTTATAGTGCCATACACTATACCTCTTTAAATGCCAATTATTTTACACAAATCACAGAGTAAAGTATATGTGAGTTGATTATACATGGAAAAACATTGCTATCTTGAAAACAGCACAAGTGCTATTCCTATTTCTCATAGACTTTTAGTAAATAATTTGTAATAATAAACATGACAATAAAATTAGGAAAAAATTAATTTACCATATATAATTTTAAAGCAATATAATCAAACTGTCTATCTAAAAACATAGCTAAAATCTAAAAGTATTTATTAGTGGTGAAGGGGGATATTCATAGAAATAGCTATTTATAGAAATGGATATTCTGTTAAAGCCAATGAGAGTTTTTCTATGAATTATTATTACCTTTATGGCAAGATAATAGTCTTTCATTCTCTGTATCCATATAAACCAAACACAAGACAGGCCTACAGTTTGCTAAGACTTTAACTAGACTCACTTATGAACTATGTACTGTTCAGAATAATACAAATATTAAAGAATGACCAAGTCTCTTTTTGAGAACAATAAGCCCTAGGAATTTAAAAATAAAATTATAAGTATTACAAATACCGATAGACCTTAACATTTCAAATCTAAATGTATCAGAGTGGGGTTCTGATGAATGGAAATGTTCTAGAATGTTTTAGTTCTAGAATGAAAAGTATAAATGAAATCAAAATAATTAATGTTTGAACTTCTATACTACAAATTTAGTCACATCCACTGATACAAACCTGACCATTCTATAATGAATCACTCATCTAAACATTTAGTAATATATGTGGAAGCCTGGAATGGTAGTCTACGTGAAATACTGTTACCTATTATGGTAAGACATGCTGCTGATTAGCAAAGGTAAAAAGTTTACACATGGAGTTGAATCCACATCAGAATATTGGAGTCAAAATGCTCAATACATCAATTTCAGCCACTAAAAGTACTTTATTAGAATGAGGCTCTGGAACATAGATTTTAATAAAATTCAATTCACTTCTTAATTAGGTCACATCAGTAAAGTGTATGCAAATTTATGGGCTTTCAATGAGTTTGGCAGCAAAAGTCTTAATATATCGTTTGTAGAAGCAACACAATTGTTCACAAGTAAAAAACTGCATATGTCTGTGAATTTTCATCTCAGTTCCATCATTATACAATATTTGTAGTGCCATAGGAAAGCTTTGTCTTTAGAAGATGATGATAATTTTGCCCCTTTAAGATAACTTAAATAAGGTGGGAAAGGAGGATGGGAATGTAAAGGGAACATGATTCACAGAACAGCATCACCTTAAGCACTACTAAGAGTCAAACAGACTAACCTTGAGGGGCTCCTTGTTTAAATAGATTTTTTTTTCTAAAAGTAAAAAATGTATATTGTATAAATTAAAATGACATTTTTATTGACTACATGTAGAACAGAAACTATTGTAACAACAATCAAGTCTTCATTCTTATACTTGATGTTTTTTGATATATGCATTTTGGTCTGTACATTTATGACATATATAAAGTCATAAATGTGATTGAATATGCCCCTTTAGTTACTTCAAAATCTACTTTCAACCCCTTTCTTCCCCTACCGTCTCTAGGCAAAGAATACAATGCATACAAACACCTTTAGGCTGATGGAGAAAGAGACAGCAGGCTTATGTAGCTGGAGCACAGTGAGCCCAAAGGTTGGTAGGGATAAATTCTGAGAAGTCATCAGAGACTAGATTGTATAAAGCCTTATGGGCTATGGAAGGACTTTGGATTTCTTGTATAGCAGAAGTCACTGGGGGATTTTATGAAGGAGTGAAATATGACATGGTTCACATTTTGAATGGTAATCCTGGCTGCTGAGTGTTTTATGCACTGTAGGTGGGCACAAGTAGAAGTAGGAACCCATTAGAAAATTACTGCATTAATCCAGACAGGGCTCGGGTTAGTGTAGAAGCAAGAGATGTAGTGAGTTATTGCATTTAAAGGGAGAGTTTATAAAGATTTGCTAAATAATTGAATGCTCCCTCATTTGTCTTTGGTCACACAGTTGATCTGATGCTGCTTCTAAAATCTCTGCCTCCATAAACCCAATATGCCCAATAGTATCCAGCTCACATTCTCTCTCAATGATTCCTCATCATACTACTTTATTCCTCCATAATCTTATCTTCTTCTGAACTTGTACTTTTTTTTTTCTTTACCAGCATTTCCCAAACTGTTAATAAAGTCCAACAGACAAAGACAACAAGACCAACCTAGGGTCCAAACAAGTTAGGATTATTAATTTGCCAGAATAAGGAAGAATACTTGAGGGAAAAAAAAGTACCTCACCTAACAAAGGAAGACGTAAGGGTTATTACAGAATTTTGACCAAGGGTTGGGTTTAGGTAAAATTTAAATGAAGCAGTGTTTTGTTTGGCACAAAGCAAAGTAGCCCTGTTTGTAAAAGGTAAGTATCAGGCTCAAGTTGAGAAATAAGACTCAGGTTCCATTTTCTTAAAATCTACAAGTTAGAAGAACACAGAATTGTGAGTGCAAAAATCCTGTATCTGAGACACTGAAGCTGGTCTGAAAAATCAAAGCTGCTTCTCTGTATCGAAGTGACCCAAGAAGCTCAGATATTCTAGACAAGAATGACATGTTCCATGCTTTCTGATATGATTTGAAATAGCAAAGTTTATAATAGTCTATGATTGTAGATGTTTCTCAAGACTGTATCATTTTGTTGATAAATAAATGCAGTTTTAAGAGCTTTTCACCATGTGCTATAAAACCCGTGTTTAATAATAGTTTATTGATCATTTTGGGGTGTGGGGTGCTGATTATGTTATTTGTAAAATTAATCATTAAAAAAGAGTAAGTACATTTTAGTTTTTTTTTAAAAATATGCATGATGTTCAGAAATAAGAAATAGTGAGATGTGCCTGGAAGTTGTATGCTGAATCACTGGAGACATGAACTTGTAATGTTTACTCAGTAAGCTATTCATTACTTCATATGTACTCACAAGAATTTCTTTGTGTTACCCATTCCAAATATTCCTCCCAAAATGTATTAAGATTTACAGTATTCCCGTTTCTTAAAGAAATTGTTGAAAATATACAAACATGTGTCCCACTGTAGATTTATTTGAACTCTAATCTCCAGGCCTATAAACCTGTATACTTAAAAAGTCCCCAGAATTTGTGATCTGTTTGGTTTACCATGGATATTAGTCTCCCAAGGCTGTTGTAACGAATCTCCACAAACTTGGCAGCTTAAAAACAACAGAAATTTATTGTCATACAGTTCTGGAGACCAAAACTCCAAAATCAGATTGTCAGCAGGGCCATTGTTCCTCAAGTATTTAAAGGGAGGTGTTTTTTGTTTTGTTTTGTTTTGTTTTTTCATTCCAGCTTCCAGTGGCTGTTAGCATTCCGTGGCTTGTAGCTGCATCTGTTTGTGGCTCTGTCTTCACGTAACCTTCCCTTTGTGTCTATCTCAAAACTTTCTCTGCCTATCTTATATAAGAAAACATTGGTTGCATTTAGGGCCATCAAAGATAATCCAGGATAAGTGCTTCCTCTCAAGAACTTTAATCACATCTTTTGCCAAATAAGATATTTACTCTTTGCCACATAAAGTACTATTCACAGGTTCCAGGGATTAGGAAGTAGACACAATCTTTGTAGCACCATTCAGCTGACTAAATTTTTTATCTTATAAATTAGGAATCTAACAATTGAATGATTTGAAGTTTATTGTAGTTTTACTACTTAAATGATAGTTTGATTACATTATCCTTACCAATTTTCCAAGAATATGCTTCGTGCTCACTATTCTAATTAAGGCATATATTACATCTAATAGACAATCACTATTTTCTGCTAATACAATTACAAATACTTACTTAGAAAATGTTTATATTATATGTGACCTGTAATTGTCAATTATGTGGTTATTACTTAATTAGGCATAAGTGCTTTTGTTCTGACACACAGCTCTGAACACTGAAAGGTAACTTTATAAATGGTGAAGCACATATTATGTGATAGCTTATAACAATAATAATTTCTTTTTTACATTCTTATCTGACATGGGTCAGAAATGATTTCTTCTACCTCCTGTTTATTTTGAGACAAGAGATGAAGGAATAGCCACTATAAGGAACATATTGATCTTACAATAGAAACAAGAGAGAGACAGAATCACAGAATGGTTCCTATTGCTACTTGAAAGGGGCACACATCAATTCTGCTGACATTCAATTAAGCAACATGGCCAGTTCAGATGTCAATAGGACTAGTGGTGTGGCTGGAGGCCCCGGGGGAGTAGTATAATCCCCCTTCAGTATACACTGCACATATTTTTGAAATAATAACTCAATCACATCTAGCTCTCTGTTCTTTGTCATATCAAGGGTGTGGCAGAGATATTGATATTGCCTTAAATAACCATGCTCATGTTTTGCCCTTAAATGCATCGTCCCTGTTTATCAAAGCCTCGGCTCAATTATCTGGGTCACGGCAGACTTGCTGTGCTCTATTACATTACATCTTGATATGTGTGCATGTATGTGTGTGTACCTTAGTTATACAGAACTTTTAATAGTAAAATTTTATCCCATCAAAATTTCACACATATGTACCCTCCTTTGTTTCCTAGATTCCTCATCCAATTTATTCACTATTCAAAAGTCCTAGGTTGGTAGGCATGTTTCTCATTGTTCAAGACATAATTCTTTAATCTTTAGCTAATATAATTTTATGTGAGGCAATAAACAAACACATGGGGACAAAAGAAAATTATTAAAAGAATCTCATAAAAATTAGGTCATTAACTAAGGGAGACCACTGTGGCAGGTTACAGTTCTAATGATGGAAGATGTGATTCAAAAAAAAATAATTCAAGCTTATAATATACTAGTAGAAATCGGTAACCAGCTTACCACAGATGAATAAATAGATACTCACCAGACACCTGTGGATATATATTGCGGAAATACATTAAACTTCTAAACATTAGAAATATCACAGCAGGATTGCTTAATGGAGTAGCTTACTCTAAGTCTCCACAGCATAGCAGAGCAGGTGACGTTAGATCAGGTAAAAATTAAGTTGAATAGATTGCAAAATGCACTATCAATCTCCACTGACCATGAATTCCTGGTTAACAAAAGAAATACAAATTAGGCTAAATGTTCTTTAACTCAAGGGTTGTAATTCTAGCTAAGCAGACCTTTTGGTTTAGGCATGATGTTAATTTTCTCTAAGGCACCATAAGTAAACAGTAGCTTTTTTAGGTGATAGATTTGTAGGGTACATTTTGGGAGTGGTGATAATGGAATTAATAATATAATAATTTCATAAACCAATAATAAACATATCTATAATGTTTTAATCCATTTCAGAATTTTTCCAAATATTACATTAGTACTACTCTCTACTGTTCTGATTACTCATGGACACAAGGAGAGAGCTGGACTAAATGGAATACTGTAAGTTAAAGACATATGAGAGCTCTTGGATTTAAGTTCAATACGTAGCAACAATATGATTTGCTGGCCAAAACCTAATGAAATCTTAGGCCATAATAATAGAAGTAATGATTCTGTCACAATAAAGCAAATACTTTTGGTCTACTCTAGGAAAGTCAGAAAAAAATCTGGGGCATAATGTTTCATTCTGGGCATGGTATTTTAAAAGAAACATAAAAATAAAATATTGTATGGAATCCAGAAGAAAGAAAAGTAGATGATGGAGGATCTAAACCATGCCATATGTATTCACTCCAAAAACAAGCACTAAGAATATGTATTAGAGAAGGAGGAATCACATGTATTTCACTAGGAAAAGAGTAGATTTGGATACAGAATCAAAAGAGTTCTTAAAGTTATTAAAAGTTTGTAAGGGAAATACAGATTTGACTTATTCTGTGTTTCTTCATAGAAAGAATGAAGACCTAGATAGTCACTGCAGAGAAAAACAATTATACTTTTATATTAAATCAGAGAAACATTTAACAATTAGATTAATCCAAAATATGGGGGAGTGACATAGTCATAACTTCAGAATGACATCAAGATGGTTGCCTAGAGGTGCCTGGCACTGATTTCATCCCCTAAAAAAGGACCTAAAGAACAAATAAACAACTACATTTCTACTGGAGTTCCCTACGGAGAGTTCTGGAGTACAGCAAGGTAGTGGCAGAATTCCTATGGAACACAGAAACCCGTAATGGCAGTATAGAAAGGAGAGCAAAACACCCTGCCTCTGCCACACCTCTCCTCCACTAGGATTGACTTCAAATAAGGAGGAACTTTTCTTTGCAGAAAAAAGATAAGCAGTAGGCTCCCAAAAGCCCCTGTTAGCAACAGAAACACCTGCAGTTCTTGCTACAGGACAATCCCACAGCCCTCACAGGCCATGGGCCCAGATTGGGGAGCATTCAGGGGTTCACATGGCTGCATTGCTCTGGAGTAGGAGCATACATTGCACACACCTCCAACCCCCAAGCTGATAAGGCATGGTGATATCTTGAAACTGATGTCACTGCTAGACGGTATCCTGCTCTGGAGGCAAATAGCCGTAATGTCACTCCATTCCTGAGGCTCCACTGTCATTCCAGGACACTCACATGGGTGGCTGCAGTGCCATCAGCTACTCAGAGCTTAGGGCGAACAGAATGACCATGATCCTGATGCCTGAGCTCACATAGCACCTGCCTCCTAAGGAAAAGGCAGTTCTGCACAACAAAGAGTCCAACCCCAGCCAGGAGAACCACCATGCATGTACATCCTTCACCTGAAAACCAGTTCAGTAGCTCTGACACTGAGCCAGCAAACCTACCATGTGTGCATACCATCAGCCTGAGAACCAGCCCAGTGGCTCTGCCTCTGCAAAGTCGTGCCACTACCAACACATACTCTTGCAGCCTAGGCCACTGAGGCACTCAGACATCACTGACATTGATGACAAATGAAAAAACTGCACAAATCCTACACCACTATGTCCACCCAGAACCAAACACAAAGCATCCTACCTAACCAACACCCTATAACTCTTCCACAGAAAAATGACTTTTGGTATGAAAGATACTCCATAAAACTGGAAGAGGCAACTATTCCACCAGACGCACAGTTATCAAGTTAGAGACATAAGAAACATAAAACAAAAACAGGAAAACATGACACCTCCAATAAAACACAGTAATTCTCCAGTAATTACCACAAAGAAAAGAAAATTTATGAAATGCCGAAAAAGATAAATATCACCAATAAACAAGCAGAAATCTTGGAGCTGAAAAAAAATGCAATGAGAGAAATTAAGAGTACAATTGAAAGCTTCATCAACAGACTAAATCAAGCAAAAGAAGAAATTTCTGAACTTAAAGACAGGTCTGTTGAAATAACCCAGTCAGAGAAAAAATAAGAAATAAAAAAGAATGAAGAAAGCCTACGTAGCTCATATGACACAATTGAACAAATATTCAGCTTATAGGATCTCAAGAAGGAGAAAAGGTAAAGAAAGACACAGAAACCATGTTTAACATAATAGCTGAAAACTTACCAAGTCTTTGGAGGTATCATTGAACATCCAGGTTTAGTAAGCTCAAAATTTCCCTAATAAATTCAACTAAGAAACCTCTCTCTGAGGCATATTATAATCAAATTATCAAAAGTCAAAGACCAAGAGGAAATTCTAAAAGCAACAAAAATGTCAAGTAACATGTAAGTAAATCCCCATTGCACAATCAGCAAATTTTTCACCAGAAACCTTGCAGGCTAGGAGAGAATGAGATGATATATTCAAAGTGCTAAAAGAAAAAAAAAAAAACTGCTATCCAAGAATACTATACCCAGCAAAGCTACATTTCAAAAATGAAAGAAAAATAAAGTTCATCCCAGCAAGACCTGAAGGAATTCATCACCACTAGAACGGACTTATAAGGAATGCTTAAGAGAGTGCTACAACTGAAAGCAAAAGGACAATAATTACTATCTTCAAAACACATGCAAATATAAAACTCAGTAGTACAGGTAAATTCATAATCAAATTCAGAATACTCCAGTATTGGAAAGGTGCTATAGAAATATTTCAATCCTCAAGTATGACAGATAAAATTCAAAGGATAAAAAATAATTACAGCTACCATCAGTTTTTAAGAAATAGATAATACATAAAAATGTAAATTAAGAAAACAAAAATATAAATTATGATGAAGAGGATAGAAGTCTAGAGCATTTTTAGGTTACCAAAGCTAAGTTGTTGTCACTTAAAATAGTCTACTATTTCTAAAAAGTTATTGTTAGCACCATGGTAACTACAAAGAAAGGAATTACAACAGATAGATATAAAATTTTAAAAAGAATGAAAGCTTTCCACAACAGAAAACCACCAAACCACTATGGTAAACAAGAGAGGAAAAAGTAACAAAGAATTTTAAAAACAAAAAATCAGAAAATAATTAACAAAATGGCAGAAACAAAATCCAACTGTATTTGCTGACTATAAGAGATCCACTTCCCCTGTAAGGACACACATAGACTAAAAGTAAATGGATAAAAAAGACATTCCATGCACCAGGCAAATGTAAACCAAAAGCAAGCAGAAGTTGCTATGCTTATATCAGATAAAATAGACTTTAAGAAAAAAAAAAAAAAAACTAAAAATAAACCATAAATGATCATTATCAAATGATAAAGGGAACTGTTTAGCAAGATAATATAATGAATGTAAATATATGCACCTAAAATATAAAACAAATATTATTAGATCTAAACGAAGAGGTACATTGCAAACAATATTAGTAGGAAATTTCAACATCCCACTTTCAACAATGGACAGATTACAAGAAATATCAAGAACACAAGCATCAGGCTTAAACTGTATCATAGACCAAATAGACCTAACAAACATTAACAATACATTCCATCTTACAGCTACAGAATACACATACTTCTCAACTGCACATGGCTCATTCTCCAGGATAAATTGTATATGAGGCCACAAAGCAAGTCTTAAGTTTAATAAGATAAGATCATACCAAGCATCTTTTCTGACCACAATGCTACAGAACTAGAAATCATTAATAAAAGGAATTTCAGAAAGTTTACAAATATATGGAAACTACATGACATGCTCCTGCATAACCAAAGGGTTAATGAAGAAATTAAAAGATAAATTTAAACTATTTGTTGAGACAAACTAAAATGAAAACACAGTATACCAAAACCTAGGGATATAGCAAAATCAGTTCTAAGAAGGAAGTTTATAGGCAATAAATATATTCATCAAAATAGAAGAAAGATCTCAAACAACACAACACTGCACCTCAAAGAATTAGAAAAACAATAACAAACTAACCCCAAAATTAGTAGGAAGAAGGAAATAAAGGTCAGACAATAAATGAACAACATAGACAATAGAAAAACATTACAAAATATGATCAAAACAAATAACTGATTTTTTGAAAATATAAACAAAATTGTCAAACTTTTAGCTAGTCAAAACTTCAGGGATCAGGAATGGCAGGGGTTATGGAGACCTCTACCAATTTCTGAAACATGCAAGAAAAAGAATCTATTATTTGGCTGAAATATTGAACTAGATGATCTTGAAAGTCTTTTTCAATTATGAGATTCATTGAATCTATGATAAGGTTTGCATTGGCTCTTACATCTCACAAAATAACAACAGCAACAAAAGATCAGGATGTGGAGGTTATGTGTATGGCAGCAGCACAGTGAGACCACACAAAGAGGCAAATATGAGTTTGTGTTTCACTCAAGCTCCTCAGTTATTTGTAATTCACAGGTGCTATTGTAAAGCATGAAATGCTCCCAGTGAATATTTAGCCCAGAGTTAGGAAAGGATTACAAGACTTTATCAGAATTGTGAGTTGACATATGCAATGACATATCACTATAATTCTTGCATAGTTAACTCCCTAATTATTACAAGCTGTCACTCATACATAGAGAAAAAGTAGTCCAGAATAGATAAACAACATTTCTCCACTTCCAAGCTTGCTTTCCATGTATAATCTAATTCAATAGAGAACAATACAATATTAAAAAGACACTTTGCTTATGGAAAAGGAATTCCACAAAATGTTAGTCTTATATATGTCCTTAACACCATTTGTAGCCTTCTTATCCCAGAATCATTGAGTTTCTGGTATGTGCCCTGCTTCAGCTATTTTAATATTTCATGGTCAATTCTGAATGTAGTATTTTATCTGCTTCTAAGCTCCTCCAGACACAATCTCTGGCTTTCTTGTCCTGCATATGTGTTCAATTGTGTGCTTTACTTCTCTGAATTGAATCACTCATCTATCATGCATTTATAATATTATTCTAAAAAAGTAAAATGGCTCAGTTTATCATTTTGGTTTTTGTTTTTCTACTATCACCTTTTCTGAGAAATTTTCCCTTGTTTTCAAAATCAGGAAGTATATTTTTTTCCTATGGTCCTCCAGTTGCATACTTTTATAAAATATCGGTTTCCAGGGCAAGATGGCTCATCTCACTGCGATTGGTTAGACAGTGGGTGCAGCCCAGAGTGGGCAAGCAGAAGCAGGGTGGGGCATTGCCTCACCCAGGAAGCACAAGGGGTGGGGGAACTCCCTCCCCTAGCCAAGGGAAGCCGTGAAGGACTGTGCCGTGAGGGACAGTGCTATACAGCCCAGATACTATACTTTTCCCACAGTTCTCACAACCCGCAGACCGGGAGATTCCCTCAGGTGCCTATACAACCAGGGCCCTGGGTTTCAAGCACAAAACTGGGTGGCCGTTTGGGGAGACACTGAGCTAGCTGCAGGAGTTTTTTTTTTCCACACCCCAGTGGCACCTGGAATCCCAGCGAGACAGAATCATTCACTCCCCCTGGAAAGGGGGCTGAAGCCAGGGAACCAAGTGATCTTGCTCAGCAGATCCCACTTCCACAGAGCCAAGCAAGCTAAGATTCACTGACTTGAAGTTCTCGCTGCCAGCACAGCAGTCTGAAGTCTACCTGGGATGCTCCAACTTAGTGGGGGGAAGGGTGTCTACCATTACTGAGGCTTGAGTAAGCGAATTTTCCCTCACAGTGTAAACAAAGCTGCGAGGAAGTTTGAACTGGGTGCAGAACAGACCACAGCGTGGCAAAGCTGCTGTAGCCTGACTGCTTCTCTAGATTCCTCCTCTCTGGGCAGGACATTGCTGAAAGAAAGGCAGCAGCCCCAGTCAGGGGCTTATAGATAAAACTCTCATCTCCCAGGGACAGAGCACCTGAGAAAAGGGGCAGCTGTGGGTGCAGCTTCAGCAGACTTAAACATTCCTGCTTGCTGGCTCTGAAGAGAGCAGTGGATCTCCCAGCACAGCGCCTGAGCTCTGCTAAGGGACAGACTGCCTCCTCAAGTGGGTTGCTGACCCCCGTGCCTCCTGGCTGAAAGACACCACCCAGCAGGGGTCAACAGACGCCTCATACAGGAGAGCTCCAGCTGGAATCTGGCAGGTGCCCCTCTGGGATGAAGCTTCTAGAGGAAGGAGCAGGCAGCAATCTTTGCTATTCTGCAGCCTCTGCTCGTGATACCCAGGCAAACAGGGTCTGGGGTGGAACTCCAGCAAACTCCAGCACACCTGCAGTAGAGTGGCCTGACTGTTAGAAGGAAAACTAACAAACAGAAAGTAATAACATCAACATCAACCAAAAGGACACCCATGCAAAAACCCCATCCAAAGGTCGTCAGCATCAAAGATCGAAACTACATAAATCCACAAAGATGAGGAAAAGCCAGTGCAAAAATGTTGAAAATTCCAAAAGCCAGAATGCCTCTTCTCCTCCAAAGGATCCCAACTCCTCATCAGCATGGGAACAAAACTGGATGGAGAATGAGTTTGACAAATTGACAGAAGTAGGCTTCAGAAGGTGGGTAATAACAAACTCCTCCGAGCTAAAGGAATTTGTTCTAACCCAGTGCAAGGAAGCTAAGAACCTTGATGAAAAGTTACAGGAACTGCTAACTAAAATAACCACTTTAGAGAACAACATAAATGACCTGATGGAACTGAAAAACACAGTACGAGAACTTTGTGAAGCATACACAAGTATCAATAGCCAAATCTATCAAACAGAAGAAAGGATATCAGAGACTGAAGATCGGCTTAAGGAAATAAAGCATGAAGACAATATTAGAGAAAAAAGAATGAAAAGGAACAAAGCCTCCAAGAAATATGGGAATATGTGAAAAAAACAAAACTCCATTTGATTAGTGTACCTGAAACTGACAGGGAGGATGGAACCAAGCTGGAAAAGACACTTAAGGATATTATCCAGGAGAACTTCCCCCACCTAGCAAGATAGGCCAACATTCAAATTCAGGAAATACAGAGAACACCACAAAGATACTCCTCGAGAAGAGCAACCCCAAGACACATAATCGTCAAATTCACCAAGGTTGAAATGAAGGAAAAAAATGTGAAGGTCAGCCAGAGAGAAAGGTCAGGTTACCCACAAAGGGAAGCCCATCAGACTAACAGCGGATCCCCTGCAGAAACCCTGCAAGCCAGAAGAGAATGGGGACCAATATTCAACATTTTTAAAGAAAATAATTTTCAAACCAGAATTTCATAGGCAGCCAAACTAAGCTTCATAAGTGAAAGAGAAATAAAATCCTCTAGAGAGAAGCAAATGCTGAGGGATTTGTCACCACCAGGTCTGCCTTACAAGAGTTCCTGAAGGAAGCACTAAATATGGAAAGGAAAATCCTGTTCCAGCCACTGCAAAAACATACCAAAATGTAAAGACCGTCAACACTATGAAGAAACTTCATCAATTAATGTGCAAAATAAGCAGCTAGCATCATAATGACAGGATCAAATTCACACATAACAATATTAACCTTAAATGAAAATGGACTAAATGCCCCAATTAAAAGACACACACTGGCAAACTGGATAAAGAATCAAGACCCATCTGTATGCTGTATTCAGGAGACCCATCTCATGTGCAAAGACACACATAGGTTCAAAACAAAGGGATGGCGGAATATTTACCAAGCAAATGGAAAGCAACAAACAAGGAGGGGTTGCAATCCTAGTCTCTGATAAAACAGACTTTAAATCAACAAAGATCAAAAAAAAAACAAAGAAGGGCATTACACAATGGAAGAGGGATCAATGCAACAAGAAGAGCTATCTATCCTAAATATATATGCACCCAATACAGGAGCACCCAGATTCATAAAGCAAGTTCTTAGAGACCTACAAAGAGCCTTAGACTCCCAAACAATAATAGTGGGAGACTTTAACACCCCATTGTCAATGTTAGGCAGATCAATGAGATAGAATATTATCAAGGATATTCAGGACTTGAACTCAGCTCTAGACCAAGTGGACCTAATAGGCATCTACGGAACTCTCCACCCCGAATCAACAGAATATACATTCTTCTCAGCACCACAAAGCACTTATTCTAAAATTGACCACATAATTGGAAATAAAACACTCCTCAGCAAATGCAAAAGAATGGAAATCATAACAACTGTGGTCCCTCAGACCACAGTGCAATCAAATTAAAACTCAGGATTAAGAAACTCACTCAACATGGCTCAACTACATGGAAACTGAACAACCTGCTCCTGAGTGACTACTGGGTAAATAACAAAATTAAGGCAGAAATAAATAAGTTCTTTGAAACCAATGAGAACAAAGACACAACATACCGGAATCTCTGTGACATAGCTAAAGCAGTGTTTAGAGGAAAATTTATAGAACTAAATGCCCACAAGAGAAAGCAGGAAAGATCTAAAACTGACACCCTAATATCTCAATTAAAAGAACTAGAGAAGCAAGAGCAAACAAACTCAAAAGCTAGCAGAAGACAAGAAATAACTAAGATCAGAGCACAACTGAAGGAGATAGAGACACGAAAAACCCTTCAAAAACTCAATGAATCCAGGAGTTGGTTTTTTGAAAAGATTAACAAAATAGATAGATCGCTAGCCAGACTAATAAAGAAGAAAAGAGAGATCAATCAAATAAACACAATAAAAATGATAAAGGGGGTATCACCACTGATCCCTCAGAAATACAAACTACCATCAGGGAATACTACAAACACTTCTACACAAATAAACTAGAAAATCTAGAAGAAATGGATAAATTCCTGGACACAGACACCCTCCGAAGATTAAACCAGGAAGAAGTCGAATCCCTGAATAGACCAATAACAAATTCTGAAATTGAGGCAGTCATTAATAGCCTACCAAGCAAAAAAACGCAGGACCAGACAGATTCACAGCCAAATTCTACCAGAGGTACAAAGAGGAGCTGATACCATTCCTTCTGAAACTATTCCAAACAATAGAAAAAGAGGGAATCCTCCCTCTTTTTATGAGGCCAGCATCATCCTTATACCAAAACCTGGCAGAGACACCACAAAAAAAAAGAATATTTCAGGCCATTGTCCCTGATGGACATCAATGCAACAATCCTCAATAAAATACTGGCAAATTGAATCTAGCAGCACATCAAAAAGCTTATCCACCATAATCAAGTAGGCTTCATCCCTGGGATGCAAGGCTGGTTCAACATACGCAAATCAATAAAGGTAATCCATCACATAAACAGAACCAATGACAAAAACCACATAATTATCTCAATAGATGCAGAAAAGACCTTCAATAAAATTCAACACACCTTCATGATAAAAACACTCAATAAACTAGGTATTGATGGAACATATCTCAAAATAATAAGAGCTATCTATGACAAACCCAAATCCAATATCATACTGAATGGGCAAAAACTGGAAGCATTCCCTTTGAAAACCAGCACAAGATAAGGATGCCCTCTCTCACCACTCCTATTCAACATAGTATTGAAAGTTCTGGCCAGGGCAATCAGGCAAGAGAAAGAAATGAAGCATATTCAAATAGGAAGAGAGGAAGTCAAATTGTCACTGTTTGCAGATGACATGATTTTATATTTAGAAAACCCCATTGTCTCAGGCCCAAAACTCCTTAAGCTGATAAGCAACTCCAGCAAAGTCTCAGGATAAAAATAAAAGCAAAAGAAACTCTCATCAGACTGAACAGGCAACCTACAGAATGGGAGAAAGTTTTTGCAATCTATCCATCTGCCAAAGGGCTAATATCCAGAATCTACAAGGAACTTAAACAAATTTACAAGAAAAAAACAAACAACCCCATCAAAAAGTGAGCAAAGGATATGAACAGACACTTCTCAAAGGAAGGTATTTATGCAGCCAACAAACATATGAAAAAATGCTCATCATCATTGGTCATTAGAGAAATGCAGATCAAAACTACAATGAGATACCATCTCACTGCAGTTAGAATGGCCATCATTAAAGTCAGGAAACAACAGATGCTGGAAAGGATGTGGAGAAATAGGAATGCCTTTACACTGTTGGTGGGAATGTAAATTAGTTCAACCATTGTGGAAGACAGTGTGGCGATTCCTCAAGGATCTAGAATCAGAAATACATTTGACCCAGCAATCCCATTACTGAGTATATACCCAAAGGACTATAAATCATTCTACTATAAAGACACATGCAATGAGAACACATGGACTCAGAGAGGTAAACATCACACACAAGGGCGTGTCGGGGGTAAGGGTCAAGGGGAGGGATAGCATTAGGAGGAATACCTAATGTAGATGACGGGTTGTTGGGTGTAGCAAACCACCATGGCACATGTATGCCTATGTAACAAACCTGCACATTCTGCACATGTATCCCAGAACTTAAAGTATAATAAAAAATGAAATAAATAAAAATAAGTAAATAATGTCCTAATCATCTTTATATTGCATGTACATTGCCTCAATTGAGGCTCACAACATCCCACTTTATAAATGAGAAAATTAAGACCTAGAAAAGTTAAGTAGTCTTTCCCAAGTAAGTACAATTACAACTTTGTCTGCTTCCAGAAACTGTGAGGGTCAATATATACCCACATGAAGGAGAAACAAATCCCAAGCTATTATCATGTTGAACTGTAAACTGAAAAAAAAATTAGAAAAAAAAAATGCTCTTAACATAGGCTTTTATTTTTATTTAGGTAGATTATTTTATAAAATGAAAAAAGAAAATAGGCATGACTTATTGGAAAACCCTGTTTAGTTTGAATAGATATTGAAAATTTATTCCACAGCATTGACAACTTGCTTTAAAAAATAAGATGAATTTGGTTACTTTTTTTCTGTAGTTGCCTTATAAAAAAGCCAAATAAAACAAAGTGGCTTCATGAGGTGTCCTAATCATTTCAGGATGCTATAATCAAGAACTTAAGGCTGGTTAATTCCAGCAGATATGGTCTCTGGTGACTGCCTATTTTCTTTTTCAAAGATGGTCCTCACATAGCAGGAGAAAGCAGCTCTATGAGCCTCTTTTATAAGATCTTTAATCCCATTCACAAGGGTGGAGCCATCAATGACCTAATCACTTCACAAAGCCCTACCTTGTAAGACCATCATCTTGATGATTAGGTTTCAATATATGAATTTTAGCAGGGACACAAACATTCAGACCACAGCATTAAAATAGGTGACATAAAAAGATATGTTCATGTTGCTAATCCCTGGAACTCAATGTGGCCTAGGAGGACAGGCGTTAACATTGCAAAGTGAACACTGCTATTATTCAAAGCTATGGCTGAAAGCTGAGGCCTATTACTGAGGATCATGGGATGTTAGAGGACACTAAAGGAGATCTTCACATTAATAGTATTGACGTTTTTGGGTGAGAAATGAGTTTTGTTTGAAGATTAGAAATTGCTAACAAAAAAGATACTATCCCTGAAATTAAAGATGAAATACAAGGATTAGCAATAGTCGTAAGTATCATATTCCACGTATTGCCAAAGCGTCATTAGGATTTTAGACTTTGTTGCTGTTCTTCCCCGAGGTGCTAAAATATGAATTATAAATAATATTTCTATAAATAGGATTAATCTAATCATAGTGGCACCGCAGCCTTTCCCATTTAAGTTTAGCCAGCCCAGCTCTCACTGCCAAGCTCAGCCTCCTCAGTGAGTATTGAACTACAGCAATAATGGCTGAAAAGAGCCTCTTTATTTCATAATATTAGCCTGGTTTCATATGTGTCCAGCATTCTTTATATCCAGCACCGTGTCAAAAGCAGAAACAGGAGGCCCTGATCCCTTCAATTCTTTCTAATTCATTGTCCTCTACTTTTACTTTAACTAAATAAATCTTATAAAAATATCTATGATTATTCTGTTAAAGTAAGAAATATTTTGAAACTTTTAAAATAATCTAGAAGTTGCTCTTTCTTCATTCAAAGTAATAACAATCACACATATTTCTAATTAATATTACAAACTCACCTAAGATTCCAAATGGTCACATGACCATAAACAGAAGCCCAAAACTGCATACAACTTTCTCCAGACTATTACATATATATTATTGCAAAGCACAGGTACACAGAAATTAGAAAGTTTTGCTTAACTGTGAAGCTGCTTCTTAGAATTTGTCAATGAAGTTTCTAGTTAAAATTGAGGCATTTCAGGAAATGTGTTTAATTTTTCTGCCTTTAACATTAAAATCACTTTCCAAAGTTAGACCATATAAACACTTCACCGCATGTAACAATCAGTCGGATTCCTGTCTTCTCAAAATATATACTCCATCCATTTATACCCTTATCCTTTTAAAAAGATGCCACTATAAAATATTAGATAATAATATGCCAGTGTAAAACTTCAGACTTTATGTTTGACATCTAACTAAAGGTCAGGCAATTATAATTTAAGAGAGAGGTTTTTAGAAATTTTATTCTTAACTGAAATGAATGTAGAACTACTCTTCAGTATCCTCCTTACCTATACTCACAGTCCCAGCCTTATGAGGGCAGTTAATACTTGTTATTGGCATATTTAATTCAGGCTTATAATTAGATGTCTTGTATTTGAATTCATTTAAATTTCTCTTTACCTGACTTCTAACTGGAAATCAGCTTGTTTGAAATGAGCTGAGGTTTTCATACAGAGGGTTTGGCTAGAGGAACACTAGAAACTCAGGAGCATTCACAAAGGGTCTTCATAATTTTTTCTAGGAGATAACCTTTTCTGCTGAAAATATTGTTCCTAAAAGAGTAATTCTCAGACCATACTTCCACCCCAAGTTGAGTGTGTTTTTTTTCACTAGAATAAGGAAACCTACCATTTTTCCTTTATAGTCACTTACCAGAGCACATGACATGTGAAAATAAGAAATATACAGTGAATATGAAGGGCTAGCCTTGCTCACCTGCAATTTTTGTTAGCAAATAAACTGATGTTGCATTAACTTTGTGCCTTTGTTCCTAGCACCTAAATTCTGAGGATATACTCAGAAACTAAGTGCCTACAGACTCAATTACAACTTCTTTGTCATTTCAATAACCAAAATATGAAGACTGCAAATAGTTGCCAAATCACACATGAAAGCTACAAAATTCAACTTAGCTCATTGTCTGTACAGATTATTTCTAATCTACATACCTACATTTGGGTTCTTTATCTATTCATCCCTAAGTCAGGCCCATTATCAATCTACTTCTACTTTCCCTAGATTGTCAGGATTCACCCTCAATATGATGCTAAGAGTTAAGATTAACCTCTTCTCAAATTTTGTTTTTTATCCAGTCTTCTTCATTTTGGTTTATACTCACTTCTGAAACTTGACTTGGTTTGATTTAGTCAAAGGATTGTCAAGCTTGTAAAAAGCCAGAATAAATATTTTAGGCTTTGCAAGCCAAACAGTCTCTGTTGCAACTACTCAGCACTGCAATTTTATCACAAAAGCAGCCATAGCTGATCTGTAAACAAATGAGTGTTGCTGTGTTCCAATAAAACCCCATTTATAAAAACAGGCAGCTGGCCAAATATAACCCACACACTGTAGTCTGCTGACCCTTATTCTGGCCAAACACGCTGTACCACCCACAGAGAGCATTCATCTACTTATCCATAAGTACATAAAACATGTGGCTGTTTGCACATTAATCCCCCTGGAAAATCTACTTAAGAGGATACTGCTTGGGATGTGTCTCATTCTATTTTCTCTTCTAGCTTTTCTCAGAATACCTGAAATCAAGACAAGCACTCTTATCATTGAATTATATTAATAGTTTTAAGTAACAGAAAAAATTATATAAATAATGCCCATAACATTTGCAGACAGATTTCATGTAAATGCATTGAATTTATGGGCAATTTCAATCTGCAAAGCCAAAACACCTTACCTATACCATTAGCCATTTACTTCCTTTTCTAGGTAGATACAAAAGATTTGAGATGAACTGCTTCTGTGTTTTACTCTCCACTTTCCTGCATCTCCTGAATAGATGCAGCCAAATATTGCTATTCCTAGCTTAGACTAATACCCATATAACCCAAGTCCATAGACACGAGCCCTACTCTGGGGTTACTTTGAGTGCCCTGCTGCTATTTACTGTCTTCTGTGAAGCCATAGAATGAATCTTAACTGATGCTTACCTACTCTACTCTCCAATAGAAGCACATGCATGGTCAAATCCTTCCAGTTGTTTAAAAAAGGCAAGAAACTATAATTACGTTGGTTGGCCAGTACCTCTCTCTACCTTCTTTAATAACATTTTTAGTCTTAATCAGATACATGTTTCTCTTACCCAAGACAGCTTTCAATGGGCTTTTGAGATTTAGTACTCCAAAAGAAATGTGTACCTGAGCTACTAAAATGTTAAATTTGAAAAATGTTACATTAAGAAGATATTGCTTGGGATTTGTCTCATTCTACATAGGTAGAATCACTTGCTTTCATTTATACATACATAGGTAGCATAGGAGCATCACTTGCTTAATTGGACATCAGACCAGGGGAGCAGTAAGCATAATATACCATAGAGGCTTTGTTGTTTGTATTCTTTTCCCAAATGAGAGGTTATAAACAATTTCATTCGTTTTTAAAAAAGAAAAATGGTCCTAAGAAACACTGCTGAAAGAAAACAAAATAGAACACATAGAGAATATAGCAACTGTGCAAAAAAAAGATGTGTACAAGTTTTATGACAACCAAAACAAATAATTTTTTTAAAAAATCACATTTGGAATATTGCCTATGAGAAAATAAACAAATGCATAAATAAAATACAGAGGTTCATTGGCAGATCTGGCAGATCCGTACTAATGCTCCAGGTGCTAGAGGAATATGATTAACTCAATCCAGGGCACCTGAAGTTAAACGTAAATACATAAAAAAAAATTTTAAACTATGCTTTATATGCTGGAATGGTCTGTTAATTAATCAATGTACTTTCATGTTTTCTTAGAAGTAACTAGAAAGACATTACTATTATTATTAATAATTAAAGTGAGAGTAGTTATTTTACCCATAATGGCATATCATTATTAGTTGTTAGTTGTAACAAACCTACCACTGGGACTGCCTATGAGAAATTCAATTAAGAATCATCAGAGCCATCAAGAGACTAAGTGAGTACAAAATATTAATGGACTGCAAAGATTTAAGAGAAAATGGTTGCAGAGACAGGGGTCTAGTGACACATAAACTACCACAGCCCAGCATGTAAATGGTTTCTAATTTTTACCAGAACTCTGGATAGAATTAATTTCATGTAAATTACTGCAGAACATCTATTTGGTATTATAATTTGAACATCTGACACTTGGTGTAAGGTTTTTTTTTTTGGTATTGAAACATTCAAAACAACCAAAGCATTAATTATTGAGAGTCATGCAAGGAATTATTAGAACTATCCAAGTGCTCCAACTACAAGGCTGTGAATGGTGAACTAGTACTCAGGCTTGAATTCCAGGGCTTCAATAGGAGCTTTGCTAAAATCAAAGTCACAGGACATGATACCACATTAATGTTTGTTTGCCAAACTGAATTTATTTTAGCTATAATCAATAACCTTTGGAAAATAGCATGTTAGAGGAGCCCCAAAATAATAACTCACAATCTTTTCAATATCAAATGGTTTATCATGATAATTTCCACTGACAGGGGTGCAGATTTAATATTTAAAAATAGAAAAGACAAAAAGAGAGGGGGGTATATTTGTTTGGTAGGGTTGCCATAAAAATACTACAGACTGGATGGCTTCAACAATAGAAAATTATTTCTCACAGTTTAGGGGGCTGGAAGTTCAAGATCAAGGTGCTAGCTGATTTAGTTTCTCTTGAGGCCCTTCTCTCTGGCTTACTGATAGCCGCCTTTTCATTGTATTCTCACATGGTTTTACTCTGTTCATGGACAACTCTGATATTTATCTATATATCCTAATCTCTTCTTTTTATAAAAATGTCAGTGAGTCAGATTAGATTAGGGCCTACTCTAATGGCTTCATTTTAAATTAATTACCTCTTTACAGGCTCTAATTCCATTGCAGTCATTCTAAAGTACTGAAGATTAAGGCTTTGACATACGAATTTGAGGGAAGAGGAGGACACAATTCAGTCCATAAAAGGGAGGAATAAACAAAAAGAAGAAACCTGAAGATAATAGGGAAAATGCAACCATCTGATTTGTGGGAATTGGCCAAACATGACTGGTAGATTGTAATAGAAACTGCTGGCCAGAGTAACCTCTTTATGATGAACATGGACACATGACTGATGAATTTAGCCACCTATTTAGTGGATATTTCTTATTACTGGAATAAAGACCAAACTATTAGCATGGTTTACATGACTCTGTACTATCTTTGATTAACTCTAAAGAATTATTTCTTTCCATTTCCTCTTCTGTCTTTAAATTCAAACCATACTGGATCCTTTCCATTTTTTTTTTTTTTTTGAGATGGAGTCTCACTCTGTTGCCCAGGTTGGAGTGCAATGGCAGAATCTTGGCTCACTGCAACCTCTGCCTCCTGGGTTCAAGAGATTCTCCTGCCTTGACCTCCCAAGCAGCTAGGACTACAGACACATGCCACCATTTCCGGATAATTTTTGTATTTTTAGTACAGAGAGGGTTTCACCATGTTGGCCTGGCTGGTCTTGAAATCCTGACCTCAGGTAATCCACCTGCCTTGGACTCCCAAAGTGCTGGGATTACAGGCATGAGCCACTGCACCCAGCCTGATCCTTTCCATTCTTTAAACAGGCCATTCTTCCTTCTTCATGGAATCTTTGCCAGTGCAATTTCCACTACTTGCGCATATTACCATCTATTTACGAATCATTCTTACTTTGAGTGTCAAACACTGGGAAAAAAAATTCTCACCCATGTCCCTGGCTTAGTTAGGTTTCATTGATATATAGCCTTGTATTAGTCCATTCTCACGCTCGTATGAAGAAATACCCAAGACTTGGTAATTTATAAAGGAAACAGGTTTAATTGACTCACAGTTCCACATTTCTAGAGAGGCCTCAGGAAACTGACAATCTTGGTGGAAGGCAGACATCTTCTTCACAGGGCAGTAGGACAGAGTGAGTGTAAGCGGGAGAAATGCCAGATGCTTATAAAACCATCAGATGTCATGGGAACTCATTATCACGAGAACAACATGGGGGAAACTACCCCCATGATTTGATTACCTCCAACTGGTTCTGCCCTTGACACATAGGGATTATGAGGATAACAATTCAAAATGACATTTTGGGTGGGGACACAGCCAAACTATATTATTCCACCACTGGCCCCTCCCAAATCTCATGTCCTCACATTCCAAAACACAATCATGCCTTTCCAACAGTACCCCAAAGTCTTGACTCATTCCAGCATTAACCCAAAAGTCCAAGTCCAAAGTCTCATCTAGAACAATGCAAGTCCCTTCCACTTATAAGCCTGTAAAATAAAAAGTAAGTTAGTTACTTCCTAAATACAATGGGGATACAGGCATTGGGTAAATATACCCATTCCAAATGGAAGAAATTGGCCAAAACAAAGGGGCTATAAGCCCCATGCAAGTCCAAAATCCAATAGGGCAGTCATTAAACCTTAAAGTTCCAAAATGATCTTTGACTCCATGTCTCACATCCAAGTCATGCTGATGCAAAAGGTGGGCTCCCAGGGCCTTGGACAGGTCCATCCCTGTAGTTCGGCAGAGTCCAATTCCCCTGCCCCCCTGGCTGCTTTCACTGGCTGTCCTTGAGTATCTGTGGCTTTTCCAGGCACACGGTGTAAGCTGTCAGTAGCTCTACCATTCTTGGGTCTGGAAAACAGTGGCCCTTTTCTCAACACTCCACTAGGCAGTGCCCCAGTGGGGACTCTGGGGGCTCACACCCCACATTTTCCTTTGCACTGCCCTAGCAGAAATTCTCCATGAGGGCTTCATCCCTGCAGCAAACTTTTGCCTGGACATCTAGGCATTTCCATACATCCTCTGAAATCTAGGTGGAGGTTCCCAACCCTCCGTTACTGACTTCTGTGCACCCACAGGCCCAACACCACATGAAAGTTGCCAGGACTCTGAGGTAACACCCTCTGAAGCAACGGCCTAAGCTGTATCTTGGCTTCTTTTAGCCATGGCTGAAGTTGAACCAGCTGGGATACAGGGCACCATGTCCTGAAGATGCACAGAGCAAGAGGGCCCTGGGCTCACCCCACAAAACCTTTTTTCCTCCTAGGCCGCCAGGCCTGTGATGGGAGGGGCTGCCACAAAGGTCTCTGACATGTCCTGGAGACATTTTTCCCATTTTCTTGGCAATTAACATTTGGCTTCTTGTTGCTCATGCTAATTTCTGCAGCATGCTTGAATTTCTCTTCAGAAAATGGGGTTTTATTTTCTATTGCATCATCAGGCTGCAGATTTTCCAAACTTCTATTCTCTGTTCACCTCTTGAATGCTTTGCTGCTTAGAAATTCTTCTGCCAGATATCCTAAATCATCTCTCTCAAGTTCAAAGTTCCACAGATCTCTGGGGAAGGGGCAAAATGCTGCCAGTCTCTATGCTAAAGCATAGCAAGAGTGAATTTTACTCCAGTTCCCAACAAGTTTCTCATCTGCATCTGAGACCATTTCAGCCTGGACTTCATTGTCCATATAACTATCAGCATTTTGTCAAAGCCATTCAACAAGTCTCTAGGAAGTTCCAAACTTTCCCAGATTTTCCTGTCTTCTTCTCATCCCTCCAATCTGTTCTAACCTCTGCCTGCTACCCAGTTCCAAAGTCACTTTCACATTTCCAGGCCTTATAGCAGCACCCAACTCTCAGTACCAACTTACTGTATTAGTTCATCCTCACACTGCTATGAAGAAATACCCAACACTGGGTAATTTATAAAAGAAAGAGGTTTAATTGACTCACACTTCTACATTGGTGGGGGGGGCCTCAGGAAACTTAAAATCATGGTGGAAGGCAAATAAGAAGCAGGCACCTTCTTCACAGGGTGGCAGGACAGAGTGAGTGTAAGCAGGGGAAGTGCCAGACACTTATAAAACCATCAGATGTCATGAGAACTCATTATCACGAGAACAACATGGGGGAAACTACCCCCATGATTTGATTACCTCCAACTGGTTCTGCCCTTGACACATAGGGATTATGAGGATAACAATTCAAAATGACATTTTGGGTGGGAACACAGACAAACCATATCATTCCTCTACAACATAATGACTTTTATTTATATTCATTGTTACTGTTTGTAACTATACATGTATTTGTGTATGTGTGTATATATATATTTTTTTCAATTAAAGTTAAATTTTTCTAACTCAAAAAAGACAGACTATTAATAACACATTAGTAATTATATGACACATACCCTGTAAAAGGCAGAATTCATTTTATACATGTTAATTCATTTAATTATTATAAGAAGTCTAGGATATATTTAAAATCAGTGTCATCATCTTTACATTTATAAATGAGAAATCAGAGGCACAGAAAGTTTTTTTTGTAAATTACTTAAGGTTGTGTATCTAAAAGAGTGCTGGGACTTGAACCCAGGTAACTATAGCTTAATAGTTTGCTATTAACTAATATCCTATTTCATATATTAAACCCACTGCCAATTAATGACTATACTAGTTCTGCTATATTGTATATCTCAAAATGTGTTTGCTTATGATATAAAAAGCAAGAAAAGTAAGAGAAAACTCCATATGGTTAGCCTGATCACAGTGGAGTAGGGAAAGCCAAGATACTTTTATCTGAGTGAAACAGGAAAGATCCAGCTTTTCTAACTTCATAAAATAATAAAGTTGGCTGGCAGTAAGTATGCAAAGTTTAGGACTTCAGCAAGGTTTATATTGGATAAAAATGAATGTAGGCCAAATCCTGCACTAAATCATGGTAGCTGGCAAATAAAGGAATCAAATGAGAGAGAGAGAAGAAGAAGAATAAAATACTAATTGAATATCTTAATTTTTGATTAGTGAGCCCAATTGTGATATCTTATAAAACAATGCATACATACATACCAGTTACTGTAAATATCTACCAGCCTGTCTATTCTTGGACAAAGCATCAGATAACCGTCTTTGGAACCGAAAACCAGAACTTTAATTGAATTCCCCTATTACTAACTTTGAGGAAGTTGAGTGTGACAGTTAAGAGAATCGGTTCTGAAGTCATATTATATGGATGCAAATTAATAACTTGTGTGACCTAAGGAAAATTAATTAACCTCATCCAAAATATAGAACACCTATCTGTGGTATGGTAGTAAAGTTTAAAGAAATTACTATATACAAAGTACTTAGAACAATGTAGTAACAAGTGCTAAAGGTATTAGGCATCATAATTTTTGCCCTGATCAAGGAATTTTGATTTTTAAGTTTGCCAATTGTATGACTCATTAATGTCACTGTAGGTTTTTCATTTATGAGTTATCTTTTGGGAACAGATACAAGAAGTGGCAATTCACATAGAGCTCAAGATAAAAGAGTGTTGAGAATGCCCTCAATCTTGAAACAGAGGGCACAGATCTAAGTTTGATGATTTGTGTAAAAGAATGTGCCCCAAATCCCAACTGCACCTCAAAGTCGAGTGAAAATAATATTTGCTTAAATGATATTCATGAACTTACCTCTCTAAATTTCTGCTTCTCATGGATCATGGATCTACATATGCAGATGCTGATGTGGAAACAGAAACTTCCACAATGCTGACCTGGAAACAGAAACTTCTACAGGGGTAACTGCTAGAAAAAGTAGATCTTAAAATACATAGTTCATCCTCTCTGGCATAACCAGTATGTATATAGTTAAGTAATCCAAAATCCTTTAACCAGTAATTTATCAACTTGCGTAACCAGCAACATGAGATAAATACTTCTTTTATTTCAACTTTTCTATTTGTTCTTGGTTTTATGGTAAATATGCACTTAAAATGGAAATGGTTTTGATAGTAGAGGGGTAGAAGACAAATGATGAGAAGAGAAGGAAAAGAGCCGAAGTCAAAGACAAAGAACCGCCCCTGCGCCCAGCAAAAAAACCAAAAAACAAAAAACCACCTTAGGAGATAAAAATATTGCAAGATGAGTAAAAACCCAGTATCGGCAGGGAAAAGGAAAGGGTCTTACAACTGAATACAATTATTTCAGGTAATTGTTAGGAGCAACATAATTTTTCAGCATAACTATGCAGATTTCAGCATGTGAAGCAAGAGAAAAAATAATAAATCCAGATGATCCTGAGGAAAGATGGCTATAAGAAAATAAGATTAAATGTTCATATATAATTAAATTTAATAGATAATTGTTACATGAAAATATTAAAAATTCTGTACCAAGTGGCACTATGGAAAATGGTGTCTAGTACTATAGTGATAATAATGTTTTTTTTTAATTTCTTAGCAACCTTTACAATAGCAAGTAAGACATATACATGGATTTTTAGTATATTGTTTGAACTTTTTTTGTCTGTTTAAAAACCATTTGCCCTTATTTCTATTATTCAATTTGGAGAACAGAAATATAGCATGAAAACAAATAAAAAACAAAGACAAAACAAGAAAACAAAAAATACTGAAATTCAAATGCCTAATATTAATAAATATAAATAGACAAAATTAGAAAATAAAAATATCAAATGTCAGATCAGCTGGACAAAATCATCTATCTTTATGATGTTTTAAAAAATATATCTAAAACATAAAAATAGTCAACAAATAAAGATAGCTACATTCTTAAAACTCTGGAAAAGAAAAAAACCAAACTATTGCAAATGAAATAAACACCTTCCCCAAGAGGTACAGACAAAATAACAAGTTAATAAGAGATTAACAAGATAACCACATGTAACACTAATAACAAAAATTAATTGTGTTTTCATATATTGGCAACAAAAAGGTAGAGAGCATTATCATTGTCATCAAGGTAAATAAATGAAAAATATGTAAGGTACCTAGAAATAAACCTAATAAAATATATAAATAGATGATATTGATAGAGAAAATTCATGTTTTGAAGCAATGTAAAACATTGCCTTAAAAAAAAGAAGTAATATGCCACATTCATTGAAAGAACATAAACACCACTTCAATATATGAGTAATATACCACAATCATTAGTATAAAGACTTCATATGGCAAAGATGTTATTCTCTTCACATTACTTACATAAAATGCAATTATAATCAAAATTTTGACAGGAATATTTTTGGGGGGTTACATAACAAATTACATTAAAATGTATGTAGAAATAAAAGACCCAAGAAGAAACACATAAGAATAAGAATATAGTTGGTCTTACTCTACCAGGTATCAAATCTATAGCTTTGTTAAACTACAGTAATTTAGATACTATGAGTCCCTAAAAAATACTGACCAATGACATGAAATAAAGAATACACAAATAGACATGTATTTTTAAACATTTACATGAGAAATTTGATATTTCAGATAATGTAGAAATTTTGGACTATCCAATAAATAGTCCTATAACAACTGGTTATCCACATGAGAAAACTGCAACTGATTCTTCGCCTTGCATCTCAAACAAAACCTTATTACAGATGTATTATAAAACATAGTAGTTATGATAGTGTGGTATCAGTGCAGCAACAGAGAAATAGACCAATGAAATAAAAAAATCAACACATACCATGTATATATTGATATTTAAGAAAAAGATGACACTGCAGAACAGTTGATAAAAAACAGATTTAATTTATTTTAAAAAATTATTATAGGATAACTGGATATCCACATGTAAAAAAATAAAAGTGGATGTTTACTTCACATCTTATACAAAGTCACTTCCAAGTAGATGCAGATCTACATGTGGAAGTCAAAATAATGCATCTCCCAGAAGATTGTATATATTTAATATTTAACATACAATATGTGACATCTAATATATGATATAACATTTACTAATCATTGTCAAAAATTCTTAATCAGAATCAGAAAGCACTAACCAACCTTAAGACACTAGAAAAAGGAGAACAAATTCAATCCAAAGTAAGCAGAAAAAAAGGAATAATAAAAATTACAGCTGGGCTCACCAAACTTGAAAATAAAAAAAATAGAGAAAAATCAATGAACCCAATAAATAAATACATAAAATAAATGAGACACTAAACAGGCTAGCTAAAAGATAGATAGGACACAGATTACTAATATCAGAAATAAAATGGGACACCAATACAGATTATAAAGATTTCATGCACATTAAAAAGATAAAAAGAAATACTATCAAAAATTCTGTGCCCACAAATTAAATAGCCTGGGAGAGATGGGCCAATAACTTGAAAAACACAATCTGTCAAAACTCACCCAAAAAGAAACAGACAATCTGAATAGACCTGTATCTATAAGAGAAATTGAATCAATAATTAATAACTTTCTAAAGCAGACAGCAGCAGGCCCAGATAGGTTCACTGGTACATTCTACCAAAAATTTAAGAAAAAATTGTACCAATTCTCTAAATGTTTTTGATATGGTAGAAGCAGAGGAACTGTTTCTTAACTCCTTTGATAAGACAAGCATTACCCTAATACCAAAAACAGACAAAGACATTACAAGAACCTAAATGATCAATGTCTTAAGACATTATTTAAAGATAAATATCTTCTACAAACATACATGCAAAAATTCTTAGCAAATTAAACAATATATAAGAATAATTATACATCTGATTGGCCTGGCGTGGTGGCTCACGCCTGTAATCCCAGCACTTTGGGAGGCCGAGGCGGGTGGATCATAAGGTCAGGAGATCGAGACCATCCTGGCTAACATGGTGAAACCCCGTCTCTACTAAAAATATAAAAAATTAGCCGAGCGTGGTGGCGGGCACCTGTAGTCCCAGCCACTCGAGAGGCTGAGGCAGGAGAATGGTGTGAACCCAAGAGGCGGAGGTTGCAGTGAGCCAAGATAGCGCCACTGCACTCCAGCCTGGGCGACAGAGCGAGACTCCATCTCAAAAAAAAGAATAATTATACACCTGATTAAATGAGATTTATCCCAGGCATGCAAAGGTAATTGAATATTGAAAAAAAAGTCATCTGTTATATCAACAGGAAAAAGAATAAAAAATAATATGACCATATCAATGGATACAGAAAAAACATTTGACAAAATCCAACACTCATTTATGATTAGAGAAAAAAAACTCTCAGTAAACTAGGAATAGAGAGAGACTTCCTCAAGCTAATGAAGAATATCTACAAAATACCTACAGCTAACTTACTTTACTAACCATATTTACTTAATGGTGAGAAACTCCAAGCTTTTCTGAAAGATCAGGAATAAGGCAAGAATACCCTCTCTTCATTGTTTTTCAAAATCATACTGGAAGTCTTAGTTAATGCAATAAAACAAGAAAAGGAAATAACAGATTTACTGATTAGGAAATAAATAAAACTGGTTGCAAATGACATGAATATATAGAAAATCCAAAAGAACTGACAAAATTCTCCTGGAACTAATCAACAACTACACATGGTGAGGTTACATGATACAAGGTTAATATACAAAAGGCCAATATTTTCTACATAAATTTAGTCTTAATGTTGTCAATAGGTTTTTTGAAACTGTGACTTTAAGTGAAACGATGTAACATCATTTCATTTAGTATAGTTTTGTTAAAATGTTCATGAGAGAAAAAAAATTTTTTTAATTCATATGTCCTTTCACTTAAAGTTGCAGTTTCAAAGAACCTGTTAATGATGTTAATTGAAGACTTATTGTACCTGCAATAAAATTGAAATTTGAAATAAAAACAATATCATTTGTAGTAGCACACTCCAAAAATAAAATATGTAGATATAATTTTAGCAAAATATTTACAAGGTCTATGCAAGAAAAACCACAAAATTCTGATGGAAGAAAACAAAATACAAAATAAATGGAGAAATATTTTATGTTGATGAATAAAAAGATGCAATATTGTCAAGATGCCATTTCTTCCCAACTTGCATTGACCTACATAATTCAATGCAATCCCCAATAAAATGGTAGTGAGTTATTTTGTGAATATTGAAAAACTGATTCTAAGGTGTATAAAGACAGGAAAAAGACCCAGAGTAGCCGATGCAATATTGAAGGAGAAGAATAAAGTTTGAGAACAGACTCTACTCAATTTCAAGGGTTAATATGAAGTTTTACTAATCAAAGACAGTATGGTATTAATGAAGTAACAGACAAGTAGATCAATAAAAAAGAACAGAAGACCCAGAAATATGCCCACATAAATATAATCAAGCAATCTTTGGTAAAGGAGCAATGGCAGTACAATGTAACACAGATAGTGTTTTCAACAAATGGTACTGGAAGAACTGAACATCCACATGCAAAAAAATAAACCAAGACACAGACTTTACACCCTTCACGAAAAATTAACTCAAAAGATATCACAAATCTAAATGTAAAACACAAAATGATAAACCTAGAAGATAGAATAGGAGAGAATCTAGATGATCTCGACTTTGGTGGTGACTTTTTACATACTACACTAAAGGCACAATTCATGGAAGAAAGAAAGAATTGATAAGGAGTACATCATTAAATTTAAAAATAAATGCTCTGTGAAAGACATTGTGCAGAGAATAAAACAACAAATCACAAACTGAGAGAAAATATTTGCAATAGACATATCTGATAAAGGACTGTTATCCAAAATGTACAAAAAAACCTTTAAACTTAACAATAAGAAAATAAACAACTTGATTAAAAAGGAGCCAAAGGCCTTATGACAACTCACCAAAAATATAAATGACAAATAAGCATAATATGTTCTGCATCATATTTCATCAGGGGAATACAAATTTAAACAATAATGCCATGCCACTACACACCTATTAGAGGGCCCAAATCCAGAATACTGACAATACCGAACATGTCAGTAGAGAATGAGGAGCAACAGGAATTCTCATTCATTGCTGCAGGGAATGCAAAATAGTACAACTACTTTAGAAAATAATTTTGCAGTTTCTCACAAAACTGAAAATACTGTTACCATAAGATTCAGCAATCATGTTCCTTGGTACTTACAGGAATTGAAAACATGTCCACTCAAAAATCTGCAGATGGATGTTTGTGGTAGCTTTATGTATAACTGTCAAAATTGGAAGAAACCAAGATGTCCTTCCATTAGTTAATCAATACAATAAACTGCGGTACATCTAGATATCTAGATAGTGAAATATTATTCAACACTAAAAAGAAGTGAGCTATCAAGCCATGAAAAGACATGGAGAAAATTTAAGTGCATATGACTAGGTTTAAAAAAGGCCAGTTTGAGAAGGCTATATACTGTATGATTCTAATTATATGAGATTCTGGAAAAGGTAAGTTAACTATGGAGACAGTACAAATATTAGTGGTTAGCATGGATTTGAGGGAAGGAAGGAATGAATGGAGGGAGCACAGAGGATTTTTAGGACATTGGTTTCATCTGTATGATACTACAATGGTGGTTGCATGTCATTACACATTTGTTCAAATCCATAGAATGTACAACACCAGGAGTGAACCCTAATGTAAACTATAGACTTTGAGTGATAATGATGTGTCAATATAGTACGTACCACTCTGTTAGGAGATGTTGATAATGGGAGAGACTATGCATGTGTGGGACACAAGAGGTATATGAGAAATCTGTGTACCTTTCTCTCAATCTTGATATAAACCTAAAAGTGTTCTAAAATAATAAAGTGTTTTTTAAAATGCATTAACAATTACAGATCCAATCTCTAGCTTGGCTACATTAAAATTAAGAAACTCTACTCATCAAAAGATACTATTAAGAAACTTAAAAGGCAAAAAAAAGTAGACAATGTTTATTTGCAACATGTATAACAAATACACAGCTCATATCTAAAATGTCTAAAGACAAAAAGCAAATAAAAAATAACAGCTAATATAAAAATACCCAAAGGATATAAGAAGCCACTTAACAAAAGAGAATACAGAGCAACAAGACCTCTTCTGCAGTGCTGAGTGGAAAGTAAGTGGTGCTACAACTTGGAAAAACAGTTTAGCATTATTCAGTTTCATTCCTACGTTTCTTCCATGAGGAAGCATAACTATGTTTATAAAAACAAGTGCACAAAATTGTACAGAGTTGCACTTTCCCTAATAGCTCTGCTATAGTTAATTTCATATGTCAGCCTGACTAGGCCAATTACCTAGTTTTGGATTAAACAGCAGTCTAGATGTTGCTGTGAATGTTATTTTTTAGGTATGATTAAGTCAGTAGGCTGAATGAAGCAGATGAATTTCCACAATCTTTTGATAGTCAGTTGAAAGCCTTAGGATAAAAGACTGAGATCCCCATTAAGGAAGAAATTCTGCCCCTAGATCACCTTCAGACTAATACTGCAACAAACTTTCCCATGGGTCTCCAGACTGTGAGTCTACCTTGCAGAGTTTGGACTTGCCAGTCTCCATAATCACGTGAACCATTGCCTTCGAATCTACCAATCAATCAATTTCTCTTTTTCTGCCTCCTCCCCGCACCCATATGTATATATGTCTTACTGGTTCTATTTCTTTGGAAAATCCCGACTAATATAAACTTCAAACTGAACACTATTTAGATGTTCACTAACAAAAATAAATAAATAAATAAATAAATACATGAATTGTGAGATAATCATATAGTAGAATACTAAATCTTAATAGAAATAAAATGCAACTAGGAAAACATGGATAAATTTCACAAACAAAATGACAAGTTAAAAGAACCAAACACAACACCACACATATAATATGGTTTAATTTAAACAAAGTTCAAAAATAATTAAAACCAAATTTTAGTGTTTAAGTATGCCTAAGTGATTACACGATAAAGAAAGTAATTACAATTAACAACAGTAATAGTTATCTTTGGAAGGGAAGGAGAGAGAGGATTGCAAAAAGGCACAAGAGAACTTTCTCAGGTGCTAAAATATACTATTTCTCGATTTGGGTGATTGTTATCCTGGCTTTATTTTGGGGATAATTTAGTTATCTATTTTCATTGTATGCATTTCTTGTGTGTGTTATATTTTGCAAGACAAAGCTATAGCAAACAAGAATGAGAAATACAGACTCAGAGGGATAGGAATGAGATCACATAGAGAGAGACATTGATAATTGTCTAGCTTTTAGGTTATTTCTGTTGATTAGAGCCTAAAACTGTTAGACATTAATGTGGACGCTTAATTTACTACTAGAAAGGTCTCATGTTAAAAGTGAAAAGTGAGAAGACTGAGGTTTGAATGGCCTGCTTTTCCTGGGCTGGTGGCTGAGACACTGCAAAGGCAGATTTTCTTAAGAAACCTCTTCTTTCTTGTGATAGTAGTATCAGCCAGCATGTAAGATTGAGCATTTGGAATAATCATTCTGTGTTGCTTGCATGCCATGTGGAAGCTGAGCAAAGCTGAATCAATGATCCAAGAACACAATGTCTGGAAATGATCCCATCCTGAATACCTTTTTCATGTTTTTGCAGCCAATTGATCACCCAACACTGCTGCATACATAAGGTTTTACTAATAGATTTGCCATTCACTGATTATATTGCTGTTTATAAGACAGTGGTAATGCTCAAGACATTTTATGAGAAACCTTATCCTATCCAAGGTGGCAGATTAGAAATGCATGGCTTGTGACTTCTGAAACAGGCCAAGGGTATGGCAAGGAATATGCTCTGTTGAGTTCCAGGTATGTTGGTAGCCAAAGGTTTATTCCAATTAGCTCAAGACTTGTTTCCTTCAATTAGAAACATTCTGTTTATAACACTCTCTTGCCAATTCAATGGATAACTTACTGAGCCCGAATAGCTCTCTTCTTTATCTTGTAATTTAACCCATGCTCATTCAACTCTACACCTTACTTTACAATCACAGTCCCTGTTGTGCTCTTTGAAAATCAAGCAGTTGTTTTGTGCCATGAACAAAATCACACTATGCTTTCAAATAAATAACATGAAATTTTAAAACGACTCTGGTTAGTAGGGATATAACTGCAATAGAATGACCTAAACACTAAGAAGCACATCTACTGATACTATTTTCTTTTGTTTTGCTCCTGAAGTCATAGCCACCAAAACTTTTAGTTAATGTGCAAAAGCCAAGCCACCTGTATAGGTATACCTGCTGTCTCTAAGTGCTCTTAATAGATAAAATATGATTGCTGTTATAAGGGAGCTTCTTTATACCTGAAGTTTGGTGCCTTAAAAAATTACATGCACGTAAGTTTTGTTAAAAATTAAACCTCTTTCATGCTTAATAATACTGAAGTCCAAATTTATTTTCTCCCTTCATGGTTAAAGCCCAAATGATGTGAGACCTGTTTTCACTAACTGTAATCTCTAATAAATGAAGAAGGCTTTCAGTGATATCTGCATTAGTGATAATCAAATAAATTACTTGGACCAGATATTATAATGTTGACATGATTCAAAGATAGTTTTTAACCTAAATCAGTATTTTACTTGGAGCTCAATAGGGTTGGGAGATAGTAATTTTTATTTAAAAAAATTAAAAACTGTGTATCCCGTTGCAGCATAATTTATTCAGATATTAAATTTATTCTGCCAATATTTCTTCCACTCTCTTGCAACCCATAACACAAAGAATCCAATATCTCCGCAGATAGCCAGGTCCTTTGCAACTCTTTCACTCTGGGATTTTGCAAGGCAGGAAGCAAGAGCTGCTACAATTTCTTGCTCTGATAAGAGAATCTGAATTCAATAAAGAGATTATTCTAGGTGTCCTTGGAAAAAAAGGGCAGAATTTGTGGGCAAAGCAAAGAGAGAGACTGGAACATTTCCTAGAACTGAGCAAATTCTGTATAGCAGAGGATTTCTTGCTAGTGATTGAGGAAGGGAAGGGCTACATAGTACATGTGGATAAAGTGAAGACTGAATAGATATTTACACCTCATATTGAAAAGTTGAGCTTTCAGTCATTTAAGTGAATCTTTCATTTTGAGAAAAAAATCTGACTCTAAAAATCTTATTACCCCGAGGATTCCCAACTCCTGAAATTATGTCCATAATGCCAACCATGACATAAAAGCCTAATGAAATCAAGGAAAAATACAGATGTAGTTTTTAAATCACTTGAGTCCAATAATGATAAATTTATGTCAGGGAAGACAAAAAAAAAGAAAAAGAAAACCTAGGTTGATCTGCTCTCCTTCTCCCTACTCTTTAAGAAAAACAGAAAGACTATGACCAAGGCCTCAGCATACTTACTGTCAAATGTGTGTGAACTTCTCATAGTTGCATTAATAAAAATCTATTTTTCCTTTGCCAACCACTTAACCTCTTACCTATTCTCCAGTCACTACTATTTCTCTTCTAATTATCCTTGATGATAATATTGACCTTTGAGGGTTACAGAGTCATGAAGCCATTTACGGCATTTTTCTGGTTTGATATTAAGAGATACTCCTTAGTGAGTTTCAGTAGTACTCAAAGTACTTAATTAGGATCTTTACGTACATTACTTCTTAACATAAAAAACATTGTTAGGAAGTTATCATTATCACCAGTTCTCCTCATGAAGAAACTGAGGCTCAACACAGTTAACTGACATACATGCATAGATATGCAAATATATAGAGCTATGCATTGCTTAAGCACAGGGAAAGGGAAATGTTTTGGGAAATGTGTTGTTAGGTGATATTGTCATTGTGCTATCATACAGAATATTTATGCAAACCTAGATGGTATATGGTGTATCCTTCGCTCCTAAGCTGCAAACCAACACAGCATATTACTATATTGAATACTGTAGGCGACTGTAGAAAAATGGTAAATATTCATGTATCTAAAAATACCTAAACATAGAAAAGGTACAGTAAAAATACAGTATTGTACTCTTATGGGACCTGATGTGGTTTGGCTCTGTGTCCCCACCCAAATCTCATCTAGGTTTTCAATCCCCATAATCCCCATGTGTGGAGGGAGGGGCCAGGTGGGAGGTGATTGGATCATGGGCACAGTTTCCCCCATGCTGTTCTCATGATAGTGAGTGAGTTCTCACTAGGTGTGATGGTTTTCTAAGGCAGTTTTCCCTGCTCTTGCTTCTTGTCTCTCTTGCGGCCTGGTGAAGAAGGTCCTTGCTTCCCCTTCACCTTCCACCATGATTGTAAGTTTCCTGAGGCTTCCCCAGCCATGCAGAACTATGAGTCAATTAAATTTTTCTTTTATAAATTACCCCGTCTCAAGTATTTCTTTATAGAAGTGCAAAAACAGAATAATAGAGGACTACTACCATATATGCAGTCAATCATGGGCTGAAATGTCATAAGGTAGCACATGATTATACACATATTTATCCAGAATGAGGTTTATTATCAGGAATTAGCTCATGCAATTGTGGAGGCTGAGAAGTTCCATGATGTGCCATCTGCAAGCTGGAGACCCAGGAACGCCTGTGTTGCAAACCAGTTCAAGCCTGACAACCAGGGGAGCCAAGGATGTCTCCGTCTGAGGGCAAAAGACCCATGTCCAACTCAAGCATTCAAGCCAAAGGGGTGGATTCTCTCACCTTCTGCCTTTTCTTCTATTCAGGCCTTCAACAGACTAGATACCCACCCACACTGGAGAGAGTGATCTGCTTTACTCAGGCTACCAATTAAAATGCTAATCCCTACCAGGCATGGTGGCTCACACCTGTAATCCCAGCACTGTCAGCAGTCAACGTGGGTGAATTGCTTGAGTCCAGGAGTTCAAGATCAACTTGGGCAACATGGCGAACCCTGTCTCTACAGAAAATGCACCTGTCGGGCGTGGTGGTGTGCACCTGCAGTCCCAGCTACTTGGGAGGCTGAGGTTGGGGGATTGTTTAAGCCCACCCAGGAAGTGGAGGTTGCAGTGAACTGAGATTGCACTACTGCAATCCAGCCTGGAGCCTGAGTGACAGAGTGAGACCCTGTCTCAAAACGAAAAAAAAAGCAAAAAAAAAAAAAAAAAAAAAACCAGCTAATCCCATCCAGAGACACCCTCTCATGCACACCCAAAAATAATGTTTAGTCTAATGTCTGGGTAATTCATGATCCAGTCAAGTTGACATGTAAAATTAACCATGACAACATGCCACTAGGGTTAGTCCAGATCTTTCTACTATGTCATTTATCCCATTACTAGCATGGTCACAACAGTAGAACACACTAGTAATTATATTCTAAACAAATATAATTTGTTGGATCTTCTGTACCTCCTATCAGTAGGTAGGTAGGTACCTCCTATCAGTACCTCCTATCTGTACCTCCTATCAGTAGGTAGGTAAAGTTGGATCTTCTGTACCTCCTATCAGTAGGTAGAACTCTCTGTAAATAGCCAGCCAAGGGGATATTTAAGCATTATTTTGACAGTCAAACTTCAAATAAACCATTCAATTTGAAAAAAGACCGTTGTTTCTCAGGATAAGATTAATATTATCACAAAAAGAATCCCTCCCTTCAAAGTATCTTTTGAATAAAACAAGTATGCTGATAACACAAAAGTAAGGTAAAGACACAATTGTTAAGAGAAAGAAGGAGAATTTGGAATTTCTGACATGTAATTCCTAAGGCAAAATTGTATGAGCTAATCTATTTCACTAGGGTTCTAAAAACCTAAGAGTAAAATCCCTAAATAATTACTAGATTGAAGAAAACCTATTCACTTTATTTAAAACCAACAAATCACACACACACACACACACACACACACACACACACACACACACACACAAATATTTCTAAGCTTTGAGACCATGAGAGATAGGGGAGAAAGACTTTTAGATGCATGTTAAATTCTCATCTAGGCCCATACTCTGATATATGCTTCAAACCCTGGCTCTTCCTGTCAGATTACTAGAAACTTTGTCATATAAATAGCCCCAAAAAAGCATATAACAAGGTGGGAAATCTACCTTGCAAATGAAAATATTTCCAGAATAATCAACATAAGGCCCAAATGAAGAGGTGACACGTTTTGGCAGTAGAAACATGGTAACTTCAGATGCTTAACTGTCAATCAGTAATCACAATAATATCATTCAAAACACTTTTCCCTTGATATAAAAAGATGCCACTGGAGAATTTTGATGCTGAATATAATAGTGGGTTATAAAATATATAAAAAATTAAACCCATTTGAAAATTATGTCTATACCAGCAAAAGTATGAATAAAAACTGAAAATAGAATCAATCAAATAGCAATTTAAAAAATTCAATTTTGCCCACGTTTCCCAGCAAGTTGTTCCATTCATTCCTGATGGCATTTCCTCTCTGGCTTTTAAGTTTCTGTAACTCCTTCCTTAAAAATTCAGTATATAATTTACTATTTAACAACACACACTCTCAATCCTAGCCATTTATATCTGGCTCTAAGTTTTTTCTTTCCAACCGTAGTTCAATCTTTTAAAGATGATAGACTGTGAGTTCCATTTATTTACTATAGAGGATGTGCTTTCCCTCTAGGAATTCACAATTCTATGGAATAGGGAGTAGAACTAAAATCTATGAGCCAAGATTGAAAGACATACCCCCTCACAAAGGCCCTAGGAAATATGAGAAGCTCTGTTTTAACTATGTAAAAGAGAAAAATTTCCCATAGCACAATGGGGAATCTCTATATCCAAATAAAATATATATTTTATAGAGGAAAAAATTATGTCTTTATTTATACATACACACATATGCAGCCCCCAACACACACACCCCTTAACAGAAAGGTCGTGTGAAGATAATTCTACTCAGAGGATCACAGAGTTGGTAAAATTGCTGCAAAAACGTTTAAATAATTCAGTTTTTTTCATGTATCATTAATATTTATCTTGCAACACAGTTATTTAGTTTACATACATATTCTTATTGTCAGGAGGGGGAAAGATTATTGTTCAAACATTCTGAAATCTATTCATAATATTTTTGAAGATAAACATAAAATTGGGAATCAAAGTATACACACTCTGCCTTTTTAAAAGGCATTTTATAGCATGCTAGCTTCATCTTTAACCCCAAGCATGTAGACAGTAATGAAAGTGTCACATAGTTTGCTAGAGTGTATTATTAAAAAACTAAAATATAAATCAGAGGAGATACGAATATTGCTGTAGAATTTACTGGCTGTAAGCTACGTCTCATATTACTCACCAAAATTGAAAAAGTCATACTTATTCTCATAGGAAATTAAGGAGACTTGAAATGACTTAATGCAAGTGATTTTAACTTACAAGGCAGTTGTGTAAAAGTAAGCAGATTAAATTCCCACTTTCAGAGGAAGCTGGAACAGAAATGAAGGTAGCTAAAGGGAAATAATGGAGTGATGAGATGGCTTGAGGGCTTGAAAAGTAGTTCTTTTATAACACTTTTTTCATCAAGTTTTTCATATTCACAGATGTTGGGGTCAGTACCATTAGTTGGGCAACAATCAGAAGGCAAACCTGGTGGGTCGCCCTTCCTGAGGCTAAAAGAATAGTAGGCACTAACCAGTCTGAGCAGGCAATATTCATCAGGATGTCACTGACACACGGCTTTTAATTACTTCATGAGAAGCTCCTAGACCTGGCCCCCAATTCACTAAGGACAGGATAGTATAAGGAAAGTAGCCTGAGCCTTGTACTATCAGGTCCTTAGTGAGTTCTCAAGCCATCAGACCAAATTAAGTAAATGTATAACTTAATAACTCATCCAAAATCCTGAAGTACAACCTATAGATATATAGTATACTTGAAAAAATATTTTTAATCCATTCAGTGAACTAAAAGTCATATAAAGAAGAATTTATACTAAAAATATATTTTAAATACATTAGTCATCCTGGCACAAGCACAAATTCCTTAAAAGAAATGATGAAATAAACTTATATACCAAAACAAACAAACAAACAAACAAACAAAAATACTATAAATATGAAAACTACAAAAGCAGGCCAACACAGCTGTGTCTTTCTGTAACTTAAATTCAGAACAGTCATTAGTGACACTATTTTCCAAAATTGTTGAGAAATCTTAAGAAGGTTCTATCCATACACATGACATCTTTTCTCCATTGCATAGGAATTGCATGTATTGAAAATTCAGTGTATATTAATTCCACGCAAAACATATTTTATGTTTGTATGTAAACTGGGGTTAGGTAATAGCTTCAGATATTATAAATAGGTCCCGCAGAATATTCACTTTCAGGATATCAAGTATTTCTATCCCCCAACCACAGAGCCAGTAGTGGCCTCCAAACCTTACAATAATCACCATGACCCACAGACATCCAGATTTAACTTAGGGAGACATGCCTTCCCAGTTGAGAAGTACTATCCCGACACTGAAGGAAAGGATTAACCACCGAATTTCTTGCAGAAAAGAATAAACAAGAAAAACACTAATTGAAAAGCTATACCAGCTAGTGGGTATGTTATAAACTTCATGCAAAACTTTTTATTTCATTTTTCTAACAATCATGCAAAATAGATGAGGTTATCCCCATTAATAGATACATAAACCAAGTCTCAAGGGGGGCAAATAACATTTCTTTGATACACAGCGTGTAAGTAGCTTGGGTATATTTGGAAAAGTCTCTTAGACTATGAGTCCTGTGTATTCCACAACACCTTGTTCTTAACTGTTAGCAAGAAATGAGACTTTCACAAGGGACTCTCATTTAAATGAGACTATTAGTGACATTATTTTGAAAGGAAGTATCTTGTATTCTATATAATAAAAGTAAACTCTATGAATATATCCAGACATATGGTACAATATGAAACAATACATTTATGAATAAACAAGATTGAGCTCCACAAATTCTAAATTCTGGAATGAATCAGGCATACATAGGCATAACATGGACCAAAAATTAGAAACCAAAGTGGCTAGGCCTGTTGAAAAAAAACAAATGAAAAGTAGTGGAGAAAGACTTTTAGAAATCACGTTTAGTCTCATAGTTTTCCTTCTTTCCATCCTGCCTCAAAGTGATCTAGTAAAAAAAAAAAAAAAATCCCCAGTCTACTCAAATTTCTTCCACACAAACTCTTGGTGCATGAGTTAATGTGCAAGAGAGTGTAGCCATGCTTAGGTACTTTTATATTCTTTGCAATAATTGTTAGAGCTATTTTATAAAAAGGTGTGGTTGAAGATTCATTAATTAAAGTCTGATCTTTGAATAGTTGCAGGAAGAGAAAGACAGAGTTCTCTCTATCATACCATCCTTGATAAAAGAAAATAACTATATAAAATTTTTGAAATCGTATAGGACATGAGAAAAAATTGTATAATGAAAGAAAAATGCCTATTTCTGTCTGTAGAACAAGTACCTGTTACCACTATCAGAAAAAATTTAAATAATTTTTCACATTATAGTCATATATATATATATATAAAATGTAATTTTTTAGTTGAAGTATATAAAATTTACTCCATAATATTGGCCCAGCCATTCTCACTTTTATATTTGTAAAATTCTAATTTTAAAGACCCTCTTCAGAAAAACAAAAGGCAGATCAACCCAGCTAAAATTTGCAGTCAGTTTTTCTCCCATAATAGGCAGAAAGAAAAAAAAAAAACTAAATACTTCACAGTGATTCTACCTACTCAGTCTCTCTCTCATCTTTTCTCCTCTCAATACTCTTGGAAACTGCTTTCGGTTAAGCACTCATTGTGTATCTCGTCAATGACGGCAGAAATTTCTCAGCTGGTCTTCCAATCCCAGTTTTACCCCCCTTCAATATGTCCTTCTTACTATTACCAGAGTGTTATTTCCAGAAGTAAACATGATTACTTTCATGCTTAGCATCATCCAGTTCTCTCCATCATTACAAAGCTGCGATCCAAATTATCTCAGCACAGACCCTGCTGATGTGGATCCTCTCTAGGCTCAACATTCATAATTCCTCAAAAATATCCTCCATCATGGAATCACTGTAAACTTTCTGTAGTTTCTAAATGAACCAGGTCTTTTTTTTAACTCCTTGCCATAGTTTCTTGTATATGCTGTTTTTCATTTCCAGTAATATGTTTCTCTCCATGATTTACTTGGGAGCTCATACTCATCCTTTAAGAGTTAACTGATGCTTAGCCTCTTCTGGGAAAACTCTGAAGCTAGACTTCTCTTCTCTGTATTTCCATTGCCTTTTCTGTACATATTCCTAACGTGTTATTTAACAGAGTATATACAATTATAGTATAATTGTTGATTGATTTGCTCCTCATCTCTGCCATCATTAGACTAAATATCTCAAGGACAGAAATTCTATATGTGATTTCTATGTTACCAACATATAGCACATTGTAAACATTGCATTTTTATTGAATACGTGGTAAAATAACATCGCCCTTTTATCCCAGAATGAAGCCATACATACCACTTTAACATTGGCTCATTTTAAATGTAGTTTCTGGTTTTTTGTTTTTTGTTTTTTTCTGACGGCGTCTCGCTCTGTCGCCCAGGCTGGAGTGCAGTGGTGCAATCTCGGCTCAGTATAAGCTCCGCCTCCTGGGTTCACGCCATTCTCCTGCCTCTCAGCCTCCCGAGTCACTGAGACTACAGGCACCCACCACCACGCCCAGCTGATTTTTTGTATTTTTAGTAGAGATGGGGTTTCACCGTGTTAGCCAGGATGGTCTCGATCTCCTGACCTCGTGACCCACCTGCCTTGGCCTCCCAAAGTGCTGGGATTACAGGTGCGAGCCACCGTGCCCAGCCATTTCTGTTTTTAACACAATTAGGAAATAGTGAAACTCTTCACTCCAAGAAGTGGTATAGGATAATATTGTAAACACAAACAATAAGAAGTGACATACATACATTTTTTGGTAGATATATGATGAATTATCTCTTGACTCTAATCAATCCACAAAATAAAATGAACACACATCTTTGGAAAGTAACTAAGTGAAAGACCCTGTGTTCCATAGGATAAAACGCAGACTTTCTGTTAAAAAGTATTCATTTCAAAAATGTGAAGACAATAGTGCTATAAAAATAATTTCAACTGATTAAACTTAGTCAAAATAAAAGAGTTTTCTGTGCATCTATTGCCTTTTCATTTTATTTTGATTTGATATAATTTTCATTAACTTTAAGCCTTTGCCTCTTATTATCTCTATATAAGGTGGTCAAACAAACGTCAATAGGAATATAGGGATTAGTAATGACTCGCACCCTGTTTAAATCATCAGTTTTGCTTGAATCCCTGATTATAGATATACTTACTGACAGATTTTCATGATTAAAAACCATAAACTGACACAGTCTGACCATTTTTGTCCAGACTAATGATCCCAGAGAATCTATACTTAGAGACATTGTATAGTCTATTTGAATCTAAATTGACTTTATAGTTAAGGATGCACAGTGTTGTCCCCAGGGAAACCACTAAATAATGACATAAAAAGTACCAGTAAGCATCCAAGAGAGAAAATAAAATTGAAGAATGAATTAAACAAATTTAACTTACAAGAGCGCAGTAAAGGAGCAACAGATAAAGAAACCAAAGGAACCAATGGAAAATAAGTAACAAAGAATGTCCTTAAATTCAAACTTAAAAAATTACCAGGGCCAGGTAATTTTACCATATGAAAAATTAAATGGGCCAGGTGCAGTGGCTCACGCCTGTAATCCCAATACTTTGGGAGTCCAAGTCAGGGGGATCAGCTGAAGTCAGAAGTTCGAGACTAGCCTGGCCAACATGGTGAAACCTGTCTCTGCTAAAAATACAAAAATTAGCTGGGCATGGTGACAGGCGTATGTAATCCCAGCTAATCAGGAGGCTGAGGCAGGAGAATCGCTTGAACCCAGGAGGCAGAAGTTGCAGTGAGCCGAGATGATGCTATTGCATTCCAACCAGGGCAACAAGAGCAAAACTCCATCTCAAAAAAAAAATTACACTAAATGTAAATGTAAATGGCCTGAATACCACAAACTAAAGGACAAATACAGACTGAACCAATAACCCAAACTCAACCACATGCTGTCTACAAGAGTATATTTAAAATATACTCTTTAAAATTAAATATGCACTTTAAAATTAAAAATACAAATAGGTTGAAATTAGAAAACATGAAAAAAGATATATCATATTAATGGTAAACATAAGGAAGCTGTGTGGCTATGTTAATACTTTAAAAGTAGACTACAGAACAGAAGCTGCCAAGGATTAAAAGAGTCATTGTATAATGATAAATTGGATAATTAATCAGTAATGGGGTTTAAGGTGGACATGAATTTTGGCAGACAGTATTCAACTTATTATACAATACTAACCAAGCAAAAAATAGAGAAAACTTTAAAGTATTAGGTATAACAGTTGATTACTCCAGAAACTACAAATGTTGAGGATAATATGGAATTTTATGAAAAAACACGTCAATAATTTGATAATATATTAAATAATTCCTAGAAAATGTAATCTGTCAAAAATGAATTGAAAAATGTAGAAAATTTAATATTTAGACTAATATAATTAATTAATAATATACAAAATATATTAAAGAAATTACATTTATAATCAAAGGTTTCCCTTGAAGCAATTTATTAACCCATTTGGGTTTTTGTGTGAATTTCATGAAACGCTGAAGAAAAATAACACACTATCCTTTACACACACCTTTAAAGTGCCTAGAGGTATAGAGATGGCTTCCTAATTCATTTTGTGAGGCCCTGTTATTGAAATCTGGCAAAGATACTGTCAGAAACCAACAAATGAATGAATCCTCAATAAAACATAAGCAAATCCAATTCAGCAAAATATGAAAAATGATCTTACTTTAAGATCATGTAGGCTTTACACAAGGAAAGCATATATGAAGGTGAAAAATCATATAATCTGAATTGATGAAACTATTTGATAAAAGTCAACACTCATTTATGACAAGAACTCTCAGCAAACTAGACTGATAAAGGTATCTCTGAAAACTTAGGTACCACATATAATGGTGAAAAACTAAATGCTTTTACACATAATTGAGAACAAGACAAGAACATATATTCCTAGCATATCTTTTAAATATTGTACTAGAGGTCTCAGCTAGTGCATTTGTGCAAGAAAAACAAGTCAAAGGCATATGCAAAAGTATATATATATATATATATATATATATGCCTACTATAGTACCCAATAATGGGTACTATTGTACCCATTATTCTGACTCCTAAGTATTTCTTCAAGAAAAAGGAAATGAGATACACAAATAAATTATTGTACCTGAATGAGCATAGTAGCTCCATTCATAACAGTCCCAAATTAGAAGCAAACAAAATGTCCCCAAACAAGTGAATACATAAACCAAATGTGATATATCCATACAATATAATTCTACACAGTAATAACAACTACAGCAAAAGCATAATCAAACAAGCAACCTCATAAAACATTTCCAAAAAATTACCTTGAGCAAAGAAGCCAGGTACAAAAGTGTACATATTGCATGCTTCAACTTATATAAATTATTAGAATTTCAAAAGTAATCAATAGTGATAAAAATTAGATCGTTAGGTGCCAAATAGTAAAGATGGTAAGTGGGATAACTTCAAGGTACACAAGAAAACTTTCTTGGTCTATCTTTATTAATGTGTCAATTATAGGAGTACATACATTTATCAAAACACAAACTATACATTTTAAAAATGTAAATTATATTCTTTGTTAATTACACTTCAACAGAATTGATGAAAAAATAAATTAGAATGGTCAAACTATCTTGAGGACATATTGGGACTGATGTTGCCAAATTACCCTCTTACTGATGCTAGTATTTCAGAGCAAAGATAGAAGTAAAATTACTAGCAGAGAGAAGTTACAAAGAAACTGAGACAAAGTGACCATGGGTAAATTTAATGAAAGTAGAGCATAAAAACAAAAAGGAAAGAAACAAATAAGGTGGCTGAAGAGATAAAGAATAGGAAGAGCCTAGGCAAAAATCCCTAAAGAGTAGCCCTGGTATAAGAAATAGAGGAGATTTGGGGTTGCTGCTGAACATGATTTTATAAATTTTAGGTAGCTAAATATCAAGTCTTTATATCTACTCACACAAGGTAGACATAACATCATAGGTGATGGATGGAGAGAACAAAATTTTCATAAAAAACTGGAATAATTTGTAGCTGAGTTGATGTGAAAAAGGACAGGGTAAACTGAGCAATGGTAGTTTGTAACCCATATTCTGAAAGGTTCTATAGGCTGCTCAGTGGGATTTGACTTCATATTGCGGGATCTGGCCAGCAGCCCGCAATGCAATGGGGCTTTTTCTTTGTTCCCAGGCAGATTGGCAGGTCAAGAAATAATAGACACACACAAGATAGTGAAGGCTGGGTCCAGGGGGGTCACCGCCTTCTGGTTCCGTGATGCCGCCAATGCACTGGATATACCAGCATTTATTATTAAGTTTAGGGAGGGCAGGGGTAGGTTAGTGAAGGATTTAGGGTCGTTTGATTATGAGGTGAGATGGTCACATGGGGATGAAGTAATTCTTTAACATAACATCTGTATGCAGAAGTACAGTATACAGAGATAAGAATTTACAGTATAGTGTGTGCATCAGTAATTTCTAACAGAGCCTTAAAACAGAAACACAGTCTTTCCATAACCTATGATTAGCCAGATATTAATCAGCAGTTAACAGTTGCAGCAAAAGCTGGTTACAAACAATCCATAGAAACAGGATGTGAAGCTAGACAACTGGTTAGACCAGAAATTCTCAGAAGGGAGTATGCCTTAACCCTAAAGAGGCCTAGAAGAGCCATGGCAAGATGAGGGCGTTTATAGTCCTATCTTATTCATATGGACAGGCGCCCCTCATGCATCCGTTTATAGGCTCTCCATAAAGGTTGCATTCCATTCCCAGAGCTATGAATATCTGCTTTTCTGGGATAGGAATCTTGGTGATGTGAAACCTCCCTGACTGCACCTCCATTCATAGGCTCGCTGCAGGGGGAAGCACATCACGTGCTGTTGGCTCATTCTGGCAGTCCAACCTGGCATTGTCTTTACACAATCCTGCATGCAATTTTGTATTTACAATAATCAGGAGTATTTCATCTTTTATTCTGTAGCAATAGTTTCAGGGGTCTCCCTACAACTTCATCCTGTGGGAAATGAGGAATCAGCAGAAATTTACAAGACAGGCAGTAGCTGATCAGCTTAGCATTTCACATACTTTACAGTGCCTTGGCATAATGAAATCATCAATATTTTATAGAGGACTATATCAAAAAGTGCCCTTTGAAAGGGAAGACTGTCTTTTAAAAATCACAGTATCAAGGATGTTTTTGCTCTGAACAAAAGATATGGCCAAAAGATATGGCCCTTTTACATAATATGATATACATATAATATTTTATATCATCACATATTTGGTCTAACTACTGAATTAGAACCCAAGGGATCTCAGCATTTAAAACCTTAAAACCTTAAAATCTAATCTTTAAGGGTTGGGGAAGATCAAGAGATTCAGGTTTTGAAAATAGAAAAGAGGAGTGGTGAAGGATATGAAGAATTAAATTCAAATATACTTATGCATTGGAACCTGACCAATTTGAGAACATGGAGAGGTGTGGAAAGATCCTGTTACAAAAAAGCTTTGTCCCAGGCAAAAGAAAAAATGTTTCTTTCGTCTTAAAATGAGAGAACAGTTTACCTGAAAGCAAGAGTCAACTTGATATTTAGAACCATGATAAAGAATATAAAGTGACTTTAAAAAAATAATAATAAAAGAATGTCAGCCATTGCATTTACTGTCTAAGGTCACATACCAGTCACTGACAAAGCAAAGACAACCAAATATATGTTATTTTGGCCTCTCTACATTTGATCCAATTTTAAGATGGATTGAAACATTAAGTCAAGCTGCAGTCGGCATTTCAGGGAATAAGACTTTCATCATGTCCTCAGAAAGGTAATTTCAGTCTAATAGATTTCATTAAACTCTGCATTTTAGGTTGAAAGCATTTCTAAATGCATTGCTATGGAGTAAAACACAACATAGTAAAAATGTTCCCAAGTTCCTTGTCCTTACTTGGCGTAGTCTCATTATTTCAGTTATATTCCTTTGGACCACCCTAAAGTATTGTGCTCTTCTTTCATGTTTACATCCTTTCGACAATTTAAATTCATTTAATAAAATCTACAGGAGGGAGAGACCTTTCTTGTTAACATATTAACTTCTGGGGAATGTCTGCTTTCATATAATTATGCATAGACTTCATATTCATATAAATATTTTTTGCCTGCAGGGGGGTAAAATGGATCTCTCTCATGAATATTCAACAGTGCCATTTCTTCTAGCAAGACACAGACATCTTTCTTCATGGTTATTAAGCACTAGGATGTCTATATATATTTTCTCCTTCATGTTGTGTTTGCATAAAAGTGATGAGATACAGGAACTGCCAAAGCAGACATTTATTATTCCAGGTACCTCAATATTATAGGGCCTTCATCCAAATAACTCAATAATATTTTTCAGATTCAAATCTTCAGTATTATATGGGTTGTTTCATACACACACACACACACACACGCACACACACACATATAATTCCAGAAGCACAAAATGAAATTATAAATTATGAAGACTTGGCTTAAAATTGTGGTGGAAAGGAGCTGGCAGAGGCAAAGATACTTCTATTCTCTTTGTGACATGACTTCTTGCAAGACAATCTTGTGCATGCTCAGATTTCAAATTCTGATAGTAAAGAGAAAGGTGGGCAACCTCTAGAAGGAAATTGGAAATTGTTTTTTAAAGTGAGTATTGCCAGGCACGGTGGCTCAAGCCTGTAATCCTAGCACTTTGGGAGGCCGAGGTGGGCAGATTGCCTGAGCTCAGGAGTTCGAGACCAGCCTGGGCAACATGGTGAAATCCCGTCTCTACTAAAATTAAAAAAAAAAAAATTAGCCAGGCGTGGTGGCGTGTGCCTGTAGTCCCAGCTGCCTGGGAGGCTGAGGCAGGAGAATTGCTTGAGCCGGGGAGGCAGAGGTTGCAGTGAGGTGAGATCGTGCCACTGCACTCCAGCCTGGCGACAGAGCGAAAGTCCATCTTAAAATAAACAAACAAACAAACAAACAAAGTGAGTATTTTTCCTTCTATAATAACATTGTTCACATAAAAAGTTCTCACCCTTTTCTTTATGCATTCAATAAACATGTATTGAACATCCAGTATACCATAAAATATTATAGACTCTGAGAATACAGTTGGAAACAAAATATAAAATAGGCAGAGTTCCAGCTATAATACAGCTTACTTTCTAGAGAAGGGAGATAAAACAAATACATGAATAAACAAATAACAAAAATGGATAAATGAATGAACGATATATTAAGTAGTGTTGAACACTATGTAAGGACAGTTTTAGGAAACTATTAACCTCATATATTAATGTATTTGTCACAGATATCATACCTGTGTGTGTGTGTTTGTGTGTATGTTATTTTAGAGATTGAGTCTGTGGGTGTGCACTGCTTTATTTTATTGTCTCAACAATAGTATGAAATGTTTGGTACAGGTACCATCATTTAAAGATGATGGAAATCACTAACAGATAATAAACCACTTGCTCCAAGTCACACAGCTGGAGTGTAGCAGAGTTATGAATTCAATTTGGTGTCTGAATCCAGCTTCATGAGCTTCCTACTGAAAGGACCATTCTCTTAGGTGATGGTTCTAATATCCATCCATTTTTAGTCCACAATTCTCAGGAAAGTGACCTGGAGAAAATCAAGACATAATTGGAGGGAAAAAAGTTCCTAGACTAAATGTTAACATTTAAAATGGATTTAACCATGAAGAGAAAATTATAGTCAGCTAAATAAAGAATGCTCAGGGTAAAATAGAAGAAGAATATTGCAAAGGAGGAGAAATAATATTCTTCTCTAGAAGAGAAAAAAGAGAAGATATACCTTTTCTTCTTTTCTTACCAACTTCAGATAAGTACATCATGAACATGGGAAAGTGGGTGTTTTGGGGAGAGGTAGGATGAAAATGTAATATTAAGAAATTATTGGGAGCCTGAATTTCAATCTTCCTTGTAGCTTATTCCAACCTAGTTGTTGCAAGTAGAGTGGGAAGCCTTAATCATCAATAAAGATTATGATTATGCATCATTCTTTTTATTTTATTTATTTATTTGAGACAAAGTCTCACACTGTCACCCAGGCTGGTGTGCAGTGGTGTGATCTTCGCTCACTGCAACCTCTGCCTCCGGGGTTCAGGCAATTCTCCTGCTTGAACCCAAGCAAGTCTCCCAGGTAGCTAGGACAACAGGTGTGTGCCACCATGCCTGGCTAATTTTTGTATTTTTAGTAGAGATAGAGTTTCACCATCTTGGCCGGGCTCGTCTCAAGCTCCTGACATCAAAAGATCTGCCTGCCTTGGCCTCTCAAAGTGCTGGGATTACAGGTGTGAGCCACTGTGCCCAGCCAAGATTACGCATCTTTCTTAAGATTGTGTGTGTGTATACATATGTGTATTTCCTTCTGGGGAAAGTCAAGGTGAGAGAATTCCAAAGAGGAAATATAAGCTCATCAAGTTGTTTCAAACTATGAAGAAGGGTTAATAAAAAGAAGGGGGCCTGGAAATGCTCTCTATACCATTTAGAGAAACTTGACTATGTAGCACCATGCTTTTGCAACACACTTTAAGCTGGGGAAATGCCTTCACAGTTTTCTTTGGGTCCTTTGCTCCCTAGAATAAGCCAGTGAAAATGCTGATCACAGCCTTTGTGTTGGGATGATGATTTTTTTTCTTCACTCAAGGCTCAGACCCCCTAGATTGGCAGACAGGACAGGGGGTGATATGTGTAAATGTCAGTATGTGCTCCCTCTTCCCCATATCAACATAAGCCAGTAATATATCACATTAACAACCAGCTTAGAGATAAATGAGAGGAAGTTTTGAGATCAAATCATCAATCTTAACCCATTGGTGGGGGTCCTAGATGTGAAACAGACTTGGAAACTCCTGTTGTGGCAGTGATTATAACTACAAAGACAATATTATATTGTTCCTTCCCTAATAATAACAGGGAGCTTCTGCCTCCTAAATCAGAGCTTATTTTCCTCCCCCAAAAACAGCAATGCCATTATTTAAACAGTCGCTTTGAAAAACACAATGGTTTCTGAGACAGAGGAACTCTCCTTGATTTCTTACTCTTAGCATATTCTTTATCCAACTCATGAAAATTTCCTTAAGGTTACAAATAGCTTTAAAATAATTCCCCCACAAGGTCTTTGTAGATATTTAAACGCTTTCAAACCTAAAACCACCCTGAAAAAGCATGCAGAGAAAAATGAACTAGATGACTCAATTGAGTAAGCCTGTTCCATCTCTACAAGCAATTTTTATGAGAACAATGTTATATCTGCAGAGCTGTGAGTTAAAAAAATTATAATCAATGTTGAATCTGTCAGTCTAGCTTGAGTTGGCTTTTGGGAAATCCAGAGAAGGACGAATGCTTACAACAGGAACACTGGCCATTAAGTCTAAAGGCTTCAAATAGAAAGTTTGTGTTCTTTGTTGGATAGTTGTGAGGTTATGATCTAGAAGAGGTCATAAGATTTTTTAAGTTGGATATTGTTTCATCAAAATTCTCTTGACACTTGGAATTCTCAAATATTGAATATTTCTGAGATCCTGAAATTCAAAGGAGAGTTAGCTAGAAATTAACATTCTAGAAAGTTAATTCAATGATCTAAATTGTCAAACTTGATTTAATGAACCTTTTAAAAATTAGGTTTTAAATGGACATTGTAAAAAATTCAAGTTATACAAGAAAGTAGAGAATAAAAGCTAATTGTCTCAGCCTTCCTGTCCCCAGTCCTGATATTTGACCTCCTCTTTCAATATGAGTCTAATTAGCCCACCAGGCAAGGACTAATTCATTTTTTTAATCTAGTATATCTGTATTTGAAATGTGTGAACATGGCCATCAAAAAGCTTTCTAGACACACAAATCTCATATCGTAAATTCATTCTGGAAACTGCCGGCCATCAAGAAGTCTAGCCATTTGGAAATCATAAGAGGTTATAGCCCAGACCTTGAAACTAACCCTGGAAATCTGATTGCTATTTGTCTTGAATTTTTCTTTGAACAGTGCTCAACCTTCACTGAGACCTGCACTTGAGTGCAACATAGTGTTAGGTAGTTTGTGACTCAGGAGGACTTGAGTCATATTCTTAATTTTGCAATAGCTATGTGACCTTAAGCAAGTTAACTGTGTATGTTATGGATCTTGGTCTCCTCACCCATACAATGGTGATAAACATCCGGCACAGAGGAGCATGAAAGCATCTGTGGTAGAGCCTACCGGCTGCCTACATCTTAAAAGAATTAGCTAGACATATTTATAACCAGAAGAAAGACCTTTCCTTGCCTTTCTTGCGCAAATTTCTGTACGATAGTATGTAAGTGGAATGTCATGTGCAACTTCTGGGAGCCTTTCTTATAAGAAAGCAATACACACTGTTTTTCATTGTCTTATGCATCCCTTCCTCCATTTTGCTGCTTTTCCTATGGATGCTATGATCTTAGACTCTGAATATGAGGACCACTACCAAGGGAAGATAAAGTAGTAATCTGGAAAAATTGGGGTGCCTAAGGACTTTGTGAAACAGAAATATCTCACTAGTCCTAAATTATGTACATCTGTTTTCCATCTATGTGAGACAGGAATAACTATTTTGTTTGTATCACTGTAGTTTTGTGTTTTCCATCAATTGCCAGCAATATTAATTTTTAAATATGTAAAAGGTAGTTCCAGTAAGCAGAGTACTCCTATAATGGAACCCAAAATACACAAGATTGGCTGATTGGGAGGGACACAGTGGTGGATGGCAAGGACTCAGATATTGCAGACTGAGAAATTGATGACTTTTGTTATACAATAGCAAAGCATTTGATTAAATTGTTACTTGTCCTTTGAAAGGAGACCATGAGCTAGTCAGCTGTGACATTAGAGTAAATTATAGGAAAAACCCAGCATGTATATGTGAGTTTACTACTTCTTGCCACTTTTAGCAAAGCCCTGCATGTAAGATATGAACTGTGGCTCAAGCTAGATGGCCTGCAAAGAGAAATAGGATTTCATAAAGTCTCTGTATCTGGCCTAAGACTTCAGTTAACTGAGAATCCAATTATTTGAATCCTTACCTCACTGTAAAGGTCAATTTCTTTATTACCTGAAATTAAAGTTTATATGGAATATCATGAAAATATATCTTGAACAGAAAATAAGATGCTGTGTCCCCACGCAAGATTTTCAAGCATCTCCTGTTAAGAATTGCAAGATGCTGTGTTCCCATGCAAGATTTTCAAGCATCTTCTGTTAAGAATTGCTTGCTCAACAATGTAAGTCATCACACTTGCAGAGATCAAATTAAGAAAATTGCCTTATCATTTAAACCCATTGTTACACATGGTATAATAGTCATTAGAGCTGTTCACCTTAGATGCATACAGTAGGATTGCACTTCTCCATCCTTTGTGAAGTTAAATGTCAGACACAATGACTTTCTTCGGTGAATAAAATGTGAGTAGATTCATGTATTTAATGACAATATCATAAAAATGAGTCAGTAGTTTGGTATATTCCCCTTCTTTTGCTATAATGGTCCTAGAAACTTGTGTTAAAAGGGAACTATATCAGCCCAGGTCCCTGAAAGACTACTGTGATAAGAGATTGTTGCCAAATCTTTATTTTTCTTAGATGCTGTACTTTTAGAGTTGTGTGCTTTTATCATTTGCTGACTGACACTGACACTTTAAACAGAGATTACATTAAATTGAAGGGATGAGGCGGAAATGGGCAAAGCCCAGATGGCTGGCAAATCAAAGACTAGAATAATTTAGCTTAAAAACTATATACTTGCAGATGGGAAGAAAAGTTCTTCTTACCCTCTACCCTGCTCTCAACCTGAAACTGCCTTTGCAAAAACTATAACAGTGAGAAAATTATGACAGTGAAAGAAGTCTAATCTAACCAACTCCATCCAGCTTGCTTCTAACCTCCAAGCTGTCCCTGTTCATTCCTTGGCATAGGCCAAACTAATTGGGGGAAGAACTTAGTGTATTAGTCAGTTCTAGCATTGCTATAAAGAAATAACTAAGACTGGGTAATTTATAAGGGAAATAAGTTTAATTGGCTCAACGTTCTTCAGGCTGTACAGGAAGCATGATTCTGGCATCTCCTTAACTTCTAGGAAGGCCTCAGGAAACCTTCAATCATGGCAGAAGATGAAGGGGAAGCAGGCACATCTTACATGGCCAAAGCAGGATCAAGGGTGGGGTGGAGGTGCTAACACTTGTAAACAACTAGATCTCATGGTAACTCACTCACTTGATATCAACAGAACAGCACTGAGGGCATGGTGCTAAACCATTCATGAAAAACTGGCCCCATGATCCAATCACCTCACACCAGGCCCCAGGTCCAACATTTGGGATTACAATTGACCATGAGATTTGGGTGGGGACATAAATCTAAACCATAGCATTCTGCACCTGGCCCCTCCATATCTCTTGTTTTTCTCACATTTCAAAATACAATCATGCCTTCCCAATAGTCCCCCAGAGTCTAAACTAATTCCAGCATTTAAAAAAAAAATTCCAAAGTCTAATCTGAGCTAAGGCTAGTTCCTACTGTCTATGAGCCTGTAAAATAAAAAACAAGTTAGTTACCACCAAACACAGCAATTTACATTCCAAAATACAATGGGAGTACAAGCATTGGGCAAATATTCCTATTCCAAAAGAAAGAAATAGGCCAAAAAGTGGGGCTACAGGCCCCATGAAATTCCAAAATGCAGCAGGGAAGTATTTAATTCCTAAAGCTCCAAAACAGTCTCCTTTGACTCCATGTCCTACATCCAGGGTCCACTGGTGTGAGTAATAGAGTCCCAAGGACTTAGGCATCTCGCTTCTGTTTCTTTGCTGAGTTCAGACCCCATGGCTGCTCTCACAGGCTGGTGTTGAGTGCCTGCAGCTTTTCCAGGTGGAAGCAGCAAACTCTTATTGGATCTACAATTTTGGGATCTGGAGGATAGAGGTACTCTTCTTTCAGCCCCACTAGGTGGTGCCCCAGTGGGGACTCTGTGGGAGCTTCAAACCCACATTTACTCTCCTCGCTGCCCCAGTAGGGGTTTGCTAAGAGGGCTCCTCCCCTGAAGAAGGCTTCTGCCTGGACATCCAGACTTTTTCATACATCTTCTGAAATCTAGGTGGAGGCTCCCAAGCCTAAACTCTTGCACTCTGCATGCCTGCAGGATTAACACTACATGGAAGCTGCCAAGGCTTATGGCTTACACCCTCTGAAGAATCAGCCTGAGCTCTACCTGGTTTCCTGTGAGTCACAGCTGGTGCTGGAAACAGCCAGGATGCAAGGAGCAGTATCCTGAGGGACCTGGGCCTGGCCCACAGACTCATTCTTCCCTCCTAGGCCTCTGAGCCTGTGATAGAAGGGGGCTGCTGCAAAGGTCTCTCAAATGCCTTGGAGACATTTGTCCTATTGTCTTGGATATTAACACTTGGCTCTTCTTTCTTCCTCCCAGAGGAGGCTAAGCATCAGTTAACTCTTAAAGGATGAGTATGAGTTCCCAAGTAAATCATGGAGAGAAACATATTGCTGGAAATGAAAAACAGCACATACAAGAAACTATGGCAAGGAGAAAAAAAACTCATTCATTTAAGAAACTACAGAAAGTTTACAGTGATTCCATGACGGAGAATATTTTTGAGGAATTATAAATGTTGAGCCTAGAGAAGATCCACATCAGTAGCATCCATGCTGAGATTTGATCCAAATACCTCCTACCAGTCCCCACCTTCAATACTGGAGATTACAATTGAACATGAGACTTGGGTGGGGACACCAATTCAAACTATATTACTTAGTTCATAGTTTAACTTTGAACAAAAATAACAGCCCTTTCCTGAAATAAACCCCCTTCTTGTTTGAGGACCAGTCTGCCTTTGTAGACCAATAAATTAGCCACAAGATTAGATATTACGGTTTAGGAGTCATGCAGCTGGAGTCCACAAGATTATGAACATCCTCAAATTGCTCCTAGGGATAACATTACTCATAAAAACTAAGTTCAGTGTTCAAGATATTTCAGAGACATTACATTCTGATGCACCAGCTGGCACCACCAAGATGGGTAATCTGGCTCAACCAGTTCTGTGATCCCACCCAGGAACCAACAACAATAAGAAAAATCCACTTCAATCCCCTATGACTTCATCTCTGACCTGACCAATCAGCACTCCCCACTTACCAATCCCCTACCCATCAAATTATCCTTAAAAACTCCAGCCTCCAAATTTTCAGGGAGACCATTTCACATAATAATAAAACTAATCTTCTGTATGAGTGGCTCCGTATGAATTAAATTCTTTCTCTATTGCAATTCCCATCTTGCAAAAACAGTTCTGAGAAGTCTCTGAGAAGCAGGCACAGAGAACTCATTGGGTGATTACAAACCCCTGAATACAATCCAGCTAAAGTGATCAGTTAAAATACGTTTAAGAATATAAGAATATCTATGGCTTCCATACAAACATTGATTGTTGATCTTGCCTTTGTGTATTGGCTGGAGTTCTGTTGACTTAGTTTGAACTTGACTCTAGAACACAGGGTCAGATCAAGTCAACTCCACAAGTCTCTCATGTCTTAGTTAGCCTTTAGCCAAGGAGCATATCTTTTCATGGAGAAAGGCAGGAGCACAAGACGAAAGCCCTAACATGCAGTGCATGTCAGAACTCAGAATGTAAACCAAAAATACAATTCTAAGCCCCCAGCTGAATGATAGACCTTTCCCTCAGCCAAGGGCATTCCAAAGTTAACTTGAAAAACTAGCTCAGGCCCTGATGGAAAGTGGGGGTCGAGCATGACTTACTATATCCTCCTTCCTCTGGAATTTAGGCACAGCTGAGCAGCTTTACCATTAATATAGAGATGTTAAGACTGACGAGGTAGACCTTTTACAGCAATAAGGCACCAAATTCCAGCCTGACTCTAGTATAGTATCATGTAACAGATAGCAGATCCTGAAAGAAATCGAAGTATTTTACCCCAAAATATATCTTAATGACATATTTTGAAATGGCCCTACAAAGCTGTTTCTTGTGGGGAAAAATCTATGTTCTGTAAAGAATTGATCCCCTATCCTTTCCAGGACTTTTTCCTGATCCAGGAGAGAATTAACTAACAATCTGTCTGTTAAGACTTCTAAAGCCTGCTACCTGGAGTCTTCAACTTCATCTGCATGATAAAACCTTATCATAGCCACAACCCCTTATCTTAGCACAGGCATTTCTTTCTATTGATTCCATGTTTTTAGGTAATAACTTTTACAAACAATTGCCAATCAGAAAATCTTAGAATCCACCTATGACCTGGAAGCCCCCACATCTGTTTGTCTCACTTTTCTGGACCCAACCAAATATACATCTTACATGTATTGATTGTTGTCTTATTATTACAGTTGGTAGCTAGACGGGCATAAGCAGGGCAGGAGAGGGCTCCTCTCACCACCCACCAGGAATGTCAGGTGACCATCAGGTGATGGTCAGGTGGTTGTTAACTGTCTAAAATAATAATTGGTTGCAGCCAGTGCCAGGGAAAGGCAGTTTCCCAATAAATAGAAAAAAACCTGAAACTGGTGATCAGAAGCTTCCTGATTAGATTTCAGTAGTTGGGCAAGTGGGCTCAAGCATGCACACTAACAGGCAACATGGTGGAGTTTAACTGGTATATGATCTTCTAAGGCCATTCACTGGTAAGGGAAGAACGCCTCAAGTAAGCATGCATACAACTCCAGTAAACAAACGGCACATGCTCACCTCCCAAGTGCTAGCAGGCCACTGCACATGCAGACAGCCCACACCAAGGGAAGAATAAGGAAAGAAGGAATGCATGACTCTGGAAGTATGCTAACCTATAATACTCTAAGTCAAAGGTCAAACATGCACTTGATCTCTCAAGCCACCCTCTTCCAAGTGTAGTTTCCTTCCTTTTGTTTTCATTCTAAAGGTTTTTAATAAACGTTCACCCCTGCTCTAAAACTTGCCCAGTCTCTCCTTCTGACTCATGCCCATCAGTTGAATTCTTTCTTCTGAGGAGGCAAGAACTGAGGTTGCTGAGGACCTGTACAGATTCACCACTGGTAACATTATGTCTCCCTAAAATGTGTAAAACCACGCTATAGCCCAACCACTTTGGCACAAGTTCTCAGGATCTCCTGGGGTTGTGTCATAGGCCATTGGTCACTTATATTTGGCTCAGAATACATCTCCAAATATTTTACAGAATTTTACTCTTTTCATCAACAGGATCAACTCTCATTTGCTCACATCCCACCAGATAAGTCACAAGACCAACACCAGCCCATGAATGGGGAGGGAAAATGACCACAGAGGTCAGGGAGATGGAACTAATCAAGGACCCTAGTTGTATCTCTATATTTTCTTCAAGGAGATAAATTCAAGTTTATGAAAAGATTTGCTGAGGCCTCTCAGATTTTGATGCTGAGTTCCAATATTTTCATCTTACATCACACAGTACATGGATAAATTACCTGATCCATAGAAAAATTAGACTGTTGAGGGTTTAGGCGTTTGATCATTACAGAAGTGAAAGACTTCAAAATTCTTTCTCTTGAGAGACCAAGGAAGACAGAGGCATTGTTTATGCCTTCTGTGTCTGAGGCCTGGGTGATATAGGGCAACAACACTGATGCTGCTGCTGAAAGAATTAACCACCCACACCTCCCAAACTCCAACAGTCTGCTTTAGATTTACATTTACTGCTGCTTCGTCTTTTCTCACAAATGCTAATGAAGTAACTTAAGGAAGCTGGAAGGCAATTTTTGGTGTAATATAGGTAAACTTCTTCGTAGTGTCTCAGTAAACAGAAACTAGATCTTCAGATTTACATACTCAATGCTTGAATTGAAAGCAAAGTGCTTGGCTACTGGTTCTCTTCAGCCCACTGTTTTCAGCAAATCTCTCCTGTTACCTCATTTATTTGCTGTGAGAATTCCAGCAAATGCAATCTCTCTTCTGTTCACTTACTGATGCGCTTGGAATTGATACCCCAGCTGTGTTTCTGTGCCTGATCTTCCCTTTAGCTCAAATCAAACTGTTTATTTCTTAAAAGACAGAAGCTTCCACCAAAAACTAAGCAACCATTTCTAAGCATCCAAATAATTGTGTGTTTTTGTGCTGTAAAATTCATGAGCATCTAATAGAAGCTGAAGGACTTTCACCCCAAAAAGTTCTATTAAGTTATAGCTTCAATCTTAGTTTTCCCCTTAAACTATAAGAATAATGCTGAGCCACACTAACTCTAATTGCAGTGAAGTCAGTCTTTAGTTACAAGAACTCAAACTATTCAAACCTTGGTTAATTAAAATTTAGACTAAATTTATATCTCAAACAATGTATGCAAGTGATAAGACTCATCTCAAAATTTTTTCGAAATGTCCAATTGCAGTGCTAGCCTTAGGGTCAGAACAGATTTTAATTATATTCTAGTTAGCTCCAGGGATCTATGAGCTTAAATGATTCGCCTCTGTACAATGTTGTTAAGGCACAGTCCCTATACCACTACATTCCTAATAATATATACAGTCATACCTCATTTAATGATGAAGATTCATTGTGAGAAATACATTCTTATGTGATTTTGTCTTTGTGGGAACATCATAGGGTATACTTACACAAACTTAGGTGGTGTAGCCTACTACACACCTAGGCTATATGCCATAGGCTATTGCTCCTAGACTGCAAATTTATACAGCATGTTACTATACTGAATATTACAGGCAATTGTAACACAATGATAGGTATTTGTGTATCTAAACATAGAAAAGGTACAGTAAAATACAGTATAAAAGATTTTAAAATGGTACACCTATATAAGGGCCCTTACCATTGAAAACCAAAAATAAATTTTAAGCCCCACAACAGATTGATGGACTCTTCCCTTGGCCAAGGGCATTCCAAAGTTAATCTGAAAAACTAGTTCAGGCCATGATGGGAAGTAGGAGTCAGACATGCCTCATTATATACTCCTCCCTTTGGAATCCAGGCAGAGCTGACCAGTATTAACATTAAAATAGAGACCTTAAGACCAATAGAAAAGACTCTTTAAGACAGATAAGAGACATCCCCTTCTATTGATACTATCTGCGTAATGGGCACCTTGGTCTGCACAGCCCCTTATCTTAATCCAGTTATTCCCTTCTATTGATTCTAGGTCTTCAGACAATAACTTAACTCTTTTGACCAATTGCCAATTAGAAAATTATTGAATCCACCTATAACCTGGAAGCCCCCACTTTGAGTTGTCCTGCCTTTCCAGACCAAACCAACGTACATCTTACATGTACTGATTGATGTCCTATGTCTCCCTAGAATGTATAAAACTAAACTGTAGCCCAACCAGCTTGGGAACATGTTCTCAGGATTTCCTGGGGCTGTGTCACAGGCCATTGACACTCATATTTGACTCGGAATAAATCTCTTTAAATATTTTACAGAGTTTGACTCTTTTTATCGACACCACGAATGAGGGTTATAGGACTGGAAGTTGCTCTGGGTGAGTCAGTGAGTGAGTAGTGAGTCAATGTGAAGACCTAGGATATAACTGTACACTTTTGTAGGCCTTATAAACACTGTGAACTTCGTCTACACTATATTTATTTAAAATTTTTTTCTTCAATAAACTAACCTTAGATTTCTGTAACTTTATAACCATGTTAACATTTTGACTCTTGTAGTAACACTTAGCTTAAAACACATTGTACAGCTGTACAAAGACACCTTTATATTCTTATTCTATAAGCTTTCTTCTATTTTTAAAATTTTTAAATCTTTTTACTATTTAAACATTTTTGTTAAAAAATAAGACACAAACATTAGCCTAGGCCTACACAAGGCCACAATCATTGGTATCTCTGTCTTTCACCTCCACATCTTGCGGCACTAGAAGGTCTTCAGGGACAATAACACACATGGAGCTGTCATCTCCCATGATAACAATGCCTCCTTCTGGAACACCCCTTGAAGGTCCTGCCTGAGGCTCTTTAAATTAACTTTTTTCTTAACAAGTAGAAGGATTACACTCTAAAATAAGGATAAAAAGTATAGTATGGTAAATAAACCAGTAAGTCATTTATTATCATTACATATTGTACATAACTGAATGTGCTTTACTTTTATGAATGGCAGCACAGTAGCTTTGCTTACAGCAGCATCATCAAAAACATGAGTACTGTATTGTGCAACCACTTTATGAAAGCTACATCACAAGAAGATAGGAGTTATTTTAGCTTCATTATAACTTATGGAACCGCCACCATATATGTGGTCCTTTATCAACCAAAACATCATGATAAAATTCACAACTATAATTGGCAGGTTTTTTTCAAATATCCAGAAGCTGGTTATGTTTCCAACAATTTCTTCTGGCTGCTATACAGACAATTATTAGTAACTTTCTTCCAGGGTTCATTGATGAGAAGTATGCTCTTCAAAATGTTAAAGGATGGTTGGACTTTACTGTTTATTTCTACCGCTACTTCATTCAAGATGCTGGTATCTCTCCAATCAACATAAAAATTTCAACATCAAACGTTGAATGCTTTATTTTAAACTTTTATGCCAACTTAGCACTGTATAGCCAACAACACTTCTCATCCAGTATGAATCAAATACGTTCGTGAGATTAAGTAATGCCCAAAGATAATCTAAATGGAACAAAGTAGTGTAGTATATCAACTGAAGCATATGCAGAAACTCACAAGGTACAAGCATGTGTGTGTAATGGCGTCTACTCTCTTGGCTTATAGACTTTGAAAATAATGCATAGTATATTAGACTATTTATTATTAAAATGGTGTAAGTCAAAGAAAAAGCACCAAGGCAAGTCTCAATCACTTTAGGAGATTTATTTGCCAAGGTTAAGGATGTATCTGGGAAAGAACAGAGATCCACAGAAAACTAGGTGGTTCATGCTGTTTCTGAAGAGGGTCTGGAGACCTCAATATTTAAAAGGAAAATGGCAGGTATTGGAGAAAGAGGAAGACTTTTTTTTAAAAGGGTGTGAGTAGATAAGACACAAGTGGTTGCATTCTTTTGAGTCTTTGATCAGCCATTCACATGTGGGGTTGGGGGGGTAGAGGAATGTCACTTATGCATTCACCTAGCTCTATGAATCTGAAATTTTACATAAGATAAAGTAAACATAGGACAGAGGAAACATCAGATATACATTTGTCTCAGGTGAGCAGAGAGATGACATTGAGTTCTGTCTTTTGTCCTGTACCTGTGAAGATAAGCTATCAATTTACATTGTCAGAATGAAATTCCACAGACCTATTTTAGGGTAAAGACCTTGGGGCCCAGAAGATATGTCCTTTTGAGTAAATTGTGAGGGAGGGATGGAGCTTTTTCATCTTTGTTGCTATCTTATTTAAGAACACAATGAGAGGCAGGTTTGTGTGACCCAGTTCCCAGCTTGACTCTTTCCCTTTGGCTTAGTGAATTTGGGGTTCTGATATTTATTTTCCTTTCACAATGGAAAATAACATAAACATGTATATGGGTATACATTTTGTGTGTATGTGCATGTATATCTGCACACACGTGTGTGAACATGTGTGTGCATATGTATATACATGTGTATATGTGCATATGTGTAAGTACTTACATCTCCCATATACTATTTCAAAATTAACATTCTGTATCCTATAACTATGTTCCAGGACAGTGACAAACAAGGTATGTTCTAACACCAAACTCCTTCATCTCTTCTCCTAAACAATGATATTTCTGATCAGAAGAGTAAATGTTTCCTGTTCCAGTTGTGTTCTGCCTTGGTTCTATGTGTCTCAACTGATGCTCCAGCCACTGCACAAGGACCAGCTTCCCACAGGCAATCTGGAAGTAGCCCCCACTTTTTGACTGGTGACTTCTTTGACTCCAGGGAGTGGGAAACTGCCAAGCACTTGACACACATTCATGGCACCCCATTGCCTGGCACCTCCTTCCCTGTCTTCTCTCCTTCCCAACTCCCATTCTTTAAGATAACTCTCTGAATGAACAACCTGCATGGAAGCCTTTGTCTCAGGCACTGTTCTCAGGAAAACACAGGCTAAGAATTAAGCCCTTCATAAGGATGTCAAATGAAGAAAGATCTAATGCTATTCACCATGTTGCTTTTATCCAGGCAGAGATATAGATACTTTAGAACAGTTTAAATATTATGAGATGAAACTGCTATTTTTGAGTCTCTTCTGTTAAGCAGATAATTCAATTATAGGCTATTGTCACTATTTAAAAACCTATTTTGCAGCAGATATTCTATAGTGATTTTAAAATATTTTATTTGGAATCAAAGTTTTTTCTAGAAAAAGTACTTTTCTAATGTTAATGTAGCATGTTGTTAAAAGACTATAATTGAAGTATTTATTTGCTCCTTGTCTTTTCCAATTGAACCCCATGTGGAGATTTGGAGAGAAAATGTGCTCAGCTACAAGACTATATTTATCCTTCTTCCACGCAGCTAAGCAGGGCTGTGTGGCTAAGCTCTGGCAAAGAGATGAAAGAATAAAATACAGAACTCCCAGAAGTTCTCTTAAGAGGGAAGCAAATACAGCCTTCTCAGATGCCTTTGCCCTTCTTCTGGATGCCTACCTTGAAAATGGTTCTGATGATTGGATGGCCAGCAGTAATTTGAGCAATGAGGTGATTTTCAGAAAGGAAGCCGAGAATGGGAAATAGAAGAGCAGAAATTTGAACTCAGGGTCCCTCATAACCACAGAATCACCATGCGAGATGTGAGAGGCTCAGCTCCAAGCATCTGTTACATAAGTAGAAATAGTCTATCATTTTGAGTCATTTTATCTGTCACATGCATTAAAAAATAATCATAACATTAAAATTCCACGTGTAGAAATTGCAGGCAAGTGTTAAGGTAGTGGTTCTCATCAGGGGTGATGTTGTTTCTAGGAATGTTTGAAAACATTCAAGCACATTTTTGGTGGTCACAACTTGAAGCGGAAAGAGTTACTACTGGCATCCAACAGGTAGAGGTCAGAGATGATGTTAACCATCATATATGCACAGGACAGCCCTCACAACAAGGAATTATCTGGTCCAAATATTAACAGAGCCAAAGCTGAGAAATCCTGCACTAAGCTAATCCATACCACCATAATCCCTCACCCTACCCCTCTGCACTGCCCCCATATCAACTGATTGCTCTATACAAGAAGTTGCCCAAATGATTCTTCAAATAAATCTGCTTTGTTGGTTTACCCTTTTGATTTTAGCCTGATTGGTGTTATTTTTCCTCCAGAGTAGCAGAAAGATAGCAGTAACTTTCTAATGTCATAAAGTACATATTCTCCTGACTTTTTTTTACTTTTTTGAGAGATTTTACTGACAGACAACAGAGCAAAGTAGGAGTTTAATTTTAGAACAACTAGATGAAATAGCAGATATAACCCAACTGCACACACTTCATTGTTTTCTTTCTAAAGCTAAAAACATTTGCCACCGTGGGAGGTGGTATAACACATATTCAATTATCCTCCTTGCACTTTGTTAAGACTTAAAAATATTTTTTGTTCATTTTCTTATTAAAAAATAAAAGATGTTCATCACAGAACATTTAGAAGTCATTATTATTGAGCAAAAGGAAGAAAATTACTACCATCTATAATCCCAACAGACCCAGAAAAACTATTAACTCCACAAAATATATGTGTTCAGATCTTTTTTCTATGGACATATATTATATTAGTACATACATGAGACCAATCTCTTATTCTTTACAAACAGCATTTTTTTCCCTATTTGGAAATATACCCCACTTTTAACAATGACTATCAATCTATCTTTCCAAAAGCCCAGATCTCCCTTTGAAAAGGGAAAAATAATTTGTTATATTTCTAAATGACAAAGAGTTTCACACAGATTCACTCTCTGCTTTAAGGATGATTAGACACTCTAAAAACACGGGGAATTTTCCTTACACATTAGCAAGGAAGGCCATTGTTCCTCTATTGCTTGAAGCATTCTCTACTGTTTTAGAAATTACAGCCTCCATCTATCTCCCTCAAACACTGACAAGCACATGCATATACATACATACGTACACACACATACATATACACATAAACACACATTACATTTTAGATATAAATATAGTTAATGTTTTATGTATTTAATATTTTCCATTGAGGCCTATGAGAATACATACCTTAAAATATATAATCAAAGCTCCTAGTAGGGAAAGAACCTCCCAGTTTGCTATTAATTTAAATAACAAATTGAAAGTTGTTTGAAAAAAGACAGCTTAGAAAAAGGAGCTGTCCTGCCTGGAGAAAGAGAAGGTTAGCGATATAATTGGTACTTACCAAACTGATATGCTTTTTAAAGAAAAGAAAATCATAAGGTTGGAAATCTGTAATTTTGTGAATTGACATTATATTCCAAAATATTTTACATGAGCTTACCGGGGAGTATTTGTTGCGCTAAAGAATTTCAGCTGGTCTGCTGTAGCACCATACCCAAGGAGAAGCCAGGTTTGCCTTCTCTGGCCTGCACTACCGAGCCAACCCCATTTATGTGTTCATACAGTAAGAAGAAAGGAGTTGGGTCTGATCCTACTAGCAGTTTATCTGAATATGTTGTCTCAGTCAAGAAAGGAGATAATCAAGCTTATTGAAGCTTGAGTCTACACACTGTTGCTAAAGATTTAGTCATTATGGAATCGTTTTCTTTTTATTTTGAAATGTACTGACATCTATTTCCCCATTTGCCTGTGATAGATCCAGAGAAGTTTAGTCACGTGGAATAAGCATTGTTTTGTGAATGATGTGTTACTTTCTGATGTGAATAGGGCCATGAACTTCTCTGGGCTATTGTCTCTCCTATATGAAAGTGATGCTCTCTATTAATCCTGAACACAGAAGCATGGGCTGATACACACTCTCATGTGTGCACACACACACCAGTGAAAGAGATATTAAATGTAGCTGAACAGAACTAAACCAATTTCACCAATTTCATTAAAGCTATGGGAGAGAGTTGAGCTTCAATAGTAAACTACGCGTTGTCTGTAACACACTCTTCAGTGTCGTCTGATTCTGAACTGTGTACATTGTAGATAACTGATAGCAATGCAAAATAATTATTGTGTATAGACATAAAAATGAATTCTGTTTGGTAGAAGGACAACCTTTTCTCCCTCCATGGTAAAGCTAGTTTTGATTCTAACACAGCAAAGGGTTAACTCAGCAGGCCTAGGTTGCTCCAATCCTGCACATTTCAAACAACAGCCCTTATTCAGGACTGGATCTTGGTCAGTTTCTGCGAGATAACCTCTGAGCCCTTAGAATATTCTGCCTGGTAAGAATGTTTTATAGGCAGGTGTAGTGGCTCACGCCTGTAATCCCAGCACTTTGGGAGGCTGAGGTGGGCAGATCACGAGATCAGGAGATCGAGACCATACTGGCCAACATGGTGAAATCCTGTCTCTACTAAAAATACAAAAAAATTAGCTGGGTGTGGTGGCGCGTGCCTGCAATCCCAGCTACTCGGGAGGCTGAGGCAGGAGAATCACTTGAACCTGGAAGGCAGAGACTGCAGTGAGCCAAGATCGTCCTACTGCACTCCAGCCTGGTGACAGAGCAAGACTCCGTCTCAAAAAAAAAAAAAAAAAAAAAAGAATGTTTTATATACTTTTTTTCTGCCCTGGGCCACTCTAAACTTCTTTGCCCAGATAAGCTTATCCTAACAATGTGATTTATGGTGAAAGTCTATTTTTACTCTGTGGGCTGGAGTCTGAGTAGCTGAGGTAAGTCACATGGCCACTGCATGCCTACATGATTGACCATCTCCTCCTAAAATCCATGGACACCAATACTCAGGTGAGCTTTCCATCACATGTGTTGTCACATACCATTGCTAGCAGACTTAAGTGCATCCCTATGCAAATCCCCTTGGTGGGAAGTGGTTACCTGGGAGCTTGTGTCTGGTTTCTCCTGGACTTTGTCCATTATGCCTTTTTTTCCTCTACCTTCACCAATTTTAATCTGTATCTTCTTGTAATAATATATAACCAAACAAATAATAGCTTTGTGTCCTGTGAGTCCTTCTAGCAAACAGAGCCTAAGGGTGGTCTTGGGAACCCCCAACACATGTCCATTTGCACATTATTTTCAATAGTCTGTGTCTATAAATGTGTTTGTTTTTTGGATATTTTCTGAAACAGTTAAAACATTTTCCTGATCTCTCATTAATTAGTGAGTTAAAGAAAATCTAACATGTATGTGTTTTAAATCTGTGAATCATTTTTACCTTTAAAAAAATTATGTTGTAGCACACTGAAGTATTTTTAAAAATATATATTTGAGTCTCTCAATACAGATAAATAAACACAAACATCCACCTCTCTTACAACTTTGCTTCTGGTTAGTATGTTAAATCAAAGCAAGTCTAAAACTAAATTCTTCCATGTACCATACAAGTACTTGCCAGCAAATGGAAACAAAGGAGAGTAAGTCATGTGTTCAGTAGTTAAGATCTTCCCAATAGCAGGCTCATGTGAGGCTCTCAGGGGGCAGACCATACCAGTTTACAGCAAGGGCCAGTAAAGCAGAGGGTCACAGGATTCCCAAAACTGCACTGATGTTAATCTACTATCAAGTTTTCTAAATTTTATAATTCATTCATGCAATTGCCTTGGGGGATTTGCATAGAAACTTACTAAGTAACTACCCTTAACACTTTTATTTCTCCAATGGAAAAATTAATTCTAACACCCATTATGCTACTAATAAACAACCTAGCTTGTGTAAATTTCCATATCAGAGTGCTAAGTTACCACCTCTAAAGGTGTTGATTTCTAATTGGGGTGCTTCCAATGATATGCTGCTTAGCCACTTGTGAAGTGTGTATTCCTGAATAGGGTGCTATATGGAAACTTACACTAGGATATAAATTCGAGTTAACTTGTATACACAAACATGTATCACACTGTTAATACCAAAATAGTCTTAAAATAAATTCTACACGGACAACAAAATGGCAATGTTAGGAAAAACAACACAGAAACTCAAAGCAACTATCATCATATGTTTTTCTTTTCATTGTCCGTTAGGTGTGCTTTGTTTTCTTTATTTATTTCATAAATAATCATTAATCAAAAATGTGTTGAGCATCCATTATACATAAATAGTATTGTCAGGTAATTGAGTGATCTTAAAATGATTAAGTCTTAGTTCTTCAAACAGAATAGAAAGAAAATAAAATATTATCAAATGTCCCACCAGAGAGTAATGACTTTAGAAATAATGTTGTCTTTAATTTTTTTTTTTTTTTTTGAGACGGAGTCTCACTCTGTACCCCAGGCTGGAGTGCGATGATGCAATCTCGGCTCACTGCAAGCTCCACCTCCCGGGTTCACGCCATTCTCCTGCCTCAGCCTCCCGAGTAGCTGGGACTACAGGTGCCCACCACCATGCCCGGCTAATTTTTCGTATTCTTATTAGAGATGGGGTTTCACCGTGTTAGCCAGGATGGTTTTGATCTCCTAACCTCGTGATTTGCCCGCCTTGGCCTCCCAAAGTGCTGGGATTAAAGGCGTGAGCCACCGCGCCCGGCCTGTTGTCTTTAATTTTTATAGTAACATTAAAAGGTTGGTATTATGACCACCACTGCATAAAGATAAAACTGAGGTTCAGACAGTAACATATCTTGCCACACAAGGTGGTGAATCCCAGATTGTAACCCAGATTGTATGGTGAATACCTCCATAACCCATGTTCTTTTCCCTAGAATATAGTAAATGTACATCTCTTTCCCCAAAACCGACCTTGGACTAATAAATACATAAGCATCACTTCCTAGGCATCCCTCCCAAAGAAAAATAAAATTAATATTCAACAAGTGACTTTGTATCACAACCAGCGTGATAGATTTTATGCATGCCTTATCTCATTTTCACAAAAATTTCAAAAGCTTTGATAGATTAGTACATAGCTGAATTGATTTAGACTTAGGATATTAAGTTGATAGTCTACTAAGTTTATTCATTTTTTGGAACAAAGTTTCATCATATTATAAATTTAATCTACTCTATGCATATGTTTTTTTTAAAAAAATAAACATTTCATTTTATGTAGTTATAGATTTACAGAAAACTGTAAGGGTAGTACAAAGAATTATCATGACCTGCATCCAGTTTTCCCTATTGTTAACCTCTTACATTAGTATTGTCGACCCAAATGAGGAAGAGAAAGAGAGAGAAGGGGAGAAATAGAGAGACAGAGACTCTTAAAGGAAATGTTTATTTGGGAGTAGGCATTGCAATGAGAATACAGGTGCCATAGTAAACTATGTGCAAATTCAGCAAGGAACACAAAGGATTTTAAAAAAAAAAACAAAACAAAAACCAAGATTACATTCTTGTTTTGAGATAGTTATCCTTGGCTACAAAAATTAGTAACAAGAGTGTTGCCAGTTCAAGGTAGATAGGCAGCTGCTGGGCAGATGTCCTCACAGAAGTACTTTTTAAATGTAAGGTTGCAATGGCCCTTGAGCAAGGGTGTGGCTTTTGCAGAGTCCTTTGTGATAATTCTTGTTACTGAGCTTTGTGGATATGAACTCTCCCTTCGTGACCTTTCCCAGCTCTATTTGTTAGAATTTTTATTAAAGTGACTCTATTTTAATTCTGACAACTTGCACAATATGGCACATTTGTCAAAATGAATGAATCAGTATTAATACATTATTATTAACTAAAGCCCATAATTTCAGTCCAAATTTCACTAGTTTGTACCTGACATCCTTTTTATGTTCCAGGGTCCCATCAACAGATTACATTTAGTCATCATGTCTCTGTTAGCACCTGTGACAATTTATTTATGATGATACTGGAAGTTTTGAGCAGTACTGGTCGGGAATTTTATAGTGTCCCTTAATTGGAATTTAGCTGATGTTTTTCTCATGATTAGATCATAGTATGGATTTTGGGGAAAAACAGCACAGAGGTAAAGTGCTGTTTTCATCACACATATTATAAAAATGACTTATCACTGTTGATGTTAACTTTAATCACGAGGCTGAGGTAGTGTCAGGTTTCTCCAATTGCTATGCAATACAACATATTCCCAGGTTCTGGTGATTGTAATTTGAAGATACAATAATATTTCTGGATAGAGAACCTAAAAAACTCAAGCAGGTAGGTAAAAGGTATCTATTATAATGGTCATTATTTTTTATAGCAACAAGATTTAAAACAAGCTAAATTTCCAACTGGAAGAGAATGGGTAAATTGTGCTATAATCATATAGAAAAATGTTATATAGTGACTAAAATGTATAAGACAGATTCCATGCAAATATCAACAGGGATACATGTCATAAACATAATATAAATTAGTAAAACATGCAGAATATTAACATAATTTATGCCACTGCTTAAGTGCATATGGGTATAGTTTGCTATACAATTCATGGGGCCTTTCAAGGAAAATAATACAAAATCACATATGAAAACTGAAAACGTAGATACACAAATAAATATTTATTTAGATTGTAAAAAGAAATCACAACAAATTACTCAAGTCTTTTTTTTTTCTGAGATTCCTACAGGGCAATATTTCAGGAATGCTACTTAATTGCATCCTGGCTTTCCTTTGATATTGATCATTCTCCAAGACACACAGAGAGCCAAGTATGGGGTGGGGGACTCTGGCACTTTGCTTTATTAGCTTCAAGAAAAATGCACCATCTTATCTTGTACATGTAAAAGTGTAAACACACGAATGTTTATTGTAGCTACAACATTTTCTTCCTCTAAAATAAATGAATAAACAAATAAATTAAAAACATCCAAATAACAGAATTACACATTTCTCTCATTACAGATCCAACATCCTTTTTTGAGTACAAGTGGTTTTTGGTTACATGGATAAATTGTATAGTGGTGAAGTCTAGGATTTTAGTGCATTTATTATACCAATTCATTTGCATTTGTGTACCCATAGCTTAGCTCCCACTTATAAGTAAGAACATACGTTATTTGGTTTTCTATTTCTGAATTACTTCACTTAGAATAATAGCCTTCAGCTCCATCCAAGTTGCTGTGAAAGACATTATTTCATTCTTTTTTATGGCTGAGTACTATTCCATGGTGTATATATACCATATTTTATTTATCTGCTCATTGGTTGATGGGTACTTAGGTTTGTTTTGTGTCTTTGCAATTGTGAATTGTACTGCAATAAACATACACATGCAGGTGTCTTTTTGGTATAATGATTTTTTTTTCCATTGCAGACTCAACTTCTTAAACTCAACAGTTTTACCACCATTCATGATCTTTCCAACAAACCCAGTTCCTCCACTTGACTGTTCCCACTACTTCTCCAGAGCACCTGGATGAGGATGGTGATGATGATGATGATGATCAGGCTTGCTACCCACTCTTCCTGCTTTCATCCTTGCTTTCCATTTCTATTTGGTATAGAGCAACACAGATGATCTTCTAGAATGTGGATCATGTTGCATCACTTATTTCCAAAACTCTTCAATGGCTTCACCTTTCACTTAGAATACAAGACTTTTCATGTGGCCTGATTACTGCTCCAGTTGGGTGCTTATCAAGCAGTTGCACTTCAGGCAGCCCCCTAGACATGTCTGGAGCTCATTTATTCACTCACTTGGTCCTCATGTAAAATGTCATTTAGGGGAGAAGCATTTCCAGACAAAACTACCCTATTCAAAATAGCTCTGCACTATTCTCGTCTTTCAGCCTCTTTCCTTCTCATTATTTTTTCTTATTCTTACTAATTACCACCCAACACCTGTTTTAGTTGTTAATTATCTGTCTCTCCCAAAACAATAGAAGCTACAAGAGAATAAGGACTCCCGGTTCACTGATGTAGCCCAGTGCACATAAAGGACACTATTATTACTGGTTGCATGTCAATCGATTGAGTAAATAAATGAATAATTTGAGTTAAAGTATTTTAAGGTTATTAAAAAGTGGGCTCTGAGGAAAGAGGGTATTTCTAGATTTACAAGGAGAGGGAAAGGGAGGGAAGAATTGCATATAGTTTGATTGACCTATAAGGGAGAGATAAAGACAAATACAAGGTCACCGAGTAAATGCAGCCATCGATATACTTGGAAGACAAGGGGATAAGGAAACGAGTGTAGGTTGGTTTCCTGGGTCTCAAGTTTGTATAAAGAAACATTGCTCAAAAGACCTTAAAAGTAGATTAGAAAAAGGTTGTGCTACATCTTATATACCAAGATAAGAAATATATATTGTTCAATTGTCGAGGGTTTATGTTGAAGTTTTTAAAAAGACAATTATACAATCAGAGACATGCTTCAGAAAAAGTAATACACAGTTGTAGAAAAGATGAATTAGTGAAGCCATGAGAATCAGAGAATGGATTACAAAACTAAAGCAAACAGTCATAAAGACTTGAATTATCTGTACCTTTATGCTGTCCACAGAGAGGCTCAGCAGAAGTATATATGATTAGTCATAATTAATCCTGCCTGCAAGTTAAAATCACCTCGGAAGCTTTTTAACTACCCCAAGCCTGGGCCACACCCCAGATCAATTAAAGCAAAGTATGTGGTGTAAGACTCATGTATTAGGTTGTTTTTAAAAGTCTCCAGTAGATTCTAGTATGCAGCCAGGGTTGAGACCTACAACCAATAATCAGGGTAATTAAATTGAATAAGTGATTCTTAAAGTGCTGGTCTCTTCAGCATTAACTGGGAATTTGTTAGAAGTGTAAATCAATTTCTAATTTGTTATAATTAAAACCTACTCAGACCTACTGAAATGGGGGAGGGGGGAGCAGCAAAATGTTTTTTCACAAGCCCTGCAGGTGATTTTGATGCACTGAAGTTGAGAACCACTGGCCTAAGGTTGTCCCATTCAGTAAAAAAGGAAGGAAAGAAGGAAGGAAGGAAAGAAGGAAGGAAGGAAGGAAGGAAGGAAGGAAGGAAGGGAGGGAGGGAGGGAGGGAGGGAGGGAGGGAGGGAGGGAGGGAGGAAGGGAGGAAGGAAGGAAGGGAGGGAAGGAAAGAAAGAGAAAGAAAGAAAGAAAAAAGAAAATACAGTATCTTTCATGGGACATACTTATGCTTAAACAGTTTTTGCTGCTTATCTGAAATTTACATTCAATTGGAAATCTTGTACTTTACCTGTCAATCCTAAATTAAAGGATAAGATGACATTGCAGTAAAGCTAGTTTTTTAAGCTTAAATGCTTAGGAAAAAATGGCATTAGCAACTAAGAAAAGGAAGATGCTAACAGAAAGTACCAGCTTAGTTGAACATTATGAATCTGGTTGTAGACACCTTGGGATGAAGTTGTCTTTGGGTGAAAGTATCACATAGACTATATTGAAAATAGGCAGCTAGAAATATCTGCTTAAATACTGTAATTAAGAAAGTATCAAAGGAAAAGGTGTCAAAAGAATGAAATGTAGGGAAAATATCTGTTTCAATTAGAGAAGAGAAATGAGCAAGCAAATGAGATAAGAGGTATTTCTTAATGTATTTACACCGTGTTTTGTGTGTATGATTATTATAGAACATTAATTAACGGTTCAATATACATACAAGGTACCAATAAGCTCTTTGAAGGCAGGGACTACACATATTATATATTTTTAAAAATTTAATCACCACAAGCCCTAGCATAGTAATATACACACAGAGTCTATTCAATTAACTACCAACTAACCCTATTCAAGAGAATGACTGACTGGATTAATATTTTGGAATTAAATGAGATAAAAAGGTGTTTGTGTTCTTAAGATACGATTTGGAATGAAAATGTGCCTATCCCAACAGTGTGTAATAATTTAAGAGTTAGGCTCAAAGATGGAAACGACATAGCAGCAAGTAGTTTTGTTTCACTATTAAAACAAAAATCATGAGGAGAGGCGAAGTTAATAGTATATTTTCTATTAACATGGTATGAAGTAACTTAAATAGCTTAAAAAACAATGACATGAGGTATTAGAATGGAGACTGGGTCTGAAAGGACATGGGGAAATTATAAAACTGCCAGGCTGGAAAAACAATGATATATAAAAAGTGCTTAGTATTGCTTTATTTCCTAAATATACTTGTGTTTTAATGGACAATAAAGGCATTTCTTACAGTAATCAATGTATTTAACGGAATGCTTTTTTTACTTGAAAATGCAGATGTTGTACTTCTGACCACTCAGCTTCAATTGGCCTCATGGTAGGTTGTAATATCATTAAAAAAGGAACTGGTTGTAAAACTAAGTCCTCATCTCAGTGGAGGAATTTATGGCTCCAATAAAAGAAAGAACCCCAAGGTTCACTGACTGGACTCTACTGAAGAAAGGGAAAGTAATGCTTAGGGGTTTTTCTGTACTATATGACTAGGTCATGGTAACAAAGGTGGGTGGATGTAGTGAATAGCTGAAGATGCTAAAGGAAATAGTTTAGCCTAAGGGGAAAAACAGGGGATGGACATTTGGATTGTTGAAATAAAAATGAACCTCATCTGTGAAGGTGCAAGTGAGAAGTAATTTGTCTATTTTACTCAGCAGGATCTTGGTTGGACATTTCTACTGCTCCAGTAAATCACTTATGGAAACTGCCTCTTTGGACAATGTATTAGTTTCCTATTGCTGCTGAAACAAATTGCCGCAAGTCATAGTGACTTAAAACAACACAAATGTGTTATCTTATAGTCCTGGATGTCACAGTACAGGACGAGTTTTCCTGGGGATAAAATTCAGGTGTGGCTATGCTGTGTTCCCTCTGGAGGGTCTAGGGGAAAATCTGTACCCTTGTCTTTTTAAGCTTCTAAAGACTGCCTGCGTTTCTTGGCTCATGCTCCTTCTGCCATCTTCAAAGTCAACAAAGACCGGTGTTATCTCACATCAAATCCCAAAGACACTGAGCTCCTGCCTCCCTTTTTCACTTATAAAGATCCTTGAGATTACATTGGGCTAACCTAGATAATACAGGATTATCTCCCCCATCTCAATATCCTGAACTTAATCATGTCTGTAAAGTCCTTTTTTGTGCGTGTGTGTGCCTTGGAAGGTAACATATCCATCGGTTCTGTGGATTAGGATATAGACATCTGTGGGGGCCATTATCATGCCTCCTACAGACAGACAACACCTTTTTGATTTGTATTGAAATGTATATGCTCCATAGTAAACAGATTCATAAGGAGTTGAGCATGGTGAGACTTCCCAGGTATGAATGATCATTTTAAAGTGTGTCTGTGTTCTTTCTGCTTTGTGTCTCATCAGCAGTAATAAACCTGGCTATTAGTATTTAGGTGGTGATATTTTTACTTACTCAGAGGGCAAGAAAGACGGCATTATAGTTCTTTTATAGATCTCAAGGTTATTGAAAAGTCACCACGACTGAGGCCTTATTATATCCATGAAATATATTTCACATAAAAATGTACAAGGAGAGGTATACAGTGGAAAGAGTAACATTTTACCTAATATGATTTTTCACTATCCTCATTCTTCATGAAAAAAAAAGAATTGGGGGGCAAGTCTCAGAGACGCAGGACTACAATAGGAGAGATAAGATGAAGCTATCTGCATTGTTGAAAGGATAGAGAACACCAGTGAGATCACAGAACAATCACCAACATGTACAGAAGATCTGAGCGCAATAATTAAACTTGGCAGGGTGCGTAGACAATAGTGGCATGTGTCCAATAAGAAACAGGGTAATAGGATGGCAGATAGATGCCTAGTTGGGAGGAAGGGAGAAAGTGGGTAGCATTAAAACAGAAGAGAGGAGCTTATGAGTGGGTCACTTATAATAGAACATGAAGTACAGCTTCAGGCCCTCAGCAGTTGTTAAATTAATGAATGAGATAATGGAAGAGGATGACCTTTGGATCAGTGAAAATGTCCAGCCTCTTGACTTGATGAGTGTATCCAGCCCTCAGGTGAGAATCAGATGTGTTATGAAAAGAAGTATACATAAGGAGATAACATGGGAATATAAAGGGTTTAAAGAAATTCAGAAGGGAGGGCAACATCCATTAGGGTAATGTGGGGGCTAAGATGACAAAACCAGCATAAAAGAAACACAATTACAACATGAAAAGCATGTTGTTGTTAATGTATTATAAAAGAAAATTAAAGAAGGGGACTCAGTGTTTCAAGAGGCCAGCTGATAGTGACAGCTCAGATCTCACACAGAAGGCTCTGTTTTTGAAGTATGCTCAGTTAAACACTCATTGTAGATGATTATACAGGATCAGAGTCAGCTAAGAAAGCTAGACCAAAGGCAGAATAAAAAATGTGAGATAATAGACACATTATCTGACTTAAAACAACAACAAATTTTTTTTTTGGTCTTATTCAAAAGGCCCATGAACAGCAGGGAAAAGTAGAATAACAGAAAAAAATGTTTTGTTTTCTGTAAAATTGAGAAACAACTTGAACATGATTTTGTCTGAGAAGCTATGTTAATATAATAATGTAAAAGTACTCAGTCTTCAATTTCACCAAAGCCAGTTAAAGAGATAGTGTATTTATCCCAATCAGAATTCATAGCAGTATGGAGCCATAAAAAATATTCTGGAAGATGAGTCCTGGGAAGCTGTTTACTGTTGTCTTTCTGAATTGTCACTATAACAAACAATCTCTGTGTTTAGACTCTATCTCAAACTTTCTCAGTCTTACATTGTTTTGTGTGTTTGAATTGCTTAATTTTTAATTATACAATAAATATTCCAAAGCATGTTTGTTGAGACAGAAATCCAAGGAATAGAAAAATCCTTAAAACATTCCTCTCTACCCACTCCCTAGTCCTCCAATCCTAACATTCTCCCCAAAGGTAAACACATTGATGAGCCTAGAGTGTTTTCTTTCAGACAACTGCTGGCATATTTACAAATATACAATGTATATACAAATATTTAGGAGGATTTTCATAGAATTATGCATATTTTTCTATTACTTTATCTTTAAAATTATGTACTACGTATCTTTCCATCTCTCTCTTTGTCTTAAAACTTTTATATAGTAATTCCACAGCATCATAACTCACTTAGTCATTCCTCTATTGACAGGCATTTTTTAGATACTTTCGATATTTTCCATTATACAAAAAATTCTATGTAGTGTCCTTTATATTTATCTTTATACATGTACACATTTTTTTCCTTGCAGGGCAAACTGCTAGGAGTATTTAAGTCGAAGAGTATGCACATTTCATTTTCTTTAAAAAATAAGAATTTCTCAAATTTCTCTTCGAAATCATAGCAGCAGTTTACTGAAAGAACCTGTCCTCTCAAGTACTTTTGCACATTAAATATCATCAGTGATTTAAATTTTCAAAGATCATGAGTAAAAATTGGTATATTATTGGAATTTAAATTTGTATTACATACTTATTAATGAGGTTTAGTATCTTTTCAAATGTTCATTGGCAATTTGCATTTTATTTTCTGAAAATTGACTGCTTTATATACCACAGATTTTTCGACTAAATTATTTGTATTGCTTTATTAATTGAGAGGAATCTTAGTATATTTGTCTATTTGTTTCAATTATTGTATTCATTCTGTCATAGCTTAAGTTAAAGATATTTCCTTTTATTTTTTGCCTGCCTGCTATTTTTTTAAAATCAGTACTGTATATTGTATTTCCTATAATAGTTTTTCTATATCCATTAAGTTAATCATCTGGATTTTCTTAGTCAGCTACGATTAACCCAATCTTTCTTTCCTAAGATAAACCCACCTATTACAATTCTTACCGCTGAATAAAACGTTATGCAAAAAAACAACAACCATTTTATTATCCTCATGAATTCTGTGGGCTGAAGGTCTGGGAAGAACTTGGCAGAGCAACAAAATTTCTTTGCTCCTTGTAACATCAACTGAGGTCACTCAGTGGTACTCAGCCAGCAGATGGGCCAGGCAAGAGGTTTCAAAAAGGATTCCCTCCGTGTCTGATGTCCGGAGGGATGGCAAGAAGATTAAACTTAGTTGGGACTGTTGGCTGTTGTCTTTCACATGGCCTCTCCATCATGATAGTCTCAAATAAATCATGAGGTTCCTCTCCAATTGTTTTGATTGCTCAGCTGCACTTCATTTTCTATTTATGTTCCCTTGACTTTCCAATGTAGAAGACAGACATATTCCTGAAAGTGTTGCTTTTAAGCTAAAAAATTAGAATTATATTTCTTTTAATATATTGAAAAGGAAGGTATTCAGAAAGATGGAGGGAGTCTTTCTTTCTCCACATACATAAATAAACATATAAATGAATGAATAGAAAACAGAGAGAGCTTGACTTAAGATTGTTTTCTTTATTACCATGATGTCTCAATAATGCTAATAATACATCATGGCAATCAACAGAGCATTAGAGAAAGAGCACTGGTCTTGGCATTAGAAAATCCAGGTTGCAGCCCATCTCCGCCATTATTAGTTTTGGATCTTTCCAAACTATTCCAGCTATTGTTGAATCTTTCCAACAATTTTCCAAACATCATGCATTTCATGTTCACTATTTTAAAAAATTGACAGAATAGCTTATCCCCCAGATCGGTTGTGGGAATCAAATGAGTTCTTTAGTATAAATGTGCCTCATAAATTTTTGTGTAGGCCAGGTGCAGTGGCTCACGCCTATAATCCCAGCACTTCGGGAGGCCGAGGTGGGTGGATCACCTGAGGTCAGGAGTTCAAGACCAGCCTGGCCAACATGGCAAAACCCCGTCTCTACTAAAAATACAAAAATTAGACAGGTATGGTGGTGGGCGCCTGTAATCCTAGCTACTCAGGAGGCTGAGGCAGGAGAATTGCTTGAACCCGGGAGGCAGAGGTTGCAGTGTAGCGAGATCACACCACTGCACTCTAGCTTGGGCAACAGAGCAAGACTCCATCTCAAAAAAATAAAAACAAAAAAAAAATTGTGTAATTATAAAGTATCTTTATGATTTTTATTTCATTTTGATTTAAAAATGAGAAAGACCTTACAGAATCTATGTCAGTTAAGATTACCTTTTGTACACGTACAACAGAAAATCCAACTATCAAGGGCTTTAAAAGAATGGATTTTCTCATCCTCACATGCCATTAGCCAATGAGTAGGCAGTTGCTAGTGTTGCTTCCGCAGCTGTGTGATGCCATTTGTGTCTCAAAATATTTCTCTGTGCCCTGCTACTGTCCACAGGCTGGCTTGCAGTTTTATGTTTGTGAGGGAAAGCTGCAAACAACTGTTACAGCTCCAAAAATCACATAATTGCTCAAGGCAGGAGAACAAGGGAAAAGGCCATCTTTAACCCTTCTAACAGAAATGCAGAAGCCTTCCTAATGACTTCTCTGCAGATACTGGATTAGGACTCTCACTGATCACAACAGAGGCACGTGTCCTTCTCTAGATGCGTCTGCTGGGAAAGTGACCAATTCAAACACCATCCAGTGCCTGCTCCATTCTAACTGAGATTCAAATGGAGATTCTATTAGCAAGCTGAAGGGGAAGTGGGAATTGCGGAAGCAACTGTGTCTACCACAAGACTTTTAAGGTGAGGCAATATCTCTCTCTCTTCAGGCCCTTACCCACTCTTACAACAAAACCACCCCATTCATAAATAATAATAATAATAATAACAATAACTAGGATAAATATCTAGCTTCAGCCCAGACAACTCTTTTCAGCTCACCCCTTTTTATTAGGACCATTTGCTAAACCTGAATATTATTTAGGATCTTCAAATTTTTAATCAACTGGTCTTCAAGTACCAAATTTACTGCTTTATAGCATAAATGCACTCCCTGGATCTTTTGTGGGAAGAGGTTGTAATGTAATATATAGGTGAGATGTAGAATACAATCCATAATGTAAAAATTATGACAACCATAAATACTGTTGCCATCGTGTAACATTTCTGAAAAATTATTTCTCAGGATAACACTAATGTAAATTGTATTATATGTAGGAACATGGAAAGCTTTACAGGTGCTACAAGGGGCCTTAAGGCCTTCCCTACATCCTACCTCCACCCACTTTCATAACTTAATATGACTCAGATGGGCCACATCATCTTTTTGAGCACTTATTCCAACCTAGGTATTGAGCCAATTATGCTACCATTTTGTCTTTCACAACCTCATGGTAAAATACACATGAAAAAATACACAATTATTCCAATTATATTAGGAAGGAAAAGACTTCAAAAAGTAAAGTCATATAGTAAATTCAGTTAAAATTCAAATAATTTTATTATTAAAAGTTATAAAGCCAAGAATTCCTACCCACACCTTCCTGAATCCAAATGTTATTTCCTTGCGACTGTTAACAAAGTTATTAAGAAATTATTTTAGACAGATAGAGAGGAAAAGGGGCCCTTGGGAAGTTTCTGTTTGTTTCTTTCTTTCTTTTTTTTTTTTTTTTTTTTTTTTAACAGTCTCGCCCTGTTGCCCAGGCTGGAGTGCAGTGGCACAATCTCCGCTCACTGCAAGCTCTGCCTATCCGGTTCACACCATTCTCCTGCCTCAGCCGCCGAGCTGGGACTACAGGCGCCCGCCACCACGCCAGGCGAATTTTTTGTATTTTCAGTAGAGACGGGGTTTCACCATGTTAGCCAGGATGGTCTCGATCTCCTGACCTTGTGATCCGCCCGCCTCGGCCTCCCAAAGTGCTGGGATTACAGGCGTGAGCCACTGCGCCTGGCCGGAAGTTTTTGTTTCTTTTAAAGCAGCTCCAGAAACGTTTCTTGTGTAGCAGAAAGCCCTAGCTCTTAGAGTTGGGCCAGCAAGCTTTGATATGCAAATACGGGCCCTTAGAAACTGGGTCTACCCAAACACGGAGATTCCAGCTGTCTTCTTCCTTGCCCATGTGCCTGGAAACATAGCCTCCCCCCGTATATCTTCACGTGTGTAGAACATCATGGCTTCCTGTATTTGCATATCAAAAAGCTAGGGTGGGAGGGCCAGTTTTTCATGGGCTACGTGAATGACATACCTGGTCAAACCAATCGCCTGAGCCCTATGCAAATCAGACACCACCTCCTCATAACTGGCTGATTTCCGTGGCACTCAGGGTTTCCTCTCTTGGCTTTAGAGACCCCTCCCTCTGTCTCTGTATGGGGGAGCTTCTTCCTTCCTTGTCGCCTATTAAACTCTCCTCTACTTAAAACCACTCCACATTCGTCTGTGTTCTTTTATCCAATTCGGGACGAGACTAAGGATCCTGGCAGTCATCAGAGCCGTATCACCACTACGCAGTCATACAAGGGAGAATATAAGTACAATATATAGTTTCATTTTCTATGCTTTTTACCTTAATATTCTCTTAAATACCCCAAAAGCTTTCTATTTACCAAAATGCCATTTTACCTAGTCAACTGCCTGCAAAGAAGTTAAAATGACTTCTTAAGGAAAAATGGAAAAATTATGTTAACACTTATAACTATCAATACTTACTTACCAAGACTGGTATTATTATCTACAGAATTTGTATCACACAAACCAAAGATAATAATTAGAACACTGAAGAATGTTCTGATACTACTAGCGATTTTATGAAACTTTAAGAAATGTTCTCAAGCCTCAATAGCCATCCTTATGTTGTGAAAATTTTGTTTTGTAGGTGAGTTGACTATTTTATCTAAGTAGTCAATAGCTAGATTTCTAAAAGCCAGTATAAAATCCCAAAGATTGAATACCTCCAAAACAGCTACAACTTCATCTGGCAAATTCTTGTTGCCAGTAGTCACAAAGTGCTGAATGGTAACAATACATTTTCAAACATGACAAGGACAACAAAATCCATTAATTTTTTTTTTTAAGCAAGAGTAAGTAAAACTTGTTTCAGATGTGATTCAAAGGTAACTTCTATCTCTCATGTGGAAGGTGAAAAAGCTTATTCGATGCAAAAATCTGAGACAGGCAGTACAAGAATATACAAGGCCATGCCTTGTCTTTTACTAGCCAAGTCTAGCTCACCCCACTCTTTGAAGGTGGCAGGATGGATGCAGAACTGTAGTGTCGAGTGGAGTGGATGAGATGTATCTGTGAGACCGTTATACACTAAGGGACACTCTGAAGTGGGAGACTGTGAAGGAAAGAAGCAATCCGGAGATGGAGGTAATTAAAAAATAATGCTGCTTTTCACTGAAAACCACCGGGAGAAATAAAATGTTTTAAGAGCTTCCACTTTTTAACTAAGGTGATGTTTGCAAACTAAAGAACTGTTAAAATATTTACATCTTTAAGTGCTTGTGTACAGATTCTCTCCTTTTGACATTATCCCCAGAGAAGACAAGAATATGCTGAAAGCATTACTAATATAGTTGATTTTAATTTCCAAAAGCAACCCATGAAGACAACTTCTGAAGAAGAGTGACATGGGGTGAGATAATCAAAAGTCATCCCTCCTTTGCCTGAACTGCATGAAAGAGACTTTATGTGGCCCTTGAGCTAGAAAGATTTCTTTGCTACTGTTTATTCCATCAGTGTCACCAGACAGCAGTATCTCATAAATAAAGCTGATTTACCATGTTTGGTACTGAAAAATTATTTGGTTATGTTAGGCTCAAATTAAATAGCAAATGTATATTGCTTCTTAAAAATGAGCTTAAGATGATGATCTCATTGTTCATGAATCCATGTGGCCAATATTTTTATTAGTAGCTGTTTTATAATATGATATTTATAATATATTTATAATAAATATTAATATTTATTTTCTATCAATATATCAAGGGTGTGAATTATATTTATTGATATAATTTATTTTACTTTTATAGCCATATTCTTAAAGGAAAGATATCAAATTTCCTTCTTAATAAAAAGAAGTTAGAAAGCCAGAATTCTGTTTTACTTTTCTAGAAAATTGATTCCGTGTCCATGATTGAGACAAAGCAACTCTGTCTGTAGAATGACAGGCTCAGAAAATCAAATTTGGTTTCTGTCATTTTCTCAGACAGAGCAGACCTCATGCTGACCCTTTTGCACATTAAATCTTAGTCTTTGGGTTTAAGCTGCCTGTAGAAAGTACAAGGATTTCAAGCTTTGCCACTGTTCTGCCTTACATAATATATTCAGAAAAAGACAGCACAGAAATCGTGGTTTTGTATTTACTAACATCATGTAGGTACCACTGGGATGTCATCAATTAATGTCATATTTCATAGGCATCAGCAAAGCAAGGTCCCAAATTCTGCCTCATAAATGACCCTCTCGTTCCTCTTCTTCTTCAGACATTTGCTAGTGACCTTTATACCTGATGAGCTTCCAACAAGTAACCGTGTGTCAAAAAAGCCTAAAGATAAACTTTGTATTCATCATCAACTTCCTTCTGTCTCGAGTAAATACACTAAAAAAAGCCATGAAACCAATATTGTCTAAGCTTTGACTTTTCTGACATTGGCATTGTAGAAGCCAAAGGAAAATGTTTACTTCCCCTTGTAAAGATTCAATGAAAAACTCAACTGATAAAAGGAGATTAACAGGAGAAATGGAATACAAATTTATTAACGTGTATGTAGGGAGAACCACAGTGTAATTATCCCTAATGCTCCAATGGGATTCAGAAGATTATACACCATCTTTAGGTCACTGAAGAAATGGGAATTTGGTCTGTGGCAAAACAAAACATGCTATTGGAGAGGAAGGCCTGGCTGGCAAAGGTGACAGTTGTATTATGTATATGAAATTTTACAGGTAATCTTTCAGAGAGTATAGATGGTTAGTATTTCCTAAGACCCTTAAAAGGTATCAGACTCTGCATTAGTCCATTATCAGGCTGCTATAAAGACATACCTTAGACTGGGTAATTTATAAAGAAAAGATGTTCAATCAGCTCACAGTTCTGTGGGCTGTACAGGAAGCATGATACTGTCATCTTCTAGGCTTCTCATGAGGCCTCAGGAAACTTACAATCATGGTGGAAGGTAAAGGGGAAGCACACATGGTTTTCTTATGACTGGAAGGAGGTGGAGGAGGTAGATGCTACACACTTTTAAACAAGCATATCTTGGGAGAATTCTATTATAAGAACAGCAAAAGGGAAATCTGCACCTGTGATTCCATCACATCCCACCATGCCCCTCCTCCAACACTGAGAATTATAATTCAACAGGAGATTTGGGTGGAGACACAGAGCCAAACCATATCAGACTCTCAGTTAACCTTTCCTAGATCTTTTGAAGGGAAGGCGTCAGAGAAAACCTGGCTGCCTCAGTGCAGATTTTCTCTACAGATGCAAATCTCCCCCATGAAAGGTAAGTGTTGCAGGGCTATTTCTATTTGCAGGTCCTATGAAGAGTCATCTCAACATATGATGAAGAAATATATTTTAGGGTGAAATACTTTGATTTTCTTCAGCATCCAAATTGCATTTTGACATTTTCTTTCTCTTGCAGTTTTTATACTTATCTTAAATTTTCTGCAGTGAGAGCTCCCTTATTTTCCAGCAATCTTTTTTGTATTTGCTTTCTACTTTTGTTTCTCCTGTGGAACTACTCCTTACAAATCCCCAAATTCTGAACTATTTCCTTTCTTATGATTATTTCCTAATTCAAATGATATCACAACTGATAAATTTTGCCATTCATTTAAAACTGTGGGTTTGTAACATAATAAAATTAAAAATTTACATCACAAAATTCTCTGTTGGGCAAGGTGTGGTGGTGTGTGCCTATAGTCCCAAGCTACCTGGGAGGCTGCAGGAGAATCGCTTGAGCCCAGGAATTTGAGGCTGCAGTGAGCTATGATTGTACCACTACACTTCAGCATGGGCCACAGAGTGAGATTCTGTCTCTAAAGTAATAATAATAATAATAATGGAATCTCTGTTGGATAATTTTTGTGTCAGTAATCTCAGCTCTACCATTTGTATGTGGACAGCTTCAAGTATCTATATTCAGGTTATCCAGTGTAGGAAAACAAAGCATTATTTAGAGCACTCCTTTCTTGGTTATCTGATAGTAGTTTTTCACAGCCTTGAAGCTATTTCACAATTCTATAAACTGTAGATAACTGATAAAAGTGCAAAGTAATACTTGTCTATACAAACGTGAAGACACTCTATCTGGTGGAAATTCAGTTGACCATCCTTTTTTTTTTCCATTGTGGAAAAAGCCAGTTTTCTTCCATTTCTAAATGTATTTCAGCATGGTTTTACTTCATATACACGTCTGCTTCTTTAACTTTTTTGAACTGATTGTAACTGTTTCTGGTTTCTTCATTCATAATTAGTTAAATAAAATCTCCAATATGTGTCCATTTTATATTTGTATGAGAATTGAGATTTTTACCCTTTTGTTTTTTAATGTTCTTTTAACACTAGGCTTTACAGTCCAAACAACACTGTAGAATTTGACACCACAGACAATGGAGAGATGTGGAGTATGTCCATTTAACAGTTAACGCGTTTGGTCTATGTATGTGAAAATGACAGAAAACCTTTTTAAAATTTGTATGTAATTTATAAATTTCTCAGAAATGCTGCCAATTAAATAAGTTAAATAAAAAACATTGAAACATTAAAACAATGAAAACGAAGTATTTAATTGCCTCCCATTTTCTTTTCTTTTTATATTTATTGACCTGCAAGAATTTAAGAAAAAAAAAGATTAAGGAAAATGGCAAAAGAACAATTTCTTCTGACTGTATTTAGAAAGAAATGCTAGATACAGGAATTTTACAGAATCTGTAGCTTTTCAAGGTGGAGTCTTACATTTGATTCTTCTCTCCCCTTGCTGTGTCTAGGCTGAATGTGATGAACAGAGATTCCATCCTGGGATCCTGGGCACCACAGCATATGGAAGGTGAGTTGACAGAGGATAGAGTCTCCAGTCACGAACAGTGAGAGTTTAGATTCTGGCTCCACGATTTATTAAACATGTGAACCTGGTCAAGTCATGTAACTCCTCTGAGCTTCAGGTAGCTCATGTATGAATCTATGATACTGATAATAATAACATGCTTTACAGGTTTGTCTGAGCTTTAAATAAGAAAATATTTCTAAAGCATCAAGAACTCGGTCTGTTGTGTGGTAGTGAGTCAATAAACACTATTATCACCATTCCTTATTTGATGTGCTACCAAAGAGCTGTTTTACTTTTTACCTAAATGCCAACATTGTCAACTAGATTCAAGAATTACCTAATGTAAAGAACATCTCATTATGTGCCTACAAGAAGGAAGATCTACCTTATAAACATAAAACCAAGAAATAAGGCATCTAAGACAAAGACATATATAAAATTATTTAAAATATTCTGTTTCACAAGCATAGTATCAGTTGATTAAATAAATTGACCATTTTGGTAAACTTCTATATCAACTACTCTTACAATTAAAGAGATCTTACCTAAACAGTAGACTTTACATGTGTTAATTCAGAAATCAGCCTAAATATAACTTTCACCTCCTAAATATTTTATTATAAAGTAATATATGGTCTCCACTGAACTTAATCTCCATTGCACTTAAATGTATGTGTTTCTGTGTGTGTATATATACATGTATATGTGGTTTATGTGTGTGCACACGTACATGCATATATGCATATATGTGTGTATATGTCTATATGTACATACATATGTGTGTATATGCATGTACGTGTGCACAAATGTACATACATATATGTACATGTGCACAAACACACACACTACCATTGGAAGCAAAATATCTACCTATTTGGATTATTAGAAAATGCAAATAATAGTTTACTGTCACAGAAAAATCCCAAAGTCTAATTAACTGCATGATGTGGAGTCAGTAATGAACCCACTCTATTTTAGTCTATTACCTCAATGGCAGTAAGAATTGTAGATGGTCAATTTCTTTTATACAATCATGTAGTAAAGGCAAATGAGACAAAGTATGAAAAATATCTAAGATCAATTTGGAGGACAGTATGCTCTACAAATCCAAGCTGGTACTGCTCTGAAAAACACAAATTTAAGCAATTCAGATGTGGTAACTAGATTGCTGATGCAAAGATGGCTCTACTTTCCCACCTGTTCATTCTACCTACACACTTTCCAGGTGCTGCTGTATAATCTTTCTCTCAACCAAGCAATTACACCACGTGAATTGTGTGGTTAGTCAGCTAACCATCTGCTTTCTAGGAACAATCATGTACTGTGTTCACAATTTTCTTGATTCAAGCCACAAGGAAGATGCAGAAATCTGAGGTGTAATATTTGAGACATTCTTTGTTTTTTAAAAAATAAGCCATATGATTAAGAAGATTTTAAACTGCCTTCCTTTATGTGCATGTATAGTTTTTGCTGGCAGTTGAAAACATGTGTAGGGAGGCAAGGAGAGTCGAGATAATGGTCACTTAATATGTAAATATAAATAGACACATATTGCTATTTTTTTCTTGACTGTACTTTCCCCCAACACCCCAAACTATGAACAGGCTGTAAATGTATGCCTCCAGACACGCAGACAAAAGCAGCAATCTTAATTAGCCAAATTAAAACAGTAAGACACATCCGATTATCCCTTTTTAGTTTAAACCAGCTCCTAAAATGACAACTGATGTGAAAATAATTAAAGCAAGACAGACTGGAAAAAGAGGAGAATAATGTATTTAGATTTTGAGGAGAAGTAATTAGCTTTGGCAGGTTATTTATTTATGTAAATTGAAAAATTAGCTCTACTAGGCAGAGGCGATACATTCAAGTGTCTGCATTTCTGGCACGACATGGAAGAAGAAAAAAGTTATAATGAAAAGCAACAAGATGAATTTCAAGCAAGAAAAGACTCCTTAAATTGTTACTTTTTTAAAGGAAGACAGATTCTCAGAGAATAAAATTCATAAAATCTGTCTCAGTAGTTCAGCACTACTGTGTATGAAAAAAATCTTACTAATTTCCTGAGATTGCTTTTCCTCAATACAGATACAGATTTTCTTGATTTGAACAGCTGTCTTGGCTTTTCTCAGTCTATGTTACATTCATAAGTTATTCTTCCTTCAAATTGTCATTTTATACAGCTCTACTTCATTAAAACTGCTTCATTTTCAGTAGAAATCTAGACTAGTCCTTCTCACTTTGTCCTGAACTTTTTATATGCCATCTAGGCACACACCCTTTGCCTAGTTTCACCTACACAATGAATTCAAACATCTCCGATAAATTGAAAACTTTTAGATCTGTGAATCTAGCACTGTCATCCATACTTAAATATATAGCCACTTACACTGTACTTAAATATACAGCTTTTCAGGCATGCTTTAATTTTTCCATCTTGCCTGCAGAAACTATTTGTTCATTGCTTTCTACGTAAGAGGAACCATGCTATGATTAGGCATTTGAGCGCTAGGTATAGAAGAATACTTCTAGAGTTTAAGTATTGCACAAGTTTATCCTCTAGAAGTAATAAACACAGAAAATAAATGCAAGTGTTTTGATAGAAGAATGTACAGAGTATAACGGAGATACAAAGAAGGGCATGGTATATTCTAGTGTTTGGAGTGTGGATTTGGAGGAAGGATGGTTGCTATGAAAAGATTTCTTTATAAACAGCTTATCCTCTATTCTCCCAACGTCCAAATAACATGTTTTCCTTAATTTAAAAAAAAAACTATTTTAGATAAATGAAAGTACTGTAAATACTGTTGCCTGCTTTAATTAACCATGTTAGTGAGATGTGGCTATTACACACACACACACACACACACACACACACAAACACACACACACAGACACATTCACAGCACACAGTATACAAATAAAGTGCGAGGCTGCGTTACATAGTACTGGTAAAGTAACTAGAAACTAGTAATTAAAGCCAAACCGCTCCTTAGCCAGACAAATCTTTAGTTAATGTGATGATTTTCAATCTTCATATCTAAAATATACTCAGAAGTTTTAATGTATACAATGTTATTGACAGTCCTTGTTATCCTGTAATTTATGTGTGCAAACTGGCATGTCCATTTGTAGTCCCAGCAGAATTCAAGAAAGCTACTGATTTCAAATTTTTATTAAATATTAACTTCAGCAATCTCACATTCTTCTATGAGTTCCTTCTGTGCAATGAGACATGCTTGAAGAAAAGGAATTAAGGTAGAAAGAAATAGCTGTGATCTGAAGCTTAAGGAGAAATATACTATGTATTTACCAGTGTCTCCTCTTTCTCTTTACAAAAGAGGACTACATTTCTCAGTGTCCCTGGATCTGAATTGTCAGCATATGACTGCAATTTCACAATAAGAATATAAGCAAAAAAGGCAGTTAAGAATTGGTATGCATTCTTCTTGGTATCCCTCTCACATCTGTTCAACTGAAAGGAAAGATCTTCAGCACGGTGGACAGAAACGGCTCAGACCTTGAACCATAATTTGAGAACAGCCAAGGAGTACCCCCTAGTACCACATATGCGTGAGAAATAAACAATTTTTTAGGTTAAGCCACAGAGATTTTGAGATTTATTTGTAATCACAGCATAGATTAGTTTATCCTGACAAACACAATAAGAAACTATTTGATCAATCAATGCTTTGTCTCCTAAGTGAAATGAAAAATTAACATAAAAAACTATTGGTTCTTTCCCAGCAGCATACAGTTAATATGAATCAAATACTGCATAGTATTAATATTTAAGAATTAGGGCTCTGAGGACAAATGGCCTGGATTCAAATCTTGAGTTTGTCTTACTACACAAATGAGCTTGAGCAAATTTTCCTGTGCCTCATTTATTTTATCTATAAAATGGAAATGTTAATACTATTTCCATAAGGACTAAATGAAGTAATTCTCATAAAGAACCCAGCATAGTCTTAGCATATAGTAAGCTCTATTGAGAAATATTTGCTGCTATTATTACATTTAGATAGAATATTTATATAGTTCTGAAGGGGTATGCTTATAAAATTTAAACTACTATTAATATAGTTGGCCAAAATCTTTTGCAGTTCTTTACAATAGTCTCCACAGAGGTTGACTGAGATGTGTCATGTGACAAAAAAGGGATGTTTCTTTTCCTGAGCCCTGAATCTCTCTGACAGTCCCTGACCAGGTACCTACCAAAACTTTACTTGTGCAAACATGTAATGTATTAGATAAATGGAGACATCTTTCTAATGCCAATGAAGTTTTATGAACAGTGGAAATGCCTATTTACAATCTCAATAAACCAGTATACAATTCTACTGATGCCTTTTACTTTGTGCGTTTATGTCAATGGAATGGCTCACAATGACAGGAAGAGCATAAGAAACAATTTGGGTTGCCACAAGGCTAATCTAATAAAGAACTTATGAATATAACATTTTCTTAAATTCTATACCATATTTCATACAATTATGCCCATATGCAAAAGATATGTATTCTCATTTACATCTCAAAGAAACTTGGAGCCTGTATACACAAATAATCATACTTATGCACTTCAAAAAATAGGCATATATTGAAATGCATGGATTTATGAACAATAGTGCCAGGTATTTCATGATACATTTAAGATACTACTGGACAAAAGCGCCAAATGTAGGCATCTTAGACTCTACTATAGCAGAAGGGAAAGTATTTGTTTAAATATGTTTAGGCAACTTGTTCCTCTGTTCTTTTCTTATATATCTGAATACAACTTTTTTTCATAATTTTGGCTTATAATTATAACCCTTGATAAGAGCTTCCTGTACTATTTTATAAAACAGTGTCACTCTGTGACTCTGAGCTTGGCAAAGCCTGATCTCCTAATGTATTCCTATGTTAATGATGATTATGATGGTGATAATATGACAAGATTAACAAATACGTTAAATGCATTTGTTTTATTATTTGCCAGATAATCTACTAAGCTTTTTCCCTTAATCTTTAATTCTAACACCGGAATAAAATGCTATCATCATCATTGTATAGATTTTTTAAAATGTGGCTTTCAGAGATTAAGAAACATACTGAAGTTCCACAACTAGAGGTTAGATATGATAGTGGTAGGACTTGAACCCGAGTCTATCTCCAGTCTCTATTGAACCACTGCAATATACTACTTCTCATTCACTTTATTTTCCATTCGTGCTCTGTCATGTTATATTTCTTGATGCATAATAGTTGTGACTTATCTAAATTACACAAAGAATCCATGAATCACGTATTCATAATTATGCTATTTCTTAATTCAAGTAATATCTCTTTCAGTATGCTTTGTGCAAGAAAAGAAGGTCCCTCGCCTCTCCTTGCTTCAGTTTTCTCAATCGTTAAGTGGATGGATAAATAATTCCCTCCTTACTTAAGATTGCTCTTCTTTTTAAAGCAATATTGATCAGAAGAAAAGCATAGATTGGTTGGAGGTAGAATAATTACCAGAATCCAAAATAATCTCAAAGCAAAACATAAACATTTATGAATTTCACAAATATTCATTCAATTTCTCCTACTGCTAGGCACTATTCTAGATACAGAAGTAACAAGAATTGGAATTAGGGTAGTAGTGATAGAAATGAAGAGAAACAACAAGATTTTACAAGTGAAAGTTTTCTTCATCTGTAAAATCATGTCAGAACTGGTTTCCATCAGAATTGCTATAGCTAAGAAAATCAGATCCTTGAGCAGTGAGGCCCTGGACTTTTTTTGGTTTGTTTTGTTTTATTTAATAGAGACAAGATCTCACTCTTTTCCTCAGGTTGGAGTGCAGTGGTACAAGCAGAGCTCCCTGCAGCCTCAAACTCCTGGGCTCAAATGGTCCTCCCACCTGAGCCTCCCAAAATGCTGAGATTATAGGCATGAGTTACCATGACTTGTATTTTTATTAATTCTGATGATTCTCAATTAATTTCAATGGGCATAAAATAATGCTTAAAGTTCTCTGCGCTGCAGGTTTCTTTCAGGGCCCTTCAACACTAATGGCCAATGTACCTTAGATTCAATACTGATTTTAATTCTATAACAAGGAAAGGAAAAGAAAATCTCAAAGGTAACATGAGCTGCTCAGTAGCCTATCTGTGAAATGTCTCCAGCTTGCCAACAATTGCAGCTTGTCTCTCTGGTATTCAATCTATGGAGATAGGATTTTGATATTTTTAAAATCTTATTTTACATTTCCTTGAGAAAACTGTTTCTAAACCCAGCACCTCTAGTTTTTTTTTTTTTTTTTTCATTGAGACGGACTCTCACTGTGACGTTCAGGCTAGAGTGCACTGGTGCAATCTCAGCTCACTGCAACCTCCGCTTTCCCACAGGGTTCAAGCGATTCTCCTGCCTCAGCCTCCCAAGTAGCTGGAACTACATGCGCGCACCACCTGGCCCAGCTAATTTTATATTCTTAGTAGAGATGGGGTTTCACCATATTGGCCAGGCTGGTCTCGAACTCCTGACCTCAAGTGATCCACCTGCCTCGGCCTCCCAAAGTGCTAGGATTACAGGCGTGAGCCACTGTGTCCGGCTGTAGTACCTCTACTTTTAATTTCTAAGTTACACTCACGTTCTCATTCTGTTGTGATACAGTTTTAATGATGCTGATTAAGAAAAATGCCAGAAAGCCAATAATACATGCATGTAGATAATTTATAACATTTGTTTTACAATAACCTGATAAGAAACACTAGCACACACAAACATGATTTATTATAGCTCCCATAACCTCCATTTCCAGCTGTACCACCCTAATGTATGTGACCGTCATGATAATTGTAGACCCCCTTCCTACTAACATGGCTCATTACCTACAAACCTGGAATGCATTTAGCTTTATTACCACTGATTTTACATATAATTGAGTGCAATAATATATAGGATGGTATTATGTAAAGTGGAAAGCATTACATGATATACAGTACTATTATCTTTAATTACTGTGCATTAAAACTTTATTACTTGAGCAAAGTTTTATAATTTTTCAGTTTTTAAACTTTGGAAGAATAATTGTCAAGATCCATGGTGTAGGTAAGAACTATGGTTTTAAGGATGTTTGTACAGCAAATAGCCTTAGAAGACAGAGTGTCTCCCTTAAGGGTAAGAAACAGATTTCCTTGCCGTTGAGGATAATATAGATAATGTCTCCCTGCAGGGAAAAAATTGGGCAGGTTTGCTAGTAGTCCCTTATAAAATTGAGGGTTCACTAAGCTCAGGATTTTTCAGCAAACATATGAACGCTCTGTGTATGCAGCATCGACCTGGGCCCATTTCCATGTTTCCTCTGTGGAACTCACAGGCGGTGGGAAGCAAAGTTGTTGTAAACATGAAGCTCACACTGCCTGGTGTTATCTGAGTAATAACGTCCTCTGTCTCCGACCCAGGAATCTTCTATCTTCTGCCAGCATCCATGAAGCTGTACAGGCCAAATTGTTGGCTTGTAAGCAGGGTAAGATATCAGACTCTTCACAGTTCTTAACAGCGCATGAATGTATTATTTTTAGGAAAGGGAACGGATATTTTCCCAAAATAAAGAAAGAAAATAATGTAATTTGCTGTAAAGGTTGACGCAATAACACTATTATAAAAAAAATCAGGATGAAAATGTGCTCACTTGTTCTCATGCTCTCTTGCTCTCTCCTCTCACTGTTTTTCTCTCTCTTCCACCCTTTCTCCCTTCCTTCCTTCCTGCTTCTCCCCCTATTGCACTATATTTTCTATGCTTGTTGAAGTGTGTTCTACAGTTCTAATATCCGTCTGCATTAGCATGTTCACTGTTCCAGGAACAGCATGTCCCTGAAAATCTCTGCTGGATATAAAACTTTCAAGCATAACTAATATGACAGTGAAATGAATTTCATTTAAAAGAACAATACATTCCTTGGCCTTCATGGGTCAAGGTTACAATAGAGGAAACTTCCTTTGTTTACAATCATGTGTTTTCCATCCGCAAAAAACTAGTTAGCCCAGAGAGCCTGTATGTACATAGGGATGCCTTTATTCTTAATAGCATATTGTTTTTGGAAAACAAAACAGAAAATAAAAAAGAGATGACAAATTATAGTTCAGGTCAACCCACTGAGTTTGTTACCATAAATAGAAGGAATAGTAAAGTGACTACTAAATTAATACCCTTTTAAAAATATTTTAACAAAATTAGAAATATCATAAAGATAAGGAGTAGTTGTCTGGTCAAAGGGGAGTGAGGGTATCTGCAGAAATTGACCCTAAATTCTGAGGTTATCAACTAAACCATTGTTGACTGCCTGGCTGGAAGACTTCAACCTTGTCACATAAATTTACTACACTATGCTAACTCTCTGATAAATGCCATTGCTTTTTCTGCCTCTTGCCCCTGCAAAGGAGGTTCTGTTTTCTTATAAATCCTTGTTTTCTACATTTTCTTTCAGGAAAAACTGAAGCTATGGATGTCACATACCAAGCCTGTTAGCCCATAAAACTGGCATAGATGCAGCAAAATATTACCATCAGTCCCTGCTTTTCAGTATTTTTCATTCTTTCATCCATACATGATTTAACTGTACCCTGAGCCCCTGTAATGCATATACTAGGCTAAGAAATAGGAGATTAAAAAATGAAAACAAACAAATTATATTCTGAGAAATTTTAAAGTGATGTTACCTAAACAAATAAAAAATTTTAAAAAACTATGTGGGAGAACAGAAAATAAATGAAAATCACACTTGCTGGGTAGTCTTGGAAGTTTTCAACCAATTTCAATCAATTTGCCAATTGATCTGCCTCTTGAAGAATAATTGGGTATTTTCTTAGATTAAAAAAATGTAAGGGTATTATAGGAAATAATATACCAAGATTCTTATATTCTAGTGTAATGAGGTAAGATGTAATTTTGAAGGCAACTGGGAGTCCACATGGTTTTTGAAGCTGGAAATTTGCATGATCATCTTTATTTATTAGAAAATAATTCTGGCGACAGTATGGTGGGTGTTAGGAGGAACCAAAAAGAAGCCTGTACGAATTTTCAAAAGTTAGACAATAACAACGAGAATGCCATATTTGAAAGGTATTATGAAACAGTTACTGTGATTGCAACTTACTGTGGAGCATGAGCGTGAAGACTCAAAAGAGTCTCCATGTGTGACTAGGAAGCTATTAACTTAGAATAAACAAAAAGCTAGAGCATGTTGCATGTTGTAAAAGAGTGAAAAAACAAAGAGTTCCTTTTTTTATGTCAAATATTTGTTGAGTATGCTACATTCCAGTTAAAAAAAAAGATTCAGTAGACAAAACTAGTTAGATATGTGAATATGAGACCCAGGAGGAAATCTGGGTTTGGAGATGTAATGCAGAATTGTGAGTCTTATGTAAAAGAACAGTAACCAGTGATTATATGATGTGCCTTAGGGGAATAGCCGAGATTTGGAATAATAGAAGACCCAGGAGGGACTTCTTTGGAATGCAGCCCTATAAGGAGAGGGCAGAGGAGGAAGTTAGGTAAATTTTTTTTTCTTTTTTTTTTTTTTTTTGAGACAGATTCTGGCTCTGTTGCCCAGGCTGGAGTGCAGTGGTGTGATCTCAGCTCACTGCAACCTCCACCTCTTGGGTTCAAGCAATTCTCCTGCCTCAGCCTCCCGGGGCGCATGCCAACAGCCCCAGCTAATTTTTGTATTTTTAGTAGAAATGGGGTTTCACCATGTTGGCCAAGATGGTCTCGATCTCTTGACCTCGTGATCTGCCTGCCTCAGCCTCCCAAAGTGCTGGGATTACAGGCATGAGCCGCTGTGCCCGGCAAGTTGGGCAAATTAAATAGCAAGATCAGTGGTTATGAATATAGAAAGTCACACAGGAAGACAAAGGAAAGAAGATGGTCAGAAAGTAGACTAAAGTGGTCAAGTAGTATATGCCATTGGCTTGCCAATTAATAGGTAACTTATGACATTCATGAAAAGTGTTCCACTAGAGTGATGGAAAAAGAAGCTAAGGCTAGGCTGAGAAGAAAATTGGAGTCAAGAGAGCAGAGACAGCAAACACTTACCATATTACAGGCTACCACATGTGGGACATGAGATCACCCAGGCTGACCTAGTCTGTGGGTAAAAAAACAAAAAACTTCCCAACTGTGTCTGTGGCTGTTCTTGCTCCCGTCAGCTATTATAGCACCACAATTAAGGCTCATTCTTGGTATGGGGGATGAAGAGAAGAGAGAATGGAAGAAGGATTATTTCATGTGTGTTTCACTTTCACAAAAGACTTCCAAATTATCTCAAAAGCTATAGTGCTTTTGAGACACACTTGACAGGACTAAAAGAAAATAATACAGGCATGCTTCGAAAATATTATGGGTTTGGTTCCAGGCCACCACAATAAAAAGAATATCTCAATGAAACAAGTCACACAAAATTTTTGGTTTCGGGAGGCTGAGGCAGGAGAATGGCTCAACCCGGGAGGCAGAGCTTGCAGTGAGCTGAGATCGCGCCACTGCACTCCAGCCTGGGCGACAGAGCGAGACTCCGTCTCAAAAAAAAAAAATATTTTTTGGTTTCCCAGTGCATATAAAAGTTATGATTACACCATACTGTAGTATATTAAGTGTGCAAAAATATTATGTATAAAAAACCATGTACATATCTTCATTAGCAAATACTTTATTGGTAAAAAATACTAATGATTATCTGAGCCTTCAGAGAGTTGTAATATTTTTGCTGGTGGAAGACCTTGCCTCGATGTTGATGGCTGCTGACTGATCAGGGTGGTGGATGCTAAAGCCTGAGGCAGCTGTGAGAAATAGTTAAAATAAGGCAACAATAAAGTCTGCCATATTGACTGACTCTTCTTTTCATAAAAGAATTCTCTGTAGCCTGTGTTGCTGTTTGACAACATTTACCCACAGAATTAGAGTCAGACTTCTCAAACGCTGCAGTTGCTTTATCAGCTAAGTTTTTATAATATTCTAAAACCTTTGTAGTCCTTTCAACACTGTTTATGTATCATCTTCTCTAGGAGTAGATTTCTTCTAAAAAAAAAAAAAGAACACTTTCTTTGCTCATTTTTAAGAAGCAACTCCTCATCTGTTCAAGTTTTATCATGAGATTGCAGCAATTCGTCTTCAGCCTCCACTTCTCATTCCAATTATCCTGTTATTTCCACCACATATGGTTAGTTCCTCCACTGAAGTCTTGAATCCTTCACAGTCATCCATGAGGGTTGGAATCAACTTCTTTCAAATTCCTATTAATGTTGCTATTTCCACCTCCTCCCATGAATCCTGAGTGTTCTTAATAGCATATAGAATGGAAAATCCTTTCCAGCAAGTTTGCAATGTACATTTCTCAGATCTATCAGAAAATCACTATCTCTAGCAGCTGTAGCCTTACTAAATATATTTCTTAAATAAGAGAAAGGTGAAATTACTCCTTGGTCCATGGGCCGCAGAATGAATGTTATCATTGTGAAAGGAACATTCATCTTCTTGTACATCTTCATCAGAGTTCTTGGTGACCAGGTACATTGTCAATGAGTAACAATAGTTTGAAAGGAATGGTTTTCTGACCAGCAGGTCTTAAAAGTGGGCTTATAGGCCTGGCGCGGTGGCTCATGCCTGTAATCCCAGCACTTTGGGAGGCTGAGGCGGGCAGATCACGAGGTCAGGAGATGGAGACCATCCTGGCTAACATGGTGAAACCCTGTCTCTACCAAAAATACAAAAAAAATTAGCCAGGTGTGGTGGCAGGCGCCTGTAGTCCCAGCTACTTGGGAGGCTGAGGCAGGAGAATGGCCTGAACCCAGTAGGTGGAGCTTGCAGTGAGCCGAGATTGCAGCACTGCACTCCAGCCTGGGCGACAGAGCGAGACTCCATCTCAAGAAGAAAAAAAAAGGGCTTATAATATTCAGTAAACCATGCTGTAAACAGATGTGCTGTCATTCAGGTTTTGTTGTTCCATTTATAGAGTGTAGGCAGAGTAGATTTAGCATAAATTTTAAAGGCCATAGGATTTCTTTTAATGAGCATTGGCTTTAAATTAAAGTCACCAGCTGCAATAGTCTCTATCACAAGAGCTGAATTGTTCTTTGAAACTTTGATGCCAGGGATTGTCTTCCCCTCTCTAGGTATGAAAATCCAAGATGGCATCTTATTGCAATATATGGCTGTTTCATCTACGTATAAATCCGTTTAGTGTAGCCACCTTCATCAATTATCTTAGTTAGATCTTCTGGAAAACTTGCTGCAGCTTCTACATCAGCACTTAACTGCTTCACCTTGAACTTTTAGATTATGAAGATGGCTTCTTTACTTAAACCTCATGAACTAGCCTCTGCTAGCTTTGAAGACTTCTGTAGCTTCCTCACCAATCTCAAGCTTTATAGAATTGAAGACAATTAGGGCCTTGCCCTGGGTTTGGTGTTAGCTTAAGGAAATATTGTGGCTAGTTTGATCTTCTATCTAGACCTCTAACACTTTCTCCATATCAGCAATAAGGCTCACTTGGTTTCCTATCATCTGTGTCTCAGCTGAAGTAGCACCTTTAATTTCCTTCAAGAACTTTTCCCTTACATTCACAAGTTAGCTAATTGTTTGGCTCAAGAAGCATAACTTTTGGCCTAAGTCAGCTTTTGACATGCCTTTCTCACTAAGCTTAATCATTTCTAACTTTCAATTTAAAGTGAGAGATGTGCAACTCTGCCTTTAACTTGACCACTTAGAGGCCACTGTAAGATTATTAATAGGCCTAATTTCAATATGGCTGTATCTCAGGGAATAGGGAGGGGCAAGGAGAGGGAGAGAGATGGGGGAATGGACAGTAGGTGGAGCAGTAAGAACACACATCATTTATTGATTAAGTTCCCTATTTTATATGGGCATGGTTTCTGGAGTTCTAAAACAATTACGACAACATCAAAGATCACTAATCATAGACCACTTGTAACAAATATAATAATAATGAAAAGTTGAAATATTGCACAAATTACCAAAATCGATGCACAGACATAAAGTGAGCACAAGCTGTTGGAAAAATGGTGCCGATAGACTTGCTTGATGCAGTGTCCACAAACCTTCACTTTGTAAAAAATGTAGTATCTGTGAGGTGCAACAAAGTGAAGTGTAATGAAATGAGGTCTACCTGTACTTTAAAACTTTATCCTAACACTGGACCCCATTATCATTGTACACTATAAGTTATTGCTTTTTGTATATTTTATAGTAGAATTTTCTTACATTGTTATTAATATTCTAAAAGTATTATTTGTATTTCCTAACTTTTGAAATTATGTTTCATCATTAGAAATATGTAGATGACTGGGAATCACCAAAAGAGAAATAAAATGTGTCTCTCAGAGAGACCCTAACCCCAATCCTTTGGTAATTTCATCCCCATGGGTATTTCTGTGCAACCCTAGGGTAATTTATCCCCCTGGATGTCTCTGTGCATCCCTGTTCTGCATTTATGGGCTAGTCCACTACAGCTACTATATGGGGACTGGTTTTTATTTCCTCATCTCCTGCTTTATGCATCCTAAATCTCAGCACCTTTTGGTTCTCAGGTCCTCAGGGCATGCCTCTTGTCTCTTCCAAACAGCTGCTGACTAATGCTTTCACTAAAATTTTCACCGGAATCCCAGCTGTCTCCACAATGCTGCATCCCATCTTCTTTCTTTGAGCCCCAGTGTGGCTCTAAAGTGTCAAAACTGGGGACTATGGGAGTTGAAAAGAGCACCTCTCCCTCCTCTGAGTTTAATTCTGTTAGAGAGGTAGCAAGTGTTTTGCTATTCTCCTCCGCCATTCAACCATACACAGTAGAGGATTCAAAACATGGCACCATGAAAGTTGGGCTGACAGGCAAATCCCAGTACCAAGCATCCTGACATACTGAATCTTGCCTTGCCACTCTGAGAAGCAAGATTTTCTCGTTGCACCAAGAAAGGAATTTTTGTCCCTTCTCTTGGTATAGGCCTCTTTTAAGTGGCTTGTTCAACGCTTGGAATTGTCCCCCTCTAAGGCCAGTGCTCCCCCACCTTGGCATCACCAATGCCCTTTCATGCTCTTTCCTGTCCCCATGCAGTTCACTAATCATAGTAGCTAATATGTGTTGACCTCTGGCTGTGTACCCAGCACTATTATAAGTGATCTGTTATGCTTATTTTATTTCTCAAAAATAAAATTACAAAATATTAATATCGCCATTTTTACAAATAAGAAAAACTGATTTGTAAAAAGTAATGTAAGCTTGCCAGCATTTCACAAAACCAGTCCTGGAACCAGGGCCCCACATCTGCTGGGCTCCGAAGCTCAAGCTCTTCTCACCATGTCATTCTCTAAGTGCCATCAAGGCAAGTGCTCCATCTGCATCACCCTCCACTGCACCTGTGATTCCCAGTGCTCAACATGGCATAGAGTGGGCGGGAGTGTCAATTAATATTTGTTGAATGAGTGAATCATGATGGGAAATAAATCTCTCCCTGTAGCAACATTCATAATGGACGTTGGAATTTGTTTTGGGATGCAGGCTGAGACACATTTTATGAACCTCCAGCCAATCAATAATGTAGCACATATTTATTGTAATATATATAGCCTTATTCTTCTGGGTTTGTGAAAGAAATAAAGAAAAAGAAACACAATCCCTAACCTCTTGGGTTTTATTAGTTTATTAAAAAAAAAAAACAACAACACCTGTTTGCTTAGCCAGAGCTTCTCATTTTGAGACCCCAACCAGAAGCTAAAGGTCTAGGGAGTACCGAGATGTAATCAGAAGTGGCCAGTCTCCCAGGAGACAGAGCAAGCCAGAGCTGTGCTGAGAATGAATCTGGAGTATCCAGGAATAACAAGTGTACTACCATAAACGTTCACCAGGCAATGACTCTTGTTCAAGCCTTTTCTTTTGGGCTCCAGAGAATAACTTACCCAAATCAAACTATGGACTTTTGAAGTTCCAGTGGATGTGTAATGAGCTCCTAATTACAGATCTTTTCAGTCCAGTAATCAAGACATTTGCTGTGCACTCAGCCTTGTTGGTAGTGGCAGCAGAGACCAAAATACATTCACCCTGTGCATTGATTATCTTCCATTTGCTCCTTCAGCTTTACTCTTTGCATTTTTCCATCCTGCTTTACTCTAGAGAGCTGATCTACAAAAGCTGCATCAACAGAAACAACAGGTCCCTTGTCTTCCAGGCTGGAGTGCAGTGGTACCATCTGGGCTAACTGCAACCTCTGCTTCCTGGGTTCAAGCAATTCTCCTGCCTCAGCCTCCTGAGTAGCTGGAACTACAGGAGCATGCCATCATGCCTGGATAATTTTTTTGTATTTTAGTAGAGACAGGGTTTCACCATGTTTCCCAGGCTAGTCTCAAACTCCTGAGTTCAGGCAATCCGCCTGCCTCGGTCTCCCAAAGTGATGGGATTACAGGCATGAGCCACTGCGCCTGGCCCAGATCCCTGGTCTTTTATCTGACTGGTTCTTCTGATGGGAAGCAACTGCAGCAGTTTTGAGAAAGGAAAGGAAGAGAGGAAGTTCAGAGAATACACTAATTGCCCTGGCTTCTCTCTCTTTTCTGCATCCATACTATTTGGAATAGTGATATAGAATGTTCTCTCTGTCCTCTCCCTACCTCCAGTGACTCTCCTTTTACAGGGGTGGAAATGCTGCCTCTGTCACTTTCCCATAAGTACACTTCATCCTGTGTTGCCTTTTTATAGTCTGTTCACACCTTTGTGGATGTTCTTTCTAATACACTTTCCTCAAAAGACTCAATTTGAGGTATAAGCATCTGTTCCTGCTAGGATCCTGCCTAACTGACAAACAAATACTACAGAGATATGCTTTACGGAGAGAACAAAAAAGAAATACTCTGCCCACAGGAAATGAAAGCAGACCTTTAAGGGTTTGAGAAACCACTCGAGATGAAGCTATAAATTAAGAACTAAAGCCATACATGGACAATATTAAATCCTAGATAAGTCTTCACGTGAAAGCCAAAAAAACAAAATTCTAAAGCATTCTTTCCCTAGTCCTGGAATTTTGTGCTTTATCCTGCCTTATATTCTAAAACAGGAAAAGAAAAAAAAAAGTCTTCATTTTTCTCAAGAGCCACAACAATCATGCAAGGAAAAGACTAATGAAGGATTATGCACACACTGATCCACAATCTCCTAAGCCCATTTAATTGAAATTGCAGGTCATTTATTACATGCAAGCACTCTCTTAGGAGTACCCTTAGGAGTTATCTGTAGGAATGTTGTGACCAGAAGGTGAAGGCTTACAACAGCCTGTGGAGGTGCAAGTTGGAATGCGTGCGATGTGGAGTTTAGGAGAATAAAAATATGGGAACTAGGAAATTGTCCTAGTAAATCACCACAAAGGGCGAGGAAACGCTATAAAAGTGATAGCCAGTCAAGGCATATTCACTGTTCTCCAGGATGTCAATTTCAAATTTTGCCCTGCAAATTCAGCAATTCTCAATGTATTACTTGATATGTTTATAATTCTTTATTACATAATCCACATATTTTACATTTAACCAGATGTCTTCTCCATTCGAAGAGACAACTGTCTTCTATCTTCTCCTTACAATGACTCAGTAGAATTTAGACAGGTGAGCAAGAAAAGGTTTGCACTTTCATCTTTATTTGGTGGTGCTCCCCACATCATAGGCAAGAGCTGCATGCTAGCCAATTTGCTATTTCCACATCTTAATGGAAACAACCGCTATCCGGAGAAGTTTTAAGAAAAGTGCATTTAGGTGACACGTGTATAAACACTGAGACTGCTTGGAATGGGCAATGATTTCATGGGGGAAGGGAACTCAGGATTTGTTTGATTCAGACCATAATAAAGACAACTTAAGAATCACAATCTGTATTGACAACTAGTCAGGGACTAAATCTCTCTGAGGCATATGACAAACGCATTTAAACAGTTCAAAGCTCTGTTAAAATATCAGTAACAAGTCACTACCAAGGAAAATGGAGATAATACACCCTGAGATTGGTTGAAGTTGGAAAATTGAAGTTTACTGAGTTTGATTCATTAGAGATCAAATAGGTTTCTTAATGAAATTATAGCTATAGCCATAATAAAACTTACGCTGATTAAGGTTATTTAGCTATGTCATATCTTAAAATTCTAAATTACAGAATTTTATCTTTAATTTTAATAGATATTTTAAAATATTTTATTTAAATTTTATGAAGCCATTGCCTTTACTTTATTCCTATATTTTTAGTGTCACTTAGACTGACTTAGCTAGCAACAAAATTCAAAGTCAAGTCTTTCATATCTAGATTATATCCCATTTTGATAATATATGCCTTTTCTCCTTTATGTTGAGGTACGTATCTTCCAGACCTATATTTTTGAGAAGTCAAGCCATCAATTCAGATATAAGTTCAACACAATTATAGGCAAAAAAAAAATCTCATTAATTTTCAGGATGTAACTGCAATGTGCCGATTGAGAATAGAATCTAATATGCAAAGAGGTATAATTTCACTCTTTCTCCCCTCTACTCATTTTCTCACACAACTCCAAAGAAAATCTTTTGGCCTAAATCTTAATCTTCTCGTGGAAAAAAATATTATCTCTGCACTTTGAAGGTATAGCAACGTAATAAAACAAGAACTTGGAAGATAAGGCCCAGATGCATGCTGTTCACTGTTTTAAAAGTTCAATTGGCCTCTCAGCTACTGGCTTCACCATGTTGAAATGCCTTTTACAGAGACAGATGGTCCATTCAGTAGTCATCTATTGCTGGCTATGGCTTGTCATTATGATCCCCCTGGGTAAAATGCATTCTCAAAGTGCGTCTTCCCTTCTAATTCTTCCTAGCAAATGGGTAAGTGGGTAGTTTTATCTGCCCACTTGCCCCTAGAGTATGATCATATGCTGCAAACTCTGAGTCCCAGGAGAGCTCAGAAATCCCAACATTGAAATAGGCATTGAGCCAAGGCAAAAAAAAGCAGCAGAGGTAATAGGAGAAAGGTAAGACAGAAAAGCCTGCTTTATGATGTTCAGCTCATCTCTAAAGACTTTAACGTTATAATGGGAGTTGAAGTCCATCAATGTTCCTTCTGCTTACCTCTAGGAATGGAAAAAGAACAAGGAGGTGTTCTATAGCTTCTCATAATTAAAGAAAATTGAAATCTGGTATCAAAATCAGAAATGATGGAAGCATCAAGAGGGAGCACAATCCTGCACAGGGAGTGCAATCCTGGCAAATGTTCAGTTCTGCTTCAGGTTTTTAGTAATTCAAATTTGTAACAGTCTCTAGAGGATGGATTACTTCTCTTATGAAATACTATGGACAAAGGATAAACAAAAAAACTTAAGGTGAATTTCTAATCAAAAGCTAAGACTCCCAGATGAGGATACAGGTTCACAAATAACTAGTAGAAAAGAATAGTCAATGGTCTCTTTGAAGTAAGAAAATATTAAGGTCAGCTATCGATTTTTTTCCTTTTCTGTGTAAAGATGTCTTCAGACAGAAGTAAATGCTCTTTAGAATCAAGAGCTAAGAGTGTTTTAAATTAATTCTCAGGACTTTCAGAAATAAAAGTTCAACTCAAATTCAAAGGACAATGGGCCAATTTCTTAAAATTTAAAGTGTGTAGGAGCATCTGTTGACAAATCATGTTTAAGATATTAGGAAATGACTGTCACTGTAAAGAATACTGGAATATACTAAAGCTGATAAAAGATGTCCAAGCCTATGTGTATAAATACATACAGCATGGATGTGAAAGATTGATGGATAGGAATATTATCCAGGAAAACTCGTGCATATAGACACTTTTAATACTATCTCCTCCAAAAGCATTTATGAAACCCTCAGGAAATCATGACACAAGAAACTCCGAAGAAGTGATACTGGCACCAAGCCATGCATCCAGTCAGTGTCATGGACCATGAAAAGAAGAAAAATCTTTCTCTACTCCCATGTTCCTCTATCCTAGCGACTAGGATTTTAAATATGTTAATAATAAGCAAGCCTTAAGTGCTGTTCCCTATCATGCTATTTGCTTTCTAGTTCAATATAGTTTGAGAATTACATCAGTGTCAAAAACTAGAAGAAAAGAAGGAAGTATATCATTACTCAAAATGGAATCCTTATCGTTCAGCATATTCATAGAGTTCCATTTTTTCAATTCATACAACTATTTACACAAGCCAAGCTCCAAGAAAAAATATTTTATAGGAACTTCTTTTTATTCTACTAATTATTTTTTAAAAACTTTTATCATAGTTGTTCCTGTCCTAAAAGTGATTCATGTTTATTATTTTTATTTTGTAAAATACTGTACCACTGAATGAAACATATAACCTATAATTGTATCACTTATTGATTACCATTGTTAATATTTGTTATACTTCCTTCCAGTATACTTTTTGTTTATATATTTAAAGAGTATATTCTGCTTCCCCAGCTTGGGATATCAAATGAGATTTACATCTTTTTACATGATCATATTACTCAGTCACCCAAGCTAGAGACTTCGGACGCATTCTAGATTCCACACTTTTCCTCACATACCACTCACTCAATATGTCATCAAATACTGTAGATTCTATGCCCTTTCCACTGATCATATCTAATTTTTGCCTCCTCTGGCCACAGTGCTACTGCCTTGATTCCGTCTATACCACTTGTCATCTTGGCTGTGGAACTTCAACTTATGTCTATCTCTACTCCTTCACATGGTATATAGAGTTATCCATCCCCTGGCCCTGTCTTACCAGTCTTTACTCTGGCTGTGTCTACTCCTCTGTCTCCCCTTCATGCTCCAGTTATTCTGCTCTGCTTCCATTTCCCTAAACCACCAAGCTAATTCATATCTTGCCTATTGCTGACTTTGTCTGCTCGCTTTATTTCTACATCAGTGATACTCTCATCATTTCCTCTCTGAAATTCATTCTGGCTCTTCCCATTACTTTCCAGGTAGAATGACTATACCCTTGTTTATGCCTCACACCATTTGATACCTTTATCTATCTAGGTCTGCCTTCACCTTTTTCATGTTTGTCTCCAGCTCTGAAAACTGCAATTCCTGACATCAAGATCTCACCTCATCCCTCTTCATGCTCCCAGGATCTAGAATTCAAACCCCAATACAAAAGAGATGATGCTCAAAAGTTCTTAGAATAAATTAATAAACAATAGGGAAGAATAATGATCTGGTAAATGCCAACCAAAAACTTAAGTTGAATATGATTTAGACAACAATGTTCTTCCCATTCCTGTGCCATCTTCACTCTACATGTATCCATTTCTGACTTGGTTGCACAACCACAAATGAAGGGCAAATGCAGCCTGTTTAAAATCCCCATAAAATGACAATTCATAAAATGCTGTAAAGAGATGAAACTCAGCAAACACCACAAAGCCATTATGATAAAATTGTCAAGCACTAAATCTGCTCAGGACAGCAGGGAGCTTATGAATAGTCACATTTGTTTCGGGTTGTTTGTTTAGAAATGTTCCTATAATAAATGTACTAAATAAGATGCATAATTTAGCTCCTCTATAACTTCCTGGTTGGCTGCCAGCTTCAAGCTCCTGCTCTACCTCTCCCCTCCACTCTTCCGTTGATCTCTCACCATCTTTCTCTGGAGTTTGACTCAGCACCAAGGTTACCTGCTGGCCTAGTATAGTCTCATTAAAAGCCATCATAGTTGTGCCCGATGGCTTCGTTTCTCCCACAGTGGTTCAATTTAAGTTTTCCTTTGAAATAAGGAAGTTCTCCCCAGGATGACTTTTTCCAGCTGTATTACATGCATTCCAACAGAGTAAAATGAAACAAAGGCAACTATTTCCTTTATTGGGTAAATGAAAAAAGGAGTCCTCAAGTCTTCCTCTACTTATCGCCACCATGAGATTTGTTAAGGTTTCACTTTTTTCATGAAACCTATCATAGTCAGTGTTCAAGCTTGCTTTTTTTTTTTTGCTCCTACGGAGCCTCAAGTAAAACTCAATATGCTGAGAATCAAAAGACCTTGTTTCAAGGTAGACAATTAAAAAGTGATTTGCTATTTGGTAAGATTAACTTCCTTGACTTTACTTTCCTTATCTTAAAAAAATGAATAATCACTGTCAACCCATTTGAAAGTGCAAAGCCCCCTTTGTATGCCCAACCCCCTGACACAGTACTTTGACTTCCTTACAAGATAATATGGCAAAAGAGTTGAAACATCGTTCTCATTTTTCTTAAGGGAGTGTGTAATTCTTGAATTAAGCAACTATAAGTCTCTAATCTTTTCTTTCTGCTTGACCCATTACAATCTATATTCTATGAAATTAATAGGCTTGGAATGTTAGGCATAGTCCAAATCTAGGATAACTTCTGGGGAATACATATTATAGTTGTGCCACACCAATCTCTTATCTGGTTAAGAGAATTGGGCTCAAGAGTCTGGAAATCTATGAAAGCTCTCTAGAATACTGATTTAAAGTAAAAATCAGCTTCTCATTTAATAAAAATGACTCAAGAATTGTCACTTATGGTAAAACGTGCTTAACATGCTTTCGATACCTTAATCCTTATAGCAACTCTATGAAGAAAACACTATTGTTACTGGCATTTCACAGTTGAGGAAGCTTGACCATTGTAGCTGTGAGACCTTGGCCATATCACTTTGCCTCTTCAAGTTCCAGAGCTAAGACCCAAACATAGATTTTTCACTCTCAAAGTCCATTCTCTTACACACAACAGCTTCTCTTCCCAACACCTAAGTCATGCTCTGGCTTAAGAACCAGAAGTACAGGGATAAAGACTGAGCCTTCTGCCAGAAATTATACTGTAATGAACAGTATTAACTCAGTGGCTATTAAAGGACAATACTTTTTTCTCCAGGACCATGATTCTCCTTACAGGCTTGCCATGATTTCTTTTCCACCTGCTAACCTTGTGCGCTGTGACTCTGCATGCTGTCTGGCTGTCCCATTGAGAGGAGACTGTGCAGAGCATGGCATCTGACAAAATGCAGGTCGTTTCTCTGAATGAGCATGATTCATTCCTGTCAGTTAAATTCAGAGGCAGGAGCCTGCGCTTCTCTCACTGGGCTGCTAAGAGGAACTGCAGGGCATGAGGAGACAGTTTAAAAATTGAAATATTCAGGCTGGGTGTGGTGGCACTGGCCTGTAATCTTAGCACTAGTGTTTTGATAGCAGAAGAGACCACACTGGTTACCTGGTTGAATTCAGGTGGATCACCTGAGGTCGGGAGTTCGAGACCAGCCTGACCAATATGGAGAAACCCCATCTCTACTAAAAATACAAAATTAGCCAAGCGTGCTGGTGGGCACTTGTAATCTCAGCTACTCAGGAGGCTGAGGCAGGAGAATCGCTTGAACCCGGGATAGGGAGGTTGAGATGAGCCGAGATCACACTATTACCAGCCTGGGCAACAAGAGCAAAACTCCATCTCAAAAAAAAAAAAAAAAAAAAAAAAACAAAAAAAAAACGAAATACCATGCTTAATTCCATATTGAGAAGGGCATGCCACTTCATCTCAGGGAGGCCTTAGGGGGCAGAAGTTTTGAAAACACACTGAAATGGTCCTGGGTCCTGATTTAAAATGTCTCTATTCAATTTTATACGAGGCACTTGCTTTTTGCTTGTTTTTGTTTGATTGTTTGTTTTCTCTGTTCCTGAACCAAACTCATAGTTTGTTTTCAGTAGAGAGGGGAGGGAAATCATGGACATTTTATATTTTTTCTTCCTTGAACTATAATCAGTCTCAACCCTAAAGGCTCCTAAAGTTAAAGAAGGGTCAGGGTAGAGAAGAATCCAAAATATCATTGTTTCCTTTTTATAAAATATTCTTTTGTCACTCATTAAATTTATTTGCATTCCTTTCATTTCCATATGAATTTTAGGATCAGTTTCCCAATTTCTGCAAAAAAAAAGATAAGATAAGAAAAAAGAAAATGCATTGAATCTGTAGATCAATAGGGGAATGAAGCCTGAAGCCATCTTTATGGTTTTATCTTCTAATCTATGAGCATAGCATGTCTTTCCAATTTGTTTACCTCTTTTAATTTCATCCAACAATGTTTTGTAGGTTTTAGTGTAAAAGTCTTGTACCTCTTTAATTTATTCATACATTTTATCCTTTTTCATGTTGTTGTAAATTGTTTTTAAATTTCATTTTCAAAATATTCATGGCTAATGTATAGAAATATAATAGATTTTTGTATGTTGATCTTGTTTCCTAAGACTTTGCTGAAATTGTTTCCTAATTCTAGTAGTGTTTTGTGGCTTCTTTAGGACTGTCTACATATATAAAATTATCATCTGAGAACAGAGGTAGTTTCACTTCTGTATTTTCAATCTGGATGACTTTTAATTATTTTCTTGACTAATTGCCCTGGCTAAAAAATCTAGTGTAATATTAAATAAAAGTGGTGAGACTGTCCATTCTTGATATGACATTTATCTTGATGACGTTGAAGAAGTCCTATTTGTAGGTCACTGAGTATTTATTTCACAAAGAGTCGTTTATTTTGTCAAATTCTTTTTTTACATCTGTTAAGAAGATCACTTTTTTTTTGTCCTTTATTAATGTGGTATATTACATTGATTTTCACATTTTAAAACAACCTTGCATTCCTGGAATAAATCCTGCCTGGTGACTGGTGATTGTATATAATACTTTTTATATGTTGCCGGATTCATTTTGCTAGTAATTTGGCTAGTAATTTGCTAGTAATTTAGTTTATTCTTTTTGTATCATCTTACACCATGGTATCAAAGTAATACTGCTCCCATAGAATGAATTGGTAAGTTTTCTCCCCTTTTTTATTTTTTGGAAGAGTTTGTAAAGAATTGCTATTATTTATTCTTTAAACCTTTAGTTGAATTCATCAGTGAAGCCTAGACTTTTAGTTGTAAAAAGGTTTTAATGTACTCATTTTTTTTACTTGTTTTGAATCTATTTCAATTTTTTGTTTCTTCTTGATTTTTGGTAGTTTGTATCTTTCTATAATTTGGTCCATAGCATTTAATTTACCTAACTTGTTGATACACAGTTGTCATGGCATAGTATTATCTTATATATATTTCCATAAGGTCAGTAGCATCCCCTTTAGGTCTTGATTTTATATTCCTTATTTTTTATTTCTGTATATTTTCTTTGACCTTCTAACTAAAGATTTGTCAATTTTGTTGGCCTTTTCCAAAAACCAAATTTGGGTTCCACTACTCTTTTCTGTTGTTTTTCTATTCTCTATTTCATTTATTTCCAGCCTAATCTTTATTGTTTTCTTATTTCTTTTTGCTTTGTATTTAGATTTTTTTTCTAGTTTCTTGAGGTAATGTTTAAGATCTTTCTACCTTTCTAATATACACATTTACAGCTATAAATTTCCCTCTGACCATCAATTTAGCTGCACTTTCTAAGTTTTGATATATTATCAGCTTTTTTCATCTAAAAGTATTTTCTATTTCCTTTTTCCATTTCTCCTTTGACCTATTGATTATTTAGAAATGTATTGTTTAATTTCCACATATTTGTGAATTTCCCAAATTTACTTGTTTTTAATTTCTAATTGCATTTTATTGTGGTTATACAATACACTTTTGTGTCATTTTGATCATTTTAAATTTATTATGGCTTGTCTTGTGGCATAACATATGGTCTACCCAAGACAGCTCCATGTGGTGTGGGATGGGATGTTCAATAGATGTCTCTTAAATCTTGTTGGCTGATAGTGTTGTTCACATAATTTATTTTCTTGTGATTTTCTACCTGTTGTTCCAGCTATTGTTGGAAGTGGAATATTGAGTTCGACATCTATTATTGTTGAATTATCTATTGTTACTTCAATTTTGTCAGTTATTACTTCACGTATTCTGCGGCTCTGTTAGGTGTTTACCTGTTTATAATGTTACAACTTCCTAATGGATTGACATTTTTATTATTATAGATGTCACTGTTTATCTCCAAAAATACATTTTTGTATTAAAGTCTTTTAAATTTAATATTAATACAATCACACTTGTTATCTTTTATTTACTCTTTCCATGCTAATTTTTCTCCATCCTTTTACTTTCAATCTCTTTTTCGTTGAATCTAAAGTATGACTTTAATAGAGAGTACATTGTTGAATAATACATTTTTCCAATTTCTGCCTTTTGTTCTGAGTATACAATTCATCATTTATATTTAATATTATTGTATATTATTATTATATTGATATTATAGTAAGATTTACATTGGTAATTTGGCTGTTTTTATCTCATGTCTTTCTGTGCTTTCTTCTTCCATCACTGCCTTTTGTGTTAGATTTTTTTTTTGGTGGATCATTCTAATTATATTTTTGTTTTCTTCTTTACTACATATTTGTATGAATTATCTTAATAATTTCTCTGGGAATTATTATTATCATCTAAAATACTCTAGTTAAGATTAATATCAACTAAATTTCAATTGCATACACAAACTTTGCTGCATAACAACGTTTCCTTCCTCCTTCTTATGTTTTATGTTCACAGAATTACATCTTTTTATATTATAAGATCATTATACATTATACAGTGATATGGTTTGGGTCTGTGTCCCCACCCAAATCTCATCTTGAATTGTAACCCGCACATGTCCAGCAAGGGACCTTGTGGGACGTGATTGGATCATGGGGGCGGTTTCCCCCATCCTGTTCTCATGATAGTGAGGGAGTTCTCATGAGATCTGAAGGTTTAAAAGTGGCAGTTTCCCCTGCTCTCTCTCTCTCTCCTGACACCATGTGAAGAAGGTGCCTGCTTCTCCTCCCCTTCTGCCATGATCGCAAGTTTCCTGAAGCCTCCATAGCCATGCAGAACTGTGAGTCAATTAAACCTCTTAGGTTTGCAAATTACCCAGTCTCAGGTAGTATATTTATAGCAGTGTGAAAACTGACTAAAACACACAGTATAGGATCATTATATATTATATAATCACAGTTTTTTAATTATTACTTTTTATAGTTTTTTAATCAAATAGAAGAAAAAAATTATCAACAAAAATAAATTTATGTTATCTTTTATATTTACCTATAAAATTACCTCTACTAATGCTTTTTATTTCTTTATATGGATTCAAGTTATTATCTAGTGTCTGTTCATTTCAGCCTGAAGCCTTTAGTATGTCTTGTAGGGAAGTTCTGCTAGCATTGAATCCTTAGTTTTTGTTTATCTTGAAATGTCTTCACTTCTTTTTAGTTTTTGATGGATAGTTTTCCTGAATATATAGTTTTGGTTGCAATATTTTTCTTTCAGTAATTTGAATATGCCATCTCACTGCCTTTTAGCCTCTATGGTTTTTGATATAATGTTAGCTGTTAGTCTTATTGATGAGACAGTTTTCTTTTTTGACTTTTAAGATTCTGTTCTTGTCTTTGGTTTCAAGAGCTTGACCATGATATATCTAGATAGGAGCATCAGTCAAGGTTCTTCAGAGAAGACCCAGTAGGACGTGTGTGAGTGCGTATAAAGATATTCATTATATATAAAATACAGATATATGAAGGCTGGTAAATCTCAAGATCTTCAGGGTGAGTTGAGTTACCAAGTTGGAAGCTCAGGAGAGCTAAAGACCTGAACACCAGGGCCAATGGTGTAGTTCCTATCTGAAGGCCAGAAGTCTTGAGACTCAGGAAGAGACAAAGTTTCAGTTTGAGTACTAAGGCAGGAAAAAACCCAATGTCCCATTTTGAAGGCCATAAGGCAGGAAAAGTTCTCTCTACTTTGAGGATGGTTGGCTTTTTTATTATATACAGCCCTTTATTGGATGAAGGCCACCCACATTATGTAGGGCAAACTCTTCTACTCAGTCTACTGATTTAAATGTTAATCTTATCCAAAAATACCTTTACAGAAACATCCACAATAATGTGTGACCAAATGTCTCAGCACCTCATGGCCCAGACAAGTTGACATGTAAAATTAATCATCATAGTAGGAAAATCTTAGAGTGTATCCTACTTGGAATTTGTTGAACTTCTTCAATGTGTAGATCAAAGTTTTTCATCAAATTTGCAAGGTTTTCAGCCATTATTTATTCAAATATGCTTTCTGTTCCTTCTTCTCTGTCCTTCTGTGAATTTGATTATTGGTACACATAATGGTGTTCCATAGGTTTCTGAGGCACTTCATTTTCCCTCATTTTTTCCCTGTTTCTAAAACTGAATGATATCAATGTACCTATCTTGACATTCCTCAATTTTCTCTCCTGCCTGCAAAAATCTGCTGTTAAGCCTCTCTGGAAAATTTTTAATTCAATTTATTGTACTTTTCACCTGTAGAATTAGTATTTGACCTTTTAAAAATACTTTCGATCTTTTTATTAATATTCTGTTTGTTGAGGCATTGTACCACACTTTTCTTTAGTTCTTTCTATATAGTTTCCTTTAATTCTTTGAACATATTTAAAGTAAATAAATACGTTGTCTAGTGAGTCCAACAAACAGGCTTGCTCAGGAACCGTTTTCACTGACTGTTATTTAATTTTGTTTGGCTGTTGCTGTGTATGGGGACTACTTTCCTGTTTCTTGTATGTCTCATAGATTTTTGTTAAAAACAAAATGTTGGTCAAGTGTGGTGGCTCATGCCTGTAATCCCAGCATTTTGTGAGGCTGAGGCAGGTGGATCACCTGAGGTCAGGAGTTCGAGACCAGCCTGGCCAACGTGGCGAAACCCTGTCTCTAGTAAAAATACAAAAATTAGCCAGGCATGGTGGTGGGTGCTTGTAATTCCAGCTACTCAGGAGGCTGAAGCAGGAGAATTGCTTGAACCCGGGAGGCCAAGGTTGAAGTGAGCCGAGATTGCACCATTGCACTCCAGCCCAGGCAACAAAAGCAATATTCCATCTAAAAATAAATAAATTAATTAATTAATAAACTGAAAATGTTAAATAATATAATGTGAAAATTCTAGGCATCATGTACTACCTTCTCCCAGTGTTTCTTGTTGTTGATGTTTGCTGCTCTTTGTTTGTTTAGTGACTTTCCTGTATTAATTTTGAAAAGTCTTTCAATGTAGTACGTAATCAGTGAAGTTTTTGTTTGGTCAGCTCAGTGGTTAGACAATGATTGAAGAGAGATAGTTTTACATAATGCCACTAATAACTCTTTTACCCTTTGCTCTATTGCATGTTAGGGCATATCTTCAATTCTCCAGCAGTTTATAATTCTGCTTTAGACTTCATGAGTTGCTTTGAAATCCCTCAGGGTTAACCAGAAGATAAGATCTTCCCTAGGCATGCACACATCCCTGCACATGTGTGTAGCCTAGGGGTATAATTGGAGCTCTCCAAAGCCTCCTATGGACATCTCATTTTCCAGATTTTCATTTTAAAATTTTTGGTCAGCCTCTTGTCTGCCCCAACTGTTACAGCTACTTTAGGCAACTGATGTGATAAATAATTGCCACTAATGGATTTTTCCAAATGTCTTGGAAGTAGGGGTTTGCTCATTATGTGAGCTCTGAATCAGGTCAAATAAACACAAACTCTGCAAATAAAGACAAGTCCAGGAATCTGCCAAATACGTCAAATAGCAACAGTTCTCTGGGGATGGGAGCTTTTTCAGGCACTCCATACCTGTTCTTCTCCCTGCAATGATTGCTATACTGCTAATTTTCATGTTTCTTGTGTTTCTGAGCTGTTATTTCTCAAGGCTATTATTGAAGATTTTACTTCCACCATTCTTCTTTTCTGGATAAACTTTTGCTAACATTCATTCAAGTAACTATCCAAAGATATTTACCCTTACAAACCTACTTTCAATTTCTAATAAGAAAAATTTAGCTAAAAACAAATCTGTTTATACATTGTATTTACTCAAGTCCCCATGAAAGAGTCTCTGTTATCTCCTGTCAAGTTAGATTTATTAAGTTCAGAAATTTTTTGTGAGCTGTATGAACTGTTTTAAAACTTTTGTCCATCAACTTCTGTAACATACATTCTAATTAGAATGTGAATAATGCACTTTCAAACTTTAAACTAGTTTTCTTGAATGTCTAGTGATTAAAGGTGAGGAAATAACACCGTATCCTTGGAAATGGTATATTTTATGCTCTTTTTTTTGAAAATAAATAACTATCATTTACTCTATATGTAATTGTGGTTCTTAGTACATCTATACTTTCTTCCAATACATTGTTAAGTGACCTTTTACTACCTGAAGTTAAAAACTTTGGGAAATGGTATTTTTAAACAGTATTTTAAAATATCACTGATGTTAAAATATCTCAGCTTTTCTCAAAGTGAACAAATTTAAAACTTAAAGGAAATATATGAGTACTTACTTCTAGTTGATTCCTATCCAAAGTACATAACTTTCATAATGTTCAGTAATATAATCTAAAACTTCTAGTAGAATACATGGCCCATCTTAAATATTACTACATTTTCCAGCCTTCTTGCAGATAGATGTGACCATGTGACTAAGGTCTGATGGGTGATATATAAATAAAAGTGATATTGGCAACTTCGGGGTAGTAATCTTGCTGGGGTGTAAGGGTATGGTTAGCATAAGAATCCTTACTCCTTCCCTCTGGGTGGAATATAGATGTAAATCCTGGAATTGCAACAGACAATTAGATCATGAGCTCTCCATGGGAATACAAACTATATGTGCTTCAGAGCCACAAAAGCCCAGGTCCCTGACGTAGTGGAGCCACCATAATCACTCCCATCCAAGTGCAAATCTCAATACCTTTACAAGACAGAGAAGAAAACGCCATCTTGTTAAAGCCACTGTCATTGGGGGTTTGCAGGCACTACCAGATGAATCTAATCTTACCTGATACAGCAATTTGCAAAGCTTAAACTTACTTTTCTGAGCTAGTGAAGCTATTAAATACATTGCAGAAATTCAATTAAGTTACTCATTGATGATCAGTGTTGCTCAGTCAGAATAAGCTGGAGGAAGTCTCTCTGCCACATAATAAAATAAATATTCTAAGATAGAACTATTTCTTCAAACACTAAGGTACATTCACCCTTATACCAGTTAATTTCCTATAAAATTGAAGTTGGCCTTCTTTGTACCTTCAATCAGTTTGTAGAGTTGTGAATATTCATGCATTAAGAATTTGTGTCTCTTTCGCTCAGCAATATTATGTGTCTCTGTTATATATTATTTTTCATTATAGGATTCAACACTCACAGTCTCTGAAAGGTCTCTTCTGATTTCCCTAGGCAGAATTCACTACCGCATATAAAATGCTATGGGTACCCATATCATTTTATAAACAACTCCTATCACTGAATTTAATACATTATAATTATATTTGGTGTTTATGCATCTGTCTTGTTCACTATGCTGTAAACATCTCAAAAGAAGTGATAGTGTTCTATTCATCTCGTGTTTCAACACTTCACACAGAGTTTATGCATGGTATATTCTATTGGTTTTCTATTGCTGAATAACAAATGGCCACATATTTAGCTGCTTAAACAACACCCGTTTATTATCATACACTTTCCATGGGTCAGAAGTCCAGGTGCATTTGACTAGGTTCTCTGCTTATGGTATCACAGGCCAAAAGGAAGTTGTCAGCCAGGCTGAGCTCTGGGATCTGGGGATGAATCTGCTTCCAAGCCAATTCGGACTGTTGTCATAATTCAGTTCTTTGAATCTGTAGGATGCACAGGTCATCATTTCCTTGCTGGTTGTCAGCAGCGGGGCACTCTGACCTTCTAGAGGCTGTCATGTGGCCCTTCCTATCCAGAAGCCAGCTATGGCACCTCAAATCCTTCTCATGCTTTGACTCTCTCTACCTTCCATCTTTTAAGATGGAAGAGCTTGAACAAAAAGCTCTTCCATCTTAAAAAGGCTCACATGATAGATTAGACGAGTGCAGATATTTCCCTTTTGAAATGTAATGTAACATAATCCTGGGAGTGGTATCCCAATATTTTCACAGGTTCCACCCACGCTCAAAAAGGTACAGATTATACAGGTGATGGAATGTTGGGGAGTCATTCTTAGAATTCTGCCTATCATGTAGACATTAAAAAATGCATTTAATAAGAGAATGACCTTCCATATGTTGAATTTCCTTAGCATGTAGAGATCTAAAATTTTAATGTTTTAAATTTTATGTTCTTTTTCAGTCACAAAAAGCCACAAGCACACAGGTACAATTTCATCTGGTAGTATATTCAGTATTCTATCATGAAAGCCTTAGGAGCTTCAGTGACAAGCCATTAATAATTGCATCAATAATAAAGAAAAAAATTAAAGCTCAGAATGAAATATGTAAGGTCCTAATAACCCATTTCCTACAGCAATAGATGTTTAATCACTCTACACTAAAACAACTATTATAAAAGGGCTATGTGAACTTTCTAGGACAAAAAGACCTCCTCCAAGGAGACCTTCTGTCCCTGCCTCTACAGAGAGCAACTGACCTTTTTCTAAATAGCAATAAACAAACCAACAAAAAATCACAAACCTGTAACTGGAAAAAAACAAACAAAAACAGTAAACATTAATAGTAATTACATAGATGAAGTATGATTAGAAAAAGGTAATTTGGATGTATATAGATTATATTTGCATCAGAGTTCAATGACATTTTGAATATAGGAAAATAAGCTCTTTGATCTGTATATGTATAAATATATATGTATAAATATATAAATATGAATATATTTATACATATATAATATATGTATATATAAATTTTTAATATTTAAATATTTAAATTTAATATGTAAATATTTAAAAATATATTTATATATTTATACATATATGGATATATATAAATATATATATTTGTACATATACAGATCAAAGAGCTTATTTTCCTATATATATATATATATATATATATATATATATATATATAAAGAGAGAGAGAGAGAGAGAGAGAGAGAAAGAGAGAGAGAGAAGTAATCCGCCTACCATAGAATGTGAACCTAGACTTCTTTTTGCCAAGGTCTACCTAATTCCCCTGCCTCCACTTTTACTTCCGTGTGCAATTCTGTGTAGCTGGACCTTTTGGCCTTGCTCTAGTTTCCAGACACTCTAAGATGTGAAATCATGTTAGTTAATAACTTAGCATTAAGCAACCTCCAACAGAAGACAATGGTACCTCTAGACTTTCATTTTTTTCTCTAAATCAAAGTTCTAGTCACCATGAACTTGTTTCTAGAGATGCCATACTTGCTAGTAGCCTGGTCCAGAGCCCGGGAACCAACACACATGGAAAGAATTCTCCTCCCCACTGCCTGCTGTAATTACCTCTGCTCGTGATTCCATAGGACCTGCTTCCCTTGTCTATGTGCTGCCCACCTTCTATGCTGCTCAGTGGAAACAACTTGGAATTCTGATACACATTTAAAATCACCATTGTACCTGCCTTGTCCTCTGAATATTATGTCTGACTATGGTTAGGCCAGCATTTAACCACGATCTTCTGCCAATTCCAAACTCCTTTCTTCTTTTTTTCTTTTCTAAGCTGTCATTTCTTAAATGGCACCCAAATCTCAGAATATTACACTTGCCTTTCAGGTAAAAAATATGTGTGTAGGCAGTGTCATAATCTGTACACGCTTTCGAGAATTCTTCCAGGTATGACTTCCAGGTATTCTTTCACAATTCTTTCTGGATGACTTGTATGTATATGTCTCCCTTTTCTAGAAACATAGAATATTTAAAATGTGGGGAGAAGCTATCTCATACAGTAATAGTAACAATTTTAGCTGAAATCTAAATCTATACACACACACATATATATAAGACTTTATATGTGTACACTGGATATCGATAGAATCCTTCCCTGCAAGAGGAACCTGAATATGTGTGCTGTTTCCTAGCATAGAATCCCATGAAAATGTGTGAATTTCAGCCTTATTGATGGCTCACAATGAATGTGTCCTCATCAGTATATATGGTTCCCTCCTTTCCCTCACACAGAGGCTATCAGGAATCCTAAAAGCAGATAAAACACCTCTTTAGTGAATCACCTTCCTGCATATTTTTTTGCCACCAGCCAAGGCTCTTGGCTGCGTGTGCTACAGTCAGCTTAGATTGCTACCTTCCACAATTCCAGGAGTTTTGCCATCATAAATTGCAGCTTGATTGATTTTTTTCAATCCTTGCTAATTCCATGGAAAGAAGACAAATTTCTGGTTTTGTATTTGTCATCATTTTCCCTCTTTTCCTATTATTTTTCTGGATTGAACAGAAAGTCAGTGCGTCTTCACATTTTGATGCCTAGGTTTCAGTTGTCTTCCAAAATGTCTCTGTTCACTCAGCCTTTGAGTGCCTTTCTTCTTCTAAGGTTGTCTTAAGCAACTGTAATGTTAAATGTCTAAGGCATGCTTTCCTGTTGTTTAACATCTATCAAAAATAGCCCTCCTAAAATAAAATAAAGTAAATGAATGGCTTAAAAGACTTGATATGACCTGCAAGTATTGCTCCTTTGTAAGTCACAAGTCTGATTTTTGGCATCTGTTGCTCATGATAATTGAACAGCTTTACCAGAACTCACATAGGTTGAGGCTATAAACCAGAGCCTGATGTGAGGGTCAACACACTGTCCCCTGAGTAAATATCCACAGTCATAACTTAGCATATCCTAATTATTGTAACGACAAAAAAAAAAAAAAGAAATCAAGATCCTCAGCTCTATTGAGCAGTTTGTCTTGCACCTGGATGAGACTATGCTTCTTGAAATTATTTTCCCCAAGACTCCCATTATTTTCCATTGGAGCCTGTCATTTGGAGATTTTCCTGATACTGCCCATTTTCTTCAAGTCAGCATCATTTATTTCTATTGCTTAAACAATTTTAGCTCACCCTACAACAATTCTTCTACTATAATATTTCTAATCCATTCAAGGATTAAAGGATGGTTTTTTACTCCCTTCAGCTGAATATATTTTTTTCTAGATCTGCTAGTTATTTCTTTAATAAAATGTTATGTCCAAACATGTGAAAGAGGCTCCGTCTAATTTAATCAAACTTGCCTGCATTTATTTTCATATTCCAAATATGTTTCTTCAGTCTGGTCTTCAGAGGGCAGTTATTTTTCAGGTCAGAAAAAAAATTCTTATTTGAATCATTTCCCACTAGCAACTGGGAATCCAAAGGGGGAAAAATGAAGATTCTGTTTCTCCACCTTTAGAATTTAGCCTGATATGACATAGTAGAAAACAACTATCTTGAGAAATATAAAGATATGTGTGGTCAAATGGAGATGCTAACTTTATCTATCTATATTGTCTTAGTCTGTTTGTGTTGCTATAAAGAAATACTTTATTCTGGGCAATTTATAAAGAGAAAAGCCTTATTTAGCTCACAGTTCTGCAGGCTGAAGAAGAGCATGGTACCAGTACCTGCTTCTGGTGAGGGCTTCAGGCTGTTTCCACTCATGGTGGAAGGTAAATGGGGGCCAGCATGTGTGGAGATCACATGTGTGGAGAGAGAAAGCAAGAGAGAGAGAAAGAGGTGCCAGGCTCTTTCCACAACCAGTTCTCACAGGAACTAATAAGAACTCACTGACTTCTGAAAGAATGGTGCCAAGCCATTCAAAAAGAATTCATCCCCACAATCCAAATACCTCAAATTTCAACATGAGACTTGACAGGGCTAAATAAACCATATCCAAACCACAGCACATATGGATTGGTTGTTTAGATAAAATCGAAGTCAAAACACATATCAAACAATGTATCTTTATCCAATGGAATGGAACAAAAAGGGCATGCATTTTTTAGAATCAGAAGGCAAAGTTCAAAAGTACATAAGGTATTGGTAAATCCATGAACTTCAAATGTAGCTCAGTTGAAAAACACTACACAACATTTTGAAATCAAATATGAACAGAAAAACTGAGAAACTAAACAAACACTTTTAAAGCCATGTGAGTACGTATTGATTCAACAGACTCAGCACTTCTAGTATATATTATGTTATATACTCAAGTATTAATGAAGATAACTCAGAGCCATAAAACTTACTAAGGCTTTTCACTTACAAGAACATCCTATGAACAGCTTTTTTATATATAAAAAATAGCAAATGCTGCATTTTATTAAAAAAAATTGTTGCAAGTTTGGCAGTAAGTCTTCATTCAAAAACCCACCTTGGGTTATCAAAGGTTGAAAATGAATTTTAGTTTTCATCCTATGTACTCAGCCTTATCAATATGCATAAATCATTATGTTATTTTGACATTTAATACAAATAAGTTGATGGGGTTTTTGCATGTTCCACTTAAGGAGTTGAACGATGCTGGGTAATATGGCTCACATTTTTTAAAGTGCGCCTGAAGGTCTAAATGAGATTGTGTACACATATAAGAAAAACACCTTGCTTTTTCAAATTTCATACGGGAGTTTGTAATTTTAAAAATACAGCTAAAACAAAAACCCGGAAGTGATTAAATAAATTTTGCAAGCAGCCAACATATGTAATTAAGGTTCATAATCTTTATGGATATAAGAATATCTTAGAGGCCATATACTCTTAATTCAGACCAAATTCTACTAAGTCAGAAGTTTTTGTTTCTAAGCTAATATCAGATTGTAGTAACACACTGAGGTGCCAGTGAGGTTGTTAGAGGCAGGCACAATAAATGAAACAATGGCTAAAAATTGAGAGTTTAAAATTGAGAGAAAGGTCAGAAAAAATATAAGAAGCAAGTAGGAAAGACTTCTGTGTCTGGTTGTGGCTGATATGATTCTACTGTAGTGAACTATCTTTAGGTAACATCTATAAATTCTGAACATTATGCAGAAAATACTTGCCTGGAGGAATAGAAGAGTGAGCAAAGAAAAGCAAAATATAAGAACTAAAAAGGGGCAAATGGTCATGAAGAAACTCTTGGGGTTGACAGGTATTCCCAGTACCTTGATTGAGTTATTGGTATATATATATATAAATTACACATCTTAATTGTGTAAAAATTATTGTCAAATACAATTGTCTACAAAAGTCAACATGTCAAAATTTGTGGAATGCAGCTAAAGTAATTATTCAAGGGAAATTTGTGATTTTCAATTTATATATTAGAAAAGAAGAATGATCTCAATCAATAATTAAAATTTCTCCCTTCAGAAACTAGAAAAACTAGAGCAAATTACAATACAATACAGGAAGTTAAGATAAGAGCAAATGTTATTGATAGACAACTTACAAAAGCAGAGAAAGTCAATGAAACCAAAACTTGCTTCTTTGAAAAAAAATCAACGCTATTGATATACTTCTAGCTGGGCTAATAAAAGAAGACATGCCCACACACACAAGTGTGTGTGTGAGTGTGTGTGTGTGTGTGTGTAGAGAGAGAGAGGATAAAAATTGTCAATATCAGGAATGAGAGAGTGAACATAACCGGAGATCATCCAGACATTAACTAAACAAGAGATTATTATAAACAATTTTATGAAAATAAATTAGAAAATTTAGATACAAAAAATTCCTTGGTAGATGTAAACTGCAAAATTGTATTGAAGAAAAAACGGAAATCTTTGATAGCCTTAAAGGAGTCAAAGAAATTAAATTTGTGACTAAAACCTCCCCACAGACAAAACTTTACACCCCGATGGCTTTACTGGTGAACTCAAACATTTAAGAAAGGAGTAATACTAATCCTACATAACATTTTTCAGAAAATAGAGAATAAAACACTTTCCAACTCATTTTATGATGTCAAGAACTGACAATGACAATACAAGAATAGAGAAGTGCAGAGCAATATTCCTCATGAAAATATAAAGTTCTTTCCCAGAATATTAGCAAATAAAAATGCAGCAACATATACAATTAATAAAACATCATAACCAAGTACTGTGTATACCCAGAAAAAAATTCATTTCAATCTGAAAACCAGTACAATTCACCATGTTCATAGAATAAAGAAAAACTATCATATGAATGTATCACTATGCAGAAAAAAATTGACAACATTAAACACTGATTTACATAAAGGTTCTCAGCAAACCAGTAGTAATTGGAAAATTCTCCAATCTGATAAAGGGCATTTATGTAAAACCTACAGCTAACACCATAGTTAACTGTGAAATACTGACTGTTTTTGTGAATGATCAAGAAAATGTGAGGATGTACAATAACATATTTTCTATTCAATATCCTATTAGAGGCTCTAGTCAGTGCAATAAAACAATAACAACAAAAAGGCATACATTTAATAATTATTCTGCTCTTGACCTTTATCACAATTACCTAAGCCTACCTGTCACTTGACATATTGTTAAAATGGCATTCACTTATTTAAAATTCACCTAGAACCCTAGGTCCCATAAAACTAGAACTCAGGTTTTTCTGTTTTCCCTCCTCAAAGTTTTATTGAACTTGAAATGTATATATGTCTATATATGGTAAACAGACTCTTCAAGGTAACATTAGACATTAATAGACAGACCTGTGAACACAACAAAAGTCATAAATTACTTTTCAGGATACAGTAGAGCCTTGAACAACACACGTTTGAACTGTGTGGTGGTTCCACTTACACGAAAATTTTCTTTTGCCTCTGCCACTCCTGAGAGAGCAAAACCAACCCCACCTCTTTCTCCTCCTCCTCAGCCCATTCAACTTAAAAAAGGCTAGAATGAAGACCTTTATGATGATCTACTTCCACTTAATTAATAATAAATATATTTTCTCTTTATTTTCTTAATATTTTCTCTAGCTTACTTTATTGTAGGAATATAGTATATAATAATCAAATATACAAAATATGTGTTAATTGGCTATTTATCTTATCAGATCATTATATAATAATTAAAGGGTAAATTCAGCAAGAGGCTATAACAATTGTAAATATGTATGCACCACAAACTGGAGCACACACATATAAAAAGCAAATATTACTAGAGCTAAAGGAAGAGATAGACTCTAATACAGTAGGAGCTGGAGAATTCAACTCCCCAGTTCCAGAATTAGACAGCTTATCAAGAGAGAAAATCAACAAAGAAACCTTGGACTTAATCTGCACTATATAAGAAATGGACTTAATAGACATTTACAGAACATTTTATCCAAGGGCTACAGAATACACATTCGTCTCCTCAGCACCTAAATCATTCTCGAGAATAGATCATTTGTTAGGACACAAAACAACTTTTAAAACATTCAAAAAAAAAAAAAAAGAAATAATATCAGGTATCTTATCTGACCACAATAGAACAAAACTAGAAATCTGTAACAGGAGAAATTTTGGAAACTATACAAAGACACAGAAATTAAACAATATGCTCCTGAATGACAAATGGATCAATAAAGAAATTAAGAAAATTGAGAAATTTCTTGAAACAAATGATAATGGAAACACAAAATACCCAAACCTATGGGATACAGCAAAAGCAGTACTAAGAATTTTATAGCCATAAGCACCATACATCAAAGAAGAAGAAAGACTTCAAATAACCTAACAATACATCTTAAAGGACTAGAAAAGTATGAGCAAACCAAACCCCAAATTAGGAGAAGAAAAGAATAAACATCAGAACATAAATAAATGAAATTGAAATGAAGAAAACAATATCAAAAAATCAATGAAATTGGTTTTTTTGAAAGAATAAACAAAATTGACAAACTTTTAGCTAGACTAAAAAAAGAGAAGATCTAAGTAAATAAAATTACAGATGTAAAAGGAAACATTAAAACTGATACCACAGAAATTCAAAGGATTATTTGGGGCTACTATGAGCAACTATATGCCAATAAACTGGAAAACCTAGAAGAAATGGATAAATTAGCAGACACATATTAATTCAACTTAACACAATTGAACTACGAAGAAATCAAAAACCCGAAGAGACCAGTAACAAGTAACAAGATCAAAGCTGTGATAAAAAGTCTCCTAGCAAAGAAAAGACTGGGATCCAATGGCTTCGCTGCTGAATTCTACTAATCAATTAAAGAACTAATACCAATCCTCAAAGTATTATGAAAAATAGAGGAGAACGGGAGACTTACAAAGTTATTCTGTGAGGCCAGTAATACCCTGATATCAGCCAAAGATACATGAAAAATATAGACAAATGTCCCTGATGAGATGCAAAAATCTTCAACGAAATACTAGAAAATTGAATTAAACATTACAAAGATCATTCATCATGACCAAGTGGGATTTATCCCTGGGATGCAAAGATGGTTCAATATACACAAATTAATCAACGTGATATGTCAGATCAACGGAATGAAGAAGAAAAGCCATATGAACATTTCAATTGACACTGAAAAAAGCATTTGATAAAAGTCAGCATTTCCTCATAATAAAATCCCTCAAAACACTGAATATATAATGAATATACCTCAACATAATAAAAGGCATATATGACAGACCCACAACTAGTATCATACTGAATGGGCAAACACTTAAAGCCTTTCCTCTAAAATCTGGAGCATGACAAGCATGTTCACTTTCACCATAATTATTCAATATAGTACTGGAAATCCTATCTATAGCATTCAGACAAGAGAAAGATATAAAAGACATCAAAATTGGAGAGAAGTCAAATTATCCTTGTTTGCAGATGATACAATTTTATATTTATAAAAACCTAACAGTCTCCATCAAATAACTATAGAACTTATAAACAAATTCAATAAAGTTGCAGGATACAAAATTAACACACAAAATCAATAGCAACTCTATATGTCAACAGTAAACAACTTAAAAAGAAAAAAACTAATCTCTTTTACAATAGCCACAGGTAAAACTAAATACCTAGGAATTAACTGAAGAAGTGAAATACCTTTACAATGAAAACTATAAAACATTTATGAAATAAATATAAGAAGACACACAAAAAATGAAAGATATTACATGTTCATGGATTGGAAGAATCAATGTAGTTAAAATGTCCATACTACTCAAAGCTATCTACAGATTCAACACAATCCCTATTAAAATACCAATGACATTCCTCATAGATACAGAAAAAAGAATCCTAAAATTTATGTGGAACCACACACACACACACACACACACACACACACACACACACAGAGAGAGAGAGAGAGAGAGAGAGAATAGCCAAAGCTATCCCAAGCAAAAAGAATAAAACTGGAGGAGTCACATTACTTGATTTCAAATTGTACTACAGAGGTAGGGCAAACAAAACAGCATGTTACTGGCATAAAAGCAGACACATAGACCAATGGAAAAGAATTGAGAACCCAGAAACAAATCCATACATTTACAGTGAACCCATTTTTGACAAAGATGTCACAAACACACATTGGGGAAAGGACAGTCTCTTCAATAAATAGTGCTGGGAAGACTGGATATTCATATGCAGAAGAGTGAAATTAGACCCTTAACTCTTGCCATATACAAAAGTCAAATCAAAATGTTTTAAAGCTTAAATCTAAGACCTGAAATATATAAAACTACTAAAAGAAAACTTTGGAGAAACTCTACAGGGCATTAATCTGGTCAAAGATTGTTGAGTAATACCTCATAAGTATAGGCAAGCAAAGCAAAAATAGACAAACAGGATCATATCAAGTTAAAAAGCTTCTGCACAATAAGGAAACAATCAACAACGTGAAAAGACAACCCACAGAATGGGAGAAAATATTTGCAAACTATCCATCTAAAAAGGGATTAATAACCAGAATATAAAATGGTCTCAAACAACTTAATAGAAAAAAACTAATAACTGGCCGGGCGCGGTGGCTCACGCCTGTAATCCCAGCACTTTGGGAGGCCGAGGCGGGCGCATCACGAAGTCAGGAGATCGAGACCATCCTGGCTAACACAGTGAAACCCCGTCTCTACTAAAAATACAAAAAATTAGCCGGGCATGGTGGCGGGAGCCTGTAGTCCCAGCTGCTTGGGAGGCTGAGGCAGGAGAATGGCGTAAACCCGGGAGGCAGACCTTGCAGTGAGCCGAGATCGTGCCACTGCACTCCAGCTGGGCGAAAGAGCGAGACTCCGTCTCAAAAAAAAAAAAAAAACACTAATAACTTGATTTTTGTAAAAGGGCAAAAGATCGGAATAGACATTTCTCAAAAGAAGGCATACAAATGCAAACAGGTATATAAAAGGTGCTCAACATCATTAATCACCAGAGAAATGCAAATCAAAACTACAATGAGATATTATCTTACCCCAGTTAAAATGGCTTTTATCCAAAATACAGGAAATAACAAATGTCGGTGAAGATGGGGAGAAAAGGGAACTCTTGTACACCGTTAGTGGGAATGTAAATAGTAAAAGCACTACGAACAACAGCTTGGAGAGTCCTCAAAAAGTTAAAAATGGAGATACCATACAATCCAGCACTCCTACTCCTAGCTGTATAACCCAAAGAAAGGAAATCAGTTTATTAAGAAAATATCTGCACTCCCATGTTTATTGCAGCACAATTCGCATTAGCTAAGATTTGGAAGCAATCTAAGTGTCCCTCAACAGATGAATGGATAAAGAAAATGTGGTACATATACACAATGCAGTACTATTCAACCATAAAAAAGAATGAGATCCTGTGATTTCCAACAACATGGATGGAACTGGACATCATTATATTAAGTGAAATAAGCAAAGCATAGAAAGACAAACTTCACATGTTTTCAATTATTTGTGAAAGCTAAAAATTAAAACAATTGAACTAATGCAGATAGAGGGTAGAATAATTATTTTCAGAGGCTGGGAAGGGTAGTAGGGGAGTGGGAGGAAGTGGGAATGTTAATTAGCACAAAAAAATAGAAAGAATGAAAGAGATCTAGTATTTGACAGTACAAGAGAGTGACTATAATCAATAACTTAATTATACATTTTTAAAAAGTAAAAATATAGTTGTATTGTTTGTAACACCAACGATAAATGCTCGAAGTGATGGATATCTCATTTAACCCAACGTGATTATTATGCATTGCATGTCTGTATCAAAATATCTCAGGTACCCCAAAAAGATATACACCTACTGTTTACCCACAAAATAAAAACTATAAAGATATTTAAAAAGGACTCCAGTCAACAATAGACTATTAGTAGTTAGGTTTTGGAGGAGTCAAAAGTTACATGTGGATTTTCAACTGCATGGTGAGGAAGGCTCAGATCCCTTAACCTCCATAATATTCAATGATCAACTATAATTACCTCCAATTACATCGAAGTCTCAAAAAGCTTTGCCAATTCCAGAACAGATTAAGAAGTTATACTAGAGCTCATTTTGGCAGGTGAACCTTATAATTTTAAGTATTCCCTCAGATAACACTTTACTTGCTTCACAGAAGCCATTTCATGATAGCAACAGTTTTTTTTTTCTCACCAACATCCAAGAGTCCAAAGGAAAAATAATGTCTCATGATCTCTTCTACTCCCGTGTTGAAAAAACATTTAATGCCACATTTTCAGTTTGTGTAACCAGGCAGGTTTTCTGGATTATGTTACCACAGAATTGAGGTTGACAATTTCCCTTAAAAAACTTTAACATTTTAATTATGAACTACCAATCATAATTTTTTAATTTTATAGCAAAATTTGCTATAAATTTTGGCGCAGTAGGTAATGGACCCCATTGTTTTATTCTTGATTACCATAAATGATGTGATATGTGCAAGTAAATTGAAATGTATAAAAAGTGTTTGTAAATTAGCCACATGCTACTCAAAGAAAATACTTGTTTGGGTATCCTCCTGTTGGTTTAACAGGCTATTAAGGCGTAATGCTGCTAATAATTCTTGATATCTCAATTATTTCTAAAAATGTTTATTAAGATGTGCAGTGCGAGCTTATGAGGTCAGAGATTTGGTGATATCCTAACATGAGACATTTGGTTTATTAATGGATTGAGATGCTTAGCAGAAAAGAGGAAAGGATATACTAGATTACCTTTTTGTAAGAATACAAATAACTTTTCACGAAGAAAACAACATTAAGTGCTTTTTTATTGTGTGTGGGTTTCTTTACATTCTGTCCTTTTTTTTAATAAATCTATTATATAGATTTTGTAATTTTTCAAGCACTAAGACATTGTAGCCTAATTTATCAAAGAGAAACTAATCAAAAAGTAGACAACCTTTGGAGAATGACTTTATCAGGCTTAGGAAGGCAAAATTTAAGAGGAAACTAAATTTCATCATAAATATCTTTCACTCAGCAAAAGCTCTTATTTAAAGTGTTTGGACTTCCTGAAACACTTCTACAGTTAAAATTCATTAATTTTAGCAACAATGAGAAGAGTTCAAACAACATAATCCATTTTAACTCTCATCCACAATATCGACTCCTTTTCAGCCTTACCTAGTTGTTAGCTATACTACAGAATGTAGAACTCAAAATTTGGTATTGAAGAGACAAAGTGTTTGAAACCTCTGACTTCATGTTCTAATCAAAGCCATTTCTCATTTCTGGGTTCAGCGATAGTCACTTACACGTTTTTGGATGTGGCTAATGCCAGGTCTCCTGTCTGAGGGTTTTCTACCACCAATATCCGTTACCTAAGAAGTATTCAAAATGATGAATACTAAATATGCACATTCTAAGTTGTTTAACAAAAACACTGTAAATTTGTCATAAGTATCAGCACTTATCAGAAATACCAGCATACGCACTCTTTTGCCGTCTTTCTCCCTCTAGTCTCTACCTTCTTCAAGAGCCCAATTTCTGAGAATATTAGGGGTAAGTCTGAAGGACCCACTCAAAATCATTACACAGCAGTTATTATAGTAGCCAAGAAAAAGAAATTTCTTTTTGCTTAATGTAAGACTGACAGATTGGTGTAGTCACTGGGAAAGTGGAAACTCAGACCCATACTGTAGGAAATTGTGATTAAAGTGGGACTTAAAGAATCAGAAGTGGAATCTTTATAGAAATACTTATAAACTAAACAAAAAGAATCAGAAGTGGAATTTTTACAGAAATGCTTATAAACTAAACAATACATAAAGCATAGTCACATTTTTCTTGCTCTATTGAGGTATAATTGGCAAATAAAATTGTATATATTCAAGGTATCCACTGATGCTTTGATATATGTATATATTATGAAAGGGTGACCATAGTCAAATTAGTTAACACCTCCATCACCTCACATAGTTGCCTTTTGTTTTATGGTGAGAACATTTAAGTTCTACTATCTTAAATTTCAAGTATACATTATAGTATAACTATACAGTATAACTATTGTCACCATGCTATACATTATATCCTCAAACTTACTCATTTTATCATAATCACTTATTTTGCAAACCATATCCATGTGTATGTGTATATGTATTTGTAAATGTTATTACGCAGGTAGGAAGAATATGGAAGGATCACAGTTCTATGCTAAAACTATCATAATAAGAAAAAAACAATTAAATGCTAAAAACAGTATGTGTAAAAAACTTTATTTTAAAAAAAATCTATCCTGAAGCCATATCAAATCATTTTACCTTCTACTTTTTAAAAAGGTTCAATAAAGGTAGCATGGAAGAGTGGAGCAGAAGACTGGATAAGTGAACCATAAATTTGCATTTGGATGTTGATAACCACCAGCTGGGTGAGCTTGAGTGAGTTAATCCTCTCTGAGCTTTGCTCATTTGTGAAATGATTGAATTCAACCAGGTAACCACTGTGGTCTCTTCTGCTATCAAAACACATTTGAGTTTTACAAAATAAACTGTAAGAGTTTACAGAGAAATTTAAATGTATTTCAGGTGTCTAAACCATTATTAAGACACTGTGTTAACTAATTTTATAAAGACATCTATCTTCTTACAAAACAGTAAACCTCAGATCGATGCTAGTGAAGTCCAAGGTGATAGCAATTGCCATTTTTAACCCTATTGGCCTTTGAACCCCAAACCACAGGCTTCTTGGGAACAAGGACCTTGTGGAATCATTGTTGTGTAATTTAGGGCATGCTAAGTGCCCAATAAGTACATAAAAAATATTTAAGTCTTTTAAGCTCAGAAATCTATTTAAGAAGTGGAGAATTATTTGGCATCACTTCCAGAAAAAAACCTAAAATAAATTTTAAAAAAAACAAAGAAATCCATTTTACTGAATTTTTGTTTTCCATTTATCAGACTTTGAAGAACTCTGACCTTACTTGCAGCTGGTTAGGAAAAAGCCCTTTACCACCCTTCTTTAAAAAAAAATACCTAATCATTTTATAATTGCAATAGAGCATAGCAACGCATGTGGCAACACTGATGGATATATTTCTCCTATGAACTTGAAGCTTGACATGTATGTACCTGAACTACAGATTAATCAACATGCAAGCGTGGACTGTTGTGTCTTGCTGATTAATTATGCTGAATGATGGATTCCGGTTTAATCACTTTACCTGATAGATGTAGAGAGCTTGCAAATGACAGTCACTGTATCATTTCTCAATAAGCTGCTTTCTAACCAGCTTACTGAAGAAACTTCAGGAAGTTGTTGTTCCAGGAAAAAAATAAGTACACACTTTTCCATGAATAACTTTACATTTCTCTAATATCTTACACCTTAACATTTGTCCTCTGACCAAAAAATTATATAAATACAATAATTATCCAGGAATCCCATTGTCTGGAAGTCTGTCTGTCTCATCCTGGAACCGGAAAACAAAATTTAAAAGGTTAATAGGATTTATAATTGGTTTTATAATGTTAAGAAAATGACTCCTTAGGCTAGAAAACCATTGACTCATGGTTAAAATTACCTGTCTAAAAATAAAAAAAAAAAAAAGAAACATAGCTATGAATAAGCCCTCTGCTCTTAGGAGGGGAATGCTAGTTTGATTCATAAAAGAAAAATTGAAGAGTTGATTGATAATTTCTCTATCTGAAAAAAAGGATATGTGACACAATTAATGTTTTCTTCCTAGAAAATTCAGTAGGTGGTCCCTAAGGATAAAATAAATAATATCTGAACCAAGTGAGCTTTAACAAATTGGTAGCAATTCCTACCACCCACCCCAGAGAAGTTAATCTCTTCTTCCCTTTTCTTTCATTGCAGGTACCTTAGCATAGCATTTTTCACACTATATAATTCATTAGAGTTGCCTGAGTATGTTTCTATCTCCTCTATTATAGGTAGTGATGGCCTGGAAAACAGCAGCCATTTTATAAATATATATATATTTTAAAAATATACATATATTTGAGTCCTATATATATATACAGGACTCAAGGACTCAAGAAGCAGATTTTATATATATATATATTTTATATTTTTTTCATTATATATCTATATATATGTATGTATGCATTTTTTGAGACAGATTTCACTCCCATCACCCAGGCTGAAATGCAGTGGTGTGTCAGCTCACTGCGACCTCTGCCTCCTGTGTTAAAGTGACTCTAAATACCTGAGATTCTGTGAGTCAATTTGTTGGAAACGGGTGCTCGGTGTCACAAAATCAACACTGAGACAAAGGATCTCTCAGAAAGGCTTATTTACTTTCTGCAGAAAGGGTGCCACTCGCTAGCAGTCTTGCCGCGAGAGCACACTCAAACAAAGGAGACGGGGACATTTATAATCTTTGTAAACTCACACAATGGTCCTATGGCTGTGTCCCATTTCCATTGGCTGGAACGAGACCTCACGTTCTAAGCTTGACCCAATTGGCTAACAGCTTGAAACTTTTCTAAATAGGCAAAGGGGAAAGAGGACAAAGAAAAGAGGAAGCTAGTCATGAGAGGGTCAGGAGGGTTTCCAAATAAGGAATGGCGTGCACTATGGTTTGGGGCTCACTTAACCCTGTCCAGGCATGCCGGGTCAAGTCAGAGCAGCTGCATTTGAACATACATAGATATGCATAGAGTACAGAAATGACAAACTCTTTATGGTTTTAAGAAACTTTGAAGAACTTCTCCATTCCTCACACAATTGAACCTCTTTTCTTTATAAATTACATAGTCTCAGGTATGTCTTTATAGCAATGCAAGAATGGTCTAACACATTGAGTAATGTCACTGTCTAAAAATTTCACTTGCTGACACCTGCTCCTATTTTCATACCAAAGCTTAAACTCTTTCTACCATGTATACTGTCTGTATCAGCCATGCAGAAGTTCCCATAGTCATCATCACCAGCCATCAGCCACCTTTCAGGGGGCTAAACCAAGGTATGACTGGTTTGAGACTTCGACCAAGTTGAAGTTGTAAGGAAGATTTATGGTGCTGTCTCTGAAAAGTAAAAGAATTAGTGACAAGGTTTCAGGTTAAAAAGGCTCTTTTGTGGCAATTACAACATTAGTGGAATGACAAACAGTGTTGAAAGTCAAAGAGCCTTGGGTTATTTAGGTAATTTCTTTTTAATTTATCTTAAGCTTCAGTTACTTCCTCTGTGCAATAGAGACAATGAGTGGGGAGGGAAGGGGAAGAAGAAAGCTTAGTATGTAAAGTGCTTAGAATAGTACCTAGTTTGTTAATCTTGTATAACTATCAACTGTATTCCTCTTTTCACATAAAAACAAACTACAGTTAACTCAATAAAAACAGTCAGCAAATAGATATAGCCCTGGAGGTTGTTAAAGTAAGTACTGAATTGAACCTTAAGGCTCTGATTCAAAGCAGAATGAAGGAAAAATTGTAAGCCCTTCTCTCAAGGGGCATTAACCCTAATAGACTTTGAGTGGTGTAGAAATAGATCCAGCTAGGCTTCTGCCTTTTTCCAACTTTGGTGCTGCAAGGCAAAAACGTTTGAAAGACTCTAGTCAAGAGTACAACTGGAAGCCCATGCACTTTATGTCTAAATATTAAAAATTATAAATGAAGCTATACAACTATTAATTAAAATAAGCTCTATCCTCTGACATACAAGTATATATTTATGTAACTGGGCAAGTTATGTTTGAATTTACTATTACTGCACACTGTGGACTTTCCTGCTAGAGTACGGTGGTACAAGGAGAGCCGTCTCCAGGCCCTTGCCTGCCCCAGCTGGGGCTTCATGGTGAGATTCCTGCTTCATTCCACTGTCTTCAAAAGAAGACCCTTAATAGCCCCTTGGGCATGAGAGTGAACGAAGTGGAGGCTAGTGCCTTCAGGTGGAACGACTCAAGAAGCAGCCTTGGATAAGCCCTGGAAAATGATTCGGGGTCACATAGACAAGGACCAGGTACTAAGTGTGGTCTGGAAGGCAAGGTGCTGTCACCAGATGAGGACATTCCCTTGGTCTTATGCTTTTCTGGTTTCAGCTAGATGGAGACTAGAACAGGGCCCTCTAAAGTCCAGGACCTGGAAAAGGAGCCCTTCTTGCTCACATCTAAGGACAAGATACTTAAGGTGAAGATTTTGGTAACAAAAGGGAAGACTGCACCCTGAGCACAGAATCGGGAGGCCTAGGTTACAAAGTAGAATGAGTTATACCCACAGATAAAATATCAGACAAGTAGTTACATATGTGTTGCAACAGTGGCACAGGAAAACTTCACATTTGGAACTTTTTTAGTCTTTTTTTTTCTTTCTTTCTTTTTTATTTTCCTCTCTTTCTTTTTTCCCAGAGTCTATGTATGTGCACTGTTTTATTATACAAAATTAGCTTTTTTGTGCGTTTCTGGTCAATTTGCAGAAAAGGTATGTAGTCCTTGAGTCTTTTTAATAGAAAAATTTAGACAGCTTTTATTTAGGTAAGGAATCAACACCTTTATGTGCAAAAGCCTTGAACTGTTCTTGCAAATAATACAGCCCACCTAAGGCTCTCTGCCCAAAAATCTATCGACAAAAGATAATAAAATCATTTATAGTTTTAAACTAAAGATTTAAAACATAAAATTTTATTCTATTCTTTCTATTTCCCACATAAAGGAGCTCTTCAAATCAATACTGGGAAATTAGCTGTCTATCCAGAATTACTACATTTGGGAAAGAATTCTGAATGTTAGGCAGTTACTTAGAAACTAAGGTTTTCATTATTCAAGTTATTGTACCACTAAGATTAAGATGTCATTTCTCTATAATGAGTAAAATCACAGCAATTTAAAGTTGGTAGAGATTTTTAAAATCCCAAATCATTGATGTGAGAGGTATACTAAAAAAAAAATTCAAACGGTTGAGTGAGTTGTTCAAGACCATAAAGGTAAAAATTGGGCTGGAACTCAGAACTCATTTCAGCGAAGTGGGCTTTTCTGTGTAATGAGGTATCAACTATAGGACTGTGAATAAAAAATATGTGCCTAGATTTTCTTGGAAGATTTAAGGGTAAGAAATGGTGGTAATAAAAGAAGGAGAAGGTAATACAGCATTAGAATAACTATAAAGGAGATTCTTCTGGGTCAGACACACACAGAGAAGCTGCCACGTCTTCCAGAACCCAGTGCCTAATCTAGAACTGTTAGTGTACCATTTTTCTAAAGAAATTGGCTAATTTAAAGACCGAAAAAAAAAGAGGCGAAAGCATAGTGAAGAGAACACCATCCAGAATTTAAAATATTTTTAAAAACCCAGTCTGAATTTGATTTTAATCATCATCTCACCCACTTGTAAATTTCCAAGAAGTACAGAACTATAAGGCACAGAAGATGAGTCAAAGTCTTTTCCTCCACAGAAATCACTTTCTGCATAGCTCTTTGGGGAAAAGAGCAGGGTTAAATGAGACCAAATACTTTGCATGTTTGATTTGAAGTGGATCTGACAATGACACACCAAGGAGGCATCTGCAACAGTAGCAAGAGCTGGAGTGGCTAAGCAGCAAGCTAGAGGCTTAGAAATCTATAACAACAGAGAATCAGCCCAAATAGGATTAATTTAGGACTGTCTGTCACTTGTGACTCTTGGACCAGTTGTACAAGGAGGACTGGCTGGGATTATAAAATGGCCTTGAACTTGTTTTTAGGTATAATTAGCTGTCTGGACTTGCCTCCTAAATTTAGCACACAGGAGGATAAAGGATTTAAGGAAAACTGAGAGGTTAGCATATTCTCCACTGAGATAGATTTCCTCTTAAACAAGGAGGTCTCAAGGGCACATGTTCCAAGGAATATGCTTGCAATATTAAGGCACTTGAGATGTGAGCTTCTGTTTTAAAGGAAAGCCTAATTGTCACAAATTGGATACTGACCTGGCATCCTGTCAACAGCAACTCATATATAGCACCTTGAGAAGTGGGAAAGGCTACATCATTCCAGGAGCAATGTTGGAAGTGAATTCATGGCTGCCCCACAGGAAAAAAAATTAAACATGTTTTATATAAAAATACACTAAAAAACAAATAAATCTCTTTCCCAGAATCATAAAACACTATAGATGATAAAAATCCTTGAGATCATCTGTTTCAGCTTCATAATTTTGGAGAATAGGAATGAAGTTCCAGAAAAATTAGGGGGCAGAACCAATATTAGAGAATTAATAAACAAAGACAGTACAGACAGTGGTTTAAAAGGACTATGCTAGTGTCAAACTGCCTTAGTGTGAACTCTGGCCCCACTAATTACTGGCTATGTAACTTTGAGTAAAAAACTTTATGCACGCCAGTTTTCCTACGTATGAGTGGAGGGTCATAGTCTCTATAAATAAAGTGTGTCATACAAAATGGTTTGCACTGTTGCAAGACAAATGATAAATAATCAGAAAATGAAATTTATTAAAAAGAATAATAATAAGATGATAATGATGATGACTTCAATATTTGGCAAGAATCAGTCCAGGATTTACATTTTTGCCCTCTAATATTCACCAATGATTTCAGAGTCAAAGTTAACCGCAGTCAACTGTAGTTAAAAGAGAGACTTTTCTAATGAAAGAGCTAACTGAACTATCAACAGGATGGAGTACTACTGGAAGAGTTGAAGAGACCGAGGTGGATAAAAGGACAATTAAACCTTAGTGGGCATGGAGTTGTCAACACCAGCTTAAGACAGAGAGATCCAGCGAAGGGTCACAAAACTCTGCCTTCAGTCTTATTCTAGACAACATATTCATAAACACCCTCAACATAGATATAGAAGATATGCTTATCAAATAGGAGACTGGAATTATATTGATAAGGCAAGATATTAGCAGACTATAGCCAAAAAATTAATCTAGAAAGAAAATTAGTCATATTAGTTTAAAAATCAACTGCACAGACAAAATACAAAGATGACATGTGTTAGCAGTAGACTGTCAAAAACATTTAGAAGTTTAAACCTAAAATTATGCAAAATCCAAAGAGCAGTAAATGTATTGATGAAAAATCCTTGCACGCAGTGAAAATTATGAGCAAACATTTTACCATGAATTTGAAAAGCTAAAACTATTGCCTCTTTGCAATAACATTAAAAGGTAGAATTCAAAGTTCTAAGAAAATAAATGGTAAGAAAGTGAAGATGAAATAAAAGCTGACTTCAAGAAAGAGGTAGACAAAATGTAAAATCAATGCAGCAGTAAAGATGAAACTGGAAAGCATGCAAGAGTGAAAAAACAAAACTGAATAGGAAAAAAAGCAAAATTTTAAAAAGAAATGGAAGAAAGTATAAAAATGAATGAGAGAGAAAAATGATAGAGAAGACAGTCAAAGGGAAATCCAGCATATACCTAAGTAGTGACTTCAAAGAAGGAAGAAACCTTATTGGGTAAAAATAGTCACATTTTTTTCTGAAATAAAAGTACACTTGAATCTACATATGGAAAAGGCTGTGCTAGATATCTAGACTGGATACCAGGATGTATGGATTTAAAAGTACAGAATTTCTTTAACAGCCAGAAAAATAAAATATGAATGGTGAGAAAATCCACAAGAACATTCAAATCTATGATTGTTGACAAACATTTAAAATTAACTTGAAGAAAATAAAAGCCAAGGAAATTATATCAAATGAAATGATCCTTCAGCTATAAAGATGATACACAAATGGTATTAAATATATGAACATTAAGTGGAATTATTCCTGTGGATTTTTCTTGGAAATTAATAGAGGACAAGTTCAGCCTCCAACGATGAGTATGAAGAAACCATAGCAACAGTACAGGGAGAGAACATTGAATGGTAAATAACTGGGAGTCAAAAGATATCATTTAAAGCTGATATATCAAATAATACAAGCTTATTATTTCATTTTTATGCTGCTGATAAAGACATACCTGAGACTACGTAATTTATAAAGAAAAAGAGGCTTAATGAGCTCACAGTTCCAGGTGGCTGGGGAGGCCTCACAATCACAGCAGAAGGCAAAAGGCATGACTTACATGGCAACAGGCAAGAAAGAATGAGAGGCAAGTGAAAGGAGAAACCCCTTATAAAGCAATCAGATCTCGTGAGACTTATTCACTACCATGAGAACAGTACGGGAAAAGCCACCCCGTGATTCAATTATCTCCCACCGGGTCCCTCCCACAACATGTGGGAATTATGGAAGCTCCAATTAAAGATGAGATTTGGGTGGGGACACACCTGAACCATATCAATAAGTATAAGAGCATTTAACTCTATAAAGATAATAATTTTAAAAAAGAATTAAATTTACTGAAATTGAAGAGTAGAGGGGAAAGGGAGAATATGCTAATTATATCATCTCTTATAGAACAGTGATTCTTCTTTAAGAAAAGGATAAATTTATTGCACAACCTTTTAAAATGAAGGCAACCTTTCCTAAATATGAGAACTACACATAAACACACAGGAAAATGAAAAAAATAAAACACACAGCAAAACACACATAAAGCCGTGTGCAGTGGCTCATGCCTGTAATACCAGCACTTTGGGAGGCTGAGGTGAGGGGATCGCTTGAGTCCAAGAGTTCAAGACCAGCCTACAAAAAAAATACAAAAATTAGCTGAGCATGATGGTGCATGCCTGTAGTCCCAGCAACTTGGGAGATGGAAGTGAGAGGATTGCTTGAGCCCTGGAGGTCAAGGTTACAGTAAGCCATGATCATGCCAGTGCATTCCAGCCTGCATGATGGAGTGAGACCCTGTCTCAAAAAAAAAAATAAAAATTTTAAACACACACATACACAAAGGTAGGAATATAAAATATATACATATAGGCATAACTAATAAGAAAATATATAACATGATTTTATTAAAATAGAAAAGACTAGATTATAGAAAAAGTTCAATGCTTTGCAATATACCCACATTTAATATTTCTATTAATAAAAGTGAAATCTATCAATGCTTGGCCCTTATCTTTTATTGTTTTCATTTACTACTGACTTCCTTGCTGTTCTGGAACATGTCGGAAATGCTCTTGCCTGGAAGCCTCTGCACTTAATGTTTCTTTTTGCTTTCTCCAGTACTTTCCCACATTTCCATAACCAGCCACCTCATATTCTCTAGGACTTTTCTCAAAGATCTTGTTCACTGAGAGAGACTTAGCCAATGTTTAGAAAGAAATAGGCAAGAGAGATGAAAACAACCTGTGTGTGTGTGTGTGTGTGTGTGTGTGTGTGTGTACAAACACATGTATGTATATATTGGTTTGTAAATGGACATAAAATATTTTTAGAAGGTTAAACAAGAACTTAAAAATTCTTACCTTCAGCAGGAAGGACACTGAGCAGTGAAGAAGCAATGATGACAGGGGGACTTTTCATTTTATACCTTGTAATAAATTGGATATTTCAATTCATGTGCATATATGATATATGTTTAAAACTGTTTTAACATGATGATACATTGTGATGAGAACCAAAAGAATGTCAAAAGAAAGTTGTAAGGTGACTTTTTCGACTAGGAGAAGAGATTAGCCGGGAGTGGTGGAAATGACGGATCTCCAGATAGAAGAGAGGGATAAAGACAATCTTAAAATCAAGCATCAGCATTGCATATGCACAGAAGTACAAGCCACTTAGTATAACTGAACTACAAAGGAGAAAGCAGAGTGTGGGAGAGTTGAGGCTGGTAAAACAGTCCAGGTATATATACTACGTTGAGTCTCTTACATCTCATTCTGGAAGCAATAACAAGCCACTGCAGAGTTCCAAGTGAAACCTTCAAAAACACTGCTATATATCAGAAGTTAGCTGAATTTTTTATATAATGCCACATATAATAACTTACAATATAAAATCCATACAATCAGCTCAATTAAGAAGTCTATAATAACTAGTTTTGGTATGAATGTGAAGACATTCTAACTTTTACAGTGTTCGTGAGACTATAATTGGTCCAGCCACTTTGGATAGCAATTTGCAATATCTATGTCAGTTGAAAACGGCATTTTATACATCTCAGTAATTCTATATCCAAGAAATACTCATGTAAAAACACAAAGAAGAACATACAGAAGGTTATTGCAACATGTTTGTAATATCAGACCTTGGAAGACAAAAAGGGAGATAAATACATCAGGGTATATTCAAAACTATTATTCATAGTAAAAATGAGGAAGTGAAAAGTCACAGCATAGCACATAGCAAAAAAAAAAAAAAAAAAAAAAAAAAATCTGAGCTTGCAGTGAGCCAAGATTGTGCCACTGCACTCCAGCCTGGGCAATAGAGTGAGACTCCATCTCAAAAAACAAACAAACAAACAAAATAATCAGAAATGTGTTATCTTATAGTTCTGAAAGTCAGAAATCTGAAAAGGGTCTCACTGCGCTAAAATAAAGGTGTTGGCAGAACTGCATTCCTTCTGGAGGCCCTAGGAGATAATTTGTTTACCCTGCCTTTTCCAGCTCCTAGGCTGCACACATTCCTCGGCTCAGAGCTCCATCTTCCTTCTTTGAAACCAGCACTGGCTGGTCAAATCTTTCTCACATCACATTGCTCTCACACTAACTCTTCCTCCTCCTTTTTTAATGACCTATGTGGTTACATGGCTCTCATTTAGATAATCCAGATGATATCTCGTTTAAGGTCAGCTGATTAACAACCTTAGTTTCACCTGCAACCTTAATTTTCTTTTGCCATGTAATATAGTGTATTTGCAGGTTCTGGAGAATAGGATGTTGACATCTTTTGGGGGGCCGTAATTCTGCCTGCCACATAACCTCAGGTAAGTGATGCTCTGTTACACTCTGTTTCACCATCATGAAATAACATCAGCTCAGAATAATGGTAGGTAATAGTAAAATGCTCATTTATGTAGTTATTACACAAAATAACTCTGGAAATCAGAAAGCACAGAATCAAAAGCAATCTCAACCAGCACCATCTATTAACTATTTGGAATTCAAGGTTTACTGAATTTGAGGTTCATAGCACTTAACTAGGTTCAGTGAAGATTTGAAACAACCTTTTTTTTTTGAACCCACAATCTATTTGGAGATGTAGCCAACCAAAATCAAAATAATATTCATAGAGCAATATGTAATTCACATTGATCAGTGTAGACGAGACTTACTAAAATACCATGCAAGCCCTTTTTTTTCTGAGTTTTCATGCAGTTGATGTCCAATTGCCAAAATCAAGTGGGTGAAGAAATCAGTGGTTGCTGTTGATTTCCCAGGCTCCTGCTAACCTGAGATGATTTGGAGAGTTGCTGTTCTCTCAAACTGATCGTGAATAAATGACTGGACACTCAATTCCCTTTAGAATGTCTGTTAAAATATTGATTTGACCTCCGACTGTACTGGGGGTTGAGTAATGTATGTAAAACTGTCATTAAAATTGCATATCATGCACAAGTTACAACGAAGCTAACCATATCTTGCTGGCTAATTTTTCCCCTGGAGTTCTGAGAGAAAGGAAAGAGACAGCAGTCAGTTATTAATAAGATGAGGCAGAACAAGAAAATTTTAACGTTGATTAGAGAAATAAGCAAGTCTCTGAATTCTACTGAGAATTAGCCTCCACCACCCCACCCCCTACTGAAGTACTGTATGGTATTTTCTAAAATATTATAGAAAATAACCCTCTTAAAAACATAAGACCACTGAATGCCATTCTATTTTTGCACAGGAAATTAGGGGTGTAGAGAGTGCAATATAAATGTCTTCAGAATTTCACAAGAAACACTCAGCGGAAATCCTTTTAAATTTATTTGGTGGTTTACCTCCCACCCTGAGGGGTTGAAAATCTCAAGCACAAGAAGCAGTTACTGATTTACTGGTTGATCCACAGCCTTTGTTTCAGTGACAGCTCGTTTGACCCATTTCATTTCTCTAAATTGCTTTCTAATTTCCTGAGGACAGCAGCGTTGTTGTATTGTGTTTAGAGCATTATGTGTTTCAAAATGCTGAACACTCTCATTTTATTTTATATTTCATCTCAGTTGGAAAGGCAGTTTTCCTATGGAGGGGCAGAGTGTAGGTTTGGAAAGTCAAAGGACTCAAGTTCCTGCTCTGCTGTTTACCAGTTGTATGAGCTCAGAGAATTAACTGTTCTGGGCCTGAGCTTCCAGAATCTATTTAAATGAGGGATTGAACTACATTTTCAAAGGACATTTTCTGTTCTAAGTGCTATACTCTTTCAAGTCATCATTATGGGTGCTTAGCCAAGTAAAACTACTGTTGTCATTATTTATACAAAAAAAAGGTAGCTTTGTTAGTTACAGGAACATTGTCCAACCATACCTAATCATTTTGAACAAAAAAACAGATTTGGCCATTAAACAGCAAATAGAAATGATGTCAGCAAAGGGACCGAATAAGAGGTTCCTAGCTCATAGAAACAATGTGACATCCATCTACAGACAAAAATCTACAGACAACAACTTTGTGGGAGTTTGGGGACCCATAGGAGGTTGCAAAACCCTGGTAGAGCCTAAGATTGACGAGGGCTGCTTTCAGAAGGCATGTACATGCCCCAGTGTTCTGAATAACTTAGCCAACTATGGTCTGCACTGTGGACTGGAAGCAGCCTTATGCCCCTGCGGACTTAGCAGCAACCCTGCCTGGCCATGGTCCCGCTACCAGCCCCATCTGCCAAGTGACCCAGAAGGATTTAAACCCATCCATGCCCACAGTAAATGAGCTAGTAAACTTGGGCTCAACCGGGATCCTGAAATAGCTCTATGACTCAGTGTCAACCTTTTTCTACCGTAGTCCAGGGGCATTAGTCCCCACCCAGAGACTCAAAAAGAGATATGCCCATTTGGGACTGTGTGGCAGACCCACCAAAAACAGTTCCAACTGCGGTTGCTGAAGCAGCCCTATGTTCCAGCTCCAGCTCCATGCTACCACAGGTAGGGGGAAGTCCTCCCCACCTCGAGACCCAGTGGGAAATACAGCCATTCATGCTCCCAGTTAAAAGATGACCAAATTTGGTCTTGGCTTTGGAGACTGAAATAGGCCTGTGACTCAGTTCTAGCTCCCTCTGCCGTGGTCTGGGGGCAGTCTGATCTGCCCAGGTTGCTAACAGGACATACCACTCAGTAACCAGACCACTAACCTCAGGCTGAACTGCAGCCCCTAAAGCAGCCCGATGACATAGCTCTGCCGAGACCAGCTCGGTCAGGGAGACCCTAACCCAGCAGCACTAGAGGAATTAAAGACACACACACACAGAAATATAGAGGTGTGAAGTGGGAAATCAAGGGTCTCACAGCCTTCAGAGCTGAAAGCCCCAAACAAAGATTTACCCACATATTTATTAACAGCAAACCAGTCATTAGCATTGTTTCTATAGATATTAAATTAACTAAAAGTATCCCTTATGGGAAAGGAAAGGATGGGCCGAATTAAAGGAATAGGTTGGGCTAGTTAACTGCAGCAGGAACATGCCCTTAAGGCATAAATGGCTCATGCTATTGTTTGTGGCTTAAGAACGCCTTTAACCGGCCTTTAACCGGTTTTCCGCCCTGGGCGGGCCAGGTATTCCTTGTCCTCATTCCCCTAAACCCACAGCCTTCCAGCTTGGGTGTTAGGGCCATTATGAATATGTCACAGTGCTGCAGAAATTTTGTTTATGGCCAGTTTTGGGGCCAGTTTATGGCCAGATTTTGGGGGGCTTGCTCCCAACATAGCTCCTGTCTTCCTCTGCAGTCCAGAGGCAGTTCAGAAATTTGCTCACTGATTAGGAGCCATCATACCCATTCATGTCTTTGGTAATAAGCCCTCCATCCATGTGCAAACTTGACTAGAGACTCAGAAATAACCCCATGACCCAGCTCCAGCGCACTCAACTGCTATCCCAAAGGTAGTTTTATCTTTCCAGGGGCCCAGTAGAAAAAAGGTTTTTATTTGCCAAATCAATCTGTAAAAACTGGAATAGATATCTGCTTCTTCAAATGCACAGACACCAATGCAAAGCTACATGGATCATGAGGAATTAGTCAAATATGACCCCACCAAATGAAACTAATAAAGCTCCAGTAACCAATCCTAAAGAAATAGAAATTCAGGGCCAGGCGTGGTGGCTCATGCCTGTAATCCCAGCACTTTGGGAGCTGGAGGCGGGTGGATCATGAGGTCAGGAGTTCAAGACCAGCCTGTCCAAGATGGTGAAACCCCATCTCTACTAAAAATACAACAAAATTAGCCGGGTGCGGTGGCAGGCACCTGTAATCCTAGCTACTCAGGGGGCTGAGGCAGGAGAATCACTTGAACCTGGCAGCAGAGGTTGCAGTGAGCCAAGATCATGCCACTGCACCCCAGCCTAGGCAACAGATTGAGACTCTGTCTCAAAAAAGAAAGAAAGAAAGAAAGAGAAACAGAAATTCAAAACTACTTGGCAAATAATTCAAAATAATCATCTTAAAGAAGCTCAATAACCTAAAGGAAAACACAGATAGAAAACTAAATAAAACTAGGGAAAAAAATACATGAACAAAACTAGAAGATTAATAAATATGGCCACCATAAAAAGTAAGCAAACAAACTTTCCAGCTGAAGAATAAAGTAATGGAACTGAAAAAATCAATAGAGAACTTCAACAGCAGACTCAATTGTGCAGAAGAAATAATCAGTGAACATGAAGATAGAGGAATAAAATTAGCCAGTTAGAGGGAAAAAAAGAATAACAAAGATTGAAGAAACCACACAGGACTTATGAGATAACTATCAAGTGAACCAATATATGAATTCTAGGGATACCAGAAGGTGAGAGAAACAGAAAGTGATAGAGATCTTATGTTTAAAAACAATGACTGAAAATGTCCCAAATCTATACAGGCAAATATACGTCTTTATTCATGCAGCCCCAAAGTCCCCAAATATATTAAACCTAAAGAGGTACACTGAAATAGATTATAGTCAAAAGTCAAAGACAGGCTGGGCACAGTGGCTCATGCCTGTAATTCCAGTACTTTGGGAGGCTGAGGCAGGTGGATCACCTGAGGTCAGGAATTCAAGACCAGCCTGGCCAATATGACAAAACCCCATCTCTACTAAATATACAAAATATATACTAAATATATGTCTCTACTAAAAATACAAAAAATAGCTGTGCAGGATGGCATGCACCTGTAGTCCCAGCTATTTAGGAGGCTGAGGCAGAAGAATCGCTTGAACCAGGGAGGCAGAGGTTACAGTGAGCCAAGATCAAGATCACACCACTGCACTCAAGCCTGGGCTACAGAGGGAGACTCCATCTAAAAATAAATAAATAAATAAAATAAAATAAAATTAAAAAGTCAAAGACAAAGAGAAAATTTTGAAATCAGCAAGAGAAAAGCAACTTGTCACATACAAGGAAGCACCGCAATAAACACTATGAGCAGATTTCTAAGCAGAAATGTTACAGGCCAGTAGAGAGTGGATAATATATCCAAAGTACTGAAAACAAAACAAAAAACTACCAACCTAAAATACCCAGCAAAATTGTCCTTTAAGAATGAAGGAGAGATAAAGACTTTTTCAGACAAACAAAAACTGAGGAAAATTGTTACCACGAGGACCTGCCATACAGTATATGATAAAAGGAGTTCTTCGAGTTGAAATGGAAACATGCTAAACAACAACATAAAACATATGAATGTGTAAGTTTCACTGTTAAAGGTAAACACAAACACAGAATATTATAATCCTGCAATAGTGGCATGTAAACTACTTTTAACACTGATACATAAAGTCTGAGATAAAAGTAGTAAAAGTAACTGTAACCCCAGAAATTTGTTAATAGAAAAACAATTTAAAAGACATAAAACCTGACAGCAACTACATAAAGTATGAGGGAGAGGGAAGTAAAGTATAGAGTATATGCAATTGAATTTAAGTTGTTATCAGCATTAAAGCAGACTGCTTATAACTATAAAGTATGTGAACCCAGGGTAACCAAAATGAAAATTTGTACAGTAGAGACACAAAAGACAAAAGAATTAAAGCACACCACCATAAAAAAATTATCAAACCACAGACAGACAGCAGAAGTGGAAAAGGACAAAGTAACTATAAAACAGACAACAAACAACTAACAAAATGGAAAGATTAAGTTCATTCTTATTAATAATTACTTTTCATGTAATTGAAATAAACTCCCAGTCAAAAGACAGAGTGGCTGAATAGATACGAAAGCAAAATCAAACCATAGGCTGTCCACAAGAGATTCACTGTAGATTTAAGAACACACATAGGCTGAAATTCAGTAAAAGGATGAAGAAAGATATTCAACACAAATATTTTTATTTCTTCTAAAAAAAATAACAGGATACATGTGCAGAACATGCAGGTTTGTTACATAGGTATACGTGTGCCATTGTGGTTTGCTGCACCTATTGACCCATACTTTAAGTTCCCTCCCCTCACTGCCCACCCACCAACAGGCCCTGGTATGTGTTGTTCCCCTCTTTGTGTCCATGTGGTTCTATTGTTCAGCTCCTACTTGTGAGAACATGTGGTGTTTGGTTTTCTGTTCCTCTGTTAGTTTGCTGAGGATGATGGCTTTTAGCTTTATCCATGTCCCTGCAAAGGACATGATCTCATTCCTTTTTATGGCTGCATAGTATCCCATGGTATACATGTACTACATTTTCTTTATCCACGCTATCATTGATGGGCATTTGGGTTGATTCCATGTCTTTGTTATTAAAAATAGTGCTGCCATAAACATACATGTGCATGTGTCTTTGTAGTAGAATGATTTATATTCCTTTAAGTATATACCCAGTAATGGGACTGCTGGGTCAAATGGTATTCTGGTTCTAGATCCTTGAGGAATCGCCATACTGTCTTCCACAATGGTTGAACTAATTTACATTCTCACCAACAGTGTAAAAGCGTTCCTATTTCTCTACAGCCTCACCACCGTCTATTGTTTCCTGACTTTTAATAATCGCCATTCTAACTGGTGTGAGATGGTGTCTCATTGTGGTTTTGATTTGAATTTCTCTGATGATCAGTGATGTTGCCCTTTTTTTCATACGTTTGTTGGCCGCATAAATGTCTTCTTTTGAGAAGTGTCTGTTCATATCTTTTGCCCACTTTTTCATGGGGTTGTTTGTTTTTTTCTTGTAAATGTGTTTAAGTTCCTTGTAAATTCTGGATATTAGACATTTGTCAGATGGGCAAATTGAAAAAATATTCCCCCATTCTGTAGGTTGCCTGTTCACTCTGATGATAGTTTCTTTTGCTGTGCAGAAGCTCTTTAGTTTAATTAGATATGATTTGTCAATTTTTGCTTTTGTTGCAATTGCTTTTAGCATTTTTGTCATGTAGTATTTGCCCATATTCCACACAAATATTAATAGTAACCAAAAGAGAACAGCAGTTGCTGTACTTATATGTGACAAAGTAGACTCTATGTCAAAAATTGTCACAAGAGACAAAGACAGTAATTATATAATGATATAAAGTTGATTTAACAAGAAGATATAACAATTATAAATATACATGTACCCAATATCAAAGCATCTAAATTATAAAGCAAACATTGACAAATCTGAAGAGATAAATAGATAGCAATACAATAAGAGTAGAAGAATTCAATACCCTAATCTCTATAATGAATACATCACCCAGACAGAAAATTAATAAGTAAATGGCAGAAATAATACTACAGACCAAATGAACATACATTCATACAACATTCTCCACCCAACAGCAGAGGAATACACATTCTTCTTAAGAGCACATAGATTATTTTCCAGGATAGATCACGTGTTAGGTCACAAAACAAGTATTAACAAATTTAAGAAGACCAAAATCATTCCAAGTATCCTTTCTGACCAAAATACAATGAAACTACCAATCAATAACAGTAAGAAAATGGAAAAATTCTCAAAGTTGTGGAAACTAACAACACTCATGAACAACCATTGCATCAAATAGATAATCAAAGGGAACTTTAAAAATAACTTGGGATAAATGAAAATGAAAACACAACATACCAAAATGTATGGGAGACAGCAAAATCAATACTAAGAGGAAAATTTATAGCAGTAGATTACTACATTAAAGAAGAAAGGTTTCAAATTAACAACCTAACTTTACATTTCAAGAAATTAGAAAAAGAAGAAGGCCAAATTAAGCCCTATGTTAACTGAAGAAAAAAAGAACATTAGAAATAAATCAAATGAAGAGAGAATAGAAAAAAAAAAATCTAAGAATTGAATTTTGAAAAAATAAACAAAATTCGCAAATCCTTAGCTAGTCTAACTAAAAAAAAAGAAAAGAAAAAAAGACCCAAATAAATAAAATTATAAATGAAAGAGAAGATGTTACAATGGTTACCTGACAAATAATTCATAAGGGACTATTATAAATAATCAGATAACAATAAATTAGATAATCTAAGAAATAAATTTCTAAAGATATATAATCTACCAAAACTGAATCAAGAAGAAATAGAAAGCTTGAACAGAGTAATAAAAAATAAAGAGATTAAGTAGCAATCAAAAACTTCCCAATAAGAAAGTCCAAGATAAAATGTCTTCCTGGGTGAATTCTACCAAATATTTGAAAGAATAATTAACACCAATTCTTCTTAAATCTTCCAAAATAGAAACAGAGTAGGTCCGAACTCATTTTATGAACCAGGATCACCCTGATATCAAAGCTAGACAAAGACACCACAATAAAAGAAAACTATAGGCCAATATGCCTGATGAAATTAGGTGCAAAAATCCTCAAAATACTATTCAACCAAATTTAACATCACATTAAGTGGATTATACACTATGGTCAGGTAGGATTTATCACTAGAATGTAAGGATGGTTCAATGTATACAAATCAATAAGGGTAAACACCATGTAAACAGGATAAAAGATAAAAACCACAGTTGTCTCAATCGATACAGAAATAACACTTGACAAAATTCAACATTCATTCATGGTAAAATTCTCAACAAAATATGTATAGAGGAAATCTCTCTGAACATAATAAAGGCCATATATGAGAAGCCCACAGCTAACATTACACTCAACTGTGAAAAACTGAAAACCTTTCCTGTAAGATATGAAACAAGACAAGGATGCCCCTTCTCACCACTTCTACTCAAAGTAGGACTGGTAGGCCTAGCCAGAGCAATTAGATAAGAAAAAGAAGGCATGTAAATTGGAAAGGAAGTAGTAAAATGATCTCCATTTGCTGATGACATGATCCTATCTGCAGAAAACCTTAAAGACTCAACAAAAAATTGTTAGAACTAGGGATGGTAGGGGGACTGGAGAAAGATGTTAGGTAAATGTGAGGAAGAGAAGAAGAGTTATATAATAACAAAGCAGCTACATTTGATAATAAACTAAATAATATGGAACTTTGACACACAAATTAGTTTAAAAATAATTGCGAATTCACATATATAAAAAATGAGAATGGAATGTGTGTGTGTGTGTGTGTGTGTGTGTGTGTAATGAACATAACTAGAATAAATAAATGAGAATGAAACTTTATCCATATCCAGAAAGATGGACCAAGTTGTGAAAAATTCCAAATGGCCAAATTTAAGTTTTCTACTTTTAAATAATGTCCCTCCTCTGCACTCCATTGGTTCATTAATCCCTTTACTCCATATTACAGACTTCCACTTGAAAAAGGTAATTTTTCTACTATGCTGATTCTCTTTCTCCCAATAATTCACCCAGAAATTTTTGTCCTTTCACTGCTCAGATTGGTAGATAATCAAATAGAGCTTTTAAAAAAAGGCAAGGGAGGTGGCAAAAGTAAGGAGTTGTAAGGGGTCTGAGCTAATGAGCTGGTCTGACAGTCTCATGGATGCTGGCAGAAGAGCATAGTACTTTGTTATTCACAGCAGTAACAGTAACAAAAAGAGCAGCAGCTTTGCTGGCTTTCCAGGCCCAAATTCCAACAGGAAAATGCAAAGTGGGCCTGGTAACACCTACTCTCAAAGTGGATTGCATCACAAAGAAGGTACCCTAAGCTTGTGCCAACTGAATCTTTTATACCACACAGTAAATATACTTGACTTTTGACCTGAAGTAATTCATTTTCTTTATTTTATTATACAGTAAATAAACCTGCCATTGGTTCTGAAGGAAAACACAATCTACATCTTCCAAAGCTCACTATGCAAATATTCTTGGAAAAGTAGTCTGGAACAAAGACAGTCTTCTCAAAAATGAGTAGGAAAATGAGACCCATGGAGAACTGTCTTCCAACACAAGGCTTTGACCCATGCCCTGTAATTACTTAACACATACCACTGAGTTTGTCTTTACCTATCAACAGTGTGGAGTTGTAAAAAATATATGAGAAGGAAAGTCACTTTTTAAAAGCATAAGCATAGTATCACTGAAGTTTGATAATTAAAAAGTAGACTAGAGAAAATGACATTTTACTAATTCAGATGAAAGGTAACATTAACATATTAATTTGTTATATGATTTAGATTTATTTCATCTTGCTAACTAGAGTTTTTGGCTCTCTTTGAATCCAGAATAGCTAACTATTCTCTATGTCCCTACCACATGGTTAAGAGGGCAGCTGGCACAAAATAAATACAGTGTGTGATATAATAATTTATTAATTTGAATCTGGGCATCTTAATAACAGTGGATAGTACTTTTAATGACTGGCTGCAGGAGTATGGCACAGGAAGGTCTGTATTTACTTATACTTATTCATTATATATTTCACTCCCCAGAAAAGAAAACTTCTCTTTAATGCTACTTGCTTTTTGGGAATTCCCTTTATATGTAAGTTACTTTATGTTTATGAAGAGCAAGATCTAAGCTGTTGTGGCAGACAGTTCCAAAAAGCCAACCTATAGGAGGGTCAAAGTTCAAGCATGTTGCAATGTTCTCATTTTTTGGGGGAACTTGGAAGCTGCATTGCCTTTTTTATAACTTATGTTTTATATCAAGGGTAGCTAAAGTGTGTAGCTGCTTCATAATTGCACAGGCACATTGCTAGAAATTGAATTTCTAATATTGATGCTTCCTATTCTTCATGTTGCAGTTGTGTTTTTTTAATTAATTCAAAAAAATCGTGTTTGTTATAGGGAAGTGCCTAAAGCAAAAACCTGATTCCAAGTACCAGTCAAAAGGAGAAACAAAGCATTCAGTGCTTACTGTGCGAACAATCTCTCTATGAAGGTCAATGCCATAGATGAAACTGCAGTGTTTTGCTGTTGTTTTCTTTACTAAAGTCAGCACTTTTATTTAGAAGCAAATGACAGCATCTCTTATTTAAGTTTAAAAGTTAACCTTTGCCAAATGACTATAGAAATAATTAACAATATTATCTAAGTCAATTTAGCTAATTAAGCTTATGCTGCATCTCTGTCATCTCCTTTGAGTTCTTCAAGGATTTTGGAACCTCAGAAAAAGAAAAAAGAAATTTTCATAGAGGGAAGTTGCATAGCACAATTGAGGTGAAAGGTTGAATAACTCTAGTAGAATAAGTCTTATAAATGTCACTGGAATATATTGCTTTATATGTTATGATACCTCGGTACTTTTAGAATGCAATAAATTCCACTATATTGAACCGATGCTGGGGCAAGTGTGTAGTTGTTATTATTTCCCCTGACTCTCCTCATTTTAGAATTAGTATTGATATACTAATTCTCATCAGTATTTTTCTCATTGAATTATTAAATAATTCATTATTTTTAAGGTTCACCCCCTCCTAACATAAAAAACACATATTTCTCTGAGCCTCGTTTTCACTATGCACTGTGACTTCCCATGTGAATCTGTACCAGAGTGAAGAATGATTTAGTACAATACTAGTTCTCATCTAAAATTCCTCATCAATGTGGGTTTTTTTTTAACCAATAAAGACAATAAAAAAATACTAAAGATTCTAAAGTCTCACTCTTAGAAATTTCAGAACTAACCCTTTTATATTTTGGTTCAATTGAGCAGGAGTCTCCCATGTTGCTGGGTTACTGTACAACTATATAGATGTGTGTATGCATGTGTATGTGGATGCATGTGCAAGTTCTATAACTTTGCAACTGAGAAACAAAGTCACTATATATGTATCTATACATGTAATTTTTATAACTTTACCCACTAGAAATAATAAAAACCTTATGCAAATCAATTCATTCATGATGAGAGCTTACATAATGTGATTTTGTAGTACTGACTTCTCTCTACATAAATGTTATTTTTGTTAATTCTTGAGTCTTCTTCATTCTGAAAATATTAGTGTCTTTTCTTGGTGAGAGAGCCCAAGAGAAATGAGAAGGAGTGTTCTCTTCAGCTCTTGTTCTCAATGCATGAAATGCTTGCCATTGTCAACACGATCCAGTGCCACAGCCACTGTCACATTCACAGACACCACTGCGCAGAATTTATTAGGTTTACATAAAGGTTATGGGGAATAAATCACTGGCTTTTATCTTTGCCTGGTATCACCTTTGCATTATTTATGAGCAAAGAACAATCTATCATGCTGGCCTGCTATAATTCTCCTAGTAAAACATCATTTTCCTGGAGAGCCTGATGCTAGTGTGAAGAGGCAAGTCCTTTTTTGCAGGGCATGTTTCTGACAGTACATCAGAGAGATGTGGACTGCACCTACTATTCATAATCTATTTAAGATGTAGCACAACCCACAGAGGAGGAGAATTTCTCTAGGCTGCATTCTCCAAGAAAGAATGCTTATCTTGTCCATCCTCTGGACACCATACTGTTGCAGTTCAGTGATAAATTCAACAATTTTTTAAGAGTGTTCACTATATTCTAGGCACCATTCTAAGTGCTTGGAATTCTTCAGGGAAAAAAGAAATAATAGTTACAGTCTTAGCCTAGGTTCCCCCTAAAAGGAGCCTGAGAAAAGAGTTTAGATTCATGGATTTTAATTTTGAGAAGTGAACACAAGTAACTGGAGTAGAATACTAGAAGGGCAACACAGGGAAGGAGGGAAAGTTAATTTCAGGTTGCATCACTGAGCTGATTGATTACAGCTCAGTAAACAACTAGAACACAATTCCATTGGGGATCTTCTGAGAAGCCATGTACACAAAAGTCAGTATTGTCCACCTGAAACAAAAAAGAGAAATTTTTGTTCTCAATGGCAAAGGGTTATACCATAGAACATTAGCTCTATGTATCAGAAAGGCTCTCCTCTGCATGTATCAGAAAGGTTGAGCATAATCTTATAGGCATCTCAGAAGTGACAGAGTAAGATGCCAAAAGCAAGGAATTTGTGGTAGAGGTAATGCAAAGTGCTGTCAGATTATACCTGCGTAAAAGTATAGCATAGCAGTGACTGGGGTGAAAACAGTGACCAAAAAGTCAGGAAGTGGGACACAAGAGATGTCCACTGCAATTCCTGCTTCTGAGGAGCTTACATTCTAGTGACTTTATTTTAATCCAATCCAGATACTTTATTTAGGGCTTTCTTAAAGAAGGAAAAAAAAAGATTAAATGAGAATGGTTGTGGTTTACAATACTTTTAGGCATTGCTATACAAGAAAAAAATTAAAATAATAAAATAAAGTTATAAAAATATAAATACTAAAAATAATAAAAAATAAATACATACATTTGTTTCCAATTCCTGTCATGAAGAAATGGATTAAAATTTTCACTAGATTTGACTAAGAGGACCAACTATAGTGTGTCCTTGTCTAAATAGCTCATGTTTTATTTTTTTAGGTCCTACAGGATGGACTTAGAATCAGTTTTAACTGAAATCTTAATAAGGTCATAGATGGCAACTACTACCACATTCTAAAATCAAGACCTGCAAGCAAAAGAAGCAATAACAAAGTAGTTTTAAAACCCTCAACTGAAAATTCATATCCATCTATTAAAGAGGCTGGAGAGGCCAGAGGAGATGGACTTAAAAAATAATTATTGGGGAGAGCGGTCAAGGTTCTCTGAGTTCTCTACCCATATGCCATGGAAGGAGGCTAAGAGGGATTTAAGTTATTTCCAAAACCATGGAAGGAGGATTCAATGGGATGCCTTGGAGAGCTTTATCTGTTTTCTATAGAACTTGGAAGACACAGCAGACTGATCACATGCTGGGAAGCCTAAAGGGAGAGTGGCAACGGCTGCCTAGCTACTCTGCTGGAAGAGAAAAACAAGTTACAAATTTGTGGACAATGTCTATTCCCAGAATTTTCAGGGTATAGTCAAGAGAGTACTGTAGAAAGGTTGACTTAAATTCTGTCCAAGAAGGATGCCTGGAGAGGAGCGGAGTCCTCAGCCAAAGGAACATCTTGGTTTTGAAGGAGAAATAACACATCATCAGACAGAAGCGATACATTTATCCACATCAAGGGAAATACATTTGAAAGATCCCCAGAAATGAAGGCAAGTATAATAATCTCTGGAAATCTCACAAAATCAGCCCAGAAGAGAATAATCTAGTTTTAAATATCTGCCAAATGTGTAGCTTCCCCACTTTGAGTATTCTAAAAGACCCAAAGTATTCCTATATAGAATTCTACAGGATATCACCATAGACATCCTAAAATATAGATAGGAAGGGTTATTTTCCACACTCAGATCATGTGGATACCAAACAGATATTAATAAAGCATTGACCCTACAGAGAGGGCAGAGGACAAAGAAGAAATGAGGAGAGAGGAGTATCAAAGAAAAACTAAGCTTCTAAAAGCACACTCAAGGACTGACAGTACTTGGAATGGAAGACAAGCAATAAGAACATTCCTGTTGTGTTCACAATAGTTATTAGTAAGAATTTTTGGTGATGAAAGTCTAGTAATGAGCTGTCCCTGCACATCTTCCAGGTCTTATAGGACATAATATCAGGGACACAGGTAACTAAAGGCAAATAAGGAAAGAACAGAATTAAAAGACATAATAATGCATAAAGCAGGAGAAAGCTTAGAGGTCAGGGTCTTTAGCACCACTTGGTTTCAGCAGGCAGAGGGAGGACCTGAGATTATTGACAAGAGAGCATATTCTGGGGTCAACAGTCAACTCAAGTATAAGCTAAGTGAGGGAATGCAATTGTTAAAACCAATCTTTCTTCTGAGTCTCTGAATTCTTAATGAACGAAATGCAGCAAGACTGACTTTTCTTTCTGGATATAGAAATTGTGGATGGAAGTAGCGATTGTAACTGATTTCAAAACAATTCAAATAAAGATCCTCTATCACTCCCCTCAGTTTGCTGTCTGACCATAGCTCTTCAAAGGAACTCCTCAAGAGAAGCTGGAAAACTGAGTGGATGATGCACCATGACTATCAATAAATGAAATCAAAGGAATCATCTGAAAACTGGAAACTTAGGCAATAAGCAATTTTCTTCTTCTTTGTGACATCAGATTAATTTGAGTCATTTCTCCAAAATTACAGGGTGTGATGGGGAGGAACTGTGACAACCAGAGTGGAGTACTGAATACATTGTAAGGTGACAGGAGTCAATTTCAACCTGTTGCACAAACATAATTACATGAGCAGGCAAACTAAGTCTTTGGAGAAAAAATTTTCTCCTGTTTTATCCTTAAAAATTTATGCAGATTTTTCAGATATATGATCCCCCAAAGATACACACAGTTCTAGATTTGGCATGCCTAGAGATTTCACTGAAACCAACATTCTCTTTAAAAAAAAAACAAAAACAAAACAAAAAAACTTGTTAGTAAAGTTTAGGAAGGAGGGAATTTTCATTTGTCCTGAGAAGGCTTTGTTCTGGTAGTCAGACACTGATGGATAGTTAACCAGGCCCTCAAGTGGGCAGAGCCTCACAAACCGACATTCGTCTTACTTTTCTAAAAGGATTTTAGCAAAGAGAAATTGATGGAAAGTGTTCTTATACTTGTACAAAGAGAAGGAGATTGGCTAGATTTTCCTTCTGGAAGCTACAAAAACCTCAAAGCAAATGAAAAACTAGAAATCACAGATCATGACTATTCATATTTGTTTTATTTATTTTAATTAAAACCTACTCTTCAGTAAATAGCTTTTCTTTAAATTTATAGATTGCCATTGCAGTTTAACACTTTGTAGAGAGGTGATGTATAACAGAGTTAACTGATTAGTATAATTTCAATTTGCTTTAATATACCAAATCTCCGTTGTGAAATATCCACAGTTAATGACCAGCGTAGACTCAGTTGAGGTCATTGTCAGTATTACCAACTCCCAAATTTAATTTTACAGATGAGGAAAAGAAAAAGGTCATTAAAGTGTACGTTTCTCCCAATTTTAATATTCTATTATGTAGATCTTTATAGTGTTTTATCACTTTGCTTTCTTCCTAGCTTATGTTTTTCCTTATATGACTGTTTCACTTTACAGGCTTTTAGAATTAAAAGCCGTGTAGCCAATATCATGAGCCTTTTCTCATGCCAGCTAGGCTTCGGGTCCTTGTTTTCAATTACATTTAAGTCAAAATGAAGTTAGTCCAGAAAAATTAGCCCACCCACACTGCTACCTACCCCATCCTCTTGAAAATAGTGGTTCTGAGATCATGTCCTTTGCAGGGACACGGAAGGAGCTGGAAGCCATTATCCTCAGCAAACTAACACAGGAACAGAAAACCAAAAAATGCACGTTCTCACTTATAAGTGGGAACTGAATGATAAGAACACATGAACACGTCGAGGGGAACAATACACACTGGGGCCTGTCAGGAGGATGGGGAGAGGAAGAGCTGCTAATCAGGAAGAATTGCTAATGGACGCTGGACTTAATACCTAGATGATGGTTTGATCTGAGCGGCAAACCACCATGGCACACGTTTACCTATGTAACAAACCTGCACATCCCGCACATGTACCTCAGAACTAAAATAAAAGTTGAAGGAAAAAAAAAAAAGAAAATAATGGTTCATCTCTTTTGCTACCTTCTAGGAGTCTCTCATGTACACAATTTAACTGAGAACTATACAGGGAGAGGAATTCTGACTTAGAAGAACTTAGACTAGGGAGCAGTAAGGATGGTGAGATGGCAACAATCAAACACATAGGCATATGAAAATTTGACCTTGATATGGATCCTGACTGATCACCTTACCAACCTGACATCTCCAAGGGATCTCGAAATAATATTATAATCCACTAATATTACAGGGGTTTCAAAACCCCACTGGAAACATTATGGATAGAGAAAATGTTATATGCCGGAACATGTGATTATAAGAAATATTTTGATAGTCACTGAGGGAGAAAGGTGAGACCAGTAAGCAACATGATGAAATAGCAAGGGAGGATCATTAGCTCTTTTCTAAGGAGAGTAGACGTTATTAATAGCAGAGTTCCTGTTAAATGAGTGGATGAGCTGAGGCCATGCCACCAAAAGTCCTTTTTTCCTATGATTTCCCCACATATCACAGTCTTTCCTCTAAATCAATGTTGAACACAGATTTAAGAATGTTCTTTTGAAGCATCACAAATCATTGGTCTTCTGCAGGTGCTTACATTACTCTGTTCAGCTCTGCATTCACGTGAACGCAATCAATCAGTCAATAGCATCCCAGTGGATAAACAAGTGAGAGCCTCTGTTCCAGCCCACCTTGTCTATTAAGAAACTAGCTTCGAAACAACACCCTTTCTGAGATCTCAGTGCCACTTTAGACTTCATAACTAAGTATTCAGACAGCAACCTTCTGGAAACTAATTCCTGACTCTGTATTTGTTATGTTTATTTTTATTTAAGACAAACCCTATTCAGAAAAAGCCTTTTTATTTACACATTACTACAATAACTAAGAGCATTATGTTGAGTTAATATAAAAATAAATTGATTAACCCATTGCAAGACCCTTAAATATAAAGTGTTTAGTTAAACACAAAGAAAATTCCCAGTGGCTGCTCCATATGTACTTCTGTTGGGAAAACAATAACCATAACCACATGGTATATTCATTTAAACTCTATTTTACACCAAAACTCATTAAAGTGTTCAGATGATTCTAGTAAGGAATCAGAAATAATCATCATATTTCACAAGTTTGACCCATTTAGGCTCTAAGATGTTCCTAGTTGCCCATCATTTTAATAATGCCCAATACAGGATTAAAACAATAATATGTATTAGTAACAGTGCACTTTTTTTCTGTGATCATAGTTCATTTTCTTCTTTACTGATGTTCTGAAAGACATAAAGATCCAAACACTGAATGATAAAACTGATAGCAATAGGATATTTTATATATTAAAATTTTATTTGAAACATAACAAGAGGCCACTGAAGTGATAAGAACAGCACCACAAGAGAGCAAAGTTTATCTCAACCTTCCTAGCTTTTCCATTTTGTTGGTATTCCCCCGAGGTGATCATCTATTACTTCTGTAGTTGCTGCCACTGTACCACTACAGTTCCAAAGAACTCCATTTTTGGTGATGGATGTATGACTTGTCCTCAGGATTTTCTAATGCAACCGCAGTATGGTTGGGTTATCTGAATTCCAGACTCAATGGTAGTCAGAGTGGTTAAGGTGGGTTAGGCATAAGTAGCCCAGTTTAAAAGAAATTGAATGTATGGTCCAGCTCACAAATTTCATTAAGTCTTACCTTTATTTTCCTAGGATAATAAGTGCTCATGACAGCAAATAAATTAATAGCATAGAGTTAAGTAATATATTCATATCTTTATCAACCTCCTGGTAATTTACCCAAAAACAGGGGCTCATTTTATGCATTACAGGAGCTATGTCCTTGGAAATACTTCAACTTCCTAAAAAACACAAAGTAGAACTCCAAAAAGTATGTTCAATCATGTTATTGACTTTTGAAAAATAAATTTAACTGTTCATAGTATATCTTTTCAGGACGTGCCATACACTAGAAATTATTCAATAGAAAATGTCCAAGATTCTGAGTTTGGCCATCCTTTATTAAAAACCATTGTTTATTCTATCATGCTCATTAAAGTAACAAATTATACAACACAACCTCCCTGATCAAGCCACAAAGAATATTTGCATTTTAATAAAGCCACATGGAAATCATAAGTGAACATTCAAGCATTCAAAAGAAAAATATTGTGTTAATTACATGCAATTGAAGAGGGTTTATAGGTATACAAAATCCTAGACATCAAAAGGGGAGGATGGGTTGTTATTAGTTAGATTATGTGCAAACAGCACTCATTATATTATAAATATATAGGCAACACTCATGGGATACATAATGTTAGGTATATGTCATTCTGCATCCTAAAGCTGATTTACCCTCCCTTGTATAATTAATTTGGCTAGATTTTGTAACTTTTAAGAAATATACATATATACATATATTTTATAGATACAAAAACACACATACATATGCCATATATATTTTTAACTCTTAAGAAATATATACATATATACACACCTACATATATATGCGTGTATATATACACAAGTGTATATGTATATATACACAAGTGTGTATATGTGTATATGAAAAATACACACATACACACACCAGAATCTAAATATTGGAGTGATTTTCACTTCTAAAAGTGTAGCATTACTGCATCTTATAACATGATAGCAAAGTAGACACTCTGAAAGGCTTAACTCCTGGAGTAAAATGCATACTTAAATCATTTTTCATCTAGTAGAAACAGAAATAGCTAGTGCTTAAAAAAGCTGAAAAAGAATGATTAAAAATTGTGAGCTCAAATTGGATCAGAAAAGCTAACTCAAAACCAAGATTGTCCAACAAGAAAATATTGGTATCAATATTGAGTAACAAAATACAAGGTCTTCTTATAGAACTAAACATATTTTTACCCCACTTTCATCAATGGACAGAGCATCCAAACAGAAAATTGACAAAGAAACATCAGACTTAAATTGCACCATAGACCAAATGGACCTGACAGACATTTACAGAACATTCCATCCAATGGCTGCAGAATACACATTCTTGTGTTCTATTACATAGTGGGGTGATTACAGCTAATATCAATGTATTTCAAGATAGCTGGAAAATAGGATATTAAAAGTTATAATCACAAAGACATGATATAGGTTCAAGATGATTAATACACTACCTTGATTTGATCATAATATAACGTACAACACATATTGAAACATCACACCATACCGCATAAAAATATATAATAATTATGTGTCAATTATAAACAAACAAAACAAAAAATAAACATATGTGTACACAAAAACCTTCACATGGGTATTTATAGCAGCTTTATTCTTACTCATCAAAGCTTGGAAGCAACCAACATGTCCTTCAGTAGATAAATGGATAAACTGTGGTATATCAGAAAATGGAATATCATTTGGCACTAAGAGGAAATAAATGATCAAGTTATGAAAAGACATGCGGAAACTCTAAACGAATATGACTAACTGACAGAAAATCTGGAAAGGCTATATACTGTATGATTCTAGCTGTATGACATTCTAGAAAAGACAAAGCTATGGAGACAGGAAGAACATCAGTGGTTGCCAGGGTTTGAGGAGGGATAAATAGAAGGAGCACAGAAGAATTTTTAGGGCAATGAAGATATTCTGTATGATACTATAATGATGGACATATGTTACTATATGTTTTTTTAATTCACAGAATTTATAACATCAAAAGTGAACCCTAATGTAAGCTTTGAACTTCGGGTGAATATCATGCCAATATAGGCTCATCAAGTTTAAAAAATTTGTCACTCTGGTTAGGGATGTTGATCCTGGGGGAGGCTAGGCATGTGTGGGGCCAGAGATATATGGGAAATCTCTCTACCTTCCTCTTAATTTTGCTGTGAACCTAAAACTGATCTAAAATAATCAAGTACTTTTAAGAAGAGAGAAAAAAGTAACCTTAGACCTTGAACCAGACACAATTAGAGGAGGTAAACTGAGAATCTGGAGGTAAGCTAAGAGCATTGATAGGGCTACAGTAGTAACAAGTCTGTCACATCTCCTGACTCCCAGCAAAAGCAAATGCAAATCCTCCATGAAGGACTGCTCCCTCAGTCTATACACTCAGAATTCCCACAGTATAAACCCAGCCAAATGTGAACCCACTATCAAATATTTTTGAATTCACAAGTAAACAGGTCACTGCAAAAAAAAAAAAATGGTTGGCAAAAACAAACACAACACACACAAAAACCATATTCAGATCCCTAAGGGACTCAGACACTGAAATAATCAGAGATAGTCTATCTATGCCAAAGTATTTATAACATATTTAATAAAATTAAGAGACCAGGCATATACTAATTATAAAATCCTAACGTTTTAGACATGAAAAATTTATTTGAAATTAAAACTCAATATGTAGAGAAGAATAGACAAACAGTGAATAAAGTAACAGTGAACTGGAGAAAAGATCTACCCATTTTACAGAGATAGGCAAGAAGATGACAAATATGACAACTTAACAAACGTTGAGAATAGAAAGAAATATAAAATATGCCTAATGACAGTCCTAAAAGAGGTTAGGCCATGTTTAAACAGACATAGGCTGACAATTGTCTAGAGCTGACAAAAAGACTGGAATCCATAAATAAAAACAATGCTATGATACTAAGAAGAATAAATAAGAAAAAATTCATAGTTAAATACTTTGAAATAAAACTTGAAAACATTAAACGAAGAATATACTCCTAAGAATAGCTCAAAAGAAAACACAAATTATTGAAAGGACAGCCACTGTTCAACAGCAATGACAACAGTTGGAAAATAGCACAATAATATAATAAAAGAAACAAAAGATAAAACTATTTAGAAATTTATATCTAGTAAAAATATTTTCAAGAATGGGGATGAAGTAGTCACTTTCAGATTAAAACAAGAGAACAAAACAACAAAAATCATGACTGAATGAGTTTGCCACCAACAGATTTTTACTATAGGAACCTTAGAAGAAAGAAGACCTCTGACATAAAGTGTGCAATGCAAGAAGTATTGGTAAGCAAAGAAATTAGTAGACATGGGATAAATCTAAACAAACTCATCTTGGAAAGTAATATTAGTCCTTAAATTGTTTACTTAAAAAATGACAGAAACAAAGTACTATAGAATGATTGTCTGGTGAAGAGAGGGAGTTATCACAATTACACCTCTAAAATCATGCATTATTCTGGAGAGGGGACTTAAATATTGATTAACTGTAGAACTTTCAAAGGATATGTGATTAAATTTCAAGAGCAGTCACTGAAAGAATACAACCAACTTAGTAAATTGAAAAAAAAAATCAAGAAAATAAACAAAATGACTAAATCAATGGATTGCAAACATTTAGTCATTAATATGAAAAGAAAAAAATGAAGCATAGATAAAATGAAATAAATAGAAATAAAATAAAATGAAATGAAATACATAGAAAATACAAATTAAAATATTTTAGGAAGCACCAAAATGACAGAAATCACATTCAATATTAATGATCTAAACTTGTGACACAGAAGGTAGAAAACAAAGATTTTCATAATGAGGTGCAAGGGAGGGTGTTGAGAGAGAGAGAGAGAGAGAGAGAGAAAACTCATCAAAACGTAAGGAAATAAAAATGAAACGTTGGAAAGCAAAATAATAGAAAAAGGTATACTAGATAAATACTAACAAAATATTGCTGTGGTAGTTATATTACTTTTGAAACAAAAGAAATTTAAGGCAAAAAATATAAAGACCATTACGTGATGATAAAGAATTCAACTTATCAAAAGTTATAAATTTTAAACTTGTATGCATCTAATTAAGAGGACTCAAAATATAGAAACACACAAACATTTAGCTTTATGGGTAAAAATGAACAAGCCTACCATTATTGTGAAAAATTTTTAAATGAATCTCAAATTTTATAGGTCAATTAGGCAGTAAATTTACAAATACAAATTTAAACTACACAATTTAAAAGCTTGATATAAATGAATATATATAGAACCATTCATCCAATAATTAGAAAATACATTTTCTCTTCAAGTACATGTGTGATATTTGTAAAACATGATCATAAAAACATTTATTATATCATAAACATAAAAACATTTACTATACCATAAAGCAAGTCTAAACCAATTTCAAAAAATGTGTATCAGACAAACTATGTTCTATTTCTTTCCTACTTAATTCTGACTGCTATAAGTGAATACCATAGATTGCGTGTCTTATAAAGTACAGAAACTTATTTCTCATAGTTTTGGAGCCTGGGATATTCAAGATGAAGGCACTAGCAGATTCAGCGTCTGGTGAAGGCTCACTTCCTGGTTTATAGATTGCCATCTTTTTGCTGTGTTCTCACATGCCAAAATCAGGGAAGGATGCTTATAATCACACTAATCCTATTCATGAGGTCTGTACCCTCATAACCTCATTACCATACCACCCAAATGTTCCACTTCCTAATGCCATTCCATTGGAAAGACAGATCTTCAGAGGGCATTGCACTGACCCAGTTCTCCCGTCTGTCTTGCTTACAGTTATCAAAAATAACTGTGGAATACACTGGGAAAGCAACATCTTGAAATGAAGGGGAGCTAGGCACAACAGCCAGGGTTGCTCAACTGCAATGCAAATGAACGATGTGCAGAAAAGACTCTATATGCCCTGTGCAAGCCTTCTTGATCCTTGAGGAACTGGCTTGCTCTGAATCCTGGGCTTCTGCTGTCCCTTGCTGCCTATCTGTAAGTAATCAACTCATTCCATGTAAGTTATGTGCCTGGATGTTTTGTCTCACTGGATTCAGACAAGGTGGTAACTAGTACACAGTGAATCTACTTCATAGAAAAAAACATCCACTCTATAGCACTTACCCAAGGTGTAGTTAGGTTAAATAACCAATAACCCAATTATAAACTTAAAAGACAGTACAAACACAAGTGTGTGCTTTAAAAATCATACTCCTAATAACTCAAAGAACAAATCATATAGGAAAATTTTAAATATTCAGAAAGAAGCAGCAATACCTATATCCACATCAAAGTTTGGGGCATAAACTTAAAATGGTATTAAAGGAATGCTTTTATTAGAAAAGTTAATAATATAAGTAACAAAAATTTTTGGGAGGCCAAGGCAGGCAGATCACGAGGTCAGGAGTTCGAGACCAGCCTGACCAACATAGTGAAACCCTGTCTCTACTAAAAAAAAAAAAAAATAGAAAAATTAGCCAGCTGTGGTGGTGTGTGCCTGTACTCCCAGCTACTTGGGAGGCTGAGGCAGAATGGCATGAACCCAGGAGACGGAGCTTACAGTGAGCCGAGATTGCACCACTGCACTCCAGCCTGGGCAATAGAGCGAGACTCCATCTCAAAAAAAAATTAAATTAGATAAATAACATAAGAGAAATCCAAAGATAGTAGAAGGAAGGAGAAACATAAGTAAAAATCAAAGACCACAAAAACAAAGATAAAGAAAGGGAGACACAATAAAAGCCAAGTTGGTCCTTCTATTTGTTAATAAAATTTCTGGCATTTTTAAAGGAAAAATAGAGAATGTCCAAAGAAACAATATTAAGAAGTGCAAAAAATGAGGCATATAGCTATAATTAGCAACTATGTTAAAGATAAGGCAATATGACAAATGTATTTGTGCTGATATATCTTAAAATGTAGACAAAATAGATAGATTCCTGGGAAAATTGACCAAAAATAACTCTTAAAAAATCCTGAGTATATTTAAAACATTCAAAGAATTGAATCTATAGTTAAACATCTTCCCTCACAGAATACATCAGGATCAGATATTACAGGCAAACTCTACTGACAACAGAAATACAGTGAACATTTTCCAACTTATATGTTGAGGCTTTTGTAAGCCTGATCCTAAAGGTAGACAAGGAAGAAAAGGATATTTAGTATATGTGCTGCCGAAGCAAGCACGAAAAGGATATTTATAAGCCCTTATCAATCTAAATATTGAAAGAAAATTCCTAAATGAAATGTTAGCAAATTGAGTTCATGACGTCTTCTTCCTGAAAACTGCTACAATATTTGGTTGGCTGACAGATAAGCTGGAAGTCAATGCTACTCAGAAGTACTTGAAAGAAGTACTGGATAATCCAATGGGTACATCAAGCATGTGCTTAGGACACCAACAAATCAGATACACCACAAACGAAAAAGGTTAATACTCCATATTTTAAAAACATCAAATTTATTGTGTATAGGATAACTTTATGTTTAAAGTTTAGAATTTTTTAATTAGATATAGTACAGCACCATAGTTTTCCAGAAGTACATGGACTTCCAAAGCCTTAATCCAGTCCTGCTTGGTTTACACTTTGAGTGTGTCCATTCCATAAGGACACTATGGAGAGCAAAGCTACATTCCCATCTTGAAGATTCTAAAATATTTGAGCAGACAACTAGGAATCCTAATTAGTAGATGCAAAGAATAACTACTTTTTTCAATGTAGGTTCCAATGACCCCCAAATTACTGGGATTTAATTTTTTAACATACTTATTGAGGTATAATTTTCATGCTACATAATTTCCAGCTTTATGTGTACATTCAAATGATTTTAGTAAATGTACAGTTATACAACAATCACTACAATCTAGTGTTACAATATTTCCATAACTCCAAAGAGCTTACTTATGCCTATTTGCCTCCAATCCTCACTCCCACCATCAGAATAAGAAATCATCTTTTTTTCTAACAAAGAAGAAAAAGGATAAGCACAAACTCTGACAGATTAGTAGGGATTTATCCTGAGGAAGGAGAATAGAAAGATGCACATCCTGATTTGAGATATGTGTTAATTAGTGGGAGAGTATCTTTACAGCCACTTAGGCTGACATGTCCCAATGAACTCTAGCAGCAATGGAGATCATTCTTCCAAACTTTTCCCCAAAGGCTATAAAGTAAAAAACACAAGGCCACTTTTGAAATATCTTAGAGAAGGAAAAGATAAATAAATAAAATAATTGTAATTTCATGAGGATAAAATTGTTCTCACATTTTAAGAGAATAAGTAGTCAGAAAGGGGAAGAAAAAACAAAGACTAATACGAAAAATAATTCAAACGAGCATGAACCTGCAGGACCCTGAGGAAAGGATAGGACTCTAAAATACCAGGGACTAACCGGTTAACAACTTGAAAATCAATTTGATCATTTCCTAATGCCCTCGATCATGACCAAGAATTGCTTAAGAAATAATAAAGTTGTTCACTGAACATTTAACAGAGACCTTTATTTGGAAATATTTATTAATAATGTTTATGACCTTTTGCTTGAAACATTGTTGATTCTTTTTGTTGTGTTTTTCAGTGTCAAAAAATTCTTTGAGTTATATAACTTTTTACAATTGAGTAAATTATACTCCTGTGAGCAAAATTTTGTTCAAATTTTTTTCTCCCTACTTGATTTCTCCAAGATGGAGTAAGCCATGCTAGACTTTTCTTACTCTCATAATCTTTGCAAAGGTGGTTTCAATGACCCCTTGGGTGTCAGCACACATCAGTCCTTAACTGTGAGCTATGGAGATGGGGCATAGTTGGAGTAGGAGTTGTCCCCAGGGTAAGAGCAATGAAACTGTTTTACAGTTGTTTGCAGGTATTCATGGGTGCCTGGTTGGGGTCTCATGGTCTGCATAACAAAAACATTAGTACTCTTATTCACAGCTTTAGTACAGCACTTCAGTGAATAGTGGACTATAATAAATACTGAACCCTAACATAAAGAGTGAAAGTCCTAGCTTTAGGAATCGCTCCAGAACTTACATGAAGTTTTGAGGGATCCAGGTGAATGAACCCAAGAACTAATCAGATATGGGGTCATCAGTAGATATTCAAAAATAATGGATGAGGCTAAAATCTAATAATAGGTGTACTATAGGTTTTTTTTCTGAAACATAATTTTTCTCTCTCAGTTCTCCAATTTTACCAAAGAGAAATCATAGTAGGACCAATTTATTTGCAAAATAAGTTCTAGTCCCTTATATTTGGCTTGATTATTTGCATAAAAGGCAGGAAAAAATAATTATTTGCCATAGAGGCTTTTTTTCTAAATTGGCTTTCCTGGAACTCAGGAAATCTCAGATTAAACTTTTCAAAATTATCTTGAGCCCAACCAAGGATTTTGCAGATACATGTATGAATTGGGTGAACTCCTATATTCTCAAGGTCCAAAAAAAAAAAAACATGTGAAGTTCCTGGGTCTATTAGAAGGCGATATTCTTTACTTACCACAGGTCAGGAACTCTGCAAAAGAACTGCATAGACAAAATATGAGACCAGTTTTTCCAAAGGGCTTTTATCAGCTCTATAGGTTAGCCTCAATTACTCAATGCAGTCTGAAAAAATGTCATTCTAGTCAAAGCCATGGTAAAATAATCAGTGTCTAAAATTGTGTCCTGTTACAAAAGAAAACAGATTCTTATTGAACTTATACAAATAACTATATTGCCATAAATTAAGAATACTCACAAATAGTTCTCAAATTCTGGAGAAATCAAGTAGAGAAAAAGAAATGTGATTCAAATTTTGCTCACAGAAGTACACTTTACTCAATTGTAAAAAGCTAAAAATAACTCAAAGAAATTGTATTGACCCTGAAAAACAAAACAAAAAGAATCAGCAATGTTTCAAGCAAAAAATCATTAAAAAAAATCAGTCTTCTATTAATTCAGTCCATGCAATTAACTCTTGTTCTGCTTGATATTCATGGACACCTAAGCTGTCCATGAAAGTGCTGGAGGTTTTTCTCCCTATTCCAATGACACAATCTCAAAAGTTACTAGAAACCTGCATTGAAGAGTACATGCCAGAGGCCTATAGCTGATAATAAAATCAACTTATGAAAAAGAGTCAAAGTAAAGCAATAATTATGAATGACAAAAGTGTCAGAACAGCCCTGGCTAAAGATATAATTGAAAAGAAAACTGTTATTTTTTGTGGCATACAACAATTAAACATAATCATAATTATTATTGATAACACTAAGTCCTATCAAAATTTTAGCAGTCTCACACAATTCTGGAACACATACCAATAACACACTCACACAACTGCAATGGAAAAAAAGCCGAACACCATTTCATACTTGACAATGTTTCCTATATTATTTTAACATGCTAAATAAACCAAATATGTCTCTTTTGGACTTCAGAGGACCTAATATCTAAACAAGTTAATGATGTCAAAGGACTGAATTTCAAATTTGATTTCAGAAAGTTTATCAAATACCAAAGGTTTAAATACTTGATATCACAAAATTGGATTACAGATTATTCAGTCAGCTAAAGTGATGACTTCACAGATTTTCAAAAGGCAAAAACATTTACTCTTTGATAGAGAAGAAACTCAGCTTTCTAAACAACAAGAATCAATAAAGACAGCATGAGGTCAACTGAATCTTTCTCTTCTCTCTCCCCTCTTTTGTCCTGCAGTTTATTCCAAAGGCAAACAAAAATCTTTTATTATCTCTCAATATTACACAAAGATCTTGTTCAAAAAAGAAAACCAAAATTCACCTTTTCATTAGTGTACTGTTAACACTAACCTCAATTTTTAATAAAATCTTATAAATATATATATATTCTTTTAATCAGTTTGACCATAAGGTAAGATTTCCATAAACATTTTATAATCCTTTACAATTTCCTATTGAAGAGCAGATCGGTGATCCAAAAAAAACCCTGCTATTCTGACACATGGGCCTAGATTCTTGCCCTGCATCAGTGTGCTTTTTATCTTAATATATAACTTACAGAAAAACAGAATAATCCCCTTCAAATTTTGGCCAACTTTCTCTCACACAGACCTTTCTTTACAAGATAAATGTTTCACATATCTTCTATAATTTGCTTAAACCTTTAGTTTTTTCCTATGTTTTTTAAATTAAGACAATTTTTAAAAACCTTTAAACTAGACAAAATGCTTTCCCTTTCATGAAAACCATATTTCCATGTGCTCTTACAACCTTTTGCCACAGATACCATCTACTTTTCTTATATACCTTGCATGTAAAACTGTTTCTCTAGTAGTCTCAGTTATGTATGTTACAATGCTAACTCTTAGCAACTTTTCCTTTTAGTGAAAACCTGGTAAGTAAGCAATTTTAACTATGAATTAAATTGCAGAGCCCAGAACAAGAACAGAACTACAATATCTGACTCTTCTCAGCACAGCCAGGGGGCACGGCTAACTCCACATGTCCCCAGGCCTTACCTAGAATTTAATGGCTATAAAACAGAGAAATCAATCATCAAAAAATGACATAGAAGCAGTTTGTGACCTTGAGACATCTAGCAAAGACAATATCTAACCTGCCTAATTCAGGCCAAGTATCTAAATTCTGAAAATGTTTTTTATTTTATTTTACTAATAATTTTTAAAACTGTCTTTATTTCCCAAAGATTACGAAAGTGAACTAAAAGGCATTTTAGCTAAAGTTTTTGTTTTTCTGATACAATATTTTATTTAAGTGCTTGTTTTTAAGTCAATTAATAAGAGCTCTTTTATATATTTTGGTAGTGAAAATATCACATACACATGACACATATAAACATGTGGACATACAAACACCAGACAGAAACAGATTTTACAGATTTATGAGGTTTTTTTTTTTTTTGAGATGGAGTTTCACTCTTTTTGCCCAGGCTGGAGTGCAATGGCATGATCTTGGCTCACCACAACCTCTGCCTCCTGAGTTCAAATAATTCTCCTGCCTCAGCCTCCCAATTAGCTGGAATTACAGGCATGCGCCACCACGCCCAGCTAATTTTGTATTTTTAGTAGAAATGGGGTTTCTCCATGTTGGCCAGGCTGGTCTCGAACTCCTGACCTCAGGTGATCCACCCACCTTGGCCTCCCAAAGTCCTGGGATTACAGGCATGAGCCATCGTGCCCGGCCTTATTTATGAGATTCTTTATGTGCCAGTTTTTAAAGTTTCTCTTTTCCATTTTAGACAGTCTCTTAATAACCTGTTTCCTGCCCTAAACAATTGTCAGTGAGGCAGCTCCAATCCATTTCTAAAAGGATAAACTCAAGTGAAATGAAATAAAGAATTAGTATTTTTCTCAAACCAACGAAAAATGGTGTGAGCAAAAGTTTAGTTAAGATGGCCAGGAAAAGGAGACGGCCTTACACATGGAAATTTCTTTAAAGATGCAAGTTTCTAAATTGGGTTACCAGCTTTAGGGTGAAGCCCTTTTAAGGAACAGGGTCAATAAAGCATGTAGTTTCTAGGGCCTAATAAGCAGTCACAGCTGGAAGGCAGAAAAGATTTTCCCAAATAAAGGATTTCATTTTTACACTGAGTCCCAGGTCTCCAAGAAAAGGAAAACACGATGAGATGAGTTAATGCAATGCTTCCACAGTGTAATACATTGTAAGGACATTTTCCCAAGGTTGCTGGGCAACCCAATGTAAATCATCCTGCTCTGTAACCAGCCCATCCACCATTACCATACTTTGTAGGTGCCCAAAAACATGTTTTCCTTATCTAAGTGCACAAAGAAAGGAGTACTGCCCTGAAATAAAAAACACTCACTGTAAGCACCTGCCGTTTAGCCATTTTTAGAAGTATATCTCTTACCTAGTTTTACATACCAAAGTTAATATTTAAACAAACAGAATTCAGTTGGCCAAGAAGTTTTTACAGAGGGAGAGCAGAGGTTTTAAAACAATATATACACACATGTAGCTGAAATATCAGCCTAACTAAGCCTACTTTTAATTATAGAGCTCTTGAAGGGAATTTTTTTCAAATATCTTATTACCAGATTTTATCCAGGACAGATGATACCTCTGTCTCTTAAGCCTTTTTAATGATAGGTATTCTAAGTGAAACCAATAAGCCTTAACTAAGGTTATAACTTAAACATGGACACATGAGGTGTTTTCAAAAGAGACAGTGAGCAGTTTTTACAAGATCTGGAATCATCCCAAAGGTGAATGAAAGAAAAAAAAAATTAAGATAAGAAATCAGAAGCTGCCCATAGAGGGGAAGATAATCAATAAATGGCAAACTATACAAACATCAAACCAGAAATGGCTCATTTCCTAAGCTGGAAATAAAACCCATGCAAAGTCTTAGCTACTGAGCTACAGTATGAGGCAGTTGCCAATGCTCTTCGCAGAATGGGTCTAGATGAGGCATTTTTGAACTTGAAAATAATTTTAACTGCTAGAGAGATGTTTTATGGCTAGCCATAACACTATTAATTGTCCTTTTCTAAATTTAACCTTTTTATTACTTGTTTAGAATAAGGGATTTGAAAAATCCTTTTTACTTTTAATTGCATATAATTCCAATAGTGGCTCAATCCAAAAGCCTTTTAAAACTCAGATGACATTTCTTTTTAGGTTTTTATCATATAAGCAAGAGGTATGTCTAGAGAAAGTGTAGAGAATGCATCTCTATGACCCCCAAAAATTCTCTCTCAGAAATGGGCTTAACATAGCAAAAGACCCATAGAGCTGGGACCTTTTAAGATAGAATTCACCAAAGGGCTTGACGCATTTGGAAGGAAAAGGGTACTGCTGTGTCTCAGCCTCTCAGTCCTTTCAGACCAGCCACATGACACAAACCCCAAAATTCCCACCCTTCAGATGGCAGAAACCAAGAGTCAGTATCCACATGGTCACAAAGTCAAATTCTCAAGAACATAAGACAAGATAAGTGGAAAACTTTATCTGGTTTTTGTTTCAGGGACCTGCAGCATTTAAAACAGCCTGCAGGGCTGGCTCAAAACACGGGGCTCTAGGGGTTCTAGGCCTGTGTTCTATCATATGGTACCCCTCTCCATAACAGAACAACACAGGAAGACAAAAACAAAGGAAGATGGCAAAACTAAAAGTTACTCCTAAGAGGAAAAAGGGGTCAAACAATATGAATATTTGCAGTACAAAGTACAAAATGTACACCAGATTTGCTACAACCTTTGACTAGTCACAAATTTCTTTCTTCCCGTTAATAAAAATCTTTCAGAGGAGGGAAACACTGATTATTTTTTGTTTTTTGAGATGGAGTCTAGCTCTGTCACCCAGGCTGGAGTGCAGTGGCACGATCTAGGCTCACTGCAACCTCTGCCTCCCGGGTTCAAGCGACTCTCCTGCCTCAGCCTCCCAAGTAGCTGGAATTACAGGCGCCCACCACCACGCCCAGCTAATTTTTGTATTTTTAGTAGAGATGGGTTTCACTGTGTTGGCCAGGCTGGTCTTGAACTCCTGACCTCATGATTGGCGTGCCTCGGCCTCCCAAAGTGCTGGGATTACAAGTGTGAGCCACAGCGCCCATCCACAAACACTGATTTTTACCATTTGCTCAACCAGTTTGCACAGAGAGAGAAAAGTCAGAATCCTGGCTAGTAAGAAATTCTTGCTCTTTTTCTGGCATGTCAGGTTTCTGGGTTATCTTTCTCTGCAGCTTCCAGAACAGTATAGTGGTTTTTGATGACCTGGAGAAATCTCCCCAAACCAAGCCTCTTCCTGTAATCTAGCAGAGGTGAACAGAACACACAAAGGAGCTAAGGGGCCAACCAGAACCTGCAAAAGGGGCAAAACAGAATCTGCAAAAGAAGCCACACAATCATTAGGAGAAGGAAGGGGATGTTGGTTGCACTTTGAATAGTCACCACACTAAGTTGAAAGATGCCTTCCAGGAACAATTTCTCCACTGTGATTAGGCTCAAACACTATGGGCTGAAAGCACCCCTTCAGCATGGACAATGCCTGGGATGGCCCTCAGTTCAAGAGAAATAAGCAACTGCTACAATGAACCTCTAAATCCGTTGTACTGGTTGGGGGCTGATAAGCCACCCAAGCACCCAACAGGCAGGTGCCTGCAAAGGCAGATCCTGATTGAGCCTCCACATGTGTAATCATCTAACGAGTTCTTTCTGCCCATTACACAGAAAAAAAACAATTTACTGAGACCACGGTATTGCGGAAGAGAAAGAGTTCTATAAGTAATACAGAGCTAGCCAAGCAATAGGACTGCAGTTATTACTCAAATCAGTTTCCATGAGGACTCAGAGGCTAGGGTTTCTACGGATAATTTTCCAGAGGCCTAGGAAATGGGGTGCTGGTGATTGGTTGGGAATGAAATCATAAGAATGTGAAAAATGGCCCTCAGGAGCTAAATTCACCTCTGGGTGGGGGTTACCAAACTGGTTGAGTCATGATTCCCAATTATGGGTTGAGTCAGTCAGTTGCCAGAATGCAAAAGCCTGAAAAACATCTCAAAAGGCCAATCTTACATTCTATAACAGTAATGTTGTCTATAGGAGCAACTGGGAAAGTCACAAATCTTGTGACTTCTGGACACATGATTCCTGAGCAGCAAGGGATTATAGAAAGGAAAGCCAGAAGAAAATGGCTGGTTATCATTTAGCTACATCTACATCTTAGCAGAATTCAAGCTCCTTTTATAATCCTAATCTTATGGCCTTCCATTAGTCTTACAAAGGTGGCTTTGATCCCTGAGCAAAGAGGATGTTTGTTTTAGGGAGTGACTACTATCATCCTTGCTTCAAAATTAAACTGTAAACTAAATTCCTCCCATGGCTAGCTTGGTCTGTGCCCAGGAATGAGCAAGGACAGCTGGCCTATGATTCTAGAGGCAAGATGGAGTAGCCATGCTTGACCTTTCTCACTGTCATATCTTTCACAGGCAATTTCATTTGTATATTCCTTTACCCAAGGAGAAACCTAATTCCAAAGAACATCAATATATTTCCTTATTTGTTCTTCCGTAATATACACAAAATAGTTTCATAATTAAACATCCATTACCATGAATTACCATTACCATTTCCATGAATTATCCATTCATAATTAAATCCATTACCATAGCCAAGCCTAAAAAAGAAGGCATAAATGTTCTTTGTAATTTCATATGTCCTTATGCAATAAATCCACTAATTATAATGAGTAAAAATACTGTTGATAAAAAGTTACTTAAATTAATTCTTTTTGTTGGGTCGTTATATTATCAATTTGGTAAAGTTAGGCTTATTTGTTTTTGTTTAAATTCCATTTTAGAGGGTTCTTTTTTATTCTCTTTAATTTAATTTGTAAATACATAAAATATTGATATGGTTTAAGGGTCAAAACTATTTAAAACCATGTAATAGAGGATATCTTACTACTGTCCCTTTTATCCTCATTCCACTCAGTCCCCATAGGTACCAGCTTCAATACTTTTTTATTCTTATGTTTCATTTTTTTCTAAATAAACAACATTAGTATTTCACTTTTCACACGCAAAAGGTAGCATAGACTCTTTTGGAGCTTGATATTTTAAGTTAACAATGCATTTAAAAAGTCAATACAACTCCACATCAATTTATACAGACTTTCTAGTATTTTTCTACAGCAAAGCTCTCCATTGTATGAATGTATTACAGATTATTCAAAAAAACCTCCTATGGTTGGACATGTAGGTTGTTATAAATATATTGCTATGGAAAATAATGACAAACTTAACAATCACCTGCATATTTGTGGAAAAGCATCTTCGAGGTAAATTCTGAGATGGGGGATTGGGCACCACAAGATAAACTCATTTAAAATTCTGGTAAATGTAACCAAATTATTTTCCATAGATGTTATAATAATTTGCATTTCTATTGGCAATATAAGAGTCCCATTTCTTCAAAGCCTCACCAGTAGAGTATGTTATCAAACTTTTGAATTTTTACCAGTTATATGAGAAATAGTTATCTCATCATAGTTTTCACTTATATTTCATTTATTATGAGTGAAGTTGAGCATCTTCTCATATTGTTCAAAGGCGATTTTTATTTATTTCTGTGTAACTTAAATAGTTACATTTTCACAGTTTCTGAACTTGATAAAAATATGCTTCTTTATTATGTATTTTCTGGATGTCTCTTAATGTGGCTTCAGAGAGGTAGTTTCTGATCCCCCTGGGATGGTGGTATGTGTTACAGCCTTCTTTCAGAATTTTCACGGTGTCCCAGAGAGTACAGAACAAACCTCTATTCACTGGAAACATCCGGAAAAGACCATTAGTCTTCTACTCCTCTCACACCAATTTCTTTGTCCATTTAGAAACAATTATTTTAAACACACTGATCAAAGATGCTGCAATTGTGCCAGGAGTCCTAGAGAGATGCTGATAGCATATAGGTGCTCCCTCCATCAGCTGAACTCTCTGAATCTAGCCTCACATTACCACTGCCAGTTTAATCATAATGAGCTCTCTCACTGCCTATATGATCTGATGGGGAATCACATAGACATTAACCTCAGCTCATTTTCCTGTTCATTTAAAGAGGCATTAAACCTTGATACAGTGCATACCACTACCCTTTCTTACCATACCATTATTATAGATTATATATAGTGATTGCCCAGCTTTGAGATGTACCTCTCAAATTCATAGCGTATGCTAAGGGCGAACATAGAAGTCAGCATTACAGAAGTTTCTACTGTGTCAGTTTTTCCTCTATCCCTTCCAGATTTCGCTTTCATATAAAATGAAGTCAAGCATGCAGTTGAAAAAGAAAAAAATTCAGTTAATCATTCCTGTCTTATCAAACTTACTCTTACCACTAGGACATGAGGAAATGCAGCCTCCCAGAAGGAAATACTATTATAACTTCACATTTTATTGCTCTCATGACATTATTGTAAGTGTGCATTATTATATCTTGTTGTATTAAATAAGAAGCTATTGAAATAAACCAATTTTCTCTTGGCTAAAAGGCCCCAATCACCATATTTCACCACTTTTCAGGTTTACTTTTTACATTTGTTTGCTGTTCTTTAATTGTTGATATTATGGTTTTTTTTCCCCAACATTGTTCTAACATCTCTTTTGTATGGCAACCATATGGTTTGAAGAAAGGGAATGACATTGACCTTTCTCTCAAATCCAGGGCATGTCCCATCAAGGTAACTTCATTCCTTTTGCCATAGTCACTGCTTCAGGCATGACATTTTCAAGGCTTAACATTATCCTAACCAAAGAAATTGATTGGTTCAAATAAGGCAAAATCAGAAACAAGATCTCAATCTGCACCAAATATGACAAGAAGCACACCATTAGCACTATGTCTCTGGACTATGAAAAGACGGACCACGGATGAAGCCAAATGCAGTGTTGCGGAGCTGAGAATTATAGAACCAACATCCTAATCAAACCATGCCAAGGGCCACCCTACCACTGGTCTTTTTAGTTATATGATTCAGTAAATTGCTTTATCTGGTTTGAGTTGGAATTTTGCTGTTTACTTGCAATCTCACTGATAGACCTTTCTCACAATTAACTGTCACTTCTCCATCTGTCATACTTGTCACTCTGTTAGACATCAATTTCTCCTCGAATTTTATTCATCCCTAACTCTGGCTCTTTGCTGCAAATTGTCTATTTTTTTTAAACAATGCCTAGCCAAACTTGAAAATTAAAGTTGATTTTGCACAACATTTCTGGGATTATAGAAGAATGTCTGTCGGTTACTCTGTATATAATGTGCCCATGAAATGCTACATAAGCCTTGTAATGGCTATTTCTCTCATGAATTGGAGCTCATTTCTGCACACTTCATATATATGCTCGAGAAAGCTGAACTGCTGGACATTTAATTCCTGTGTAAGTGGGACCTATTCTAATTCTACCTATTGATCCCTGCAAGAGTACATAAATGTGTGCGATCTGTGGAGAGTGTTCTTCCTGCCAGAATAAGGGATGTAGAATAAATATAGTAGATTACTCCTTAACTGGTAGGTATTATTCTTTCTTGGTACTTACTTGTCATTCATTGCATTCATCAGTCTGGTGCTGAATCATTTAAAATAGCAAAAATTACAAATTCAAAGCACATCATTGAATCTTGATGCTGTGATATTCTTTCAGGCATAGTATATTATGTCAGAACATAGACTTAATAAATTAACAACACCAGGAAAAATAAGAACAGAAAAAGCCTGCCATCTTGAGCACTGCAGTGTTTGACTCCCTCAAAGCCTGACTCCTAGGTACAACAGCAGGAAAATCTTGAATTTGAACGTCACCAATTCCAAAGATGGCCCCAGAAAGGAGCCTCCTATGAGTTGATATGTCAGGGTCAATTAGTATCAACTTTATTCCTCAACCAAAACTTCCAACTACCCTAGCATAGTTCAATTTGCCTGAACAATTTTCAACTAGCTTCCTTCTGCAGTTTCTCATAATAACATACTCTTTCTAAAATTCTGTTTTATAAACCTAAACTTTGTTATATTTGTAGTATCTTTTTAGGTGTTCTCATCTTACCTCATGTGTAAATACCTTGGGAAAATGCTGCTTTTTGCTTCTCACAACACAACCAGGGACTTCTAACATATCCTCATACTTAGTTATCCTCTCCTGGGCACACCAGAGGATTCCACTTCTCCTACTCCTTGCACTGTGGTTGCTCATGGGAATATTTATAGCTAGCAAAATGTAAGTGAAAGCCACATTTGTTTCTTGTTGGCTAAGACAGTGAAACATATATATGAAATTCTCTAGTTTCTGTTTCCTTACTGTGGTGCCCCAGGAAGATCTGTATCCAGATGATGTTGTAGCTACAAGACAGTGGAGCCACCATCTGCTTAGACCTCTGTGTAAAGCCTCCTTATCTTTTGTAGCATGGATGTGAAGTAAATCTCTGTCCTGTTAGTCCCCTGCGGTTTACAGTTTATTTCTTCAGCAGGGGAATAGATTATTTTATTAATAAAAACATGTATATGAGAAATAATTCTTAAATGTACATGGTTTAATTGGCTTTTAATTAAATCAGCCCTGATTTCTTATTACCTGTCATTTTGAGCTTTTCTCCTAAATGGCAACACAAATCAAGCCAGCATATTTGTTATTCTATTTCCCTCAGTACAGGCATCACTATTTATTTGTCTTATATTTGTCTTAGGTGAAGGGGCTCTTTGAAAAGCTGTATCAGATGTTTTTAAGCCAGGATCAAGTGACATTTCTGAGGCTTTGAAACCTAAATCTGTTGTCGGCTGTGAATATCTACTTCTATGTATTCTGTGGAATAGCAAACCATTAGCCTTTTATCATATTTTTAAGTTTCCAGAGCCATAAATAAACACAAACTTCTAAGTGAGATGAAACCTAAAATTTCTACAGAGCAGGACCATATATATACTTATATATATATATATATATATATATATATATACACACACATATATATATATATATATATACACACACACACATATATATACATATATATATATATATAGGATAACTGAAAGAGTTGAAAGGAGATTGTATTTTTAGTCTAACGTTCTATCAAAAATTCATAACATAATTAAATTAACTAGATATTTTTCTCACATCCCAAATATGGTTTATTGTAGACATGATATCTGAATGATTGCCTATTAAAGTTTTCAACTTCATGGTTTTTTTAACCTCATTTTAATTGATGAGAGAAAAAAATACAGATTATTAAAAAATCTTTAAATCACTTGTTTTATAACAAGGGATCATGCTTCATTATCAAAGAGTTGTATCATTGGACCAATATTTGAATAGTTCACACCATCTTGATGAAGTAGTTATTATGTTAATATATAATTATTAACAGATTCATAACCACCCACATCCTTGTAAGTTCTTACACCTATAGCCAGTTCCCTGGCAGTTCACTTCAGCTTTTTAGTAAGCATGCTATTACTGATAGGTTGTTGATTCACATCATCCAATGAGTTATTGCCCACAGCCTTTATCCCAAGTTCCAGAAAGATTTGTAAATAATAAATTCTGCCACAACACACTCAAGGGCGGTGGTGCTGGAACTCTTGAACTGCCATGATACTGAAGCCACTCCTTTTCACTGACTATTCCAAGGAAAAAGTGTATCAGGCTCTCTGAGGCAATTTCATTTTTATATGCATATATTTAATCTCTATGGACATTATTTATGAAATAAAAACTTCTGCTTCCTTCTGTCTCCTGGTCAACTGGTTCAAGTATACTCACTTTTGCCTGAGTTCATACCCTGGTTGTGGCCTCAGTTCTGCCCATCACTGCCATACTCTTCTGGATTCAGTCGTTTTTGTTTTGGTTTTGGTTTTGGTTTTTTTGAGATGGAGTTTCACTCTGTCGCCCAGGCTGGAGTGCCGTGGTGTGATCTTGGCTCACTGCAACCTCTGCCTCTTGGATTCAAGCGATTCTCCTGCCTCAACCCCCTGAGTAGCTGAGACTACAAGTGTGCACCACTATGACCAGCTAACTTTGTATTTTTAGTAGACACGGGGTTTTGCCATGTTTGCCAGGCTGGTCTCAAACTCCTGATCTCAAGTTATCTACCTGCCTCAGCCTCTTAAAGTGCTGGGATTACAGGCATGAACCACCGCACCCGGCCCTGGATTCAATCTTGACTCAAATCCATGATGATTAGCCTATAATCAGACTCTTCTCCAGGCGAGCTCTTAGACTAGAGACATCTCCTTCAAGGGCTTCTACTGTGTACCTCCTGCCAAAGAACCTGTTAGTTTTCCTCTAGTTTCCCCCTCCTGTAGACTTCATAGAGTAGAAAGTCACAAAAGTTGTGCTATGAAAAATTAGTGCTTTATTTTTCTCTCACATTAATGAAGTTGCTTATTAAGCAACACAGTGAATTAACACCTTAACATTTGCAATATAGTTTTTTCTATATAGTTATTTCTCCATAGTTATTTCTTGGATCATGTATAGTTGCCATATTGTTAAAAACAACAACCATGTTATACTCATATCTCATAAGCTCCTAGCGTCTCTCATAAGTTCCAAGTGCATATAATGTGCCCATAGCATGACTTTGATGAACATGTCCTGAATTATAGTTACAGTTTGGAAGGATGGATGGATACATGAATAAATAAATGGTGTTAAATCAGTGAAAATTCAAGTAAGTTGTGTGCTGTAATAGAAAGGACATTTGCATCCAGAGGCTTATCTTAATTTGCCACTAACTAACCCAGAAATCTTAGACAAGTTAGTCACTGTCTCTAGACTCCAGATTCATCATCTATAAAGAAGAGTGCTAAGATTACATGATTTTTTGTCACCTCTTCAGTATTAAAATTCTATGATGGATAACTATCCATTAAGTTTAGTACTAGTATATTTTAAGGCTCTCTTACCCTTTCCCTTTGTCAGTTGCCTTAAGTATCTTCAAGTAACTGTCCATTTTTCTTTCTCCAATAATCTTACTCAGGCTGAAACAGAAATCCTACAGAGGAAGATCAATGAACAGTCTACAACTTTGATCTTTAGTCTCTAGGTATAAAATAGCCTGAGGATAAGAAGCAAAGAAAGGCAGTGTCAGAGTAGGCAGCCTTGAGAAAATGGATGATCTGCAGGGGAGAAAACCTGGAGTAAACTATTTTGCAGAGAGTTTCTCAACAAAAAGTTGGAGCTTTGAAGTGAAGGAAGTCGTAAGGAAGAGGAATAGATGATTCACCAAATAGCAGACAGAGCACTGTGGTGATAAAGTGAATTAGACATGTCCGGATGGCTAAAGAGAGATTGTAACCAGAATAAGACATTCTGAAAAGTCATGAGTAGGCTATATTAAATTGTCTTCATCTTCATATAAAATGGAGGAATTTATTTCCTGATTCTATGGCAATGTTGGAGGTCGTCAGGAGTGGTAGTTAATAGCATTGTTTTGGGATTCAGACCCATTTTGACTCTGCCACTGACATCTGACATTCTAGTAGGTATCCCAGGACTCATTTTCCCCATCTGTAACAAGTGTAGTTGCTTCATGCATTACTGATGAAGATTAAATGAAGTAAAGTTTATACAATCCTTAGCTCAATGTCTGACACAAGTTAAGTGCCCAATCATTATTATTATTAGATATAAGAAAGAAATTAAGATATTTATGTTGTTTGAGGACCTCTTATCCCTGGATGAGTATGGCACACTCAATGTACCAAAAAACCAGCCCATAAAAGCTGTATTTCTGGTAAATATTGCTGGTAAAATGCTATCAAGTTAAAAAGACTAGAGAGCAAAGTTGTAGAAAAAAATTCCCAGGAGCTGACTTTGCATCCAAACTAGGAATTCAAAGCTGTTTCAAAGTGAGAATTGATAGCTAGGTTCTAAACCACGTAATTTACAAGAAAACAAATCTCCTTTTTGTGTTTGGTCATTATTCTCCCTGTCAAGCAATAAAGACTGTTCAATTCAATCCAGTTTTCAATACCACAGATAAAGTCATCAATAGTTCTTGTTAGTTTGTATAGGTTAAACACAGAGAACATTAGATCTTATCTATTAATTCTATTTCTCATTTTAGCTTTTAAAGGATTAAAAAGAGTGGGGAGGGCTGCTTTTATAAGGTCTTTCCCAGGCAACAGGAAACCGGAAAAAAATTTAATTGATAATTCTAATTACCACCCCCCGGCCCCGCCAAACACTTAGGAATATACTTTGAAAAATGTTTCATTAGATGATAGTCTAATTAAGATAGTGATTTATATGTTAATGACCAGGTGGGTACCCAAAAATGTTAAAAGCCTTGTGGTGCATTTTATAATGTTTTAAAGCTATATGTACTTCAAATTCCAACACTAACCAATGTGATTTCAATTCCACTTAGAAAATGGTGAAGGAAGAAACACAGCAAATACATCAGTAATAACATATCTAATTAAAGCATCTTTTCTTCATCAAAGGCAGATTTTTGACATAGATATGATGTGATATTTAAAGATGTTCCTTAATGTTTATATAGGAGGAAAATTACATCTTTTTAAGATTTGAGTAGACACTCCTAGAGTGATTTGGTTTCTAAAGCACATTTTAATCTCATTTGCTTATTTTTCCTCATTGCCTTACACCTCAAGATGCACTTTTCCTAATTGTATAACTCATCAAGTGCCAGATTCAAATGGGAACAATGAATCATTAAATATAAGAGATTAAAACAGAAGCACATTCAGAACCATTTGAAACAATCACAAGAAACATTCTGTCTTATTTTCATGTTTCTAAAACTCTGGCTTTACCAGAGAAAATGAGCAGAAATGAAAAGCTTCTCATGTCTATTTTCTTAAATCTGCCTTTGTTACTTGGACTAGATCATATACTACTTCTAAGAAAAGTGCATCTACATTCAAAATAGATTTTCATGTTTGATGTCAGGTGGACGCAGAATGGTTTTCCTAAAAGTACTTTCGTAATTTTCTTCAAAATTAAAAAAATGCTAAATAATAGAATACATGTTTATTTATTTTGCCCTCAGAATTACTAGTTTCAAAAAGCTTAGCCAAATTGATCTTATTGTGTTTAATTACTGCATGCTGATTGTCTTTCTCAAATTTTCAGCCTTGGTTCCAACAGCTGAATCAACATATTTACAATGTTGAAAAAAAACCCACTTGCTTTGGCATTGAGAAAGCAAGAAAATATGACACACTAAACCAAAACACCTCAAATTTTACAGAACTATAAAATATTTCATTAATAATGTTGCCACCCAGGAAACATAAGAGATCATTATCAGGACAGAACAGCAAATGTACACAATGATGCTAAGAAAAGATTTTGTAGGGACATCATGGAAAAAGTAAGTTCAGAAATAAACTAATAACTATGGAACGTTATAAAAATTTCTTTCATTAGAATTATTATCAGATAAATAAGGTAAATGATCATCTTTACAGATATTTCTTAGTATACACTTCATTTTACCTTATCCATTTAATACAAAAAATAAAATATTGCAAAAGAATAAATAGCACATTTTGGGAGTTATGACATTTTTAACAGACTTTTCTTAAGATTAGATTTTTTTTTCTTACTTAGAAAATGTCGTTTTGTTACATTACAACTTTTGCAAGATGCAAGAGTTTTTTTAAAACTACACTATTTTACTTATACTCATCACTTTCTTCCTCTCTCTGCATTCATCATTCTCTCACTTTCTCTCTTTCCACTTTATGCTTCATTTCAAAATCTACTTATAATCATCTTGGCACCTCTATTTTTCTATCCACTAAATAGAGATAACTATAATACCTTCCTCCTAGGATTGCTTGGGAGATTAAATATATTATTACTACATGGTAAGCATTTGAGCTATCTGTCACATATTATGCATTATTACTATTCAACATTATATTTTTATACATTTTCCTAGATCCATCTGAATGCAACATGACTGTAATAGAATATGTAGTATGAAAGTCATAATTCCCTTGTTTGATTGTATAATCTCAATAAAGAACCTCACCAATCCCTCAAAAAGAAAATCTATGGTCATTGTGGTATATTTACAAAATATCTATTAGAAAATAAAAAATTAAATTACATAAAATTGTACCACCTAGGGATAACACTTATTAATATATAATGTGTTAATATATAATTATTATATTGTATCATGTATTCATAAATATATTTTTAAGTGTTTTTTTAATCTTCTCTACAAAATTATTTGGTGGTGTGCTTTAATATTTAATATATTATAAATATCTTTCCTGTTATTAAATGTTTTTCTTCAACATAATTTTAATAGCAACATAGTTTGTCCTTAAATATATACACCATAATTTATACAATCCACTAATGTAGGACATTTAGGTTGTTTCTGACTTTTGCTATTATAAACTGCATTAAAATGATTTTTTTAACTACAAAAGTAGAATCTTAAAATAAATTGAATAAGTCTTTGACATAACCAAATATTGAAAAATAGTCTTTAATGGTTAACAGCCCTATATCAAGAGTGATGCAAACAGTGTCCACCTGGGAAACAGATGGCCACGCTGTAAGGTTTGACCACCCAAGTGACTTTCAGCCAGTACTTACATCATTCTAAAATTTGACCATTATATAGGTCACCTTGTGTATTAATTTTTCTCTCTCCCAATAAAAATCTTTAAAGGCCAGAGAATTCTAAAGGAAGATTTTTTTAAACTGTGCAAATCTCCAAATTTTTTAAGTAGGATTTCTCTCAGCAGCCATCCCTGGCAATCATGTGAGCTTTCTTCATAATTTTTAAAAGCCTTAATGACTTTTAATTCATATCTCCAAGTTATAGTGTTTTGATTGGGATGTCTGTATTAAGTATCTTTACTCTATAGCTGATTTATTCATAAGGACTCCTCAATAGTAATTTGCTTGGTGTCATATTGAATAATTAACATTTTATAATACTAAGTAGAAAATGTATCAGACACTTGGCACCTTCAGAAACAAAGTCTTACTAAAGATTGCTTAGATAAGTGACGATGCATTGAAATTTAGCACAACTTCACTTCCAGGAAAAAGCTACAATATCCAAAAGGAGATAATTAAGCTCTGTTTCAAAAATTATGTGAAATTAGTCAAAGAACAGAATGTATTAAATGATTTTTGTATAAATCTCAGTAGTAGTTTTGCCACTGATATCTCTGTAAATAACTTTGGTCAATACACAAGTGTGGCAATCATTTTAACTTACTGAATCAATTGTTTTTAGTCTATTTATTCAAAAATTCAAGTTTTCAGATAACATCTTGCCATTGCTTATATCCAAAGTGGGTATTGTTATATTTTTATTACTTATTAGAAGGCTGTCCTATTTTTTAATTAACCATATTCAAATTCAATACTTTATATTAGGATTAAGGGAGTTTGTGTTTATTGAGTATGTATTATTTATCTGACACTAAGACAGTTGCTAGAGGTTCTAAACTACGCTCTTTAAAAGCTGGTACACATTTTTACCAGCTTTTAAGGAGCGTAGTTTAGAACCTCTAGCAACTGGAAAATGTGGCACATATACACCATAGAATACTATGCAGCATAAAAAGGATGAGTTCACATCCTTTGCAGGGTCATGGATGAAGCTGGAAACCATCATTCTCAGCAAACTAACACAAGAACAGAAAACCAAACACCACATGTTCTCACTCATAAGTGAGAGTTGAACAATGAGAACACATGGACACAGTGAGGGGAACATCACACACTGGGGCCTGTCACGGGTTGGGGGTATAGGGGAGGGACAGCATTAGGAGAAATACCTAATGTAGATTACGGGTTGATGGGTGCAGCAAACCACCATGTCACGTGTATACCAATGTAACAAACTTGCGCGTTCTTCCCATGTATCCCAGAACTTAAAGTATAATAAAATAAATAAATAAATAAGAAAACAAACAAGCAAACAAAACTGGTACACATTTAAACTCTGAAAACCAGAACTCTACTTTTGTCAATAGCATCATGAAGGAGTGAGATGATTTTGCTAAGCAGAAAGCAAACACAAAATGCATTGAAATCATTCAGAATGATCATGTCAGGAACTGAACATGACCAAAGGTAGGGAACATACGTATAGTAGTTGCTTTGAAGTCTTTGTGTCCTTTATCCGATACATGGGGCTTCTTTGTATATGTGCTCTTTTTATGTGAGTTTTTACTCATTTCTTTGCATGTCTAGTTATTTTTTATAGAAAACCAGGCACTAGCTAATGTGTTATAATGATTCTTAAATCTGTTTTGTTTTTCTGAGAGTTGCTGATTTGTGTTGTTTTCATTTTAGTAGGTGATTCACTTTTCTTGTCTCAAAATGTAAAATCTGTCACCCCTTCAACTTGTATCCACTGATGGCTCTGATTACCTTTTTATTTTAACCTTGGTCCCTAGAGGTCTACTATGTGCCTGTGTAGTTTTAGCAGTCAGTCAATGATTTAGACATAGGCTATGCTCAGACACCATAAGTCTGAGAATTTTTTATGCATGAAATAACTTAAGAATTGTATTTTTATGAAAAACTGTTGCTGCATTGGTTAAGAACAGTGAATTTGTGGTATTTCCACACTGAATTGTTTCCATCCTCCCCAGCTCAAGGAGTGAAAGCCACAGCTTCTCTGGCCAGAAGTAATAGTTTGGTTCAAGGTCAACAAAACAGAAACCAGAAACTGCAGAGGAGGTGTTTAAAAGTAAGATAGTCATAGAAAGGGGGAGATAAGCTCTACATGAACCCCTGGATGACTTCCAAACTATATACACATACAGGACACACAAAAAGCCCAATGAAAATTGAAGCCTTAGAAAAAGTTGAAAATTTCCTGAATTTTTTTGATGTATTCCTCAATCACATTTCAGGGTGCAGAGCATAGAAGATTTACTGACCTGTGGTGTCTGAGCATAGCCTATATCTAAATCATTGACTGACTGCTAAAACTACACAGGCACAAAGTAGACCTGCAGAGACCAAGGTTAAAAAAAATGTAAGCAGAGCCATCAATGGATACAAGTCAAAGAGGTAACAGATTTCACATTTTGAGACCAGAAAACTGAATCACCTACTAAAATGAAAAAAAAAAACACAGAACAGCAACCCTTAGAGAAACAAAAAAGATTTAAGAAATACTATAACACATTAGCTAGTGCCTGTTTTTTATCAAAAATTACTAGACATGTAAAGAAACCAGTAAATGTAAATCATAATCACACATACACATAAAGAAGGCTAGATGTTGGATAAAGGAGAAAAAGATCTCAAAGCAACTACTATAAATATGTTTTAAAAGTTAAAAGAAAACATGTTCACAAGGATAAAGAGAAATGTGCTAATAATAAGCAAACCAATAATGATCTCAGGGGAGAAATTGAAATGATACAAAAGAACAAAGTAGGAATTCTAGCACTGAAAAATACCATAATTAAAAGCAAAAATTTAGTATATAAGCTCAATAGCAGCATTGAAATGACTGAAAAAATATTTTGTGAACTGAAGATATACTAAAGAAAATGATTCAATTTGAAGTACAGAGAGGAAAGGATTGAATTAAAAAAACAGAGCCTCAGAGAGCAAGATAGTCATAGAAAGGGGGAGATAAGCTCTACAGGAATCCCTGGATGACTTCTAAACTATGCACACATGCAGGAGAAACAAAAAGCCCAGTGAAAATTGGGGCAATATCAGAAGTTGTGATACAAGTTTAATTGGATTTCCAGAAGGAGATGAGAATAAGAGACAAAAAAATATATTTGCAGGCACAATGTCCAAAATCGTCCCAGATTTAGCAAAAACTTGTAACTTATTTAATCAAGAAGCTTCACAAATGCCAAGTAGGATAATTGCAAAGAAGATCACACCTAGATACATCATAATCAAACTAGTGAAAGTGAGATGCTGAGAGAAAAATTTAAAATCCCAAAGCTAAGGATAAAGAAAAAATAAAGATCACTGAGAAATAAAGAAACTAGAAAATGGACATATAATAAGTAAACGCCCCTAGAAAAAAGCTGAATCTTTGAGATCACTAAAAATGAGAAATCTTTAGCTGGAAGAAAAATTTATGTAGTTGAATCTTAAGCTATAATAGAAGAAATTAATAAAATACACATTACTAATATTGGAAATTAATAAGAGGACATTGGTACAGAGCCCACAGACATTACAAAGATAGTAAGAGAATATTATAAATGTTTAATGTCAAAAAATTTTGCCTTATGTGAATGTAACAAACTCCTTGAGGGACAAACTCCACTATTAATTCAAGAGAAATAAAAAATTTGAGTACTACTATATCAATTTTAGAAATTAAATTTTTTAATTTAAGACCTTTCCCCCAAAAAAGTGGGTCCAGGTGGCTTCACTAGTGAATTATAAAAAAAACATTTAAAGAAGAACTTACGCTGATCCTGACCAAACTTTAACAAAAATAAGGGAGAACTATTTCTTAATTCATGTTATGAGGTCAATACTACACTGATAATCAAGCCAGACAAAGACATATGAAAACTACCGAATGATATTCTTTATATACATAGTTGCAAAAATATTTAACAAAATGTTAGCAAATCAAATCCAGCAATATATAAAAAAGAAAATGCATCAAGATAAAGAGTTTATCCCAGGAATGCAAGTTTATTTCAAATTTGAAAGTCAATCAATGCAATTCATTATATCAAAAGTTCAAAAGTCATTCTCCTATGAATGACTTCCTCCTTTGAGACAGACTTCAACTCATTTAATTTTTTATCTTCTATATAATTGTGCTTATTCCTATTTTATAGACAAGGACTCTGAGTTTAAGAGAGGTTCACAATGACCAAATGTCACCTATCATGTAGAGAGGAATAAGAATTTTAACTCAGTTGTGCCTGGCCCTAAATTATTATTTCTACTGTGGATGTTATCTTTTACAAATGAATTGCAGTAATATGAAAAATCTACATGAATATATGAGATAGTCTTGAAATTCTCTTTAATAAATCGCTTACACTTCCTTTAGTAGTTTCTTTGCTAACACCCTTTATCTTCTTGATAATAAACACTCAATCCAAACCAGGATGTTTCATGCTGCTGGAGCAATAATAACTGCCCTATTTCTCTTGCATAGCACCAATTACCCAGGCTCCAGTCTCAGGAAGAGCTTTGCAACTTATAAATATAAAACAGATATACACGTGTTCTCTACATTCCCTTTGGTTAAGAAAAGCCTGTCACCTCATCTGAGGACCAAGGAAAAATGTCAATGCAAAGGAATTGAGCCCTGCTTCAGAAGATGCTTCTTTCCTCTATAAATAAGAGTGTTATGGCAGCCCCAGTAAATTAGTATATGTAATTAAATTCTGTAAAATGAGAAAATAAAATGTATTTTCATCTATAAATATCCATGCTCATGCATGTCTCTATAAGATCTTTTGAGGCATTTAAATAAAAATGCCATAAAGCAAAAAAATAAAATCCACAGCATGAGAGCGTCTAAAACATGAGAGTGAACCCTGTGGGAAGCTCAGAGTTCATTCTTTAGAAATGTTTTTAAAAACTCTTCTTAAAAAATCAATATTAAAATGCATCAATAAAATGCATGAAACTCTTCTTTAATATTTTAAAAAATTATTAACACAGAGTTTTCAAATTTAGGCATCCACACCCTAAATAATATTACTCCATTCTCTAACAAACAAGTCTTGCTCTCAGTTACTTTCCTGGATTCCAAATGAACATTCAAACCCTCTTCTATAAATATCATTGTATAGTTAATATCTAGAAATATAGAAGAATAGAACTATCAAGTATTTCTGTTTACAAGGTCAGACCCATTGATATTAAACAGTATCATAATACACATATACATATATATGTGTATATATGAATATATATACATAATATATATTTTATGAATATATTTTATGTATTATATATGAATATATAATACATTAAAGATATATATATATATATATATATATACACACACACACACACATAAAAAGTATATATACTATTTACTTCCTTCTCAGTGAATAGCTTCTGGTTATGGCTAGAAAAAAAATGTCCATGTATAGATCTAACAGTGATGAAAACAATCAAATTGGAATGAGATGTAAAAGGAAAACTGTATAAGTAAGGATGTATCAAGTCTAAGAAGTAATGACTAAAATGCGGTTAAAAATATAGCTGGATGTTTAAGAACTACCCAGATTTCTTGTTAAAATATAAGTAGTTCTCTGCCTTCATCCATAGATGGATTCCTAGAGGAACCTATATGTATTAGTCCATTTTCACACTGCTATAAAGAACTACCTAAGACTGGGAAATTCATGAAGAAAAAAAGATCTAATTGACTTACTTTTCTGTAGGTTGTACAGGAGGCATGGTTGGGGAGGCCTCAGGAAACTTACAATCATGGCAGAAGGTGAAGAGGAAGCAAGCACATCTTCACATGGGGCAGGAGAGAGAGAGAAAGAAGGTGGAATTGCTACACACTTTCAAACGATCAGATCTCATGATAACTCACTTACTACCATTAAAACAGCAAAGGGGAAATCTTCCGCCATGATCCAATCACCTCCTTCCAGGTCCTTTACCCAACATTGGGGATTACAATTCAACATGAAATTTGGGTGGGGACACAGAGTCAAATCATATCATTCTGCCCCTCCAAACCTCATATCCTTCTCATATTTCAAAGCATAAGTATGCCTTCCCAACAGTCCCTCAAAGTCTTAACTCATTCCAGCGTTAACGCAAAAGTCCAAGTCCAAAGTCTCATCTGAGACAAGGCAAGTCCCTTTAACCTATGGGCCTGTAAAATCAAAAACAAGTTAGTTACTTCCAAGGTACAATGGGAATACAGGCATTGGGTAAATGCTCCCATTACAAATGGGAGAAATTGGCCAAAACAAAGTGGCTATAGGCCCCATGAAAGTCTGAAACCCAGCAGAGCAGTCATTAAATCTTAAAGCTTTGGCTAAGCACGGTGGCTCACACCTGTAATCCCAGCAGTTTAGGAGGCTGAGGTGGGTGGATCACCTGAGGTCAGGAGTTCGAGACCAGCCTGGTCAACATGGCGAAACCCTGTCTCTACTAAAAATACAAAAATTAGCTGGACTTGGTGGTGGACACCTGTAATCCCAGCTACTCAGGAGGCTGAGGCAGGAGAATCGCTTGAACACAGGAGGCAGAGGTTGCAGTGAGCCGAGATCGCACCATTGCACTCCAGCCTGGGCAACAAGAGCAAAACTCCATCTCAAAAAAAAAAAAAAAAAACTTAAAGATTCAAAATATTCTCCTTTGACTCCATGTCTCACATCCAGGCCACACTGATACAAGAGGTGGACTCCCAAGGCCTTGGGGAGCTCTATCCCTGTGGCTCTGCAGGGTATAGTCACCATGGCTGCTTTCAAAGGCTGACACTGAGTGCCTACAACTTTTCCAGGTGCACTGTGCAAGCTGTCAATGGATGTACCCTCTTATCAGGCCACTGTCCTCCAGACTCCAGAATGGTAGAGCCACTGATGCTTACACTGTGCACCTGGAAAAGCCACAGACCCTCAATGCCAGCCTGTGAAAGCAGCTTGGAGTTGGGCTGGACCCTGCAAAGCCACAGGGGCAGAGCTACCCAAAACGGTGGGATCCCACCCTTTGCATCAGCATGCCCCAGATGTGAGACATGGAGTCAAAGATCATTTTGGAGCTTTAAGATTTAATGTCTGCCCTGTTGGATTTTGGACTTGCATGGGGCCCGCAGCCCCTTTGTTTTGGCCAATTTCTCCCATTTGGAATGGATGTATTTACCCAATGCCTTTATCCCCATTGTATCTAGGAAGTAACTAACTTGCTTTCAATTTTACAGGCTCATAGGTGAAAGGGATTTTCCTTGTCTCAGATGAGACTTTGGGCTTGGATTTTGGGTTAATGCTGGAATGAGCTAAGATTTTGGGGGACTGTTGGAAAGGCATAATTGTGTTTTGAAATGTGAGGACATGAGATTTGGAAGGGACCAGGGGCAGAATTATATGGTTTTGCTGTGTCCCCACCCAAATCTCATCTCAAATTATAATACTCATAATCTCCACATGTCAAGGGTGGAACCAGGTGGAGGAAATCTGATTATGAGGGAGGTTCCCCCATGCTGTTCTCATGATAGTGAGTCTCATGAGATCCAATGGTTTTATAAGAATCTAGCATTCTCCCTGCTTGCTCTTCACCTTTCTGCCACCTTGAGAAGAAGGTGCCTTGCTTTCTCTTTGCCTTTTGCCATGATTGTAAGTTTCCTGTGGTCTTCCCAGCCTTGCTGAACTGTAAGTCAGTTCAACTTCTTTCCTTTATAAACTACCAAGACTCAGGCAGTTCTTTATAGCAATATAACAATGGAATAATCCACTCTGAAATCTAGGCAGAAGTTCTCAAGCCTCAGCTTTTGCCCTCTGCACACTGGCAGACTTAACACCATGTGGAGGCCTTGGTGCCTTCCAAGGCTGTGGGAGTCTACCCTCTGGAACAGTGGCCTGAGACGTATCTGGGGCCCTTTTAGTCAAGGCTGGAGCTGAAGCAGCTGTAATGCAGGGCACCATGTTCCAAGGCTGCGCAGAGCAGCAGGGCCCTGGGCCTGGCCCACAGAAACATTTTTCTCCCCTAGGCTTCCAGGCTTGTGATGGGAGGGGCTGCCCTGAAGGTGTCTGAAATGCCTTGGAGGAATTTTCCTCATTGTCTTGGCTATTAACATTCAGCTTCTCTTACTTATGCAAATTTCTGCAACCAGATTAAATTTCTTCCTAGAAAATTAGTTTTCTTTTCTATCACATGACTAGGCTGAAAAATTTCCAAACTTTTATGCTTTGCTTCCCTTTTATATATAAGTTCCAGTTTCAGGTCATTTCTTTGTTTATACAGATGAGCTTAGGCTTTTAGAAGCAGCCAGGTCACATCTTGAATGCTTTGCTTCTTAGAATTCTTCTGTCAGATACCCTCAATCACCTCTTTCAAGTTCAAAGTTCAATAGATCCCTAGAGCAAGGGCACAATGCCACCAGTCTCTTTGCTAAAGCATAGCAAAAGCGACCTTTACTCCACTTCCCAAGAAGTTCCTCATCTCCATCTGAGAACTCCTCAGCCTGGACTTCACTGTCCACATCACTATCAGCATTTTGATAACAACAATTTAACAAGTCTCTAGGAAGTGCTAAACTTTCCCTCATCATCTTCTCTTCTTCTGAGCCCTCCAAACTGTTCCAAACTCTGCCTGTTACCCACTTTTAAAGTGGCTTCCACATTTTCAGGCATTTTTATGGCAATGCCCCCACATCTCTGGTACCAACTTTCTGTATTAATCCATTCTCACACTACTATAAAGAACTACCTACAACTGAGAAATTCATGCAGAAAAGAGGTTTAATTGACTCATAGTTCCACAGGCTGTACAGGAGGCATGGCTGGGGAGGCCTCAGGAAACTTACAATAATGACAGAAGGTGAAGTGGAAGAAAGCATGTCTTCACATGGCCAGTAGGCGGGGTGCGTGGTGGGGGAGAGAGAGAGAAAGGGAAAGTGCTACACTTTCAAACAAACAGATCTTGTGATAACTCACCCACTATTACAAGAATGGCAAGGGGGAAATCTGCCCCTGTGATCCAATCACCTCCCATCAGGTCCCTCCCCCAACATTGGAGATTACAATTCAGCATGAGATTTGGGTGAAGATCCAGAGCCGAACAATATCACTATATTTTAACAAATCCTCCTGATTATTTAGATGTATATAATCTGATAATTTTTGGCACCAGACTATAATTTGGAGAAGGGTTCAGTTTTTTATAGAGGTTTAACTTTCTGGGGATGTTTTTAGAGACAGTATAATTGCTGGCCACCAGGCAGCAACTTGCCAAACAATATGGTCTGGGGATGGTACCTGTCAGGAGATAGAGACTTCTAGGAATAAATCTCAGAGGGACAGCTTAGTAACATTTAGGCTGTGTATTACTACCACAACTACTATGAACTTTGAATTTATCTCTAAGCAAGGCCTCCCTGGGAAAAAATCTACCCTGACTTGCTTACATATGAGTATGGTTTGAATATGTCCCCCAAATTTTGTGTGTTAGAAATTTAATCTCCCATATGCTGATTGGAGGTGGGGGTCTTTGAGAAGTAATTAGGATTTGATAAGTTCATCAGGACCCCCATGATGGAACTGGTGGCCTTCTAAGAGGGGAAAGAGAGGCCTATGGTGACACACACATTCTTAATTTCTCACCATGTGATGCCCTCCACCACATAACAAACATGCCCTCACCAGATACTGGGACCATGTTCTTGGACTTCCCAGACTCCAGAACTGTAAAACAAATTTTTTTCTTCATAAATTACTCAGTCTCACATGTCCTATTATAGCAATAGAAATGGACTAGGAAACACATTCCCCTCAACTGATAATGGTAAACTGTGCAGGTCTTCGAACCTCAGAAAACCTCTCCAACAGTTCAATACATTCATCTATTATAATTATTTAAGCCCATCTCAAGAACTACGTCCTATAATAAGCCTCTTTTAGATATTGCATAGTGGTTGATTTCTATGTCAGTTAGGATATCTTAAAATTACATAAATCCAGAGTCAGCACAAACAATAAAGGTAGAAAATGTGCCAAGTAAACCAAAACAATAAGTAAGAAGTAAAAGAAAAGGATATTGATCTGATTTTCTTGACTTTATAGTTTCTAGGGCCAAACAGAGAAAGGGAGGCAACACTGAGGAAAAATTAATTGTGCTTTATGTTTATAATAAGGTCATAAAGATATGGGATATAATGTTTATACCAGTCTCTATCATTTCTTCCTTTAGTCAACATAATCTCTGTGGCACTACTCCCATGTCTCAGCAATGATTCCCTTGTCCATTTTACCTGCTTTACATTAACATGGAGCTTGAGATAATAAGCAGGCTCTCTTATACCACATGGCCCCAACTCTGTCATGAATAAAGAGAGAAGGGTATGCATGGGATCGGGGTCAGATCAGCTCATCTCAAGACTGTAATGGTTTCCTATTCAGTTAATGAGCATATTGAGTCCAGCAGTTACCAGCTCCTCAGATGCCACATCACATCAGGTCAGAAAACTTCCATCTGGTCCAAACCATGCTGTCATATTTTATGTAAGCCATTCTTGTCTATGCTGCCAGTATTCCAATAAAGGTGTCAGACTCAGTTAGGGAAATCAAGTATAAGCATATATCATGAATGCAAATATAAAATTAAATCAATGTTAGGTCTTCAATATATTAAACTCCTGTCGAGTCTAATTACAGCTCTCTCAAACATCCTTTCATTGGAGAACATTTTGTGTTGCTGAAAAGGTAGCAGGGATCTTGCTGCAGACCTTGCAATTCCCAAGGGCAAAGAGCTGAGGTTGTTGTCAGTGTTATATGAAATGGCAATATTTATTTCCTAAGCAAGTTTGTAATTGTGTGTATGTGTGAGATGATGTGTGTGTATTGTGTGTATATATATATTCTGGGAGTCTTAAACTTCTAGTCAGTTTGATTAATTCTAGTCTTGGCATGAGTGATGTGTATTTTTTTTCAATTAATTTACTGGTTTAACATAGGTTCTTGTTCAAGTGATGTACCAATGCCCAAAACCTCTGGACCATAAAATTCAATTGTTAAATATTTAGAAAATTTTAAGTCATTTTTAAAACCATAGGTAGCAGAAATTGGTCCGGATGAGAATATTTACACCATGGAAATTGGCAAACACTACAAATAGGAACCTTTTCTTTTTTTCCAGGAAGTAGATTTACTAGCTATTAATGGTTACACTAGATGACTAGTAACGCCAGCCACAGCCACATTACATTCCATACTTTGCGAAGCTGCCCATTCATAATTTTAACTGAGAGAAGTCTCTGAAGGTTATACTTTAATCCCTGGAAGACAAGTTCAATCTATGTGGTTCTCCAGTATGACAAAATATCCAGAGTTTGTGATTGTAAATAACTAAGTGAACCAAATTATCTTTTGCTTCATAATAGGCAGAAGCATTAGGTTAGTAGAGGAAAAATATTAGATTTAAACCGAACCAAATGCAAAATAAAGGAGTGGCTTAATGATGGTTAACGGCATTACAAATCCAAAAAAAAAGAGTTGCATTTCTAAAAAAAAGACACTATACCCTGACTTTCAGCTGCTTTACATTCAGAACCAATTAGTAATACAGTTGACCCTTGAATAATGAGGGGATTTAGGGATGCTGCCTCTCCATGCAGTTGAAAATTCAAGTATAACTTCGACTCCCCAAAAATCTCACTAATAGCCTACTGTGGACTAGAAGCCTTACAGATAATATGAACAGTCTATTATCACGTATTTTGTGCATTATATGTATTATATACAGTATTCTTATAATACAGTAAGCTAGAAAAAATCATTATTATGAAAATCATAAGGAAGAGAATCACTATGTATTAAGTGAAAGTGGATTATCATACAAGTCTTCATCCTCATTGTTTTCACATTGAGTGGGATGAAAAAGGAGAAGAGAGGTTCATCTTTCTTAGGATTGTAGAGGTGGAAGACAATCTGTGTTTAATAGCCCCTCACAGTTCAAGTCTACATTGTCTGAGGGTGAACTGTACATGACATTACAAGGCCTGCTATTATTTCTATGAAATTCTAGTCTCTGTATTTTCTTCTGTAGCCTTACTATCAACTCTCAGGATTTTAGTTCACTTTCATAAGCCTCTCTTTCTTGAAACTAAAAGCCCTAATTCACTGCTGGGCCCTTGCCTTTAATCCCAGCACCTTGGGAGGCCAAGGTGGGAAGATAGCTTGAGGCCAGGAGTTCAAGACCAACCTGAGCAGCACAGGGAGAAACTGTCTGTACAAAAAGTAAAATTTAAAAAAATTTTAGCTGAGCATGGTGGCACACACCTATAGTCCCAGCAACTCAGGAGGCTGAGGCAAGAAGATATTGCTTGAGCCTGGGAGGTTAAGGCTGCAGTAAATTATGATTGCACCACTGCACTCCAAACTGTGTGACAGAGTGAGACTGTGTCTCAAAAAAACAAACCTTAATTCACATAAAATCTGTTTTGCCCTGAGTAGGTACAAGATTACATACCTTTTCTTGTAGAACTCAAGAAGCTGAGCGCTAAGCCTATGGCTCTCCCAATTCTACTACCAGTGGCTAGGTGTTCTGCTTAATAAACTACATTTTTTTTGAAATTTGAGTGCTACAGACCTGCATCTTTCAAAAATGATAAAAATCTTCAATACCTATTTTGAAATATCTTATGCCAATTAGTCTTCCTATATGACCCTCAGTAATTGTTTGTACTGTTCCTGAATTTTAATATTCTTTAACTGTACATCTTTAATATCCATACATGCACTTCATAAGGTTCAGGAAATCATTTGCAAAATATGGAATATGCTGAATATAAGCATTTTTAAGGAAGAAATTTTCAGAAATGTCAAAAGATTATCAGTAAGATTTATTACCCCACAAAAAGGTTATAAGTGACTGCAGTATAATTTATATATTATTTAGATGTTGTATTTATTAGGGTAAAGCTAACTGTTTTAACAAATAGTGTCAACAAATAGAAAATTTACTGTTCATGTAACAATATGAGACAAGTTAGCAGGTGGTCAGGGTAGTCTTCCTTCATGCTGCTATCCAAAGATATGGGATAGTGAAAGCTTGCCATCTTCAACATGCCTTCTTCCATAGTTTCCCTGTAAGTTACTCTATTCCAGTAAGCCATAGTGAGAATAAGCAAGAAGTAGTGCACTTGGGATATGAAAACCAGGTCTGCTAATATGTATATCATTTCATGTCACATGACATCGTCTAGAACTCACTCACATGGGCATATGAATTTTGATGAACACCTAACACCTAATCTATTTTGAGTAATTGTATTTGTGCTCCTCTTAATTTTTATATTTGGATGTTTTGTCTAGTTTAATGTCACCTCTCAGGAATTAATTCACTGTATTCTCTCAAATAAAAGACTTCTGCATATTTCTCAAATTATGTTGACATGCTTCAGTTTCTAATCTGGACACTTTGCAATCTCACCTTCTCACAGTCACATGAGACACTTAGAACCTCATTTTTGGCAATTAGTTTTACTTAACTCAATGTGGTAATACCACACTTCATACTAAATAATAGTATTTACTGATCCACTAAATGTGAATTTTAAATGGCCCTAAATAAGGCACCAATGACTGGATAATTACGCAACCCAGTTCAATGAACTGTAGACCATACACTCATCCTCACACATGATTCACTGACATACAGAGAACCAATGTAAAGGTGACAACCACAACCCAATTCCCATTCTATCCTATACAACAAAGTGTGCAACAACTTTCTTCTCCATAGTGACCCACTAGATGGTATACCACACTTGGCCCATCAATTATGGGCATGAGTTCAAGAAAAGGGTAGAACAGTTCAAAGCATTAGGCAAGGACATCTGCATGATGTCATTCATAGAAAATATCACTCTTGGCCGGGCGCGGTGGCTCACGCCTGTAATCCCAGCACTTTGGGAGGCCAAGGTGGGTGGATCATGAGGTCAGGAGATCAAGACCATCCTGGCTAACACGGTAAAACCCTGTCTCTACTAAAATAAGAAAAATTAGCCGGGAATGGTGGCGGGTGCCTGTAGTCCCAGCTACTCGGGAGGCAGAGGCAGGAAAATGACTTGAACCCGGGAGGTGGAGCCCGCAGTGAGCCAAGATAGTGCCACTGTACCCCAGCCTGGGTGAGAGGGAGACTCTCTCTCAAAAAAAAAAAAAATCACTGTTAAAATAGTTACCTACAATTATTCTGAGGACTGAAGTATAGAAAATGTGCAAAAATGTGTAAAATTGCAAATATTTGAGTTTTACTCATTTGCACAAATATGAAGATATGCATTACCTATTAGCTGTGTATATTGAAGTGAAAAACAGGCCTGTAGCAATCTATTTGGTAAAATACTCTTGCTACATTTTTATACCTAGTTTATTTGAGAAAGACAGTAGTAGTAACATTCTCTTTCTTTTAAAATCTGCATATCTTGGATCTTTTACAAATTCAGACTGGCCTCCTTCCAGCTCAATGACATACAACAGATTGATTTTAAACATTTCTCTACCAAGTGGCTGAAATTTGACTTGAAAAGTACTATGAGATTTATGAGTAAACTTTACCATTAACTATGTTCCTTTGCTAGTAATCAAGGTTAGTCCCACCTTTAGACGGCTAATCTTAACATCAAAATCAAAGTGTTAAAACTGCAAAATTACATAGTCTAACCCCATCTCTTAAAGTATGGTGAAAAGAATGGTCCAAAGTCAACAAGTAAATTACCAGTCGAGTCAAGATTGTAACCCAGGGCTCTTTCCAACTGTTGTCACTTTGAGCCCTTACTTGAAAAGCCATATACTCCTATAATTTCGGGCTCTATACAATTATCATGGAATATGGATTCGAGTTTATTGTAAAGTGTGCATTACTCTTTGCACACTAAAATAACACCAGCCATTAGGAAGGTGTAACAAAAAAGAACCATTGTTTGACTAAGAACCCAAAACCACTAGATACACCATAAGGGCAGTTGTTTGAGCCTGCAAATATTTTTCTGATAATTTTTACCATACTTTTGAATCTGCAAAAAGAGAAAGGGGAATCCTGTCTTAACTTTCATTTTCTTTTCCTTTTAGGGGAACAAGAGGAAAAAGTTACATACAAGACTCATTTCTCTCGACCCTGATGTCCCCTTTGAATCTGACAGACCCGACATTGCATTATTTCCTGAAACTTTTCTTAAGATAAAAGCTGGCACTGATTCCATATCTAGCCTTTTACAGCTGCAAGAGTTAGCACAAACAACATTCATATTCATTAACTGTCCAAAGTATGATCACATATGATAAGACTACATGGCAGTCTCACTATAGAAGTCAGAAAAATGGGAAAAGAGAAAAGAAATGAGTGCGGAGTTCAAAAGGTTCTCTTTAATGTATATCAAGCAGCTTTGTGTAATGCAAGTAATGACAATAATTTGCTATGTAGCAAGGATGGGTTATACACAAACTGGGTTTCTCTGATCCTGTTAGAAGGTCAGCATGTGCTCAGTACCAGTCATCTGCCAACATGTGCAGGATGCTAACAGACTTTCCTGTAATAAGCTCACTGGGCTGGAGTACACATTTAAAAAAAGGTCAAAAATTTAGGTTTGTCTAGCTTCCTCCAGCATATCCATGTCTTTCTTGGATGTGCAAGAAGATAGCTTTCTGTTGCTTGCTATTTCATGCTAAATTAGCTAACCTGTCAAATGGATCAAGGTAAAAAGGTCACAGCAGCCAAAGAAATACAAAATAGGTAGAATAACCTACAGAAAAGTCTATCAACTACAAACATTAGCATGAGTCCTCATTTTTCAGTTTTTAATGAAATTAGGATGGGCCTTAAGTGAGGATATTATGCTCTGAGAAAGTGAATATATATTAAAAGAAAATACTCCCCAAAGGCATAACTCCAGCATTCAGCCTATAAGCACATTATACCCTTAAGCACCTCATTATTCTTCACTAGTAAATAAATGTGAGATGAGCTCACGGATATTTCCAAAGTGGTAACATTTTGTTGAACTAAAAGATAGTTCAGCCAAGATGCAAAAAGGAAAAGACAATGGTAAAAATTTGAATGACTATATCAGGGTAAATTCTATTATAGCATCATCTGATACTTTCTTATTCCTGTGTTAAATTATTAATATCCTATCTCAAGTAACCTTTCTCAACAGCCTTGCCACCCCCGCCCCCAGCATCACTGCATGTACAGAAGAGATCTTTCTAAAAAAGGTCAGTGTGGAATTTCTTTTTTGGGATACTTCTCCTTTTGTTCTCATATTATGTATGGAGTCTCCTATAACAGTCAAAGTCTCAGCAGGCACAGAATGGTACTTAAATAGCTCAAAAAAATTAAAAATATGCTTACAAAGTTCTGGGAAGGATTAGTAAAACCAGCAAGGGAAGTTAAAGACATAGACGTTAGTAACATTAAGTCATCCCTGGCACCCAAAGGCAAGGGGAGCAAAAGGTGTTACTATAGCATTGAGAGCTGAAGCAATGAAGACAGGGCTATACTACAAGAACTGGAGTTATGGAGGGAACAACCATTATCAGAAAACACATCAGAAAAAACAGGAGGGACAAGGAAAGAAAAGCCTTAACCTCTCTCTTCCCACTTTCCAATCACCTGCTGGTGTCTCCCTTTGACCAAACCCCACTAGAAGTCAGAAGGCAGGATGATGCAGAGCCTAGGGACAACCTTTAGTCTTTGGATGCTCAGCATGAGCAGAGTCTAGTATACAACATTTGCTCAACACCTATTTATCAAACAAACTGAGCTCAATAACAAGCTGAGGTTACTAGGATAAATATTTTTATTTCAGTACCAATTTTGTTCTTCCACTGCACCACTGTGACCAATGACAATGTGTTTAACCTCTGGATAGATACAACTTTCAAAAAATGAGAACCACTTATGAGATCTTGAGGCTTAGCCTCATGTCATCCTACAACTTAGCTCTCAGTTGATCCCTGAGTTAATCCACTTTCTCTTGAAGGTAACTTTCCTATTTTAGTGTTGAAGTATCCAACAGTCCTTACATACAAGGTCATGTATTTCTCTGTATTGTGTAGTGATACCTAGAATAGGCACAATAGAATAGCAGTGACTCAGTGGCCACTGAAAACTGTTCTCTACACAACATTTGATACTGCATATATAACATGCAATAGAGAAGTCTATATGGAGAACTCCATATGGAGTAACTATACAATAGAGAACTAATTGGAGCATTACTCCTCTCACCCCAAAATAGTTACTCCACTCTATTATATAGTTACTCCATAACTACACAATATAAGGATGTGCCAAAACTATTCCCATCGCTTTTCTCCTTCCTCAATGATGCCATTATTCTTGTCGTTAAATCAGTAGTCTGTTGGAGACTTACAGACTCAATAAACTGTATAAACTTTGAGTCATTAGAAGGTAGTAAAATCAATTAAGTTGACCGTGATGAGCATTCTTTAATGCATTAGACTAGGGTAAGATAGGATAGAATAGAACATTATAGAAATGAATAGAACAAAATAAACAAAATAGAATGTGTTCCAGATAGCAAGCTGTGGACACTATGAAATATAAATGCATGTTTGTGTGTGTGCATGTATATTGTATTGTGGTGTAAAGTGTATTTCTTATTATATGTTAAGTTAAAAATAATGCTTGAAGTCAACTGAAATACATGGATGTTCTTTTCAAAAGTACCTAAATTACAAAGGGGTGATTCCTGGATCATCCTTCTGAAATAGAAGGCTTGATAATATATCCTGTTTTTATCTTGTTTTCTGTTTTTATCTATTCCCATTTATTTTATACATAATTCACTTGTTTAGTAACCTTGAAAAAGAGCTCTTCCTTCCAATTAACCTAAATCTTCCTGCTGCAAAAGAAGCCTTTTCTTATTGTTCCATCATTATTTACATGGATTTCTCATATAATTCCACTTTATGTTGAAGGTAACTTTTAAATCTTCAGTTATGTTTCCTCAGTCTCTTTAAACATTATGACAGGTTTTATTTCTCACCTCAGTTCTATGTTTTCCCTCTTGTTCCTCATGTACACTGCTGGACAACAAGATGGAACGGACTAGAGATGACCTCTCATAGAGTAGGGAAGATGACTTTGCCATAAAGAGGAGGCTGAACTTCCTGCACAATGTCCGTTTTTCCTTCTCTACAGGCACCATGATCCCAATGTTATTTTTTGTAGCTGTTGATATTGTACAGATGTATATGCAGAAATACATATGCTAAGTAGATAATAAAAGCATTAGAAGTGATTTGGGTTTCTAGATACATGGGTGAGTTACTCAACTTCCTAAACTGTGAAATTGAATATCATAATATCTCACATTGAATTAATTAATATAAATTGCTCAGTACCATATTTATCCCAGAGTAGGTACTAACAAATAAATAGCATCAATCATTGGACGAGTCCACAGTACATTTGGACTTGAATTAATTTCTAGAGTGATACACAGATTCTGACTCATTTTAAGTCATTACCTGAAGATTAAGTCATACACTTAGATTTGATAACTATCTTGTTAAAAAAAAAGAACCATCTCTTTACTCATTATAACTGTTAACATTTCCTTAAAGCCAAGGTTTTCATCATGGGAGCCATGAGGATGTGCCTCTCAGATCTCCAGCTTCAGGGAGTGTAATTGACTTATGAACTCAGTTGCTGCCTTCCAACATTTTTTTTAATTTAATTTTAAGTTCCAAGATACAAGTGCAGGACATGCAGGTTTGTTACATCGGTAAACGTGTGCCATTCACAATAGCAAACACATGAAATCAATCCAAATGCCCATCAGTTGATAGACTGGATAAAGAAAATGTGGTACATATACACCATGGAATACTATGCAGCCAACATTTATTAAGATGTTCTCATGGACCCCACACACCCCATAGACTTCTCCCAACCAGTGCTGAGCATGGCAGGGATAATAAGGAACCTGGCCCTAGAAGATGAGGATTTTTCTTATGTGTAACTGCAGCTGAAGGACTCTCACAGCCTTGATGAGCCCTCATAGAATTGTACCACAGTCCAAGATGGCTCCATCCGACATTCCTTTCTTCCTTTTCTCCTTCACTGGGGGCAGACCTGCATCATGTCATCTCCTTCTCCCATTCCTTCCCTATTGCTGTTCACAGACCTCACCCCTCATCAGTCTCTTGAATTTCAGCATCTGTTGCTGGAGGGTCTGGGTTGACAAATATAATAACCCATAATCTGTGTGTAAAACTGTGTGTGCAGGTACATATATACCCTTTTAATAGTAAGAATATCCATAAGTTTCATCAGCTGTTTAAGTGGATCTGTGAGCAAAAAAGCTTAAAAATTACTCCCTCTTTAAATTCTATTTGAGTTATGAAAAAATACCACCCAACTGTCCCAAAGTCAAAAAGGTGCTTAAGAAAGACCATTATAGAATGTACCATATGCTTAAGTGCTCTTGGACATCATTTTGATATTCTAGGAATCTGAAATGTCAGATCTGGAATATCTACACTTATTGGCAACATAAAGTCATGTGAAATTGTATTATTTCTACTGTTGATGTTTGTTCCTGTTTTGCTTTCCTGTGAGTTTTAAGTTCTTTCTTATTCTACTTTACATCACATTTAACCTGCTATCTTTGGCATTTACAAGCTTAACATCTTGAATTTAGCAAATTGGCATTTAGAAAACATTTGTCATCATTAAGAAAAACTAAAAATTATTTGCAAAAGCTCTGTTACTCTTTGGAGACCCTTGAAAGTGATTATTTGGTTACATTGGAAAAAATCATTCAAATTTGATGGCAATTAAAATTATTTTTAAAAATTAAATCATACACAACAATCTTTCAAAACTTTACATTGTTAAACTTTAAGTGCACATTTTGCCATTTTAATCTTACTAGAGACCCAAAGGGTCAGAACTCACAGATAGGGACTTGTATTTGATTATATTAAGCCATTCCTTTAATATCTAATGCTAATAATCACCAAGGAGAAGACAGGGCTGGCTTCAAAACTATTCTTCTTTTTCCATCCTTATCTCTTTCAATAATGTTTGATGATTTATATTTTAATGCACCTACTTAAGTAGACAGTCTTTTATCTTCCCTCTTAAGTGAAACAGATAGCTTATTTATTTCTTCCCTTCTACTCTACTCAAACACAGTTTAGACTCTTGTGATTGCTTATAAACCAAATCAATATCTGGCTTGTTAAGATTCTGTAATCAAAGTGCTGTGCCACCACGTTGATCTCTTTGATCTATAAACAGACCCTAGTCATCTTGTCTCTGTAGTCCTGAGAGATCTTTACTACAAGTTGGCACTATACTTTCCATCAGGCCTGGTCTGATGCTCTTCAACTTCCAAATTTAATCTCATTGCTACCCATTGGGTTAACCTGACATATTTCATTCCCTTCTTCAAAATAAGTTCTGTCTCATTTGCAAGGGAGAGCACTTTTTAGAGCCATAGTGTACAACTATGCTTCAAACCTGGATATGAAGATCTTGACTTCAGGCAAGAGGTAAAAGGCTATTTCAATCCCTTAGAGCAACTGAATATTTATATGTAGCTTTCTAGGGGCAGTTTTCTTCCTAAATCAGTCTCTGTCAGCTGGTACTTCTATAATATACAAGTTAGAGAGAATAAAATAATAGAAATAATCTTCCAAATAAAAAAAGTGGCCTAAGAAATAAAAAACAAACTCTCATCTTGGTAGCTATATAAGGCCTACTTATTTCTCCCAGCTGGACCCCATATTAAAATTTGGAGGGGAAAAACACATTTCATAAATATTTGGTTATTAATATATACTTTTTAAATTACATATAACAGAGTAGTGAGTTATCACCAATTAATGCCCAAAGAATGAGAAGAATATTAAGAAAGGAAGTAATATGCTTACTATAGGCAATGGTGAGCTCAAATGCAATAGCAAAAGCAAATCTAACTCCTATCTTTGCTAAATGAAAGGGACTTCCAGAAGTACCAAGCAGCAAATTACCATGCTCCAGAAAGGCTAATGACTTATGTTTATTTTCATATTATCAAGTAACACAAATGTTAAGGAAAGTTTAATTTACTTCCTTTGTTATGGGATATTGATAAAAGATTAAATGGAATAGCAAATATAAGATAGCTAATATTATTTCACATACTGCAGTTACTCTTATAATATGAATTTCTCCTTTATTACTTTTCCCTTTCCTTCTGTCTACCCTGTCCAAAATAATTTGAAGACTATAAACTCCATGAGGGCAGGGACCTTGTCTGATTTAGCTTGCCAATGTGTTTTCAATGCATAGGTGAATACACATATCATTAAGAAAAGAATTTGGAGCAACCATCTTTATTGAATGTCTTCTCACTGGCCCTGTGCTAGACATAGGTGATGTGAGGGCCATGATGAATTAGACAGTGTTCCTGCCCATAAAGAACTTATAATACTGTGACATAATAGAAATATACAAGTCTAGCTATTTTGCACAGCAGTATAACTACTCTAATAGAGATGTGGTATTCAAAAAAAAGCTGAGTTTTTGATGTTGAACCAAAAAGATAATGAATCTAAAAATTCCTCTAAATATGGAAATGTTTCACTTGAACTTAAAGACCAGGTTATGAACCATTAATTGGTTTGTTATTCTTGTTGGGCACCTCTGTATGAAGGACAAACAAGAGAAAAAAAATTATTTAATTACAGCGTTTCCTTCTGAGGATAGAAGTATTTTCTGAGCATCAGTCCAAAAAAAATCAAGGCAAAAAAGTAAATTCAGAGGCGTCACAGAAGAGATCAAGATGAAGGCAAAAAGGATACAGGGAAACTGGGTAGTCTGTTGTGAAATTCTGACCTAAGAGGACAAGAGCAAAGATCTTTATGCTTTGGATTAAGTATTACCAGAAGGGGAGGGATATTGACGTGGTTTAAATCAGTAAATGAAATAATACAAAGTTGAATAAATCGATGTTAATGATGATCAGAATTGATATTTCACACCAAATTTTAGCTTTTACAAATAAATTTGGGGAGAGAGAAGTTGTGTCTTCTATTAGTCTCTCCCTGGTAACAAGCAAATAGCATCCTCTTGATAAATGAGTGTTGAGCGAGTGAACTCATGTGAATGAAACATGATAAAAGAGACAATGCATCTGAGATTACAGCTTTCTCAAATTAGGCTGAAGGGTGACAGCATAGAGTCTTAGGATATGTATATGGATTTTGAAACAATACCGGTCTCAGTCTGAAGCTTGAATCCACCTTTATATCACGTCCATAACCTTGAAAAAATGTACACAAGCTTCTAAAACTCAATGTCTTCATCTGTATAATGTGAATGGTACAGTAACTAATTCATAAGATTTTTACAAGAGTAAATGAAATAATATACATATAAAGTCTTTGTAAGCATCTTACACATATTAATTAACCAAATATTGGATATGTTCTGTGCTATAATTTTGGTTTATTTTAGCTGCTTCAAAATCTGCAATCAGAAAATAAACCAGAAAAAAAAAAAACGAAAAACCTTGAAGGGGCAAATAAGAAAGTAAAATAACCTGGAAAATGATCTGGGAGCAATCTAAAATGAGATAAATAAAAACTTTTTCATGTGGTAATGAAGAATAAGGGGCAAAATTTGAATGTACCATGCTTCCCTGCAATTTGACACAATTCACATTACATTATATAGATGTCAACTGAAGCGCCTTAATTAAATCATCTCAAACAGAGAGGCTGCAGGTTGACTCCTCTGTCATCCAAACTGGTCTTCAGGGGCCCTTCTAACCAAATCAGCTAAGTCAAAAGCTACTTCTGCCTTTTTTTTTCCTCCAGACTCAAAATGATACAGAGTCAACACCACAGTCAGCAATAGATTGATTGTGGCCTCTGGGAAGTCACATGGCTCAGTGTTCAGAATCTACAGCTGCTTCTCAAGGTCAAGCACACCCTGCTCGAATGAGATATTTATTCCCAAGAACATGGTGCCAGTTCTAAACTTTTCTTGAGGACCTAGATAAAACATTTCCCCAGAGGACATTTTTACTGGGAAAAGCTTGTGGTGGCCTGTGTAGTCTATGAAAAAAATTCACCTGAAAATATGGTTAATTTGCCTCATTACTGAAAGAAAAATGTGCTCCAAGGCTGCAGTAAAATTCTTGTAGGATAAATAGGCTTTTAGGCACCTTCCAGTACATAATATTGAAAACTGGTAATATGTTCTTCTGAAGGGATTACCAAAAAGATTTGGAGTAAACATTTTAATTCAAGATTGCATATTTTATGATGCAAACTGTTCTCTTCTTTAACTGTCCTTTGTTGAGTACTTGGCTTCAATAGTAGCACTGTTCATTCAGTTTCTGTAAACATTACTGCTTATACGTGTTTATGTCTATCATTTTAATGATAGTCATGTATAGTCTTTAATTGCACTTTATTTTACTTTTACTTCTACTCAAGTTCAGGTCCACTGAGTACAGGTAGATGAACTGATTTTTCAGAGTTCACACAGCAAACATTTATTAAAATCCTATCATATACAGGAAGAACCTATAATACTCTATAAGATAACATGATATAGTAGCAGAAAGTATATACTTTAAAGACCTGTGACCTTAGCTATAAACTCAGCTTCTGGAGTTACAGCCTTATGATATTTGGCCATTTTACTTTCACTTACTAAGCCTAAGTTTCCCTATATCCATAACAGTACTAATGGTGCCTATTAGCAGAATCTCTTTGAGAGTTCAATAAAGTAATATACAGAGCCCAGACGTTCCCTAATAGATAATATGTATTCAATAAATGTGAGCCCCTCCCCAAGCCCTAACTGTCAGTTACTGAAGAGCTACATGATAAATGTGTCATACTTCCAGGGACAGAGATAACTATTATATTTATAACTAAAATCTGTGCTTCTATATTAATCATTCTACAGGCATTCCTGCATTACACAGGCTCCTCAGTTACACCAAGCAAAACTAAAGGAGACTTGAGATTTCCTGAATTGTATTACATCTCATTTGGGATACTTTCTAAACAAGTATATGGAATCTTGGCACTCCAAGTCTGAATACATTCATAGATATGTCTTCAGCTTGTCTTATGCAGTGTCTTAGATATACAGCACTTTATAGTTTATAAATGAGCACAGTTAATTCACATACCCCTGGGTAGTTTTGATTTGCTTTTATTTAAAAAGGAACACTCTATCAAACACCAGAATTTATCCTTTAAATAATTTGGAAGAGTTCTATTAAATTCCACCAAGGCTATTCTTTCAACTTAAAGGTTGTAATTTCTATGCAGAGGAAGGTTTTAATTACCTCCTTAACGCCTCTCAATTCCACTATGATTAATAACTGATTGTAATTTGCCTCCTCCTGGGCCATTCTTGGCCTGGTATTCACAGCATTATAAGCTCTTTCTTCTGCCTTAACTGCCTCCTCAAAACTGGAAATTTGCTAACACTTCACTCTGTTTCTCAGTCCTTCCACCTAGTAAAAGGATCGTCTGTTTGACATCCTGATATTTCAGAAGGGCTACAGTATTTTTCACATTATTTTGCACATTTTAAAATTACATACATTGTAGGTAACCAGTCAATATTGTTGACTGACAGGTTTTTCTCCATTATTTTAAAAATTAGAATTAAGGGGGTGACATGTGTTATCTTATTATACATTTGTGTGAATACAGCTCTTATAATCCTCTAGATCCAGATGGAATATGAACTAAATGAGGAGAAAAGAGGATATAAAAGAGAAAGTATCCGGGTTCTGCTATGGTTCCACATCTGGAGAAAACTACAGAGGAGTCACAGATATCCAATGATTCTGTCCCATTTAGGTCCCTCTGGCTCCATTACGACTTTACTCTTTCATAAAGTTAGCAATGCATTAGTCAACTCCTTGAGTAATTTTCTCAAATCTAACTATTGTCCTTGTTCCTGGCTCTTAATTCTTAGTGAAAATTAGTTTACCCCTTGTTGTCTCTTCCCAAGAAGGGTGAAACCACATTGTCTTCTTTTTCTAGTTTTCAAAGCATTAAAGAATGTGTAGGTCCCCAGGAGGATGTTACTCTTCACAGTGGCTGTAAAAAATGACTAAAATGGTAAATGAAACAATACAGATATGGACTGCCAATGAATAGTGCAGCACAGAAGTTGCAAATGGAGATTCTGGAGTCAGACTCCCTGGGCATGAATTCTGGGCACCACTTTCTAGCTGTATAACCCTGAGTAAGCTACTTAACCCCCTCAAGCTTCTTTTTTATCTGTAAAATATAAATAATAATATTATCTCCCTCACAGGGGTTATTTGAAGATTAAAATAAATAACATGTTGCATGGTCAATATTGCCATTTGAAACACAGTCAGGGCCAATAAATATTAGCTAATTATTGTCATAGAAAGATACCTAGAGCTAATTTTGAACAGATTATAACAGAAACCAGAATACTCGAGAAACAGAACCCACAGTGAAAATGCACTGAGAAATGAGTAAATGAAAAACCAAAGGTCACAAGTGCTTTTCTAAATGTCTTATTAACAACATTAAAAAGAATCTCTTTATTTCAAGAAAAACACTTTGATCCCTCGGGATTAAAGAAAAAGAAAGAAGCAAAAGCAAAATAGCACAACTCTACGTGACTGATCACTGCAGCTATCCTCTGATGCAACCATCAGGTTGCGCTCCAAAGGCTAAATGAGCAGTATTGGTAGAAGGAATGAGAACCCAGTAAGGGAAACTTCTGCTTGGGGTCCTTGAAAACTCATCTCTCATAAAATGAAACAAACAACAAAACAATTGTACCAACTCCCTTTAATTGATAAATAATTTATGGATGATCAGCAGGAACATCCATCCAGGCAGCTGATTAAATGCAAAGTATTTTGATAGCAGAAAGTTACTATGGCAGGCCTCATAGGAGAAGGAAAGCGACCCCAGCAATCAATGCCAGTCCATATACTGATGGATGTTGCACAGTCTCTTCCTAGCAGGCTATTTGCCCACCCTCTTCCCCTTGATCACTGGAAGGAAAAGTTATCCCCTCAGTGAGTTTCTTTCTCTTGTCAAAATGATAGAGGTTAAATGTGGATAAGGAAGGCAATTAAAATAGATCTGTCATGAGTATGTTATCCCAATGTGCTATCCTGATTTCCTTCTCTAGTGTGAACTGCTACCGGAGGATGGTAATTGAAATTCATCAATCTTGACAGCTGATGACTAATATGGAGCTTTTCATTACATATCCCCCCTGGAATAGAAAAGAGATGAGTGCATATTAAACTCCAGATGGAGGCAACCACAGGACAGAGAAACACAGACACTACTGAAGGCAGTAGTGCAATGACTGTTTGGGAAAAACCTGGGACCCTCTGAAACCAATTTTTATGGAAAGAGAGATAGCATTAGTTTTCTTCCTCCTCTGTCTGTGTAGCATTTCCAACATTACCATTATCCTCATGGTCCGTGTATGTTTATATCAACTGAAAGCCCCACCAACTATCCTTTGGCAGAGTAAGTTTGGAAAGAATCTATGAATTCCACTGCTTCTTCAAGTTTGAAAATGTAATTTTATAGTATAGACACCTAGGAGTCATTCATGTTACTCATTTGTATTATTTTATAGTTTATATATGATTTTCCTATTTATCAGAATTGTTCAAAGTAAACTAATTAATTGTATTATCCAAGTATAATTCTGCCAAAAGATACCAAGAAATCACCTTTAATTAAATTTTGGCTGAGTTTTTGCAATGGTCAAAAATAAGTACTCATTTAAATGGACTTTTGACATGTGGAACAGAAAGTATAAGGTCTCAAAGGTGGAGTGCAATATCCAAATTAACGATTACTGTATAACAATTTATGCCAAACTCAGTAGCTGAAACTGACTTGTTTATTACAGCACACAAATCTGTGGGTCAGGAATTTGAGCAGGATTCAGTGCAAATTCTTCAGTTTTGCATGGCATTGATGGAGTCTCCACAATAGTATTCTGCTGGCAGATGGGCTGGTTTTGAGGGCCTAAGATGGCTTCACTTACATTTCAGGTGGTATTAACTATATTATCCTACTTTCTGTAGTCTTGATGCTCTGGCTTCTGAGGCCTTGGGAGACACTTCCCTGCCACTGAGCTAATTCCAAGACATAACCAACTATTCCCTGTGAGAAAACCTTTCATATGCAAACCAACCAATCCAAATACCACACCTTTATCAGACTCTCACAGAACTCTTATACTCTGGGCCAATATTTCTCTGCCCTAATCTTTCCAGGGCCAAGTACCAGACAACTTGAGTCAGACCTACATCCCAGAGCCTGCAAAATTATTCAAATTAGCTAATTCTAAACCTGCTTATCCAGCCTCTTGACCAATCCCAGTGCTTCCCCATGTAGCCCTGAGTAACACAGCATGCCTCCTCCTCTTGGGAACTGTGAGTAACAAACTATCTTTTCAATGGCAGTTGTCTCCTGATCTGCTGGCTTATTATATCTTAATTATGATAAAACCTACATTGAAGTAAAAAAAAAAAAAAAACTGATGACTTGGAAGCAATGTCTATAAGGCTGGGCACTCTAGAATATCATGGAGAGTCCCTACACATCATCCCAGAGTAGTCAGACATTTTACATGGCGTCTCAAGGATCTCAGAAAGAGTGCATAAACAGACTTAAAGAGCAGCTGCAAGACTTCTTATGACCTTGCCTGGGAAGCCTCAGAATGCCACTTCCTCTGAACTGGTCAAGTAGGTAGCCAGGAAAACCCAGTTAGACTCCATCTCTCAATGGGCAGGATAATAAAGAATTTGCAACCATTTTTAATTTACCATGAGCAAGTTCTCTTTGGTCAAGTTTTTACAGATCCCTAATTCACAATCAATGCCAGTGATCATTCTGAAGGTATCGTAAACGAAGTTATTTCCTAGTTTTGTCATCTCTTGGGGATATGACAGTCTTTTCCAGGAGCATCATGTAAGATTTCTTTATGTTTTCAGGCCAAGTTACATCTGATTAATGCAGTTTCTGCTGCAGAAAACAAGGAAAATAAAAATAAAACAGGGTTGGGGGAGCTTCACTTCAGGGGATATGTTCTGTCACATGCCCATGAGGAGAGTGACACAAATAAGCATCTACTGATTTCATGGAGGGAGGCATGACATTATGATAATTATTAAGAGTAAGGAAATAGAAATAGTCCCTAGAGGTGTGCACATGCCCCAAAGAGGCATTAGCATTGGGTTTGTGTCCTATTTGTTTTCTAAACCACGTACTTTCTAAACATGTATTTGCATTTGAATATAACGAGTATAATTTACTCTTACTGACCAAAATTACCTTAAATGTGAAAATGATGAAGCTTAAAAGTGAATAACTCAGCTAATCAATCACCAGCATGCTAATGGCCCCCCATTTAACCAGGAACGCTTTCCCTTGGGCAGGCTCTTAGCTTGCTAAATTCCATGCTACCACTGCATTTAGTGTTCTTGGGTTAACTCAGTCTCTGATGGAAAGGTTGTCACCACCAAAGAAGAAAGGGAAGAGAATGCAAAGTAAGTCCAAGTCATATTTCATTCTCTTTAACCTGAACTGTGACAACAGACATTTAGATATGCAATGATGCCAATTTATTTTCTATCAACGTGGTAAAATATGAATGGACCCTGAATCCAATTACATAAAGAATATTACACAAGCAACTTCCTTACATTTCACTAAAAAGGAGCAGTCATTCTGCTGGACTACATTCAAGAAGTTATTGCTTTCCTATCACCAGACAATTGTACTATTTTACAAAATCAGTATTCACAGGATGGTATTTTACTAATAGGCAAAATCCTACAATGACAATTTAAATGGTTTGAAACATGCACGAGATAATTTGGAGTCACAGCTCTGCTAGTTGCTAAACAAGTGCAGCAGGAATGCAGGCTCTCTACGCATCAAGAGTGTTGTTGGGGGAAGAGCCTGTCCTGTTTGATCAAGGAAACTTTGCTAACATCAAGTCAGGAGCTCAAGTTAATATCATCATTTCAGACTCTTACTAGGGGAGATTAAGCGTCTTCACCGGATAACTTTATTGGTCATGATGAGGCGGGAACCTAGAACAGACAGATGGTTTTCAGTGGCTGGGGTGCAAACTCAGGCTGGACTAATAAAAGACCTCTGTCTGAGACCCAACTTTGCTGCCAATTAGCACTGCAAGCTTTGGTAACTAACTTAATCTCTCTTAAAATGATTCTTCATCTGTTTAAAAAATAAAATTAGGACTTACCTCCCAGAGCTATAAGTATTAATTGAAATATTACATGTAAAACAATGCAAAGTCTGACAAATAATAAATATTCAATAACAGTTAACACCTGTTGTTTAAATGAGGAATTAACATATTTTGGAAATGTTTAACCCTACGTGAATGGGCTTTAGGGGATCGATGAATCTCCAGAAAATGTGACAAAATTCTGGGAAGACATTTCATAGCTTTTGTCAAAATTCTGAATGGGCCCAAAAACAACAACAGAAAAAGAAAGAATCACTACATTACATATTTTCCAGTAGAGAAGACATGTTTATGAACTTTTAACAAATATTTCTGAAGTTTCACTAAGTGCCAGACACAATGCTGTCCTGGGGATACAACAATGAGTCTAAATGTCTTCCCTTAGAAAGGTGGGCTTGGAGGGAGGGAGTACAGACATCAATTACTACTCCATAAATAAATGTGAAATGTGACAAATCTTATGAAAAGAAAGATCAGAGTATTACCAAAGTATACATTAGGGGAAACCAATCTAGGTCATTTGTTAGACAGTTGTGTTCAAGCCTAGTTTTGGAGATTTGATTCTATGGATTGGTATGGATAGAGGCTTAATTTCCTCATGCTTGGTGGGGGATGAATTAAGAGTTGGTGGCTGGAGTCCTGGGTCACATGGTTGGGTGCAGTGTGCGCATTTACTGTTTCTCCTCAGATGTTCTACCTAGCACCCACCTCCACACCCAAGCAACCCAGCACTCCTACTGATTTGGCTAAGGTCTAGATTCACCACACAGCTGACCCTTTCTTCCTGTTCTATAACTAATGTATTTCAAAACTTCAACATTAATACAGACCTATTGGAAACATAACACATATTTTTTCCAACAAATTCCCCTTTCACTATCAATCCATTAAGTTCCACTTTCCTGTTTGGAAGCCATTCCCTAGACGATATTTTGCTTCTATACAGTATTTTTTGCATTTATCATTTTAAAGTATCTGTAAGTATATCTACATGTAAATACAAATTTACAGAAATGCATTAATATTTTATAGCATATTTGCCTTATCTTGGGTGATCTTTCATTGTGTTTTGGTTTTTTTTACTTTCACTTCCCCTTCCCAACCATATCACTAACCCTATAACATGCCTTTATTAACAATTCAGCTAGTATTATGTATCAATATAAAATACTATAATTATCAATATTCATAGTCATGTGTGTAGATACGTTTATGTAGTCATATGTAATATTTTGCATATGTGATTATACTATACATGTTGTAATATATCATATAGACACATAATGTTTGTTTAAAGAAATAAATCATATAATACTTTTCCTTATCTCTCTCTTCTTAGTTAATATCTCATAGACATTCCTCCAAGTCAATTGTTATAGCTCTATTTAATTTTTTAATGGTTGCATAATATTCCATGATGTGGACATACCATGATTGCTTTGATAATTTTCTTAATGTTAGATACTCACTTTTTTCAAGATATTATACCATGATCAACATTGTAATAAATACCTCTGCCTGTATAATCTTATATGTTGGTAATTCCCAAAAAAGGGATATGCTCAGTCAAAAGTCATACATCTGTGTAATTTTACAGGCAATTTGCCTTCCAAAATGACTAAGCAATTCACATTTTGTTTCCACTCATCCTCACATGTGGGGTGCTCAGTGATAACTACTATGCCCTGTTTTCAACCTATAAGCTTCTCTGGAGGACTTTATCCTACCAGGAGTTACAAAAGCCACAATCCAACCACATTATTGACCATGTACCTTGAGCTCTATTTGATCATTTAAGAAGTATTTATTGAACTCCTACTATGTGCCAGTTGTTTTACTGGACATTTTGGGATACAGAGATAAGATAGCTAAAAGCGTATATGGTGAAGGTCACAAAAAAGTAAAATCTGAGGTTCTGGGAAGTATGTGGTAAGGGAAGGGAAGGCCTAGGGAGAGTTTCTGGAATAAAAAAAATTCAACTTTGTTATTTTCTAAACTTATCGTATTTGTTTTCTGTGACTGTTAAAACAACTTACCATAAATTTATTAGTTTTAAATAAGAGAAATTTATCATTTCACAATTCTGCAGACCAGAAGTCCAAAATCACTTTAGTAGGATCTGAATCAAGGCATTGTCAGGACTTCACTCCCTCCAGAGGCTCTAATGGACAATTCATTCCTTGATTCAGCCAGAATCTGATGGCTGCCAGCATTCCTTAGCTTGTGGTTACATCACTTTAATCTTTGCCTTCTTCTCTTTTGTCTGTGTCAAACCTTCCTCCATCTCCCTCTCATAAGGATACTTGTAATTGCATTTAGGACCCATCTGGGATAATCCACAATAATCTCCTTATCTCAAAATCACAAATGTAATCACATCTGCAAAGCCATTATTAGTCATGTAAAGTAACAATCACAGGCTGTAGGAATTGGGACATAAATATCTTTATGGAGGGAGAGGAGAGGAGGGGCATTGTTCAGCCTACCACACTCGTTTATTTATTCAAAAAAATTTTTATATTGGATTTATATTCAGAGATTCTTATTTTTAATGAGAAAAAATAGCATATATCTTATTCATTATTTTGGAAAAATAATATAAGCAGTGATTAAGAAAGTATGTGAGCTTAATCTAGATTGCTTGGATAGAGTGGGAGTCTGAAACATCCATTTGGTCATTCTAAGCCCTGATTTTATCATGTTAAAACAATAACAACCTCCCAGGGACTCTGTTGTTGTTATATCTGAGATAAAAGAGATAATACTTGTAAAGCACTTGGCATATGAGTATGTAATAAACATTAGCTACCACCATTTCACTTTTCACACATAACACCATTCTGAGGGTTAAATGATTGGCTGTTTCTAGTTAAGCCAATTTTTCTTGCCATAGTTCCAAATAGCTCCAAATATAAGCACATGCTTCTTTTCTCCTCACAGTTTACAAAATCATTTTCTATTGTGAGTTCCCCTTTTTCATTCCAGTCTTTTTCAGTCCTTTATTTTCTCCAGCTAATTCATTGTGTTTCCAGCTTTGTCCCAACTGCATAATCAAGTTTCCAGTTTGCCTTGCCCCCACACTGTGTTGAATGAGCACACTGTCTACTTATCCATTTATTCATATTTGTTAGTTTATATATTTTACTTATCAAATATAAAATTTTCATGAACTAAATCAATTATTTAGAGTCCTAAAGTGAACAGAATTTGTTTCTCTACTTCTATATTAAAGAGAAAAGTAAATCATCTCCAAACTTATTGGGGACTTTGTAAAAAGAAAAAAAATTAAAAATAATTTGTTAAACATTGTGTGTGTTTAACATTTATATGTGTATATGTGTGTATGTGGGTGTGTGTGTGCCTTTAAGTTGGCATAGATCTATCCCATCTCTTATAGTACTCAGTTTCTAGTTGACATTTACATTTCACAAGAAACAACCCATCATGTAGCCATGATAGACATTGCTTGTTGGTCTCTGATGCAATCTATTTAGCTGAGATTTGGCTTCAAAATCATTCCAAATGGGATACTTCACAATCACCAATTTGTCAAAACTGACACCAGGGGGGAAACACCTTTACCATTCTTGGGTAGACTCGCCCTTCTTGACTTTCCTCTATGTCTTAGTCCATCTTCTGTTGCTATAACGGAATATCACAGACTGGGCAATTTATAAAGAAAAGGAGTTTATTTAGCTCGTAATTCTGGAGGCTGGCAAGTACAAGAGCATGGTGCTGGCATCTTGTGAGGACCTTCATGCTGCATGATAACATAGGGGAGGACACCACATGATAAGAGGGAAGAGTGTTCCAGATCAGGTCTCTCCTCCTCTTCCTATAAAACCACCAGTCCCATCATGGGGGCCCTATGCTGATGATGTTATCTAATCATTTTTTTTTAAGGTGGAGTCTTGCTATGTTGCCCAGGCTGGCCTTGAACTCCTAGGCTCAAGCAATTATGCCACCTCAGCCTCTTGAGTGGCTGGGATTAGGTCATCTTAATTACCTACTAAAAGCCCCACCTCCAAATATCATCGACATATGAATTTGGGAATTAAGTTTTCAACACATGAAATTTGACAAACACCCTCAAATTATAGCACTCTGCATTTGAAATGTGGTGATAAATTTCCTCGGGTAAGTGCTGTGGGCAGTGTATTTCCATCTCATGAAAATCATCCACAGGGAACCCATGTTTTAAATCATGCCTTTATTAGAAATATAATACTATCTGCTACTTTATTCAGTGAGTTCCTTTCTCAATTTATTAATTTTTACAGATTTTAATAGCCAGAAGTCAGAAGAGGTAAGAAGGCGTGCTCTATTTTCCCTTTGATATAAATAATTTTTTCCTTTTCCACTCTGTGACACTTTCTCTGTTTTTTCCTCTTCCTACACAAAATAGTAATAATAAATATTCATTGTTTTAAATAATATGTAGCATTTAAAATTCTCTGCATGCACTTTGAGATGTTCTAAGTCTAACCAAAAGTAACAAGGTGTTTTGAAGTGCTTTGTAGTTATGAATTACTGATATTGTTTATAACATCACCATAGGAAATCCAATAGATTCTGAAGTGAAAGACAAAGCTCTCCTATGGCAAGACAGATGACTGACACCCCAGAGGAGTATAGAAAATTAAAAATGTTACAGACTAAATTGACAACCTGTCTTAAAACCTAAATGTTGATTCTGTTGCAAGTCTGACAAGAGTAAGAAAACTGAAATACATATATACATATGTGTGTGTGTGTGTGTGTGAATAACTAAGACAAAAATCACTTTTGGAGACTCATCTTCCTAAATGGCACTGGTATACTTCCGACCAGTACTCCCTCAACTGTGACTTATACTTTACAGTCAAACAGTTATAGACTCCAATTCTGTTCCTGGGCCCGATTAGCTGGTAACCTTAAACAAATTACCCTGCCTCTCTGAGCCTACTGTTTTCCTCATTTGTATAAAGAAAAACTGAATATTGTCTGTGTAAAGCATGCAGCACAGTGCCTGGACATAGTACAGTTCATTAAATGCTAGCTTTGTTGCTCCATGGAGACGACGTGCCTTGAGCTGGGGAAGGTCAAATAGACTTCCTTTGAAATTCAGGTGCTAGAAATATTTTAGTGATCAACAATTTCCTATCAGAGATGACTGGGAGATGCTAATTTTAAAATGTTAAACTGACTTCTATACACTCCAATTATGTTAATATCCAAAAGCAAAGTACTGGGGTGATTTTCAGTAGTTCAAGTTATATTAATTGTACAGGTGAATTTAGAAGCTTCCCATTTCTAGCTATTGAATTTTTAGAGCTGATGCTTATAAAATGAACATTAAAACTTGGATAATTTTTTTCTCCTCTCTGGATATCAATTGCAAAGGACACCATGGTCTGATACCTTACATGATTTAGTACCAGGAAGGGCTGCTACTGCATGGAGTAAAACTATAGCACAAGTAGAGAAGCATGAACCCTCAAAATACCCCTTATCTTCACTCTTTAAGCTGAGTTGCTTCAATTGTATATGTTATATGCCATGAGCTTCTACTTAAAATGATTTTAAAAAGGGTTTATACCTTAAAAAAATTAAACCACTGCTTTAAGAGAGAATACTCTCTCCTTGGTCTGACCCTATCTATACCTCTCTGATCCCATTCCAGGCTATGATATTCCTTACTCAACTTAGCCACTCACATTCTTTCCATGTCTTAAATGTGGCAAGCTCTTTCTTACTTTAAGGAGTTTTACACAGGCTATTCTTTCTGTTTGCAAACCTTTTTCCACCACTCTTCTATTGGCCAATAATTACTGAGTCCTTATTCTTTGGTTCTATGCTTATTTATCCCTTTAAAGAGGCCTTTCTTGTACCACAGCACCATCTAAGGTTTCCCCTTAGAATGCTCAGGTAAAAAACAGAGCATCTAATTAAATTTGAACTTTAGACAAACTACAAATACTTTTTAAAAATTTATTATTATTTTTATGGATATATCATAGTCATACATATTTATGGGGTACACGTGATTTTTTTATAATACAAACATACAATGTGTAATGATCAAATCTAGGTAATTGCAATATACATCACCTCAAACATTTATCATTTTTTTGTGTTGGGAACATTCCAAATCTTCTAACTATTTTAAAACATACAATAAATTGTTGTTAACTATAGATGTCATTTTGTGCTACTGTACACTAGATCGTATTCATTTTGACTGTAATTTTCACCCATTAATCTACCCCTCTTTATCCTCCCACCTCTTTCACCACCCTTCTCAGCCTCTGATAGTCACCATTCTATTCACTACCTTTAAGAGATCTTTTTTTTTACCTTCCATATATGAGGGAGAACATGAAATATTTGTCTTCTGTGCCTGGCTTATTTTACTTAACGTAATGTACTCCAGTTCCATCCATGTTGCTATGAAAGACAAGATCTTACTTTTTATGTTGGAATAATATCCCATTGTGTATACTTAACACATTTTCTTTATCTATTTATTTGTAGACACCCGGATGATTCCATATCTCAGCTATTACAAATAGTGCTGCAATAAGCATGAGAGTGCCAATGGTTCTTCAATAAACTGATTTGCTTCTTTTGAATATGTACCCAGCAGTGGGATTGCTGAATCATACAGTATTTGTGTTTTTTTATTTTTGAGGAATCTTAATACTATTTTCTAAAGTGACTGTGCCAATTTATATTCACACCAACAGTGTATGAGCATTCTCCATTCTCTGCATCCTCACCAGAATTTATTTTCTGTCTTTTGGATAATAGTTATTTTAACTAGGGTTAGATGACATATCATTGTGGTTTTGATTTGTATTCCTCTGATTAGTAACGTTGAGCATTTTTTCATATACCTTTTGGCCATTTGTATGTCTTCTTTTGAGAAATGTCTATTCAGATTATTTGCCCATTTTTAAATTGAACTATTTGGGTTTTTGCCATTGAACTTTCTGAGTTCCTCATAACAATATACAGCAAAAATAACAAAGCTGGGGGTATTACATTACCTGACTTCAAGTTATACCTCAAAGCTCTAGTAGCCAAAATAGCATGGTACTGGCATAAAAACAGACACATAGACCAATGGAACAGAGTAGAGAACCCTTCAGAAATAAAGACATGTATTTACAGCCAACTTCTTTTTAACAAAGGCACCAAGAACATACACTGGGGAAAGGACAGTCTCATCAAATAACAGTGCTGAAAAAACATGGATACCTATACAAAGAAGAATGAAACTAGACCCTTATTTCTCATCATGTAAGAAAAATCAAATCAAAATTGGTTAAAGGCTAAAATGTGAGCCCTGAAACTATGAAACTACTAGAAGAAACATTGGGAACATTTTTCAGGACTTTGATCTGGACAAACATTTTTTGAGTAAGACCTCAAAAGCACAGAAAACCAAAGCAAACATTGATTGACAAATGGAATTACCTGAAGCCAAAACATTTCTGCACAGCAAAGGCAACAACCAAGAAATTAAAGAGACGACCTAAAAAAACAGAAGAAAACATCTGCAAACTATACATGTGAAAAGGGATTATCAAAAACAACAAAGATTATTTTGTATTTATCCGAAATTCAAGTTTATATAGGCATCGTGTGTTTTTATTTGCTAAATCTGGCGACTCTAGTTTTTCTTATTATATTTTTTCTCAGCGACCTGTAGTTTTCCTTTATGGCAGTTTCATTGTAATTTTGATTATTTATTTAACACATTTTTATCCACTCCACTCTAAAGCTGGTGGGAAGGATTTATCTGTTTATTTTTCTTCTATGTATCCAGCAATCAGTATAGTGCCTAGCACAAAAAGTTGTAAAAATAATCTGCATTAGTTGAATTAATGAATCCATAGATACAAAAATGGATCTAGGTATGAGTTTGTGTCCCAATATTTATAAATTTCAATGTCAGTTATGATTATTTGTTTCTGAAATCAGTTTTCAACTATATAATTCCCCACACTAACTTGAAGTGAAAATTCCTTGATTACATACTTTACAATAAAACAACTGTTCATTAAGACATTCAGTGTAATGAT